>NC_000012.12:62460128-63710128 GCF_000001405.40 Homo sapiens
CAACAGAACTTGATTCAGCATAGATGTAATGGATGAGGGAGAAGGAAGAGTCAAGTTTGACTCTTAGTTTCTTGATATGGGCAACCAGATGGATGGTGATGCTTTTCATTGAGAAAGGTAATGTATGAAGAGGATCAACTCCTTTTTGGGGAGGAATATGAGGTGTCAATGAGACTTAAAGGTAAAGATGTCCAATAACCAGTTGAATATTCATGTCTGGATCTCAGACAAGAGCTCTGTAATTATAAGTGTGTATAAGGGCTTGACATTGTGTCCAGAATTGGTAGGTTCTTGGTCTCACTGACTTCAAGAATGAAGCCGCGGACCCTCGCAGTGAGTGTTACAGTTCTTAAAGGCGGTGTGTCCGGAGTTTGTTCCTTCTGATGTTCGGATGTGTTCGGAGTTTCTTCCTTCTGGTGGGTTCGTGGTCTCGCTGGCTTCAGGAGTGAAGCCGTAGACCTTCGCTGTGAGTGTTACAGCTCTTAAGGTGGCGCGTCTGGAGTTGTTCGTTCCTCCCGGTGGGTTCGTGGTCTGGCTGGCTTCAGGAGTGAAGCTGCAGACCTTCACGGTGAGTGTTACAGCTTATAAAGGCAGTGTGGACCCAAAGAGTGAGCAGCAGCAAGATTTATTGCAAAGAGCAAAAGAACAAAGCTTCCACAGTGTGGAAGGGGACCCCAGCGGGTTGCCACTGCTGGCTTGGACAGCCTGCTTTTATTCTCTTATCTGGCCCCACCCACATCCTGCTGATTGTTCCATTTTACAGAGAGCCGAGTGGTCTGTTTTAATAGGGTGCTGATTGGTGCGCTTACAATCCCTGAGCTAGACACAAAGGTTCTCTATGTCCCCACTAGATTAGCTAGATACAGAGTGTCAACATAAAGGTTCTCCAAGTTCCCACCGGAGTGGCTAGATACAGGGTGTTGATTGGTGCATTCACAAACCCTGAGCTAGACACAGGGTGCTGATTGGTGTGTTTACAAACCTTGAGCTAGATACAGAGTGCCAGTTGGTGTATTTACAATCCCCTAGCTAGACATAAAGGTTCTCCAAGTCCTCACCAGACTCAGAAGCCCAGCTGGCTTCACCCAGTGGATCTCGCACCAGGGCCGCAGGTGGAGCTGCCTGCTAGTCCCGCGTGTGCGCCGGCACTCCTCAGCCCTTGGGTGGTCGATGGGACTGGGCGCAGTGGAGCAGGGGGCGGTGCTCGTTGGGGAGGCTCAGGCTGCACAGGAGCCCACGGTGGGGTGGGGCGAGGCTCAGGCATGGCGGGCTGCAGGTCCTGAGCCCTGCCCCGTGGGGAGGCAGCTAAGGCCCGGCAAGAAGTCGAGCACAGCAGCTGCTGGCCCAGGTGCTAAGCCCCTCACTGGCCAGGGCCGGCAGGGCCGGCTAGCGGCTCCCAGTGTGGGGCCCACCGAGCCCATGCCCACCCGGAATTCCAGCTGGCCCGCAAGTGCCACACGCAGCCCTGGTTCCAGCTCACGCCTCTCCCTCCACACCTCCCTGCAAGCTGAGGGAGCCGGGTCCGACCTCGGCCAGCCCAGAAAGAGGCTCCCACCGATCAGCGGCGGGCTGAAGGGCTCCTCAAGTGCTGCCAAAGTGGGAGCCCAGGCAGAGGAGGCGCTGAGAGTCAGCGAGGGCTGTGAGGGCTGCCAGCACACTGACACCTCTCAACATCATAGCTTTCAGAGATATTAAGACTACAGTTTCATGTTTTATTCTCACCATACTAAATTCAGGAATACACTAAACTAGACTGTGTTAGCCTAGGAAAGCTTAGAATAAATAATTTGTTCATATCTGAATATCCTCTAAACTGTATCCTAGCTATCATATTGTGTATTGTATTACTCTGTGATTGATCATCTACCATGTCTAGGTGAAGTGGTCTCTAGGGAAGGGGCTATGTATAGGACTAGTCCAGCTTTATGTATATAAGGCTAGGACTGGAAGAGAAAGTTAAGTTTCCAGAAGGTCTGATGTTATGCATTCCAGAAGGTCTGAGTATTTGGAAGGCTTAGAAACTTGCACTTTCATCTCTTGGCTGATATTGCAACTAATTCCTTTATGTATCCTTTAGATAAAGTAAACCCAAGTGGTGTCTGTGTGGTGGTATTTCTGCTAATCTGCACCTTCTATTGATATGTATCAACACGGAGGTTATACAGGGTGATATCAATAGATTGGCAGTAATTGAAGCCATTGGTGTGCAAAGGATCAAAGAGAATAAAGAAGACAAGCAAGTGAGGGTGGGGAAGACAGCAGAGAATAGAATTCTGGGAAACACTAATAATTGAGGAGTAGGTGAAAGAAAAGTCTAAGAGGAGAATAAGTAAATGTGATAAAATCAGAGGGACTGAACAACTAGAAAGGTAGATTGAATAATATTTGTATTTCATCATTAAACTAAGATATTTCAGAATGACATTAGACAAATTTTCTTATTACATGTAAATATATACTCATTGTTAAATAGATATATTTTCTAAAAGATTCATAACAAGGGCTCAGAAAAAGACATGGATTTCCTAATTTTCAACTAGAAGGTTAAACACTAGGACAAAACTCACTGATAATTCTGTTAGAAGTTAATACAAGATGGCATTAGTGATGACTACAAATTTAAGAGTTCTCTTTTCTACCACCTATTTAAAACGTTTACTCAAAGCTAATGTGTGCCAGGCATGCTTTACCTACAATATTTCATTTAACCTCACAACTATCCCATGAAGAAGGCACTTTTGTTTTCTTCTTTTAAAGCTATGGAGAGGTTAAGTAGTAAAGATTGGTGAAGATTAGAAAGGCTAAATGTTGCGGGAAGTCAGGGACCCTGAATGGAGGGACCAGCTGGAGCCATGGCAGAGGACCATAATTGTGAAGATTTTATGGACATTTACCAGTTCCCAAATAATACTTTCATAATTTCTTACACCTGTCTTACTTTAATCTCTTAATCCTGTTATCTTCGTAAGCTGAGGATGTATGTCACCTCAGGCCACTATGATAATTGTGTTAACTGTACAAATTGATTGTAAAACATGTGCATTTGAACAATATGAAATCAGTGCACCTTGAAAAAGAACAGAATAACAGCGATTTTAGGGAACAACAGAAGACAACCATAAGGTCTGACTGCCTGTGGGGTCGGGCAAAAAGAGCCATATTTTTCTTCTTGCAGGGAGCCTATAAACGAACGTGCAAGTAGGGAAGATATTGCTAAATTATTTTCCTAGCAAGGAATATTAATATTAATACTCTAGGAAAAGAATTGCATTCACTGGGGGAGGTCTATAAACAGCTGCTCTGGGAGTATCTGTCTTATGCGGTTGAGATAAGGACTGAAATACGCCCTGGTCTCCTGCAGTACCCTCAGGCTTACTAGGGTGGGGAAAAACCCCACCCTGGTAAATTTGAGGTCAGACTGGTTCTCTGCTCTCGAACCCTGTTTTCTGTTAAGATGTTTACCAAGACAATACGTACACCACTGAACACAGACCCTTATCAGGAGTTTCTGATTTTGCCCTGGTCCTGTTTCCTCAGAAGCATGTGATCTTTGTTCTCCTTTTTGCCCTTTGAAGCATGTGATCTTTGTGACCTACTCCCCGTTTGTACACCCCCTCCCCTTTTGAAACCCTTAATAAAAACCTGCTGGTTCTAAGGCTCAGGTGGGCATCATGGTCCTACGGATATATGATTCCAGCCCCAGAGACCCAGCTGTAAAATTCCTCTCTTTGTACTCTTTCTCTATTTCTCAGCCGGCCGACACTTATAGAAATAGAAAGAACCTACACTGAAATATTGGGGGTGGGTTCCCCCGATAGTTAAATAATGTGCTAGAGTCACCCAGGTAGTAACCAGCAGAACTCAGATTCAAACTAGAGCTTTCCAACTTCAGAGTCTGAAGCCTAACTACCATGTAACAATGCTGTGAAAGCATTACTTATGGTAATAAATGGTTAAATTTATCAGGCATTTATTAATGTAATTTTCAATGAAGAGAGATTTGGTAGCCACGGAGGAGTTTTATACCCACACCGACATTTATAGGTATGCTACAATTTTGAAAGTATTTCTTGAGATACTTGAGAACAAAAATATGTATTTGAATATTTGGTTTTGCTATTGAAAGAGAAATTATTCAGTTTTTTGAAATGCTAACTCTTAACTTTAGCTGATTTGTTAACTTGTAGAATAAAAAATTATTTTTACCTTTGGTAACTTGCTTGGCTTTGGCATAAAGCCATGCATTGTTTCTGGGGCAGTATAATCTCTCTTGGCATATGTACATAAAAGGCTATTGTGTATTTTTTTAAAAGAAATTTACAGAATACTTGATATAAGTACTTGCTACACATTATTATTTTATTTTATTATTTTTTTTTTTGAGACAGAGTCTCACTCCCTCGCCCAGGCTGGAGTGCAGTGGTGTCATCCCCGTTCACTGCAACCTCTGTCTCCTGGGTTCAAGCAATTCTTCTGTCTCAGCCTCCCAAGTAGCTGGGACTACAGGTGCCTGTGACCACGCCTGGCTAATTTTTGTATTTTTAGTAGAGACGGGGTTCCGCCTTGTTGGTCAGGTTGGTCTCCAACGCCTGACCTCAGGTGAGCCACCCGCCTCGGCCTCCCAAATTGTTGGGATTATGGGTGTGAGCCACCGCACCCAGGTGCTACACCTTACTTTTAAAATTTGGCTTTTCAAATCATTAGAAGTATTGTTTTCAATCAATGAATTCCAATTGCATGTCCTCAACTCTGAACAGAGATGTAAAAGATTCTAACGATTTTGAGTTAATCATGCCAAAGTTACCAATAGTAAAAAATCCAAAAGAAAAGTTGGCTACATAGTGAAAGTCAGAGAATTTGATCCTATATCACTAGCCCAATTACTAAAGCATCATTTTTGGCCAGGTGTGGTGGCTCATGCCTGTAATCCCAGCACTTCGGGAGGTCGAGGTGGGTGGATCACTTGTACTCTGGAGTTCCAGATCAGCCTGGCCAACATGCTGAAACCCCATCTCTACTAAAAAGAACAACAAACAAACAAACAAAAAGGCCTGCGGTGTGGCTCACGCCTTTGTAATCCTAGCACTTTGGGAGGCCAAGGCAGGTGGATTGCCTGAGCTCAGTAGTTGGAGACCAGCCTGGGCAACACAGTGAAACCCCATCTCTACTAAAATACAAAAAATTAGCCGGGCGTGGCAGCCTACGCCTGTAGTCCCAGCTACTCGGGAGGCTGAGACAGGAGAATTGCTTGACCCTGGGAGGTGGAGGTTGCAGTGAGTGGAGATCGCGCCACTGCACTCCAGCCTGAGTGACAGAGTGAGACTCCGTCTCCACCCCCCACCCAAAAAAAGCGCCTCGTTTTTACAAGCTCCCTGAGACCTCAAGAATAATGTCTGCCATATATTCCATTTGAACTTTTTTGCTAAATTCACCAGTTTTCATACATAAAGCTTATACCATAGGAGGTGTCAAGTTTCCCAGAAGTTGTGTAATAGGCACAAATGATCAAAATTACTGCCCTAGGAGCTCTCTACTATTACCTCATCTGTCCCCTTTATCCATCCTTGCTTTGCTTCTTATCAGAAGGAAAAATAAAATAAAATTATTTAGCTTACAAAGTAGCTCTGTTACAGCCAAACAGCGCTATCCACTGACAATCTCATGGCTCACTGTCTTCCATCATGTCATAAGCTCAGCTGTCTGAAGGTGTTGGTTTCTTCATCTCTACTGTTTCTGGTTTTTCCTCCCTCATTTTCTGCTTTCTGACCAGCAGCTGCAAAATGTCTTGGGGAAAAAGTAGACCAACCTGGATCTTGGGGAAATACAGATGAAGATTTTTCTGTTTGGCTTTTGCCTCATATTTATTTGGCACTTCAGACCTGATGAAGGCTTTTATGTATCTGTGCCTTATTTGAGCCTCGAAACTCTGATTTTATAATAGAAGGGTATTCATTCAACAAGTATGTACTGATTACCTGCTATATGCCAGACACTGTTCTAGGTGCTGGAGATACACAGGAAACAAAATAAGATTTAAAAAGAGGAAGAACCGGCAGCCCAACTCGCGAAACTCTCCTTTTAGCTGGGAGCATCTGCCAGTAAAGGGGCCGGGACAGATCTCGTAGCGCCTGGTAGGTGATTGGAGGAATTTTGGCTTTTACTTTGAGTGAGATGGGAGGCCAGCGGAATGCGTGGAGCAGAGGGTAGTCTCATTTTAGAGATTAGGAAAATAAGAGGCTACCCCACAGTAAGTGCACCAGTTGCGTTTAAAGAAAAAAAATGTATATTAACAGGAGGTAGCCACTGATTTGGGGCCACTAGTCCAGAGATTCGAAATGAAGCGGGAGGAGACACGTTAAGATTAATCTACAGGGAAACAAATTATTTACACCGAAATACAATTTAACACAAACATACGCAAAGAGATATGCCAAGGAGTACTCGGGGGCTCTGTTCAGGCACTTGTTAATGAAAACGAAGCGAATCTTGACGCCTTAAACCCTGTCTAGCCTACTTGATTCCGGGGGTGGGGCTGTGGGAATCGCTGCCCACCCGGAATCCCGCCTGCCCCGAGCATGGCCAAGCCCCAGCCCCGCCCCGCCGACGGCCTGCCGCCGGGGTTGGCCGCGGCGGTGGCGGAGGCCACGGTACCCGGAAGTGCGGCTGACGTGTCCCGGCAGCGCTCGGAATTGTGGGCGACTCGGCTAATGGCGTCGGCGAGTCTTAGGGGCCTGGGGAGCTGGCGCTGAAGCTTCTTGCCAGGTTGGCTGGTGACACCCGGTGTGGCTGGGCCCCGCGGCAGCGGAGGGACCTGCCCGCCTTGTGGGTTTCTCGGCCAGAGTCGGCGGAGCCTAGCGGGACGGTGCGACTGCGGGGGGCGCCTCCGAGAAAAGCCAGAGGTGTTGCGGGGAAGCTGCTGGGGGACGCTCGAGCAGGCTCCGGGTTCGCAGCCCAGGGCCCAAGAAGCGGGCTGCTGAAGGACCAGAGACACCGGGAGGGAGCTGCCTGTGGCCCTAAGGAGCTGACCGTGCCAGAGCTTGTTTGTACCTCTCGGAAATTGGCTGGGACCTTGGAGGATCATGTCCGGCACCAGCAGCCCCGAG
The DNA here is from genome assembly GCF_000001405.40 of Homo sapiens. Taxonomy (NCBI): domain Eukaryota; kingdom Metazoa; phylum Chordata; class Mammalia; order Primates; family Hominidae; genus Homo; species Homo sapiens. Next base: position 62,467,232 of record NC_000012.12, read on the forward strand.
GCGGTGAAGAAGCTGCTGGAGAATATGCAGAGCGACTTGCGCGCCTTGTCACTGGAGTGCAAGAAGAAATTCCCACCTGTCAAAGAGGTAAGCTTCAGGTGACGTCAGGAGAAGGCACTGTGAGCATGCCTGGTCCTGTTAGACTCAGTGCTTCACCCCAGTTTCCAGTCCTAATTTTCATTCAGGCCTCACCTTTCCAGATTTGTGAGTCGGTGGGTTGTTCCACAAGGGCTTTTTATAGTTTCCACTGGAGAGGGCTGAGGCACTTTGATTTTCTCCCCTCTCCTGTCCTCCCAGTTTAGGAGTGAAGTTCATGAAGTGAGCCTATTCAGTTAATCCAGCTAGGTGTACTGTGCACTAGCCTATTCTGGCCTTTTTCTTACTTGAAACTGGCCAAACCAAAATTGAAAAACTTGTTTGTTGCTCCCCGAAACGAGTATCCACCCATCTTGTTGAAACCTGTACTCCTCACGTTTATGGCATATCACTGAATTGGAAACAATTTTCCTTCTGGTATATATCATTCAGCTTAACTCTGTATCAATCCTTTGACGTGTTAATAAACTATCCAGAGCCACCTAATTTATGAAGAATATTGAAGATCCACATAATCATGTTAAACCTTGTTATGAGCAGTACTGTAGTGGGAAGTTGGGCTTGCAGTCAGAGCGAATACACCTGAATTTAGTTCCAGCAATAAATCTTAACCTCTTTGAGCTTCGGGTTTTTTTTTCCAGCTGTAAAATAGGGTTAAAGGATGGTTTTATATTATGTATGGGAAAGATGTCAGAGCAGAAGGGTATTATTAAAGAGATCCCAGTAAATAATACATGGAAATTTAATTCTCCAAATAGTTCTTGAGGTGAAATATTTAACATTTGGTTACTATTTGCTTTTTCTCTTAAAATGCCATTTTAATTCTCTAAAAAAAAAAAACAAACAAAAAAACCCACCAAAAACAGGCCCGGCTAATTTTGTATTTTTAGTAGAAACAGGGTTTCTCCATGTTGGTCAGGCGGGTCTCGAACTCCCGACTTCAGATGATCCCCCTGCCTCGGCCTCCCAAAGTGCTGGGATTACAGGCGTGAGCCACAGCGCCCGGCTGTTTTTATTTTTATTCCTATTTAATGTAGTTTGTTTTACCTGCAATTTCATTTACTCTTTGCCCTAAAAATTCACCGAGGGATTTCATATTTACATACTTATTTAAATATATCTTTATTATTATGAAGATTATGTAATTAGAACTTGACCAATAAATTTTGGATTTTAGGCTTGTAAGGAATATTGACTTTTCTGTAAGTGCATTGGTTTTATCAGTTTTCAACAAACTCCATCTTGTATTTCTTTAATAAAGTATTACCCAGTGATGGAAACCAGATGTGCCACTTTTGGAAAGATGGCTGTTACGATATGTTTTATTTCACATAGTCAATAGTCTGTTTTGATATTGATTTTCATTTTTTTTATATCCTCTGTTGAAAGTTATAACAAGTAAATCTAAAGAATTAGGCTGTTTTAGAGAATTTTAAAGAATTAAGTTGTTTTAATTATAAGAGAAATGCTCTCATTTAGAAAATATCAAACACTATTTTGTAATTTCAACAATAATTTGTAGAACTGACTTCGCAGTTCTAATAATTCATACAAAAACTGTGGTTCCTCTATAGGCTGTTGTGGTCTAGCTTGGGAATTTAATTGCCATTTATTACATTTTTTTGTTTTGTTTTTTGATTTTGGAAATGGGGTCTCTGTGGCCCAGGCTGGAGTGCAGTGGTGCGATCTGCAACCTCGAACTCCCTGGCTCAGGTGATTCTCCCACCTCAGCCCCCTGAGTTGCAGCGACTACAAGTGCATACCACCACGACAGGCTAATTTTTCGCCTTTTTTTTTTTTTTTTTTGTAGAGACGGGGTTTTGGCAGGCTGGTCTCCTGAACTGGGTTCAAGCGATCTGCCCACCTCTGGCTCCCAAAGTGCTGGGATTACAGGTGTGAACCACCATGCCCAGCCAGAAGCTGCTGGAGGATCCCTTGAGCCCAGGCGGTCAAGGCTGCAGTGAGTGGTGATTGTGCCACTGTACTCCAGCCTGGGAGACAGAAGGAGACCCTGTCTCAAAACAAACTAACAAAAAAGCTTATTGGTTTTTACTTGAACACTGGCTAGAGAGATATTTTGTAATTGCACCTAGTCTTTGAGATAATAGCAAAAGTAATTCTTGTGATTATCTCTGATGCATAATTTTGTATATGGTACGTGTTTATAAGAATTTGTTGAATGAAAGCTTTTTGATTTCTTACCCAATGACACTGGGCACTACTTTAGGAATTGAAAAATGATCTTGACTGTGTCATAGGTTTAAAACAAAGAGAGTCATTAGCCTAATTATGATGAAGTTTTAGGACAAAGGTTTGACTTTCAAGAAATAGTTTGGCTGAATTAAATTTTCTCTGTTAAATTAATAAGAGTGCCAGATTTTGGCTTTTGTTCTTCAAGAAACTGGTAGGATTTTGGTTTTATTTTTCTCTTTGGTTGCCAACTAAACTTTAAGGCAAAGTCTAAGAAGCTAGTTAACAGAGACATTTTATATTTAGTCTTTATTTCAAATTTTTAGTCATTTCTGTCTTTTATGGCCATAGTGCTTGACTATTATTTTATTTATTTATTTATTTATTTATTTATTTATTTATTTATTTGAGACAGGATCTCTTTCACCTAGGCTGGAAGTGCAGTGGCAGGATCTTGGCTCACTGCAGCGTTGACATCCTGGGTTCAAGTGATTCTCCCACCTCAACCCCCTGAGTAGCTGGGACTACAGGTGCATGCCACCACACGCAGCTGATTTTTGTATTTTTTTTGTAGAGACAGGGTCTCACCATGTTGCCGAGGCTTGTCTCCAACTCCTGCGATTAGGCAATCTGTCCACCTCCTACTCCCAAAGTGCTAGGATTATAGGCGTATCCCAGGCTGCCCATGTAATTCTTTTTTAAAATTAATAATAAGCTGGATTTAAAGATTTCAAATCTGTTAGAAAAACCAATAAAAGAGTATTGATAAAGAATAGTGCTTTATTTACTGATATTTACTTACTGTCTTTGGACTTCTACATGGTTTTTCCTACCTTACTGTTTTCATTTATAACTCTATCCTTTGTATATTAAATTGTTGTTGTAGTGGCTATGGCTTTATTCTGTCATTTTATAATAACCTCTTTCTCTTTTTTTCTATTTTTCTTAGTTGTTATACATAAATCTTCATGTTTTAGCAGTATAACTTTTTTTAGTACAACTGTACTAGCTAATTTGGGAATATTGTATGAAATTTTTTCCTTTGTTTTAAAAATTACTTTGAAGCCTTCCATGATCACTTCTATGTGATTAATATTCAGTGGCCTTTAGAGGAAGACAACTCTGAAGCTTTATGTTTATGTATTTCATGAATAAAAACTTTCTTATTATTTCCTATTTGCAGGTACAGATGAGGGGTATCTAACTGAGCCTGGAAGTTGGAGGAGGGGAGTCATTCCTAGCAGAGGAAATAGCACACGTTGTTAGTATTCCATGTAAAATAAATTTTATACTGAAGATGATTGGAGCCATTAGAGCTTTTTGAAAGAGAGTAATATGATCAAATTGATATTTAGTAACATTGCCTTGACAGTTGGTAGGAAGAATTAGAGGGTATTGAGACTGAAGCAAAGAGAGCAAAGTTTAAAAAATGATGATTCTCTGTTTTGAAGCAGTAGTGGACATAGACAGAAGGTTGCTTGCATTGAGTTAGACAGTAGTGAAAGAGCGTATAGATTGAAAAGGTAAAAATTACCAAGGCATGGTAATCTTTTATATAATGGAGAGAGAGAAATGTGTGATGCCTCCCAGGTTTCTGGCTTGGGAAACTAGGTGGATCACTAAGAGAAGAAATAAAAGAGGAGGAAATGTTTTGGGGGAAAATGAGTAGTCATGTGTGTATATTGTTTGAGACGGAGTCTCTGTTGCCAGGCTGGAGTACAGTGGCACAATCTCGGCTCACTGCAACCTCCGCCTCCCAGGTTCAAGTGATTTTCCCGCCTCAGCCTCCTGAGTACCTGGGATCACAGGCGCGTGCCACCACACCTGGCTAATTTTTTGTATTTTTAATAGAGACGGGGTTTCACCATGTTGGCCAGCCTAGTCTCGAACTCCTGACCTAAGGTGATCTGCCCGCCTCGGCCTCCCAAAGTACTGAGATAGCAGGCGTGAGCCACCACACCCAGCAGAGTAGTCATTATATTAAGATTTATGTGTGACATCCAAGTGGAACTGACCAGTAGGTGTTTGAAAATGATGGTTTGGCACTTAAGAGGGAAGTCTGGAATTTCAAATTTAGGAGTATCAGTTTATAAATAATATTTGAAACCATAGAATTGGATGAAATGGGCCAGGAAGAGTGTGTGTATAGAGTGAGAATATCAGGACTGGAAAAGGAACTGTGGGAAACAACATTAAAGAAAAAGGCTGCTGGGCAGACTGAGGTTAAAGATACAGGAGAGAAAGGTAAAACTCGTTAGAGGAAGGTCCTTGAGAAAACTGAAGTTTCAGTGGCATAAGTATATGAACAGGATTTCAATCTGAGAAAGGACACATTACCTTCTGACAGAGGAAGGACAAAGGAAAAACCGGGTTTGAATGTGACAAATTTGACAGAAGGGAGCGACAAGTTGTGGGCAGTTTGGTCTGTGGCCTCTGCTTTCTTGCGAAGATAAGAAACAAGCTTGTTAGTAGGAATAATTAAGTGATAAAAGAAGTAGGGGGTGGCAAGTTTGAGGAGAGCAGTGGATCACTTTGGAGAAGTGGAGGAGAAATTGTCTTGGAACACTTAAGAGTCTTAGCAGGAAGAGTGGTTGAAATAATGGTGGATTGTGAGAGCTAGGTTGGATTCCCAAAGAAGGAAAGCCAATAGTTTGGATTGACTGGATGATGATGGGAAGGTTAAAGGCTAGCAGCACCTATTTCATCAAAGAGCAGTGGGGTTGGGGAGTGAGAGAGCTAGAAGGATAGGAGTTGGGACAATGGTGGGAATATTGCATTTCAGATTGCCCAGCACTAGAGGATGATGAAGTCCAGGGAATGGGTGGTAGAAGAGTAAAGGGAAAGAAGTTCATTTGAGTTTAGGTGGTCAGAATTAGGGAATTGGATAGATTCCTTTTCTCTCTTTTTAAATGATGCAGAATCAGTAAGGGTATAAATAATTTAAAAGTGCAAGTAGTCTTCCTAGGCTATGTAGTTTAAGTTTCCTGTTACCCATTCAGGCCTAATAGAAATTGGCTGGCAGAGAAAAGCAAAGGTTTCTTGTGATAGAGTTCCTCAGTATCCAGGTGTTTTGCTTTGTTAACTGGCTTAGGGAGACCCCTAGTGAAAGAGATGCCTTCTACTTACTGTGACAGGATTTGCCATTTAATCAGATATTTAGGGACTGTGACTAATGTCATTGGCTCTCCTGGTTGGGTTAACACCTCATTTGCACGACCTTATGACATTGAAGATGAGGGCTGGATAATCTTTACGAGCTTACTTGGGATCTGTTTTGGTTTAGTATTTTATAATGTGGTTTCTTCCTCTTGACATTGTGTTCTTTCTCCCATAAGCGTAATATAATATATTCATGCTTTATATATTGAAAGCTATAAACTGAAATAAATGATTACCTGTGCTTTGGTGACAGAAAAAATAAAAGACATATTCTCTAACTTATAAGCCAAAAAGGAAGACATATTTCAAAATTTGATTTATTTTTCTTTTTTCCTTTATGTAAGCATAGCTGAACATTTTCAACCATGTATGAAGTAGAAGGTTTTGCTGTTACTGTTATAATTTAACAGAAATTTATGAGTCTCCTAAAAAAGCACAGCAGGAACACAGAAATAATTGAGAAATTGCCTTTAGTCTCATGAAGTTAACTCAAGGTTGAATAAAATGTTGCCTTCCCACTAGGCTTGGAACTTTGCATCCTTAGACTCTAATGCAACATGCCATATTAAATATTTCATTTTACAGATGAGGAAACTGGTATAGACAGGTTTAGTAATTTGCATAAGGTAGTAAAGCTGGAAAATGGTGGAAATGGTGGAAATGGTATGTGAGTCCATGTGAGTCCATCTCTAACTCCTCTCCCATTTTCCATTATATCATGCTGCACATGCCTTTACAACTTTCTTGTTTTTGTTATTGTTCCCATTTGTTTACCTTGCTTCATTATTTGTTACTATTGGTTATTCTTTCCATCTTGGAACCCTCTAGTTTTGAGTTTTGTAAGACTGTACTTCCCTGTTTCCCCTCTCAGTATTCCACATCCTTTTCTTTTTCTTTTTGTTTCTATTTTTTGAGACAGGGTCTTACTCTGTCACCCTGGTTGGAGTGCAGTGGGCTATCTTGGCTCACTGCAGCCTCTGTCTCCCAGGCTCAAATGATCCTCCCACCTCAGCCTCCTGAGTAGCTGGGACTGTAGGCAGATGCCACCACGGCTGGCAAATTTTTGTATTTTTTCATAGTGACAGGGTTTTGCCATGTTGCCTGGGCTGGTCGCAAACCCCTGAGCTCAAGCAATCCACCTGCCTCAGCCTCCCAAAGTGCTGGGATTACAGACCCGAGCCACTGTGCCCGGCCATCCTTTTCTTTACATACAAGTGTCTCCCAGGTTCTCTCTTCAGATCCTTCCTTTCTCCATGCTCACCTGCTTGGCATCATCCACTCCTATTGCCTCTGGACTTGCTGCGATGCTGATGACTCTTAAATCTACTTCAGTCATTTGCTCTCTTTACTGAGTGTAGATCTGCATTTCCAGCTGCACATCAAACACATCTAGGACGTTTTTTCACATGCGTCAGTAGAACTTCTTCTTTTTCTTTTCTTTTCTTTTTTTTTTTTTTCTGAGACAAAGTCTCGCTCTTGTCCCCCAGGCTTAAGTGCAATGGTGCGATCTCAGCTCACTGCAACCTCCGCCTCCCAGGTTCAAGCGATTCTCCTGCCTCAGCCTCCTGAGTAGCTGGGATTACAGGCGCCTGCCACCACGCCCAGCTAATTTTTGTATTTTCAGTAGAGATGGGTTTCACCATGTTGGCCAGGCTGGTCTCGAACTCCTGACCTCAGGTGATCCGCCCGCCTCGGCCTCCCAAAGTGTTGGGGTTACAGGTGTGAGCCACTGCGCCTGGCCTCTTCTTTTTCTTTTCTTTTCTTTTGAGACGAGTTTCACTCATGTTATCCAGGCTGGAGTGCAGTGGTGCAATCTCGGCTCACCGCAACTTCTGCCTCCCGGGTTCGAGTGATTCTCTTGCCTCAGCTTCCTGAGTAGCTGGGATTACAGATGCCCATCACCATGTCTGGCTAATTTTGTATATTTAGTAGAGACGGGGTTTCTCTGTGTTGGTCAGGCTGGTCTCAAACTCCCGACCTCAGGTTATCTGCCCGCCTCGGCCTCTCAAAGTGCTAGGATTACAGGTGTGAGCCATCGCGGCCAGCCAGATAGAACTTCTTGTAATTGAACTGGTCTTTTCCTCAAAACGTCATTTTCCCCCTATTTCAGTTGTTTTGTTAATGGTATCTAGCACTGTTGCCTACTTTAGTCATATTTGGCTATCTTCTCTCCCTCATCTCTCTTTATTCACTGTCACCTGTTCCTTCCAGCTCTGTAATTTTTAGCATACTTCTCCTTTTTTCTGTTTTCTCAGCTATTATGCTAGTTCCAGATTCTATTAGTAACATTATGCCTGGCCTTTGACATACATTAATAGCATACATGACTTCAAATCATTCTGTATGTCACCCATGCAGAAGCCCACAATGTCTACTCTACTTATAGGACTCTAACATAGCATTTAATATTCTCTTGATTTTCCTAACCTTCCTTTTTAGCTTTATCACCCTCAAATCTTCTTCATATGCCTTTATGCTTCACCCCAACTAGGTTACCTGCTAGTCTCCAAATATGTCCTACTGCTTCTGTCTTTCATGTTATGGCTTCTTTGTTTTTTTGTTGTTGTTGTTATTTTTGGAGATGGAGTCTCTCACTCTTGCCCAGGCTGGAGTGTAGTGGTGTAATCTTGGCTCACTGCAACCCCCACCTCCCAGGTTCAAGTGATTCTCATGCCTCAGCCTCCAAAGTGGCTGGGATTACAGGCGCCCGCTATCATGCCCAGCTAATTTTTGTATTTTTGGTAGAATATTTTCAGTAATCTAGTAATTTAGCCTGGGTGAAAGAGTGAAACTCTATCTTTAAAAAAAAAAATTAATCTTCAACAAGTATCTAATTAGCACCTCCTAGGTATACAAATGCTTTGCACTATAGTGAATTTAGCATTTAGTAATTTAGTATTTTTAGTAATTTTGTATTTTAGTTTCACCATGTTGGCCAGGCTGGTCATGAACTCCTGACCTCATGATCTGCCCGCCTCAGCCTCCCAAAGTGCTGGGATTACAAGCGTGAGCCACCACACCCATCCTCCTTTTCTTAAAAATTTAGTCTTCAGCCGGGCACAGTGGCTCATGCCTGTAATCCCAGCACTTTGGGAGGCTGAGGCGGGCTGATAACCTGAGGTCAGGAGTTCACGACCAGCCTGGCCAATGTGGTGAAACCCCATCTCTACTAAAAATACAAAAAATTACCTGGGCATGGTGGCGGACGCCTGTAATCCCAGCTACTCGGGAGGCTGAGGCAGGAGAATCACTTGAACCCGGGAGGTGGAGGTTGCAGTGAGCCGAGATCTCGCCATTGCACTCCAGCCTGGGCAACGAGAGCTAAACTCCGTCTCAAAAAGAAAAGAAAAGGAAGGAAAAAGCATACCACCTATGTGGGAATACCATGTATATATTTTTAGTTATATACATGTAATCTGCATTCCAGTCTTTGATTTGTTAAGGAAATTTTGTTTTCTAGAAGCCAGAGGTTCTAGAATAGAATGTCATATAGGTATATATTTTTAGAAGGTTTTAGGGTTGTAGAATAATTGAATGTTACAGAAGAAAATCTTATTGATTTCAATGTAGTATTTGTTTTGTGAGCATTTTGTCACCTAAAGGGTGTTCTAGATGTATCAAGTACTCCCAGTGTACACTTGACTTCGGGTCTTTTGATTTTACCTGACATCTGAAATCACAAGTCTTCAGGCAGCTCCATACCTCTCTTGTGTCTCATTAGTATATTATTTTATCTAAGTTGCCATTAACTTGAATTTCACTTTTTTTTTTTTTTTGAGGCAGAGTCTCGCTCCATTGCCCAGGCTGGAGTGCAGTGGCATGATCTAGGCTTACTGCAACCTATGCCTCCCAGGCTCAAGCGATTCTCTTGCCTCAGCCTCCTGAGTAGCTGGTATTACAGGTGCACACCACTACTGACCGGCTAATTTTTTGTATTTTTAGTAGAGACGGGGTTTCACTATGTTGGCCAGGCTAGTCTTGAATGCCTGACTTCAAATTATCCACCCACCTCAGCCTCCCAAAGTAGTGGGATTACAGGCATGAGCCACCATGCCCAGCCTCACATTTCTTCTTTAGCTCTTGTTTCATGCTGTGTCCTGTGGAAAAATAATTTGGACCTTTGGTAAATTTGCCTTAATATCCAGGTTTTATTCTCATAGAAGTCGTGAAAAACATTTGTTATTTAAAAACAGAGCAGGGGTTAGGTGTGGAAGCTTATGCATATAATCCTGGGACTTTGGGAGGCGAAGACTGGAGGATCACTGAGATAGGAATTCGAGACTAGCCTGGGCAACATAGCAAGACCCCCATCTCTACTAAAAAATTAGCTGGACGTGGTGGTGTGTGCCTATAGTCCCGGCCATTTGGGAGACTGAGGCAGGAGGATTGGTTGAGCCCAGGAATTCAATGCTGCAGTGAGTTATGAAGGCGTCACTGTACTGGGTAGGTCCATAGTTTGTTTTTTCCTTTCAAAGGATGTCCTTACACTACTGTTGATAGAGTGATGCCTTATCTCAAAAACAAAACCAAGCAGAACAGCAACTTTTGTGAAAAAAAAGTAACCTTTTAAATAACTTTTTTTGTGTGTGTAAATCTATACATAGTTTTGAGTGGACATTTGTTAATTCCTTTGCTACCATCCATTCCCTTTTGCTTCCTTCGTTGGTAGGCTATGTTCTTCTCTCATTTTCAACCCTTTGGATTCTCATTCCTAACTCTAGGGTACCATGATTAACTTAATCTACTTTATATTTATTTATTTATGTTGAGACAGGGTCTTTCTCTGTTGCCCAGGCCGGAGTGTGGCAGTGCAATCACAACTCACTGTAGCCTCGACCTCCTGAGCTCCCACCTCAGCCTCTCGAGTATCTGATACTACAGGCTCACACCACCACGTTTGCCTAATTTTTTTTTTTTTTTTTTAGAGACAGCATCTGCCTATGTTGCCCAGGCGGTCACGAGCTCTGAGGCTCAAGCGATCCTCTCGCCTTGACCTCCCAAAGTGCTGGGATTACAGGCGTGAGCCACTACTTCTGGCCTAGATTAGTCTACTTTAAATCCTCCTAACTGCTCCCCACCTCACCTCCATTCCTGCGCAAGTTACATAATGCTAGTGAGTGCTTCTGGGAAAGAAAAGTTTTCTCTTTCTTTCTCTAGAGCTACTGAAAGAGACCCTTTCTTTCCTTCAAAATGGTGTCATATGAAATTTGAGGTGTGGAATGGCTGCAGCCGTTGTTGCCAAGGTTGGATGTAGCCTGAGGATGAACCTACTCATGGAACAGGGCAGAACCAAGAGAATGGCAGATAAGTGAAACTGCAACCCTGATGACATTGTAAATCTCTGGATCAGACTTCCTCTGCATGTTTCAATTTGTGATACAGTAAAGTCCATCCCTCTCTCTCCCCTTTTTAAGTGAGTTAGAATTGGCACTTGTAGATATAATTTGTGTGTGTGTGTGTGTGTGTGTGTATAAAATACCAACAAGTTTTTCTGGTACATTTAGAACTTTCCATTTCTTCCCTTGGGAACATTTATTATATAGCTACTGTATGAAAGGCACTGGGATAGACAATAATATAGAGCTATGAATGAGATCTATTTCTTATCTTTATTATTCTTATAGGTAGTATGAAGAAACAGACATAATGAGATGAATAAGATAAAGTGTTACAGGTACAAGCCATAGACAGTACTAAAGGTAGAAAGACTTTTCAGTAGTTACCGTAGAAGAAAGTGATGGAAGAAAAGATTTCCGTCACTGCTTATGACACTAGGAGGGTGACAAAATCAGAAGGACCTGCACCATAAGTCTATAGCTATCATCTTGTTGTTACTAATGGTTTAATTTCAGCAAAGCATTATTTGTCACATTAAATTAGTACAATTTGGGTTTGTATTTCATTTGTGAATATGTTGGCATTATAATTTAAGACCTATAAAGAGTATATTCCTGATTGTATTTATATATACATGTAAATTTGTCAATGACTGGGTAGGTCCATAGTTTGTTTCTTCCTTTTAAAAGATGTCCTTACACTACTGTACTAAATTTTGAGAAACACTGGTAGGAGTGGGCACTAGGGAATCATTGAAGAATTGAGACAGTGGATGGATGGAGGACATGATTGTAGGTAGAGACATTTCTTCATTTAGGTTGATAATGAGTGTTGAACTAAAGTGTGGGAGTGAGATTTGAGAAAAAGGTACAAGATAGGTTAACCAAAAAGACTTCATGGCTGATTAGACTTGTGAGTTGAGGGAAAAAACCCTGGTATCTGGTCAGTGACTGGATAGATGATGCTGCTGGTAAGAAAAACAGAAATTGTAGAAAGAAGAAATAGATTTTTCTGGCTGAGGTAGGAGTTTGGGGGTAGAAGGAAATGATAACATCTATTTTCAACATGTCGAATTTAAGGTGCCTTTTAAACATTTAGGTTAATAATTTCTGTAGTATAGGAGACAGATCAGGAACAGGAATATAATTTAGAAGTCTTCAGCAGTTAGAAAGTAAATGAAACCATGAAATTACAGCCATCCTTTGATATCTGCAGGGAATTGGTTCCAAGAACCCCAGGGAATACCAAAATCTGAGGATATTCAAGCCCCTGATATGAAATGTTGTAATATTTGCACATAACGTGTGCATATCTTCCCATATAATTTCAGTCATTTCTAGATAATACCTAATACAGTGTAAATGCTATGTAAATAGTTGTTATGCTGTATTTTAAAATGTGTGTGTGTGTGTGTATATCCCCCCCCCCCCCCAAATATTTTTGATCTGCAGTTGGTTGAATCTGCAGATGCAAAACCAGTGGATACGGAGGCCTGGCTGTATGGTATTACACAGGAAGAGTTTACTGAGTGAGAAATGAGGTCAAGGATATTCTAGGTGGTCTTAGAAAAGCAGTCAGCAAAGGGTTTTGAGAAAAGAAGAAAATGTTTCTTGAGAAGATTAAGAGTAACATATTAAACGCTGCAGTGTATTTAAGGCTTTGGCATTCTTTCCAACTCATAGATTGTCCTCAGCAGTAGATAAGATTACTTACCTTAACCTATATCATTTCTATTCAAGTCTGTAGAACTTTTTTCATCTTCTTTTCTTCTTTTTTTTTGCATGAGTATCAATTAAGGAAAAACAACAACAACCATGTTTACAATTTATTAGGTTCCCTGCAGATATACGTGGTATCTGATCAGAATAGGGAATACTTTTAAAGCAAGAAGCTAACAATTTTTTTTCACACCTGCAATCCTTGATACATAGAAGGAAATCTGATTGCGAAGACCTCTGTTCATACAGAATAACCTTAAAGATATAGGCTAGTCTTATTTCATACCTAAGTGATATACAAGTGTGTCAATAATCATTGATAGTGAAATTTTCCATCAACACAGGGTGCCTATGAGAATAAGATGATACAATTCCAGAGTATTTTGACAGTAGAAACTTGTATGTTAAAAATGAGGAGCTATGTGATAGGTCTAATTATATCTAAGGCAACAAACAGTCCTTTTGGCAATTCCTTGAATTTAGGAATGAAAATACTGGTTACGTATCTTTTAAAATACCATTTTGGAACTACTTAAAAAATACTTGACCAGGCACGGTGGCTCACCCCTATAATCTCAGCACTTTGGGAAGCTGAGACAGGGGAATCGCTTGAGTCCAGGAGTTTGAGACCAGCCTAGACAGCATAGGGAGACCCTGTCTCTACAAAACAAAAAACAAAAAAAATCAGCCAGGTGTGGTGGTGTGTGCCTGTGGTCCCAGGCTACTCAGGAGGCTGAGATGGATGGATTGCTTGAGCCTAGGGGTCCGTGCTGCAGTGATCTGTGATCCTGCCATTAACACTTCAGCCTGGGTGACAGAGTAAGACCTGGTCTCAAAATGAAAAACAAACTTCCTTTTCCTTCTCCTTATTGTGTGTTTGCATAAAGATATTTATTAGACATGTGCACACATTCATGGTTCAACTCTTATTCATCTCAGGAAATCAGGACTATGGCGAATTTGAAATCATTTACTGACATCTATCATCTAGCACGCTACAGGATGGATTTTGGAAACCGTTAAGGTTTGACTGACTAGAATTTAGAAAGTCTGGATAAATTACATCCATATTTATGATGGTTCAATTTAATCAATCTTGGTTTGCACCGAAGCAAAACCACATATTGACTTTGGACCTATGCAAGGTATATAGGGCCATAGTGAGAAAGGGGAGAAGTTAAACTCGAAAATGATGATGGAGGAAATTTCAGTGACCACAGATTAATTTCCACTGCCTCAGTAAGAAATTGATCCAAGATAATTTGAGATGGGGTGTGTGAATGTTACAAAATACACATAATAATTTCAGTGTTCTATAATTTTTACAGTAGTAAATTTGCTGTGGTTTGTACATCTTCAAGGTATATCGAGAATCTCACCACTTCTTACCATCTCTATCACTAACAATCTTGGGCCAATCCATCATCATCTCTTGCTTATATTATTGCTGTAGTCTCTTAAATTTTACCGTATATTGGAATCACGTGAAGATTTTTAAAAATACTGATGGCTCGGCCAGGCGTGGTGGCTCACGCCTGTAATCCCAGCACTTTGGGAGGCTGAGGCGGGCGGATCACGAGGTCAGGTGATGGAGACCATCCTGGCTAACATGGTGAAACCTCGTCTCTACTAAAAATACAAAAAATTAGCTGGGTGTGGTGGCGGGTGCCTGTAGTCCCAGCTGCTCAGGAGGCTGAGGCAGGAGAATGGCGTGAACCCGGGAGGCGGAGCTTGCAGTGAGCAGAGATGGAGCCAGCCTGGGCAACAGAGCGAGACTCCGTCTCAAAAAAAAAAAAAAAAAAAATTACTGATGGCTGTCTCCCACCAGCAGTCATTCTGGCTTAACTAGGTTGCAATCGGGGCATCAGGACTTATTTAAAAGCTTCTGGTGTTTCTAATATACACTGCCCAAGTAATCAGAAAACCAATAATCTTTCCCTGAAGTAATTCATTTTGACCATGTTTTTCTTCTAGGAGATGTATTAATTTAATTTGGGACCTTTCCATTTTCTAAAGTTTTAGAAATAAGTCCTGGTGTATCCATTAGGCTTCTTAGTTGTGAGCAATGAAAGCTGACTCTGGCTGATTTAAGCTGAAATAAACTTTACTGATAGGATATTGAGTGGTTTACAGAGTTGGTAGAAGGCTGGATGGAGCCAGCCCTAGAAAAAGTGTATAAACAAAGGGGAGGCTAAACAACTAGAACCATGGCAAAACTCATGCCAGCGTGACCGTTACGGCTGTGTCTGCTGAATGATGACTGGATGCTGTTGATTGCACTTCTGGGTATGCTGGTCACTCTAGGCCACTACTGGTTCTGCTGCCTTCGGAAACTAGATACTGCTTTCACTATTGCTGTCATCAGAAAGAATTCTTTGTTGTCTCTGCTCTTTGTTACTAGGTTCTACATTCAAAATTGCTGGTGGGTACATCTCTGGGTAAGCATAGGCTGCCAGCAGGGCATGTGGAAAAGCATCTACATTTTCAGTTTTAATAATGGAAGATAGGCTCTGTTTTGCACCAAAATTTATGAAGTTAGGAATTCTTCAAACACAAGCAAGGGCTTGACATGCTTGGAGCCAACAAAATGACAGAAGTCTACTGCACATGGTATATCTTACAATGTGTTCTTTATTTTAGACATCAATTCATTGTTTGTCAGACTAACAGGCCATAGCATACTGGTGTTTTTACATAATTATTTTTAAACCTTTAGAGACTGCTACCACTTGTCCCTTAGCAAGCAGTAAGAGATAAAATAAATGACCAAGTAGCAAGCAAATTAATAAGAAAACTTGTACATATAGCTTCTTATGAGTACGTACTTACTATCTTTGGAAGTATAGATAACAGTGTATGTATAAAATAGCATGTTTCTAAATAATAAAAATGTTCCAAGTTTCTATGATGGAAATAATATGTCAATATTATATCTCAGCACTCTTCAATGGAATTATAATGTGGGCTACAGATGTAATACATATACGTAATTTTTAACTGCATTAAAAAGTAAAAAGAAGCCAGGTGCAGTGGCTCATGCTTGTAATCTTAGCACTTTGGGAGGCTGAGGTGGGAGGATCGGTTGAGGCCAGTAGTTCAAGACTAGCCTAGGCAATATAGCAAGGCCCTGTCTCTACCAAAAAAATTGAAAAATTAGCTGGACATGGTGGCATGTACCTATAGTACCAGCTCCTTGGAAGACGGTGGTGGAAGGATCACTTGAGCCCAGTAGTTTGAGGCTGCTGTAAGCCATGATTGTGGCATTGCACTCCAGGCTGGGCAGTACAGCAAGATCCTGTCTCTAAAAAAAAGGGGAAAAAAAGTAAAAAGAAACAGACATTTAATTTTAATAATAATTTAACGTAATAATTTGAAATATTATTTCAACATGTAGTCAGTATAAATATTTAGGGGATAGGTTATATTCTTTTTTTTAATACTAAGTCTTCAAAACCTAGTATATATTTTACACTTAGAGCATAGCTCAATTCAGACTGGCCACATTTCAAGTGCTTAATAGCCACATGTAGCCAAATGGCTACCAAATTGGACAGTGCAGTTCTGTGGCATTCTGTAAAATACTATGTGACTTGCCAGTACTGCCCGCTAAACATACTACGGTTAATGAAGTGTTTGGTTATCCATTCTCAAAAAAGAAAACAAAGTAGCTTTTAAAATCCAACACAGGTCTGGGCACGGTGGCCCATGCCTGTAATCCTGGCACTTTGGGAGGCTGAGATGGGTGGATCACTTGAGGTCAGGAGTTCAAGACCAGCCTGGCCAACTAAAAATACAAAAAGTACAAAAATAAAACACTCTACTAAAAATACAAAAATTAGCCAGGCATGGTGGTGGGTGCCTGTAATCCCAGCTACTTGGGAGGCTGAGGCAGGAGAATGGCTTGAACCAGGGAGGCGGAGGTTGTAGTGAGCCAAGATCGTGCCATTGGACTCCAGCCTGGGCAACAAGAGCAAAAAACTCCATCAACAATAAATAAATAAATCCAACACAGTAGTTTTACTTGATTTTGCAGTGTTCTATAATTTTTTTGTGTGTGGTGGAGAGAGAGGAGGCTTGAAATGGGGAAAAGGAGCCTAATTATTTTCAGTAGATTTTGTTTTTGTTTGTTATTTTTATTCTCGGAAAATTTAACTTTGCAGGGGATTGAGGTATTCCAGATAATGCCTTAAGGCAGAGGAAGGCAACATGTTGTAGTGCATTCAGAGTTTGCATGTGAATAATCAAATTAATCATGTTTTATTACATTTAACGTATATGTCACTACTGGGCTTAGTATCTGATGGTTTGAAAATTAAAAAGGTGGTAGGGTAGTGACTGACTTTGTGCTTGATATTTTGTCTATCACATATGACTTATTTTCCATAGATAATTCATTTTGGCAGTAAATTTTGTGTTCTAATTATTTTTATTCTTGCAGGCTGCTGAATCAGGAATAATAAAAGTTAAAACAATTGCTGCACGAAACACTGAAATTTTGGCAGGTAATTTTTTGTATTAAAAATTTAATAATAAACAAAAATTTGACTAATAGTAAAAGTAGAATCTTTATTGTAAAAGCCATCAGTTTTCTGTAACATCTCTTCCTCATGCCCTAACATATGCTATTCATAATGAAACAGAATGGGCAAAAGTCCATAACTTATGAACTGACTGTATTTCCCAGAGACGAATGCTACAAAAATTCTCTGAAATCAGAAAGCTTAACACTACTGACTCCTTAAAGGCAAGGAATTTTTTCTTACTCATCTTCGCATTCTCCTCCACTTCCTGCTAATCACCTGAGACACACCATAAAAAGCATTCAGTAATATTTGTTCCATTGTATTGAATGAAAGATTTGTTCTCAGTCCACCTTCTGTGATCTACTTTCTCTTTAATATAATACGAACAGTTCATAACATAGTCTTCTGTATTTAGTTGTACCGTATGAATTTTGAGTCTTGGGATTAAGGCAGTATGATCATGAAAAAAGAATGAGAGTGAAGTAGAGAAAAGAAAACAAAAATGTTTTCTTACCTTCTCTTGATTGAACCTGATTTTCAAGGAGGAATTTTCAGGAGTTTCTCTTTGGCATCCTTCTTTTCTACCCAGTCCACTCCTTTCTCTTCCTTGGTGCCTTTTGTTCTTGCCTCAATAATGAACATGGAAAAGAGGTAAACTGGCTTTTTTTTTTTTTTTTTTTTAAGAATCTGTTATATGCAAGGCACTTGTGTCATTCTATCTTACATAACAACCTTGTGGGGAAATATTATCTTATTTGATAGTAGAGCTAATTGAGATGTGAAGAGGTTAAGTTACTTGCCCAAGGTCACAGGAAAGGTGATAGAACCAGATTAAAATCCAGGAGTGTTCAGGAGCCCATGTTCTTCCTGCTACAGTGTGCTACCATGGTATCACCAGGTTTCCACGTTAGCCACTTACTCCCAAGTATTACATATGTAACCAGTGCTTGCTTCAGTGATCCTTTAATCTGCATTTCCAGTTCCAGTAGTGCTGTTGATCTCAGCTAATCTATGAGGAAAGTAGTCCTATTAAATTAATTTACAGAGTCCAAATAGTAAATAATCTCTTTAACTTTCATATACTTTACATTTTTTAAAAGGGATACCAGTAAATCTGTAACTGGTGGGATTTCAGAGTGTTATGAAATGAAATTAAGATTTTTGGGGTCAGATTAAGGATCGGGGGCAAGAGTGGATTTCACTTAGGCTATCCAGCTTTGCTGGAAATTTGCCCTTAGCATAAGCGCTCCTCAATTACATCTGTTTCCCACAGCTTTTTCCCTGATTTTGAACAGTCTTATCAAAACACCCAATAGTTTTATAACATTATGCACAGAAGTAAATAATGCTCTGTGTGCATATTGAGAAGTGGTATAGTGAAAGTGGTGGGTAAAGGCAGAGGTGCACATGGTAGGGTTAGGAAGGCTGGCAAGTGGGTTTTTTTTGTTTGTCTGTTTGTTTTTCCTGAGATGGACTTTTGCTCTTGTTATCCCAGCTGGAGTGCAATGGTGTGGTCTCGGCTTACTGCAACCTCTGCCTCCTGGGTTCAAGCGATTCTCCTGCCTCAGCCACCCGAGTAGCTGAGATTTCAGGTGCCCAACACCACATCTGGCTAATTTTTGTATTTTTAGTAGAGACAGGGTTTCATCATGTTGGCTAGGCTGGTCTCGAACTCCTGACCTCGGGGTTCTCCCGCCTCGGCCTCTCCAAGTGTTGGGATTACAGGCGTGAGCCACTGCGCCCGGCCAGCATGTGGGTTTTAATGGGAGATGTACATTAGGCAGATTAGCTACTGTGGGGAAATTGGTGTTTAAAGAAAAATGATGACCTGGATATTTTTATGTTGGAGACTTACCATAGGCCAATCGTATTAGAATATCACTGTAAATATTTAAAATATTTACTGTTGCTAATATCATTGTTGATACCGTGGTAAGTCCTTAATTATTCTCCAATAATACAAATTTTTATTGGTTTTATAGTTTGTGGAAGACTTTTTTTAAAAAAAGACTGATTTCCTCAGAGGATCACTGTTATTCCAGCATTCTATCCCAAGTAAAATGTCTAATAAATTACTCTTAAGATGAGTAAGAAAAATTTTGACTTAGTCGGTATGATTTAAATATATAGGCAGGCTGTTAATTTCATTTTAATTCAATTTGCATTATTCAAATCAAGTTAGAACAGATCTGGTGCAAATACAATTAATAGTCATGTTTTAATCTTCGTAGTATCCAGAGCCCATATACTTGAGGAGGTATATTTGCACTTAAACTTTATCCTAGTATTTTTTCTGAAGTATTTAAAGCAATTATACCTAAAAGTTGTAGATTTATAGACCACTATCATCTTGAAAATCAGAGGCTCTTCAAAACAGAGTTTAAATTAGTCAGTATATAGTTTCTAAACTATATAATTAAGAGTACAGTTAATACTGAGAAAAATTTTTAGTTAACTTTTTAAAATTTCATGAGAAGTATTTACTTCTTTATGGTACTTGAGACTATAGGAGACTATACTACTTTTGTGCTCTAATGTATGTCAAAAATACCAAACAATTGAGGAGTCTCAAATGAGATTGGATATTGAAATCTCATATGTCTCTGTATATTCAGAATATATAAAGATTTGTTGTAAGAATGATAACTTTTAATTTGGATCAAGTAGTTTAATTAATGATACTCGGCATAGATTTCTAGTCAACTTTAGTTTTCTTAGATTTATTTTCCAAGGGAATATTATTTATATTTCAGAATAAGTCTTTGCTTTACATCTCCCCTTCTTTTAAGCATCCTCCTTTAATGTTTATTTTTCTTTGTTTTCACTGCTGTCATGAATGCTGACATAAGTGGGAATGCTATGCCAGGTAATGTCAGCATTGATTCAGATGTACAGATCATTATTTCAAAATTTCCATTTTCTTTAAAAATAAAACTTTGAAAATGAGAGATAGCAACATAAAGTTTTCATTTACAAGGCCAAATACCTTAATCTTACATTTATTATATGAATATTATATATTACAAATTGTGTTTATTATCCTAGCTTATAGTATACTAAAAATTCAGAAATTCTTTGTTATACAAGAATTACATAATCTGCTTTTTGCATAAATTTTTGTAACAAGGAAATCAATGAAGTTGTGGTATCTTTTAACATTGTATATTTAGCCCCTACCCCAAACCGTAGTGGTTACATCTACCTGTGGCTGCTTTCAGCTGCTGTCAGTATACATAAAGAATTTTTACATAAATAATCAGTAGTTGTGACTTTTGTTCTTTTTTCACATGTTGTTCCCTCATCTTCTTTTTAAAGAGCTCATAACTAAAAGATCTTTAAGTAGCAATGAGTAAATATACTTTGGAATTTTTTTCTGATTTTAAAAGGTAATTTATTTGCTTTTAAAATTGAATACATTTATATTTATATATTTAATATATTTTCTTATCAATAAATGTGCTTGTGATATTTTACAAACATCTATAGAATATATCATGCAACATATTCCTAATGAGTAAATAATTATGTAAGAATCATTAGAGGAGATATAAAGATGGGTAATGAAATTCGCCTCCAGTCTATATGGAAATACAAGAAATACACTTGAAAGAAATGTTTGTGCCCTTCATTCTGTTTAGCCTACCTACTCCTTCATTTGGCTTTTGAAGACCTTTTCTAGAAACTTTTTCTTCTAGATGACTTACTCCCTGAGGTCAGAGTCAACATCTTATTGTGACTTATGTTGCCAGTATTTAGCATCCTACATGGGAAATAGTAAGCCCTCTTTAAATGTAGGCTAATAAATAAATTACACTAAGAGGCAACTAAGTCATTGCTGCCTCTAGTATGTTTTTCTACCTCTCTTTAATTTTACGTGATTTGAGTACGTGAGTTTTATCATCTTAAGTTCATGTCAACCAGATAACAGAAAAATGAAGGAGACTGACCCTCAGCATAGAATTTTTATACTATGTGGTTAATGCTAAGGTAGAAGTATAGAGAGGGTTGTTATGGGGACATAAGGAAGGCACCTAACCCAGCCTGGGAATCTGAGACTGAGTCTGGAAGCCTGAGGAAGACTTAGCCAGGCAAATAAAATATAAAAGTATCAAGTAAAGGGGACTTCTTAAATACATGAGGTTTGTGTATAGAGCTTGGTGTATTCGGATACACTATTGAAGTGTTGCCTGACTGTAGAGTATGAAGGGGGAATAGGTGTCAGGAATTTCATAGGGGCCATTATGTGATATCCTGAGCAGCATGATGGGAAGAGTTTGAGTCAGGGAAGTGACACGTTCATATTTATATTTTAAGTAAATTAGGATAGCAGTGTGGAAGATATATTTCAGTGTATCACATTTAGGCAGAGATCTTTTGGGAAGCTATTTCTAAAATCCAGGCTAGAAGACATGAGGGGCTGTAAATAATACCATTTTCAGAAATTGACCTGTTGAGCCAGGGAGATTACATAGTTTATCTACAGTACAGTGTGCTTTTATTTATTCTTTTTTTCTTTTTAAAATTTACATTCTTATATCATTCGTGTTTTTTGTTATAAATATTTTTCTTTGATGCCAGTCTTTTTAAATGTTTTAAATTGCTGTATGATAGGGGAGGGATAGCATTAGAAGAAATACCTAATGTAGATGATAGGTTGATGGGTGCAGCAAACCACCATGGCATATGTATACCTGTGTAACAAACCTGCACGTTCTGCACATGTATCCGAGAACTTAAACTATAATAAAGAAAAAGAAATAAAAAAAATTTAATAAAATTGCTGTATGATATTTCAGCAAGTGGATTGTAGTTTAACAATTTCCTTATGTTAGGCATGTTTCAGTATTTAGAATTATTTCTTAATAAATTTCTATAAGTGGGATTATAAAGTTAAAGGGTATGAATATGTTTAAAATTCTTAGAATATGTTACCATACTGCTTTCCAAAAAGATGAAAGTTTATACCTTTACCAACAATAAGTGAGCATATTTTTATAACCTCCTTGCCAGGATTATTATTTTTAAAAGTCTTTTGGTAATTAAATAGACAAATGAATTCTCACTTCCACTAGATGTTGATCATTTTTTCCCTGTATTAAATTATTCTTTTTTAAAATTTTACATTCATTTCTTCGAACTTTTGTGTTTTCCTTGTCAAATTGCTTGAGCTATTGATACAGGAAAAATATTAACCTCCCATCATGTTGATATCATATTTTTTCTAGGCCATTTACCTTTTGATTTTTTTATCTAGAGGCTTTTCAGTTTTATATAACCTAACCACTTTTTCTGATTTCTTTTGTAGCTCTGCACTTAGGATGACCTTCTCCTTCTACATAGTTGATAGTCATTTTTATTTTATGGTTTGATTTTTCTTAATAATATGTAGGGTAATGTGAGGACTTAGATTTTTTCTTTTGCAAAATTACTAACCAATTGAACCAACATCATTTGTTAAATAGCCCCTTCCCTTTCCTGTAATGTGCTTTTAATGTGAAACTGCCTAGACTTTCATTTGTCCTCATTCTTGAATCATTTAAATATATTTTCAGACGTTTTGAACCCACTAAAATACCTTTTAATGTTGTTAGGAATGTCAGTCTTCCCCAGAACTAGATTTTAAGCATTTTGAGTATCAAAATAATGTCTAAGTCACATTTTCTTTCATAAGAATTGAAGTTTATTTTTTAATGGCTGTTAAAATTTTTCACAATAAAACTTTTATTACACCTGTTAATATGATTCATAGTGGGGTATCCTAGTTTAATTCTTTTTTTCCAGGATAAAAACTGCAATTATGCAGTGAAACTGCTCAGAGCAAGGAAACCCCTAGGATATGGGGACCTGGTGGACCTTTTTCAGGTGTGTGAAAGTGCATCATTTGATCTCACAGTTGTATAATTTGGAAATACAATATTTATCCAATACACAGTGTTACTCTATTAAAGAGTTACACTATTGAGGGACTTAGGCAGAAAATAAACTTTTTCTTTTATCCCTCTCCGTAACCTATTTTTATGTTTTAATGAAAATAGAAACAAATAACTTTCATTAAAAAGAATCAGCTTTTTCTGTTTTTTTTTGTTTTGTTTTGTTTTTTTCTGGAATGACATACAAAATGGTTAAAGTAAAATGTCTTCTTTATATTGCTGTACAGCCTTTTTGTCAGTGTGATTTCTAAAATCTCAGTCTGTAGGAAGGTATTTACGTAAAGCTATCATTAACTAACATATTATTAAAGTTATTGTGGAGAGTGGATATCTCTCAGTTGGAAGAGCAAGAATAATTTATACTTTTTTGGACTATTACCACTTTTTAAAGAAGAAAAGGAAAAGCAATAACTTTTTTCCTTATGATTTTTCTCTTACTGAATTATGATCTCAATACAGTGGATGTGTTTTTGTTTTTCAAAGTATACTTCAGAAGACTTAGAATAGATAAATAGGTTTTATTGTTTTGTTGATCATTTATTCTAGATAACATATAAACTTCCTTTTTGATTATTCTTATATAAATTAGGAGGGAAAAGATGAGAAATAGATGTTTGATTCCTTTGAATTACATTAAAATAAATTTAAAAATTAATTTCTATTACTATCGTAAGTTTATCTCGGCTTGATAGACCTGGTTGTAGCCAACATGTACACAGCATTTCACCATGACTCACCTTATTTTGTTGATTTTAATATGCACAGTTTTTTCACCTTTTAACATCCCCTGATTGGTATGCATCTTGCAGTTGATGGCATCTTAGAATCATTATGAGCCAGGTGATGTTGTAGTTATCTTTTTCAATATGTGCATGAACTTGTTCATGGTTCTTCATGTTATTATCACATCAGTTGAGTTGCATGCATTGTTGATACCACATACATTGAGTTGAATTGCTGTTTAAAGTGTCACCCTAGTTATTGAAAACTTTCCGTTAACATCTTATGGTAAGATGAATAAAGCACCAGTAACAAAACATGCAGAATGGGTGCCATTGACTTAGAAGAAAATCTCAGAGACAATAGTGAAGTATTCTTTCAAGAAATAAGGTGTTCATTCCCAGTGCTGTTTATGGCCCAGAGGATGAAATTGTGAAGAAAAATTCTAAGTGATTAGAAAGCATTGTGTCGTAGTTTAATTGTCACTGACTTTTTTTGTTGTTGTGATACTATGGGTATGTCTTAAAATCAATGGCATCTTAAACCCTATGAAAGTATATCTTCTTTTTTGTTTTTTATGAAAATGAGTTCATTTTCCTTTATTTGTCTGAAGACTTCAGGCAGACAACTTTAAAGTGCAAATCACTGGGTCCTCTTTTAACTTCCATTATTGTCAGGTTGCTATGTACCATAAGGAATGGCAGCATAATATTGTAGGAAGAATAGTGAACCAGGAGTTAGAAGACATACGGTATTTTCAAATTCTGGCTTTACTACCTACTTACTATATCAGTAGGGCTGCATCAGGCCCTGTAAACTCTCTAAGATTATTGAGATGCTAAAATGAGAAACATATTAACACATAAAAATTATAAATGTAACTTGGTTACTATTAAGAGCTTTTAATTTGCCTGAATAACATTTAATAAGGAGTGTTCAGCAGAGATAGGGGTTGCCTCACACTTCAGTGGTTCTGGCAGGTTTAAATCTGGTAGGATATTTAATCATTTTATTGAAGCTTTATGAGGAGCTTTATGGTCATGATCTTTTAATCATTCATATCGTTATGGAAAATTTGTCTCTAGGTTTGAATCAAAACCTTTGTGTACAAGAAAGCAAGGGAATAAGGACAGGGAGCCCTTTTGGGAACACTGTTCATTGCCAGTTACATTTGCCATCTTTAGCTGTGCTAAATCAGTAATTTATGCTGGCATACTAAGGGACTTTGCAGCGCAGGCTGTAGGAAGTTGTAGTCTTAATTTACCATACCATAAAGACAGCTTTGGAAGAAGAAGGTGAGGATTTAAATGATAAAATTAATGTTAATACTGGTTTTACATTTTTAATGGTGATTCTGAATTACTTTGTGTCAATTTCTTTTGAGAAACATTTTAAAACTTAGATTTATATGTCTTTATTGCATGTCTTGCCTCAAAAAATAACTGATAGAGTTAGTTCTTTTTTTTTTTTTTTTTTTTGAGACGGAGTCTCGCTCTGTCGCCCAGGC
Organism: Homo sapiens; assembly: GCF_000001405.40. NCBI lineage: Eukaryota > Metazoa > Chordata > Mammalia > Primates > Hominidae > Homo > Homo sapiens. The sequence goes on from NC_000012.12 coordinate 62,492,412, forward strand.
CGGACTGCGGACTGCGGTGGCGCAATCTCGGCTCACTGCAAGCTCCGCTTCCCGGGTTCACGCCATTCTCCTGCCTCAGCCTCCCGAGTAGCTGGGACTACAGGCGCCCGCCACCGCGCCCGACTAATTTTTTGTATTTTTAGTAGAGATGGGGTTTCACCTTGTTAGCCAGGATGGTCTCGATCTCCTGACCTCATGATCCACCCGCCTCGGCCTCCCAAAGTGCTGGGATTACAGGCGTGAGCCACCGCGCCCGGCCGTTAGTTCTTATAATAAAAAATAATCACAGCCAGGCACGGTGGCTCACGCCTGTAATCCCAGCACTTTGGGAGGCTGAGGCGGGTGGATCACGAGGTCAGGAGATCGAGACCATCCTGGCTAACATGGTGAAACCCCGTCTCTACTAAAAATACAAAAATTAGCCGGGCGTGGTGGTGCATGCCTGTAATCCCAGCTACTTGGGAGGCTGAGGCAGGAGAATCACTTGAACCGGGGAGTCGGAGGTTGCAGTGAGCCAAGATCGTGCCACTGCTCTCCAGCCTGGGGACAGAACAAGATTCCATCTCAGAAAAACAAAACAAAAAAAACCAAAAAGACACACACAGACACACACACACATACACACATACACACACACAAACACACAAAACAAATAATCGCTTATGAGTTTAATGTTCTCTTGACTTGGAATTCCGTGTTATTTATTCAAATTCTGTAAGGATGACAAACTTGTCTTATCCATCTTTGTGTAGCCTTTCAGTAAATGTGTGTAGATTTAATTTCATTTTGTAAATTTAATTATGTGTAATTCAGTTTGTGCATTTTCTAACCTCGTGCATTTTCTAACCTCTTACATTTTTATTGCCACTTAAAAACTTCTGAGTGAGCTGGCTTGGTAGAAGAAGTTAAATTAAGGTTCGGAATTATAGCATGTGTACCCAATTAATTTAAAGTGCTGTTTCAGTAATAAGAGGAGTAATGTTATTGTTTTTAATGAAATGTGTTTATTTCTTGAAGAAATTAGGGCTGTTTAAATTCAAGGCATATAATAAAATTCTAGGAAATTTCTTAATATTCATTTACAAGTATTGTGGGGATGATGTATGTACTATTTTTAATGATTCTATTCTAGGGTGGGAATTCTTATTTATGTTTTCCCTCCTGTAGTATATGAAGAAATAGAGTGCTTTTTTGAGGTGGGAAAGAAGTTTTGAAAATCCATGTCCTAATAGAGTTTGTAGCAGAAGATGGAGGAGAACCAAAGGACAGAGTGTTAGGAGAAAAGCATGGGAAAGCAGTAGTTAAGGCGTATAGCTTAGATACAGAGTCTGGAGTGTCTGTCCAAGGTATTTTAACTCTTGGTACTTGATTTTTGTTTTGGTGTTTATTTTACGTAAAGTGGATTTTTTTTGAGATCGCTATTACTGGTTGTAATTATATAAAAATGCATTCTTAATTATAGATTAATTTTAATAATTTACTTTATATGTGTTCTAAATGAAGCACTGAAAGAGAACAGCTCAGAGGTTGTACAGCCTTTTTTAATGGGTTGTGGAACCAAGGAACCGAAGATCACTCAGCTATGTTTGGCTGCTATTCAGAGACTCATGTCACATGAAGTCGTGTCTGAGGTAATATGAAGATTTTATCTAAACTTCACCTAAGAGTTGAATCAGAAGTTTTCATGAAAGGAGAATGAAACATACCTGATATTTAATATAAAACTTTTACAAATAGCAATGTGCTCGGAGAAAATGGCTTTATTTAAAAATATTGCCAAATTTTCTCCTCATTAAACACTCACAAACAAGTATTTTTGCAAGTCATTTGTAATCTAAGAAGTCACAGTTCAGTAATGTAGATGAAAATTTTGAGACTCAAGCAAGTTTTCAATTTAATTGGTTATTTAATTTTTCTTTTATAAAAAGAGGAGGGAAGAGCGTGACTCTCTTTCCTAGATTATATGGAGTAATAATTTGTTTTTCATTAACTTAAACGTATTGTTCATATCTAACCTTATGATGGAAAAATGAGAAAAAATATTTCTTAACCATGAATCTGCATGTTGGTCTCAAATTTAATGGTGTTATTCTTAATTTTGTACTCCATAAGTACTATAGTAGAAGTGATAAATGTTTTGACATTAATGTATCATCTTAAACAATGTCAGATTTAATTGAGTGTGCCAATGTGTTGTTAATATGGGTTGCATTTTTTTTCTGTAGCATACTGTAAATGAAGTATTTGTATCTGAAACAGCAGGCTCATAGCTAATTTGCATATGTCCGTATTATTCATGTCCAAATACAATCTATCAACATTATTGTAGAAATGAGCTGTGATTTTGACTAGGTATTACAAAACTGCTTGCTGCTATTTGTATATATTCAAATAGGATATTACAATTTTTGAGGGAGAGAATTGATTGTAAGTCCTAAATTACTTGAGAGATGTGTTTGGATCTAGAAATCTAAAAATATGGGTTTTGTTATTGTGATCAAGAAATCCTCTTCAGCTGATGTAGGTTTGTATACCTTCTCTTATTTAGGGACATCAACATCTATATTGTATTTGTTGACAATAATTAAAATAACTATTTTACAGACTGCAGCTGGAAATATAATTAACATGCTTTGGCAGCTAATGGAGAATAGTCTTGAAGAACTTAAGCTACTTCAAACAGTTCTTGTTCTTTTAACAACCAATACAGTAGTTCATGATGAGGCACTTTCTAAGGTAGGAAAACTGTTTGCCAGAGTTCATATGTGCTTTGAGACAGTATTTGAATAAGCTGGCTGAAAGAGAAAAGCTTGGTGCCATTTGAACCAAAAGCAACTTCCCTACAGCTATGGTGATGATTGACATTGCATGTTAATAACTGTTGGTACCTTATTTTTTCCAGGTTAGAGTTGAAATCACGTTGGGGTGCTTAAGCAAAGCCCCTTGGGTACAGCCAACAGGCTGAGTTGTGAATAGGAAATGGAAAAAAGAGAGAAAGTAGCCCAAGAGTAAGAATAGGGAAGGAGGGAACTAAGAAAAAAAAAACATGTTGTAAGATCACAAGGTTAGGAGATCAAGACCATCCTGGCTAATATGGTGAAACCCCGTCTCTACTAAAAATACAAAAAATTAGCCAGGTGTAGTGGCGGGCGCCTGTAGTCCCGGCTACTCGGGAGGCTGAGGCAGGAGAATGGCGTGAACTCAGGAGGCAGAGCTTGCAGTGAGCCGAGATCGTATCACTGCACTCCAGCCTGGGCGACAGAGTGAGACTCCGTCTCAAAAAAAAAAAAAAAAAAAAAAAAAAGATACTGCCTTGAGTATTTTAGATTCCCTGTGATAGCTCTCCCTACCCATAATTTCACATGTATATAGTATGTAAACCAGACAGTTCAAATATGTTTCTTAAATGGCTAGACAAATCTTCTTTCACCATTTATACTAGATAAGATTGCATGTATGATGGCTAGTTCTCATTTTGTCATCACTCCCACCCACTTTGGAACATGTAAGAGCCATTCTATTATTTATTTCACTTTTTAAAAAGTTTTTTATTATGAAATATTTCTAAAGAACAGAAAGTAGAGAGTACCATAGCAGTAAATGAATTATAGTCTAAGGAATTTTTTAGACTCTCAGTAATAGCTTTATTATAATTTGCATGGCTTATAAAGAAGTACAGTATACTGTCACATTAAGCTGTGTATACTATATCAAGTGATGTTCTTAGATCATAATGAGATTTTAACTGCAAATAGTTTATTCTTTTAGGCTTATATGAGCTATATAAATATTATATATATTTTTGTATATCCTTTTGTGTATCATTCCTCTTGGTTTCTAGCTATCAAATTATTGTTCTGATGCATATATTTAAAGTTTTATTAAATGTTTTCATTTGATCTACTAAAGAAATAAGAACTGGTTATAGGATTTATTTTAGTATGTTGGTTAATTTGGAAATGCAATAATTGGGGATGAGAAAAATCAAGTATAAAGAAATAGTATAAAATTGAGTAATATGAAGGCTTCTATATAACTATGTACTGTGTCTTTCCTTTATGTTGAAATCTAAAGAGTAGTAGCGATATCAAAGGCTTGTGTCTTTTAGTTAAGGTGATAGGCATTGATTCTAAAACTACCATTATGTTTTTCTCCAAGAATGACTTCTTTTAAAAGTAGAAAACTTTTGGAAGGATAAATAGGAGAAAATCTTTGTGATACTGGGGTAGGTAAAGATTTATTAGGGCACAAAAACTAAAATCCTTGAGTAAGCCACAGAATGTGGGAAAATACAAATATCTGACAAAGGACTTATATCTAGACTATATAAAGAACTCTTAAAATTCATTCATAATGAACTAGAAATACCATTTGACCCAGCCATCCCATTACTGGGTATATACCCAAAGGACTATAAATCATGCTGCTATAAAGACACATGCACACGTATGTTTATTGCGGCACTATTCACAATAGCAAAGACTTGGAACCAACCCAAATGTCCAACAATGATAGACTGGATTAAGAAAATGTGGCACATATACACCATGGAATACTATGCAGCCATAAAAAATGATGAGTTCATGTCCTTTGTAGGGACATGGATGAAATTGGAAATCATCATTCTCAGTAAACTATCGCAAGAACAAAAAACCAAACACCGCATATTCTCACTCATAGGTGGGAATTGAACAATGAGAACACATGGACACAGGAAGGGGAACATCACACTCTGGGGCCTGTTGTGGGGTTGGGGGAGGGGGGAGGGGGGAGGGATAGCATTAGGAGATATACCTAATGCTAAATGACGAGTTAATGGGTGCAGCACACCAGCATGGCACATGTACACATATGTAACTAACCTGCACATTGTGCACATGTACCCTAAAACTTAAAGTATAATAAAAAAAATTCATTCATAACACAGACAACCCAATTAAGTATGGACAAATGGTTTCAACAGACACTTCATTAAAATAATATATTCAAATGGGTGACAAACACATGAAAAGAAGTTTAGTGTTATTATTAGGGACACAAATTAAAACCATAAGGAAATAGTATTATGCTTCCATTAGAATAGTTACGATGAAAAAAGACCGTACCAAGTGTTATGGAGGCTGTAGGGATAGTTCTAAATTCACGTATACTGCTGGCAGAAGTGTAAAATTGTAAAACCACTGGGGAAACTGGCGGTTTCTTTCTTTTCTTTTCTTTTTTTGAGATAGTGTCTTGCTCTGTTGCCTGGGCTGGAGTGCAGTGGCGCAATTTTGGCTCACTGCAACCTTCCACCTCCCAGGCTCAAGGAATTCTCGTGCCTCAGGCTCCCAAGTAGCTGAGATTACAGGTGTGCACCACCACACCCAACTAATTTTTGTATTTTTAGTAGAGACAGGGTTTCACCATGTTGGCCGGGCTGGCCTTCAAATCCTGGCCTCAAGTGAACTGCCCACCTCAGCCTCCCAAAGTGCTGGGTTTACAGGCGTGAGCCACCATGCCCAGCCAACTGGCGGTTTCTTAAAAAGTTAAACCTATTCTTACCAGATGACCCATCCATTTCACTTCCAGATATTTACCCAAGATAAATGAAAACATATGTCCTCACAGTGACTTATATATATGAATGTTCATAGCAGCTTTTTTTTTTTTTTAACAATAGTCAGAACCTGGAAAATTCACCAGCAGGTAAATGGATAAGCAAAATATGGTGTACTCGTACAATAGAATACTGCTTGGTAATAAAAGGTACAAACTACTGATAAACAGAACAAAGTGGATGAATTTCACAAATATTATTCTAAGTGGAAGAAGGTGGGCCCAAATGAGCACATACTGAATTAATCTGTTCATATAAAAATCATAGAAAATGTCCATTGATCTGCAGTGAATAAAGCACATGGGTGTTTGCCTGGGGCCACGGGTAGAGGAAGAGATGGGTGGCAAAGGAGCACAAGAAAACTTTTGGGGTGATGGAAATATTTTGTTTGTCAATTGTGGCCATAGTTTCATGGGCCCACATGTTTGTCAGAACTCATCAAATTATATAAGTTTAAGGGATTCTATAATTTATTGTATATAAATTACATCTCAATAAACTTGAGTTTTAAAAGAAAAAAATGACTCCTTTTAAAAGTTTCATAATTTTATTTATTTATGTGCTTAGCAATCACATAGCTTCTCCAGATCATTAAGTGATACAACAAACTTTGAGTTCATGTTATTTGCAAAGCACGTCATTCTGGGGAAATAAAAGCATAACACATTGTTATATAGATGTTAAAAAACCAAATTTTAAAAGGTATGTTTCACATTACCATAGCTAATCTTCTGTGGCTATATATTTACTGACAACTTGGATTACATCAAAATCTGAGGATTTTATATTTTATTGTAAATGGTGGGACTTTCCATAATGGTGATTGAAACAACCAAACATAAATTATTCAATAAAGATAATGGCTTTGCTTTTCAATCTTATTTCACACTAAATGAAAATTGTGTTTTCAGGCAATCGTTCTTTGTTTTCGACTACACTTCACAAAAGATAATATTACAAATAATACAGCTGCTGCTACAGTGCGACAAGTTGTTACTGTTGTTTTTGAGAGGATGGTTGCTGAAGATGAACGACACAGAGGTAAAGTGCTAGAAGTTGTTTTACTTTGTGGGTGGTTCTTGGATGATTTCATTTGTATTAACTTTCGGCCTTTGCTCAGATGATCAACATTATTATGTCTATAATGGCAACTTAAAAAATAAATTCCTCACAATTTGATCCCCTGAGGAATAGGCTCCTTGTTTTCCTTGTTTATTTCTAGTGTATGCATAATTTTGTATTAAATATGATAATTTCACATTTTAAACCAAGTATTGCATTATATGTATTTTTTAACCAAACATTACATTCTATGAATTTTTCATGTTATTGCTTCGTCCTCATAATTTAAATTTTAATGATTGCATTATATTTCATGGCCATTCTGTAATTTAACTGAACTAGTCTCCTATTGGACACTTGCATTCTGTTCAGTGTTTTATAACTGTTTTGGGTGGTTTCCTACGTATCTTTTTGAATTATTTCTTTAGGATAAATTTCCAAGAGTGGGCTTCCCTCGTAAATTTTTGTCTGTATCTGCTAACATGTGTTAAGAACATTTAAATAATATAAAAATTAATTTTTGGCTGGGTGCGGTGGCTCATGCCTGTAATCGTAGCATTTTGGGAGGCTGAGGTGGGTGGATTGCCTGACTCAGGAGTTTGAGACCAGCCTGGGCAACACGGTGAAACCCCGTCTCTACTAAAATACAAAAAATCAGCTGGGTGTGGTGGTGTGCACCTGTAGTCCCAGCTACTCCAGAGGCTGAGGCAGGAGAATCACTTGAACCCGAGAGGCAGAGGTTGCAGTGAGCTGTGATTGCACCACTGCACTCCAGCCTGGGTGACACAGCAAGACTCCATCTCAAAAAAAAAAAATTTTTTTTAAAATATTTTTATCGACTACCTTTATTAGAATATTTCCACTTTGGTATATTGTTTTTTCTTTATTTTTTCTTGGGGAAAAATGCAGGTAGAATTCTAGTAGTTTGAAATATTAAGGAATTATAATGTGTCCCATTTGGTTAAAATATTCAAAATCATATTGTAATAACACAGGGCAATTTCCCAGTTTCAATGTTTTATACATTCATATCCTCAATAAAATTCCTGGAGTGGTAGTTTTAGTTGTTTGTCTCTAAGGCTAATCTGCCATTTAATACTTTATAGTAAGGTAGAAATACTTAGAACTTTTTTCTTTTCAGGTAGTCGTTAAGTCAATATTTATTCAAAACAGGCTGTCATAACTTACAGAGAATGATATTTTTTACTAGTAGTTAAAGAAATGCTGAGTTGGGAAACACCATCCTAGCTGATTCTTAGCTGGTGAGTATCTGTAACTGACATGGTAACAGCAGCAGATCAAGCAGTAATTCTCTTGAAAATAGTGAAATGGTAGAGGAGTTAACCATATGGTAAACGTTTATGTTTGTTTGATATTTAAAAGCACATTTAAAGATCATGTGAATTTTAAATCCATGAAAAAAAGGGGCTGAAGAATGGGAGACTGGGAAACCAAATGTATGAACAAAGATACCCAGCTTATTAGAGTGAATGTAAGGTAGCAAAGAGTGATTTTTATGGTATTTGGTGTAAAAACAGATTCCCATTTTTTTTTGTTTTGGAGGCATATGTTAACATTGGAAATTTTAATTCTGAAATTATAACTTCAACTTATATAAACAAATATTTATTTTAAACATTATCTTTTAAACAGAATATATAATTTATTAAAGGCTATTATGAACTCCTAAAACCCATCCTGTTTTGATTGCAGATATTATAGAACAACCAGTACTGGTACAAGGAAATAGTAACAGAAGATCTGTCAGTACCCTCAAACCTTGTGCTAAAGATGCATATATGCTTTTCCAGGTATTTTAGTTGATAAAAGTAATTTTTATTCTAAAATATAGTTTTGTGTGAATTTTTTAGTTGGGGATTTTATGTCTAATTTTTTTAATGTGAATTTTTTTGAAAATATGTCAAAGGTAGTATTAAGATAGTTCTAAAGAACAACTTTTATATTTACTTTATAGCTAATTAACATGATAAAACGTTATTACTCACTTTAAGAAAATGAAATAAATGCAGAACTAGAAAACAGGTATATCAGAAACAACTAGTCATACAAAAAAAAGTTTCTTTAAAAAAGGAAAATTTAAGTAATAAATTTGGTCTGTGTAGTATAATTTGATACATAGATACCTGATTTTTACATCACTTGTCATGAATAAATAATTTTAGGTAAAACAAGATTAATCTGTACTGAAAATATTATTACTTCGGATTAAAAGCTTAGTTTTTCATTTGAAATAATGTTAGATTAATCATTTATCTGTCTACTGTCTCTGTGTTGTCAGTAGTTATATGATTCTTTAGAAGTTTACTTATATAATCTATCAATTACACAATTTGTCAAAATTGGAATTACCAGTGCTTAGTTTCTAAGGAGCAAAAACATGTATTATATAAGAAGATAGATTTTTTTTAAAGATTTATGAACTGCGAGTTTGGAAAAGCACATTTAATTCTAGCATGTGAAATTGTTCGATTTATTTTCCCAGGATCTTTGTCAGTTGGTTAATGCTGATGCTCCTTATTGGCTAGTGGGCATGACAGAAATGACTCGGACGTTTGGCCTCGAATTACTTGAGTCAGTCCTCAATGATTTTCCGCAGGTCTTTTTACAAGTAAGCCATTTATAGTATCTTGTGACAAAGTTAATCTGAATTGTTTTACAGATATTTTTAAAGAAAGCAACGTGTATTTTTTTTCCACCTTAAAAGTGGCAAAGAGGCCAGAGTTGGTGGTTCATGCCTGTAATTGCAACACTTTGGGAGGCTGAGGTGGGAGGATTGCTTGAGCCCAGGAGTTCGAGACCAGCCTAGGCAACATAGTGAGACACCATCAATACAGAAAATAAAATGAAAAGGCTGGGCGCGGTGGCTCACCCCTGTAATCCCAGCACTTTGGAAGGCCGAGGTGGGTAGGTCATGAGATCAGGAGTTTGAGACCAGCCTGGCCAATATGGTGAAACCCTGTCTCTACTAAAAATACAAAAATTAGCCAGGCGTGATGGCGGGTGCCTGTAGTCTCAGCTACTCGGGAGGCTGAGGCAGGAGAATGGCTTGAACCTGGGAGGCAGAGGTTGCGGTGAGCCAAGATCGCCTCACTTCACTCCAGCCTAGGCGACAGAGCAAGACTCTGTCTCAAAAAAGATAAATAAAACAAAATTTTTTTAAAAAAGCTAGGCATGGTGGTGCATGTCTGTATTCCCTGCTGTTCAGGAGACTGAGGCAGGAGAATCGCTTGTGCCCAGGAGGTCAAGTTTGCACTGAGCCGTGTTCAAGCCACTACATTCCAGCCTGGGTGAGAGAGCGAGACCCCATTTCTTAAATTAAAAAAAAAAAAAAGGAAGGAAAGAAAGATATGGAGAATTGTAGCCTCAAACTTTAGACATATAACAGTTTAGTGTTACATTACTTTTTTTTTAGTGCCTTAGCATTTTGGAATTTTAATAATAGAAAGAATCTCTAGAGACAATCTATTAATAGTCAGGTATTTCCCAGTGTATGGGTCTATGAAGGAAATGTGGTATGTGAGCTACTTGTATAATATTTAAAAGCTTAAAGAAATTGTTGATTTTTACTTGCTTATATATCTAGCTATGTGTTTTCACATAACTTAAATGGAAAACAACTAAAGTCCAAAATCAAGTCAGTGACTTGCACAGGGTCCCTTAGTTATTAGGTCTTGAACTGTAATTTAGGTTTTTTAACTACTCATCTAGTGCCTTCCCCTACCATGCTTCCTCCCTAAGTAATCCATTTTATCCTTTGCTCTTACCTACAAAATGAGTGAATCAAGTGCTACAGTAATATAAGATTTTTTAGGCCAGGATGTGGAGCTGAAATTAGTTTTATATGGCTCATAATTTTTGGTATACATTAGGCAGTTGTTAAATGCTTTTGGCGAGCAGTATATACACTGATGATTCCCTTTCTTGTAGTGTAATAGGATAAGCAGTATTTAGGTATAATTTGTCCAGCACTCTTGTATAAATAATAGTCATAGTAGCTGTCATTTCTTGACTGCCTTCTATGTGCTATGTGCCAGATTCCTTACATATTAATATTCTCTTTTATCTTCCCAAATGCCTGAGATACCAGTTATCACTGTTTTACACATGAGGAAACTACAACATCCAGAGGGTTAAATAATTTGTCTGCAGTTTCATGGTTTATAAGTGATGGAGTTGGGATTTGAACTCATGTTGATCCAAATTAGTTTCTCTCTGTATCCTCTCTTTTTTATATACACATCACATCCCGACCATCACCTTCAAAATATATTCAGGATCCAATCAGTTCTTACCACTTCTACAATTATTCTAGTCTAAGCTACCATCACCTCTTACTTGAATTATTGTGTTGGCTTCCTAACTGGTCTGCTTGCATATATGTTAATACTTGTACCACTTACTATAGTTGTTTGTGACACCACATCCACAATGGTATTTTTAAAAAGTCGAATCTTTTTAGTCTCTTGTAAATTGGTTCAGTTGATATCCTCCTTATCAGACTAAAAGATGAAGTGTCCTTATGCTCTGTGGAACTTTTCATGGTTTAGTCCCCAGTATTCCTTGATCTTGTTTCTTTCCTCTCTTCTCTTTGCCCTCACCCTTTGGCCACACTGTCCTTCTTGTTGTTTGTGAAGTGCCTCAAGCAGACTCGTGCCCCAGGGCCTTTGTACTTACTATTCCTGGGCCTGGAATCCTTTTTTCCTCATATGGCTTGCTGTCTTACTTTTTTGAGGGCTTTGCTCAATCGTCAACTTACCAGACACATCTTCCCCAACCACGTTGTGTAAAATGGCAACCTTTTTTCCTATCAGCACCATTATCTTTCTTATCTCTCTTTTTCTTTGTAGCACTTATCACCTCCTGCCTGACACACACACACACGTATATGTGTATTATATATTATTACATATTGTGTATTATTTTATTTTCTCTCTTTCCCTACAAGAAGATAAACTCTATGAGGCAGGGATTTAGTACACTGTTGTATAGGTGTCTTTAGTAATAGTGCCTGGCATATGGCAGGTGTTTGATAAATATTTGAATGAATGAATTGGTTAATGAATTTGAATTTAAAATTTTTATGTTTGGGTCATGTTTTCTGACTTCATAGGAAAAGATTTGAAACCGTTTTTACAGATTTTTTTCTTTTCTTTTCTTTTTTTTTTTTTTTTTGAGACAGCATCTTGCTCTGTCGCCCAGGTTGGAGTGCAGTCGCATGATCTCGGCTCACTGCAAGCTCCGCCTCCCATGTTCACGCCATTCTCCTGCCTCAGCCTCCCGAGTAGTTGGGACCACAGGTGCCCGCCACCACGCCCGGCTAATTTTTTGTATTTTTTTTAGTAGAGATGGGGTTTCACCGTGTTGGCCAGGATGGTCTCGATCTCCTGACCTCGTGATCTGCCCACCTCAGCCTCCCAAAGTGCTGAGATTACAGGCGTGGGCCACCGCACCCGGCCTGTTTTTATGGATTTATTATACTTAGAAAATTTACTTTATTCTTCCTGCTGTAAAGCATGGAAGGGGAAGAATTCTCTGTGTAAGATCCTAGAATTTCATCCTGTACAATTTTCTTCCAGAGATACGTATTTGTTTCTTTTTTTAACTCATCATTCACATATGCAATCAAAATTTACCAGTCACTTAAGTTTTATGCCAAGTATACAGAAGTTAAATAAGACTGATAAAATCTTTGCCCTGTGGCACTTACAATTCTAATGGGGAGACAGATTTTAACTGAGTTGATAAGGCTTGATGAGTACTGTGAAGGAAAAGTATTAAAAGTGTTAGGAAATGAATAACGGGACCAGACCTGGTGGAGAGTTGGTGATAAATCAAGGATAGGATACTTAAGCTTGTAAATGAAGGATTAAGAGTAGTTAGGAGATATAGAGAGAACAGGAAAAGAATACTCCACACAGAAGGAATTTGAAGAGCAGTGACCCTGAGAAAGGATGTCTTCTTTTCTAGAAAAATAAGCTTTAAGGGCATTGAAGCTTTGCCTTTTGCCTCAATGAAGTGTTGTAGTGGAAGATGAAAAAGGCAGTCTCAAAGATGATTTCTAGCTTTCTGGCTTGAACAGTGAACCATTTGCTAAGATGGAGTACTCCATGGGCAGAATTTTTATCACAAAGGACACATTATTCATATATATACTAATTTCAAGGTATCTGTGAGACATGCAAAATGTTAGTTGGACTTATGCATTTCAAGGTTTGGGGCTGAAATTATAAATTTAAATGTTCCTGGCATATAGTTGCTAATTGAAGATATGGGAGTGAATGAGATTTTCTGTGGTAAGAACCTAGAGTACAAAGCAAGGGCATGGTACTCTGGAACTCTGAGGAAGCTCAACATTAAACAGTTGAAGATGAGCATATACAAGAGACTGAGAACACAAGGCCAGAAGGCAGGAACAAATCTAAGAGAGTGTGACATAATAAAAGGCAAAAGCAAAGAAAGTTTCAAGATGAAGCAAGTAATCAGTTATATCAGGTGGTTCACAGAGATCTGGTAGGCGCAGTGGCTCACACCTGTAATCTTAGCTCTTTGTGGGGCTGAGGCAGTCAGATGGCCTGAGCTCAGGAGTTCAAGACCAGCCTGGGCAACATAGTGAGACCTTGTCTCTACGAAAAATTAAAAAAAAAAAAAATCAGCTGGGCCTGGTGGCACATGCCTGTAGTCTCAGCTACTTGGGAGGCTGAGAGGTGGGAGGATCGTTTGACCCCAGGAGGTCAAGGCTGCAGTGAGCCATGATCATACCACTGCACTCCAGCCCGGGTGACAGAGCAAGACCCTATTTCAAAAACAGAAAAAAACAAAACAAAAACAAAGAGATCTGATAAGATGAAAACTGGAAAGACTGGAAAATGTTTGCTTTGGCCACAGAGATCATGATGAGTATAATGAGAAGTGGAGAAGTAGAGTTGGGATGGTTGGTGATAGTGCTGGAGGAAACCCAACTGTAGTGAGTTGAGCAGTGAGAGGGAAACAGTGAATTGGTAAAACTTTTAAGAATTGCTTAAGAATTGCCGGTATGTTTATATATTTTAACCAATATACAAAATAATTATTTTTGTAAAATATGAAAGTGGACTTTACTTTTCATTTTGGCAGTCAGATAAACTAACTGTAGATGTGAGAGTATAATTTCAAATCACTTATCTCTTAAGATCTCATTTTGGAGGAAAGAATGAAAAAGTATATTAAAATATTTATAAAAGTCTGGAAGAGTATACATGCAGAAGTAACAATGACTAGTCCACTTATCTCCAGGAGGTGAGATTAGGCAAGACTTTTATTTTTATCTTTTTATTTATCTGTGTTTTTGGATTTTCTTTCTTGAGAATCTGATTTTTTAAAACATACGTTTAGTGGCTTATGCCTGTAATCACAGCGCTTTGGGAGGAGGCTGAGGCAGGCAGATCACCTGAGGTCAGGAGAGCCTGCCCAACATGGTGAAACCCCGTCTCTACTAAAAATACAAAAATTAGCCAGGTGTGGTGGCAGATGTCTGTAATCTCAGCTACTTGGGAGGCTGAGGCAGGAGAATTGCTTGAACCTGGGAGGTGGAGGTTGCAGTGAGCCGAGATTGTACCATTGCACTCCAGCCTGGGTAACAGAGTGAAACTCCATCTCAAAAAAAAAAAAAGATACATTTAAAAAATTTTGTGATTCTGAGCAAACAACCTGCTCTGTGCCTTATTTTCCTTCTCTGTAAGATGAAAGGATTAGGTCAAATGATTTTTGTGATATTTTCTTTGTTTATAGCTTCAGTGAAATTTGGATGACAACAACAAAATGTATTTGAGGCTAGTCATTAAATACAGCCTAGGCCTTATATTGTCAGTGAAATGGGATTACTCTTGGCTAATATAGGCAGGGAATTAACAGGTTAAGGAGTGCTTTCTTTATGATATACCATGGCTATAAGTAAAATTTAAGAATTATTTGCAAGATTCCCTGACTTGTAAAATAATTATGCTTGTTTGCCATTGCATGTTTTATCAGCTCATCATGTTCTGTTCAAGCAGTCCAAGCAGAACAAAATTTTAAGTTAATTATTAAATCTTCTGCATGAATGGAATTGTTCTTTGAAAAATGAAATCAGTGAATTATATAACTTATACTCTCTTAGGAAATTTTCTCTCCTCAGCTACCTATTTTAAACTATTTGCTTGAGTTTGTATAGCTTGTTTTCTTTTCTTTCTTTTTTCTTTTTCTTTTTCTTTTTTTTTTTTCTGTGTGAGATAGGGTCTTGCTCCATTGCCCAGATTGGAGTACAGTGGTGTGATCATGGCTCACTGCAGCCTCAACCTCCCTGGGCTCAAGTGATCCTCCCACTTTAGTCACCCAAGTAGCTGGGACCGCAGGAGGCACCACTATATCCAGCTAATTTTTGTTGTTGTTGTTGTTGAGACAGGGTCTCCCTGTGTTGCTCAGGCTGGTCTTGAACTCCTGGATGCCAGCAATCCTCCCATCTCAGCCTCCCAAAGTGCTAAGATTCCAGGCCTGAGCCACCATGCCTGGCTGTATTTTCTTTCTTCTGTTTATGTTTTTAATTACCAGTGTCCAGCTAAAATTGAAGTTTCTGTTAATCACCAATTACTTACTTCTAAAATCATTAAATGTTCCTTTTAAACTTATATTCTTTCAAAAACTTCTTGTAATACTGATTATGATTATGATTATGATTATTTGAGACAGCATCTTGCTCTGTTACCCAGACTGGAGGGCAGTGGCATGATCACGGCTAACTGCAGCCTTGACCTCCTGGGTTCAAGTGTTCCTTCCACCTCAGCCTCCCAAATTGCTGGGACTACTGGTGCGTGCCACCATACCTGGCTAATTTTTTAATTTTTTTTGTAGAGATGGAGTCTCACTGTTTTGCCAAGGCTCATCTTGAACTCCTGGGCTCAAGCTATCCTCCCACCTTGGGCTCCCAAAATGCTAAGATTACAGGCATGAGCCACTATGCTGGGCTCTGATGACTGTTCTGACCTTAGACTCTCTAAGTGCAATACGAATTTCAAAATTGTGCGTAAACTATAAAATAATAAAACATATAAACTTATAGTAAAGCTAAATTATTAATACTGGTTATTAAGAAGTTTTGTTTCCTAGTGAGACTGTGTTTTTGGAAGTATTAAGTACAAATAAAGTTAATTATTTTTTTCTTTCTTTTTTCCTTGCAAATAGCACCAAGAATTTAGTTTCCTCCTCAAAGAAAGGGTATGTCCTCTTGTGATAAAGCTCTTTTCTCCAAATATAAAGTTCAGACAAGGTTCCAGCACCTCATCTTCTCCAGCACCAGTTGAAAAACCATATTTTCCTATCTGCATGCGTTTGCTGAGAGTAGTATCTGTTCTGATTAAGCAGTTTTACAGTCTTTTGGTAAGTGCTAATTTCCTTATGTATTTGTGTATATAGTTGCATGTTGTGCCCTTTGTAAAAAGTGGTCTGTTGTAGCGCATTTAGTTTTTTCAATTCAGTTCAACAGAATTTTTTTGAGTACCTACGTGTAGTCTAGGTACTCTAAAGGTTTGTTCTATCCTTTCTTGAATCTTGCTTATGTTTATAGAGTATTCATAATGTGTGAAGCAGAGTCATTGCCTGTTGTCTGAAGCCAGCATAGGAATTGTCGTTTTGGAACTCAGCTTCTTAGCTAATTGTCTGTATCTCATTTGAAGGATTATTAAAATTATAGTCTCTTCAGTTTATTCTGCTTTCATTTATACTGTTTCATATGTCTTAACAGATTAAAGCAAAGACATTAAAGATTTGGTCAAATCTAAGATTAGAAACCAATTATTTTGACTTACAGTCCAATATTGTATCTGTTTTGCATAAGTTAATGGATGCCTATTATGTTGTGATATTCCGGATGATAATTCTATTTATGTAATGCTTTAGTCGTAAACATTCAAATACTGTTTCTCAGAAAAAATAATGCACCGTGTTTTTTTAAAATTCTGTGTTAGGTCAAATTCAGCATTCTGTAATTTTTTCACATTTATATTCTTCTTCTTCTTTTTTTTTTTTTTTTGAGATGGAGTCTCACTCTGTCACCCAGGCTGGAGTGTAGTGGCACAATCTCGGCTCACTGCAACCTCCACCTCCTGGGTTCAAGCAGTTCTCCTGTTTCAGCCTCCCGAGTAGCTGGGACTACAGGCACCCACCGCCACACCTGGCTAATTTTTGTATTTTTAGTAGAGATGGGGCTTCACCCTATTGGTCAGGCTGGTCTTGAACTCCTGACCTCAGGTGATCCACCCGCCTCAACCTCCCAAAGTGCTGGGATTACAGGCGTCAGCCACCATGCCTGGCCCTATATTCTAAAAACAGACAATATAATAATAGTAGAAGACTTCAATATTCTACTTCCAATAAAGGTAGAACAACCAGACATAAGACTAATAAGGAAACAAAGGACTCGAACAACACTGTAGAACAGTTGGACCTAACAGACATATACAGAACACTCCACCTAACATCAGCAGAATACACATTCTTTTCAAGTGCACATAGATTATGCTCAAGGATAGAGCTTATGTTAAGCCATAAAACAAGTCTCAACAAATTTAAGAAGATTGTAATCATACCAGGTATCTTCTGTGACCAAAATGGAATCCAGCCAGAAATCAATAGTGGAAGGAAAATGAGAAGAGTCTCAAATGTATGGAAATTAAACAACATACTAGTTAGGAGAAGGAAGGAAATAATAAAGAATACCACATAAATAAACAAAATGGAGAATAGAAAAGCAATAGAGAGAATCAATGCAAGTTGTTTTTTTTTTGAAAAGATTAAGAAAATTAACAAACCGTTATCCAGACTAAAAAGAGAAAATACTCAAATAACTAAAATCAGAAATGAAGGAGGAGACATTACAACTGATGCCACAGAAATAAGAAATTTAAAGGATCATAAAAGACTACTAGGAAGAATTATGTGCCAACAAATTGGATAACCTAGAAGAAATGAATAAATTCCTTGAAACATACAACCTACTGAAACTGAATCACAAGAAAAAAATTAAACAGACCTATAACTAGTATGGAGATTGAATTAATAATGAAAAACCTTCCAACAAAGAAAAGTGCAAGAACAGATGACTTCACTGGAAAAGTCTACCAAACATTGAAAGAACAATTAACAAACTCCAAAGAATTGAAGAGGAGAGAAAACTTCCAAGCTCATTTTATGAGGCCAGCGTTAATACCAAAGCCAGACAAAAATACTACAAGGAAAAAAAAACAGATCAAGCTCCCTGATAAATATTGATTAAAAAAATTCTCAAGAAAGTACAAGGAAACTTAATTCAACAGCATTTTAAAAGGATTCCACGCCATGACCAAGTGGGATCTATCCCTGGAATGTAAGGACGTTTCAACATACAAGAATCAGTTAATATAATACACTACATTAAAAGAATGAAGGTTAAAAACTACATGATCATTTCAATTGATGCAGAAAAAGTATTTGGCAAAATTCATCATCCTTTCATGATAAAAACACTCAACAAACTAGGAATAGAACTAAACTACCTTAACCCAATAAATGCCATTTATGAAGAGACAATAACTAATAACTAATATCACACTTGATAGTGAAAACCTGAAAGCTTTCCCTCTAAGATCAGGAACAAGGCAAGATTGCCTACTCTTGCCACTTCTATTCAACATGGTACTGGAACTCCTAGCCAGAGTAACTAGGAATGAAAAAGAAATAAAAGGCATCCACATTGGAAAGGAAGAAGTAACATTATCTCTGTTTGCTAATGTATGTTTTATCTAGAAAACCCTAAATATTCCACACCAGAAAAACTGTTAGAACTAATAAACATAGCAAAGTTGCAAATATGTCTCTATACACTAACAGTGAACAATTCCAGAAAGAAATTAAGAAAACAATTTCATTTGCAAAGTACCAAAAAGAATAAAAATACTTAGGCATAAACTTAACCAAGAAGGTGAAAGACCTATGCACTGGAAACTATAAAACATTATTGAAAGAAATTTAAGACACAAAGAAATGGAAAGATATCCAGTGTTCATGATTAAAAGACTTAAAATTGTTAAAATGTCCATATAATCTAAAGAGATCTATGAATTAAATGCAGTTCCTATCAAAATTCCAACAGCAATTTTTGCAGAAGTAGAAGAAACCATCTTAAAATTCATATTGAATCTCAAGGGACCCCAAATTGCCAAAACTATCTTGAGAAAAAAGAACGAAGTTGGAAGTCTCACACTCCCTGATTTCAAAACATATTACAAAGCTACAGTAATCAGAATAGCATAAAGTGGTACTGGCATAAAGACACACACAAAAACCCATGGAACAGAATGGAGAGCCCAAAAATAAACTCTCATATATATGGTCAAGTGATCTTTGAAAAGGGTGCCAAGACCAGTCAGTGGAGAAAGGATAGTCTCTTTAACCATTATGCTGGGAAAACCGGATATTCACATGCAAAAGAATGAGGTTAGACCCTTACCTTATGCCATGTACAAAAAATAATTCAAAATGGATTCATGACCTAAACACAAGATTTAAAACTAAAAAATTCCTAAAAGAAAACATAGGGGAAAATCTTTATGACATTGGATTTCACAGTGATTTCCTGACTGTGATACTAAAAGCACAGGCAACAAAAGCAACAATAGACAAATGGAACTGCATCAAACTTAAAATCTTCTACACCTCAAAGAAAGAAGCCAGCAGAGTTGTATTAGTTTTTACACTGCTGATAAAGACATACCCGAGACTGGGCAATTTACAAAAGAAAGAGATTTATTGGACTTACAGTTCCATGTGGCTGGGGAGGCCTCACAATCATGGCTGAAGGTGAAAGGCACATCTCACATGGCGGCAGACAAGAGAAGAGCGCTTATGCAGGGAAACCCCCCTTTTAAAACCACCAGATCTTGTGAGACTTACTATCATGAGAACAGCATGGGAAAGACCTGCCTCCCATGATTCATTACCTCCCACCAGGTCCCTCCCACAACACGTAGGAATTCAAGATGAGATTTGGGTGGGGACACAACCAAACCATATCATTCCGCCCCTGGCCTCCCAAGTCTCATAGGTCCTCATATTTCAAAACCAATCATGCCTTCCCAACAGTCCCCAAAGTCTTAACTCATTTCAGCATTAACTCAGAAGTCCACAGTCCAAAGGCTCAACTGAGACAAGGCAAGTCTCTTCTGCCTATGAGCCTGTAAAATCAAAACGAGTTAATTACTTCCTAGATACAATGGGGGTACAAGCATTGGGTAAATACAGCCATTCTAAATGGGAGAAACTTGCCAAAACAAAGGGGCTACAGGCCCCATGCAAGTCCGAAATTCAGCAGGGCGGTCAAATCTTAAAGCTCCAAAATGACCTCCTTTGACTCCATGTCTGACATCCAGATCACACCGATGCAAGAGGAGGGTTCCCATGGTCTTGGGCAGCTCCACTCCTGTGGCTTTGCAGGATACAGCCTCCCTTCCAGGTGCTTTCATGGCCTGCTGTTGAGTGTCTGTGGGTCTTCCAGGTGCATGGTGCAAGCTGTTGGTGAATCTGTCATTCTGGTGTCTGGACGGTGGCCCTCTTCTCACAGCTCCACTAGGCGGTGCTCCAGTAGGGACTCTGTGTGGGGGCTCTGACCTCACATTTCCCTTCTGTATTGCCCTAGCAGAGGTTCTCCATGAAGACCCTGCTCCTACAGCAAACTTCTGCCTGGGCATCCAGATGTTTCCATACATCTTCTGAAATCTAGGCAGAGGTTTCCAAACCTCAATTCTTGACTTCTCTGCACTCGCAGGCTCAACACCATGTGGAAGCTGCCAAGGCTTGATGCTTGCACCCTCTGAAGCTACGGCCCGAGCTCTATGTTGACCCCTTTCAGTCGGCTGGAGTGGCTGGGATGCAGGGGACCAAGCACACAGCACAGGGACCTTGGGCCCAGCCCACAAAACCACGTTTTCCTCATAGGCCTCTGGATCTGTGATGGGAGGGGCTGCCTCAAAGATCTCTGACATGCCCTGGAGACATTTTCCCCATTGTCTTGGTGATTAACATTCAGCTCCTTGTTACTTATGCAAATCTCTACAGCCAGCTTGAAATTCTCCTCAGAAAATGGGATTTTCTTTTCTTTTTGCGGGGGAGGGATGGAGTCTTGCTCTGTATCCCAGGCTGGAGTGCAGTGGCCCCATCTTGGCTCACTGCAACCTCCGCCTCCTGGGTTCAAGTGATTCTCCTGCCTCAGCCTCCTGAGTAGCTAGGATTGCAGGTGTGAGCCCCCACACCCGGCTAATTTTTGTATTTTTAGTAGAGACCGGGTTTCGCCATGTTGGCCAGGCTGGTCTTGAACTCCTGACCTCAAGCAACCCACCCGCCTCGGCCTCCCAAAGTGCTGGGATTATAGGCATGAGCCACTGCGCCCGGCCTGGGATTTTCTTTTCTATTGCATTGTCAGGCTGCAAATTTTCCAAGCTTTTATGCTCTGTTTCCCTTTTAAAACTGAATGTCTTTAAGAGCACCCAAGTCACCTCTTGAATGCTTTGCTGCTTAGAAATGACTTCTGCCGGCTGAGTGTGGTGGCTCACGCCTGTAATCCCAGCACTTTGGGAGGCTGAGGCAGGCGGGTCATGAGGTCAGGAGATCGAGACCATCGTGGCTAACATGGTGAAACCCCATCTCTACTAAAAAATACAAAAAAAAACTAGCCGAGCGTGGTGGCAGGCACTTGTAGTCCCAGCTACTGGGGAGGCTGAGGCAGGAGAATGGCATGAACCCAGGAGGCAGAGCTTGCAATGAGCCGAGATCGCTCCACTGCACTCCAGCCTGGGTGACAGAGCGAGACTCCATCTCAAAAAAAAAAAGAAAGAAAGAAAGAAAGAAATGCCTTCTGCCAGTTACCCTAAATCATTTCTCCCAAGTTCAAAGTTCCACAAATCTCTAGGGCAGGGGCAAAACGCTGCCAGTCCCTTTGCTAAAACATAACAAGAGTCACCTTTACTCCAGTTCCCAACAAGTTCCTCATCTCCATCTGAGACCATCTCATCCTGGATTTCATTTTCCATGTCCTTATCAGCATTTTGGTCAAAGCCATTCAAGTCTCTAGGAAGTTCCAAACTTTCCCACATTTTCGTGTCTTCTTCTGAGCCCTCCAAACTGTTCCAACATCTGCCTGTTACCCAGTTCCGAAGTCACTTCCACATTTTTAGGTATCTTTTCCACAGCACCCCACTCCTGGTTCCAATTTACTGTAGTAGTCCATTTTCACACTGCTGATAAAGGCATACCCAAGACTGGGCAATTTACAAAATAAAGAAGATTAGTGGACTTACAGTTCCACATGGCTGGCGAGGCCTCACAATCTTGGAGGAAGGTGAAAGGCACATCACAAATGGTGGTAGACACAAGAAGAGAGCTTTTGCAGAGAAACTCCCTTTTTAAAACCATCAGATCTCATGAGATTTATTCACTATCATGATAACAGCATGAGAAAGACCTGTCCCCATGATTCAATTACCTCCCACTGGGTCCCTCCCAGAACACGTGGGAATTAAAGATGAGATTTGGTTGGGGACACAGCCCCAAACCATATCCAGAGTGAAAAGGCAACACTTGGGAGAAAAGATTCACAAATTACATACCTGAAAAGGGTTAATATTCAAAATATATAAAGAACTCCTACAACTCAACAACAACAAAAAACTAATGTTAAAAAATAGGCACAGGACATGAATAGATATTTCTCCAAAGAAGATATACCAATGTCCAACAAGCATATGAAAAGATGCTCAACATCTCCAATCATTAGAGAAATGCAGAGCAAAACTGTAATGAGGCTTATGCCCATGAGTGGTCACTGTTAAAAACACAACAGAACACCAGAAAATAACAAGTGTTGGCAAGGATGTGGAGAAAATTGGAACCCTTGTGCACTGTTGGTGGGAATATAAAATGGTGCAGCCTCAATGGAAAGCAGTATGGAGGTTCCTCAAAAACCTGAAAATAGAATTACCATATGACCCAGCAATACTACTTATGCATATAAATTCAAAAGAATTGAAAGTGTGATTTGAAAGAAATGCTTGTACACCCATGTTCATTGTCGCATTTTTGTAATAGCCAAGAGGTGAAAGCAGTTCCAGTGTTCATTGTCAGATGAACAAACCAAGAAAATACAGTGTATACATATGTTGGAATATCATTCAGCCTTAAAGAAGGAAATCCTGTTACTGGAACTTTGAGGACATTATGCTGAGTGAAATAAGTGAGTCAAGAGGACAAATTACTGTGTAATTCCACTTATGCGTGGTACCTTGAGTAGTCAAATTCATAGAGAAAATGGAATGGTCGTTGCCAAGGACCAGGAGGACAAAGGGATAAGGAGTTAGTGTTAAGTGGGTATAGCATTTCAGTTTTGCAAGATAAAAAAGTTCTAGAGCCCAGGTGCAGTGGTGCATGCCTGTAATCCCAGCACTTTGTAAGGCCAAGGTGGATGGATCACCTGAGCTCAGGAGTTTGAGACCTTGGCCAACATGGTGAAACCCCGTCTCTACTAAAAATACAAAAAAATTAGCTGGGTGTGGTGGCGCACACCTGTAATTCCAACTACTTGATAGGCTGAGGCAGGAGAATTGCTTGAATCTGGGAGGCAGACGTTGCAGTGAACCGAGATCACACAATTGCACTCCAGCCTGGGTGACAAGAGCAAGACTCCGTCTCAGGAAAAAAAAAAAAGTTCTAGAGAGTTTTTTACACAACGATGTGAAACAGTTGATACTACTCAACTGTACACGTAAATATTGTTGGGGTTTTATATTGTATGGTTTTACCACAATTAAATATTTTTTAATATTGAAAAGATTCCTGCACTCCCATGTTTATTGCAGCACTATTCATGATTGCCAAGATTTAGTAGCAACCAAAGTATCCATTGACAGATGAATGGATAGAGAAAAGTTAGTACATATAGACAATGGAGTACTATTCAACCATAAAAAGAAAAGTGAGATCCTGTCATTTGCAACAATATGGATGGAACTGCAGGACATTATGTTAAGTGAAATTAGCCAGGCACAGAAAGACAAACTTCACATGTTCTCACTCGTTTGTAAGAGCTAAAAGTTAAAACAATTGAACGAATGGAGAGAGAGAATAGAATGATGGTTACCAGCAGCTGGGAAGGGTGGTGGAGATGGGGAGCAGGGGGAAAGTAGGGATGGTTAATGGGTACAAAAATATGGGTAGATAGAATGAATAAGATCTAGTATTTGATAGCACAACAGGGTGATTAGTCAACAATAATGTACATTCAAAAATAACTAAAAGAGGCCAGGCGCCATGGCTCACGCTTGTAGTCCCAGCACTTTGGGAGGCCAAGGCGGCCAGATCACATGAGGTCGGGAGTTCAAGACCAGCCTGACCAACATGGAGAAACACTGTCTCTACTAAAAATACAAAATTATTCTGGCATAGTGGTGTATGCCTGTAATCCCAGCTACTCGGGAGGCTGAGGCAGGAGAATCGCTTGAACCCAGGAGGCGGAGGTTGCGGCGAGCCAAGATTGTGCGATTGCACTCCAGGCTGGGCAACAAGAGCAAAACTCCATCTCTAAATAAATAAATAAATAAATAAGTATAATTGGAATGTTTTAGCACAAAGAAATGATAAATGCTTGAGGTGATGTGTAGCCCATTTCCCCTGATGTGATGATTATGCATTATATGCCTGTATCAGAATATTTCATTTACTCTATAAATGTTACATACCTACTATATACTCATAAAAATTAAAAAAAAATATTTTTAAGTAAACAAAATAGTGGAAATGAAAATAATTACAATATAGTAATATCAGTCACCATGGAAAGTCAACAGGATAGGAGGGATTTTTAAAAAGGAGAAGAACTTTAAGGGCCAATGTAGTTGCCATAGTTGCTATTAAATCAGGTGGCCAGGTCATATGGTGGTCCAAATGTTTAGAAAGTTTTTGTTCCTGTCACTAGGCCAACTAAATACCACTTCCTCACTTGTTCCCTAAATATTAGCAGGGCTGTCTTAGAAGGGTTCCTCCTCCTCCTTTCTTTAGAATGTTTCTTAACTACATTAAGTTAAGACTATAGGAAGAGAAAACAGTTCCCCTTTTCCTTTTCATATCCACTAGTCAGTCCTGGAAAAACAAGTATTCTGTTCTCCTCAGTAATGCAGCCTAGTTACATCTTCATAGTAACAAATGCAAAATTCACATTTTGTTTCTGTTGCTAACCAGGACCTCCCAACTTATTTATCATCATCATCTTTTTTTTAAAATAAAATTTGATGCTATGGGTTGAACTATATCCCCCAAAATTAATATATTGAAGCCCCAGTCCCCAACATGACAGTATTTGGATATGTGGCCTTTGGGAGATAATTAGGCTTAGATGAAGGCATGAGGGTGGGACTCTCATGATGGGATTAGTTCCCTCATAGAAAGACACCAGAGCATGCTTGCTCTCTCACTTTCTTGCCCTCCACCATGTGAAGACAAAGGAAGAAAGCATCCATTTGCAAGCTCAGAACAGGGCCCTCAGCAGAACCTGAACACGCTAACATCTCTATCTCATATTTCCAGCCTCCAGAATTGTAACAAATAAATTTCTGTCATTTAAGCCACCCAGTCTCTGGTTATCTTGTTATGACAGACTAAAGATACTTGGGCCAAGCTGAGATACTTGGTTTCTGTCTATCAATTCTGTTATTTAACAATTTATCTAATAACCTTTTCAGAGATACAGATATCTTAATTCCTCAGTAATTTCCATTTTGGATGAAATTGTTTTATTGATTTCATCTGTTCTGGACACTGTACAAAGTAATTGTCTTAGTTCGGGCTGTTATATAAAATATGCCAGAAACTGTGTAGCTTAAATCTCAAAGTTCTGGAGCCTCAGAAGTCTAAGATCAAGCTACTAGCATATCTGGTGTCTGGTAAGGGTGTACTTCCTGGTTTGCAGATGTCTGTCTTCTCATTTTATTCTTAAATGGTGGAGAGTAGAGACAGGAAGAAGCCTCTCAAGTATCTTCTTATAAGGGCACAATCCCATTCATGAGGGTTTCAGCCTTATAACCTAATTTCCTCCGAAAGACTCCACCTTCAAATATCATCCCACTGGGGAATAGGCTTCAACACATGAATTTTGGGGGTGTATAAACATTTAGACCATAGCATTGCTTTGCATACATTAATACATTTTAACTTTACTACAGCCCTATGAAGCAGACATTCATATTTGAGTTTTATAGCTGAGAAAATGAGGACCAGGATGCTTATATAGTTTGCCTGAGATGATGCAGTTTATAAGCTGCAACACTGGGGTGTTAACTAATTTTTTAGGCTCCATAACACACTTTTAACCCCACTACACTTTACTACTTCGCTGTTTTCTTAGTTCTCGCTCTCTTTTTTTTTCTTTCTCCAAGGCTGACAGTGCCAAGTTTCTTGTATTGCTTCTATAACATTCTCCATATTTTGACCTTTGTCCCTTTAATTGGTGGGGGTGTAGGGGGACAACGTGGGACAAATGACAGCACAGCCAGCAACAGAAAAAAATGGAAAGTTACTGCCTAAAGGAAGAGGAAGGCCTGTTTTCCTGCTTTACTTGTGAACTGTGGGTGATGATCAACTGGTAAAACATTGGTTCCTAATAAGGAACTCTAGGACTGAGTTGGCAAAGTTGAGATTTTCAGATATATATAAGAAAGTAATTCCTCAGTATTGTAATTGGCTACATTGGGACATCTTAGCTTAGAAAAAATTAGGCATTCTACAGTTTCTTCAAGGGCAAAAGTTAGATGCCTGGTAGTTGGGGGGCAAGCTATATATGGTTGATGTGTGATGCCTCTCTCTTATTTCTCTGTATTTTCTTTATTTAAACCTGGAAATGGTACATCTCCTAGAAGACATACTAGAGGAATAATTCTTATACTTTTTAGTCTCAAGACTGCTTTATACTCTTTTATTACTTTTTTTGCAACAGGAAGTGGTCATTTAATAAATAACCATGTGGAAGAGGGGGTGCTACCATTCAAAACACCCCGACGGGTCACAGAATGTTCCAGAGCAGAAAGGCACTGGGGACGCCCTGGCTGTCTGCCACCTCTAGCAGCACACCACCGTTCCAATCATTCAGCCCTTTGTGTCCCTACTAGTCCCTGAAATCGCCTCAGCTGAGTGATACTGGGGGTGGGTGGTGAGAGGGGAATGCTGGGAGGGAGTGACACTTGGGGATCCAAGACAGAGGTATCAGGACCCAAAATAAATAAATCATGTTGAATGCCCTATGAAAACAGTGACCCCTTTATATTCTTAAAAAATATTTAGGAGCTTTTGTGCATGTGAGTTATTTCTATCATTATTTACTTTATTAAGAATTAAAGCTGAAATGATACTAAACCTATTACATGTTAACATAAATTTTTATGAAAAATAATTATGTTTTAAAGAAAAAATTATTTTACGTTTTCCAAATGTAAATGTCTTGAATGTCTGGCTTAATAGGAGACAGCTGGATTCTCATATCTTTTGTCTTCATTCTGTTGTGATTTTTTTTGGGTTGACACATAACGATGAAAATCTGGCTTCATAAAGACATGTAGTTGAAAGGCAGAATTATATTAATGGCCTTTTTAGATAATAATGGTGGATATTCTTCTTTGATACTATACCAAACGGTACACTTTCTTTTTTTGTTTGTCTTCTTGAGACGGAGTCTCGCTCTGTCACCCTGGCTGGAGTGCCGTGGCGTGATCTCGGCTCACTGTAAACTCCGCCTCCTGGATTCATGCCATTCTCCTGCCTCAGCCTCTTGAGTAGCTGGGACTACTGGCGCCTGCCACCACGCCCGGCTAATTTTTTGTATTTTCAGTAGAGACGGGGTTTCACCCCGTTAGCCAGGATGGTCTCGATCTCCTGACCTCGTGATCTGCCCGCCTCTGCCTCCCAAAGTGTTGGAATTACTGCGTGAGCCACCACACCCTGCCGACACTTTCTTACAGGTCTAGGATCTGAAACGTTTTTATACTGTGTTACAGTAAAATTCATTTCATTGGTCTTACATTTCAAATGGATCTTTTAGTCATGCATGATTTTGTAACATCATGTATTTTAGTTGTGTAGATATTCCAAATGTTATCACTTCCTGCAAATATTACATTTGTTAATATCACCACCATATATCAGAAGAGTCTTAGGTTATAGGGTAGATACAAGTTTTTTTAAATTCTGATTTTTGTTTGAAAGCTCAAATTTTATTATTGGCAACAAACACTGTCAGTTGTTTACCCTAAAGTGACAGGCGTACTTTATTTTTGAGAAACTGTTTGTACAGTATATACAAATGTAAATAATCATGATTTACTGTTTGCTTTTTCAGTGAAAATGTTATTCCACAGGGTAAAAAGACTAGCTCAGTTCACAGCTATGCTTTTCTTCCAACAATGATGGTACTTTGATACACAGTAAAAACGCTTCATGTGTACTTCCTGTTTTGTCACAAGGAACATTAAAAAGGCATGTACTTGGCCAGGCGCAGTGGCTCACGCCTGTAATCCCAGCACTTTAGGAGACCGATCACCTGAGGTCAGGAGTTTGAGACCAACCTGGCCAACCTGGTGAAACCCCATCTCTACTAAAAAATACAAAAAATTAGCCGGGTGTGGTGGCAGGCACCAAAATATCCAAAGTATATAAGATATTATATGTATAATAATATATATATATAATTATATATTATATAATATGTAAAGATATTATTTTTTTTGAGACTCCATCTCAAAAAAAAAAAGACATGTACTTATGGGTCAGATTTAACAAAATCAATCTATTTTATTTTTATTTTAGTTTTGTTTATTATGGCTCTTTTTTAAAAAAAAAATTAATCTTTTTTTTTAAAGATGGAATTTCACTCTCATTGCCCAGGTTGGAGTGCAGTGGCGCGATCTCGGCTCACTGCAACCTCTGCCTCCCAGGTTCAAGCGATTCTCCTGCCTCAGCCTCCCAAGTAGCTGGGATTACAGGTGCCTGCCACTATGCCTGGCTAATTTTAAAAATATTTTTAGTAGACACGGGGTTTCACTGTGTTGGCAAGGCTAGTTTTGAATTCCTGACCTCAAGTGATCCACCCACCTCAGCCTCCCAAAGTGGAAGGATTACAGGCATAAGCCACCTTGCCCGGCCCGTTTATTATGGTTCTTAAGTAAAACCATTTTTGTTTTTTAAAATCATACGTGGCAGTGAAGAATCCAATGACACTAGTACAGTTTGGGGTTACTGCCTTGATTTCTGCTAAGGCACCAGCCATTTGGCCCACGTGCATTGAAAATGGCAAATAATATATTATTATGAAAATAAGTCTGAAATTGCAGACCACCTGAAATGGTCTCAGGGACTCCTAAGGGGCCCAGGGACCACACTTTGGGAATGACTACCCTAGAGAATTATGTGCTTCCCAGTATTCACCAGGTTATCTCACTCTATCAGGTAGTTCAAGGGTGAAGATAATTAATCTTTAAAGGTTCTGTTAATACATCTAGAGTGACTAGAGGAAATTAGAATTTCTCACTCATTAGGTATATTAGAATTTATCACTCATTAGAATTTAGAAATTAGAATTTCTCACTCATTAGGTATATTAATAGCTACTATACTATATTATTTTCCCTTTCTGTCATCCAAGGTAGGTGCTTTTCTGCTCTCTGAATCACTTAGGATGTGTACCCACATATTCCTTAAACAAGTACCCTTAAGGAATTTATGAAACTTAATTATAAGGGGCTAGTGGCTGGGTGTGGTGGCTCACGCCTATAATCCCAGCACTTTGGAAGGCCAAGGCGGGTGGATCACTTGAGGTCAGGAGTCCGAGACCATCCTGACCAACATGGCGAAACCCCATCTCTACTAAAAATACAAAAATTAACTGGGCATGGTGGCTTGTAATCCCACCTTCTCAGGAGGCTAAGGCACAAGAATCACTTGAACCCAGGAGGTGGAGGTTGCAGTGAGCCAAGACTGAGCCACTGTACTTCAGCCTGGGCAACAGAGTGAAACTGTCTCAAAAGAGAAAAAAAAAAGAGGCTAGCATATCTCTTTTCTGCCCTTGACTTACTGTTTTTAGAAAGGAATCAATGAGGCTAAATTGCCTTGTCCAAACTAATTTTCTACTTCTTCACAGACATTTCTC
Organism: Homo sapiens; assembly: GCF_000001405.40. Taxonomy (NCBI): domain Eukaryota; kingdom Metazoa; phylum Chordata; class Mammalia; order Primates; family Hominidae; genus Homo; species Homo sapiens. The sequence continues at coordinate 62,522,312 of NC_000012.12, forward strand.
TAACAAAAGATCTCATCACTACCAAATCTATTAGCTCCAAGGTTGTTAACTCGGACAAGCTCCTGACAAATAGACTCCTACATGAATGTGCTACCAGATTTTCTTCATTGTCTGCCAAGTCAACTCTTACATACAGGATTCTTTAATAGATATCTATGTGATATTGAGATTAGAATGTCTACCTCAGTAACTTTGATTCATCTTAAGCCATCAGATGTCTCTTGACGTTTAGATAATAATCTACTACCAAAGTACTACAGGAGTTCAAAAACATTCATCACCCTTCATGTTGGTATAGTGGAGTTTATGACATATCTGGGTCACAAAAATTGGATTTATACCATAAGTGCTAATCTTAATACCTGTTTCCTTATAAGTGCAGCCACTTGGGGGAAAGTCTTAACAGATTCATAGTAGGTTTTCTCCATTGAGGCCCTTGTTCAGTGTTCAGTGCTCTCAACACTAGTTCTCTGCTCAAACTTTCACACTTGACAAGAAGAAACAAAAGGAGAACAAGGTTCTAGACTTCAGGAGAGAGCCTCTCTTTTTTACCCAAATCATAAGATTTTAGTGGTTCCAGTATAAATTGATAAATAATTGGTTTGTGTTATAGTCATTGTGTCATAGAGAAAAAATGATATGCTTTCAAGGCAAGTTTTATAATGTTATTCCTTCGGCTGTAATATACTTGATGTTTCTGAGATCCTTTGTATTCTTGCCTCAAAGCTTAGCTGATGAACCTTAAATTCATTCACACACACTTATATGCCACTTATGCCACTTGTAAAGCTGATATTGCACTTGTTGAAGGGCTTACTAATATTCAAACCCTCCAGTAGATAGAGCTGTTGTCCAATGAGTCACTAGCATGGGTCTTTCTTTCTCAGTTCTTCCTCTAAAGAGGTGTCATTTTGTTTAGAAAAAATAATGCCCTATTCATTTGCATGGCACTTTGTCATGTTTAGGGGATGTTTTTATTCTTACATTTTTCTCATTTGATTTCCCAGAAAGATGTAGATATTTTCATCCTTTATTTATAAGAAAGGCAACCATGCTTGTCCTTACGCACAAGGTTGCTGGATAAAGAAGTTGAGCCACCTGACTCCTGATCTAGTTCCTTTAAACTAAGCTTTATCATGTTTAGGACAATGACAAGCCTCTGCATATACTTACCCAGTCATTAGCAGTCTAAATGATAATGTTGTTTTTAGTTATTCCTCCTACTGTGTCATTATGATTATGTCCTTTTTTTAAGCATCCAGTTAAAGATACTGAAAGGCATTAGAAAATACTAGCAGCTAAGACTTTGCACTAAAAGCCTGAGGGCTACTATATTTCCCCAAATTTCTTGTCTCACATTATGGTTCACTCATTTTGAGATACCCCAGCTAAAACATCCAATAACTTGCTGTACCTAGTAGCAAGAATCAGTTTGGCCTAATAATCACCATGTCAGCTTAATTTTTACCTCCCAGAGGTCCTGCTGTATTGTCAATTAATAAGTAACAAAAACAATCCATTTACCTTTGGATGAACGGGTTAGCTTTTGTTTGTTCATTCAGTTATCAGACATGTAATGATTAATGCCTTGGGTGTGCCTTGAACATTATTTATTTATAAAGAGCTTGCTGAGAAATGGTCTATATTAGCAACAACAGTAATGATAATTAATACTTAATTAGCAGTACAGGCCCTGTTCTAATAGTTATATACTTTACATCTGTCAACTGCTATAGGTTCCTCCTTATTTTTCTACTATAAAATTTATACTAAGCACCCTTTGGCTTGCCTCTTTGTTTCTTTAGTAGCAAAAGAAAGTATGGAAAAAACTGCTCTGAAGAGTAGAACGTGCATCCTGTCAGCAGTTTATGTGGTACATGCTGTCTGGCAGTTTTTAGAAATGGAGATGGCATGATGGTATTATCTGCTTTCTAAAGAGCAAGGATAAAGGATTAACCGTATTAGCAGATTACTAATGTTTTCAGGTATATATTTAGAGAAACACTGTGATTATTTTTACTGTTAATGTTTCCATGTATAACTACATTTCCTTTCTCTGTTTCTCCACTCCCCATTAAGAGTTTGATTTCTAATCTAAAAGATTTTATTGGTTTGTCCATAGCACTAAGTTAAGAATAAGAACACAGTCTATAATTCTTCTCTTTGATTCAAAGAAATAGTATTAAAAATCATATATTTTTAGGTAACTGAATGTGAGATATTTCTGTCACTTCTGGTGAAATTTCTGGATGCAGATAAACCACAGTGGCTACGAGCTGTTGCGGTGGAATCAATACACAGATTCTGTGTGCAGCCTCAACTATTAAGGTAAAACCTCAGCAATAGTTTGTTAAATAGATAGGTTAATGTTTATTAACCTGTAAACTAACCTATAATAGGTTAATAAACTAGTCAGAAGACTTTTGGTATTTATTCCCAATATTAGTGATTTCTAAACAAAGAAAATAGGGTATTGTATCTATAAGGACGGGTAGGGCGTGTAGATGTGGAAAAGAACTGTGAGGTAAACACATGTGGTGAGTGATAGACATCAGTCTGAATTTACTGATTTAATATAGCCAAAATAATTTTTTTAGAACTGTGACCTCTATCTGAACCTTTGTCCTAAATTGGTAAAATTACTGAGTTGTAATGAAGAATGTTTTAGTATAGTTTGGTAACTCTTATAGTAATATCACTTGCTATAAAAAGGTTTACAGTTTTTAATATATTCAAATGTTTTTCCCAAAAACCTTTTAAATTATTTTACAGGTCATTTTGTCAGTCCTATGATATGAAACAGCATTCTACCAAGGTTTTTCGTGATATTGTAAATGCACTGGGATCTTTTATACAGTCCTTGTTTCTTGTCCCCCCTACTGGAAATCCTGCAACAAGCAACCAAGCTGGTAAAAACATATTCATAATTTTGTTTCTTATATTCTGCCGTAAGTTACAGTATTGACTGTTCTGAGAGGATATTATGAAATTCTGTGACTAGAGAAATTTGGGTTACCTAAACATGTTGGTAGTAAAGAATTGCACTGAAAGAATAATCTGATCTCAATGAAGCAGTTGTGTTTCTTTTTTCCAGAATAGATTTTCTTCTCTGACATACTTTCAGTTTCTCTGATCACATAAGAACAAAAGTTTAGATGCTAATCTTCATTTTAAAAGAACCTTTATTTGATGACTCCCTTTGAAGAGTCTAGATGGTTACCACCTTAGGAAGACTTAGTCCCTCTCTTAAAGGGGTTAACATGGTCATTGGAGTTTGGGAATCTGTATGGTTTGTTGTTTCCCTTTACCTTCTTTCTCTTCCACTTTGTACTGAGTGATGGTTTTGTATACTTTATTCCCACTTCTGATAAAAAGTGGTCTAATGAAAGGCTAAACATTTATCAGCATTTTTACTTCCCCTAGCAGCTTTTATTTTAAAAAGGGAAATGGTATTTTAGGGAAATAGGAACATTCTCTGATAGACAAAGTAGTACTGATAAATTTCATTTATTTCTGCAATACCCATTCTGATAGCACAGAAATTTTTTTTAAAGATTGGCCAGGTGTTTGACTATTACTGATTTGTAGTCAAGTAGTAAATTAGTGTCTTTTCTTTTTTTCCCTTCTTCTCTAACAGGAAACAATAATTTAGGTGGCTCAGTCTCAGCACCAGCTAACTCAGGAATGGTGGGGATTGGTGGAGGTGTTACTTTGCTACCAGCATTTGAATATAGGGGAACCTGGATACCTATTCTGACAATCACAGTTCAAGGCAGTGCTAAAGCCACCTAGTAAGTAGTAGCAGCATTATTTTATAAGGAATGATGTTGTTGGGGGTGATATTTAACCTAAAATTCTTCTCTATTGTATTTTAAATTTTAGACCCACTACTTCTAAGGTATTTTAGAGCTCATTTTCTTTCGTCATATTTTGAAAATTGTATCTAGGACTGGATTTTATTTGTTTTCTTTTGTGCTGTTTGTAGACTAACAGCATTATAAAACAAAATGTGATTTCTTTACATATGGACCTATTAGCTCTCCTATACAGCTTTTTGGTTTAAGTATATGAATTAGTTTCAGACCACTTGGGCTTAGGTCTTCTAATATTAGCTGAGTTACTGTCAGCAAATTAATCTTTTTTTCTTTTTTTTAAACCTCATTTCTCTCATCTATACAATGGGAGTAGTGATATATCTAATTTTCAGAATTCTATATGTAAGAAAAGTTGTTTTAAGTGCTTATCTAATCATATTGTTAGGGTTAAACACATGAAAATTTTAGTTTTTAATTAATTAAAAAGTGTTTAATGGATTCCATATCTGTTATTTTTAAATTGTTTGTCATTAGCCATTTCAATTTAACAAATGCATACTCAATAATGTATTACTGATTTTTTCTTAAGTCTTAATGAGATACAGTACTTACAGAAATAAGGCAATCAATACTACATGGATTTAACATTGCTATAGTTACTATGAGGCAGTTATAGATATATTTTGAGTAATTGGTATGTATAATTAAAACTATCCTTGGCCAGGTACAGTGACTCATGCCTGTAATCCCAGCATTTTGGGAGGCCGATGTGGGCAGATCACTTGAGGTCAGGAGTTCGAGACCAGTCTGGCCAATGTGGTGAAACCCCATCTCTACTAAAAATACAAAAATTAGCTGGAATGGTGGTGTGCACCTGTAATCCCAGCTACTCGGGAAACTGAGGCAAGAGAATCGCTTGAACCTGGGAGGCAGAGGTTGCAGTGAGCTGAGATCATGTCACTGCACTCCAGCCTGGGTGACAGAGTGAGACTCTGTCTAAAAATAAAATAAAACTATCCTTATGACATAAATCAAGACTTAATATGAAACAGACTCAGGAAGCTGAGGCAGGAGAATCACTTTAGTTCAGGAGTTGGAGTACAGCCTGGGTAACTGTGAAACCCCATCTCTTAAAAAAAATAGAAATGAAACAGAGTCTTCGGCTAGTTAAAATCATCAGTTTCTCTGGTGTGTCAGTCTGCATTGTATCATCCTAGGTATATTTTACCTTACAGCTTTATTTTGCATAAAATTATAAAAGTATAGAGTCATAGAAGACTGAAATATTTTAAGTTCATTGTTATTTTTAGTCATTTATATTCAAATCACTTAGTATTTTATAGGCTTTGCCTTGTACAAAAGGTAATGACTCAAGTATACTAGAGAATTAAGTTGTAAAAGAATCAGATATCTAGCACTAAAGGAGACATTAATTATCTAGTTCACCTTCCCACCTCATTTTATAACCTGAACATAAACCAACACAGAAGAAAATTTTTGCCTTCATAGAGCTTACACTTTAGCGAGTGAGATAGTAAATAAATAAATACACAAGTAAATATATAATATAACCTTGGGTAGTGGTTAATTTGAAGAAAAAGCAAGTTAAGGCCATAGAGAATGACCAAGGTGAAGATGGGGACAGAAAGGGTCTCCCTGAGGAAATAATACTGAGCAGACACATAAAGGGAGGGAGTGAAGATGTGTACTTGAGGAAGGAAAAAAAAAAAAAGAAACAAGCCACAAAATAATAAATACTTGTCTGGGTTGTAGAACTCCTTTTTAAAATTTATTAGTAAAAGCCTACCAACACTGTTTATTGATACTGGATTTTAACTAGTTCTGCTACTAAATACTGTGATTTTGAGTATAGCACTTGATTTCACTTGATCTTAATTTTCTCTTCTTTAAGACAAGATTAGGACTGAATCTCTAAAGGAACATATGTGTAGATTTTTTTTTAGTGCTATACATACTGAAATTGCTTAATTCTGAAATAATAAATGGCCAGAAAATATTGGGTGTTCTTTTGTACATGGGTTAGTATGTTCACACTGGAGCTTAACTGTTGAATTGGCATCTTTTATTCAATTCATTGTGAGGTTCAATATAAAATGATTTCACTATTTTCTTTGAAGGCATATGTATACATCTTGATTGTGCATTCTGTTCTTTTATTGACTGCTTGAGTATAATTTGAAAACTTAAGTGATATATAGATAGAAGTAGTTTGGACGTAAGTATTGGTGGCATATTCTTTTATATTTATTACACTACAGATCCCTTCAAAGTTGGACTTGTGACAGTTTTTGCAATTTGACCTTAAGTTTAAAATGTTTAAACAGATACATTACATTTTATCTCAAAGTGGAATTTATGCAGTAATTCTAATAAAGTAGCACTGAAACAGTGAGTTAAGAAAGTATGTGTTTTCTTTTAGGTTTATGGTATAAATAAAAAGTATAAATTACCCTTTCTCTTAACTATTCTAGTGCTTAAAGTCTGTGCCATAGAATTGGAGAATTGGAGTTTCTGATGTTTTGGATTATTTTATGTTTTAGATACATTTTCCCAATAGATCACATATTCTTTGAGAATAGGAATTTGTCTAATGAGATGCTTAACACTGATTTATTTACGATGTGGCTCTCAAAGGCTAATTGGCCTGGGAAAGATTAAAGCCGTAAACAGATATTTATCTCCCCATTTGAGCTTAAGTTTCTTTCTGTTTTTCACTTTCCTTTTATGTTTGGGGGTACATGTGAAGGTTTGTTAAATAGGTAAACATGTGTCATGGGGATTTGTTGTATGTATTATTTCATCACCCAGATGTTAACCCCAGTACCCAATAGTTACCTTTTCTGCTCCTCTTTCTCCTCCCACCCTCCCGCCTCAAGTACACCCCAGTGTCTGGTATTTCCTTCTTTGTGTTCATAAGTTCTTACCATTTAGCCCCATTTATAAGTGAGAACGTGCAGTATTTGGTTTTCTGTTCCGGCGTTAGTTTGCTAATAGCCTCCAGCTCTAGAACTTAAATTTCATAATCAACAATGTAAACATATTTCTAATGATTACATAAATTTTTAAAAGCTCAAGAGTTGACACATTAGTGGTAGGCTTTAGTGTCAGTCAGACTTGATTTTAAAAACTTCTCATTAATAACTGTAATATTAGTCCTCAGTTTTATTTCTGTGTCTCTTAGGGTTTTTGTGAGGAGTTAAATGAGATAATACATATTAAAAAAGTAGAGTCCCAGGCTAAGAGTATTTGCTCAGTGAATGATCACTATATATAGATGTTCTTATTATGTTTTTTTTAATTTAGCATTTCTTTATTAATTACCTACCTTGATGATTCAGAAACTTTAAGATTTTGAGGTAGGACATTTTCTTAGCTTTTTTATTGTAATCTTTAGTAATTTCAATTTTACTTTTGAGATAATTCATATCTCATGAAATTCACCCATTTACAGTGTACAATTCATGGTTTCATTATATTACAAAGTTGTACAACCATTACTACTACCTAATTCCAGAAAGTTTTCATCACCCCTAAAAGAAACCTCATACCCATTAGCAGTCATTTCCCAATCCCCCTTCTTCTAGCTCCTTAGCAACCACTAATCTGCTTTCTGCATCTATTGATTTGCCAATTCTGGATATTTCATATAAATGGAATCACACAATAAATGTTATTTTGTGTCATACTTCTTTGATGCAACATAATTTTTTTCAACTGTTATGTAATAAATGTACATATTTTCAGGGTAAATGTGATATTTTGATACATTTATATAATGTGTAGTTATCAAATCAGGGTAATTGTGTTATCACCTCAAACATTTATCTTTTCTTTATGGTGGGAACATCTGAATTCGTGTGTTCCAGGTATTTAAAAATATGCAATAGATTATTGTTAAGTGTAGTTACCCGACTGAACTGTTAGATGCTAAATTTTATTCCTGTCTGTATAACTGTATTTTTGTACCTATTAATCAACCTCTCTTTACCCCCAAACCTCCACCCTTCCTGGCCCCTGGGAATCACCAATCTGCTTTCTACTTTAATGAGATCCACTTTTTTAGCTCCCACATCAGTATAATTTTTTTTTTTTTTTTTTTTTGAGACGGAGTCTCGCTCTGTCACCCAGGCTGGAGTGCAGTGGTGTGATCTTGGCTCACTGCAAGCTCTGCCTCCCAGGTTCATGCCATTCTCCTGCCTCAGCCTCCCGAGTAGCTGTGACTACAGGTTCCTGCCACCATGCCCGGCTAATTTTTTGTATTTTTTAGTAGAGACAGGGTTTCACCGTGTTAGCCAGGATGGTCTCGATCTCCTGACCTCGTGATCCACCTGCCTCAGCCTCCCAAAGTGCTGGGATTACAGGCATGAGCCACCGTGTCCGGCCCAGCATAATGTTTTGAAGGTTCATCTGTGTTGAGAATGTGTTCATACTTTATTCCTTTATATGTCTGAATGATATTCCAATATATGGAATCACTTTTTTTAAGTTAATTGATGCATATTGGGTTATTTTCACTTTTGTTTATTATGAATAATACTACCATGAGCATTTGTCTGTAAGTTTTTGCATAGACATGTGTTTTCATTTCTGTTGGGTATACAACTAGTAAGTGGAATTGCTGGGTTATATGGTCACTCTATGTTTACATTTTTGAGGAAGTGCCAAACTCTTTTCCCAAGCAACTATATCATTTTACATTCCTACCAACAATGTGTGAGGAGGGTTCAGATATCTCCACATCCTCAGCAATGCTTGTTAATCTTTTTTATCGTAGTCATCCCAGTGAGTATGAAATGATATCTTACCATGCTTTGATTTGCATTCCCTAATTACTGGTGACAAGCATCTTTTTGTGTGCTTCTTGGCCATTTATATGTCATGTTGGGCGAAATGTCTATTCAGATTCATTGCTCCTTTTTAATTGGATTGTCTTTTTCTTATTTAATTTTAAGAGTTATATATTCTAGATGCCTGTCTCTTATCAGATATGTGATTTGCAAAAGTTTTCTTTCATTCTGTGGGTCTTTTCATTTTCTTGATTGCTGCTTTTTGAAGTACAATTGTTTTTAATTTTGATGAATCTAATTTATCAATTTTTTCCTTTGTTGCTTGTGCTTTTGGTGTTATATCTAACAAACCTTTGCCTAATCCGAGGTAGTGAAGATTTTTACCCATGTTTTCTTCTAAGAGTTTTTATAGATTTAGCTCTTACATTTAGATCATTGATTCATTTTGGAGTTAATTTTGCATATGGTGTGAGATAGGACCATCACTCTTCTGCATGTGAATATCCAGTTGTTCCAGAATCATTAGTTCTTTGTCAATTGAATTACTCTTTTTTCCAGGAATTATTTTGCCAGATGTCAATTTTAAGAGGTTTAGAACCATAGTTCACTACCTGCCATGATTTAAAACAGATTTATTGTCCTTCCTTCTGAAAACTTTCTCCTAACTATGGGGTAAAAAATTGCTCCGCAGTTTGAACTTGACACACTGATGCTCTTATTCTCACCTTGTTGGCAGATTGTATTTGAAATGATAGGTGAGCTGGGCATCTCACAGCATGAAAAGCATCTTCCTCTTCATAGGAGTGATTTGATTTGATGGCATCTTATTTTTTTTTTATTTTTTATTTTTTTTGAGACAGAGTGTCACTCTGTTGCCCAGGCTGGAGTGCAGCGGCGCAATCTCGGCTCACTGCAAGCTCTGCCTCCTTGGTTCATGCCATTCTCCTGCCTCAGCCTCCCGAGTAGCTGAGACTACAGGCACCTGCCACCACGCCTGGCTAATTTTTTATATTTTTAGTAGAGACAGGGTTTCACTGTGTTAGCCAGGATGATCTTGATCTCCTGACCTCGTGATCCACCCACCTCGGCCTCCCAAAGTGCTTGGATTACAGGCGTGAGCCACCACGCCCGGCCAATGGCATCTTATTTTTAAGGCACAAGTCAGAGTTTAAGAAGTTTTATCTCATTGTATTTTGCATGTCAGTCTTAATTTTTCTAATATCTAATATTTAATGAAAACATTGGCACAACTCAGGGGAGAATGAGAAGTAAATTATTAAAATAATTAGTTATGGCAGTGGTCAGGCCTTAATTTTTCTAATCAGGTTTTTAGAATACCATGAAGAGATCTCTTCCCTAAATGAAAGAAATTTGGTAATGTCCCTTTATTTTTTGCTATTCTGTTAATCTTAATTTCTATAGTCTGTAAATTGTAGAAAATAGTTTTATGTATTTTTTTTGTTGTGGCTTCTCATTAGTATTCTATATTTTTCATAATTTCAGCTTAGAAATGTTGGACAAAGTTGAGCCTCCAACTATACCTGAAGGTTACGCCATGTCTGTGGCATTCCATTGTTTGCTAGACCTTGTTCGTGGAATCACAAGTATGATTGAAGGAGAGCTAGGAGAGCTTGAAACAGAATGTCAAACCACCACTGAAGAAGGTTCTTCACCAACACAGTCGACAGAACAGCAGGATTTACAGTCAACATCAGACCAAATGGATAAGGAAATTGGTATGAGTCTGTATTTTTAATTTTTATTGGAAATAATTTGAAATTTACAATTTGCAAAAATTGTAGTCTTTATAAATCTTTCACCCTGACTTCTCAAGTGTTAACCACTTTCCCACATTTACCTTACCATTTTCTTGAATTATATACATGTGACTATACTTTTTTCTGACCTATTTATAGAAAAAGTTGCAGACATGATGCCGTATTACTACCCTTTAATGCATCAGTGTGTATTTTTTCAAAATAAGGTTAGTCTCCTGTGTATCATAGTACAATCACCATCAGAAATTTAACATCAATACAATATTATCATCTAACTCCAGGTCTCATTCAAATTTTGCCAGTTGCCCTAGTGATGTCCTTTTATGTGTTGAATTTAGTTGCCATGTCTCAACTTGGAAGTTTCTTAGTTTTTCCTTGTTTTATATGACCTTACTTTTTTGAGTACAAGTCAGTCAGTTTGAGTTTGTGTTGTGTTCCTTCATAATTACATTCAGCTTATTCATTTTTGACAGGACTGGCACAGAAATGTTGCTGTGCTGTACTTACTGTATCATTACATTAGGAAGCATACTACAGTATCAATTTGTGTCATTATTGGAGATGCTCACTTCTATGAGTTGGTTAATACAATGTCAGCCTGGTTTCTTCAGTGTACAGTTAATTATTAACTTTTTGTGGAAAAATACTTTCAGATTGCTACTACAAAAGAGTGCTTTCCCTTCTGCATTTTTTTATTTTTTAAAAATTATTCACTTATATTAGTGTAGATTCATGGATTCCTATTTTATTCAGAGGATTATAGTCTTTATTATTATTTGGTTTGATGCTCAGATTGTTCCCAACATGGCCAATGGGACCTCTTTCAAGATGACCCGTGTGTCCTTTGGACATGTCCCATGCCCTTTTGACATTCTCTGAGCACTTCCTATTTGATAGAACAAGATGTTCCAGGCTGATCTTGGATGATTCTTGTCCATCCCAGGTGTCAGTCATTTCTCCAGGAAGTCCTGGTTCCTTTTAGTGGAGAATAGTATTGAAACGAACACAGGTATACTAGGTATGCTTTTCACCACTTGGATAGGAAATACATAGCCACATACACACACCCCCACACACAAGCACACGTCTCTGTACATTTCTAAAATGTCTGTTTCTCTATATTGAATTACCATGACATCACACTAGTTTCTTCAGTTCCAGTTCAGTACCACAAGGTTTATTTTTAACTTTCTGTATTTGTAATTCCCTTCTCCAACAGTGTTGGAACCTGCTCACATTTTGCTCAGTGTATTTACTTATTTGCTTGATTCTCAGTGTATGTAATCAGTCTCCTGGCTGAGCCAGTTTGTTACACTGCGCCCTGCCCTCACTCCAACTGGTCACACAGGCTGAGAAAGTTTGGGTTGATGAAGGCAAAGGGAAAGGAAAGGATATCAGCTGGGCATAGTGGCATGTGCCTATAATCCCAGCTACCTGGGAGGCTGAGGCAGGAGGATTGCTTGTGCCCAGGAGTTTGAGTCCAGTCTGAGTAACATAACAAGACCCTGTCTCTTAAAAAAAAAAATGGCTGGGCGTGGTGGCTCACGCCTGTAATCCCAGTAGTTTGGGAGGCCGAGGTGGGTGGATCACGAGGTCAGGAGTTTGAGACCAGCCTGACCAACATGGTGAAACCCTGTCTTTACTAAAAATACAAAAATTAGCCAGGTGTGGTGGCGTGTGTCTGTAATCCCAGCTACTCAGGAGGCTAAGGCAGGAAAATCTCTTGAACCCAGGAGGCGAAGGTTGCAGTGAGCCAAGATCATGCCACTGCACTCCAGCCTGGGCAACAGAGCAAGACTCCATCGCAAAAAAAAAAAAAAAAAAAAAAAAATATATATATATATATATATATATATTTTATATATATATATAAAATTTAACGTGTACAGAAAGATCTTACCATAGATATTTTACAACAACTTATTTTTAAGACTTCTTCAAGCCTGAAACTATAGTACGGCTTCTGAGTTTTCGTTCTTTTAGATTTTTAAATACTGAATATTAGATTTAATAATTAAGTTGTTAATGGAATATTTGACATATTGTCTGGGAAAATTTTAGAATTTCACATATTAATACATATTGTGCTATCTATAATTAAAATTAAATATTGTATGTTTTTTTCCTTTAAGTTAGTAGGGCTGTTTGGGAAGAAATGGTGAATGCCTGCTGGTGTGGTCTTCTTGCTGCACTCTCACTCCTTCTTGATGCCAGGTATTAAGTCTTTGTAAGTTTTATATTGAACTGTGTCAGTTAAAAAAAACACATTAAAATGGTTTACTTACATTTGTCCCTAGAATTATTTTCTAATATTAGTTTTTTATATGTGTGAAACATTATTCTTTTTCCCTCATCCCCCTTCCTCATTCTGTCCTTGCCCTGCCCCAAGCCACCAGAATTGTCATGATGTTTTAATGGAAAATACAGTCCTAAAATTACAGAATGCCTTTTTCATTTCAAGACTTACAACTACTTTTGCAATTATGATTATATTTAATTTCTTTGTTCTTTTTCTTTAGGATTTAAAAATTTACTGGTTTCAAAATGCTTGATATTTTAAGCTAAATCTTTATGTTCTTGGTCATTTTCTTCAGTAATAAATACATGTATTATTATTCATTGCTTTTACCCAGTTCAAATTTTTGAGGTTATGTTAATAGATTAAAATTCCTTCTTAAGTATATTGGTAATATTTTGACAATATTTTTGTATAGATTTTCTTAAAATGTCACTGAATACTTAATTCCACATCATGCTTTACAATGTAATTAAAAATAAGTTAATCAGATTAAATAAAATACTTTCTTTTCAGCACAGATGAAGCTGCCACTGAGAATATTTTAAAAGCTGAACTGACTATGGCTGCTCTTTGTGGAAGACTGGGCCTTGTAACTTCAAGAGATGCCTTTATAACTGCAATATGCAAAGGTTCCCTGCCTCCCCATTATGCTCTTACTGTATTGAATACCACCACTGCAGCTACACTTTCCAACAAATGTAAGACAGGCTTACTCAAAATTCTCTCTATGTAGTGGGATGATATGGTGTAGACAGAAGATTATAAACATCTGAGTTTAAGTCTCTGCTTTTTCACATACTGACTGTGTGACCTTGGGGAAATTAATGTCCCTGAGAGCTCTTTAAAAATATGGGGTGGGGGGTGGGGGGTGGGCATGGGATATCCAAAAATCCAGAATCTAAAATGCTGCAAAATCTAAAACTTGTTGAGCACCAACATGACAAAGGAAAGGCTCATTGGATAAGTATATAATGTGAATAGGTATATAATGCAAACATAAGTATTTACAAATATATTATGCAAATAAATGCATAAGTATATATAATATAAATATTCAAAAATCTGAAATCGGAAACAGTTGTGATCCTAAGCATTTCGGATAAGGGATACTCAACTTGTAATACCAATTTTAAACAATAATTGTGAGAGGAAAATAAGATAAATCTGGAAGTCCTTTGTAAACTATGAGATACCATTGAAATGGTGATTGTTATTTTTTTTTAATGGAACTAGTAGAACAGTAATGTTTGTAACCACTTAGGTTAAACTTACATTCAAAAATTTATTTTCTTGTTGAATTCTTTAAGAATACTTGTTTGTTACATGTAATATAAATTTCAGTGTAATATTTAGGGTTTTTTTGTTTATACTTTTTTAATGAGACAGGATCTCGCTATATTGCCCAGGCTGATCTTGAACTGGGCTAAAGCAGTCCGGCCTCAGCCTCCCAAGTAGTTGTTATTACATGCTAATACTCAGTTTTCAAACTGAAAATGTATTGCTCTCTAAATTAAAAAACATACCAGGGATACATGTTTAAAATACTTAGAATGTGTTCGAGTTCTGTATTGCTTATGAAGAAATCTACCAAAGTTATATAATTTTATGTTGTATAGAAAATTACTTAATATTTGCTTAACTTGTCTTGGTTTTTGTACCTCATGAAGTTTTTGTGTTTTTTTGTTTTTTTTTTTTTGAGACAGAGTCACTCTGTCGCTCAGCCTAGAGTGCAGTGACCCAGATCTTGGCTCACTGCAACCACCGCCTCCTGAATTCAAGCAATTCTCCTGCCTCAGCCTCCTGAGTAGCTGAGACTACAGAAGTGCATCGACATACCTGGCTAATTTTTGTATTTTTAGAAGAGTCAGGACTTCACCATGTTGGCCAGGCTGGCCTTGAACTCCTGACCTCAAATGATCTGCCTGCCTCAGCCTCCCAAAATGGCTGGGATTACAGGTGTGAGCCACTGTGCCCAGCCCCTCATGAGTTTTTTAAATGTTTTGATACAGATATTAGGTATTACTGATATTTAAATAAGTGTATGGCTAAACTTGGTTTAATCAAACTTTAAATATAACATTACTTTAAATGCAATATAAAAATATATTTTAATTATTTAGGCTTTCCTTTGTGTTCTAGCATATTCCGTTCAGGGCCAAAGTGTTATGATGATAAGTCCATCAAGTGAATCTCACCAACAAGTTGTGGCAGTGGGTCAACCTTTAGCAGTCCAGCCTCAAGGGACAGTAATGGTAATGTACTTGTATTTTTCTTGGTTATCAATTAGCTATCAAGGAAACTTGTTGTACCTATCTTTGTGTTTGCCAAAATGTGTCATACATTTATTTACTTTCTTTTACTAGAACTACTTTCTTAAACTAGAAGAAACTAGTTTATGCAGTTGACATTACTGTAACCAATATGATAATACAACTTTTAATCAAATGAATTGTTCCTTATAAAACCTTCCAAATCTTTTTCTTAATTTTTTCTTTAAAAAAATCTTTTAACACATTAATGCTACTTTATAAGCTTTTAATTTTTAAGAATACATAACAATTATTGAAAATGTATCCTTTTTAAAATATAGCTGACTTCCAAAAATATCCAGTGTATGAGGACTTTACTTAACTTGGCGCATTGCCATGGGGCTGTTCTTGGAACATCATGGCAACTTGTCTTGGCAACTCTTCAGGTATGTAAAAGTGTCTAGGTCAGAGATTAGTGTTGTTTTTATATATAATTGCTAACAGTTAGACTAAGCAATGTATTTTGATGTTTTGGACAGGCCTAAAAAATAGATAGTAAGTATGAAAAAAGAGAAGTTAGAAAGGGAAAAAGATGTGACTCATATTGTAGGAAGTGGTGGAATGCTTCTCATAATGGCCTAAGCTCTGCTGCATATGTTCGATATCATTAATTATTTTATATGAATGTTAATTAGTGATTTTAGTTTTAGGTTTTAAAAACCTACTACTGATTTTAATTTTGGTTGCTAGAAGTTACTACTGATTTTAATTTTAGTTATTGGACCTTTTATACTTTTGTAAAGTTATTTGTTTTGATTTTTTTTTAATTTTACAGCATCTTGTGTGGATTCTGGGATTAAAGCCTAGTAGTGGCGGTGCCTTGAAACCTGGGAGAGCTGTAGAAGGACCCAGTACAGTAAGCTCTAGTCTTTCTTACCCAATTAGTGCATCCCAAAGTGTCATATATTACATTTAATTTTATTCTTCTCAGGTTCTAACAACAGCAGTGATGACAGATTTACCAGTGATTTCCAATATACTTTCAAGATTGTTTGAAAGCTCACAGTAAGAGTCAGTTTTTTTAATTGATAAAAACATTGTTATTTGTTATATATTTTAGATCAAGATGTCTTATTTCTTCATTTCCTTTTTAGGTATCTTGATGATGTATCACTGCATCATTTAATAAATGCACTTTGCTCCTTGTCTCTAGAAGCAATGGATATGGCCTATGGAAATAATAAGGTGTGATATTCTACCTTTCTGTTTTAGATATGATACATTAGTTATATAAGATGTACATCCATTATGATCTTAGTGTTTTACTAGTAGAACTAACACTCAGATTGTATGGTAACCATACTCTGTTGGGTTTTTACCACTTATCGTTATTTGTCGAAGGAGTAAAAAGGACATGATTTGGCTTGTGATATGTCTAAATATGTCATATGATTTTAAGTTGTGTTCATTTCTCTTATATACTGAACATTTTAAAAATATTTTTATAAAATAATATAATACAGTTTTATAGGTTATATAAAATGTCATGATAATACTTGTAATTACAATTTATGATTGGGGTAATATAAGATTTAAATTAAAGAATGTTTGTCTCAGTTTCCTTTGCTTTCATTGGGATGGAAAGTAAGGAGCTAATCATTTCTTTCTAAAGGTAATGATTCTCCTTATCTTGAAAATTTAAATTTTTATTTGTTCATTGATTAAATGAATAAAACGGTACTTTTGAATATTAACATTCAAGAACATTTCTTTCTATACTACTAAAAATATCACTTTCTGTTATACTTGGAAAGCACAGGAACAGTTGTATTTATTTATATGTTAGAAATAATTAAACAAAATACTTTCCACATTTTAAAATCAATAAATATAGTTTGACTATTTACAAATAAGTGAAAATAACCCAAAATATGATTTAAAAGCTAAAATTTATATAATTTAAAGCTATAACATGTAACTGTAGCATTCAAAATTATGTTGTCTGCCTAGTCTTTTTTTTTTTTTGAAACGGAGTCTCGCCTTGTCGCCCAGGCTAGAGTGCAGTGGCGCAATCTCGGGTCACTGCTCTGCCTCCCAGGTTCATGCCATTCTCCTGCCTCAGCCTCCCAAGTAGCTGGGACTACAGGTGCCCGCCACCACGCCCGGCTAATTTTTTTATTGTATTTTCAGTAGAGACAAGGTTTCACTGTGTTAGCCAGGATGGTGTCGATCTCCTGACCTTGTGATCCGCCCGCCTCAGCCTCCCAAAGTGCTGGGATTACAGGCATGAGCCACCGCGCCCGGCCATCTGCCTAGTCCTTAAGTGTAATTTTGGGTACTGTGGCTTGTTATCTTGGCTCTTATGACTCATTTAAAGATTGGTGAAGAAAGTCTCATTAGAGCATAGTTTCATATATTATAGTACCTAGCTAGATAATTATATAAACATGCAGGTGTTTGAAAGTATGTATTATGGCTGGGCATGGTGGCTTACGCCTGTAATCCCAGCACTGCAGGAGGCCGAGGCAGGCAGATCACTTGTGGTCAGGAGTTCGAGACCAGCCTGGCCAACATGGTGAAACCCCGTCTCTACTAAAAATACAAAAATTAGCTGGACATGCTCAGTTGAACCCAGGAGGCGGAGGTTGCTGTGAGTCGAGATTGTGCCACTGCGCTCCAGCCTGGGCGACAGAGCAAGACTCTGTCTCAAGAAAAAAAGAAAATATATATTATAGTTTGTTCTAAATCAGGGCAAGGATAATATATAATGAAGTAATTAATTTTTTGATACCTTTAATAATTCTACATATTTGAGATTCTTAACACAAAACTATAATATTTTTAATAAAGTACCTTAATGAAATCTAAGCAAGTTTATATGGTAATGTTTTCAGAATCTATGTATTTATTCAATAAGCACAGTAGGCTTACTGTGTACATGACGATCTGCTCAGAGACATTAAGAAATAAGAGGTTTCTACTTTCAAAGAGTATATAAGCTACTTGGTTCATAGTTAGTGACAATTACTATGGTATGAGAGTCTCAATAAATAATACAGATATTAAATGACATGAGACTTACTCTCTGAATTTTTAGTTCCTTGTTATATAAGATGTTATTGGTATATGTTTCTATTAAGATGAATTAAGATTAATCAAGATGAACTAGTGTGATTGGAGATGTATATTGAAAGATTGGTAGGATTTAGGTAGGAAAGGGCAGGTTAATGTAAATCAAAAGAAAAATATTGTAGGAAATCATGACCTATAAGAAAAAAATAGGAGATTTGATGATTAATCATTTATTTTTAACTTTCAGTAGTGCAATTTCAGAGAGTGGTAGCAACAGATACGATTTTTAAGGAAGGCTTGGGAAGAACAGTTGTGGAGAAAATGGATACGCTGAGTAAAATAGAGATAATTTCTTTGAAAATGGATTTACATGTCTCCCTTTTAGGATTTAATTTTGTAAAGTGAAGTAAATATGGAATGGAAATTAAAACTTTATAAAAATATTCAAGTATAAATTTTAGAAAAGTATTCAACATAAACCTTATATTTTTAGATGGAGGCTATAAAAAGTTTATTCAGTTATGCCATCTATAAAAGTTATTATAAATATGCAGATATTAAAATTAGTGGGAAAGTTTCTATATTATTGAAAAAAGAATGTTCATCTAAATCGACTGTTCTGAGTGAGTTAAATATTCTAGGGATTAAAGATGTATATATCAGTGTTCTTTAGGTGTGGCTTTACAGTGATCAGCATCTCGTTTTTGATCCTCGTTGCAGGAATTTGTGCCAATGTGTTGAGGAAGTAACTTAAGATAAAGCTTGCAGGCTGAGCGTGGTGGCTTACGCCTGTAATCCCAGCACTTTGGGAGGCTGAGGTGGGCGGATCACCTGAGGCCAGGAGTTTGTGACCAGCCTGGCCAACATAGGGAACCTCTTCTCTACTAAAAGTACAAAAATTAGCCTGGCATGGTGGTGCACACCTATAATCCCAGCTGTTCTCATGGCTGAGACATAAGAATCACTTGGGAGGTGGAGGTTGCTGTGAGCCAAGATTGCGCCATTGCACTCCAGCCTGGGCAACAGAGTGAAACTCTGTCTCAAAAAAAAAAAAAAAAAAGATAAAGCTTGCAAATTCTTTCTTAGAAGAGGATGATACTTTTATAGTTACATTAACAAGCACAGTATAACAACAACAAAAATATTAAAGCAGCTGTTGTTCACTGTTTACTGTATGCCAAGCACTAACTTATTTTATCATTTAAAACAACTCTGTGAGATTTAGTGGTAATATACCCTTTTACAGATGAAAATATGAAAAATAGCTTAAGTGACCTGCCTGAGGTTATGTACTTACTTATTGGAAGAGCTTGGATTTGAATTCACTTATGTCTCATTCCAAAGCTCTGTTCTTAAATACTTTGCTGACTTTTGGTGTGCATCAGAAACAGCTGTGTAGTTTTTTAAAAAGTGCAAATGCGAGGGCCACATTCTAGGTTTTTGAGTAAGAATCTTCAGGTGTGAGCTTTGGATACCTATACATATTCTTTTACATGATTCCTGAGTATATCCTAGTTAAAATAAGTAAGAGGAAGAGGAGGAATAAAGAAGTAATATTAGGCAACATTGTGGGAGAACTTATATGCCAGGCACTTTCTAACATTAGATAGTTTTCTATATTATTATTATCTTCATTTTTTAGGTTTAAAAAATAAAAACTTTCAGAAGAGGTACATAGGTTACCCAAGGTTATATAGCTATTAAGTAGTAGAGTTGAGATGAGATCCCAGTTAAAACTTCATAGACATCATCTTAACTACTATACCATATTCTCCCTAGAATCATGAATTTTCCTACCACCCAAATTTTTAGGGTGCTTTCCACATTAGCGCATGCGGGAAGGGTCAACCTGACCATATTTGTCTTAAAACCCCAATATACTTGGTTCACTGGCTTCTGCTAGAAAGGAAGATATTATCACACATTTCCCTGTTAGATTTTTATTAGCACTGTAAAAATGTTAAGAATATAGACTCATAAAAAATCTTTCTCTTTAAAAATTATTCTCCTAAATTGGCTTTTTTATTCAGTTGTCTTGTCTTTTTTCTAAGACAATGTCTCTGTTTGAAATACCACGCCATCCACTCAAAAATACTCATGGCTTTCATCAGCTGAATTTGCATTTAAACATGTTTATCACTTTCATTAATATTAGATTAGAGATAACTGCCCTTTGATCTTTTCTGAAACCATTCTTGTGACACATGGACCAGGTACTCTAATTTAGCCATGTATAATGTACCCTGGTTCCCTTTCTGATTATTGATATGTCAGGGACTATAGAAAACTGTTTTGTCTTCGTGTCCTCTGCTGTTCTGTTAGTGTCTGGACTGACAGCCCTGATCTCTGCTATAGTCTTGATTTCATTTTCCTTTTCCTTTATCTCTGTTGTCTCTTTTTCCCTACTTCTTGACATTCACACATAAAACCTGGTCATTTTAAGACTGCTGATAAGAATGCTTCTTTCCTTCTGGTTGGAAGACTAGCCATTCTATGTGTCTAGTATCATTTTTGGATTTTCATCCCTCCACTATTAAAGCATTCTCTTCCTAACCAAATTTTCTAATTAGGAGCTATTTTGGATACTTAAGGTTGACAGGAAGCCTTGTCTTTGATAACTGAGGTTTTGTTATAAATATAACTTTATACTAACCACTCAATTTTAATTTCAGTCATGCTCTTCAGAGTATTCTCAGTTTTATTCATAGTCTAATTACTCAGAATTCTCCTTATACTATCAAAATACAATGTATTTTCTCCCTAGGAACCATCTCTTTTTGCTGTTGCCAAATTGTTAGAAACTGGTTTAGTTAATATGCACCGAATAGAAATTCTGTGGAGACCTCTGACTGGCCATCTACTTGAGGTAAATTCTCTTTCTTAAATATATTTAATTTTTTAATAAACATTTGCACACTGAGCTAATGATTCTAAATAGCCATTTGAAAAATCAGCATTAACTTTTTTTCCCCCTTTCCTGACTGTGTACTTACTTATGTTTGTACATTTTATCAAGGACTAAAGTTGTTTTGTAATTTATTTCATGAAGGAATTGGTTGCTTTTATTGGCTGAAAATGGGTGACATTTTAAAGTGAGAAATATCAGTGAAGTCAGCTGTTACCTTGAGATGCCTTTCTTTTATCATACAGTCTCTTGATCCACCTCACCTCAGTTTCAGATAGTTCTGAAACTTCAAGGCAGTTGGGGCATAGAGTTAATAGTAAACACTGCTCATTTATAGCCTTTGCTATCATCATGAGATAGCTTTTTTTTTTCTCTCTCTCTCTTTTTTGAGACGGAATCTAACTCCGTCACCCAGGCTGGAGTGCAGTGGTGAGGTCTCGCCTCACTGCAACCGCCGCCTCTCAGGTTCAGGCAATTCTCCTGCCTCAGCCTCCCGAGTAGCTGGGATTACAGGCGCATACCACCACACCTGGCTTATTTTTGTATTTGTAGTAGAGACGGGGTTTAACCATATTAGCCAGGCTGGTCTTGGAACTCCTGACCTCAGGTGATCCACCTGCCTTGGTCTCCCAAAGTGCTTGGATTACAGGCGTGAGCAACTGCTCCTGGCCTTGATTATGAGATAGCTTTCTGTGAAGGGGAAAACCTGTTTGGTAACACTAACTATAGATAGTGCTGGAGAATTTTACCTGGATTTACATTGTCTTACATTCAGGTTGAGGTAATTCTTAATAAATAGTTCCTGCTTAAAAACAAGCTGCTTCTGCCAGTATGTGTGTTTGTGTACAGTTTAGGTTTAGGTTACCATAGTTCTTTTGTGTTATTTAGAAACCTAGGAAAGGTATTATTCTTAGTAAGAAAAACAGGCTGGCTGCAGTAGCTCACACCTATAATCCCAGCACTTTGGGAGGCTGAGGTGGGAGGATTACTTAAGCCCAGGAGTTCAAGACCAGCCTGGGCAACATAGGGAGACACCATTTCTACAAAAAATTTAAAAAATTAGCCGGGCTTGGTGGTATATGCTTGTGGTTCTAACTACTTGGGAGGCTGAATGGGGAGAATTGCTTGAACCCAGGAAGTTGACGCTGCAGTGATCTGTGATCGTGCCACTGCATTCCAGACTGAGTAACAAAGTGAGAGACTGTGTCTCAAAAATAATAATAATAAAATAAATAAGAAAAACAGATGTACATGAGCTTTCCCCCCATTTTATTGGAATTACTTTTATGAATGATTAAAGGCTATGTGCAGATGCCTTCATTAATGGATGGTCTCATCAAAGGGCAACTCTGTGACATATTATTTGATTAATGAGGGTAAACTTAATTAAGAACCTTGGTATTAGCTTGCTTCTTTTGTTTACCCTGATATATAATTTACTGTTATGAAATCCTTTCTTCTCTGTGAATTGTTTTAGTTTCATCTTTTTTCTTCTGTCTCTCTATTGCTTGCTCTTGCCCTTATTCAGAAGGTAAGCTAACTTACATTTTGGGTGTAATTTTTCTTCCAACCCTTATTGAACATTTGATATAAAATGTAAAATTGATGTGTGATTCATAGCTTAAGTATACAAATTAAACTTAATTTTATATACCTTCAGGTCTGCCAGCATCCAAACTCTCGAATGAGAGAATGGGGAGCAGAAGCTTTAACTTCTCTTATTAAAGCAGGATTAACATTTAACCATGATCCTCCACTCTCACAAAACCAGGTAATAAAAACCTTACTTTTTAAAAAGAATACTCAATATAAAATTATCCTCCTCCATATGTGATTTTTTTCTTATCAGGTAGATCATATTCTAAGAGTAGGGTTTTTAACTTAATATTCTATTTTATATGTAGGCCCTGAATCTCTTACATAAGGTAAGAGATTTTTAGGGCTGTTTTCATAAAAAATTTTAAACATCTTGTGGATGACACTAACCTAAGTTAAATTACCTGGAATTGGTCTCACGTTCATAAGTTTTCCTCTTCATGCAGTGCTAAAGTGTTGTTTTGGAGCCTCTTTTGCTTTGGTCTTCACATGTCCCTGGATTTTTTTTTTTTCTCACTACCCTTACATGGGGAGAAAATAAGTGGCAGAAGAAACAAGCACAATGAAATAGATTTTTTATTTTAAAATAATTTTAAATTATGTTTTACTTCCAGAGTTTACTTTTGTCATGAATTCTTTGTCCTGACTCTCTATTATTTGTACCCACTTTTTAAAAAGTCTACCAAAGTTTTATTGTTTCATGACTGAGTAGGAATGAGGCATTTATTTATTTTTTAATTTTTTAAATAAAAATATGGAGTACATCATGAATTTGCATGTCATCCTTGCCCGGGGGCTGTGCTCATCTCTGTATCATTTCATTATATGTGCTACTGAAGCAAGCACAGAATGAGGCATTTAATAACCATTCCAATTGCCCTCATCATCTTATTGTATTGTAATTGTACTCTAGAAATTGATTTAACACATAATTATTGAATACCCCACCTGGAATAAGATGATGAACAAGACAGAAAAGATATTATAAAGCTTATAGAGCTTACATTTAATGATTTCATATGTTCTTCTGCAACAATTTGAATTTTTTTTGAAAAAATAATACCCTTTTCCATTTATTTTGATATCCTCAATGTCCAGCTTAATACTTAGTGCATAGTGAAAGCTTAGAAATGTTTATTCAGTGAATGAACCAAATAAATGAATCCCCTAGAGAGAAGAAAGTTAAGAATGAAGGGTTTTCAGATGCTGAAAGGGATAGACAGAGTGCTTTTTTTAAGTCTCCAACAAATTTCGTGGTTTTATGTCATCTTTGTTAATATCTGCTACATTTATTCATTTTTTATAAGTATTATAGCTTCTATTACTACATCACACTTGAGAATTTTACATTTAAATACATATGATATACATTAATAAAGTAAATGAAAGGTCATTTTAGAGATTGGGAATTGATTACCTCTCTCCAAATATATCTAGAGATATATTTCCTTTAGTGAAATTTATTTCTATTATTTATCAGATCTATAATTAGTATCTTTAAAGTAAGATAACTACCCATTTATCTAAAATCTAACATCTTGAAAGTTGATTTTTTCTCTTATTTAAAAATATAGATTTGTCTTTAATAATTACTGTTAGATAAATGATATTTGATGTTTATTTAGGTAGAAAAATTCCAAACGGGCATGGTGGCTCACACCTGTAATCCCAGCACCTTGGGAGGTCAAGGTGGGCGGATCACCTGAGGTCAGGAGTTCAAGACCAGCCTGACCAACATGGTGAAACCCCATCTCTACTAAAAATACAAAGATTAGCCGGGCATGGTGGTGCATGCCTGTAATCCCAGCTACTCAGGAGACTGAAGCAGGAGGATCACTTGAACCAAGGAGACGGAGGTTGCAGTGAGTCAAGATTGTGCCACTGCACTCCTGCCTCCTGGGTGACAGGACGAGACTCCATTTCAAAAAAAATAAATAAAACATAAAAATATCTATTTCCCATAGTAGTCTGAATGGCGATGAATTTAAACTTGAAAAGCAACAGTAAAGCCTTCTTGTCTTTTTGGACTTCTCTTCCTAATTAGTTTCTTGCCCCCTTTTCAGAGGCTGCAGTTGCTTTTATTGAACCCGTTAAAGGAGATGTCCAATATTAATCATCCAGATATTCGACTCAAGCAGTTAGAATGCGTGTTGCAGATTCTGCAGAGTCAGGGAGACAGTCTTGGGCCTGGATGGCCATTAGTGCTTGGAGTCATGGGAGCAATCAGAAATGATCAAGGGTAAGTATTTAAAATTATTTGAGAAAAAATATGTATGAAAAATAAAATATAAATAAAATAAAATTAACATCAAAAAAGTGATAGAGGTAGAGAAGGACTCCATCCTAAAATCTTGAAATAGTGGTTATTTTTTTCATGTATGCGCTTCCTGCTTAAGGCTAAGATCTGTAATAGTTTTTCTTAACTCTACCCCTAAGTGGCTACAGGCAATTTTTAGGGATCACCTTTGGTTTGGAAAGATGGAAAAATTGCTCTTTATTTAACATTCATGCAAGAATACATGATTCTTACTTATAAGATACTTGAAACAATTAACAAATTTTATAACACATCCAAAGATTGGGCTGTTGTGTTTTGTTAAATTATTTGATAAGATGTGAATTAGCATTTAGGGCTTGACCTCCCTATATATATTAGGCAGTCAGAAATTGCTTTAAAGTAACTTTTTCATTACTTTTTAATTTATTAAACATTTATTCTGTGCAGAGTGTATTTCAAATACTATACATGGTAGTTATTCTGATTACACAGGTAAATAGCTCCTGCCCTAGACATAGAATCCTAGTGAGAAAGTATAGTTATACGCTGCCTAACGTTTCAGTCAACAACAGACCACATATATGATGGAGGTCCCATAAGATTTTAATACTCTGTTTTTACTGTACGTTTTCTATGTTTAGATATGTTTCGGTACATAAATACTTATATTATGTTACAATTGCTTACAGTATTCAGGACAGTAGCAAGCTGTACAGGTTTGTAGCCCAGGAGCAATAATATACCATATAGCCCCGGTGTGTAGTAGGTTATATCATCTAGGTTTGTGTCAGTAAACTCTGTGATGTTCATACAGCAACAGAATCGCCGAATGACACATTTCTCAGATCATATCCTCATCAGTAAGCAACACATGACTGTAGTTTGTTATGCCACAAAATAAGAAACCTTCAGCAGGAGGAGGACAGAGGCAAAATTATGAAGGAGATCTTATATGGTTATATAAATGATTTGAATTTATCCAAAATTCATGTGGGAGACATTTTGGGATTTTAAGCAGAGGAATGACTTAATCACATATGAATTTTATAGATATCACTGTGACAGCAGCATGGAAGGGAAGGTAGGAAATGAGAATGGCTACAAGTGCTCACTAGAAATAAGAGATGGATTTGAGCTACTTAACGGATTGACTGTAGCGAGGCATAGGGGAAAATAGCAATCAGGAGTGACTTCTAGATTTCTGACTTAGGCAGTTTAGTGGGGGATGGTAGTATCATTAACTAAATAGGGAAAAGACAAGGAAGAGCAAATTTGGAGGGGACATATGGACTTGTTTAACTTTTGGGGTAGGAGATTGCAGTGGAGAGATTAAGCAGACAGACATTGGATAGATTTTTCTGTAATTCTGCAGTATCACACTTTTGTTTTGATGACTAGTTCGGAAGTTGTAGACGACCAAGATGCTTGAGAATATTATGGAAAGTTAATTTTTCTTAAATATTTATAGTAATAAAATTCTTTACTACAAAATATTGAGATGCTTAAATTGAAGAATCAGCTTAGATCAAGCTTAAGTGTCTTCTCCCAACCTATAATGTGGTGTACTAAATAGGGCATTGTAGTAAGGGTATAATGAATTAATGGGTGTAAAACAGTTAGAAAGTATGTGACATACTAAGCACTCAGAGTATTAGCAATTATACTTATCATTTTCATTACTATTTTTTACCACCAGGATTTTTCTCCAAAACTAAATACTTCTTATTATCTTTATTTGAAATTCAAAATTTACTCTTTTCTCACTGACTGGATGTGGGTTTTTATATTTCTTTGGAGATTTAAATAAGATACAGTACGGATATAAAAGAATGAGGAGCTCTTTTTCAGTAAATTGTGTGTATTTACATGTACTGGACACTGTACTAGATATCAGGGATACAGTGAGGAGAAAAATAACTGTAGCAAACTTGCCATTCTCATTTATTGTCTAAGTTTTCTTTGGTTAGTTGGTATGAAATACAAATAGAAGTAATATGATGTTAATACTTTATTTTTAAATTTGTTTTTATTTCTTATTGCCTGTAAGCTTCTTTCTTTGTTTTTGTTAATTTGTTTAAGTAAGCATGTCTTTTTTACATTTATGTAAATGTTAAAATACTTTATGATCAATATTAGGAGTTTCTTGTTTAAATTCTGAAATAAAATTTTACTTCAAATTATTGTAAGATATGTATTTTTACACATTTCTTTTAAATGCATAAGTAAGGCTGGGTGTGGTAGCTCATGCCTGTAATCGTAGCACTTTGGGAGGCTAAGGCAGGAGGATCACTTGAGCCCAGGAAATTGAGACCAGCCAAGGCAACATAGTGGGACCCTGTCTCCACAAAAAAAAAAAAAAAAAGGGCATGGGGGTGTGCACCTGTAGTCCCAGCTACTGGGGAAGCTGAGGTGGGAGGATCACATGATCCAGGGAGGTTGAGAGTGAGGCATGATCGCACCACTGCACTCCAACCTGAGTGGCAGAGTGAGACCCTGTCTCAAAAATAAATAAATAAATAAAATAAGTGCATCTGTATACATTTCTTTTGTTTTCAGAGAATCCTTGATACGAACTGCATTCCAGTGTCTTCAGTTGGTTGTGACAGATTTTCTACCAACAATGCCTTGTACTTGCCTGCAAATAGTTGTAGATGTTGCAGGTAGCTTTGGCCTCCATAACCAAGAACTCAATATTAGTTTAACTTCAATAGGTTTATTGGTAAGTATCATTGTCCTTAGAATATAATATAATTTAGAAATCATTGTTATTCAGTTGGGAGTGAATGCTAAGCAAATATACTTTTAGCTCTTTGCAAATTGTTTATATGGCTTTTAAATTTCAAACTTACGTCTGGGTGAAGGATTAAATAACATCACTTAAATATTAATAACAAAATGTTTGAAATAATTTTCATACATTGAGCTGAAGTTTGGGTTTTACAGGGTTTGTCATGAAAGGGTTTAGTAAACAATAGTATATACAAGGGAAATCTTCAGTTGACTTTTATGTGAACCAATTACATTAGCCCCTGACAAGAAAATCAGCTTGTACTTTGAAGCCTTGAAGCCAAGCATTGACTTTTTATCTTTAGCCATGAAAGTCCTACATGACATCTTCAAGTACAAGGCTGTTTCAGGCTGGGCATGGTAGCTGATGCCTGTAATCCCAGCACTTTGGGAGGCTGAGGTGGGAGGATTGCTGAGGCCAGGAGTTTGAGACCAGGCTGGGCAATAAAATGAGACTCCCATCTCTACTAAAAATTAGCTGTGTATGGTGGTGCACACCTGTAGTCTCAGCTACATGGGAGGCTGGGATGGGAGGATTGCTTGAGCCCAGGAATTGGAGGCTGCAGTGAGCTATGATCACAGCACTGCACTCCAGCCTTGGCAACAGACCCAGACCTTGTCTCTGTAAAAAAAAATGATAATAATAAAAAGGCTGTTTTGTCTACATTGAAAATCTGTTGGTCAGTGTAGCCACCTTCATCGGTGATCTTAGCTAGATCTGGATAACTTGCTACAGGTTCTACATCAGCACTTGCTGCTTCACCTTGTACTTGTAGGTTATGGTGATAACGTCTTTTCTTAAACCTCATGAACTAGCCCCTGCTAGCTTCAGACTTTTCTTCTGCAGCTTCCTCACCTTGCTCAGCTTTTATAGAATTGAGGAGAATTAGGGTCTTTCTCTGGATTAGGCGTTGGCTTAAGGGAATCTTGTAGCTGGTTTGACCTTCTATCCAGACAGCTGAAAGTTTGTTGATACCATCAATAAGCCTGCTGTACTTTCTTCTTTCTTTCTTTTTTTTTTTTTTTTTTTTTTTTTCTGAGACGGAGTCTTGCGCTTGTTACCCAGGCTGAAGTGCAGTGGCATGATCTTGGCTCACTGCAACCTCTGCCTCCTGGGTTCAAGTGATTCTCCTGCCTCAGCCTCCCATGTAGCTGGAATTATAGGCGCCCGCCATGATGTACTTTCTTATAGTTTGTTTGTTCTTTGGAGTAGCACTTTTCGTTTCCTTCAAGAACTTATCCTGTGCATTCACAACTTGGCTCACTGGCACAAGAGGCCCAGGTTTTGGCCTGTCTTGATTTTCGACATGCCTTCCTCACTAAGCTTAATTATTTCTAGCTTTTGATTGAAAGTGAGACAAATGCGACTCTTCCTTTTACTTGAACACTTACAGGTCATTGTAGGGTTATTAATTGGCCTAATTTCACTGTTGTTGTATCTCAAGAAATAGGGAGGCCTGAGAAGAAGTAAAAAGATGAGGAAACAACCTGACGATGAAACAGTCAGAAAACTCACATTAAGTTTGCCATCTTACATAGGTGCGGCTCATGCACCCCAAAATAGTTGCAATAGTCACATCAAAGATCACGGATCATAGATCACCATAACAGACATAGTAATAATTAAAAAGTTTGAAATATTACAAGTATTACTAAAATGTGGCACAGAGACACAAAGTGATCACATGCTGCTGGAAAAAAACGGTACCAACAGACTTGTTCAATGCAGGGTTGCCACAAACCTTTATAAATTGCAATTTATAAAAATTACAATTATCTGTGAAGCACAACAAAGAGAAGTGCAATAAAACAAGGCATCTCTGTAATGAAATCTTAGAGAATTGTTAACATTACATGAAATAAACATGCACAGAATTGTTTTCAACATATATTTTAAGGCAATTATTTAGAATCTTTTAAATGTATATTAAAACTCAGAAGTTTTATAAATTTGAACTTTAAATTTTCCTCACAAGCTAGATAAGTTACTACATTCATCTCTTCCTACGTTCAGCTCTTAATATTTGTGGCTTCTGCATCTGTAGATTCAACCAACTATAAATAGAAAATTTTTTTTTAAAACAAGATAGTTGTATCTGTACTGAACATGTACAGGCTTTCTTGTCAATATTACCTAAATACAGTATAACTAGTTACATAGCATTTACCTTATGTTAGGTATTAAAAGTTACCTAGTATTATTCAAAGTATACAGGAGGATGTGTGTAGATTATATTCAAATACTACACCATTTTATATAACAGACTTGAGGATTTGTGGATTTGGGTATGCAGTGGGAGGTCCTGAAACCAATCCCCCACGGATACCGAGGGACAACTGTATTTTACTATTACTATTATTTTTCCCATTTTTACATGGGAAAAAATGTAAGCATGTTGCATATATGATTGCAAGTGGGTGGCTAGTGCAACATTGCTTAAATTACTGCTGGATAGCACCTCCTTTATTTTACATTTATGTTCACAGTACTGGATTCTCTACATTTTAACCATTGGCATAATTATCATTAATATAAGATATGTTTGGAAACAGTAATTGCTCGTGTATGAAATTACAAACTTATTAAACAATATTAAGGAATTGTTAACATTGTTAGGGTGATAATGATATTATAGTTTTTTTTTATAGTTAACAGTTGTTATATTTAGGTGGTAGATACATCAATATGTTCAAGTTCCTTATACTATTCTTGGTTTTTTGTATGTTCTTGACATTTTTTATAATAAAAAAGTAAAAAAAAAAAAGTTAGCTCAAGATTGTTTCCCCACTTTCTCCTGAAATAATGTAGAGACACTG
Organism: Homo sapiens; assembly: GCF_000001405.40. NCBI lineage: Eukaryota > Metazoa > Chordata > Mammalia > Primates > Hominidae > Homo > Homo sapiens. Next base: position 62,552,716 of record NC_000012.12, read on the forward strand.
ACAGAAGAAGAGATGTTTTCATTGAATCTATTCTACTAGGAAAGAGATTTTTGAAGTAATGTTTTTAAAGTTTTACTCTGAAAGGTAAAACAGCCACATGTTGCATATTTATGTGTTTAAAACAAAACCTTGGATGAACTAATATTTTTCTACTTTGCTTTTTAGTGGAATATTTCAGATTATTTTTTCCAAAGAGGGGAAACTATTGAAAAAGAACTAAATAAGGAAGAGGCAGCACAGCAAAAGCAGGCAGAAGAGAAAGGAGTTGTTTTAAATCGGCCATTCCACCCTGCACCGCCATTTGATTGCTTGTGGTTATGTCTTTATGCAAAATTGGGTGAACTATGTGTGGATCCCCGTCCTGCTGTCAGGAAGAGTGCAGGGCAAACTCTGTTTTCTACAATTGGTGCGCATGGAACTTTATTACAGCATTCAACCTGGCACACTGTTATCTGGAAGGTATTGTAAAATAGATTGGACTATCAGCTTTTAATGAGTCATGCTTATATATTAATACTTTTTCAGTTAAACTTATTTCTTTTAATTTTTAAAGAATTTCCATGCATTTGTGTATTTGACAAAACAGGAAATAACTGTGTCATATTGTAAATTGTACCTCATAAAGAGCAAATTAAATATTAACAGCCTTATCTCTGTTTCTGTCTTCATCTCTTATTATTATATCTCTCGTGATTTCTGCCTTTGCCTTTCTGTCTCCTTTTTTTCCCCCAGTTTTCCCAAATGGTAAAAACCAGGAGTTACTAAACAACAAAGGGTAATCAATCCCTTACCATAGAGTAGAAAGCTTTTGGGGTTTTTGTTTGTTTTACTTTTGAGGTCTACTTATAGATATGTAATTTAAATATAATCAAAAGAGAATTTTATTAACAGATGAATATCAATAGCAATGAAGTTTATTTGTAGACTCACCAAACAAAAGTAACCTCCAAATGGTATATTGTACATGTAATGTTTATTCATTAAATTACAATTTCATTTTTTTCTTCTTTTGAAACTTTCTAATAAAATCAGCAGTTTATTAGTGATCATTCCCTCTTTGCTAAAAGTCTCATCTTTTTTGTTCCATCTGTTCCATTATAATAAAATTCTGTTTATAATCCTTTCACTTGCTTTTGTGAGTTTTTCAAATTAATAGACCCCAAAATGTCTTCTTAAAAAATTAATGGGCTGGGCATGGTGACTGACACCTGTAATCCCAGTACTTTAGGAGGCTGAGGCAGCAGGATCACCTGAGGTCAGGGGTTCAAGACCAACCTGGCCAATATGGTGAAACCCCATATCTATTATAGTAAAAGCCCTCTTTCCTTCTGTCTTGTATTTCAGTTCCATCCCATAGTTCCTCCTCAGATCACAAACATGCTTAATTCTCCCATACAGTTTGTTTTTAATCTAATACTTTTCTGATTCTAATTTTCCTTTCAAGCAACTTCATTTTTTATCTTCTTGCTGCCTAATTCTTAATGATTTTTTTCTCACACACCTTGCATTGTCTTATTTTCTGTAATTGATTTCCAGACTATTCTACTTCAGTCTCTTAAACATTAGAGAATAACAGAATCACCTTAAAGACTTGTTAAAGCACAGATTTTTGAGCCACTATTGTCAGCCCTCCCTGAACTTGAGTTTCTGATTATTTTGGCCTGGAGTGAGTCCTGAGAATTTGAATTTCTATCAAGTTCCTGGGTGAAGCTTGATGCTGCTGGTTAGTTCAGAGACCACACTTTGAGAAACACAGAAATTATTCATAGGCTACAGTTGGTCTTTTTTTGTGAGTGAAAGATAGGGTCTTGCTCTGTCACCCAGGCTTGAGTGCAGCGGCCTGATCGTAGCACACTACAGCCTTGACCTGCCAGGCTCAAGCGATCCTCCCACCTCAGCCTCTTGAGTAGCTAGGACTGTAGGCTCACACTACCAAGCCCAGCTAATTTTTAAAATTTTTTTTGTAGAGATAGTCTCACCATATTGCCCCGGCTGTTCTCAAACTCTAGGCTTCAAGCAATCATCCCCACTTTATGGCCTTCCAAAGCACTGGGATTACAGGTGTGAGCCATCTCCAGTAATTCTACTTTTGTCCTGGACCCCTCTCCTTACCTTTGTGTGTGTGTGTTTTTGTTTTGTCGTGATCTCTGCTCACTGCAAGCTCCGCCTTCCAGATTCACACCATTCTCCTGCCTCAGCCTCCCGAGTAGCTGGGACTACACGCGCCCGCCACCACACCCGGCTAATTTTTTTTGTATTTTTAGTAGAGACAGGGTTTCACTGTGTTAGCCAGGATGGTCTCGATCTCCTGACCTCGTGATCCGCCCGCCTCGGCCTCCCAAAGTGCTGGGATTACAGGCATGAGCCACTGCGCCTGGCCAGCTTTGTTCTTTTCTTATACATTAACCCATAAATTCTCCATTGATGCCTCAACAAGTCTTATATTTTATCCATTTAATTTAATTTAATTTTTTTTTTGAGACAGGATCTCACTCTGTTGCCCAGGATGGCATGCAGTGGCATGATCACAGCTCACTGCAGCCTCAACCTCTCCTGGGGGCTCAGGTGATCCTCCCACCTCAGCCTCCCAAGTAGCTGGGACTACAGATGTATAACACCACATTTAGCTAATTTTGGGTTTTTTTTTTGGTAGGGACTGGGTTTCGCCATGTTGCCCAGGCTGGTCTTGAACTCCTGGGCTCAAGCAATCTGCCCACCTTGGCTTCCCAAAGTGCCAGGATTACAGATGTGAGCCATTGTGCCCAACCTTATTTTTTTATATTCCATGATAAACTTAAGAATGTATAATTATGGCCAGGCACAGTGGCCCACGCCTGTAATCCCAACACTTTGGGAGGTCGAGGCGGGCAGTTCACCTCAGGTCAGAAGTTCGAGACCAGCCTGGCCAACATGATGAAACCCCATCTCTACTAAAAATACAAAAATTAGCTGGTGTGGTGGTGGACACCTGTAATCCCAGCTACTCAGGAGTCTGAGGCAGGAGAATCACTTGGACCTGGGAGGCAGAGGTTGCAGTGAGGCGAGATTGTGCCATTGCACTCCAGCCTGGATGATAGAGTGAGACTCCATCTAAAAAAAAAAAAAAAAAAAGAATGTATAATTACTCTATTGGTCAGTTTCCTCCAATATATAGGGATTGATAAGACTGTCAAGTATATTTTTTGTAACAATTTGTAGATTCTTATGCTGTTGCTCCTATGCTATTACTTAAGCTATATTATCAATGCATTTTAAATGACATTTTAATAAATATTTAGGTACTCTTTCATCTACTGGACAGAGTTCGAGAGTCCTCTACCACTGCAGACAAAGAAAAGATTGAGTCTGGAGGTGGCAATATTCTCATTCATCATTCAAGGGACACCGCCGAGAAGCAATGGGCTGAGACGTGGGTATTAACATTGGCTGGAGTAGCAAGGATCTTCAACACTAGAAGATATTTGCTGCAGCCTTTAGGTATACGTACATTTTTTTCTGATTATACAAGTAATTAATGTTAAAAGAAATTTGGAAAATACAGACGATTCTTTTAGAGTCTATCTTAACTTAGTCTTTATGTGTGGTGTGTGTGTAAGCATCTGTGTTTTCATTCGTTTGTACCTACTGTGGGCTAGCCTCTAGAGGATACAATGAAAGGCAAAATACACGTCATTCTTGCTATCATGGGCATGAGGAAGTACCCATAATTACATAAATAAAGGCGAAATTTCTACAATGATGTGTTACAAGGAGTGGTACTTTGTGAGCTTCGGTAAGTATTTGACCTGGCCAGTGAATTCCAGATGGACTTTCCTGAGAAAGCAATAGTTTTCCTGAGATCTGTAGGGTAAGTAGGAGTTCATCAGGCAAGAGTAAGACGAAGTGTGGAGAGCCTTATAGTCAATGAGAGAATGTAAAAGAGACAGGAGAAGATTGAGGAAAAGAGATGGTGGATGCTAGCATGTTTAAAGGTCTAGAATGAGGAGAATAAGAAAGAGTTTGATTATCAAAGAGATTGAGAGGTAGTGAAAGGCCAGATCATCCAGATCATGTAGAATGTGTTAGGAGAAAGTTAGGAGGCTGGGCATGGTGGCTCATGCCTATAATCTCAACACTTCGGAAGGCTGAGGCAACAGGATAGCTTGAGCCCAGGAGTTTGAAACCAGCCTGAGAAATATAATGAGATCTCATCTCTACAAAAATTTTTTTAAAATAAAAAATCATCCAAATGTGGTGGTGCACACCTGCAATCCCAGCTACTTGGGAGGCTGAGTTGCAAGGCTTGCTTGAGCCTGGGATGTGGAGGTTGCTGCAGTTAGCCAAGATCGTGCCACTGCACTCAAGTCTGCGTGACAGAGTGAGACCCTGTCTCGAAAAAAAAAAAAGGATTTCATCCTAAGAGCAATGAAAAAAACTACTGATAGATTTTAATTCATGATTTGACATGATCAAATATGCACTTCAAAAAGATCACAAAGTGCATGTCTTAGTGTATATGTAGAATGGAATGGCAACAAGGAAGGATGACAGGATGTTGTTGGACTGGTTAGGAAGCTGTTGGTTGTGTATATCAGTGGTTCTCAAACAGGGCCTATTATACTCCCATAAGACATTTGGCAATTTTGGAGACATTTTTAGTTGTCATAACTGGGGAAGGTTGAGCATTACTGCTATCTGGGGAGGGTAGAGGCAAGGGTTGATGCTACACATCTTACAATGCAGCCTCCTATAACAAAGAATTATACAACCAGAAATGTCAATGGACTAAGACTGAGAAACCTGGTTGCCGATTATACTACTTTCAATTCTGGTGGTAATGCTGGTGGTGGTAGAAAAAGGTGAACAGAGATACTTTTGTACATAGTTATGAGCATGTTGTACATATTATCTATTTTATTATTTCGTGTTTGGCATTTTTTAAACTAATTTATGTTAAAGCACAAGCATATTTACTCATTCCATAAGCATTTTTGTATATTGTTCTTTATGTGCACTTTTTTCTCCTTTTTTCCAAAAACTATTTATGGTGTCTGATCCATTTAGCATGTTAGGGCTTGGTATATGTATTTTTAAATATTGGGATTTTTTCATATAAAATTTACGTACAGTGAAATGCACAAATTTTCACTGTACATTTGCTAAGTTTTGACAAAATGAGCATCATTTTTAGTACCTTCATGATATTTCTCTTAAAAGCTGAGAACGAATAGATTTATATATATATATATATATATATATATATATATATTTTTTTTTTTTTTTTTTTTTTTTTTTTTGAGATGGAGTCTCGTTCTTGTTGCCCAGGCTGGAGTGCAATGGCACGATCTTGGCTCACCCCAACCTCTGCCTCCCAGGTTCAAGCGATTCTCCTGCCTCAGCCTCCTGAGTAGCAGGGATTACAGACAGGCATGCGCCACCATGCCCGGCTAATTTTGTATTTTTAGTAGAAACGGGATTTCTTCATGTTGGTCAGGCTAGTCTCAAACTCCTGACTTCAGGTGATCTGCCTGCCTCAGCCTCCCAAAGTGCTGGGATTACAGGCGTGAGCCATCACGCCCAGCCTAGATTTAGATTTTTTTTAAATGAAGACATAAGACAGTTAATGTCTTTGATAATTTTTTATAACTTTAAGAAATGATATTTGTTATTTTAGAATAAGTTTTATATTTTTAACATAACCACGTGCAATATATAATTATATCTACTCTTTTAAAGGGACCCCTTCTCTGACATAAAATATGTTAATAGAGAAATTGCAGGAGTTTTTCTCCCTAAATGGCACGGGATATTCTAAATCTGATATTAGGTCACCATTCTGATTGGCAAATATAGTGATTCATGAGACTTTTAAACTTTGATGGCAACAGGTAGAAGTGTTTTAATTGTTTGACATTTTAAAATGTAATTTGTCAAAACTCTTTTAAACAGTTTACTTAAAATTCTGTGTTTTTATTGTATGTAAATTATACCTCAATTTTTTTTTTTTTTTTTGAGATGGAGTTTTGGAGTTTCACTCTTGTTGCCCAGGCTGGAGTGCAGTGGTGTGATCTCGGCTCACTGAAACCTCTGCCTCCTAGGTTCAAGCGATTCTCTTGCCTCGGCCTCTGAGTAGCTGGGATTACAGGTGCCCACCACCATGCCCAGCTAATTTTTTGTATTTTTAGTCGAGACAGGGTTTCATCATGTTGGCCAGGCTGGTCCCGAACTCCTGACCTCTGGTGATCCACCCGCCTTGGCCTTCCAAAGTGCAGGGATTACAGATGTGAGGCACTGGGCCCAGCCCTCAATTTTTAATAAAAAGAATATGGAGGGGAAAGATGCATATAACTAGGCAGGTGTTACAGTTTGTCCAGAGTAGGCAGATAGTACCTATTGTTTTATACCAGACCTACTTCAAGCTTTTCTATTAACCGACTGCTTTCCCAGGAATTTGGGGTTTATCCCTTTTTTAAAAAAATCTGGTCATTTATCAGCTTTCCAAAATGAAAGTCCTTAAACCTTGATTATTTATTTTACATGTTTCATAGCCTACTTATGTTGTACTGCTTTGGAAAATATCAACTTTCCTAATTTTTTACATCATTTTAATGTAGGTATGTGGATAATAATCCATGTTATTAACAAAGCCAGTAGGCTTGTTTGCTGTAGGGAAAAGATCTGGCTGGACATGGTGGCTCATGGCTGTAATCCCAGCCCTTTGGAAGACTGAGGCAGGAGGATTGCTTGAGCCCAGCATGGGCAACATGGTGAAACCCTATCTCTACAAAAAATACAAAAATTAGCCAAGTGTGGTGGTGTGCATCTGTAGTCCCAGCTACTCAGGAAGCTGAGGTAGGAGGATCGCTTGAGCCCAGGAGTTCAAGACCAGACTGGACAACATAGCAAGATCCCATCACTACAAAAAATAATTTAAAAATAAATTAGCCAGGCATGGTGGCATGTGCCTGTGATCCCAGCCACACTTGGGAGGCTGAGGTGGGAGAATCACTTGAGCTCAGTGAGCCATGATCATACCACATGACACTCTAGCCTGGGTAACAGAGTGTGATACCATCTCTTAAAAAAAAAAAAAGAAAAAAATTCTGCAGCTCTAAAATAATTTAAATATGAAAACTAAAGTATAAAGTTAAGATTTATGAATGTGACATAGTTTATCTTAAATATTTAGGCCAATAAAAAAACATGTATTATACTGTCCTAAGTTACGACTTTTCCAATGATTCTCTGGTTAAGAACGAGAACTTCTTACTTAATCATTAATAAAGGTGGGTAGACTGAAGATGTTACTGAAATGCTTTTGTTTCAACCTCGTTGATTTAATTTTCTGTTATCCTTTGGCAGAAGTTCTGGGAAATGGTATAAATATGTATAAGTACATACATATTTTGGGGTTTTTAATTTTTTTTATTTCAGTAGCTTTTGGGGTACAAGTGGTTATTGGTTACATGGATGAATTGTATAGTGGTGAAGTCTGAGATTTTAGTGCACTCGTCACCTACCTGAGTTTTGTTTTTAAGATTGAAACATTATTTGATATATCCATCATCCTCCTCTTGGTGCCCTTTGTTCCTATATCTGAAAAATTTTTTTACTGAATTTCTAGGTTGTGATAATTTTAATTCCCATTGTTAGTACCTTAGTACCTAGTCATATATTTTCCAGTTCTGTAGGATTTTAAGCAGAAAAATTAAGCAAATATGCTTTCAAGTGTCTAATATGAAGAGAAAATTTGATCGCTTTTATGATAATAGTTTTTTTTTCTCTTCCTAATATAGGAGATTTTTCAAGAGCTTGGGATGTTCTTCTTGACCATATACAGTCAGCAGCACTCAGCAAAAACAATGAAGTATCTCTGGCTGCTCTGAAAAGCTTCCAGGAAATTTTACAGATTGTGTCCCCTGTCAGAGACTCAGATAAGCCTGAGACACCACCTGTAGTTAATGTACCTGTGCCTGTTCTTATAGGGCCCATATCAGGCATGAGCAGGCCATTTGTAAGAACAGATTCCATTGGAGAAAAACTAGGAAGATATAGTAGCTCTGAGCCACCCATTGTTACTGATGAGCTTGAAGATTTGAATCTATGGTGGGCTGCGTGGAATACCTGGTATAGAATTGGATCTGAAAGTACTAAGCCTCCTATTACTTTTGATAAACTAACTTTTATTCCTAGCCAGCCTTTTCTTACAGCTTTAATTCAGATATTTCCAGCTCTCTACCAACACATAAAAACTGGTTTCAATATGGATGACTTGCAAAAGTTGGGAGTCATATTGCACAGTGCTATTTCAGTCCCAATAAGTTCAGATGCATCCCCTTTTATTCTTCCATCTTATACCGAAGCAGTTTTGACAAGTTTACAGGAAGCTGTACTTACAGCTTTAGATGTTCTCCAAAAGGTAATATAATTTTAGTGGCTAAGTAATACTGCATATAGTTCTCTGAAATTTTTTTTATTTTGCTATATATTTGCGGGGATAAATTTTAGATCATCAAGATTGTTTTATATGTATACTTTGGGATAAACTGAGGATTGTCAAGATCTAGGTATTTTGAAAACTTGTGGATTTCTGTTGCATTTTGAAAGGTAATTCATGTATGTTTTGAATCTTAAAGAAGCTGCCTGCATCCTAATGTTTCACTTCACCAGGATTTTTGGTTTGTCCACGCAAGTCTTCACAAGAGGATATAATATTTGGAATAAAAGTTTTAGTAAAGTACTTTTATAATTAGAAAATTAATAAGCAGTGGGATTATATTTTTTTAATCTGTGCTTAAATTTAGTTCTGAAATTATTGAAAGCCTATATTAAAAAAAGAAATTTATAAAAAGTATTTTTCCTCATGGTTTTTAAAGAGATTTATTTTTACTGTGTGTATTTTGTTATTGCAAAAAAAATACTATTCAGATAAACAGATCTAAAATTATGGAGCAAATTCAGATTAGCAAGCAAGGCTAGATCAAATTCAAAGTGTTTTTTAGACTAGCAAGAAAAATTGATAGCACAATTCACAGTCATCAAAATGCTAAGCTTTAAAAAAATGCCAACTGAGTAGCCAGCCATTCCAACAAAGTAAAAACATTCTAATAAGATTGGAGTAGATCTAGATTCTGATCACACATGTTATCAGTAACCATTTGTGTAGTGTAAATTAGATTTCTGATTAACTGCATCTTACCCAACTGGAATGATAAAAATTTTCACAGTAAGAATTTCTACTGTATGATGATACCTCTTAATTACCTCTGGAAGAAGTTTAGCTGAGCAGTAGTTCTTGAACTGTTGAACCCTAGTTGTGTTGTGCAGGAAAAAAGAATCTGGCATTTAAAAAAATTCAGTGTAGGGGTATTAGTTTTCTACAATTGAACTCAAAATACCCATCTTTATTTTCAATGGGGAAGAAAAGTAATTACCCACCCTGTCCATTGGACATGCAAATAAGTTGCTTATAGACTTCAGGGGATGGAAGAGTTATCCTATCAGAAAAGAAAATAAGACATAGGCCCTTTGAGATGCCCGTAATCTGGTACTCTGATTCAGATCTTTGATTCAGGTTTTTATATATGTGTACAGGATAAACAAGAAACTTTTTTTTTTTTTCAGAAAAAAATGTAAGTTTTATTTTTAAAAAACTCTGCTTTAGCAGTGAGAGGAAAAGTGGAATCATTTATCCCAACTACTAGTAATTTGTTCAGAGCTTTTAATAGCTTTGAAAACAGTCTGAAACTTTGGAAGGGTTATTGTTGTTAATTTATATTATTTTAAAATTATTATTAATGTTCACACTAGCCATTGTTGTGTTGTATGATTACCTAAATGATGTTTCATAGACCTTGAATGTGAGATTTTTAATGGGTTTCTAGTATCTCCTAACAGAAAAATGTATATTTTATTATCAGAGTGTTTTTATATTTTTTTCCACAGATGTAAGAAAATTTTTGCACAAGCCAAATTTACTTGCTTTTGGACTTTATCCTTAAACTAATAGTTATCGAGCAAAACACTTTATTGATAGAAAGCTATTTTCTTTCCTAAGAGATAAACTGATTTCTGATATCATGTTTTCTTTCTAAAGGGGAGCATTTATGTTGTTCTTCCTCAGTGCTTTTATATTGTTTAGGACTTCAAGTTCTCAGTCTTCTCTTTGTTCTCAAACCACCAGTTCCCAGCCAAGTTGACTTAGTTATATGTGCTAATTTATTTATTTATGTATTGCCAAGTTATTTTAGCATACATAGAGGAACTGGGAATTTAATTATCTGCTTTCTGTATGTGCTTTACTGTAAGTCCTGAAGTCAGGAAACTGCATCTGTCTTATTTTTTGCTAAACTTCTTAGTCAGATGGCTGGATACCATATCTGCATTAATCACCGGGGCTGCCGGAGTTGCACTCCAGGAGACAGCATCACATTGTATGTGAATGATGCCCTTGGAGTTGTGTAACAAAGCCCTGTCTTCTAAATAACATGGGCAAGTTTCTTAATCTTTCTATACTTCAGCCTCCTCATCTATAAAGTAAAAATAATAAGTCTACAACTTTTTGCTTGTTATGTGGGATATTTGTAAGGCACTTAGTGCCTGGCATGAGTTAAACATCCAGTAAATGTTAGCTGTTGTTATTTTCATCATCAAGTTCTCTAGCAAAGACCTTAGTACGTGCCAGGCACTGAAAAGATTATTATTAAATGAGTTAGTAAGTGAAACCTTAAACAATATAAGAAATCAGGTGTTCAATATTTTTTCTTGTCTTCAAATAGACAGCTTTCAAGGACTAATAGGAAATATTATCTAGATTGCTTATCAGTTCTTAGCTTTTGGACTAAAATTTGTTATCAGGTTTATTCTATAGATTTTTCTGATATTCAGACTTCAGAATACTGAAGAAAAGCCCATAAAAACTTTTTCTTAGATGGAGTTTGTTGTTAAAAAATTGTGGGTTCCAAATTATGCATTTTAAAGTCCCCAAATTGCTCTATATATCAACTATAACACTATTAGTATGTTTTCTTATCATAAAGGACCATTGAAAATCAAAATGCATAGTTAAGTCATTAATTTGTGTTAAGATTCTTACAAAGAAATTATAATACTTAGTTTTCTCAGGTACCCACATAGGTTTTTTGTTGTTGTTAGACATTGAAAATAAAACAATTCACTTAGAGTAATTCAGTCTCTTTTTCCACAGTAATTACTACTTGTTTACTTCTAAGAGTTAAGATCCAGCAAGAGGTTAATGAGGAAGAAAGTAGAACTATTACAAGCAGTCAGTAAAGAGAATTTTTAGAGTGTATAAATTTTACTATTCAAATTCTTCATTATTTCTGAGAAAAAAATATTGAGACATGGTATTAGATGTCTTTTTACTACTTTCTTACATTATAATTATAGGACAATCACACTTGGGTATGGGGAGCACTTGCATATCTACTTTATATCTCAGTGCAGTTTTATCTAAAAGTTCCGTTATAGCTAAATGGCTACATCTCCTCTGAGGGAAAATAAAACTAATGTGTTATCTAATAAGCTAAAAGCCATGGAGTGCATAAAATAAATTTTGTACATACTGTTTTTAAAGAAACTTTTTAAAAAAGTTAAATGGTTTGAATTTTGGTTTAAGATTTTAAGAGTACCTACCCTCTCAGGCATAAAGTGATCATCCTTTTTGTCTTATAAAGCACAAGTATATTTTAGACACTTCATAAATAATATCATTAAATGTTTTTCTCATGGAGAAAAATGAAGACTTAAACAAGAAAATACGAAAAGAAAAATTTGTGGCTAGAAAAAAAAACCCAATTTAAGTATTTTCAACACATTTGAAATAATTAAAATCTGCAGTATCATGATATGCATTTTATTCTTTCTTCCTATCAAATTATTTGAAGTAAGAAACCTAGAGAAACTAGTTACTATTTATTAAAATGTTTTCTTATATTAAAATATTTTATTTTAAATCAAATCGATATATTTAGATACATTTCACATTAAATATACACAGCCCTGTCAAAAATTAATCCATACATTTCTTTTAGAAACAAATTTTCGTAGATGACTTATTTTCCCAACTGTAACACACATGATTATTTGTTTAAGTTGGTGGACCAGGCATGGTGCAGAAATCAGATGTCATTTCAATGAACTGATATCACAGAATTTGAAGTCAGTGTCATCGTGGTCAGTCACACATTCTTAATGGCCTAATGGCTGTATTACTGAACAAATGATCAGATTGTAGAACCTGAGGACTGCCTGGGACTTCACTTTGTTGGCCCTTTTTCTATTCTTTTAAGAAATAAATCACACTGTAAAAAAGAACATTTTTTAGCTGATTAACAGTTTCAGCCTATACTTTATTCTATAACAGTTTAAAATAGTTTGTGTCCTTTAGGGCTCAGAAAAGATGGTATAATACATAAAATAAGACAGTTTTTAAGATTCTGTGGTTAAACAAATATATACACAGTAAAGAACTTAATGGAGTTCAGATTATGCATTCTAATGTTCTTATTTTGCTTTTATAGGCCATTTGTGTAGGACCAGAAAACATGCAGATAATGTATCCAGCTATATTTGACCAGTTGTTGGCATTTGTAGAATTTTCCTGTAAACCTCCACAGTATGGACAGCTGGAAACAAAGCACATTGCAAATGCAAAATATAATCAGGTAATTTACTGTAAATTTTATTTACTTTGTAAGATTTCATGGCTTATAAATACAGATAGTTCCACTTAAGATGGACTTTGATTATCTCGGAAAAGGATACTTTTCACTCACAAATATATTTATACATGTCTGTTAGCAGTTTAAGCTGAACAGAAATATTGTTTGGGAAACTAGTTCTGTGTTCTTTTTCTCCTCATTTATGACTTTCCTCTTCCAACTGATTCTTCAGAAAGTTTGGCCTTTCATATTACTCTCCAGTACATCTTTCTTGAAAAATATAAGTTCCTTTGTACCTCTTTCTTGGTTGCCCCATCCCAATACAAAACAGCTTCTAAATCCCTAAGTCTAATCTTACTTAAAACAGATACCTGCCATGCAAGATGAAGAAACTGTTTGTACTAAATAAGAAGTTGTACACTACTGGTGTGAAGTTTAGTTGGATTTTATATAAAATATTTTTATAGCCATAGTTGGCAAATTTTAACTTTGTTTAAGTAAATTTCTGAATGCATGCCCATGCTGATTTTGTTCACTCAACATAAAAATTATAATTTTATATCGTCCGAAAGTAGTTTAAATATGTATTAACTTTTCTCATTCTATTTGTCTTGCAACACAATGGAATCACAATAGATCCAACTATTTGCACCGGTGAGTTAAATTTCCTAAAATTGTCCTAACCTCTTGGCAACAAATAAAGTACATCTTTCCCGGTTCTTGGTAGAATGCTGTATGTGCTTTTTCCAATAGTTTTAATTTTTGCCTGGCTGAAAATTATTTTTTTCATGAAGTACATATCTCTTTGAAAACTTTGCATGTAATATAATCTGACCTAAAACCAAGGCCTGAACTTTAAGACAAAGATGCTTTCTCTTTGAAAACAATATGATTAATTTAATCTCAGTTTATTTTTAACTGCATGTGAAAATATTACTTTCTAGGCGGAATGGGTAGCCTTGAATTATGTGCCGTTTGCTGAAAGGTCTTTAGAAGTAGTTGTGGATTTATACCAAAAAACAGCGTGTCACAAAGCAGTGGTGAATGAGAAAGTGCTCCAGAATATTATTAAGGTATCTTTTTTTCATTTCTACACTTTCATTAGATGGTGTGAACATTATTGAAATTATTCCTTAGGTAATACATTATCATTATATTGGGATAAATAGAAAATACAATTTGTAGTATTATTTGTAATGACTTTTCTCCAATATTCATGAATTGTATTTAGCAAGCCATTTTTCTAAAAGTTCTTTTTAGTGAAAAATATTTTAACATAAATATGCATTAAATTTGTTACAGTTCTTAATGAGAACACATGGACACAGGAAGGGGAGCATCACACACCGGGGCCTGTTGTGGGGTGGGGGGAGGGGGAGGGATAGCATTAGGAGAGATACCTAATGTAAATGATGAGTTAATGGGTGCAGCACACCAACATGGCACATGTATACATATGTAACAAACCTGCATGTTGTGCACATGTACCCTAAAACTTAAAGTATAATTAAAAAAAATTTGTTACAGTTCTTACATTTTCCCACATAACCCAGTGAGGGGGTTTCTTAGGACAATATTCCTCAAGGTTCAAGATTGATGAGCATTCAGAGAGAAATTCACAATGCAGCCCATACACTTAACTGAACATGCATGCTGACTTTTTTAAAGCCACTTTTTTAGTATATGGACAGCCATTTAAAAGATTCTTGTTGATTGTGTTCCATTCCTCTAAGGCTTATTTCTTGTTTTTCCCTCTGTTTTGAAGGACTAGCCCTAAACCTTGTTCTTCCTCTAGCATGTGGATGTACCTTATATTGATTGTATAAATACCAGACCAACTTGAGCTGTCTTCTCTAAAGACTCATCTATCCCAACCTTTCTTCATTGGTGATTATTTTCATTTTTCTTTCAGCCATCTCATACAAGGATTCTTAAGCCTTGGATACTACAAGAATTTTCTCTCAACTGTACTTACTACTCAAATTGTCATCCTCTTTCAGCTTTCCTTTATTTCCATATCCCTTAAACAGTTTGTGGCCTTCACCTAGTCACCACTCACTCTTTGCCTGTTGTGTGTTGGCTTACGTCCATATTGCTCCACAGAAACTGCTTTCTTAAACTTACAAAAGACCAAATCTTCACATCCTCAGTCCTTCTCTAATGATTTATCTTCCCTATAGCATGGTACTGGCCTTCTGAAACCTGAGCCTTCTGAAAGCTCTTTCTTCCCTTGACTTTCACGATACTTTTCTCTCCTCACTGCTTACCTCACCAAAACTATCCTCTCACTTTATTTATTGAGCATATTTTTGAAGCATCTTTCTACAAGGTGCTAGCAATTTTAAAATGAATAAAATGATTCTTAGATTTAATAATTCAATATGGAGAATAAAGAAAGGCAAACAAGTAATACTACAGTATGTTAAGTGCTAGGTAAAGACCATAGTGGAGGCTTTGCATTCAGATAGCCTGACTTCGAATAGTCCACTGTTACTGGCTTACTGCTTTATGACTTTTGGCAAATAGACCTATCTGAGCATGTTTCTCGTCTTTAAAAGAAGGATAATACCAATACTACTTACATGTCTTACCTATAATGAGAGAATCCATTGAGATACAGCATTTAATGATGCTTGCCAAGTAGTCAGTGCTGAATAAAAATTGAGTTCCTCTGAAAGACAAAAAACTAAGTCAACTGCTGAGGGGATTTGGGCAAGAATTAATAGAGATGACACTTGAAAAAGTTAAGAGTTAGGTTAAAAAGGGGGAGGCAGGTATTATAGGTAAATTAAGCCGTGTTAAAGATCATGGTATATTTTTAAGAAATGTTGAGAAATTTAGTTCAGAACCTGGGATATGTCTGAAAACATAACTGTTGGTCTTCTAAGCCATCATAAGATCAGACTTTATTCTTTAACCATTGAAGGATTAAACACTACAAAGTAATATGAATCAGTTTGTGTATTTTTATTTTTTTTAGAGACAGAGTTTTATTCTGTCACCCAGGCAGGAGTGGAGTGGCATAATTATAGCTTATTGCGGCCTCAAGCTCCTGATCTCATGTGATCTTCCTGCCTCAGCCTCCCAAGTCGCTGGGACTACAGGTGGGCACCACCACCCCCAGCTGATTTTTAAATTTTTTATAGAGACTGGATCTTGCTTTGTTGCCCAGGCTGGTCTCAAACTCCTGGCCTCAGGCAGTCCTCTAACCTCCTTCTCCCAAAGCACTAGGATTGTAGGTGTGAGCCACTGTGCCTGGCCTCAGTTTATATATATGTATACATCTTTTTTCTTTTTTTTGAGACAGACTCTTGCTCTATTGCCTGGGCTGGAGTGCAGTGGCTCAGTCACTGCAGTCTCCACCTCCCGGGTTCAAGCAGTTCTCCTGCCTCAGCCCCCTGAGTAGCTGGGAATACAGGCACACACCACCACGCATGGCTAATTTTTGTATTTTTAGTAGAGACGGGGTTTCACCTTGTTGGCTAGGCAGGTTTTGAACTCTTGCCCTCAAGTGATCCGCTCACCTCAGCCTCCCAAAGTGCTGGGATTAAAGGCATGAAACACCATGCCGAGCCACTCAGTTTGTATTTTTAAAGGAGTTAAATGATCTCTTTTCTATAATCCCATTTCATTGATGCCACTTACCACATTGTTTTGTGGTTAATTGGACAAGGCTCTTTCTCCAAAATTGTGAACCTTGTGGTGACAGGCAATTACTGAGCACATACTGTATACCACTTCCTGTTTAGATGTGTAAACATTTTTAAAAATAAAATATATAAATTGAATGGATCTGCTATGCTTAATGTTTTTCTTGATTTTAATAAAATATCAATTGCAGTAGCAAACCATACTTTTCTTTTATCTTAGCTTGAGTTATAAAATGTAAACTCAAAATGGCCCTATATCACTTAGTATTCTTTTGGTTGCAAATGACATACACTCAGGCTCTGACTAGCTTTAACAATAAAGGGAACTTTTGGGCATGCTTAATTGGAAAATTCAAAGATAGAGGAAGGCCATTATGACTGGCTGATCCAGTGGTTCAGCAGTATCATCAAAAACCACATTTCTTTCTCCAGAAAGTTCTGCTAAGAATTGACCATATCGTTTCTCTTCATAGCTGTAGGCCAGTAACAAGATTATATGTCCAATAGGAAGAGAGAGAGGAAGAGAGAGAGTGTGTATGTTCCTGCATACACACATTCACACACTTCTATTCTTCTTCTTAAGTTCCTAAAATTAATTTTTAGTGGATCAACTTTGGTCCCATACCCACTCTTGAACCAATGATTATGGCCAGGGAAATTGATTGGATTCATTGGCTTAATCAACTCATCATCTCTTTGCCTGAATTCCCAAACTGGAAGTAGGGACAGTTCCTCCCAAAGCACATGGATTATATGGAGGTGGAAGGAGGGGAAGGGGATAAATAGATTCTGGGTGTGCTAATTATCTGTTAATGAAGGCACATTTCAAGCTAATATGTAATGGTTAATATGTATATTGTATGAGTATTCAGTAATAATTTGTGTGGAAGATGATGATATTTGGTTTTATGTCCTTGAAATATGAAAATTTTTCTACTTTTAGACCCAAATTTTTACGTAACAGCAGAATTTTTACTCTAATGCAAATTGCCTGACAGTATGCCAAAACTGTTTGTCAGTGGTGCTGTGTGTTAGTTCATTATGATGTTTTGGTTAATCTAGTGTTCTAATTGCAAGATAGAACTGTGATCAGAGAAATTCATTCTGAACCACCAAATTAGTTCTTTTAATAAATAAAAGCCACCTGTCTCAAAAGTTGATCAGTTGAAAAGAGAAGTCACTATACTTAGTCACTATATATCTAGTCACTGTACATGACTCAAACGCTCTACTCCTGTACCCCTCAATGGTCAAATCTTAAATTATCAGTTTTACTGAACTATTTGGAGAAGGAAAAAAGTACACAAAAATAGAAGTAAAAAAGTACACAAAAATATTAGAGTAGGATATAAAATTCAAATAATTTTACAGATAGAACATACAACTTCAAAGTATTGACATTTTATGTTGTGTTTACTCTTCCCTCACCATTAGTGGGAAAATACAGTCATGTACTGCTTAAGGACCGAGATACGTTCTGAGAGATGCATCATTAGGCCGTTTCATCGTTGTCTGAACATCATAGTGTACTTACACAAACCTAGATGATATAGCCTACTTCACACCTATGCTATATGGTCTAACCTATATATGTGGCAGATGACTGCATAAGCAATATTGACCCTTTGCATATGGGATATCCACATCAGCCAAATTATTTTTTGCTGGAATAACTATGGCAGAATTTTCTTTTTCTTTTTTTTTTTTTTTTTTTTTTTTTTTTTGAGACAGAGTCTCACTCTGTTGCCGGGCTGGAGTACAGTGGTGTGATCTCGGCTCACTGCAACCTCTGCCTCCCGGGTTCAAGCGATTCTCTGCCTCAGCCTCCTGAGTAGCTGGGACTATAGGCACGTGCCACCACACCCAGCTCATTTTTGTATTTTTAGTAGAGATGAGGTTTCACCATGTTGGCCCAGATGGTCTTGATCTCTTGACCTCGTGATCCACCCACCTTGGCCTCCCAAAGTGCTGCGATTACAGGCGTGAGCCACCACGCTTGGCCAGAATTTTCTAATCCATAACATCGGGTTAAGAAAAGGTACAGAATTGTGTTTCCTTCTCTTAACTTTTCAGATAATATCCCTATTATTTATGATGAAAAACTGAGGTTCAAAAATGTTATTTATGTAGGCTCATTGTTTATAAGATAGAGATAGGATTTAAAAGTATATCTTTCCAGGCAGTATTTGAGGACTACGTCTGAGAATTGGCCTTTCTGCGAAATAACATCCTTTTTAAATGAAAATACCATCCTTTTTAAGATGAAAATACCTATGCTATTTTTTCTCTGCTGTAGTTTTTCTTAATTAAAATTGTGTGTGTATGTTTTAATTAATGCTTATATTAAACTGTCTTTATTTTCAGACTCTTAGGGTTCCTCTCAGTTTGAAGTATTCCTGCCCTTCTGAAAGCACATGGAAACTAGCAGTATCCTCTCTCCTCAGAGTTCTTTCTATTGGGCTACCTGTTGCCCGGCAGCATGCTTCTTCTGGAAAATTTGACAGTATGTGGCCAGAACTAGCCAATACTTTTGAAGATTTTCTCTTTACTAAAAGGTCAGCTCATTCATTTTTAAAATTAAGACAAGAAGTGGCACATTATATCTTCAGTTGCTCTAAAAACAGTTGTCTTTATTCATTAACAAAGTAATTGATTATAAAGGTTGCTAGATTGTATTAAAAACACACCTGAATTAGCCATTTATCCATTGGGTACATTATCCATGAACAATGGAGATTTTTGCTTTTTGTATTTTTGCTTATAAGACAGGAATATTATATATAAAACAATACAAATGCATCATATTTAAGAATTTTAACTTAATAAAACTAAGAAGATTCAGTTTTTAATTTGATGCCCATTGGGCATTGCAAGAGAAAAACAATGTTAGAAAATCAGTGTATTACCAGAATAAATAGGATGAGTGGCAATATAATGATCAGCTCTTTAAGATGTTTAGATTTGTCAAAGATTAACAATTTTCATTGTATGGTATCTAATTTAAAGCTTGTATTTAGGATGCTATTTCAACCCCTCACTGAACTACTTACTGTAGGATGATTGGAACACAGACTACATTTTTTGAATGAAGAATTTGCTGAGGTCCATCTAGAGTTGTGCTATTCAGTACAGTAGCAATTGCTAGTTACAAATGACTAATTAAAACCAAACTTTAAATAAAATTAAAATTTTCTTCAGTCTCTCTAGGCATGTTTTAAGTACTCATTGCCACGGGTGACTAGCAGCTGCCACACTGGGTAGAGCAGATTATTGGACATTTCCATCATCACAGAAAGTTGTGTTGGGCAGGACAGATTTAAAGCGTGCCCTTTTACTAAATGTGGACTTGTCTGTAATAGCTGTAATAGCCAGGCAGTGTTTAATCCTTCTAGCACAAGTAATTATCGTTTGTGTTACATTGGTGAAATTCTTTTCTGAGACAGAGCCTTGCTTTGTTGCCCAGACCCAAGTGCAGCAGTGTGATCACAGCTCACTGCAGCCTCGACCTCCCAGGCTCAAGCAATCCTCTCACCTCAGCCTCCTGAGTAGCTGGGACCACAAGTGCACACCACCACACCTGGCTAATTTTAAAATTTTTTGTAGAGATGGAGGGTCTCACTGTGTTGCCTAGGTGTCTTGAACTAACTTCTGGGCTCAAGTGATCCTCCCACTTCGGCTTCACAAAGTGCTGGGATTACAGGCATGAGCCACTGTGCCTGGCCAATTTTTTAAATGTTTGTATCCATCAATCATTTTTTGATATTGTAGAATGATACCGTGTACTGCTAAATAACCATTTAACATTATTAGTTTGAAGCCACTTAAATTATGGATTTGATGTACTTGAAGAAAAAAACTACATTGGCATATGGATAATGATTGAGTCCACAACAGAATGAATTAACTGAAAAAAATTTTCTTTACTATTCTAATATGGTTTAGTTATTCAGTAAAAAAAATTTCTAGGGTGCAGAAGATTAACTTGCATTTTCCCAGTAAAAGTTTGTCTTATAGTTCAGAATTTAAAATAATAACAGGTGATCCTAATTTCTGTCTTGCAAGTGGTCAGACTTTGTTTTGTAGTTTATGTATTTTTCACTTCTAGAAATGTTATTGATACCAATGTAAGCATACTCTGTTTCTGAAGGAAAAATTATAGGCGCTCATAAACTATATTCAAACAAATTATGTTTTCATCTTTAAAATAACTCTGAAAATTTGAGTTCCTTCGTAGACATAAGAGCCTGAGTCACTGTTAATTTGTATCAAGCACATAGGTTGAGAAATTTACATTTTTCCTTTTATTTTCTAATTGTCTATATATGCTTAATGCCCCATTAACAAATTGAATAAGCTTTCAGATCAGCTTTTTTTTTTTTTTTGCAATGAGTAAAACTTCTTTAAGTATTGCTTTCCCTAGCAAGGTGTGGTGACACACCTGTAATCCCAGCTACTTTGGGAGGCTGAGGTGGGAGGATTGCCGAGGCCCAGGAGTCAAATCCAGCCTGAGCAACATAGCAAGATCCTGTATATAAAAAAAAATGGTTTTCTATGTAAAATAATAATATTTTATATAATTTTGTATTAATGCAGTTGTAGTATAATTTCATTTAAAATTTTAGCTCTAAATTTGGAGGTTTTTTTTTGCTTGTTTTTGTTTTTCTTGAGAGTTTTTCTGCCATCTTCCTTATTCTTGAATTTCTTATTAAATATTCTTCACTTTCTGGACTTTATTCTTATTTTATTAAATCCCGTTTTCTGAAGTTTTTTAATATAGAAAAGTGGACACTGGAACCAAAGGCCAAATAATAGTATTTTACATAATTTTGTATCAATGCAGTTGTAGTATAATTTCATTTAAAATATTTTGCCTGATTATGGCTCTACTTACCTTAAAGGTTTGAGTATGTTTGGTGTGTTGGAAAATACATTACTTAAGAAGCAGCCAGCATAGTGGATAAGAGCATTGGCTTGGCAACCAGACTACCTGGATTCAAATCCCAGTAGTACTACTTTGTACTACTTTTTAGACAAGTTATTAAACCTTTCAGTGACTCATTTTTCCTCATCTGTTAAATGTCAATAATAATGCTCCCTAACTTACAGGGTTATTGTGAGGATTAAATCACTTAAAATGAATGAATGCTTAGAATAGCACCTGGCATGTAAGTACTTTAAAATGCTTGTTTCCACTATTATTGTCATTAATGTTTTTTCTTTCTTTTAAAAAAGGTGACATTATCCATATTAATTCCCATGAAACAACTATTATTTTAAACCAAAATTCTAAAGGCCAAAACTCTAAATGACTGAGACTTGGAAATTTAGCTCTAAATTTGGAGGTTTTTGTTTGTTTTTGTTTTTCTTGAGACAGTGTCTCGCTCTGTCACCCAGGCTGGAGTGAAGTCGCATGTTCATGGCTCACTGCGGCCTTGACCTCCTGGCCTCAGGTGATTCTCCCACCTCAGCCTCTCTTGTAGCTCGGACTATAGGCATGCACCACCACACCCAGCTAATTTTTGTATTTTTTTTGTAGAGATGGGATTTTGCCATGTTGCCCAGGCTTGGAGTTATTTTTAATGGCTAAAAATAATAAAGCTTCTAAATTCAGCTCTCAAGTAACACAGTATCAGTATTCTAAGTTATGGTTATTCTAGTTACAGATTTAAGCTTTCTACTCCATGGAGTAGTTGATGAACACCCTAGATTGAGAGTCAGGAGACCTGTGACCTGGTCCTGACTTGCTGTCTACTTTCTGTTGATCGTGAGCTGGTCCTTTCCCATCACTAGGCATTATTTTCTTTATTTGAAAGACAAAAAGAAGGCCAACCGGAGTACGTAATCCCAGCATTTTGTGAGGCCAAGTTGGGTGGATTGCTTGGGCCCAGGAGTTCAAGACCAGCCTGGGCAACATAGTGAGACTCCGCCTCTACAAAAAAAATTTAAAAATTAGCCAGATATGGTGGCATGTGCCTGTAGTCCCAGCTACTTGGGATGCTGAGGTGGGATGATCACTTGAGCCCAGGAGGTTGAGATTGCAGTGAGCTGTGACTGTGCCACTGCACTCCAGCCTGGGCAACAGAGTGAGACCCTGTCTCAACAAAGAAAGATGAAAAGTTATTTGTTGGAGTAATTGTAAAGGTCCATGAATGTTTAATCATGGACAGCTTATACTGGATAAAGCCAGTTTAGTTTTTGTTTCATAGTTCAAAAATACTTTAAGGCTCAAATTGAAAGCTTTTATTGGTCAGTTGATACTAAAAGTGCAGTGTTAAGAGAACTTAAAAACCATGCACATTTTCAGTTTCATAACAGGTTTTCTCTTTGTTTTTATTTTCTAAATAATTGATAACTTTGGAGGTCATAAACTTTTAGATTTTAAACCTTACTTAATGCCACATATGTACTATGTTCTATAGCTGAAGTTTATCAGTAGTGTTTGAACAGTAGGAAGATTGTTTTGGAAAGTTGCTTGGAATAGCAAGACTTAATGAATTTAAATAAGACTAATACTTGATTATTTTTTATATTGGTACCTTTATAAATCCTTTAACCTAATTAATACATACTCTAAGACTTTAAGAATAAACATATCTCTGTCTGTAATATTCCCCAAACTTTTTGATCTGCAAGATGCTTTGGCAAGGGAATACAATAACACAGAAAATACAAATAAAATGAACTAGCAGAAAAGAAAGCCTTTGCATGTCGTTGAGGGCTATAAGTAAACAGTTTAAGAGAAAGAAAAAGACAAAGTTGAAAAACACAAGGACTGCAATTTGGTAGACACTTGAAGTCTATTAGAAATTCATTTAGCCAACTTTGAGTACCAAAACATGGTAGTTATAAAGGAGACACAATGGGTGAGTGGGAAGTTACACAATCTGTGGACCTTACATTAAAAATCACAAAGTACTGTGCAAAAGAATTGAAAACACATGTTTACACAAAAACTTGTACACTAATGTTCATAGCAGTGTTATTCATAGTAGCAAAAAAGTGAAATTGAATGTAATATATTCAATATTCAATATATTGAATGTAATATAGTAGCAAAAAAGACAAATTGAATGTAATGTATTCATACAGTGGAACATTATTCAGCCATAAAAAAGAATGAAGTGCTAATGCATGCTCAAACATGGATGAACATTTACAACATAATGCTAAGCGGAAGAAACTAGACACAAAAGGCTATATATTGTATGATCTTGTTTATGGGATATATCCAGAGTAACAAATCCATAGAGACAAAGTAGATTTATGGTTCCCAGGAGTTGAGGGGAAGGGAGATGAGGGAGAGTGACTGCTAATGGGTACAGATCTTTTTGGGGGGGTGATCAAAATGTTCTGGAATTAGAAATGGTGATGGTTGTACAACTTTATGAATATACTAAGGAACACTAAATTGTATATTTTAAAAGGGTGAATTTTATAATATATAGATTATATTGCAACAAAAATTTTAATATGTCATACAGAGAGAACTGACAAAATACAAATAACACTTTATAAGTTTGAAGGCTCTTTTTTATTTTAAATAAAGATTCATGAAAATAAATTTTTAAAGATTACTGTAGTTTTCAAATTTAAGGAATTTAAGATCTTACATGGCTTATTTGTAACCTGCAGTATTGACCATTGCCCCTTATAATTTATAGGTAAATTCTGTTAATCAGCATTTTTAAAAGCTCAATCGATGTTTTTGATATGTTTGCTAGTTATAAATTAAATAACTATTAGTTATCCAGTTTTTAGTTTTGTATGCTACTCTCTTCCCTCATCATATGATATTTTAAAAATCTAGTTCAGTGTTTCTGATATATGATCCAAATAATATTAATATTATTAATGTGTTGAAATAAACACACTAATACACCTTAGCACACAGTATACACACTAAAAGTATTAATATTGTTAGTGTGTATATTTCTATAAACACTAATAATATAGAAATATACACACTAATAATATTAATATTATTTTATTATTTTTGCCTCTTCATTTTTTGTTGATCATCAACTCATCCTTAGTTACCTCCACCATCATCACAAATCTTTTAATATTACTAAACCCTTACCTTCCTTGGTTATAAATTAAAATTAAACACAACTTTTGTCTCTAGAGATGCAGATATAGTCTGTGAAGCTGCTTTGATGGCAGTGATTGTGAAATTCCTCTGATTGGTTCAGGTTTGGGTAAATTTCTTTCAGTTTTTTTACTCTAGTTCCTACTACCAATTTATAGTTAGCTTAGGACTTGGACACCAGAATCTAAGTTCTATGAGAAATGGACTGAGTCTGTCCTGTTCACAGCTAGATCTTGAACACCCAAGAATATAATACCTGATGCAAAGTAGTTGGTACTCAGTAGATATTTGTTGAATGAAAAATGTCCAAATCAAAGAAACCACAGTCTGATGCCCATATATTCCTATATACAAAATTGTACATTATACTTAATATACAGAAGTGTATATTAAACCTAAATGTTCTAATACTATTTTTACATCTACAACATAAAAAAGAATAATGTAGGCTCAAATATCAGATAAATCTAGGTTGAGATTGTGGCCTCATCATTTACTTAAAGTGTGTTCTTGGGCATATTAGTAGGCATTCTAAGTTTCAGTTCCCTCTTCTCTTGATTATATAATAATTACTACATGGAATTGCTATGGGAGATTAATACAAATAAAGCTCATAGTACTGTGGCTGTCTAACTTTTTAGCTGTCATTATTCTAACAGTTATTACTATCCTATTCTCAACTGTTTTTAAATAGTATCTTGCTGTTTTTTAACTTTATGTCCATTTTACTGTTCACTCTTATGAGCCACAGAGTCTGGAATCCACCTTGGTTCTCTCAGAACTATTGATTTTCTTTGTTCTTGTTGGAACAATTTTCTGCTTTAGAAAATCTGCATCAGTCTTCTTCTTTACAGATTTTCCCTCTTTATTGTAAAGATCTTTAATCCATTGTATTTATTACAAATTAATGATTAATGGACTGTCTCTGAGTGAATAATTCAGCAGCTGAACTAAGGCTGTCTTAAATAACCACCAATATAAGTGAATTCAGGTAACACCACAATGGTAACTTTTGCTCTGCTGCAGATGATAGCTCTTTACCTTTCGTTGTTTTTTCATTCATAATATTGAAATAAGTTTAGTTCTACAGATTTTATTTAGTTCAAGATTGGACCTAGTGTTTTTGTAGTTAGAGTATCATGTTTGTAATTAGCTTAGTCATTTAAACTAATGACTTTAATTTACAACATTACTCTTTTAAATAAATAATAATGCCCCAACCTGGGTTGGAAGACATAATTTTTTGACATTTGAATACTGTTTTTCTATTTTGTTTGTATTTGCAGGGAATATTTTATCTTTAAAAATCAAGTGTTTTTTTTTTTTAGCATACCTCCAGATAATCTCTCTATTCAAGAGTTTCAAAGAAATGAAAATATTGATGTCGAGGTAAGGAGGCTATTTAAAATGTTTTCCTGTGACCATTTTTGAAACCAAATAGTAAAAATGTTTGAACTATACAGTTGCTGAAAGAATAAAGTAATAGGTTAAGATTAAAACTGAAAGCATTAAAACTCTTACAGGTTAAACGTTGATGTTTAAAGGACTGGCATTTTAAAAGTGACTTCCTTAGATTTGTTACAGTCTTGTGCTTTGTGCGTGTTGTCCCAATACTTAGTTGTGTTCATTTAATAAGTTTAAAAAGAGTTTATTCGATGAAATAAATCCATCAGTCAGGAGGCATATATTTGAGAGCTTACTCTGCAGTTTGACATACCAGATGTTTCTGGTTCAAATTAATCAGAAAGTTGCTTGAATTTTTCAGTTTTTAATCAGCTGTATATACAGCCTATGGAATTCTTAAAGCAAATAGTGTTTTTTAAAGAATATATTTTGAGGCTGGGAACTGTGACTCGTACTTGTAATCCTAGTGCTTTGAGAGGCTGAGGCAGGAGGATTGCTTGAGACCAGGAGTTTGAGACCAGCCTAGGCAACATAGCAAGACACCATCTCTACAAAAAAAAAAAAGTTTTTTAAGTTAATTGGGCATGGTGGTTCACACCTGTAGTCCTAGTTTCTCGGGAGACTGAAGTGAGAGGATCACTTGAGCTCAGGAGTTGGAGGCTGCAGTGAGCTACAGCTGTACCACTGTGCTTCAGCCTGGGCAACAGAGCAAGACCCTGTCTCTGAAAAAAAAAAGTAAAAAAAATAAGTAAAAAAGTAAGAAATATGTTTTGAGGATTATAAATGGAATTTAAATAAGCAGTTCTTGTGGTTGTGGATTTTTTTGTTGATGGTAGGGTTTTGGTGGTTTTTTTCCTTTAAGTGGGATAGAGGAACTTTTAAGTAAATAAAATCAATTACATTACTTTAAAATATACATTTGGCCGGGCGCGGTGGCTCACACCTGTAATCTCAGCACTTTGGGAGGTGGAGGCAGGCAGACCATGAGGTCAGGAGATTGAGACCATCCTGGTTAACATGGTGAAACCCCGTCTCTACTAAAAAAAAAAAAAAAAATTAGCTGGGCGTGGTGGTGGGCCCCTGTAGTCCCAGCTACTTGGGAGGCTGAGGCAGGGGAATGGCGTGAGCCTGGGAGGCGGAGCTTGCAGTGAGCCGAGATCACGCCACTGCACTGCAGCCTGGGTGACAGAGCAAGACTCCATTTCAAAATAAATAAATAAATAAAATATACATTTAAAATGCATAGGCATTATCATATGGAAACAAAATATTGCCTTTCGTGCCATTACTGTATTAAAGCTCTTGTGGACTTTAAAGGGCAAAATAACATACTACATGTTAGAGATAAACTATTTGACAAAAATGAATATAACTTTAATTTCTCTTACAGCTGATAGTTTTTGGTTATAAAAAGTGATTTAAATGTTATTCTTAATCCTATTTTGAATATTTTAATTCTAACATGGGTAAATTTCATATGCTATTTTTCTCTAGAGCCCTATTTGCAGTTATCATGCTGAAGATCAACATTTGTCCAAATGGTTGGCATAGTAAACAGTTATGGTACTGACTATTTTGTATTAAAGTTACTAGGACAGATGAGAGAAACAGATTAGTAGTCATTCTGTATGTTAACATTAAAATGTTTGTGTACTTCTTTAAAGGAGAGTTCTTTAACTGATTTTCATTTAAAGTAAAATTTAAATTTTACTCTAGAAATTATTTTAGTCTCTTTCAAAGAAAACAATACATTTGCATTTGCCTCTTTTGTTTTAGGTAGTTCAACTTATCAGCAATGAGATACTACCTTATGCCAATTTTATTCCTAAGGAATTTGTTGGTCAAATAATGACAATGCTTAACAAGGGCTCAATACATTCTCAGTCATCTTCATTTACAGGTATGTTAATTTTTTTAAGTATTAAAAAGTATTGAAGTACTTTTGAAGAAACTGTCAGTAGAAATGTTTAATCCTATGATTTTGGTAATGTAAACTGGAGAATGGTAAGGTGATTTTTAGGATTGTAATATAGAACTAAGCTTTATGAGGAGAAATGTTATGACATGACTATTCTGTGGAATAGAATGTTTTTATTCCATGTTTCTATTCTGTGAAATACTGTGTTTCTGATCATATATCAGAAACACTGAACTAAATTTTTTAAATATCATAACTGCAAACTGTGAAGAATTAAATTGCAAAGCACTTTATGGAATCCATGGATGTCACTGCAGGCTGACAGAAGTTACCAGTTTTGTGAAGTCATAGATTGGAAAGGAATATAAAAATATGAATGTATATTCTGCCACTTAGCAGTCAATTAACTTTTGAGTCTCAGTTTTGTAATCTTTAAAATGGAGATATTAATACCATCTTCTCAGGACTATAAATTACAGAGTTCATTTAAAAAAATAAGATGCCTCAACATTTTTTAAGGGAATTAACATTTACTCAGTGCCAACTATGTACAAGATACTATGCTAGAATGTTATATTATTTCTCACAACATTTCTGTGAGGATAGGTAAGACCATATTACAGGAAAGAAAATTGATTTAGAAAGGTTGAAAAAATTGCTCACAATCTTAGGGCTAGAGGCCAAATTCATGCTTAAAAAGAACTACATGCTTCTTTTCATTATATCATGCTGCCTTAATTGGGAACTGATATATAAATTACTGTTTGTTATTAATTCTCTTTTTGTAAACCTGAGCTCAAGTCTTAAACTGTGGCATCAGCCAGGTGCAGTGATTCATGCCCATAATCCTAGTGTTCTGGGATCGCTAGGTGGGATCCCAAGGTGGGAGGATCGCTTGAGGCCAGTAGTTTGAGACCAGCCTGGGCAGCACAGTGAGACTGCCTCTGTCTCTACAAAAGATTTTAAAATTAGCTGGGCATGGTGACACATGCCTGTAGTCCTAGATACTCGGGTGGCTGAAGTGGGATGGCTTGAGCCCAGGAGGCCGAGGTGACGGAGTTATGATTGTACCACTGCATTTTAGAGTGCACTCTGGGCAACAGAGCAAGACTCTTGTCTCATATATATGTATATATGATTTAAAAACTACATTTTGGGAGGCCGAGACGGGCAGATCACTTAAGGTCAGGAGTTCAAGACCAGCCTGGCCAACACGGTGAAACCCTGTCTCCACTAAAAATAATTAGCCAGGTGTGATGGCATTTGTCTGTTATCCCAGCTACACAGGAGGCTGAGGCAGGAAAATTGCTTGATTCGGGAAGCGGAGGTTGCAGTGAGCCAGGATCACACTACTGCACTCCAGCCTGGGCGACAGAGCGAGACTGTCTCAAAAACAAAAAAGAAAAAAGAAACTGTAAATTTGTGCCATGCAGATCCTTAATCCTCAGAATTTACTAGAGCCTTAACTAGCTTCTCCTATTTTGTGCTGAGCATTTTAAAGAGCATTTATGTGTACAGTTTGACCACTAGATGTCTCTCATACTGCTCACTTCACATACTAGTTCTTTTTTCTAGCCCAAACAGTTTTTAAAACTGGCCTGGTAAAGTGTGGGTTTAGCAAACATGAGAATCTCGGGGAAAATTTTAAACCCCGCTTATCTTAATGTAGCCAACTTTTTATTATTAAGAGTATGTGAAAATATTTAACTTTTAATAAAATACACATTAAGAACAATATTCACAATTAGGTATAAATGTCCAAAGTTAAATAAGGGCTATTGAGTTACCAAGTATACTTTTACTGGCAGTTTTCTGATAATATATCTTGCTATGTATAGTATTAAATTTACCAAGACAAGAAAGGTGCATGGACATTCTTTCAGTGACTTTGCCATATGACACATGTCTTCTCAGCACTAACTTGGAGTTTTCCAACACCTGGGAAGCTTCACGTGAGAGTCCTTCACCACCACAACAATGCTCCTGCTCATTCCTCTCATCAGACAAGGGCAATTTTGTAAGAGTTTCAGTGGGAAATCATTAGGCATCCACTTTACAGTTGTAATTTGGCTCTTTTTGTTTTCTTTTTGTTTCGGATCTTAAAATACCATTGAAGGACAGCCTTTTTCTTCAGTCAATAATGTAAAAAAGACAGCATTGACATGGTTAAATTCCCAGGACCTCAGTTTTTTACAGATAAACTAAATGGCTGGTATCATCGCTTACAAAAGTGTCTTGAACTTGATTGAGCTTATGTTGAAAAATAAAGTTTGTAGTTTTCATTAAAAAAAAAAAACTTAGAGTTTTCCTTAAACATATACATACAAAACTTTTATTTGCTAAACAAGGCCAACCTGTAAACACAGAGGTTCCAGTGATGATTGGCCTTTTGCTTTTAAGTATGATCTGATAGTCAGAGCTCACAGACATTTGAGGAAATTCTCTAACACCAAAGAGAAAGACCAAAACAAATGAAGAGAGAGTAAAAGAAATTGGAAGGAAACAGATAAAATGCAGAGTCACTGAAAACATAAAACCAGTTAGGATGATCAAAGAGATAAAAGAACAATTTAAAAAATGCTACATAAAAGGAGCAGTAGAAAAAGAAAGAAGGCTGGGCACGGTGGCTCAGGCCTGTATTCCCAGCATTTGGGAGGCCGAGGCAGGAGGATCACTTGAGCCCAGGAGTTTGAGACAAGCCTGGGCAACATGGCAAAACCCCATCTCTACAAAAAATACAAATGTTAGCTGGGTGAGGTAGTTTATGACTGTAGTCCCAGTTACTTGGGAGGCTGAGGTGGGAGGATCACCTGAGCCCAGGAGAACAAGGCTGCAATGAGCTGTGATCACACCACTGCACTCCAGCCTAGGTGACAGACTAGAGACTCTGTCTCAAAAACAAAAAAAACAAGACGAGAAAGAACTCATAGAAACTAAAGATGTAGAGTTCAGTGAAAGGTAGAAAGGAGAAGTAAAATGAATCCAGGGAGCCTAACATCTGACAAAGAAAGAACAAAGAAAATCTAGGAGAAGGAATTATCAAAGAAATAAACTGAAGAACTGAAGAACAAAACTTCCAGATTAAAAATAGTCAGTATCAAAAACAGTGAAAGAAAAAAGACCCAAATCAGGCATGTCATTATGAAATATCAGAATACCTGGGATAAAGAGAAGACCCTAAAAGATTTCAGAAAGAAAGAAAAAAAGTTCAGTATAAAAGACATTGGAGGCCAGGCACAGTGGCTCATGCCTGTAATCCCAGCACTATGGGAGGCTGAGATGGGTGGATCACTTGAAGTCAAGAGTTCGAGACTGTCCTGGCCAACACAGTGAAACCCTGTCTCTACTAAAAAAAAAAAAAAAATACAAAAATTAGCCAGGTGTGGTGGTGCGTGCCTGTAATCCCAGCTACTCGGGAGTCTGAGGTGGGAGGATCATTTGAACCTGGGAGGTGGAGGTTGCAGTAAGCTGAGATCATGCCACTGCACTCCAGCCTGGGTGACAGAGTGAAGACCCTGTCTCAAAAAAAAAAAAAACAAAAAAAAAAAACAGACAGTGGAATTCTCAGACGCAGTATTGGATGCTAAAAGACATTGAAGCAGTGGTTTTAGAGTTGTAAATGGAAAGGACTTTTAACATGGAAGCTCCATGTTAAAACTCATACTGTTGGCCAAGTATGAGTGTAAAACAGTAATTCTCCAATTTCAGCATGCATCCTAATCAACCAGAGGACAAGCAATTGCTGAGTTGTACCCCCTGAATTTCTGATTCAGTAAGACTGGGAGGCATGTGAATTTACATTTCTAACAAGTTCTCTGGTAATGCTGATGCTGCAGGGTACATTTTTGAGTACCATAATATATGACATTTTCGGAGGTACATGCGCTCAAAAGTTTTACTTCTCATTGATTGTTTCTTAGGAAGCTACTTCAAAATATGCTCTGTAAAAGCAAAGTAGTAAACCAAGGAAAAATAAGGCATGAGGCTGGGTGCCATGGCTCACGCCTGTAATCTCAGCACTTTGGGAAGCCAAGGCTGGCGGATCACGAGGTCAGGAAATCGAGACCATCCTGGCTAACACAGTGAAACACTGTCTCTACTAAAAATACAAAAAATTAGCTGGGTGTGGTGGCACGTGCCTGTAGTCCCAGCTATTCAGGAGGCTGAGGCAGGAGAATTGCTTGAACCCAGGAGGCAGAGGTTGCGGTGAGCCAAGATTACACCACTGCACTCCTGCCTGGGCAACAAGATGAGACTCTGTCTCAACAAAAAAAAAAAAAAAAAAAAAAAGGAGATCTTGGAAGTGGGATCTAACTTGAGAGAATGGAAACAATTTCCAGAGTGATGGCAAAGACTAGTTTCAGGATATAACAGAACAGCGTGTCTAGAGAGCAACTGCCGGACTGGAGCAGAGGTCACGTTCCAGGAAAGAAGTTGCTAGGAGAGGGAAAAAGAGAGAAAAAGAGAATACTGCAAGTTTGACCACATGAAAAACTATTGTGAAGTATATTTTACAGTGCTGTTTTATGGTATAGAAAGACCAAATCAAGAAATATGTTGAATAGAAGTGATGAGGATCTTGCCTTGTTTTTGATCTTGTGAGGGGGAATTTGTTTCTCTCTACATGCACACACACACACACACACACACACACACACACACACACACACACAAAACAAAAAAAAACAAAAAAAAAACACATTTTCACTATATGTATGCTATTAGCTATAGGTTGTTCTAGGTGCCTTTCACCAGATTGAGGAATTTCTCTCTATTCCTAGTTTGCTAAGCATTGTTATCATTAAAGCTCATTGATTTAACTTCTATTAACCATCAAAATTTGTTAATTTTACAGAAGCAGAGATTGATATTCGTTTGAGAGAGGAATTTTCTAAAATGTGTTTTGAAACATTACTCCAGTTTTCCTTCAGTAATAAAGTCACAACACCTCAAGAAGGCTACATCTCACGAATGGCACTCTCAGTGCTTTTAAAGAGGTCCCAAGATGTACTACATCGCTATATAGAGGATGAAAGATTAAGTGGTAAATGCCCTCTTCCAAGGTATATATTTCATTTTATTAAAGAAATAAATGTATTGTTGTACTAATTGTTGATAACAAGGAAAACTCTGAAAAGCAAGTGTTTTTGTAAGTGATCTGAACTAAGCTGAAGTTGTTTATAATCTTATTTATCCCATATGGTGTAAATATTCACAGGTTTTCCTGCAGATATATTAACATGTTTTGTTATGGGGTGCTTTTTTAGATCCCTCATGGAGATTATGTAACATATGATACATAGGTACCAAATTACCTTTTTGAATTAAAAAAAAATAAACTGAATTCCAAAATATATCTTCTTCCAGAGATTTCTGGATAAGTACTTGTGGATCTCTATGAGCACATGATATTATTTCTCTAAAGTGAAAATCATAAATCATATTTTAGGAATATCCTAGTTTGTTTTACAGTCATTTGCAGGTTTCTCTCTGTGTCAGCTAGCCTGATCTTAGGTCTTCTTTTCATCCAATCTGCTTAGTTAAGCCCATGGACCTAAACTGATTTATTTCTCATCTGTTCAGCCTGTGTCAGTGGAAGGTGCACTAGGCTTTTCTGATCAGCCAAGGCTAATCAGAGTTGGAGTACAGACCAGAATTCAACAAAGGATACAGTCATAAATTAGGGTTAGGTTTGCAAATACTTTTATAATGTGGAAATTAGAGTTTAAGGCATAACTAATGAAGCAAACAGAAAATAACATGGGAAAACAAAGTTATCAAAGTCAGGAAAGACGAAAATCATTGTTCCCGTCTCATAAGGTAGGACTGGAGAGGCAAATCACCAGTGTTAAATCTTTGTGCACATTTTAATTTACTTATAATAAATTTCTGAAGTTGGAATTGACCTGTCAAAAGGCACAGACATTTTATAGCTTTTGATATGCATTAACCAAATTTCCCAACAGAGATTTATACCAATTTACATTCTCCCAGGAATGTGTGAATGTCCCTTTCCTCAATTTTTAGCATTTTTAAATTATTTGCCAGTTTATCATTTATCTTTTTCTAATTTGATGAATGAAAAATAGTCATGTGGTACTTTGCTTTCATTTTTTAATTACCAATGCATATTAGCTATTTGTATTTCTTCTTTTAGGATCCAGTGTATTTTGAATTTCTAGAACTTAAATTATAACTCCTTATACTCAAATTTATACACAAAAACACTCCAAAGACAGATGTTAGTAATTTGGCTATGGGCATGATTGAAAATTGATTTCTGAAGTATACTTGGAAATGTGGTAATAAGGTTGTTTTGAGTGGAATATTGTTAGAACATATTTATATATTATAAAATATTTTTTGATTTCAGAAGAAAACTTTCACCTTATTTTTTAATGTTCTAAGTCTTTACTTTTTAACTACTACCTTTAAATTGAGCCTTATTTATAATTGTCCTATGAAGTTATATTGTATCATTCTGTGTTTGTTGCAGTATCATTTAATTGTTTTGTAAAAAGCTACATTGCAACACAATAAAATACTTCAATGCTTACAATAGGAAGTCTTGAAATAGTATCCTGACATGGTATTAGAAAGTCTTATCTGCAGAATAACACAAATGCACACCAGGAATGGGGAGGGATGAGGGCGGACCAGAGACCAGAAGAGCTTTGTTTTTATGAGGAGAAAGAAGGGAATCACGCTACTCTTGTTGACTCTTTACTCCAAGTTCATTCTTCATTGCTAATGTCTCCAAATAGTGCTACCTTAGGATTGATTTCCAGAATGTTTCTTGTTTGTATTATTAGAAAGTTAAATAAGTACCATTGTAATTTTGAATATACTTTCAACAGCATGGTAGAATATATGCCATGTGGTAATAGTAGTCTTTGTTTCCATTTAAGCTTTGGCAAATCTCTTTTAGTACTAATTAGTTTAAAAAAAAAAAAACTTGTAGAGAAGTTTTAAAAGCATGTATTATAAAATGTTTTAAGGGCAGGGCACAGTGGCTCATGCCTGTAATCCCAGCACTTTAGGAGGCCGAGGCAGGAGGATCACTTGGCAGGGGGATCACTTGAGCCCAGGAGTTCGAGACCAGCATGGGCAGCATAGCAAGCAAGACCTTGTTTCTACTTTAAAAAAAAAAAAAAATTAGCCAGACAATGTGGCATGCCCCTGTAGTCCCAGCTACTCGGGAGGCTAAGTGGGAGGATCACTTGAGCGCAAGTCAAGGCTGCAGTGAGCTGTGATCTCACCATTGCACTCCAGTCTAAGTGACAGAGCAAGACCCTGTCTCAAAAAATCAATAAATAAAAATAAAACGTTTTAATTTTAAGTAGTTATGTGAAATATCTTACAAATAAATTTAATTTTTCAGGAGTAGATTGCCCCACCTCTTTATTAATTGATAAGTCATGGCAAGAATAACTACAAATTTGATTTGCACACTGAAGTACATATAAATAAAATGATTTTTACTTTTATATGAATTTAAAACTAACATTAACCTTGCATTGTATTGTGTTCAGTATTTTTCAAAAGTTCATCTATTTGTACAAACTTAGTTTAAAAAACAAACATACCTGGCAACTTTAAAATCTTAATGGAAATGATTTCCTATCTCTTTTTCAGGCAACAAGTAACAGAAATTATATTTGTTTTAAAAGCAGTCAGTACTCTTATTGATTCACTTAAGAAAACTCAGCCTGAGAATGGTAAGTGCTTAGAAACAGTTATTCTAAATTCGTAACATTTATGTTCTATTTGTGATGGACTTTTGTCTGTTAATTTAACTGAATTATAGGAACATAGCAGTCATTAGACTTCTTTTCTCCAGTTCTCATGACAACAAAGCATCAAGTCCATTAGGATGTCAATTAAGTAAAATTAATTTGTGATGTTTTCATTTTTTATGAAGCAGTCTACCTTACTTTTTTTTTTTTACTATATTGTTCTGAAGTCAGGTTATTGCAAGAATAATCCATATTTCATATATTTTTAATGTAGAAGATAATTGACTTATTTGGGGACAGGTGGAAAAGGGCTTTATCATCTATTCGTACTGATTTACTTTGCAGATACAAACTGTATAAATAACTTTGAATCATTTTTACCATTCTTTCTCATTTGTTTGCCCTTTCTGTTGTTCATTCCTGTCCAGTCCATTCTTTACATGATAGCCGGAAATGATTTTTCCATAGTAGGGCTTTGATCATTTATTTCCTCATCCTCCCAAAGCAAAAAAATATTTTTCATTTACCGTTTCCTACCAAATTGCAAAGAATACTCCAGTCTGACTCCATTCTAGTCACACTTTATTTCCCACAATAGATTTCATTTCCCCTACTCTGCACTAAACTAAAATTCTCAATCTTCCCAAATTTTTTCAACCTTTTGTTTATTTCATTATCCAGCTTGTATCAGCCTATTTGGAATACCACCCTACTTTTAAACCTTGTTTTTAATCTCTTAAAGGTAAATAATTTTTCTTTTCATTGAATGCAAAGCTTTTTTATGTGTACTTGTCTCGAAGCACTCTATTTGTATTACAATTATGCATGTACATGACTCATCTCCCTTTACATTGTTAAGATTTTTGAGGGGCTTTTCAGACCATGTTTTGTTCTATTTTGAATCCTCTACAACATTGCTTTTCAAAGTATGGTTTGTTGGACCAGCCATTGATTGGCTTCAACAGTTTTGTTACTGGTCTGGGACAAGATAGTGAGCTGGCATCAGAATATAAATCAGATGTGTCACTAAACACACTGCTTGGTTCAGCTGACTTTTTTTTATACAAGAAGACATTGGTAAAGAAGAAAACTGTGTGTTGGTTTACATTCTGGCACAAGCTTCTTATTTTGTAGCAGATTGGCACCTTAAGGAGCATTACTTTTAATATCCAAGAAAAAAGTAGATTCCTAGTAAATTACTAATGAATGAGTTGTAGGATATTTGTTCCTGTCAACTATTATATAAGTGGAGTAAATACATATTTTTCTTTTGTTAAAATTCACCCATTGGTACTTTGGCCTAGAAAGGGTATTATACTAAATCTTAAGAGGCAGTACACTTGTCTTTATTCAACCCAAAGGGATGGATGGAATTTCTAAGAAAAAGCCTGGGGCAGTGTCCTGAATTTATCCCATTAGAGTTCAGATTTGGGTTTTCTTCAAAAAGTGTCCTGGGCTGGCACAGTGGCTCACACCTGTAATCCCAACACTTTGGGAGCCTGAGGTGGGAGGATTGCTTGAGCCTAGGAGTCTGAGACCATCCTGGACAGTGTAGTCAGACCCCATCTTTAAAAAAAAAAAAAAAAAAAAAGAACCAGAATGTGTATAAAGGGAGAAAAGGAAGCAAAAACTCAGTAACTCTTTTTTACAAAGCCAATAGGTTATATGTATAAGGCAGTGTAGTAATAGATGATCTAACTAAATGAATGTTAAAAAATTGTTGAATGGAGTTTGAATTATGTCTCTGGGTCTATGAAGTGAAAATTTAAATTGAATGTAAACATATAAGATGATATAACATTTTAGAAAGCTGTGGTAAGCTTTATTAAGAAAAAGAATGACTTCATTATTTGTTTTGGGGCTTTTTAGTGAGAGAAGATGCATTTGTTAGACTTATTTTTGTTTGGGGAGATTTTTTGGTTTTTGTCTTTTTTGAGACAGGCTCTTGCTCTGTCGCCCAGGCTAGTGTGCAGTGGTGTGATCTGTGCTTACTGCGGCGTTGACCTCCTGGGCTCAAGCGATCCTCCCGTCTTAGCCTCCCAAGTAGCTGGGACTGCAGATACGTGCCACCACACTCTGCTAATTGTTTTGTATTTTCAGTAGAGATAGGGTCTTGCCATGTTGGCCAGGCTGGTCTGATACTTCTGAGCTCAAGCAGTCTGCCCACCTTGGCCTCCGAAAGTGCTGGGATTGCAGGCATGAACAACCGCCCCCCAGCCAAGATTTTGTTTTCATCATTTTACTTGATCTTTATTTAAAATTTTAAATAGGTAGTATACATATACATGGTCCAAAAATCCAAAACTGTAAAATGATATACAGGGGAAAGTTTTAATATGATCTTTTCCTTATTCTCTATCTGCCCAGTTCTTACTTTACCACAGACAACCATTTTTATTAGTTTGTGGATCCCTCCAGAAGTTTATTATCTAAATACAAAGTACATATTCTAATACTCCCCCATCCCGGTTTTGTACACAAATGAATATTTGTACACAATGAATTTTGTACACAAATGAATATTTAGACAGAGTCTTGTTCTGTTGCCCAGGCTGGAGTGCAGTGGTGCTATCTCAGCTCACTGAAACCTCCGCCTCCTAGGTTTAAACGATTCTCCAGCCTCAGCCTCCCAAGTAGCTGGGACCACCACGTCTGGCTAATTTTTGTATTTTTAGTAGAGATGGGGTTTCACCATGTTGGCCAGGCCTGACCTCAGGTGATCCACCCGCCTTGGCCTCCCAAAGTGCTGGAATTACAGGCGTGAGCCACCACGCCAGCCTAAAACATATTTTAATTTAAGAAATTTGAGTTGCTTCCTTTGAGTTTAAGATGTCATCATAACATACTTTTGTGTTTTACCGTAATAAACTGAGGGTTAATTTGGTCAATTGACTCTCCATCTGGGACAACCTAGACAGGTTTCAATCTATCTAATCTTTTGTTAAATGATTAGTGTAAAGTTTCACAGGAGACAACTGAAGCAGAATTTTTAAAACTTCTTAGACAGTGGCTTTTTGACTTTTGTATTCTGTTAAGCAGCAAAATTCTTTTTACAAATGAAATGTGATGTGAATTCCCAACATATTAAAACAGAGAAAAGCAGAACAGCTCCAGCCTGACTCCTCACCCTCAGCAATACCCATCAGCTCTATTCCCCATTTCTTCTTATCACACCCACCCTGAGGAAGCCCCTGTTTGGGGAAAAAGGTTAAATTAACAGTATAGCATTTTTCCAAGATATGTACTAAGGCATGAACATTGATGATGTTTGATGTCAGTAGGTATTGGATGGAAAAAAAATCCATAATTAAGGGAACACTGGGTTAAAGTTAAATTTGTTCTTTTACTACAAGCCCTTAATAAATTGATATGAAGAATTAGTCTCCAAAAGGTGAGAGATATGAAACATCTGCCAAACTACTTTATCATGAGCTTTTTCCTAAGAAGTAAATTGAGGAACACTAGTTTGAGAAACACATTTCTTTATTTTACAGTGGAAGAAGTAAGATAAAGAGCAATTAAATGACTTGACCAGGGACACCCATCATTGCCTTATTTCAGAAAGAATTTTAGGCAATTGACACCCAGTAAATTGTAGTGAAAAACAGAATCAAAGCTCTCTACACATAGTATTTATTTTTCTTTAATACTATAATGCCTCTTAGATTTGAGACTTGTTTCACAAAATTTTAAAAATACCTAAAAGTCTAAAAAAAATCTTGCATATTGGGTGCCCAACATTATGCACAATACTTATAGGAAAATATAACTAATTGGGATATAACACTTTTGTCCTTTCAGTAGCAATAGCATTTAGCTGTACTATTTGTTCATGATAGTGGTGAAGAAGCCAGACATGGTTCCTCCCCACTCAAGTCTACATCTAATGATATACATTAAAGATTAGCAAACAGTACAAGACAAGAATGGATCTGTTTGTGACAGTTTGTAATTAAAAGGAATATCAAGGATATTACTGGGAAAATCATTAAACATATTTTGTATTTCAAAAGATTTCTACTTTTAGCAGACAACTGAAAAAGTTATTTTCTAATTCTTGAAATGTACACTACATCCTCTCGCAATTATATTAAAAATGACAAAGGTTTGGATTGTTCTGAATTGCTTTGTTAGCTTTCAGAGCCTTCACAAATTGAAATACCATTTAAAATGTACTTTATCAAATTTATTGTTACTGATGACTGCACACTGAGCATATATTTTTTCCCATACCTTATTAAATATAGCAGGAAATCTTTGAAAAATTAAAAAGATAAAAAGATACAAGCTTGTAGAATCTTCATGTTTCAGAGTTTTTTCTTTACATGCAGTTTAAAGGATTGTGTTCATGTTAATTGAATAATCTCTATTTAATTCCACCCTTTTGAGGTTTTATACTTTTGCATTACAGTTGATGGAAATACCTGGGCACAAGTAATTGCCTTATACCCAACTTTAGTAGAATGCATCACCTGTTCTTCTTCAGAAGTCTGTTCTGCACTTAAAGAGGCACTAGTTCCTTTTAAGGATTTCATGCAGCCACCAGCATCCAGAGTTCAAAATGGAGAATCTTGACCGGCTACAATATATTTGAAAGCAGGAAGATAGTCTAAAAAATGTTTGCTCCTAATTGAGTCTTCTGTGAGAAGGACATTTCTTACTGCAGATAATTCTTGGCAGCTGTTGTTGGCCTCCTTTAAATTCTACTTACCTGAGTTCAGTAATT
This sequence comes from Homo sapiens, assembly GCF_000001405.40. NCBI lineage: Eukaryota > Metazoa > Chordata > Mammalia > Primates > Hominidae > Homo > Homo sapiens. The sequence goes on from NC_000012.12 coordinate 62,592,901, forward strand.
CATATTACAGGCTTGCACATCAACAAAGGCTCCTGAATGAACAGCAGTGTAAGGCTTTAATAAATTAAACTGATGGGAGGGATAATTAACACTACAGTATACATGCTACCATATCTCCAGTTGGTGATTTAAAGTGAGCTTATGTACAGTTTGTGGTGTATGTGTTAATGATGTACTTTTTAAAAAGAAAGAAGAGATATTTCAATTCAGTCAGATTTATTAGTCTGGTGTTTTTGCACCCTTTTTCAAGTACAAAATCGTACTAGAATTTTATGCAAGATGGTACTGTAACATTCCATATTATCTATAACCAGCCTTTGTTAACAAAGGGAACTGATATACTTGTGTGTATAATAAATGGTACAGTTCTGTATAAAATAGTGCATTTATTTAAATTTTAAAAGTATTGATAATGTTAAATGCTTAAAGCTCTATTTATTATTAATACAAAATTGTTTGCTTACATTTTTACTTATAATTTGCCTTCATATGTGGCGGATAAGCTCACCATATGATCATGCAGTTAGCTTCATGCTTATTTTAAATGTATTATTAGTGACCATTAAACATCTGACCAGTAAGGTCATGTGAACACAGCAGCAAATAGTTTATGATTTGCTGATTTTGGAGCTTTGAAATATAGGTTCTTAATACATTGATACATATTGTAGCACTATGACTTCATCATACCTCATTTCTTTAAACAGCTCTCCAAGCTTTCACTGAAGTCTGTCTGTTTTTTATATTGGCTGTCTGGATTTTAAAGACTTTTCATATTTTATATTTCTACTGATTTTGTTTCCCCTAACAACATTTGTCACTGTCTTTGAATTATGACCCAGGCAAGATGATTTCAGATTTTCTAAAATCTTGCCTGTGAGGTTTTGTTCATATCAGTGCTTCATTTTGTAATGTCTTCTCAAGAAAAATACCTATGTTAACTCACAAGTATAAAATATGTGTGTATTATAAAACAATGAAAAGTGTATTTTTGGAGATAGTCAAGCATTTAGAAGTGCAGTGAACTTGCTGTCACGGAGTAAAATGCTAATTATGTTTCACTTTCCTAGCCTAGTGAAAAAGAAAAGTGCTCTTGAGTACAATACCTTAATTATTTCTTAAAATACTGACTTTGACCTAGCTCACTGTATTTTTTATTTAATGGATTATGGATTACAGTATTTTTCTTCTGAGTTAAATTTTCATAATTTATGTGAAGACACAAAGATGTTTAAAACAATGATTATTCATAAGAAATCATGATGGTCTCAGTATTATTTTAGTGTATTGGAAGGTCTTTGATCTTAATAGAATTTATAAATTTCAGCTTCTCCAGAATAATCATAAAACTGCAAAAAGATATTATAATTGAGTCATGATTGAGATACAGTTTTGAGGCTATTATAATTGTATAATTATTTAATTTGCATTATCTGTAAAATGTAGTAAGGTCTTTGAGGGGATATTTTTTATTTACATGAATTACTGAATTTCTATTTTATTATTTCACCTAAAATTAAGGTAAAATATGGCATTTCATAAGTTCTGCTTTCAGCATTTTCCTTAAAGTTGTAAAAAATCAAGCTATGTACTTATTTTCTATATTTGGGTGTGTTAAATTGAGGATTAGAAAAATCCACATAATCACTGATAAAGCATTGAAACAGAATAACCCAAGGGTAGTGTACCGATTCAGTAACATGTTAAAAATATTGCTATGCATTTATTCAAAGGAAAATGGTCTGTTCTTGAGAAATAAAAGATCAGTTGCAATTAGGATAATTAAATAGTTAAATATGAGTCAAGTGTATGCAATATACATTTATATGAACCAAAGCTTGCTTTATCAGGACCATGCCCTACAGTTCAAAACATAAACATAGTGAATGTGTTAATATCATATAATAAGGTAATAAATGCCAGTCTTAGTGTGAAGCAAGTGGGTGGCCCCCTTGGTAGTATAATTGGACAGGATTTTCCTCCAGAATATTTCCTGTCACCCTCCAAGAGTCACTACAGTAATTGATTGCTGGCATGGAACACATTGCCCTTGTCTTGTTAGTATGAATTGGGTTCTCCAGTGACTAGAAGAACTGGGGTGTGTGAAAGTATTCGATGCCAGGAGATTCAAAAAGGAAGCTCTCAAAGATAAGATCATTTTATGGCACAATTGAGTCTATAACCAGCCCTTTAAGCAGTAGTAAAAATGTCCTTTGTCATACTTACTAGAAATACTATGAGTTTTTTTTTTTTTTTTCATTTGAGACGGAGTCTCGCTCTGTCACCCAGGCTGGAATGCAGTGGCACGATCTTGGCTCACTGCAACCTCTGCTTCCCGGGTTCAAGCAGTTTCCTGCTTCAGACTTCCAAGTAGCTGGGATTACAGACATGCCACCATGCCAGGCTAATTTTTTTAATATTTTTAGTAGAGATGGGGTTTCACCATTTTGGCCATTCTAGTCTTGAACTCCTGACCTCAGGTGATCTGCCCGCCTTGGCCTCCCAAAGTGCTGACATTACAGGCCTGAGCCACTGCGCCCAGCCAATACCATGAGTTTTAAGCCTCACATCGTCACTTGCTGTCACTGCCAGTGCCTGTTTTATTCATATTGCTGGACAACAGACATATGCCACCAATTGTATGATTAATAAAGTCTTTTTCTGGCCATTTTGTCCATTATAAAGGAAATAAACTAATTGTTAACTTGCATAGATTACTTCTTAGTTTCCTATGCTACCACCACTGCCAAGGGAGAAAAAAATACATCATTTTGTAATGTCTTTAGTATTTCTTTATAACTAGTGTTAAGGTTTTGTTAATTTTATTGTATACATTTGTAACATTTATTAGGAGCCTTTTAGGTTCCAAAACAAACAAAAGGCATAAAAAAGTCTAGCTTAGAACCACTTTTCACTTGCTTTCATTTTTAATTTTATTCACTTAACAGCTAACATCTTTCTTGTTTCTTGTTTTTTCCATTATATGGTTATCGATTCAACTCTTGCTATATTCCTTAAATTTGTATGTATCATCAGAAGAAAGAGATGAACAATTTAGTGTAGATATTTTATTCTGGAGAATAATATTCAATTAAATTATTTCTACAGCAGGCCAGTAACAACTAGATTATTTGTCCTTTCTCAGTATAATTTTAAAGAGCATTTTGTTTTATTGTCACAATTTGGTACCACTAGTCCCAGGTAACCATTGGGCCAAAGGATCAGTTGAGAAACAGTTAAGGATGAATTAGCATAAGTTATGGAACAGTGTTAGAAAACAACTCAAAAGTATATTCTTTATTAATGAGGTGGTCATTATTACATTTGTGTCAATGAAGGGCAGTGTAGTTATTTTAAAATGACTAATATTTTCTCCCCAAATACAGAATAATTCAGATGGGCAACCAAGTTTTCAAGAGACTGCTGTAGGTGAAGTCTGTCTAGCCAAGGCAGAACACTTACAGGAGTCCCTAACTGTGCCACCCTTGGAATGGGTTAGTGTACAGGCTCAGAATATTGTGGATTACAGTTTTTCAGAGAAAACTACCACAGATGTAGACAAAAATGATCTCTGAAAGCATTGCCAGCAGCCAGGTATGTTCCTTAGATTTCCACTTAGGTTTGGCATTTTGGCAGATAAGCTAATCTTGTATAAAGCATCACATTTTACTATGCTTAGTGTTCCTGGGTTGTATTTATCTACATTATTAGAGGGAATTTTTATTTTAAAAAAATTGTCATTCATGAGAAGAATGGGAGTTCATGCCACATAGTATTTTACCAATTTATATAAAGTGGGAAAAGTCTTTAATACTTCATGATCACTTGAATTAAAGTTTTTGTATCTCTGGAAAGTAGAATAGTGCTTTCATTTGAATGAAAAGTGTTTATAGATTCAGAAAGAGAGATGATATCTTTGTATCTTGATTTATATACAGACCATTTCAGAGGAAGTTAAATGTCTTACAAATCCAATACTTTCTAATGCTCTAACAGTGTTGGCTATTTAAAAGAACATGTGGCAAGTTCTATATGAATATTCTTGGTCATCTCGACTAATTCTGAGGCAATGATGGACAGAGATGCTACTTCTTATTTAACTCTAGGCATGTTGACTTTTCAAAGCGGTTTCCTTATTTCTAAACAGAGATGATGATCAATGAGTTACTAATTCTTTAGAGGAAAAAATGCATAATTTGAGTGTGGAGTTGATTTTAATGACAGGGTAATTCAAGTTGTTTGATAAATTTATTACTATATTGTAAGAGAGATCTTTGACCATTTTTCTTCCTTTTTCTTGGACATCACTTTCTTCCCTCCCCTTCTCTCTTTTATGTTTTTATCCTTGTTAAATTTTATGTTTACGTTACCATCTTTCTTATACTTTCCCCTGATTTTTCTCTTTTAATTCCTCTTTCATTCTCTGCCTCTTCTCTTTCAGCTCTTTCTCTAATTGTGCCTATTCCTTGTTCATAAGAAGTGGAGCTGTTAGTGGTAGAACCACTGCTCATGGTTCTACCACTACAAAGTGGAAAGTAGAAATACTTTGCACTTTGGCCACTGTTGCGTTTTTGCCAAGGTAAAGTTCCCCTGCCATTTTGAAATAGCTGAACAAGTTAAAGTAATATGTTCCAAAAACTGGAAGTGCCATAAAAAACTAAAAATAAAAAAAAATTGTGACTATAACTCCTACTGTCTTTATGAATACACGGGATTCAGCAGCCAAGATGCTCACAAAATGGGATTGCTATAAATATGATGGATTCAGCACCTAAATTTGGAATAATCATGTCTTTTCTGTTATGTGGGTAGAGAGATTATATATCTTTTCTCAAAGTAAAGTATTTAAAACCTGTTTAAATGAGGGTTTTGGCTGGCGTGGTGGCCCACACCTGTAATCCCAGCACTTTGGGAAGCCAAGGTGGGAGTATCACTTGAGGCCAGGAGTTTGAGACTAGCCTAGACAACATAGCAAGATCCTATCTCTAGTTCAAAAAAATATTTTTAATTAGGGTTTTGGTTTTTTATGATTTTGGGGGGTGGGGGAGATATTTGTTTTTTTGAGGCAGACGTTTAAACTTTTAGATTTATCCCATCTTAATATTGATTTATATTGACACTGCCTACTTACAAGAATAATTTGAGGCAGCATATTGCCCATGTATTTCAACTATTTTCATTTTTCTGTTGCAAAGCAGTCTTTGATGGAAGACCCGGAATCTTATAGTTCTCATATCTGAGTCTTTCTGGAGTGTATTTGGTGTCTGTGTGATTGGTTCACCCAGAGGTCACCCAGAGGTCAATTGAAACCTTCCTAATTGTACTATGGTATTGATTCTATCCCCTCAAGTATGAAAAAATTAAATTTTCAGACCATTTTCAGTTGCTGCGAATGTAGTTACACTAAGTTTTATTTTAAACTAAAATTCAATAAACAGTGCAGCCAGGGAAGATCTGCTAAACCATGCCGTTATTTGGAAAATCATTGCAATATATTAACAACTGCTTCCTTCTATGATGTTTACTAGATGGAGAAAAATACTCCATACCTATATTGCAATTTTATTTTTATCTAGAAAAAGAAAATATTAGGCTTCAGACCCAACTGTGCAAATTTCATTTGCTTTCCATCTCTTACTACTACCTCTGTGTCATAATTTAACACGTAACATACAACTCCTGTCTCTTAAGGCAGCTACCATATGGTGTTTATGTCAGACTGGATATATTTATCTAATTTTGTGAAATTATTTTTTAGTTCCCAACACAATTCTTGAAAGTAATACCACTGTTGTTACTCTTTCTCCTTACAATTTTTATGTTGTTGAGATGTATCAGTTATGTATTATAATCATGAAATTGTATTGGCCTCAAACCCAAATTTTCTTTGTAGTCTAGGATAGATTTTTCATGAAAGCTATATAGTTATAACTGTGATTGTACAGATTGTTTATTTGTTTTACAGCTAACATTAAGCATGATTCCAGGTTTTTAATTATGTTCCAGCAACACTAGTGTTTCTTTATAACTTAAAATCATAACCACTTTGATAATTTACCTTTGGATCTGACCAGTGATTCATTTTTTTCTTGAATATACTTTGTGTTTGCTTTCTCATCCCCGTTAAGTCTGAAACATTATTGACACCCCACATCACTTACTCTGTTTAAAGACTTTACGAGTAGTGAGTCACATGTTTAGGATGATCACTTTGGGAAAAAAAAAATTATAGAGTAAAGGGGAAATGTTCTTGAGAGCTTTATTAAAACCATTAATATATAAAATGAAAAAATAATAAACAGAAGACACGAAGTGTCTCTCAATAGTTTAGAAAGAAAGATTTGGAACTTTAAGTAAAAATGCTAGGTCAAGTAAAAATCCTGATGTAGATTAGATTATCTTAATCTTATGAGCATTTTTTTTTAATTTGGTGAAGCTGTTTTGAAACTGCCTGTCCATATCAATGCCAGACTATCTCTCTACCTCTCAAAGAAAATAATTTGCATTAAAATTCCTTTTTTTGTTATGTAATGAAAGTATAAAACAAGAATTTGTACGTTACTCAGTGTGTACTGCAGTCAGATATAGTTAAAATAATTTTTCTGATGCGTAATTTTAACCACCATTTCTGGAGTACCTAGTATGTGCAGGCCAAGGCTTTGCCTATATTATTCCCTTTAATCCTCAAAGTAGCCTTGCAAAGAAGTTATTTTCATTTTACAGAAGAGTCAAGGATTAGGGGGTTGAAGTGAGCTGCCTAGAGTCACATACCTAAAGTCCAGGTGGATCACTATGTCTTGCTTTTTCAAAAGCAGTTCTTTCTACTACAGTACAATAGTTTCATGTTTTACAGTCCATTAAAATCCAAGACTTATAAAATAAACTAAAAATACTCTTGAGGCAATTACTATTTCTATGATGGGCACTGGGACAAATATACTTGAACATAACAAAGAACTAAAAATACTGTGAAAAAAAGATTTGTCTTAACGATGACCTTGAAAGTTGCATTGGGTTTTTATTATTGGTCCAGGTTTAAAACATTTTATCTATTTAAAACATATGTTGTGTGTTTTAAGAAGTTATGTTATAAATAACAGCATTGTGGTTAAGAGCCCAGAGTCTGGGGCCAGGCTTCTTAGATGCAAATCCCAACTCTGTTATTTTACTAAATGTGTGACCTTGGGCAAGTTAATTAACCTGTTTTGGTGTCCTCCTCTGTGAAATGGAGTTAATCGTGGTATTTAACAGAATTCAAAATGTAGTGTGTTCTAAAGCGCTGTGCCTGGAGCATCATCACCACTAGGTGGTTAGGGAAGTAAAACACATTTGGCACACATCATTCAAGAATGGCCAGAAAATCCATGTCTTCCCACAATAGGGACCAATTTTTTGCCTTTCACCAGACAACCACTGAATGTTAAGAATCTACTGTGTGCTAATAACTGTGTCCTTGCTGTATGACAGAAGCTATTTGGAGCGCTCTCAAGTGCTTATTACAGCTAGTCAAGGAAACCGCATATATAAAATAATACTGGATACAAGACTATACAATTAAATACTGGTGTATCACTAACAACTGTTTAGACCCTGTTTTTGCGTTAAGCATTGGGTTAGTCTCTGTCCTCATGGAGTTTTCAGTTTTATAGGGAATACAGACCTTTTAACAAGTATGTAAAGTACAGTAAAAGACAAGTACAGATTAAAATGAAATCATAAAATAGGAACCTTAGCCTAGTCTTCTGTGGTTCAGGTTAATAGTGCTGTTAGTAGTCAGAAGGAAGTTTTTTAAAGAAATGAAAAAGCTCAGTGGTTAAGATAGAAATTAAAGTTAGTCTTGATGGCTACCTAGATTTTGGATGAGTTCAAAGGATATACGGAGGGATTTCAGGCAAGATAATGTGAGCAAGGCATATCTGTGAAATAGAAAACAGTGCATTTTGGTGTATTGTGTGAAACAAGGTTGGTTGTGAAGGATTGGGTCCCTTCATAAAATTCCTTGAAAGCCAAGGAGAGTAGTTTAGATTTGAGATGGCAGGGTCTGGAGTGATTTAAGAATAAATTATAAAACCAAGGAAGATAAACTTGCAATCATAAGCAGGATAGGATATATACAGTATGGAAAGCTAAGCTAGAAAGCTGTTGCAATTTTCTTGCTATGAGGTGATGATAAAGAATTGATTAACGGTGGTCATATTCAGAAAGGATACTTAAGATTCCTGATATGCAGGGAGGGGGGAGAAAAAGTTGATGGTAACAGTACATTATATGTGGATGATGAGTATATTGGTGTTAGCACTGTTAAAAACATTATGGAAAGGAATGTAAGTGATAAAGTAGTATAATGACTAAATTTAGTTGGAAACTACTGCTGTAACAAATCTGTATACCATAGACCAAACAGGTGTTTAGTGGCCATTTAAAAATCTGTGCCATTATGGCAAAGGACATTTGCTTTGGTACAGAATAATCTGATCCACTGCGCAGTCAATGAGCAGTGAGGGTTGATTCCCATGGCAGTCCAATCTTTGCTTATCAAGGAAGGATGGTGTGAAGTTTCTACAGACTTTCTGGTAAGTGATTGATAGATGAGTTTATGGTGTGATTGAGTTTTTGCTTTGAGTTTATGCTTAGTGATTGATAGGTGAGTTTATGCTTTGTCAGGTAAAGCATTTAACTGCAAATGTATTATGTTTACACAAATATTCTTAATTGGAAATAGTTTCTGAATATGCACCTAAAAATGTTCTTATGAAATATGTCAGGCAGGCTGATTTTTAACTTGAAAACTTCTACTTTAAGAAATTGTTTGGGTCCCATCGCCTATACCATGTAGAATAGAAACAAAAAGCCAGTTATTTAATTTTTAATTTGCAATTAAACTCTTGGCCAAGAGGATCTGTTGTCCAAAATTACATCGTGATAGCTTAAGAAAAAAAAAATCTTACTTTGCCAGAAAGGGAATTATACAAGGATATCTTTATGAGTTGCTGCCAAATTTTGTTCTAGACCACGGCCCTCTGGCCTCCATGAAGGATCAAAGTCTGGGCAAAGACAATTCTAAGTTGTAGGTAAACATGCTTTTCATTTCCCTCCATTCCTTACTTTTGTCATAAGCAGTCTGGATTTTCAGGGGTAAAGGCTGATAGGGTTGCCAGATACAGTCATTAAAAATTGAGAATGTGCAGTTAAATTGGAATATCAGATAAACAATTTTAAAAATATATGTAACACACATATGCCAAAACACTGGTTATCTGAAATTCCAATTTAACTGGGCGTCCTGTATTTTATCTGACAAGCCCTAACTACTTCTTTAAAATAATTTGTTAACTTCCTACAAAAAATCTCTAAATGGGAGGAAAAAAAAAATCCCGTAAGTTGTCTGGGCCAAAAGCAGAAGTGGCTCCATGGCAGTCAGCCTTCTCCCTAACTTGGCTTAAAAAGAAAAAGCCAAAACCAGAAGTCCCAAAAGCTTGCGTTTAAAGCGGGCTGTGCCGCAGCTTTCCCGCCTGTTTTCTGCGGAATGTAGCACGGCAGCCACCCCGCGTGGGTGGGGCTCGTATGGTTGTGTCCTTGCTGGTTGGGAAAGGAGGTGCCGGAAACTTCAAACCACGGCCAGGGTACAACGTGTCCGCTTAGGCGGCGATATGCGCCGCCATCTTCTTTGCGGGCAAAGGCCGAAAAAAGTTTGGGACTCCACTCCCCCCCGCTGAGCCGATGGAGGGCATCGCCCGCTGCCTCAGCACTCTGGTGACGTGGAATCGGGGTCCCCTCTTTCAGGGCTGATTTCTGGTAGCACGCTGACGCCTGCCAAGGCAGGGAAAGGGGACGCCGCCTCTGTCCCGGATGTAAGATGGCGGCGCGGGGGGCGGCCTGGCGGGGCGGTCACGTGGTGAGGAGTAGCGCGCGAGCCTCCTTAAGTGATCTCTAAGGTTCGTCCGGACGCACAGGAGCAGCGGAGCGCGAGACGGGTCTTGTGTCCGCACGCGTCGAGTCGTCGCAGTCGCCACCCGGGCCATCGCCGGGCCCGGTTTCACTGTTAAGGGGTTTTCGTTTGTTCCGTTTTCGCCTCCTGTAGAGCTGAACGGGAATTCCCCGAAGGGTGCTGGGGAACGGGTGGCCTGGGGACTTCCCGGCTATGCCTTGGCTGCTGTTTGGCGGAGCCGGCGGCAGCCTCTGCGGGATGCCCGCCGGCGATTATCGGCGCCGAGAGCGGGCCGGCGGCGGGTTCGACAGCGCGGCGCGGGTGGGGGCCCGGGTACCGGACTCGGCCGCAGCCCAGCCCCCACCGGGGACTCGGAGCAGGGAGGGGCGCGAGCGGCGCAGCTCGGGACGTGGCGGCAGCTCCTAGCGGGCGAAGCGCGGGAGCGCTGCTCGCTGCCTCTCGGGGGCAGTCCAGAACCAGTTGGTGTCTGACTGCGCTTTTGCCGCCCATTTCCTGCTTTCGAGCGGCTGAGGCGACGCGCTCCCCTCGGGCAGTGGAGGGAGCGGCTCTCTCCGCAGGACACCGCCGCTTTTCTCTCTTCAGAGCGGTGGCTGACGTACAGAACGCCGGCTGTATCACCCGGGCGCCGGCGCCGCCTCTCATCCCCGTAGCTCTCGGGGCGCGCCGGGAGTAGCCGAGCCGCTGGGTGCTGGGCGGGGTCTCCGGGCGCGGCGCGGGGGGAAGGCAAAGGAAAAGAAGGGGCGGCGGGCCGACGTCGGCGGCGAGGAAGGACGGAGGAGCGCCGGAGCCGCTTTGCTGCCCTCCGCGTGGTCCCGTGCCTCCCCGACACCATGGCCCTGGCTGAGGTAGTAGTTTGTGCTGTTGGTCGGGTTGTGACATTGCCCGCTGTGGAGATAACTGCGCAAGCTACTGCCTTGCTAGTGCTGGTGATGCTCAGCGCCGCGGAGGACAATGGCTGGGAATCCCCTTTGTTTTCCGGGGCGCTGCCTGGGGACAGCCCGCGAAGCCTCGGCGCCCGGCCGGCGCGGCCACCACGGAAACCGTTAGTTTCACATTTTCCTAGAAGGAATTGAGGGGAGTGGGGTGGACCGCGATGCATTTTAAAGGTTGGGAAAGAGCTAAGCCATTGGATTCCTTTTCTTGAAGGAAGGAGTGGAATTGTGTAAGATAATTGATACAGATAACTTTTTCACCCTAAAAAATTCTAACACTTCTTTCAGCAGTTAAATGCCAAATTTAGTGTGTACCTGTTTTACTTCATTCTTTAGCTGTAGGTTGGAGTGGTGTGAGCGATCTGCAGAACTGGCATTAGAGGGGCAGAAGAAGTAGACCTGATAATTAAAGTTTATGCCTTAACATTTTAGATCTGGTTTCTGATATGCTCTCTTAGTAAATCTGAGTGTGTCTTTAAAAACGTAAACCCAAAGCAATTTAAAGTTTCTCTTTAAACTTTGCAACTCGCGAATGAGAAGATTGAAATTATTTGTAGGTAATTGCACTATTCCGATTTTTTAATGTATGAGGCAAACAAATAAATTCTATGTACAGTGTGCTGTGAATGGTTTTGTTTTTTGTTTTTTCTTTTTAGTTTAACCTTGGGGCTCAGATTCTGCTGGTGTGGTGGGTTGGTTTTTTGGTTTTTATGGCCTTTGATTCTAATGTTATGTGGTACTTACATCTTTGAGGTTTTGTATGGGAGAAGAGGACTAGGAATTGAAAGTGGTTTCTAGATTTGAGTTTAAAATCTACTAACACTCATTTTGATTCCTGAGTGGCCACTACTCCTAATAGGAAAATACCTTTGCATAGAGAAAAAAGGTAGTTTGGATAACTAATGAAAATACTCAGTGCTCTAATACCCTGAAGTCTGCGTGGAAAACAAGATACTTGTATTTTTATTTTATTTTCACTGAGGGAAGTAAGTGGTCAGTTTTAGTACTTTTCGTTGAAAACTGATCTGTATTTGTACAGAATAAGTAGTTTTGAATATAATGTAATCGCAGTTTTCTATGGTTTTCTGATGCTCAGTTGAAAAACAAATAAGGCAGTTCTTTAAACCAACCAAACCCTTCAGCAGGAGTTTGATGCTTTTATCATTCAAAAGTGATCTAATATATGTGCCTTGATTGGGTTTGGTTTAGCCTTGAGAATAACCTTACTTAATCTGATCTCATCAGGATGGAGCCGCCTCATTGTGGGAAGGGCGGTGAAGAACCTTATCTTGAATCTTAAGATGCAGAAAATGCTTGAATGTTGGCTCTTGAAGTTTGCTTTTCTTGATAGCAACGCAGAGTAAATTCAGGGCTTTGTTAAGTGCTTGTTTTCTTAAATAATGAAAACCTCTGCGGTGCTGTGTCAAATCTTGGTTTATGGAGAAACTAATCATAACATGCTAATTTCATTATGATTTTATTTTCCAAAACACTTCATTCAACCAACCGAGGTAATCTTCCAACCCACTACACTCTAACATTTTTATGGAGAATCAACGGTTGTTAATCTGCACCCCAAAGTATAACAAATTCTGCTGGTAATTTAAACTTTAAGCGGATAAGCACACCAGAAATGCTCAATGTCCTATACAGATAAACTATTCATACTTTATATCTTGTGTTTTTAAAGTAAATTTTATCCACAACTACATATTGCCCAAATAGTAGTAACATTTTTGAGTTATTGGATGTAAAGGTACTTTGAGAGGTTAACTGTTTCCTAAGTTACAAGAGAAAATACTGCCACCAGCTGACTTGTTTTAATCCCATAGCTATATTTCTGCTCTAATCTCCAGTTTTAAAAATGATCTGCTAATTACATTTCTCTACACACCAACTGAAAATTACCAACTGAACATTTTCCTTGTTGACAGTTTCCCACAAGATGAATTTGATTTATCAAAAATACAGCTTTCTGAACTTAGTATTATTGACATTTACTTGGTGCAGTTAACTTTTTTGTTAAAGGTCTGTTGTCAAGCATTTAAGTAATTTGTAGTTGTAAAAAGCCACTGGTGGAAAGTAATAAGGCAGTATTTTGAGTGCCCTTCTCAATAAGTACATACTAAACCAAAGGAAAGCTGGGTTATGGTAATAACATTTTAATAAATGTCATCCTCAATTGGAAATGGAGACTGTGTTATGGTATATAGGACACACCATATGGAGAAGATTCTTGGAGAACACAGTTTTGCTTCATACTTTAAAATTCCTGATTGCTAATCTTACATAGAAAAGCTTTGTTTACAAGCTATTTTAAAATAACCTTTTGGCAGGTAGGCAAGACTGACTGGCAAGGGTGCACTCAAGACATTGTGTCTTGTGGAGTGGTCCCCAAAGAATTCCTGACAGAGGCACCTGACAGCACAAATTAGCTCTTCAGTGTATAAGCACAAAGCACCAAAAAGGCTGAGATTTCTTCCTAGCTACATGCTCTCTCCCGCTATTGTTTATTACACTCCACCCGCTCCATGGTGAAGCTGACAAAGGAGATACTATTAATTTCCTTTCCCACTGAATAATCCCCTCTGTAATTTCTACAACAAAAGGTAAATAGGACAATCATCTTCGAAAATGAATTAGGCCAGATTGGTAGTACCCAAAAGGAGAATTAATGACCATTGTCATAAACTCTGAAAAGCTGTTGGCGCTACTGATAATCTAGATAATTAAGCAAAAATTTGAAAATTATTTCTAAGATTGTCTAATGAAGTTCACTAAGTGTTTTTGTTAGGTTATCACTATTGGGCACCATGGGGAAAGCAAAATAATTGTATAGCTAGGTCATTGCCCCAAAGGAAAACAGGAAAGATGTCACATGAAGTGTTTAAGAATCAAAATGTAATTAGCTGAGTGTGGTGGTGCCTGCCTGTAGTCCCCGCTGAGGTGGGAGGATCTCATGAGCCCAGGACTTTGAGGCTGCAGTGAGCCATGATTGCACCACTGCAGCCTGGGCAACAGAGTGAGACTGTCAAAAAAAAAAAAAAATCAATGTGAGCTCAGTGCAGTGATGTGCACCTATAATCCCAGGTACTCTGGAGGCTGAGGCAGGAGAGTCACTGGAGCCCAGTAGTTTGAGACCTGCCTGGACAAAATAGTTGAGATTCTGTCTCAAGAAATTAAATAAATAATCAAAATGTGGGCAGGTGAGAAAAACATTAGTGACCTACTTCACTTTTGAGACCTGGCAGAAAAGTGATTGAATGAGCTAAGGGGGAAGGGAAGTATGGAACACTTCAAATAGTATAGTAATTTAGGGAGTTCTTTTGGTTAGGTTTGTTGCCTGAGATCTTGGAGATGACAATCGCAGTGATAATGATACTCTAGGTGATTTACAGTTTAGTTTCATATTATCTGCTACAAATACGCTGGGAGTGTCATCAGAATTAAAAGAAATATTAGCAGTTCTACATGGAATTTATGTGTTTTCTTATCTCAAGTTGAAAATTTTTTTTTTGGTTAAATTTGTTTTACATTTACCTTTCTTTAAAAGTGCTGTTTTGTTCAGATGTAATGGAATTGTGCCTACACAGGATTTTTGGCCACTAAATTTGTGAATAGGGTCCTTTAAAGGCATACTATTGACACCCGATAGTGTAACTTTAGTCTTTTAGTTATATCAAATATGAACAAACCTAAGACACAATCTTGTGTTTTTAAGGATAAGTTCCTAGTTCTTTCCTCTTATTCAACATCAAACAACACTTACAGAAAATATTATTTTCTTCGAATCAGGTTTACAAATTCCGTTAGTTCCATTATAATATAATTGAGAGTATTTTATCATGGAAGTCAGGAGTTCGCAGAAAGCCAAGCTGTGTGATATGTCACAGAAAATTCAAGTAAATTAAGGACTAAAAACTGTCCACAGACATTGACAGTTTAGATCATATATGTAGTTGTAATGTGTTTTCTGTTATACCTGAAAAATCCCTTAACTGCTCTTAGGTTGAGTAATAAACAATTAACGGGTGTTTTATCTCACTTTGAACATAACTACCAAAAAGGTATTAAGATTCAGAGATTGCTGTTTTAATATTCTGCACATAGTGTATTTTAAAGCCCTTGTTAAACAGAAGTATTATGTAGATACAGGCATGGGCTAGTTTTAGTCATAATAGTAACACTGACTTAATGTTACCGTAATAGATGGCCGAAAGAGTTGACTAAACTCTAAAAACAGATACATAAGCAAATTAAAGTATATTTTTCTGTTTTAAAAACAAATTTACATACTTTTTAAGAGTTCGGACGAAAAACCTAAGAATAAGAATCCTATCTGCCATTCATTTCTTTTTGTAGTGAATGAAGCTTATACAGAATAAATAAGTTCCAGATAAATTCAACAGGTGAATCGGATACCTGCTCTATGTCAGGTGCTGGGAATATACAGAAGATAAAACAAAAACAAACACAAAAAAACCAACTCCACATTATGGAATTCACATTGTAAAAGGAATACATTTCCCTATAATAATAATTACAGACATGTAGTGAGGACAATCCATGGGCCACCTGAGTTGTTTTCAAACCTGAGTTCCACTCATACACCTGTTCTAGAGCCCTTGCTCCAAAACCACTATTGATATTCCAGTTGTATGTTTTAAAAAAGCCATTTCCCATTGATTTTTGTTATAATTGTACCTATTTTTTTTAAAAAAAGATGATAATTTAGTTTCACCAGGGCTGTTTTCTTTCTTTCTTTTTTTTTTTTTGAGACGGAATCTTGCTCTTGTTGCCCAGGCTGGAGTACAATGGCACGATCTCGGCTCACTGCAACCTCCACCTCCCAGGTTCAAGCAATTCTCCTGCCTCAGCCTCCTAAGTAGCTGGGATTACAGGCGCCCGCCACCACGCCCAGCTAATGTTTGTATTTTTAGTAGAGATGAGGTTTCACCGTGTTGGCCAGGCTGGTCTCGAACTGCTGACCTCATGATCCGCCCACCTTGGCCTCCCAAAGTGCTGGTATTACAGGCAAGAGCCACCGCGCCTGGTCAGCCAGGGCTGTTTTCTATCTCCTAAACAGGATAACACTGCAGGAGGTACTTCACCTTTAAGAGCTTACAATGTTGTAGCAAGTGCCCAACTACCTTGTGGAGGAATCTAGACCCCATAGCCAGACATCACATTTTATGATGTACACTCTAAACATGGTAAAAGTTCAAAGAAGCAGGAGTGCACTGTGAGTAGGTAGAGAATGCATCTCTCTGGAGCAGAAACGTCAGATTATTTTAACAGTATAAGCTATGGAGAGCGATTATGAGCCTTGTGGTGCCTGAGAACAGGAAAGAAAGAAGTATCCTACCTTCCTTATATAATTTATACCTCGGGGTAACTAAATGGTTGTGAGGGAGATTTCCTCATTACAGAATAATTCCAGTTTCACAGTGCAGAACGTCTGATAGAATGTTAACATTTACAACAGCTCATGAAATAAAGCTAGACCTCTTCAATGGCTAACTTAATGGTTGAAACCATTAAGTAAAATGCTGATGGAGAAGTATGTGATTAATGAATCAGTAGTAGAGAAGTATTTAATTCATGGATCAGGGCAACCGCACTTCAACTCACTGATCAATTTTAATATTACAAAAACAGATAACTAGATATTCTAGTTCAAATAATTGAACTAGATAGTGGTTTACTAAGACTCTAGACTCTCATCAAGTTTCTAGATCTGATGAGTAGTTTATTAGAAATTTAAGATATAGGGGAACATTGTTAAATCACCACAGGAGCACAAGTAGCAAAAATCCACACTGAAATTCTATAAGACAAATGATCTAAGGAAAAAAAATTTTTAAGGAAAGAAGGGCAGGAAAACCTGTAGAGTAAAATGAATTTAAAGATATTTATCGGTTTAATTGCAATGTATAGACCTTGTTTGGATCCTAATTTGATCAAAGCTAACCACAAACACATTTATGAGACAATTGGAGAAATTTTAAAACTGACTGAATATTAGAAGTTAAAGAATTGTTTTTGAAAATGGTATTGTGGTTATAGTTTTTAAAAATCTTTTGGTATATGCATACTAAATAATTTACTAATGAATGATATGATCGGACTTTGCTTCATACTTTAATCCATGGGGGATGGGAAGCATATATGGGAGTACACAGGAAAGAAGCTTGTCTTAGTGTTGGTATTGATGATGGGTGATGGGTAGATGGGTTTTTTTATTCTGTTCTACTTTTGTGTATATTTAGAATGTTCCATAATAAAAACTCAAAAACACGTAAAACAAGACAAAGAAAGATTCCTGTGGTTTGGAGACAACCAAAGCAAAGTGAGAACACATACAAAACCATGTGAAGGTCAGTAAGGTGCAGCTAAGTGTTCTTAGGGTATCCTCCCAGGCCACTTTGAAATACTACCTTGAAGTCTATCAGAGGATCAGTCCATTTTCCTTATACTCCAGATCAAATATATTGACTAATATAGTGCAAGTTCACACATACCCACAACAAGGATACCATTGTTTAAATATATCTATTATAATTAAAACTAGTAATTAGAATTAATAAGAGATGTGTTGAGAACTTTTACTAAGTACTTTGTATGTATAAAGTACTTGCTTTAATGTTAGCCTATTAAACTTAATAACTTTCCATTTTAAATATTATTTTTCTAGTTCCATAGTCTTTTTCTAGAAGTATGCCTTATTTCACATTCTTAAACAAGTACTCTAAGCAAAATCAGCTCACTAAAAAAATTTGTTTGGCTTTAACTGCTTTCAATAAGCTTAGTTCTGTTTTTCCTCTTTTATTTTGTTATTCCTCCTGTCTAACTGAAACTTTGTACCCTTTAGCCAACATCTCCCCAGTACCTTACCCCCTCTGTCTATAAGCCCCTGGTAACACTATTCTCTCCTTTCTGCTTCTCTGAGTTTGACTTTTTTATATTCCACATATAAATGAGATCATGTAGTATTTGTCTTTCTATGCCTGGCTTATTTAGTGTAATGTCCTCCAAGTTTAAACATGTCGTTGCAAATGATAGAATGTTTGTCCTTTTAAATGGAACTCTAATAATTGTTCTAGCAATTTATTCGATTTTTTGTTTCCAGTTAGATTCCTTTTTTCTTAACCTTCTTTGTGTGTGTGTGTGTGTGTGTGTGTGTGTGTGTGTGTGTTTAGACAGGGTCTCACTGTCATCCAGGCTGGAGTGCAGTGGCGTGGTCACAGCTCACTGCAACCTTCAACTCCCAGGCTCAAGCGATCTTTCCACCTCAGCCTCCTGAGTAGCTAAGACTACAGGCACACGCCACCACCCCTGGCTAATTTTTGTATTTTTTGTAGAGACAGGGTTTTGCCATGTTGCCCAGGCTGGTCTCAAAACTACAGGGCTCAATTGATCGCCCACCTCCGTCTCCCAAAGTGCTGGGATTATAGGTGTGAGCCACCGCGCCCAGCCCCCATCAATATATGTTAACACTTAGCAGTTAGTTCATTGTGCATCTACATATTACCAGTGTTATTAATCTAATTTAAATATTTAACTGAGTGCTGTTACTGCTTTGAATATATTAGCACACTACAAAGGTAAAAAAATATAACCAACCTGTGGATCAAAAGAAACAATGATTTTGCATTTTACTAAGCACAGAAATTATCATGTTTTTGAATGTGTACCACAAATGCCAGGCATACACACACATATATAAATAAGGTTGAAGGAGGCCGGGCGCGGTGGCTCACGCCTGTAATCCCAGCACTTTGAGAGGCCGAGGCAGGTGGATTACTTGAGGTCAGGAATTCGAGAGCAGCCTGGCCAACATGGTGAAACCTGGTCTCTACTAAAAATACAAAAAATTAGCCGGGCATGATGGTGCATGCCTGTAGTCCCAGCTACTGGGGAGGCTGAGGCAGGAGAATCGCTTAAACCCCAGAGGTGGAGGTTGCAGTGAGCTGAGATCGTGCCACTGCACTTCAGCCTGGGTGACAGAGTGAGACTCTATCTAAAATATATATATATATAAGGTTGAAGGAATAAACACATTGAAGCATTATTACAAATATAAGATACTTTTTTTTCTTTTCTTGTTTAAAAATAAATAGAGGCAGGGTCTCACTTTGTTGCCCACGCTGGTCTTGAGCTCCTGGGCTCAAGTGATCCTCCTGCCTCAGCCTCCTAAAGTGCTAGGATTACAGGCGTTAGCCACCACACTTGGCCAAGAGAGTTCTTTCAAATTTACCAATATTATCACTATTAAATAGCTTTTATTTTGAAGTATATATCCTAGTGACTTTTTAACTTCATATATCTTATCCTGTATATACGTAGTGAATCACTATCTGGACTCATTAGTTAGACGTTGAACTTAGCCGTGACCTTATCTACTACATACATGGGCATTTTCTGTTGTTATTAACCCTGGGACTTAAGTTGCCTTAGAAATATTAATGATAATTGCTATATGTATAGATGTTACCACTAATATCTTTAGTATTCTCTGCTGACTATCCATGAACCCTGTGGAGTTTATTATGCTGGAAGTCACAGTGTATTCCTTAAACCCTTCTGATTCTGCCTTATGGCCTCCTCCCTTGTTGAGTATCTTCTTAAAAGGAATCAGAAACCACTCTTCCCACATTCTCCAATAGTCAAGTCACACCATGAACACGGTTCCAAGAAGCGGAAAGGTCCTCTACCACTTCAAGGAAATTAGGAAGAAAAAAAAAGAGAGAAAAACAACGTGTTGTTCCAGAAGGTAGTATGCAAGTTCTCAAATGACCTCTAGGCATTTTGGTTCAAGGTCCATCTTTTTCCTTTATCATGTCACTCTTCTTTTTTCCTATTAAAGAATAATTTTTATATCTTTTTATGTGACTGGTAAAAATAATATTCCCCTTCTCCAAAAGTCATGGTCAGTTAGCTATATAAAGGTAGTTGGTAATGAAACTTCATGTTCTTGTGGTTTTTAAAATACAGAGTCTCACTCTGTTGCCAAGGCTGGAGTGCAGTAGCATGATCATGGCTCACTGCAGCCTCGACTTCCTGGGCTCAAGTGATCCTCCTGCCTCAGAGCCTTGAATAACTGGGACTACAGGTGCACATCACCACATCCAACTAATTTTTAAAATTTTTTGTGGAGACAGAGTCTCACTCTGTTGCCCGGGCTGGTCTTGAACTCCTGAGCTCAAGTGATTCTCCCATCTCAGCCTCCCAAAGTGCTGGGATTACAGATGTGAGCCACCATGCCCAGCCTTGTTTTTTTTGTTTTTTGTTTTTTGTTTTTAATGTAAGAAAAGGTAAGAAAAATATGGTGGTGGTCTTACAGGTACATATGTGGTTTATGCACTGTGAAGCTGTTGAAAGGAGTGGATGATGATGAAATGCATGCAGTTGAGCTAGGCTCAGTGGAAAGTCATGTTGGGGAACAGATGGAGTTTTGAAGTGCTAAGAGAATGATTTAATGAAACTGGGGTCATAAAATTGCTAGAAAGAATGTAGGCTGATTTCTTCCAGAATTTAAAGGCTCTGGGAATAGGAAGCCAGAAGAGTAAGAACAGAAACAGATCAGCTTGAACACCAGAGTTGCGCCTTTGGATGAACTCTGGGGAAAGGGTATGTTTTCAGAGAAAAATAAAAAAGGATCTGGGATCATTTACTCTATCATTTGTTTAACAATTATTAGTGTGTGTGTGTGTGTATGTGTGTGTATATATATATATTTTTTGAGATGGAGTCTAGCTCTATTGCCCAGGCTAGAGTGCAATGGTGCGAACTCGGCTCACTGCAACCTCTCTCTCCCTCCTAGGTTCAAGAGATTCTCCTGCCTCAGCCTCCCAAGTAATTGGAATTACAGGCCCATGCCACCCCACCCGGCCAATTTTTTTTGTATTTTTAGTAGAGATGGGGTTTTGCCATGTTGGCCAGGCTGGTCTCAAACTCCTGACCTCAAGTGATCCGCCAGCCTCGGCCTCCCAAAGTGCTGGGATTACAGGCACGAGCCACCATGCCGGACCTATTAGTGTATTTACTGGATATCAAGATGACTAAGAAATAGCACTTGCCTTGAAGGAGCTTTTCTATTTGAGGAAAAAGACATGTATATAAATAACTGCAAACAGAATGAAACAAGTGTTATGTAGATCTACATACAGTGACATGCCATGGGAATGCTGAACACTGAGCAACAGTTTCAACTAGCGAATTGGCACAGGAAACATGAAAAATAAGCGTATTTTCAATATGACAAGAATGGTCATTTCTGGATATAAGAACAAGAGAAAAGTCATGGGTATATGGAAAGGCATGGACTCTTCAAGGAAGAGCAAGTAGTCTAATGTAGATGCTGTATAGGAATCTGGGGACAAAGGGACAGATAAGTGGTGTAGACAAAGAGGCTGGAAATAGGGTTATGGGCTAGATCATGAGTGACCTGTAAGCATTAGGAGTTTTGATTTATTTTGGAATAAGAAACATTTATGGCTTTTGAGAAGGAAAATTACACAAGGGAAAAGAAAGGATTTTTATTTTTTATTTTTATTTTTGGAGAGATGAGATCTCACTATGTTGCCCAGGCTGGTCTTGAACTCCTGAACTCAAGCAATCCTCCCGGCTCGGCCTCTGAAACTTCTAGGATTATAGGCGTGAGCCACTACGCCCAGCCAGGATTATGTTTTTTTATGGGAGGGATGAGAATATTGGTAGGTGGGTAGAGGATAAATGAGAGAGAATATGTATATGTGAGATTGAATATATAATAGAAAAAATTGATAGGACAAGTCCTGCGTTATTACTACATTTTATGAGGAAAATCTATATATTAGAAGCACTTTAAAGGTATATTTGCTATTCTAGCTGTGGAAACCATCTGAAAACACATTTGAAAGTGCTTTGAAACAGGGGTCAACTTCTCTGCAAAGGGCCAGAGTATGTTTAGCTTTGCGGGCCACAGATGGCCTCTGTTGCATATGCTGCTGGGTCTCCACCTTCCTCCTCCTTTTCTTCCCTTCCTCTTCCTTCTTTTTCTTCTTCTCTTTCTTCTTTCTCTTTAAAAGCATAAAATCATTCTCAGCTCTTGGGCCATACAGAAACAGGCCATAGGCCAGATTTGACTTCTAGGCCATAGTTTGCCGACCCTCCATTTTAGAACTTAGCTTTCCTGAAAGAGCATTTGGGTCTCTCTCTCTCTTTCCCTTTCTCTCTCTCTGTCTCTCTCTCTCTCTCTTTCAGTAAGTGAAGTAAGAAATAGGTCTTTCTTGAGGAACAAAAAGCTGAAATAATTTCATGCATTTGAATATGACCCTTGACCTGTTTTTGTCCATCATCACTCAGATTTGTGGCTGCAACCACCAACCAATTTGGTGCCATAGGATATAGCATAATTTTTCAGCAACAGTTCATAAGCTTTTCTTTTTGTTCTTTTTCCTTCTTCCAGTTGTGGTGGTTTAAAAACATGTCTGCAAAATCTTTGACACTTCTCAGTAAAAAATATAGTCTTGTGTTCCCTTTTCTTGAACCTAAGTGGCCTTTGTGCTGCCTCAACAAATAGAATATGACAGAAAAGACACTATGTGACTTTTGAGACAGGGTCATAAGAGGTGATACAGCTTCCCCATGCCCCTGCATTTTAGAGCTCTGGGTTGCCATGTAAGAATAGCTACCCTGAAGCTACCATGCTGAAGAGACCACAGGGAAATCACATAGAGTTAGAAAGAGGTGTCTGAAGAAGCCCAGCTGCTCCCAATCCCAGCTATTTAAGTCCTCCCAGACCAGGTGCCATATATATGAGTGAGCAAGCCTTCAGATGGTTCCAGCACCAGCCACCATCTAGCTGTAAGCTCATGAGACCCCTTCAACGAAAACCATCTAGATTAGCTTAGTCAAGCCCCAGAACCGTGAAAGACAATAGACTTGCTATGGAGGTCGCCACATGCCTCTTTTTTCTCCCTTTGTGAATGGGATTATTTATAATGGTTACCCCATACCTACTCCACTATGTATATTGGGTATGAGGGAGAGATAATTTGTCTCACTAGCTGACAGATTTTTCAGACCTCAAGGAATGCCACGTGAGCTGTACTCACAGGACCACACACAAGTATCTTTATCCACACGTGACCTGATTTCACTGATAAAGTCCTGGACCTTGAGCCTGAGCCCAATGTCTTAATAAATGAGAATTTCAGAAGGTCTTGGGAGGGGGTGAGTATATTTTGCATGTGGGAAGGATGTAAATAATATGTGGCCTGAGAGCAGATTATGGTGGTTTGAAAATGTGTCCACCAATTCTTTAATACTACTCTCAACAAGAGGTGGAATCTGTGTCTCTTCCTTTGGAACATGAGTGGACCTTTGTGATTAAATGCAGCAGAAGGATGCTGTGTGAACTCTGAGACAGGGTAATAAGGGGTGATACAGCTGCCACCTAGTTCTTTCTCAGAACATGTGCCTTTGGAGCCCTGAGCTGCCATGGAAGAAAACCACCTACCCTGAAGCCACAACACTGGAAAGACCATGTGGAAGAACCACAGAGAGAGAGAAGAGGACCAAATGTGTGAGCCTTCCCAGCCCAGGCTCCAAATATGCAAGTAGTAAGCCTTCATTTCTTTTTGGTTTTAATTTTTTTTTTTAAATAAATCGAAATGGGTTCTCACTATGTTGCCCAGGCTGGTCTTGAACTCCTAAGCTCAAGTAATCCTCCTACCTCAGTCTCCCAAAGTGCTGGAATTGTAGGCATGAGCCACCATGCCCGGCTGCAATTAGTAAGTCTTCAGATGCTTCCATCACCAGCCACCATCCGATGACAACCCCATGAATGACCCTCAGCAAGAACTACCTAGCTGAATCCAGCCAAACTCCAGACCCATGAGAGAGAAATAAAATTGTTGTTTGAGTCACTAAATACGGAGTAATTTATATTATCAACAGATAACTGGAACCACAAGTGTAATTGTTAAAGGTAAAACTTTGAATACATTTATATTTGCCTTCTGCCACATTCCATAATTGACTTTTGTTCATGAACCTATTGGCAAGTTTGCCTTATTGCTTTTCCTTCTTCCCTCTTTTTTTTTTTTGTAACTTAAAAAATCATATAATAAAACAACACAAAAATGTATTTGAATGTAGGTTGAGTGACCGTAAATAAGCACAAAACTTCTCCTTCCTGTGACTCTCTTGTCTGTATATGCCAAGTATCTAACACAAGGCCTGCCTGGCACATAATTTTTTTTTTTAAATGTTAGTCTCTTTTATCATTCTTTTTCCCTGTCAGTGGTATTATCTTTACCCATGGAATCCAGCACCCTCATGCTGACTTATAGTTCCCCAAAGTCCCTAACCTCTACAGTCCTCTCCAACCCCCACCCCAGGCCTCTCTCTATGTTCCAGACATTTTCTGGCTTTTTACCATTATCCAAACTCTGAACTTATCTACTTAGTTTTTATAAAAAAACACAGAGTGACTACATAGCTAATATAAATAATGCCAGTGTTAACACAAAAATTTGACTTGAATGATTACAATAGCAAACTTCAATGTTTACCCCATGGAATAGGCAGAAAATTTCAAGCACTTTTCTAGGCCACCTGAGTCTATTTTGAGTAAGGATCCTTAAGTTGATACTCAAGTAATGACATTGATGCAATGTAGAAGACTATGCTAAAATTTGTCCTGGCTTCTCTCCATGCTATGGGCCATCTGTAAAGCTTTGGAGTCTAGGTCAGATGTATGCGTTGTCTCCTCTTTGCTACCATTTTTGTACAGATTTCTAATCTAAATAAAATTAATGGCAATAACAGTGTGGAAAGGGAAAGCCTAAAAGAAAGAGGGTTTTTGAAGAGTGGGGGACCAGAAAAGAAGAGGACAATTTTACCTGAATTGTTTTACTTTAGAAAATAAATTTGTTCATGTGATTCTGTGAGTCAATTTACACATGTATATAAATACACATTTCTTTATTTAACCATTATTATTATCACTATGTGATCCCTCAATGTGCTGGCTACCACGGGTGTAAGATAAATTACAGAAACTCCTTATTCTGAAGGATTCCAACAACAATTTGGCATTGTGCACTGTATGGGGCCTGGGAAAATCCTCTGATTTGCCATACCTTAGGAAAGGTCTTTGCATGATACTAGGCCATGTCTCTTACTACAATGATGAGCATTCTTAGATTTAAAAATAATACCAAGCTGTCAGGAAAACTGAATTCCATCAATAATAACATCTTTTCATAAACTGAAAGCTTGCAAAGCCTTAATTAAAAAAATGAATTTATTACTAAGTGAATTTAATTCACAAAAGGAATTTTCCCCAATATTTAGGCTGTTGTTGGTTTTGGCTTTGTTTTTAATTAACATTTTTAGTTGTATGGTTTGATCAAATACTGAATTTGAGTTCAAAGATACATTTCCTCTGAGGATGCAGTCTAAAGAGGCCAAGTAAATAATAGAAAATCATAGTTTCCAAGTTTCGCAGAACAAAGCTCAGTAGTTCCATGACTTTTTCAGTGTTCTACAGAATTGAGCTACTCCCTCTTACACAAAAAAGTGCTCTAATTTTCATTTTTTTCTTCTTTGCTCAGTTTCTTCATTTATTTGCCTACTTTCTTAATTTCTTCCTAAGTAAATATATAGCTATCTTTGAGGAGAAGTGATGTAACATCAGAAACAAAGAGTAGACTCACAATTAGAGCCCACTGACTCATGGGACTTTAGATAAACCACTAATCAGGAAACTGGGGGTGTTAATGCTGTTTAGTTAGTTGATTGAGGAGGTGAGGACAAAACCTGGTGACTTCAGGGCCTCAGCAACAGAACTCCTACCTATTTCCATTGCTACCACTTACCTTATGGGCATTAGATAATTCTGCAGTGAGTTATTCTGTGCATGAGGGGGCAAAGGCTTTAGAGTCAGGTAGCTGGGGAGTTATTTTCTCTCTCTGCTATTTAATAGCTGTATGACCTCAGGTGAATTTCTTAATCTCCGTTTCCTTGTTTGTAATACCCATCATGAGAAGTTGTTCTGAGGATCACAGATACTATACCTAAAGTACCCAACAAAGTCCTGACACAAGGAAGGTGTTCCATAAACGGTAGCTATTTGAAGTAGTCTAAAAGGTCCCTTTCAAATGTTTAATACACCCATATAATCCCAATCTTAATCTCTCACTCTCTTGTTGGCCCATCATTAGAGCACCAGATCCCCTTGACTGCTTTCCAGGGTAAGGATGCAAGACCACTGAGAACTGTGCCGCGCTGGTAAGAAGAGGTGCTGATGGCATGCTGTTGCCTCTGCCAGACAGACTCTGTCTTTGCTGAAGTGTTTAGTATTGCTATTGTGGCAAATGCCATTTTAGTCAAAGGCAATAAATCTTCCTTTGTTTAAATGACAGATGGCTAGGATTGTTACTTCTGTTTCTAGCAAACCCAGAAAGGGAAAAAATAAATTACTGACATTCAGAGTTCTTGTTTTTTAAGAATATTAGGGGGAAAATGAAAATAGTATAGTTTCAGCAAAGTTATATAGTTTTTGCAGTCAACAGAATAATGGGCCCCCTAATGATGTTCACGTCCTAACCCCTAGAATCTATGAATATGTTAGGTTACAGGGCAAAGGGGAATTAAGAGTGCAGGTGGAATTAAGATTAATTAGCTGACCTTAAGATAGGGAATGTAGCATAATTTATCCAGGTGAGCCCAATATAATCACAATGGAAGACAGAGACAGAAGAATCAGAGTCAGAGAAGACGTGGCTACAGAGGAGAGAGTGATGAGATGTGAGGATTCTGCCTGCCATTGCTGGCTTTCAAGATGAAGGAAGGGGGCCATGAACCAAGGGGATGCCTCTAGAAGCTGGAAAAGGTAAGGAAACAGATTCTCACCTAGACTTCCAGAAAGCTCTGCTGTTGCCTTGATTTTAGCCTAGTGAGACCCATTTCAGACTTCCGACCTCCAGTACGTGAAGATAATACATTTGTGTTGTTTTAACCTATTAAGTTCTAAAATGGTGAACCCAATTTCATTTCTTCTCTCCCTTTACAAGGTAGGTGCTATTAACAGTGAAATGACAATGCAAAAGCAAAGCAGAGGAAAGCACCAGCAAAGGACATGCCTCGCTGACTGCAGATTACAGTGTCCTCTACTCAATTCCTATCTTAATATGTATCACATGCCCTGCCTGAGATAATGAGGACTCTCCCATTCCCTCAGTCTTCAGGTTGCCTCTACTTCTCTTCCATTTTCTTTTTCCTTGATATGATCCTCTTCTTTCTCATTCTTCTCTTCTTTCATTTCCTGAGTTGTTTTCTCTCCACTTCTTCCCCCTCTACTCTGATAGGAAATATTATAGCAGTAGCCCAAGCTAGAAGAAAAAGGACACACCTACCAGCTCCCTCCCTCCCTCACAACACCTACACGGCTGCTGGGGAAGCCTTGAATGAAAGCTAGAAAAGAACAAATAGGAAAAGAGGCATTTGAAAACAGAACAGAAATAGTCACAGACGGGTGACAGGCAGGAGATGCCACCTCATTGACAGCTGCCACCATTTTCCATAGAGAAGTTATTCCATTGTAGTATACACCAGGGCTGGGTTTAAATATTTTTCCTATGTACTTGGTAGTATAGTGGAAGCTCCTCCATTTCTCTAAATAGTTAACTGCATACTTAGAGCTCTTGGTAGCGTTTAGAACACGGAGTTAATTATTCTGAGTGTACCTAGCCCCATCACTGTCTGTAATCTGTACAAAATTTGATAAGCCCTTTTAAGGTAGTTAGATATTTATTGAGACTCTGCTGTATATTTGGCAGTGCCCCAGATATAGGTAGTGGTGGTGACAGCAAGCAATAGGACCAGTGGAGCCTGCTTTTTAATAGAGAGTGATCTCTCTGGTATTGTTGTAAGTACAGCATATAAGCAACTTGAGGTGTTGTCTTAAAGATGTGAGCTCACCTAATTTACACAAGAGCATCAAAGCCAGAATTCCTCCCCTTGCTGATGTTAGCCTGTAACTCTGTGCCTCTCAAGTGTATAACTTCTTCTGTGGGAATCATGCTTCTGAAGCATGAGGAAAGAACACACCCGTGTTTCCACTTTCTCTGCTGCTTTGCATGTGATCCCTCCAGGTATGCAAAATAATGCCTCAATATCATTTTGACCTGTGTTGTCATTTTACATATTTTATCAGAAGACTTCATATCGGATGGAAGCAAATCTTTAGAAGGGTTGTTATAACAACTTGAACAGCCCATCATGCTCTAGGCATGCTCCCTATCACGGCTATGTTTTCATTCATTAGAGATGGAGGAGGAGGCGGCTTAAAATGTGTAATTCTAATCACCTATTCCTACAGCTCTCTAACTGGTCTCCGTGGCTTCTCTTGCCTTCCTCCAGTCTTGCCCGTGAACCTTGATTAGAGGACAACACAACACTAACAGCCACTCCTCCCTCTCCCTCCTGACTCCTTATTTGAGTTAGAGGCTCTCGTAACACCTGCGTCTTCCCCTTTGTCAGCAGTCATCACAACGAATTGTGATTGCCTATTTACTCATCTGCATCTCCCACTGAATTCTGATCCATGGTGGCTGGCCCATGCCTGTCTTGTGTACATTTGCATGTAAACCACTTAACCCAAGTGCCAGGAAGCAAACAGTACACGCAGGTGTGTGGAGTGATTGAAAGCTAATTTGCTACCTAAGAATGTACAGTGATTCCTCAGTGTTTATTAGATCAGGCCCAGACTCTTCATTTCAGTTTTCAACTCCTCTGATTTTTCTTTTATACAAGCTTTCAGATCTCCTCTTGGTTCTCATCTAGCTCTTGCATCTTTATGCCGTGGGTTGATTCCTCTGCCTGCCTATCTGTAGTAGCTTGTCTCCTAGGATGGCTGCCATCAATTTCTTCTCTTCTGTATACACATGCCACTCCCGCATTGAGAGATGGAGTCTTCTTTCCCCCTGGAATCTGGTCTGGCCTGTGACTAATTTCAATAATAGAATCTTGCATTTCTATTGAAACTACCAAAAAAAAAAAATTGTGTCAGCTACTACAGCTACTAAGTTTTGGGATGGTTTGTTATATGGCAATAGATATCCTCAATACCATTCTTCAAAGTCCCAAACCTACATTTTCTGTGAAGCCTTACCTTGCTAGTCTAGTTAACACTGATCTCCTCCTTCTCTGAAGTTCTGTGGGAATAGAACTTTGTTGATGCCACACATTTTGTTATCCAACTGTATGTATTATTACTTTTCCTTTCCTGAATGCCAGTATGAACTCCATGACCAAATTATATGGTCTTTGAAGATACCAAATAGTGGAAATAGGTCTTTTGTAATCCCTTCAACAAGTCCTAGTACTGAATAAAAATGTAATGGCTGTTGAATTGGATTAAAAGTAAAAATATTCTTGGCCATTTTAGCTCTCTGCCAATTATTTTGACTTTTCTTCACAGTATCTTTGAGCGCATTCTTTCATATCATGATTATAAAAAGCATGTGTGGCAGCAGGCAGCCCTTAGGATCCTTCCCCCTGCAGACAGTCTGTGACAGTGCAGTGGTTCTCAAAACGTGGACCAGGAGCAGCAGCACCAGCACCTGGGAACCTGTTAGAAATGCAAATGCTTGGGCCTACCCCAAATCTACTGAAAGAGAAGTCCTGGGGGTGGAGCCCAGCATTCTGTTTCACCAAGCTTTCCAGATAATTCTGATGCATATTAAAGGATGAGAATCATTCTAGTGGTGGAAAGAGTCCTGGTTTAAGGTTAGAAGGTCTAGGAGTTTTTGGTCCTAACACATTTTGGTCCTGATGCTTATGTATCAATGAGAAAGTTACTTAACTTCCCTGAGCCTCTCCTTCCTCATCTGTGTTACGATAATCCTAACCCTGAGATGGGAGAGTGTCTTAGTTCATTTTTTTTGCTATGAAGGAATACCTCAGACTGGGTAACTTATAAAGAAAAGAGGTTTGTTTTGACTCATGGTTCTGCAAACTATACAAGAAGGATACTGCTGGCATCTGCTTCTGCAAAGGCATCAAGAAGTCTACGATCACAGCGTAAGGCAAAGAGGGAGCAGGTATGTTACACAGCAGGAGAGGGAGCAAAAAAAAAATGGACAGGTTCTTTTTTTTTCTTTCTTTTTTTTTTTTTTCTTTTTGCCAGACGGAGTCTCGCTCTGTTGCCCAGGTTGGAGTGCAGTGGTGCAATCTTGGCTCACTGCAAGCTCCACCTCCCGGGTTCACTCCATTCTCCTGCCTCAGCCTCCCAAGTAGCTGGGACTACAGGTGCCCGCCACCACGGCCGGCTAGTTTTTTGTATTTTTAGTAGAGACAGGGTTTCACCATGTTAGCCAGGATGGTCTTGATCTCCTGACCTCGTGATCTGCCCGCCTCGGCCTCCCAAAGTGCTGGGATTACAGGCGTGAGCCACTGCGGCCGGCCAAAAACAGACAGGTTCTTAAACAACCAGCTCTCACATGAACTAATACAGTGAGAACTCACTTATTACTGTGGGGAAGGCACCAAGGCATTCATGAGGGATCCACCCTCATGACCAAAACACTTCCCCCCACCTCCAACATGGGGGGTCATATTTCAACATGAGATTTGGAGGTGACAAACATCCAAACTATGTCAGAGAGTCAAGTGAAATCTCTTTTTTTTTTTTTTTTTTTTTTTTGAGATGGAGTCTCACTCTGTCACCCAGGCTGGAGTGCAGTGGCGGGATCGCGGCTTATTGCAAGCTCCGCCTCCCGGGTTCACGCCATTCTCCTGCCTCAGCCACCTGAGTAGCTGGGACTACAGGCGCCCGTCACCATGCCCGGCTAATTTTTTTGTATTTTTAGTAGAGACGGGGTTTCTCCGTGTTAACCAGGATGGTCTCAATCTCCTGACCTCGTGATCCGCCCGCCTCAGCCACCCAAAGTGCTGGGATTGTACAGGCGTGAGCCACCGCGCCCGGCCATGAAATCATATTTATGACTCATCCTTAGCTGTAAAAGGACCAGGAGTGGTAGCTCAAGCCCATAATCCCAGCACTTTAGGAGGCTGATGTGGGAGGATTGCTTGAGCCCAGGAGTTAGAGACCAGCTTGGGCAACGTAGGGAGAACCTATCTCTACAAAAAATTAGCCAGGCGTGATGGCACATGTCTGTAGACCAAGTTCTTGGGAGGCTGAGGTGGGAGGATTGCTTGAGCCTGGGAGTTTGAGGCTACAGAGAGCCGTAATCACACCACTGTACTCCAGCCTGGGTGACAGAGTAGCCTGTTTCAAAACAAACAGAACAAACAAAAACCCTGTAAAAGTATAGTGATGAAAGTCACAATTAGGCTGGACTGAATGGCTCACACCTGCAATCCCAGCACTTTGGGAGGCCGAGGTGAGGGAAGACTGATTGAGCGCAGGAGTTTGAGACTAGCCTGGGCAACATGGTGAAACCCCATCTCTACAAAACATTAGGTGTGGTGGTGCACATCTCTAGTCCCAGGTACCCAGGAGGCTGAGGTGAGAAGATTGCCTGAGCCCAGGAGGTCGAGACTGCAGTGAGCTGTGACTGTGCCACTGCATTTCAGCTTGGGTGACAGAGTAAGACCCTGTCTCAGAAAAAAAAAAGTCACAAGTAATGACAGGTGTTTCTTCATTCACAAGGTAGAATGGGATTGAACACAGAGAAGAATGCTTTCATTTTAAATTATTTTGCTCCCTTTTCCTTCCTGTTGTGGACTTGGTATAATTCTATCTGGCTTGGCAGGCCTTTGATTTCACAAGTTCATGAGCAGTGGCTTGTGTAATATTCCCAAGTCAGGTGCCAGATTATCTGTATAGACTTATCTCCCTTAGCAATGGCTGGCTTCAATGTAATTTTTTTTTTTTTTTTTTTTTGAGACAGAGTCTCGCTCTGTCGCCCAGGCTGGAGTGCAGTGGCGTGATCTCGGTTCACTGCAAGCTCTGCCTCCCGGGTTCATGTCATTCTCCTGCCTCAGCCTCCCCAGCAGCTGGGACTACAGGCGCACGCCGCCACGCCCAGCTAATTTTTTGTATTTTTAGTAGAGATGGGGTTTCACCGTGTTAGCCAGGGTGGTCTGGATCTCCTGACCTTGTGATCCACCTGCCTCGGCCTCCCAAAGTGCTGGGATTACAGGCATGAGCCACCGCTCCCGGCCTTCAATGTAATTTTTAAAACCCAAGTAATTTCACAGTGATGCAACTGAAAAACTTCCTGTCAACTATTAAAACTAATATGTTTGATAGCTTCACTAATAAAACTTAACCAGGAGAATGTAAGCCAACAAACCAAGTTTAAATTGAGTTTAAGTATTTATTCAAGATCAAACCATATTCATTTGATATATCAACTAGTGAACATGAATTTACTACATGGGAAGTATTGTCCCCAAATTATAAATCTGGTGGAATAAAGGGGAACTAAAGGTGAAGCAAACTGTAAATGTATTAAGTGTGTATCAAGTTGGACAGAGCAGTGAACATGCTCTGAGATCCCAGGCAGTTCTGCATGGCTGAGCAGAGGCTGACTACATGGAAAAAAAGTCTTTGGAGGATTCAGGGTAATGTTTCTGAGTTGTGGTTTACCAAGCCTCAAGACAGCAAGTCCACAGGGAAAGAGTGAGCCTGGCACCCAAACAGAAGCAAGCCTCGCTCTCTAGGGTGAGGTAACCTAGGAGTTCCGGTTAGAGATATGAAGCTATTGCTCAATTTGCAATGTTCTCTCACATCACAGATTGTGAGCATGGAATTAGGGTCAGATATCTGTCCTGGGCCAGGAGCAGGAAGATACACTCTTGGGCTCAAGTGATCCTTCCACCTCAGCTTCCCATGTAGCTAGGACTACAGGCACACACCACCATGCCTGGCGAGACCTTACTGTTTCATCTCCTAACTCCGACTCTGATTAGTGGTGTGAAAGTGAGCAAACCATTTCCACTTTCTAAGCCTGATTATACTCATTTTGTCAAGGCGAGGGTTGAAGTTTTTCCACCCCTGAGATAAAAAGGTTGAGTCTGGAAGCAGGATAAAAAGGATTACAGTTTAAGGAAGGAGCCAGCTGCCTTCAATAATGAGAGGCAGTGGGGCCTGTGAGAGGCTGTCCCTTTACATGAAGTATCCACAGGAGTGGACATTGCTGTAGAGTATCTAAAACATTACCCTGTAGGTAGTTTGCAAACCAGTGATTCCCTCACATCACAGTAAATTGATGAGTGAATTTTCTGAGTAACTAACTGCACAGTTGACACTAGAAAAGGACTATAGCTTAAAAAAAAAAGCAAGAAAGGTATCTTAGTTACCTATCACTTAGTTATCTTGCAGTTTTCTGAGGGACAGGAATACAAGCAGGCTGGTGCTGGGTCTCTTTCAATGGGGTAGTCATCTCATTCACATGGTAGCTGGCAAGATTCAGTTTATCATGGGCAGCTGGTCAATTCCTTGTCACCTGGGCCTCTTTGTTGAGCATCTCACAACATGGCAGCTGGTTTTTAATCAGATCAAGCAAGCAGGAGGACGAAAGAAAATGTGAGCAAGAGAGAGTGCTGGCAAGATGGAAGTGAAGGTCTGTTGTGTTTTAATCTTAGCAGTAATTGCCCATCACTATTTGAATATTCTGTTTCTTAGAAGCAAGTCACAGCCGGGCACGGTGGCTCACACCTGTAATCCCAGCACTTTGGGAGGCCAAGGCAGGCAGATGGCCTGAGGTCGGGAGTTTGAGACCAGCTTGGAGAAACCCCATCTCTACTAAAAATACAAAATTAGCTAGGTGTGGCGGCACGTGCCTCTAATCCCAGCTACTTGGGAGGCTGAGGCAGGAGAATCGCTTGAACCGGGAGGTGGAGGTTGTGGTGAGCCGAGATTGCGCCACTGCATTCCAGCCTGGGCAAAAAGAGTGAAACTGCGTCTCAAAAAAAAAAAAAAAAAGGAAGTCACTAGGTCCAGTCCATAGGCAAAAGAAAGGGATTTACACAAAGAAGTGAATACAAGAAGGCAGGATCACAGGGAGCCGCATCGGAAGCTGCCTCCCACAAAAGGCTTTCTATCGTGGGGTTCGTTTTCATCTAGACAATCCCCCAAATCCCCCAAATTCTGAGGTCATGAAGTAAGTTAGTTACATGGCAAGGAAATGCTGAACCTCCTTTTTTATGTGGGCTATGCTTGAGGGTTCTATTTTCTCAAATATGCATTCTTTCATTAAACAATAGTTATTAAACATGCATCTACTTGTACCAGATAATGTGCTAGGAGCAGGGGCTACTAAGATGATTGTAGGTTTGTTTCTGCCCTCGTGGGTTGGAGGAAGGTGGCGGAGGTAATATTTACATACATAGAAATGAGACATACCCCACACTATCTCTGCGAAACCTGCCTACTGAATAAGATAGTCTTAATCTTTCAGTTTTACCTTTTCACATGTGGATCAAATGTCATTATCAAGAACTTAACTTTAGGAACCCTTTAATTAGAATGTGTGATATGGTTTGGCTGTGTCCCCACCCAAAATCTCATCTTGAATTGTAATCCCCATAATCCCTGTGTGTCAAGGGAGCGAACAGGTGGAGGCAATTGAATCATGGGAGCAGTTTCCTCCATGCCGTTCTTGTGACAGTGGATGAGTTCTCACAAGAGCTGATGGTTTTATGTGTTTGGTAATTCCTCCTGCATTCATTCTCCTTCCTGCTGCCTTGTGAAGAAGGTGCATTGCTTCCCCTTTGCTTTCTGCCATGGTTAAGTTTCCTGAGGCCTCCCCAGCCATGCTGAACTGTGAGTCAATTAAACCTCTTTCCTTTATAAATTACCCAGTCTTGGGCAGTTCTATATAGCAGTATAAAAACGGACTAATACAATGTGTTTTCATTAAAGATCACTGGTAGCCCATTAAAATAGTTTATTTGCAAGTGTTCACATTCACCATAGAATAGAAAATATAGATAAGTAAAAAGAAGGAATTAAAATCATGAATAATCCCACTACCCATAGATAATAACAGATAACAGCTAATATCATTTCAATGTATTCCAAACTTTTTCAATGCCTGGGTGTTATTTTCCCCCTTCCATACCTGTCTGAAGCTCTTAATAGCATATTGTGAACACTGAGTCACTCATTTCCTGGAGGTCAACATCATTTGTGAGAAAGATAGTGGTGAGATGATTAGTAGTGTTTGCCCTTGGAGTGAGCCTAGCTACTTTTATTTTTTTAATTTTTAATTTTAATTTTAATTTTTGTAGAGATGAGGGTCTTTCTTTATTTCTTAGGTAGGTCTTGAACTCCTGGCCTTAGGCAGTCCTCCCACATTAGCCTCCCAAAGCACTGGGATTACAGGAATGAGCCACCACACCTGGTCTAGCTCCTTTTTTCACTCTTGTCCATGTCCATTTTTTCCTTTTTTTTTTTTTTTTTTGAGCAGAGTTTTGCTCTGTCACCCAGGCTGGAGGGCAATGGCATGATCTCAGCTCACTTGCAACCTCTGCCTCCCTGGGTTCAAGTGATTCTCCTGCCTCAGCCTCTCCAGTAGCTGGGATTACAGGCACGCACCACCACACCTGGCTAATTTTTGTATTTTTAGTAGAGATGGGGTTTTACCATGTTGGTTGGCCAGGCTGGTCTTGAACTCCTGACCTCAGGCAATCTGCCCACCTTGGCCTCCCAAAGTGCTAGGATTACAGGTGTGGGCCACCGTGCCTGGCCGATTTTTTCCATTTTGTTCATTCTTTCTTTCAGCCCACAGACTCTTCCTTCTTGCCTCTCCTCTCCACCTGTCCTACTTTTCCTCCCATTTAAGCCTTTTTTTTTCTACCTATGGCCAACCTTTCACTCCTTCTGTTAACCAGCTCTCTCCTTCATCCTTCATGACCCAGTGCAGTCATAAGCGTTTGTGGGAGACATTCCTTGATCCTTGCAGACTCTTAAACACTTTGAGAGTCTGATTTTCCTCTGATTTTCCACAGCATTCTCTTCTTACCTCTATTATTGTACTATCTCATGTGAGCATTACAAATTTAGGTGTCTGCTTCCCTAGAGTAGATTCATTTTATTCATCTCCATAACCCTTGAAATATATGGAAGAGCTTCTGTAACGTTTGCAAAATGAATGAATAAAAACACCCATCCTGTCGGAGTTACCTAGAACTGCTATTTATGAGCACATCTGGAATCCCTTGGCAAGCCCCTGGGCTATCCAGGCTTCTGCCCTTCATACACAAGTACTGTGAGTCCTCCAAGAAAACCTCCTCAAAGGCTCAATTCCAAATCGCACAGAGAGGTATTGAATAACACAGCCAAAAAGGGAAGAAGTACTTTCGGGTAAGATAGGCAGTATATGAGAATAGAGGTCTTGGAAATGCTGTTTATGATGGCCTAGAATCCACGACTAAAGAATGTGCATTTTCGAAGACAAAATTAGTAGCATTACATCTTTATAGAGAAAAGTAGGGCTGCTAGAAACACATCCACATAGCCATGAGGTTGACTGAAGCAAGACAAAAGAGGTGTTTTTCTTTCTTTCTTTCTTTTCTTTCTTTCTTTCTTTCTTTCTTTCTTTCTTTCTTTCTTTCTTTCTTTCTTTCTTTCTTTTCTTTTCTTTTCTTTTCTTTTCTTTTTTTGACTGAGGGCAACAGTCAGTTCTCCAGTCATAATTCTGATGCTCGACAATGATTTGAACAATGAGGGAGGAGGAGGAGGCTAAAGAAGAAAGAGAAGCACCCACTGGGTGGCCTGGGAGGGAGCTACCCAGTGAGCAAATGAATGCAAATGAACTGAGCTGATTTTTGTTGTGATGACAGATGACTTTCCCGCAGGGTCCCAAGAGCAGCCCAGCAGGACAAAGCAGAGGGGCAAAACCGGACCATTGTGCCGGATCTAGGGAATGTTGCTGGTGACTGCTAGCTTGTCTGTCCTTAGAGGAAAACCACCAGAGTTCAAGTTGTGGAGAGCTGAGGAGACTGCATGCAGTATTCTGATTTGTTTCTGTGCCATGTGTCATATTAATGAAGTAGGATTACTTTAAGCTAAAACAATTATACTAGGATTTCAGTGTTTAGTGTTTTTTTATTATTTTGGCTTGTCCTGTTATCATTATGGCTAGCTGTGCTTAAAGAAACATCTAGAGTTTCGCATTATTTTTTCTTAGAAAATGAGAGGAGACACCTGACTTGATCTTTATTAGGGAGTGAAATTTCTGGTCCCTGATAAACATGTAGTTTCACAAAGAGGTGAGACACATCTTGAAGTTATACTTTGAGGATCCTCATTTGGCATTACACAGGGTTGGGCAGTGTGGGTCATCTCCATCTTGTCTCCTCTCCTTTATGCCCTGTGTTCCACCATAGCAAGCATGACCTTTGCCTTTTCTCCTTGGCCAACTCTTACTCATCCTTCACCCAGTACAGCACCCAGCATGTATGGAAAACCTTCTTTGACCATTACAGATTCTGAAATGCTCTGTCCCCTGATTTTCCACAGCACTCTCTTCTTACCTCTATTACTATACTTCACATGAGTGTTACACATTTAGGGAACTGGACAAAGGACCTCTGTGTTGTATGCACATGCTGTGGCTTGTGGCCCAAACAACCCCCAAATCCGTTTTTGTTGTCCTGGGAGGTAATCCTTACCTTCCACTCCACTTTGCTCTTTAATGAGACTAAATGGGCCACCTTTGTTTCTTCTCAAGCAGCATTTGATGAGACTAGTCAGCGATGACAGGCAGCTTTCATCCCCCACTGAGCCAATTCCACCCGGCAGGATTGCACTTGCCCACCTTGATAGGTGGCAAGACAATTACTGATGGCTTTCTAGACCTGCTTCAAAGCTTCCTGTAACCTGGCAGCGAATGAAATGCACAACCTTCCAACTCAATGACATTTAAGGCAACCACTCATCGGTTCAGGCAGCAAAATAAATTGGTACTCAGCTGCTCCCAGTCTATTTTTCTGGTTAGAACTATAAAGAAAAGAAATGATTGTGCCACTGCATGTGTGACAACAACCTGCCCCCTCCCTCAAGCAATCACATTCTCTTGCTCTCTCTGGCTTTGTTCTGGTCCACCTGAAGAACAGAGTGTTAAGGATTATATTTGGAGGTTGCCTAGTGCTATATGTCTACATCTGAGTCCTACACATACAGATAAATATGATGAATGGATATACATTTAAATTACATATCCACCCCTACTGAATTTGTCATTCATTCGTATGAAAATATTTTCCATTAAATATGATAACTCCCTAAAATTCTTATTTAGTCCTTTATTCATGGGACTAAAGTTGCATCACTCAATGGTGACATTTAAAGGACAGTTAATACTGTAACACAGAATAATGACCTTGTGAAGTGTGGTGTATTTGGTGTGCTTATCCAATAATTTATAGATTCCATAAATATTAGTTATGATGTATGAAGAGAACTCAAAAGGCAAGAAATATTTTTCCCAAGGATTGTGAAATGTATCATTTTAAAAAGCATGTTCCAATACTTACTTGCTTCCTGATTTCCCCAAATTTCTTCCCTTCTAAGCCATAAGTGTTGTGTTTCTCCCCCAGTAGTCAAACATTAACAATAAAAACAAGAAAACACTCTTCCTCCCTTCCACCCACCAAACACTGATGTCTTTGGTCTGTACAAACACGAAGAAGAAAAAAAGGAATCAGTCAAACCAAATGATCTTCACTCTCTTTCAGACTAAATCTGCTTTAATCAGTGTGCTAGCACCTTCTGTCAAACTCCCCGACTGCTTAAAGCAATACATTATTCCTTCAGTTTCGGCAAAAGTTAAACCTTTGCCAGCCCCAAAACTGACTCTACGTGGAGGCTGTTGCCAAGTTGATTTTTCTGGCTCAGCCGGGAGGCTGCTCCCTGGCTCTGTTCTAAATTAATAAGGCCAATCAGAAATGCACAAAGCCTGGACGGCCAATCATTCTTCTCGAGGCTTTTGCCATCTCCTCCGCGGTCAGATAAATCATGTTAAAGCCATTCCACCGATGACCATAAATTAGGGGGCCTGGCCGCCGTCCCTCCCAAGGACACCGCAGACTGAGATTATTCTGTCGGCCGCACTCGGCCCCCAAGGAGTAGCACTGCGAGGGTGGAGGGTCCTCCAGCGCGGGGGCGGGGGTGTAGGCCCCGAGTGATTTCCTGCCACAGTGCCGGAGCGGGACTGGCGCTGCCTCCCGGGTCCAGGTTCCAGCCGCTCCCAGCTGTTGGCGGCGCTGCTGAGATGATGGCCTGGATCCCCCAGGTTCCGGGACTCCCCAGGTGGCTCCCCGAGGCTATTTACAGCTGAGGTTCGGCCGGTGATTGCTGGGACGGAAAACTCATTTCTCAGCCTGGCTTTTATTTACACTCTTATTAAGGAGGCTTTCATTCGTGTTGGAATGGCAGCGAGAGGCTGCGGGCCAGGCGGCCGAATGGGTCGTGCCCGAGCGACAGCGGCCGCCTGCGCCGCGACCTTGAGGGCAGAGGAGCGTGGGCGGCGTGCGGGGACAAAGGCGCGCGGGGAGCCTGGGTCACGGCTCTGCAGCAGACACGGGACCTCCACGTTTCTACCACCCCGGAAAGTTGAGCGCCTTGGGGGCTGCATTTCTCCCTTTATTGGTAGCTGGTTCGGCTCGCCCCTTTGCCCGACCACACGCTCTTTGTAAATACAGAATAGGACAAAACGGAAAGAGTGATGTGCTGTCCCCTCCGTCTAAAACCCTAAGTAAATACCCAGTCCTCCCCCAGACTCTTCTCCACCTGTGGTTCAGGTGTCTGGGAAGAAGGCCCTGCACGCCCGTCCGCGCCTCCCCTGCCCGGGGGAGCCCCGGGTAGGCAGTGGCCAAAGACTCTGTAGAACAACTCCCGGGAGGGCAGGCTCGCGGCTGCTCCTCCCGTTGGCAGCGCCTCAAACCCTGGCAGGCCCGCGTGTGTGCATGTGAGCCTGCATGTCCTGAGAATCCCCCTGCAGCCTCGCACATCTGGGTCCCCTAGCCATGCATATTCATGCCCCAGAGCAGTAAACCCAGGTCAGCTGCTCGGAGACAGTGAATCGAGTTCTTGAAAACTGACCAAGCCCGTGACTTCAATAAAATGAAGACAGAGCTGTCTTTTCTCCAACTCCTGAGCAAAGCTCATAACACTTGAGGCATTTTTGTTTTTTTCTGAAAGGGACAAAAGAAACGGGGGAAGTCAGCTGTAGGAGTGGTGTGGAGAGTGTGTCTACAGTTCTTCCATTGCTGTAGAAATCGTGATTTGTTTCTTGTATCCTACCTACTCCCTTTGTTAGTTTCCTCAGCCTCAGGAGAAGTGGGTATCATTTGCAATATTCTTTCTTTTGCATGTGGTCCCTGTTGGTGTAACATGCTCTTCCATTTTACCCTTATCATCCTCCTATTTGGTGATGTTCCTCCCCTCCCCTCTCCTCCCCAGAAAAAAGCAGTTTCCACATGTGCCCTCCTAACCCTCCTTTCTGTAACTTCCATAAAAAATGCCCCTTTTCCGGGCGCGGTGGCTCACACCTGTAATCCCAACACTTTGGGAGACCGAGGGGTGCGGATCACTTGAGGCCAGGAGTTCGAGACCAACCTGAGCAACATGGTGAAACCCTGCTTCTACTAAAAAACAAAAACAAAAAAACCAAAAATTAGCCGGGCGTCGTGGTGCGTACCTGTAATTCCAGTCGCTCTAGAGGCTGAGGCATGAGAATT
Source organism: Homo sapiens (assembly GCF_000001405.40). Lineage (NCBI taxonomy): Eukaryota > Metazoa > Chordata > Mammalia > Primates > Hominidae > Homo > Homo sapiens. The sequence goes on from NC_000012.12 coordinate 62,633,488, forward strand.
GCTTGAACCTGGGAGGCAGATGTTGCAGTGAGCCGAGATCGCGCCACTGCACTCCAGCCTAGGCGACAGAGCAAGACTCTGTCTAAAAAAACAAACAAAAAACAAACAAAACTGTTTTCCCTTCCCTGGTGGCTCAGGGGCACAGTCACTCTCTTGCACAGCCTGATGGCAGGAGATGGGGTGAGGGTGGCTGGGCTGGGGTGGCCCTGGGAAGACGATATCAGAACAATAATACTTGACTGCCCTACCAACCTAACCGCCTCATAGCCCCTCAGGACTCCAGTCCAGTGAGGGACACTGTTTAGGGCTGAAATGTGTTCAAAATTTATATGAGAGTCAAAACTGCGAGTATCTCAGAATGTGACTGTATCTGAAGATAGGGCCTTTATAAAGAGGTAATTAAGGTCAAATGAGGTCACATGGGTGGGCCTTAATCCAATCTGGTTAGTGTCCTTTGAAGAAAAGGAAATTCAGACACACAGAGGATTTGTTTACACGGAGAAATGACATGACGAGAGGGAGGCGATCTGCAAGCCAACCAAAGAAGCCTCAGGAGAAACTGAACCTGCTGGCACCTTAGCCACCCAGTCCGTGATATTTTATTATGGCACACGAATACAGGTACTAAGGAGGTCTGTCCAGAAGTCAGTCCTGAAGTCCTCCCTCCTCCTCCGTGACCTGGGAACTCTCCCTCAGGATGGTACTGGCCTGGCACAACTTTTCTTTTTGTTATATTCCAGGTGTTCTTGTTCTTTGAGACAGGAACCTATACCCAGTGAAATTTCCCTGTTGCTGAGTCTTTATTTCTACCCCTCTTGTTTGATTTTTCAGTTTTGTCCTGTGTAAGATTCCCAGATAAAATAGAAGACACCCATTTAAATTTGAATGTCAGATGATAGTAGTTTTTTAGTATGAGTACAACCCAAATATTGCAAGGGACATACTTAATTTAAAAAATTCTTTATCTGAAATTCAAATCCAAGTAGATGTCCTGTATCTTTTGTCTGATAAGTCTGCAAACGTTACTTTAGAGGTGTGTCCTTAGTATCTTTACACAGTGTTTCTCACCTTAGAATCAGCTAGAAAACTTTTTTTTTTTGAGATGGAGTTTCGCTCTTGTTGCCCAGGCTGGAGTGTAGTGGTGTGATCTCGGCTCACCGCAACCTCCACTTCCTGGGTTCAATCGATTCTCCTGCTTCAGCCTCCCAAGTAGCTGCAATTACAGGCACGTGCCACCACACCTGGCTAATTTTGTATTTTTAGTAGAGACGGGTTTCTCCATGTTGGTCAGGCTGGTCTTGAAATCCTGACCTCAGGTGATCCGCCCGCCTCGGCCTCCCAAAGTGCTGGGATTACAGGCGTGAGCCACCGTGCCTGGCCAAAACATTCAAAAGATACTGATGATTGGGTCCCTCCCTGGGGGATTCTGATTTAATTGGTCTGAGGTCTGACCTGGTAGACAGGGTTTTTTTAATGCTCCCAGGTGATGTTAACATGCAGCCAAGCTACAGAAGCACTGCAGGAAGGGACAGGTATTAACTAAATGTTCACAGCTATTTCATTGTTGTATTTAAGCTCCCTTAAGCTTAAATTCTTTGGGTTTCTTGTTCCTTTGTTCTGCTAAAAATGTCATCTTATTACTCCTCTTATTGCTGAGCCCAGAGGCAAAGGTCAAACAGATCATCGAAAAATGCCCTGTTAGTATGTGAAATGGTCATCTTATTTCAGGTCAACTGAGCCCATAGAGAGAGATGTCAAGAGCTGTAATATTGATACCACCACAGCAAATGACTTTCCATCCAGACACATTCGGTTTTATAACAAATAGTGCAACTGGGCACCCTGGTAAAAGATTTACCTTTTACCATTACTTTTATTACAGACCACTGCTCAAGAATGTAGGATCTGTTTTAAGCATACTTCTAGTTCAAGAGGATTTGAACATAATTTCGTTCAGTTCTTCCAGACCCTGACTATCTGTCCTTTTTGACTATTAGTTGGCATTTATAGAGAGCCAAATCTTACTTGCTCCTCACTATTTACTGAAAAGTTGGAAGATTCAGGTACTATGGTTAAAACCCGTGGGGTAACACACCATTCATTCTGCTTGTGTAAGGGCCTTATAATGGGGTCTGGTACTCAATGTCACCATGAAGACAAGCCTTGACAACATACACCTTCATAGTGCATGCTAAGGAGCTGTTGGCAGAGCTACAGCTGAGCAAGAGTCAAAACTAGATGAGAGGAAAATAAGATGCCTGTGACAAAAACACATTTTATAGAAAATGGTGCTGGTGGGTCAGCAGATGACATTGATTAGTTAGTATGTCTCAGTGCAAAGTTCAGGGATGGGGATTCAATGTGAAAGGGCTTTGTTAAAAATGCCATCCAAATAAGGGTGTACACAATGGAGGTTTTGTGACTAGCCCTTATTATCTAATGAGAAGTTACAGAAAACTGGAGTGGTAATTGGCAGTTGGGTGTCGACTACATATAAGCTTTAGATTTGAAATATTGGCTTTGGTGCTACTTGGCACTGTGTCCATGGGAAACTACTTTACCTACCTGAACTTTTATTTTTTCATGTGGAAAAGGGCTTTCAGAATGGCAGAATAAAAACCTCTGAAAATCTACTCCTCCATACAAAGAAAATTCTGGCAAAAATTGCCAGAACCAACTTTTTCAGAACTCTGGAAATTAACCAAAGGACTGCAACAATCTGAGGAATGTGTATTCAAGAAAAATGGCTGAACCTCAGTAAAAATAGGGAGCTTTGTGACATTTAGTTTTAAAGAGACAGGGTCTCTGTCACCCAGGCTGGAGTGCAGTGGTGCAATCATAGCTCACTGCAGCCTCAAACGATCCTCCCACTTCAGTCTTCTGAGTAGGTGGGACTACAGGTGCGTGCCACCATGCCCAGCTAATTTTTATTTTTTATTTTTAGAGGCAAGACTTTGCCTCTAAAGTTGCTCAGGCTGGTCTCAAACTCCTGGGCTCAAGCGATCTTCTCACCTCAGCATCTTTGAATAGTCGGGATTACAGGCATGTGACACCTCACCTGTATGTAACATTTTTACTTGACCAATCTCCTTACCCTTCTTTCCAGATCTGTGGTAGGCTTGAACACTAACAGCTTCTCAACCATGACAGCTCTGAGTACCAGCAGACTAGCAGCCAACAGTGAGGCAGAATAGGTTTGCAGCCCTAGCAGACCTGTTTACAAGAAATGCTTTTTTTTTTTTTTTTTTTTTTTTGGAGACAGGGTCTCACTCTGCTGCCCAGGCTGGAGCACAGTGGTGTGATCATGGGTCACTGCAGCCTCAGACTCTTGGGTTCAGTGATCCTCCTACTTCACCCTTTCACGCAGCCAGGACTACAGGTGCACACCCGGTTTATTTGTAAACTTTTTTTTTTTTTTGAGACAGAGTCTCGTTCTATCACACAGGCTGAAGTGCAGGCATGATCTCTGCTCACTGCAACCTCCGTCTCCCCGGCTCAAGCGATCCTTCTGCCTCAGCCTCCCAAGTAGCTGGGACTACAGGTACATGACGCCACATCCGGCTAATTTTTGTATTTTTTTGTGGAGATGGGGATTTGATATGTTGTCCAGGCTGGTCTCAAACTTCTGAGCTCAAGTGATCCACCCATCTTGGCCTCCCAAAGTGCTGGGATTACAGGCATGAGCCACCACACTGGCTAAGTTTTTTGTAGACATGGGGTTTCACTATGTTGTCCAGGTTGGTCTTGAACTCCTGGCCTCAAGTGATCCTCCCACCTTGGCCTCCCAAAGTGCTGGGATTACAGGCATGAGCCATATACCTGGCCTACAAGAAATACTAAGGGGAGTCCTTCAGGCTAAAATGAAGGGACACTAGGGAATAACTTGAATCCACATGAAGAAATAAAGGATGCTGGTAAAGGTAAATACACAGAAACCATAAAAGGCAGTAGAAATGTATTTTGTTTCTAATTCTTTTCTTCTCCCATATAATTTAAAAGACAACTACATAAAACAATAATTACTAAACTGTTGACAGGCTTATACTGTAGAGAGTTGTAATTTGTATGACAAATAGCACAGAAGAGAAGGAAGGAAATGGAAGTATATATTGCAGCTAAGTTTTTGTTTACTATTGAAATTAAGTTTGTATTAATCCAAACTATATTGTTTTAAGATGTTATTGTAATCTTCAGGACAACCATTAAGAAAATAACTCTGTTAGGAGAGCAGTGGGGTCCTCAGTATGGTTCCTTTAGGCAGCTCTGCTGACCCCACCCTTTCCTGAACTGCCCTTCTGTCCCAGAGGAGTCACGCTGACCCCACCCACCTTGCTGCTGGGCTTTGGACCCCAGTCTTGAAAAGGCCCGGCCGTGCTGGCTCTGCCCCTCAAAGGGGCTGTGAGCAAGGTAGGAGGGAGCTGGTCTCCTTTCTTGGGCCCCACCTAGGACCCGAGCACCACCTACCCCTGTGAGGGCCCCAGGCCTTAAGTCCCTGGTTGGGGGCGGGGGGGGGGGGTGCTATGGGTTTGTGACTCCAGCAGAGCAGAGGAACAGGGCACTGGAAGTGAGCTCAGCATGTGATTCAGTGATGGACCAGGTTTGGAAGGGCCAGTATACTTGTCATTGTTGTCGTTGGTTTGTTGTTGTATGTTCCAGGATATCAGTATTTTAACAGGTTCTAAGTGCCTTTCTATTGTAACTTATGTTTTCCCTCCTCTTGGCTCCATTGCTGTTAGCATAGTTTAAAAAAAAGAAATAAGCTAATGACTATAACAATATATTCCTCCATGGGAGAGGAAGTTTATAAAGAAACAGTAAAAGTGAGTTGCAAAAAATAAAAAATAAAGAAACAACAGGAAATTAAAATGGTATACTGGAAATTATTTCTCACAAAATAAGGCAGTAATGGAAAAATAAAGGAGTAAAAAGACAGACACATAGAAAACAAATAGCAAAATGGCAGATGTAATTCCTATTTAATCGTTAATCAGGTTAAGTTTCTATGGACTGAGAATTCCAATCAAAAGGTAGAGATTGGCATAATGAATTAAAAAAAAAGACTCAACTATATTTCTCTATAAAATACACTTTAGATTCAAAAATGCATACAGGCTGAATGTGAAAGGATGGGAAAAGATGTACTATGCAAAAAGTAACCAAATAAGGGCAGGAGTGGCTGTACAAATATGTAACAAAATAGACTTTAAGACAAAAATTGCTGGCAGAGACAAGGGATACTTTACAATTAAAAAAGGCCAATCCATCAGGAAAACAATTATAAACACAGATGCACCTAACAACAGAGCCCCCACCCTAAAATACATGAAGCAAGGACAGACAGAATGGAAGAAACAGCCAACTCAACAGTAATAGTTGGAGACTTTCATACCCTACTTTCAATAATTGATAGAAAAATTAGGTAGAAGATCAATAAGAAAATAGAAGACTTGGACAGTATGATGAACTAACTAGGTCTAACAGACATCTACAGAACAGCCAACAACAGCAGAATACACATTCTTCTCATGTGCACATGGCACCTTCTCCAGGATAGATCGTATGTTAAGCCACAAAACAAACCAATATGTTAAAAGGATTGAAATCATACAAAGTATGTTCTCAGATCACAATAGAATGAAATTATTTCCTCATCTGCAAAAAATGATAACATCTACCTGAGCGGGCGATACAAGAATTAAAACCAAGTAGCCAGCATGGGGCATAATAAACTTTTTTATTATGAGATACTTTGTTAATTGTAAGAACAGATTGCATGTATGCTTTCCTTTGCCTCATGACTAGAGTGTGGCAAATGATGGGTTAACTTCCTCCTTTTAAATTAGAAAAAAATATTAACCATTTTCAATTTGTGGCAGATTATAAAATTGATAGTGTTATAGTTTTGAGAAAATACAGTATCACAACCCCGATGCATCTTACCACCAATATGACTAGAAGCTGAATGTAGGACTACCTTAGAATACAAACTGGCAAATTTATAAATTGCCCTGTGTTTATAAAACAAGATAAATGATTATGGATCTACCTGAATTTTCCTTAGCAATAGGCCATGAGTGTTCATTCATATGTTTGACTCTCTTCATTTCACACCAGAGAGGCAAGATCAGGCCACATTCTTTTTTTTTTTTTTTTTTTTTTTTTTTGAGACGGAGTCTCGCTCTTCCGCCCAGGCTGGCGTGCAGTGGCGCTATCTCGGCTCACTGCAAGCTCCGCCTCCCGGGTCCACGCCATTCTCCTGCCTCAGCCTCCAGGGTAGCTGGGACTACAGGCGCCCGCCACCACGCCCGGCTAATTTTTTCTATTTTTAGTAGAGACGGGGTTTCACCGTGTTAGCCAGGATGGTCTGGATCTCCTGACCTCGTGATCCGCCCGCCTCGGCCTCGCAAAGTGCTGGGATTACAGGCGTGAGCCACCGTGCCCGGCCAGGCCACATTCTTACGAGTTAATTCTTCTAGTCAAGGAATAAAGCTTGACCTTATACTGTCTTAAAACAGATCTTAGTTCAGATTATCTATGGCTGCTTTTGTGCAACAATAGCTGGTTTGAGTAGCTGTGACAGAGTCCAAATGGCTCATAAAGCCTAAAATATTTACAATTGGGATCTTTACAGAAAAAGTTTGCAGAACCATAACCTAAGAACTAAATAAATAATCCTTGGGTGGCGCTGGCAGATGATATTCCAGGAAAGACACTGAAAAAAACATGCAGTCATCCTTTTATTTCCAAGTTTGCATAACTTTCTTCAATATGGCCAATCTTGTTTCATCTGTAAACCCATCCCCTCCCTTCCCTTTATTACTTTGAAGCAAATCCAAGACATACATTGGTAATATTTTATCTACAAATATCGGAGTCTATTTGCATTGTATTTTAAGGCATATAATACTTATGATAGCATTTATCTTTTTTGCAAATATGAGAACAACCACACTGTTAATTTTCCTTCAAATTCTACGGTGCAATTGGTAGATTGGCCAAATGTTCTCTGACTTGTATTTAAAAATGATAAGAATGAGCTGGGTGCGGTGGCTTACACCTACAATCCCAGCACTTTGGGAGGCTGAGGTGGAAGCCCAGGAGTTTGAGGCCAGCCTGGGCAACATAGCATGACCCTGTCTCTACAGGCATGGTGGCACATGCGTGTAGTCCCAGCTACTTAGGAAGCTGAGGCAGGAGGATCACTTGAGTCTAGGGATTTGTGGTTGCAGTGAGCCATGTTCGCACCACTGTACTCTAGCCTGGGCAAAAGATCAAGACCCTGTCTCAAGAAAAAAAAAAAAAAATCCCAAAATGAGAAATTTAATTTTTTCACCTAAGACAGTAATAGTGGAAACTTCACAGTTCTCCAGAAATTTCTCCCAACTTTTTTTTTCACTGACCAAACTCAGTAGGGAGGTAAATATCTAATTCAGAACTGCTGAGACCACTATTTTCAGGTTTTACAGTTATTTAGTTTAAATCAAAGATGTTTGGTTACTAAGCCTACACTTCCTGTAGTGTTTGAAGGGTGTGAGGTGACTCAGCTTGGGACATTTTGCTGCTGTAACTTCACATTTCTCTCACTTTCATGTCAACCATTCCTATACCCCCATCCACAGTTCTGAATGAGCTCACCTACTTTTACTTTATAGTGATTAAATTTGCAAATACCAAATTTTAAAAAGAGGATTAAAGAAAAAGCTCAGATTTGTATGGCCCTTTCAGGGAAGGGCTGTCCTTTAGGTCTGCATTCAGACCTTCCAAAGCCCTGTCCGTGGCCCCACTTGCACCAACAAACTGATCCGACCCAGTCCCCAGAAGACAACCGAGGTGCACACTGCCCCCACCTTGTGCTCAGTCATACTTGGAATGTGTCGCAGGCAGCCTAATTGAAATCAGTAAAGCAAAAAGGGTTAGCTAGCTGGAGGATCTTGTCAGAAGTGAAAGACAAGAGACTGAAAATGTAGGGAATATACTGAGTGAGCAGCAGTGTTTTCAGGGTTCTAATGATAGAGAACACAATTAAAAAGGCAGACTAATTGCTAGGAAAGGTAATTCATTCTTTGGCTTGTCATTTAAAGGAAACAACTGGGATGGCAATAAGTGTGAAGTATTTTGTAGATAGGGATTTTTTTTTGAGACAGGATCTCGCTCTCTCACCCAGATTGGAGTGCAATGATGCGATCGTGGCTCATTGAAGGCTTGATCTTTCGGGTTCAAATGATCCTTCCACCTCAGTCTCCTGAGTTGTGGGGACTATAGTTGTGCACCACCACATTTGGCTAAGTTTTGTATTTTTTTTTGTAGGGACTGGGTTTCATCATGTTGCCCAGGCTGGTCTTAAACTCCTGAGCTCACGTGATCTGCCCACTTTAGCCTCACAGAGATTGGGATTACAGGCATGAGCCACCATGTCCAGCTGAGATTTTTAAATGAGAATTTTTAAATATACACACACAATTTGAAAATGGTCTTATTTTCCCTAACACTGTGAAGTTCTTTAGAATCAAAGAGCCATTTGACTGTACCAAAGGTCATAAGTAGTACAACATAGGATGGTCTTATCATAAATTTGTGGTTAAATTAGCGACCTTTGTTTTCCCCTTCTAGGCTCATAGCCTCCAAATGGCCATCACTTTCTTGGCTTAGTAAGGCTCATTACCAGCTGCAAGCAGCAGCAAAAGCATACACGTGAATGTAGGGATTATGAGTTCGTCCCTGCATTACTGCTAAAAAACTGATTCTCCCATTTCAGTCACCCTACCACATTGCATATGGAAGATTATTTCCCACGTCAGAAGTATATTTTCTCAATGCCATTTTCTCTTTAAAAAATTTACATTTTTAACCATTTTACTCCCAAACCCCGAGAGCCAGGTTCTCTATACCTTATTATTTGTTCATGGATCTGTGGGCCAGGAATTTGAGCAGGGCTAAGTGGGGATGATTCTCTGCTCTATAATGTTTGTGGCCTCAAGCGGAATGACCCAAATAGCTGAGAGCTGGCTAGGCCTCTCTCTCCTTATGTTATCACCTGGAGGGACTCATTTGGGGCCTCACTCCCAATGTCTGGGCACTGTGGTTCTCTCCCACGTGGCCTCTACTCACTCACTAATCTAGTCTGACATTTACAGGGTGACTGGCTTCCAAGAGTGAAAAAGCAGGTGCTAGGAGACCTCCAGAGATCTCAGCTCAGAAGTCTCAGAATGTCACTTCTGCATTTTATTAAAGCAAGTCACAAGCCAGACCAGACTCAAGGGGTGGGGAAACAAACTCCACCTCTTGATGGGAAAAGGAACACTTGCATACAGACATAGGAAGCATTGTTGGCAGCCATTTTGGGAGACAACTGCCACACCTTTCAAGAGCTAATCACGACAGAATGTTAGAAGACTCCTCCATCTTCCATGGAGAAGAAATGTCCCAATCTCCTGGTATCTAATCCAAGGATGGATTTTTTCCATTGTTTTCCACTACTGAGTTGGGGAGAAGGAGGCAGCATCAGCATTAGGGTACAAGTGAAGGTGAATAGAGCTGAGGATGTTTCACAATAATAGCATTCTAATATGACTGTCTTCCATTCTGTTCTTCCCAAGCTTCCACTTTTAGCTTGCTTTTGTGAATCAAGACCGTGGATCATTCAAAATAGTTTTTTCTTTTTCTTCTTTTTTTTTTTTTTGAGACAGGGTCTCCCTCTGTCCCCCAGGCTGGAGTGTAGTGGCACAATCACAGCTCACTGCAGCCCCAACCTAGGTGCAAGTGATCCTTCCACTTCAGCCTCCTGAGTAGCTGGGACTATAGGCACAGCTATAGTCATCACCACACCTGGCTAATTTTTATAGAGATGGGGTCTTGGTATGTTGCCCATGCTGGTCTTGAACGCTTGGGCTCAAGCAATCCTCCCCGCTTGGCCTCCCAAAGTGCTGGGATTACAGGCATGAGCCACCATGCCTGGTCATTTAAAATATTTTGTTGGTATTTTATAGATTACTTTTAACTTCCTGGATTTTAGAACTAAGCAGAATTAGCATGCTCTGATGCCTTATCCCACCTGTCACAGTAACTTTCCTCTATAAGATGGTACATTTTACTAACCCTTTGTAAGTACATACTTAAAATGCTTAAGCGATGAAGGGAAGTCTGGATTCTTACTGTCTTCAGCAAGATTAGGCTCTAGCCCTCTCACTTAAGAATACCTCTTGGGAGTAATTCTTTTCTCTGAATTATTCATGTGTTTACTAATGGTATCCATGGTAATAATGGTATCCAAAGGCATAGTTGAAATGTATTAGCCTTTACTGTTATTCCTGTGAAGGCTTATAGTGTTGGCATCCATTCCCTCTGGATTTCGAGTCTGTGTTCACAGTTGATAATCTCACATTGAGCCATGATACTCTTTGTATCATTATCATTACCTGATATAAAGAAACCAGACAGACCATTACCTGATACAAAGAAACTTCACAGTGAATTCATAGAAAAGACAGAAAAAAGTTTTGCTGAATATGTCGTATATACATATATATAATATTTTATTTTAAAATGTCATTGAACATATACATTTCTTTAGCTTTTTCCAGGGGACATTGCACCTAAGTTTCAAAACACACAAAATAGATCCCCTTTACTAAACAGTTTTCATTTTGGGGTTACAAAAAAGTCAATGTTTCACAATCACAAAGCATAAAGGTACATGGTTCTGAAACAATTTCCAGGCAGATTTCTCTCATTCACTGTACTAGGGTAGTTTTGGAAACCCAGACCATGATCCATTCCTTACAAATGATCTCCACCATGGGCCTCCCTGGGTCTCCAGAAAAAAAACAAAGAAAACTGGGGGCAAAACAGGAGTAAAATAATAACCTCAGGACTCAGGAAACAAACACAAAATACTTGTGGGAGATCAGAAAAGTAGAGGACACAGGTTCTCCTTCAAGTACATCACAGTAGAAAACTACAGCACATTTACAGCCTTATTTGGTCACTGTCTACCTGGTTGCTACATGAACAAAACTTCACCTAAGACACAGAAGAAAAATTAAAGCTATTTACACAGATAACACTGTGGATTCGAAAGAGCAGTCCTCTGCAGACCGGCACTCCATCTGACAAAAGCCACAGTGCTCACAGAAGAGGCAAGTCAGTCTGCTCGCGTAGCGTCCTTTGAAAAATCCCAGTGTACAAACATGTGCCACGTCACCACACAAAACCAAAGTCTGCTCAGAGAGGTGGGCTATGGTGTGCAGGCTGCAACCTTTCTCTGCAATTGTTAAGTCTTCAAAAATCTGAGTTCCTCACATAAAATTCTGTGCTGTGGCCAGAGCTCGTTTTACCATTTTCTTAGATTGGATCACTTTTAGGATCAGCTTCGTTGTTCTTTGCGTAGACAATGACTCTCACAGCTTTCTCCAAGTGTCCCAGAAGCACTAACTTACTGAAAATAGAATCTCATCAAAGCTTAACATATTCACTCTGAAAACAGCGGAGCTGCTGGGTCGCTTAAGGAAAGCTGAGAACCTCAAACCTGTGGAAGGAAAACCAGTGACCACTTGTGGCCTTATAAAGTTGATTGGCAGGTGAGGAAGGGGATCTCAAGAGGAGAATCCGAATTTCAAAGACATGGGAGATTTGTCCCTAATGTTTTCATACTAGTGCTCTTGTTAAATGGAAAACCCTTCCTGAATGGGGAAGATCTGAGGCTAAATCTGGATCCTGGGACTCTCATTCTTGCCCACCACCATCTCCCTGTGGCTGTCATTCTTCCCTGGAAGTGAATGAATACTGAGAACACAGTAAGAGGAGGGTGGTCACAGCTGACTTCACAAAGCCTCATGGAGGTTAAGTTGTTCAAGAATTTAAAAAGTAAACACCCCAAATCCTCCAAAATGGAATACTGTGGAAAATAACTGAAATTTCCACTGCTTAAGGCTTCATCCTATTAAGACAGCTGAGTACTTGGCCTGGCCCGATTTTCACCTTTCCTTTTACACCTCAAGAACAGCAGATAGGTATGCATAACCACAGCAGAACACACCCTCCACCTCTCTGACTGCTGACACTGGCTACAGGAATAAGGCTTTGGTTATCATCTAGCAAAATGCCACAGAGCATGGACGGACTGAGTTTGTTCTAAGGAAAGGAGTTTCACCAGATAGTCTGAAGAGGCCCAGCCCAGCAAAGAGATTTAGAGCAGGAAAGCCTTTCATTAAAGTAGCCACACACCCCTCGAGACAACCATAAAGACTTGACTAGGAAATCAAAAGGTTTTTATTAAACAAGACTTCCTCTGAGGCTATTCGAGCAAGCAGATTTGGCTATAAGTCAGATACGCAAGATTTCTGAACCATGTATAAATACGTTCTGCAGAATTTCGAAGTGTGCGTCCTTTGACTTTTCCAGGGATGCACCAGGGGCCAACCCGTTATGTAGACACGGTTACTGTTTTAGGACTGGGTGACATGGGGCCTGGGTAAAAAAATAAGGCCAAAACTGAGTAAGCTCAATTTATAGAGCAATATCAGTGCTGGACAGATCTGCCATGCTTCGTTTACATCATGTTTCCTACTTTTGATTTCTTCATCTTATTTATAGTCTTCCTCCCATCCCCTGAACACAAACTTGACTTTATCTTCTAACTAAGATCTTTCCACTCAAGGGGGCGTAGGAAAACAATTCCTGGATGCCTTTCTAACTAAAACCAGCAGGACTAAGTGCTCAAGATTTTATAATATTTCGATTTAGAGGTTTCTAGAGTTATTCCTGAGACGTGCCATAGCAGTAAATGAATTGGTGAATTGAGTAGAAGGTAGTTGTGACATCTACACCCAAATTCTTACTCTGGTGGCTTGAATAAAACTGGAGAAGCTCAAGGTAGGGCCCAGATAGAGGCCCAGGAAAGCAAATAAATGAAAGACGGTGGGGACACAGGAAGGATCCCAAAGACGGCAGCTCAGGGTCCTCCACGGAAGACTTGCTCAGGTTTCCTACTTACACATGACTCTGAGTGCCAGGGCAGAACAGGGAGTGGACCACACTGCTGTCACATGCCCGAAGGTTTTCCTACAGCATCAGACTCTGCCACGAAGCAAAGCATTTTCCACAAACTTCTCTCCATAGAGATATCTGGGGTAGCTAAGATCTACTGCAGGAGGAAGAAACGTGCTGCAGATGAAGACAACTCCTGACAAGGCCGAAGTCCCATTCTTCCCAGGCCAACACTTGCACAAACACCTGGTGGCGTGAATTCCCACAGTATTTCACCTGCCAGACGGCACTGTCTCCACACCCTGGAATGAGTTCTTTCCTGAGCAGGAGGGGCTCCAGGCCTTTTCGAATACAATACCGACAACTCCAGAAATGCAGGTGATTTACTGCCCTGGAGGAGAGGTTCCTATCCTCTCCTCTGGGAAGAAATTCAAACAAATATGAGAACTGGAATTAGCTCTCTAGCATGCTGGGGGGGTCACGTCAGTGACCTTTTTTCCTTTTTGGGTCAGAAGAGTGTTTTAATTACTCAAAGTTGTCAAAATGGTGGCAATACCTCAGTAGCTCAGCAGGAAGAAGACTAGGTAATTTTGTGGCCGTACAAGTCTGCCTAAGAGACAGAAGTGAGTTTTATAATCTACTTGGCCATTCCTCCCAGCAGAGAAGCAGCAGGTAGATATGGCATGCACTGTGCCTGCTGCTGCTGCTCTTGTGGCGAACACTCAGATGTGGAACCATAGAGGGACCTTGAGGAGCTGGGACATGATTCTTTAGAGAAGAGAAGAGACAGGGAGCACAGCATGAGAATGGCCAGTCAACCCATTTCAAATTCTTTTATTAAAGTGCCCCCCGAGGGGCCTTGCACAAAGATGATGGGGAGAGCAGAACTGCTGCTCCTTGACAGAACTCTGATCCTTACACTTTGTTTGGAGTGGGCTTGGGGACAGTCACAAGCCATGAAACATGAATCCAAAATGGTCCCCAGATGAGCCATGGTGAACCAACAGATGCAAGCAACTTCTTAAACTGCTCTATTAAACACTGCTTTATATGTGTCCCCATGATACAGAAAAGTGGGATGGGGCCAGCCATTCCAGAAATGAAAATCCAGACTCTCACAGAGAACCCTTGAGCCACACAGGAAGACCACTGAAGACAACAGAGGAACTACTGGTCCACAGAAACACTCAGTTTCATGAAAACACACTGATTCGGTTAGAAAATGCAACTTGGGAACAAACATTACACAACAAAGACCCTCTGTCATGCAGGGCACTGGCCCGGATGCTGCCTGGGCTGTGTGGGCTGGAGGAGGTGGGGACAACCCAGCCTGGGTGGGACTTGGACACAGAACTTCCTTAGCAGGGTGTTGGAAAGTCCCAGGCCTGTTCTGTGGAAGGGGAATAAAAAACAGATTCAAGGAATGTCAAAAACACGAAAAAAAAAAAAAAAAATCCCTGCCTCACTCCACCACTGCCATAAAAGAATAGAAACAGAGAAGAAAAAAAGAGAAGGGGGGCGGGGGGCAGACGGCAATCCCTGAAATAAACCTCAGGCTTCCTAGAAGGTGGGCACTTACTTACATTTTGAGGCATGACCCCCTACTTTCCAATGCAGCACTTTTTAACCCGTAGATAAGCTGGCAGCTTGACAGGCTGAAGAGTCCTCTGCCATTTACACCTGAAAATGGCTGCCCCAGCTACTCTAGATAAAATAAATATGACATATATACCCCAAATAGTCAATGGCCACCTCGGAGGCCTATGAAAGGAACTGAAATACAACAACACTTGGTAGCAGCCTTTGTGTTTTGCTCTTGTTGAGTTGACCTGTTACTAAAGAAGAAATGGAAACCAAAGGGTCATCTTGAAGCATAGTCTTTTGGCCATGAACTCCCCGCTTGGGCTGGGAAGAGACTGCATCACTTGGAACTCAGCTGGGGCACTTCCCAGTTCCGTCCTGCCAAGAGGCATCCCAGCTTTCTTCCCCTCTGTCCTCCCAATCCCCTGGGCCATTTTCATGACAGCTTGTTTCCATGTATTAAAGGAATGACATATACAGAAATGTCGTCTCCTGAGCCCAGTCGGTCATTAGATATCCGCCATCCTCTGTCCTTCAGCACACCCCGGGCACGCATCACCAGGTCCTGAGCTGCCAGTGTGTACCTACACAGGAGAACCAGGAACGAGACAGTCAGTAGAGCATCAGACAGAAGCCAGGGTCAAGTGAGGCTGGGAAGGGGGAGGCATCACTACAGTTGTATAAATAAGTTTCAAATACACTTACAATACGAAAAAGACAAGGTCATCTTTTCCCAAAATGTAGGACACCTAATGTGAGATTATTGTTTACATGGTAGTGGGATAAGGCACTAAATACATTAGATAATGTCTTACATTATTCACCTCCTCAGTCCTCTTTTGATGTTTTTGATTGATTACATTGAGGGGAGTCTCAGTTTGCTGCTAGTATAGCTCAAAGAGCTGCTCAAGCTCAGAGCTTTCCATGACAAATGGTATCTAGCTTAAAAAGTACATGGGAAAAATCAGAACTTTTGTTTTCAATATATTTAGTTTTAGAGTTATATTGCTTTTGTGACAAAGAATAGTCATTTTCTATTTATGGTAAAAATCATTTAAAATAAATTTTTTAAAAAAGTGAGTTAAGGAAAAATGTTAAAAATAATACAACCTGGCATAAGCATATAGCAAGAATGTGAAGTTTTTTGGTTTTTTTTTTTAATTTATTTAATTTTTTTTTTTGTAAATGACTGATAAGCCTTGGTGTGAGTGAGCTGCTTACTTGTCAGCGTCACCCTCTCCTCTTGACCAATGTAAGTTCAGCAAGGGATCCCTTAAGAATTTGAAAATAAGATTGCTGAGATTTAAACTGTAAGCTTAAGGAGAAAGAATGACACTGTAAGCTGATGGGAAAGTATTAACATCTAGGAGAAAGACTAACTTGGGAAGTGATTTGGGTGGGTATGGGCCTGGGTTAGCCCTGAGGCATAAAAAAATGAGACAAAACATTGGCAGGTGTCTATCCAAACACTGACCAGAGCAGAGGGAGTCATAGTTGACAGCCTTCAAAGGAACTTAGTTCCACTGGCAGGGTCATATTTGGTGTGGGATGGACTATTTTCTTAGTCTATACCATTAAGCATATGATTCAGCTTTATTCTGATTTCGTGTTCACCAAAGAACCTCCTGATTATGATCTGCCTCCCTGTGTAGGCCTGCCTGCAGGAAAGAATGAGCTAGTCGTTTTTACTTTAAGAATATCCATCAGTTATATTTCTTTGCTTAAATGTCAAGTGGCATTTTGCTTTACAGATCAATCTTGTGAGCTTGGTTAAGGTGAGACCAACTCTGATAATGAATCTCTTTTCTGTATCTTGATTAAATCAGTTTCTGAACCTGAAAAGCTAAGAGCCAGACTGGTAAATCATCAAGATAATAAATGTCACCGTATAAGTCCTCTTGGAAGCCAGCCTGTGGGCCTTTTACAAGGGACCACCCTGATATTGCTAGTGACCTTTCTCTACTTGGAATGTTTCAGTAGTCTCGCCTTCAGAGCTGTGAGTTATGGAATTCAGAACCCCAGAAGCCTCTCCATTTCTTTTGCTAAAATTCACAGACTTTCATGTTGAGAACTGCATCATTGTTACATTATTTAAGAACAAGTCCTCTAACAAATGATCCCAGGATTGTGAAGATTCCAAGTTGTTCAGTCTTTGAGGATCAAGTCTATTTGTACAGCCCAGATAGCAGACAGAAGTGTAACATACACTACAGCAGAAAGGATATTATAGTCAATACAAAATAAATACCTTTCCTTCTAGAGGATGGGGTAGTAGGTGAATAATTTTTTCTATCTGTATTGAGAGAATTATCATCTTTGAGGCAGAAATCTTTAAGTTATTCTTGAGGGAAGATGCAAACAGTTCGTCCTGAGGTTCTCCTCCTCTTGAGATCAGGAAATAAAGGCCTCCAAAGAGATCTTTGGCTGAAGAGCTAAGTAAATATCTGAAAATCGACATATTGCAGCTCATACACTATAGTCAGAAAAGCCTCTCAGCTGCTCACCTCATTCTCACACTGCTATGAAGAACTACCTGAGACTGGGTAATTTATAAGCAAAAGAGGTTTAATTGTCTCACAGTTCCGTATGGCTGGGAAAGTCTTAGGAAACTTAAAATCATGCCGGATGGTGAAGGTGAAGCGAGGCATGTCTTACATGGCAGCGGGAGACAGTGAGTGAAGGGGGGAAATGCCACACTTTTAAACCATCAGATCTCGTAAGAACTCACTCACTCACTATCGTAAGAACAGCATGGGGGAACTCGGTCCCCATGATCTAATTGCCTCCCACCAGGTCCCTCTCCTGACATGTAGGGATTACAATTCGACATAAGATTTGGGTGGGGACACAGAGCCAAACCATATCACCCCAGCTTACTCTTAGTTTTATATTAAATTGTATATGAGACATAAACACATGGGGAAAGGCCACCAGCCACACCAGAGTGATGTTTATTATCCTGGTGATTGATCAGTCTGCACCTGAGCTTTTTAGGTTCAGAAACCTGGCTAAGTTTATTTGCCTATCAGGCCTGAACACACCTTAACCCAGGTATGAGCTGACTAGACATAGAAAATTATGGTATGCTATGAGAAAATATGCCTGACAATAAAAGATACTCAATCCTTTTGTAGTTCATAAGCTTGATGTTTGAGTTTTCACACTTACGTGTGAAATGTGCCTCCCTTAAACCTTGTTACTACGTCAGCACATTACCCATGAGACATGGAAAAAGAGATAGACAGACACTCAAAGATGTCAAAAAACAGATACAGGAACTCAAAACACAACTCTTTATGGCTATTTTAAGCTCCAAACAGGCCTCAACAGGTCCTGCAGTCATGGAGAAATGACTGGCTTTATTAGAGTCATGAAAGATGAACAAGAGACCACCCTGATGCTGCTATTACTAGTGACTTTGCATATTTTTTAAATGGTCAAAATTAGCTTGGTATTTTTAAAAAGCAAGGATTAGGTCACCTAGAAAAGATGGCTACCCAGGAAACTCATTTCCCTGAGGGCTGTAGGTAATTAAGGTTTCATTCTTCAATATGGTTATTTCCTATTCCAAGATAACTTCCTTTGAGATTGGTTCTCTCTTCACCATCCACTCTGTTTTCCCTTAGGTGCTTAACTTCCTGAGGGAAAATCCACTCTTGCTTTCTCAATTTATTACTTCCCATTTTCTTCCTTTGTCTCTTACCAGTAGGCCCAATACTCTACTAATCTGTCCTCTTAAAGCTTGATCCAAGGGTGGCTTCTCAATACTTATTCTGCTTAACCCTTTGTGTTCAGCACAAATACTGCTGATTATTTTATCCTTAAAAATCTCTGTTCTTGAATTCTCCTTTCTTTCTGGGGCTCCCATGCCATAACCCACTCCAAGTTCTCCTGTGACTGGGCTTCCATGACACACAGCACAAGTCCTTCTCTCTGATGCTCCTTCTTAATTTCCTTTGTAGGCCCTAACTAAGACTTAGGAAGAACTCAATGATCATTAATTTCTTTTTACTTCCAAAGTGGAACATCCCCAGCTATCATCCTTAGTTAATGGTATCCTGGTCTCTTAGGCAAGAAATCATAGTGTTTTTCAATGCCACTTTCACACCCTGATATTGTTCAATTATGAAATCCACAGGGCAGTGTAGGACTTCTAAACTTTGCATTATTATTATTCAGAGACAGGGCCTCGCTCTGTCATCCAGGCTGGAGTGCAGTGGCATAATCATAGCTCACTGTAACCTTGAAGTCTTGGGGTCAAGTGATCCTCTCACCTCAGCTTCCCAAGTAGCTAGGACTAAGGCATATTCCACCATGCCCAGCTAATAAACTTTGCATTATTTTAAGTGTATTTTATTAGTAGCACATGGCTAATTAAAACAAAATCCATATAGTCACTAAGATGATAATTTTGTTTATTGCAAAAACTGGTAGACCTGTACCTATATTTTGCAGTCATATATACACACACATATGAAAACTTATTTTGTGTTTTTAATTTATTATGTGCTTCTTTCCTTCTTTCTTGTTTTCTGTCAGGTGGATAGCTTTAATATTCCCCTCCCCCAACTGGATTGGAAGTGTTATTTCTATTATCAGTTATGTTAAATTTTTAGTATATAAGTTAATCGTATTTCTGTCCTCCTGAAAATAAAAGGACCTTAGAATGCCTTCTTTCATTTTCCATGTTACTGCCTATTATTTTAATTCACCTTTTTTTGAGCCTGCCTTAATCATTATCATTTACAATCTACACTTACATAAATAAACCAACATACTAACTTCTTTGCTTTTTATGAAACTACTCCTTGCTTCTGGATTTAATTTCCTTCCATTGAATTACATTTTTAGTAATTTTTTTAACAATGGTCTGTGAGTGGTAAGCTCACCTAGTCTTTGGATTAAGAAAATCTTTATTTTTACCTTTGATTTTGGCTGATAGCTTTATTGTTATGCAATTCTAGATTGTCTGTTATTTTCCCTCAGCAGTTTGAAGACATTATTCTGCTTACTTCTGACTTCTACTCTTTTTGAGAAGTCTGTCTTTTATCATTCCTTTATAGGTAAATGGCTTTTGTCATTGATAGCTTTTCAAGTTTTTGTGTTTTTGTTGCTGATATGAAGTACCACTAAGACATAACAAAAAGGAGCTTTTTACTTATCATGGTAAGAAATTAGTTTTACTCTTTCAAACTGAAAACTTCTGAAAAATTCTCAGCCATCAACTTTTTGGATATTGCCTCTCCTCTATTTTGTAGATATTCTCCATAAACTCTTATTAGATCTTATTTTACCTTGCAGATTTCAACTTCTCTGCGATATCTTTCAATTCACTAACTCCCTTTAGCAGTTTACTATCCATTTAGTGAATTACTTTGTTTCAATGACAGTGTTTCACCGTTGTGAATTTCTCTTTGGTTCTTGTCCAAAGAACCAAATTGACCTCTTCTGACCTTATGATTCTATTTGCACAAGTTTAACTCTCTTCTAAACTTGTTCTGTTACACCCAGGTTTTCTTTGAGGGCCCGGAGGGAAGGCTCTATTGTATTTGGTTATTCTTTTTCATGGTGAGTGTGAAGAAGAATAAGTGCTTCTTCAGAAGGGGTTGTTCACATGTGCCCTGGGTTATCCAAAGAGATTTAAAATTTGCCTTTACTGAGGGGCAGTATGGATTTCTGTAGTGCTAGAACATGTTCATTTCAGCTTTTTGGCTTAGGATCCCCATACCACAGGAGTAGTATTGTTAGAGTAGGCAGTTAGGTAGACATGATCAGGGCAGGGGAGGGCCCTCCCCCAGGAATGTCTGGCGACCATCAGGTGATAGTCAGGCCATTGTTAAACCCTCTAAAATAACAATTGGTCACAGCTGGCACCAGGGAAATGCAGTCTCCCAATAGAAAACACCTGGCCAGGTGCAGTGGCTTACGCTTGTAATCCTAGCACTCTGGGAGGTCAAGGCGGGTGGATTAACTCGGGCCCAGGAGTTAGACACCAGCCTAGGCAATGTGGTGAATCCTGTCTCTACAAAAAAATACAAAAATTAGCTGGGCACATGCCTGTCGTCCCAGCTACTCGGGAGGCTGAGGTGGGAAGATCTCTAGAGCCTGGGAAGCGAGGCTGTGCCACTGCACTCCAATCTGGGTGACAGAGAGAGACTCTTTCTCAAAAAAAAAAAAAAAAAAAAAAAAGCAACACCTGAAGCAGGTGATCAGCCTCCTGATAAGGTCTCAGGAGATAGGCGAGTGGGCACACGCACTAGGAGGCAAAATGGCCGAGTTTAACTATCATATGGCCTTCCTCCAGAAACACTCAACAGATAAGGGAAAAACAAATGAGCATGCGTACTTCAGTAAGCACACTGCATATGCAGCCCCTCCCAACTGTTGGCAGGCCACTGTGCATGCAGACAGCCCACCCCAAGGGAAGAATCAGGGGAGAAGAAACGCAAATCATGCCAATGTATAAAACCCCAAGTCAAGGCCGGACAAGGCACTTGGATCTCTCAAGTTGGCCGCTTGGCCGCTTGGTCCTCTTCCAAATGTACTTTACTTCCCTTCGTTCCTCCTCTAAAACTTGCCTCGGTCTCTCACTCTGCCTTTTGTCCCTGGGCTGAATTCTTTCCTCCAAGGCAGCAAGAACTGAGTTGCTGCAGACCTGTATGGATTCGCCGCTGCTAACCATATGAGGTTTAACTTCACACTTTTCCTGTGTGGTAAACCTACCCAGCCATTTCCTCCTCCTCATAAAACCTCAGTCTTGTCAGGCAGCTGCCCTGATCCATGTACCCATGTGCTTCAGAAGCGTAAGGACAGCCCCGCCTGAGGGAGAAGTTTAGGGAAGATTCCTAGGACCTGTTCTTCCTACCCTGTTCCCAGGAGGTCGGATTCCTTCACACGGCTTCTCTCCGCCGGCTTCTCCAGTGCATGTCTATCCCTCCTTGTCCAAGAGCAGTGTGCGTGGACAACTGAGCCGTTAGATGCTGCACTCCATAGGTGACAGTACGAATGCTCTAGGACCAGCTTCCTGACATTCCCTTCATGCCACAGGAGACCAGCATTGCAGTGAAACTCAGCAACAGCATTAGGGGAAGATGAAGTCACTCGCAGGAGCTTTCCTCATAGATTCATTAACTCAACACAACCCCGGGGACTCAGCTCTTGGGAGAAGGCCTTTTGTGTCAGCTAGCTACCATATTGGGCCAGGCTGGTGGCCATTTCAGAGCTCATTTGCATCCATCTTCGGAGCCACCTTGCCATATGAAATGCATGAAATCCTTTGCTAGGCTGCTTTATGTCAAGACTGGGGCAAGAACAAACAAACAACTTTCTCTGAAGGAAAAGAACTGCTTCTCCTGCCCCCATTGTATTCTCCAATTTCTACCTTACATCAGGGATCCCTGGGTTGGTGACAGTGAAAGTGCTTAAGGTGGTATTAAAACAGGAAGGCTTTATTGGTTTTGTTATTGAGGCTGAACACAAGGGCATTTAGGTGCCATCAAAGGAGAACTGTAGAAAGTAGTAGAAGAAAATTTGAGTCAAAACATACATACTGTATAAGCATAAAATATCCAAGAGAGCAGCCAAGAAGAATATGGTACAGCTGGAGACAGCCAATGGGTAGTGGATTCTGTTACACACCAACTGGGACTGTGTGGCAGCCGGAGCCCGATGCTTCTGGAAGCTGTGTGTGGAGCAGCCCTAGTGCCGTCACTGAATGCTGGGCCAGGCTGCATTAGACAACTGCGGAGGAGTTTGAAATGCCCACTCCTAATGAAGAGTCTCCCCAGGAGACATGTTTTGAATTTTGAGAACATTTTTCTTCTCTAGCTGAAGCTTTCAATATTTATCAGCAAAGCTCTGCTGAAAGCAATGGCTGCTGGGCAGGGATCAGACTTGGCAAACTCCACAGGGCTCAGGCTCTGAGCGGGAGGGAGCAGAGAAAGGACAGCAGGGGAGGCATGGAAAACAAAAAGGAAGAGGGGCTGAAGAGCGATGGGAAGGCCAAAGCTCTTTTCATAACCACTGACTCTTAAAGTCAGGCGGAAGGAGGCCATAAATCCTCGATTGTCCTCTTGTCCTTGCAGATTCTGTTGCTGTCCTTAGTTCTTTTCCTTCCTAATGGACCAGAAAAGGGCTCTGGGTGTAAGCGTGGCTTGCCCAGGTTCCAATCCTGGCTTTCCCACCATCCAGATGGGTGGCTCTGGAAGAAGTTTTTAGCCTCTTGGAGCCCCTCTTTCCTTACTCAATAATAGTGCAGACCTCCAAGGCTCCTGTAACAGCCATGTGATCTTTCCATAAAGCATTCAGCACAGTGCCTGGCACACAATCGGAGGTCAATAAGTGTTAGTTATGTTCCTTATTAGATATTAAATGCCTTTCTCCTCCCCAGGAGTTTTGTCATAAGTCATCTACGTCTTATAGTCTGTTTTCTGAATCTTTAGCATCTGAATCAGCACAACAGTGTCAAAAATAAGTCAATTTCAGGCTGCAGGCTATCACCGTATCTTAAAGTTCTTAATAGTTCTTGTTGGGTGGGAACTTCAATTTGCCATTTGGATGGTACAGACAGGGTCTTATAAGAGGGTGAGTAGTGGCAGGAACTGGGGAATTAATGGCTTCCAAATATTTGCATATAAAAGGCAGGCTCCATCTGCTGACACCCGCAGTAATACAGTGTGAGGGGAACAGGAGGAGGAATCCCCTTTGCATTCTGAGCAGGCCTCAGAAATTTAAGAGGTAGAAAAGCTCTCCCAGCTTTGGAATGTTGGCAGGGGTCTATGGCAGTGGCGTCTTGGTGGGTGGAGGGTCAGGGGTGGCTTAGAATAGGGAATGGCCTTTGTTGTGCCCAGAACTAGGCAACTCATCCTGGGAAGAGGCACACATCTTAGATTCACTGCTGAGAGCTGGTCCACAGATGCCCCTTGTGTAGCTCTGGAACCGAGTTCTTAAGCAGGTGAAGCTGCTCATGCCAGCTTCTGTCCCCTGTCAGGTTATGGGGACTCCACTCAGGCAGAATACCCTGAGACACCAGAATAACGACAACTGTTGTCTGCAGTGCTGTCACTGGGCTCATTGGGAGTTTGTGTGCTGCCAGCAGACACAAAGCTGCAGACTGGAGGGAGTTCCCCACCCCCATGAGAGAGGGTGAGACGCCCTGCCAGGCCTCATCCACCTCTATGCACCCTGGCCCTGGTTCCCTGGTTTCTTAGGTGGTAGGTTTTTAGTTCAAATTCCAAACAGTAACATTTCAATACGAGGGGGCATAATAGACTATTTCCTTCTCAATCCTCCCTGGGAAGCCCTGTAAAACATCCTGATGTGGCCACACAGCTAAGGGGCCACACAGCTCTGCCACATAAACACCCTAAACAGGATGGGACGGTGGTTGGCTGTGTGCTGTTAGAGGCTGCCACAGCCAGGACCTCAGGCTGATTTCTGAATTCCCACAGATCTGAGTGTGCTAAACATTGCAAAAGAGAGAAAACTGCAGATTTTTATCTAGTCTTCAGACACCAGATCAAACACTCATGAATTTGTTCTTAAAACCAGTAATTGGTATGGTGAAAAGTGGAGGAAACCCTTCCTTTTTGCATTTAAGGCATAGTTTTTGAAAACCTTATGGCATGCAAGAAATTAGTTCAGCTAACTCATGGAAAGGTTTCATAAAAAGAACCTTTGTATTTTGCAAAAATAAATTTCATATTAGGGTAATGCAAACTAGCATTTAATACTTGAATTAACGCCTGTTGTCAGTGTTGGTGTTTTACTATTAACCTTTCACTGATTAATCTCTTCCTTCCAAGGCACACAGCTATCTGAGCCAAGGAGAGCATGGATGTGAAGACTGACAAGTGTGGACATCAGGAAGGCTTCTCTCATTAGAGACATACTCTGTAGGGTTTATGGTATACTGGTTCTTACAGATTTAATACTGCATAAATACTGCATAAAAAGCCCCTCAAGGGTCATGGCAGGGAGACAGAGGGTCATTAAATCCAGGTTACAAAAAAAAAAAAAAAAAAAATGAGGTGGGGCCAGGCATGATGGCTCACACCTGCAATCCCAGCACTTTGGGAGGCCAAGGCAGAGGCAGGAGGATTGCTTGAGACCAGCCTGGGTAACACGGTGAATTTTTTTTTTTTTTTTTTTTTTTTTTTTTTAAGTAAAAAAGAAGTTTCCACAGACAGTTTTGGGGAAATGAAGCTCTAGAGCAAAGCCTGCACAGTTTTGCCTGGGCACTGGGAATGTGAATCCATGTGCATTTCCAAGTTTGGTTAGCTATTCCCTGGCCCTAGTTCCTCTTGGCTTTGCCCACTCCCTTCCCCTTCAGTAATAGTAACAATTTATTCCTTTCTGACAAAATGGTAAGCGTCTTCTTCTCTGAGTGTTTACATATTTGCCTCCGTTTTGAATATTCTTCCCAGGAGACCCCCCCACTGAACCTCCAGCCTTACAGAGGGGACAGTCAGTTGCAGATATTTTGCATCAGAAAACCCTTTCCAGGTTTGAGTGCCTTCTCCAAATCATGTAGGATCTTTAGGGCTTAAAAGAGAACCTTACTGGAATTATAAGGAACCAGAGGACTGTGCAGCCCAACCTCCATTACCTGCAGCAACCCCACTCCAGGATGTTAGCGCAATGCATTTCCTAGGAACAGTTCATTTCGTGACCCCACAAGAGTAAAAGAACTGCCAGCTTCCCTACAATTCAGGGCAAACTGTGATAGAAAAGAAAGAAAGAAAGAGGGGCCATCTCCTCCTTGGCATCAGGGCCAACTTCAGACTCCTTGTGGAGCCCAAGATTGTCAAAAAAAGAACCAAGAAGTTCATCCAGCACCAGTCTGACCAATATGTCAAAATTAAGCGTAACTGGCAGAAACCCAGAGGTACTGACAACAGGGCTCATAGAAGGTTCAAAGGCTAGATCTTGATGCCCAACATTGGTTATGGGAGCAACAGAAAAACAGCACATGCTGCCCAGTGGCTTCCGGAAGTTCCTGATCCACAGCGTCAAGGAGCCGGAAGTGCTGCTGCCATGCAACAAATCTTACTGTGCTGAGATCATTCACAATGTTTCCTCCAAGAACTGCAAAGCCGTTGTGGAAAGAGCTGCCCAGCTGGCCATCAGAGTCACCAACCCCAATGCCAGGCTGTGCAGCGAAGAAAATGGGTAGACAGCTCATGTGCACATTGTGTTCTAAAAAACCGTAAAAACTGCAAAAAAAAAAAAAAAAAAAAAAGAGAAAAACTTACTGCACTCATATTCTGGCTCATCCATAAAGCCGCCTTTTAATTTTCTGGTTCCTTTGTTGAGACAGTTCAAAAGAGCAAAAGGACTTAAGATACACCAGGGTCAGAAAGATCATACAGCTCATTTTTACTCCCATCTCTGCCTGAGAGGATGGTGTGAGGGTCAGAACACATCTTTATGCTAATCACCTCTTCCCTCACAGCACATTCTGGAGGGGGAGATGCTATTTTAAATTCCTTGCTGGGAAGGATGTCAACAGAGGAAGACAATGCTGGCAATTTGTTTAGAATGGCTGTCACTAGGAGGTAAAAGAAAAACAAAAAGAAAAGGAACCTACAGGCAACATAAACAAAAGCCCAACAATCAAACGACAAAAGCCCCTAGTCTTGCCTGTCTCAGGCCTCATTCCCTGCCTCTTTTTGTCCTGCTTCCTTTCTAGACAAAACTGGGAGATCCTGGTAAGACTCAAAGTAAAACAGGCCCACTCAAAACCTCAGATGCAGAAGCACCTTACCCTTCTCACCGGCTTTGTTCCATTCCCCTTCCCTCAGGCTTCCCACCCTGGGGAGAACTTTTCCCTTCTCATTTTGTGTCCAACAATAGGCTGACCTCCTTTGGTCAGTTCCCTCAGGCTTGAACCCAGCAACTCTCCACTGAAAATTAAACAGGCAAACGTGTAGTCCCAGGCTACATATGGAGAAATAGGAACTCTCTGGCCAAGGAAGGGCTAATAGAGCCTCTGGAATTATAGTGGGCCTTTCCTCATCACAGAAATTATGACTTGGCAACTTCTACTCATATTTCCATTTGGCATGACAAGATTAGAACAGCTCCCAGCTGGGAGGGCACTGGCTCTTGGGACTGAGCTCTCTTTGTCCATGAGCCTCCCAAGGAGACATCCTAAACTGGTGTGTGAGTGTGGTGCCCTCCTACCAAATTACACACAGGTATGTACAAAGATGGCAAACACATGAAAGAGAACACTGTTTCACATATTCCTAAATTATGAGTTTGACAACAGAAATAGAAAAAACAACCCTAAAATTTGTATGAAACTACAAAAGACCCAGAACAGCCATAGCAAACCTGAACAGAAAGAACAAAGCTGGAGACATCACACTTCCTGACTTTAAAATATACTACAAAGCTATATTAACCCAAATAGCATGGTACTGGCATAAAAACAGACACATAGACCAATGGGACAGAATAGAGAACCTGGAAGTAAATCCATGCATTTACAGCCAACTCATGTTCAACAAAGGTGCCAAGAACATACATTGGGGAAAGGACAGTCTCTTCAATAAATGGTGCTGGGAAAATTGGATATCCACATGCAGAAAAAGGAAACCAGAGCCCTGTCTCTCACCATATACAAAAATCAAATAATAAAAACAAATTAAAGACTTAAATATAAGACCTGAAACTACGAAACTACTAGAAGAAAACACTGGAGAAATGCTTTAGGACATTGGTCTGAGCAAAGGTTTCTTGGCTAAGACCTAAATTGTCAGTCTGAAACAAATTAAGTTTCTCTGATGTCCCAATATTGTGTAATTACTTAAAGGAACACACAGGGGTAGGAAAACAATCCTCATCTTGTTTCTCACCATCAGATTTTGCAGAATGCTTCCTGGTTGTGAATCATAATGAACAAATTACATAAATTCCATATCGTTACCACAGACTTCCTTTAACACAAATAATTTTCACGTTCATGATCTCATGAGATCATGGGCCCCTGCTGACCCCTCACACCTCATCTGTTGACATTCTGCTCCCCACCTCCAAGACCAGTCAGCCACACTGACTGTTGGGTCCCAGAATGTGCCATGTTTTTTCTCCCCAACTCCCCTGACCCTTGCCTCGCTCCTGTTTATTCTTCAGGTTTAAGTGTAGACATCCTTTGCTTTAGGTTAATGCTGCTGTAATCCCTCCAGACTGTAAACTCAAAGAGGGCAGAGCTGAGGTGTGTGTTCTTCACGAGTATCTAGCAGGCCTTGGCTCACAAAATAATAGGTCCTTAGTGGTATTTCCCAAATGAACAAATCAGAATGGGAGTTATTTGTTAAGAAGAAAACCTTGACTCTTCAGTTCCTTTTCTTTTTTATTTTTTGAGACAGGGTCTCGCTCTGTTGCCCAGGCTGGAGTGCAGTGGCACCATCTCGGCTCACTGCAACCTCGACTTGCCAGCTTCAAGAGATTCTCGTGCCTCAGCCTCCCGAATAGCTGGGATTACAGGTGCCACCATGCCCAGCTAATTTTTGTATTTTTAGTATAGACGGGGTTTCGCCATATTGGCCAGGCTGGTCTTGAACTCTTGGCCTCAAGGGATCCGCCTGCCTTGGCTTCCCAAAATGCTGGGATTACAGGTGTGGGCCACTGCACCTAGGCCAGTTCTGTCTGTTAAAACACTTTTTTTTTCCTTATTTTTAGAGAGGAAGTCTTGCTGTGTTGTCCAGGCTGGTCTTGAACTCAAGCTTAAGCCATCTTCCTGCTTCAGCCTATGGAGTCGCTCAGATTATAGGCACATGCCACTGCACCTGTCTTTACAACCATAATTGTCTAATCTGCAGACTGATAGTCTATTTCTTGCTGATAAACTGTGTTCCCCTTGCAATTTTCCCTTTCATTCATTCATCCATCTGATATAGGATTCTTTCTATTGCTTTGGTTTGCCATCTTCCCCGAAAGGCATACAGAAAACATTTTTTCTTTCCCATCCTGTTTGTTCCAAAGAGATCCTTGTGAACCCTGCCTCCGTAGGCAGCAGTTCTCGTGGACCCCAGGAGCCTGCTCTGACCTGGCATGTGCACGCTGCCCACAGGTTACCACTCCTTGGCATACAGATTTATCACTCTGGAGGAAGGCTGGTAAGCAAGACCAAGCCAGCTTAGACACAGAAAAAAAGTGCTGAGTGCCTTTTAATGCATAACTGGCAGGTGGCTTTGCAAAGCTTTATAAAAATAATCATAGTAGAGAAAAATCAACATGAGAATGTTGCTAACAAGTGGGATACATAACATGAAACTTGAAAGGCGAAAAACACATTCAAATTCAAATAAAAGAATATTTAATTATAGTGCCATCAATTCCTCCACACCTGAGCTGAATTATATCAGACAATTCGAGGAGGAGACAGATGGTCTACCTTCACGTTTCCTGAATTTCTGTTGTGAAATATGTGAGACATAACAACACACACATCTATTAGTGCTTATTATCTATTAGGCACTTCACCTAATAATATATATGCATGAGGTTAATACTGTTGGAATCTCCATTTTACATATGAACAATCAGAGAAGAGTTAAGAAATTTTCCCAAGATCCTAAATCTAGAAGGGGAAGAGCCAAAATTCAACTCGGGAAGTAATTATAGATTACAGGCTCTTAACCACGAGACTACCCTGCCTCTCATATACCATTTATAGTTTAAAAATAACACAAACAACAATGTACCTGCCATCTACTTGAAGGAACAGAATATTATCAGTAAATATCTTAGAAACCCAACAGGCCTCAAGCATATATTCCCCTTGGTATCTGCCTCTTCTCCTCTCAAAGTAACCATTATCTTGAATTTTGGGCCAATTTTCTTGGTTTTTGTTATAGTTTTAATGTCTATATCCCTAAACAATATATTGGTAGTTTTCACTTCATGTACATAGAATTCTAATGTATGTATTCCTCTATGGCTTATTAAACTCAACATTATGTTTTTGAGATTCTTCCCTGTTAATGAGCACAGCTTTGGCTCATTTTGGGGGTGGGGGAGGTGCTATAAAGTATCCCAATATTTGTTTACCCGTCCCACCACTGGACACGCAAGTTACTTCCAGTTTCTGTAATAAAAACAATTCTGTGAATATCTTCTTGCATGAACGACGATGCAAGAGTTCTTCTAGGAGAGTCGGTTCTTGAATTTTAGCAGCATCAGAATCACCTGCATGGTTTGTTAAAACACAAATGGTTGGTCCTACCATTGGAGTTTTTATTTCAGGTGGGGCCTGAAAATCTGCAATTCTCTTTTAAAAAAAAAAATTTATAAAATATATATGTAAAGGTAGAGACAGGGTCTCACTATGTTGCCCAGGCTGGTCTTGAACTCCCAGGTTCAGGTGATCCTCCTGCTTCAGCCTCCCAAAGGGTTAGGATTATAGGCATGACCCACCATGCCAGCCAAAATTTGCATTTCTAACAAGTTCCCAGGTGCTGCTGATGCCATGTAGCTCAAAGGACCGTGCTTTTCAGAACCACCACTCCAGGGTACAGACCTAAGAGTAGAACTGCTGGGCTCCATAAAAACACCATTGGTATTATGGTTATAATTGTACTGATTCTATGGATCAATTTAGGTAGGCAGCTTCACTTTGGCTCCTTAGAGCCTTTAAGTTGTAAGAATTCTTGCCGGGCGCAGTGGCTCATGCCTGTAATCCCAGCACTTTGGGAGGCCGAGGTGGGCGCATCACCTGAGGTTGGGAGCTCGAGACCAGCCTGACCAACATGGAGAAACCCCATCTCTACTAAAAATACAAAATTAGCTGGGCGTGGTGGCACATGCCTGTAATCCCAGCTACTAGGGAGGCTGAGGCAGGAGAATTGCTTGAACCTGGCAGGCGGAGGTTGCGGTGAGCTGAGATTTGCGCCATTGCACTCCAGCCTGGGCAACAAGAGCGAAACTCCATCTCAAAAAAAAAAAAAAAAATTATTCTGTGTACATTTATGCGAAGAATATAGACCGAACTAGCCAAGTAACACAAGTCAGCCCTTAGGGCCTCACTCAGAAATATCTTTCTCTGTGGTTAAGGGTATCTTTCTTTTCTTCTCTGTTTCCAGAAATCAGGATCTTGTGGCCAGAGGTTCCCTGTGACACAGGGGGACATTTGGATAAAGTTAGCTCATGGCATAGAGGGATAATAGTCATTTCTGGCAGGTCAGAGGTGAATGGAGTCTTCATCTATGCTTAGTTTATTAAATTAGAAAAAAAGGCTAAAATTTCAGCCTTTACAGTTTTGATATGTATTATTATTCAGGCCCAGGTACTTTCTAATTTTCATTATAATTTTTTCCTTTGATTCATAAGTTGTTTAGAAGTTTGGTTTCTATTCCATGTGAGTTTCCTCTCCTTTACTAGTTTAGAAGTTACCCTTTCTATTATTTTAACAGTTTTCTTAGCTATTTCAACTTGTTTACTTAAAGCCTAAAGTTAAACACCATTAACTTCTCAAAAGAAGCATAGCATGTGAGCTAACACCCCTCCCTTGACAATTTGTACGCTATTTTTATGCAATATTTTAGTTCTATCATTTTTAACCCACACATTAGACATTCTTATTACTGTTTTATATAGTCAAGGTATATTTAAATATGACCACATGTTTACTAATACCTTAGCTTAATAATCCATTTTACTTCTCAGATATTTCCTGTGGGATCATTTCCTTTTCTTACCTGAGCACACCCTGTAGAAATTTCTTCAGAAGAGGTTAGTTGGCGGTAATATGTATCAGTTTATGTTTTGCCTGAAAATTTGTTTACTTCATCCTTGTTATTGATAGTTTTGCTACATCTAAAATTCCTAGATTGACAGTTATTTTTTTCTTAGCCAGCTGAAGATATAATCCCACCATTGGCACCGTTTACTTTTGAAAGTTGGCTGTCAGTCTGAATGTCTTCTTTTTTTTTTTTTTTCCTGGCTGCTTTTAATATATTTTTGGAAGGCAAAGGGGTTAAAGTTCTTCAGTTTCTTTCTCTTTTTTTTGGGACAGAGTCTCACTCTTTCACCCAGGCTGGAGTGCAGTGGCGTGATCTCAACTCACTGCAACTTCCGCCTCCCAGGTTCAAACAATTCTCATGCCTCAGCCTCTTGAGTAGCTGGAATTACACACATGCATCACCATGCCTGGCTAATTTTTGTATTTTTAGTAGAGATGGGAGTTTCGCCATGTTGGCTAGGCTGGTCTTGAACTCCTGACCTCAGGTGATCTGCCCGCCTCCACCTCCCAAAGTGCTGGGATTACAGGGATGAGCCACAGCACTCGGCTTTTCTTCGGTTTCACTATTTTATTTCTCCTTCCAGAGATTTGTCAGGCTTTCTGAATCTTAGGTTTAGTATTGACAAAAAATTCTGGAACTTCTTCCCATCTTCTATAGTTTATCCTTTTGGAATTCTTTTAGAGCACCTTAGGCCATCTTTTTAGTCTCTTAATCTCATTTCACATTGTCTTTTCTCTTTGTCTAAGCCATCTACTGGATTATTTATTAGATCAATTTTCTAGTTCACCAGTGTTCTCTTCAACTAGCTCTAATCTGTTTAATTCAGTGAATTTTTAATTCCTATTTTTAAATTTATCATCTCTAGAATTCCATTTTCTTAAAAATTGTTTAGTCATTTTTTTAGTCTCTTTTAAGACTCCTATTTTAAATGCTTTAAATTTTTTTGTTTGTTTTGAGACGGAGTCTTGCTCTGCTGCCCAGGCTGGAGTGCAGTGGTGTGATCGATCTTGGCTCACTGCAACCACTGCCTCCTGGGCTCAAGCAATCCCACCTCAGCCCCCTGAGTAGTTGGAACCACAGGCATGCACCACCATGCTCAGCTAATTTTTGTAAAGATGGGGTTTCACCATGTTTCCCAGGCTTGTCTTAAACTCCTGTGGCTCAAGTGATCCTCCTGCGTTATCTCCCAAAGTGTTGGGATTACAGGTGTGAGCCACCATGCTTGGCTAAAAAAAAATTTCTGAAGCATGTTAAAATATTTTATATTATTGTTGGCTTTCTTTTGTTTGTGTTTTGAGACCGAGTCTTCCTCTGTCACCCAGGCTGGAGTGCAGTGGCGCGATCTTGGCTCACTGCAACCTCTGTCTCCGGGGTTCAAGCGATTCTCATGCCTTAGCCTCTCAAGCAGCTGAGACTACAGGTATGCATCACTATGCCCAGCTAAAAATATTTATATTTTTGACTGCTAAATCCAATAAAGAAGTATTTACAGGTCCAATTCTGATGCCTCTGTTATTCCTGCTGGCTTTTACTCATGGTGACTTGTGTTCTAGATAAAGCTGCCTTTCTCGAGAGGTAGTTTCTGTTTATTTCTGAGAGTCTTCTAAGGATATTTAGGTTATTTACACTGCTGCTAGACTGTAAGAAATACTTAACTTGGATCTTTCTCTTCTTACCAAGTATTTCTCAAAAGAAACAATTCTCCAATGGATGACTATCAGTGCTGGGGTGCATTTGCCATCACTCTCATCAACAGGATCAGAAATGGGATTATTTCTACTTTAGAGGATAGCTTAGAGGAAGTAAAAATGTGAGAAAGGTATGCCGCTGAAATGCCTAAACAAACACTCAAATTCTTTACCACTTGTATCTACGTTCAACTTAAGGGGGATTTTTATTTGGCAGAGAAAGTACCTCTTTTTTTTTGTTTTGTGACAGAGGGTCGCTCTGTCACCCAGGCTAGAGTGCAGTGGTGCAGTCTCAGCTCACTGCAACCTCTACCTCCCAGGTTCAAGCAATTCTCCTGCCTCTGCCTCCCGAGTAACTGGGATTACAGGTGCCCACCACCATGCCCAGCTAATTTTTGTATTTTTAGTAGAGACAGGGTTTCACCATGTTGGCCAGGCTGGTCTAGAACTCCTGACCTCATGATTCACCCGCCTTGGCCCCCCAAAGTGCTGGGATTATAGGCATGAGACGCCACACCTGGCTGGAAAGTACCTCTTACAAGAAAGGTAATCCCTTCTGCAGTTTGGTTACTGTACCGTCCATATCAGCCTCTAAGTCATGAATTATGAAAATTGCATGATTATTAATTTCAGGCATGTCATGGAAGAATGCTTGAGGAACAACCCTACAATTGTAGAAATGCACAAACCTGTGAGGATCATCTGGATCACAGTTAGGAAGAAACTGAGTGATTGCTTCTGCTACTTCTTCATTTGATAAAACGTCCCAGAGTCCATCAGTGGCCAAGATCAGCACATCATCTGATCCATGATCATATTTTGAAAGATCGTAGATTCTTACCTGAAAAAAAACAAGAATACTACCACTTAAGAAATTGGAAGCATATTATTCTCCCTAACAAACTGACTTCTGATTCCCCTTCCCTTTTCCTGCCCAGCCTAGTGGTTTTCAGATATGCATTGTAGGGTACTTGATTATACAGCGAGCTGTGTGGCCAGGGATAGTCTCCCTTGGAGACTTGCTATATAGACACATGGGGCCTAATACACATTTGTGAATGAGCCTAAGCGGTGGGCTTAGTAATTGACATAGAAGAAATTAATTGAAAATGTAATGTCTGAGGTATAGTCAGAATGATGATTTATAAGTGGATTTTATGCTAGCCAGAAGATCAGCAGTGAGCTTGTTTGCTGTCTTCCTTTGCGTATTCATTCAGCAAACATTTATTAAGGGCCTACCCTGTGCCAAGTGCTATAAATGCAAAGTTAAATATCTGATTTTTCTGCTTCAGAGGAGGTCTCAGTCTGTGGGGGAGATAAAACCAATTCAGGATTCTTAGTAGCTGCTCTACATGTATTTGTCTAGGAGTAACGAGACATTCTATTTAATGCACTCACTTGAAACCTTTCTTGCATTACCTGCTCTGAGGCCCAAGCAGCCAACTCCTCTCACATAAGGATGGGGGCTCTGACACTACCTTCATGTTTCAGGAGCCTCAACTGAGGCTCACAGAAGATACACGCTCACTCTGAACCTCCAAAGTATGTCTTTGTCTTGACAGACTTAAGTCTTTCCTCATGTCTAGTACCTTAAATGACTTGGATATTTCAACACCCACCTAAGCTCTGGAAAGAGAATGAGGCAGCCTAGGCAAAACTAGTAAGAATAAAAATCAAGCCTCTCTTGGGCTAGGCCACAATTCTATGTCCATCCTACTTCAATGTGGGAGGGGAGGGATAGGGAGGTGTGGAGAGGGATTTGGGGTTTCACTGCTCTTCCCTCCTAATTTGGCAGAATCAATCCCTGCCTATTATACCATCTCATGAACTGAGAAGAAAAGCAAGTCAATTTAATCAATCCCCTTCAGCCTCCCTTATTACTCTATTTTCTGTCTTTCTAATTGAGACGGAGTCTCTCACTGTGTTGCCCAGGCTGGAGTACAGTGGCGTGATCTCAGCTCACTGCAACCTTCGCCTCCAGGGTTCAAGCGATTCTCCCGCTTCAGCCTCCCAAGTAGCTGGGATTACAGGTGCATGCCACTACACCCAGCTAATTTTTGTATCTTTAGTAGAGATGGGGTTTTACCAGCTGGGTCCCAGCTGGTCTGGAACCCCTGGCTTCAAGGGATCCGCCTGCTTCAGCCTCCCAAAGTGCTGGGGTTACAGGCATGAGCCACCATGCCCAGCCCATTCCTGTTATTTTCTAAATGCAAGTCTGAGTGAAAGCGATGGGTCAGGGCACATGTCCTATGGCACAGCCATTGTTATGTCACCTCAGATCTAGAGACAATCATATCACCTCAGCCTAGAGACTAAATCTGTTTAGGTCTTTGAAAGCCAAGCCTCCTATGTTTTAGAAAGGTTTGTCCAGGCTAGTGATGCCCTGGCATGGGGCTGGTCCTGTGGGCTGACAGTCTATTCCCAGCAGCAGAACACAACAAAATGTTTACCCACAGGGCCCTGGGTGAATGAGCTCAAATGAAAAGCAGCCACCAGGCGCCAGGCCTTTGTGGCCTGTGAACAAGAAGGTAACAATTAGCTAATGGCCCAGCACATGAGCTGCGCTCAAGGGAGGAACACTCAGGAGTACACTGCACTGGTGTTTAACATCTTCTTTCCAAAAGGCATGCTCACTTAAGGCTAAACTTATGTTCCGGAGAGGGCACTCAGCCTTTTAAGCCAAATTAAAGAAAACATGAAAGCCTCAGTTTCCGGCAGACCAGAAAGTCCCAAATGTCAGAATTCTGTCCTCAGGTCACTGACGAATGTGGTCCAATTTTCACTGTATCAGAAACAAGCAACCCTCCTATGCTTTATTTTCCATGGTTCTTCGGTGTGTTAGAGCAGAGCTTCTCAAATATTAATGTGCACAGAAGTCAGCTAGGGATCCTGCTAAAATCCAGATTACAATTCAGTTCCGGGTGGGCTTGAGAGCTGTGGTTCAACTTCCTCCCAGGTGATGCCAATGCTGCAGGTTCACAGACCGGGCCCCGAGTAGCAAGGCCAGAGAGGATTCCTACTGGGCCAGATTTGTACACAAGGGAATCAACGTCTCAGTGGACTTTATGATGACTGTGGAGACTGTTCCTTAGAGTGGGCTGTTGACAGACTGTAAATGTCACCCCTGGGCTCCTAGCTTCAAGTACTGGTTCACTGTGTTGTTACTTTCAGTATACAATAACTTTGAGAGACACTGCTAATAGGAGGCCAAGGCAGGGGGATCACTTGAGGCCAGGAGTTCGTGACCAGCCTGGGCAACATAGTGAGATCCTATCTCTACAAAAATTAAAGAAAACAATGAGACCCTGGGCATGGCAGTGCATGCCTGT
Organism: Homo sapiens; assembly: GCF_000001405.40. Classification (NCBI taxonomy): domain Eukaryota; kingdom Metazoa; phylum Chordata; class Mammalia; order Primates; family Hominidae; genus Homo; species Homo sapiens. The sequence goes on from NC_000012.12 coordinate 62,669,818, forward strand.
CATCCCAGCTACTTGGGAGGCTGAGGCAGGAGAATTGCTTGAACCCAGGATTTTGAGGCTGTGGTGAGCCATGACTGTGCCATTACACTCCAGCCTGGGTGACAGTGAGACCCAGTCTTTAAAAAAAAAATAGTGTTTAGAGGATTGATTCCTTTTTTTTTTTTTTTTTTTTTTTTTGAGACGGAGTTTTGCTCTTGTTGCCCAGGCTGGAGTGCAATGGCATGATCTCAGCTCACTGCAACCTCTGCCTCCCAGGTTGAAGCGATTCTCCTGCTTCAGCCTCCCTAGTAGCTGGGATTACAGGCATGTGCCACCACGCCCGGCTAATTTTGTATTTTTAGTAGAGACAGGGATTCTCCATGCTGGTCAGGCTGGTCTCGAACTCCCGACCTCAGGTGATCCACCCACCTCGGCCTCCCAAAGTACTGGGATTACAGGCATGAGCCACCGCGCCTGGCCGATTCCTAGCTTCTTATTGGGTTATACCTACAATAAATTTTTGGGATAATTTGAACTCTTTATGATAGACAATATTGAGTCATAAGAGGTGGTGAGATGTGGATGTCTCAATCTTATGCTTGCAGTTAAACAGGAGATTCCATTTGCCTTGCAGCTTCTTCTAAAAGAGAGGGTTCAGGTCTGCAGATAACATCCATTTAATTTCAGAGTCTGCCCTATGAGTAGGGTGCCAAACCCTCTTTAAAGTGCTTCCTGCTGACCCAAGAAATGTGACAGGTTGTGTTATTCAAGCTGAAGTTGTCTTGTCCACACTCAAATGGAAATCTGGCCAACAGAATGGGTGTGGGTTGATACATACACACGTTATAAAATGCTACTCTTCAATTCCATCAATAAATGTAATCTTTCCCTAATTCTACCGTTCCCATTTCTATGCTCGGCTCCCTAATGTAGTTTAATTAGCCAACATGAAAATCCTTCTCAAGACCGTTCTTCATGTAATTTGTATGAAAATAATAAAAAGCTGGTCACAACCCTGGTCTGTGAAGCACTCCCCAATTAACATCTTTTGAGGTTTTTACAACCACCCTCTGTTTCCTGCCCTTTAGCCAATTTCCAAAAATCTTTGCTAACTTTCCACTTACAACTCGTGTCCTATACATTAACCTGTGATGCAGAACATTTTGCAAAAATGTTTTCAGAAGAATTGGACTGCCGCGCAAGTCATCCCACTGTGTGCTTATCCTCCCCAGCAGCAAAGGCTTCAAAGGATTCCACTGGGCTCCGGAGTCCTGACCTTCCCTCCCTGAAGCTGTTGTTGGCCTTACTCAATCGAACCATACCCACATCCTCAAAGTTCCCCTGTTCAATTCCTTAAATAGCTTCTTAATGTTCCTGGAAGCCTCACATCAAACTAATGGGCTCTGAAGCTCCCCAGGACTCAGACATCTGGAAGAGTCTTTGCAGCCCTGGAGGGGACAGGTGTGCTACAGAAACGGCTTTGAAGTGGGACTGGGGGACATGGTCAGACCTTCTAATGGCTCCTTCCCGGGTTCCCATCCACCAAGAAAGGGAGAAAAAAGCCAGACGAATCCTTGAGATTCTTGCAGTTTTTCAGAACAATATAATCTGAGCAGCTAAAAAATGGGACCTGTGTGGACCTGCCTTTCTGCTGCCTTCAGTACGCTTTTATTGCATACTTGCTGTGTGCCAACTCGTTTTCCAGGCACTGGGGACACAGTGACTAAAACTGACAAAGCCTCTCACAACTTCTAAACTAGTAGATGAGATAGACACCCAAATAAATTACAATGTCAGAAGATGAAAGATGCTCTGAAGAAAAATCCAGCATGGTAAGGAGAACAATAGAGTCATTTTAGAAGATGAGGTCATGGTGGACCTCTCTGGGAAGGTACCATCTGAGCGAGTCAATTTCCCATGGGTCCCTTCTTGCACCTCCCCAACCTTCTTTTGGATTCCTGTTACTCAGTGTTAGACTGGTGGTGAAGAAGGGAGGGCTGAGAAAGGTGGGTGTCACTCTCTCCTGCCAAAGCAACCCTAAGGAGGACCAAAGAGAAGCCATCTTTCTTTTCCCTGGTCCTCTGCAGGCACAATCCTTTCACACCCACTAATATAAGATTTACCTATATGCTTTACTGTGGGTAAATCTTTGTCTGTCAGTTTTGTGTGAAACTGTAATCATCGATTTATGGCCCTGTCCTGACACTAGACTGTAAACACCATGAGGGTTGGCATTGTTTTTTTCTGCTTTGTATCTTCAATGCCCAACTTAACACCTGGTTCACTGAATGAATAATCGTCGAAACTGATTGTTCCACAGAGATGAAGCTTTGTGCCTTGTCCTTTAGGTACAGAGAGTGATACACAGCATCTGATCTACCCTGGAAGACTCTCAAGGCTGATCCTGTCTCAGCAGAATCTGAACCTGGAATATGGCAGAATACTATTGCTTTTGCGAGAGCAACCAGGTGAAGAACAAAAAGTGAATGTGTTCCATCCCCTCATGAGGCTTCTGAAGCTTTCCTTATGATCTGATCACAACAAAGGAGACAGGCAACTGACAAACAGCACACTGGCCCTGAAACACCGCTGGCATCTTTGTTATCAGCCTTTCAGGGCCCACTTTTCTGTCTCTTCTAAAAGACTAGATATTCTCAAACCTAAATGTGTTTAGAATCACTTGGAGTGCTACCTTAACCAAGTTAAGATTCAAAGATCCTACCTGTAAGAGTCTTGATTGTACAGATCTGAGCTGCATACTTCAACAGGACCCCAGGGAATTCTGATGCAAGTGGTGGGGGGAATCTCACCTTGAAAAACTGTAACAGACGATCAACTCCTTTAGGGATAAGGTCCATCTTATCCTATCTGTTTTTGTACCCAGAACAGAGCACTGTGCCTAGCACTCAATTCACAACCGAAGAAAGCATTTCCTTATTGGGTATTTTACCCCTGTCCAGCTTACAATGAACACCCAGGGGGTTGGTCATCTTATTGTCCCACCAAAATTCAACTTCTGAAGGCCCAGAAATCCCAATTTGTATTTCCTCTGTGGGTCTAGCAGCATCTTCTATAGTGTAAACCACAGTAGGTCTTCAGGACATACTTGCTGAGGCAAAGCATAAACAGGGGAAGGAGAGTGGAAGAAACAAATTAAACATACAAGATACTTTCAGAAGACCCCCTCATTTCACGGTGATCCAACAGATTTAGTTTGTTAACTGAGACACTTCCAAATCGTCAAACAAATGTAATGTGCTGATATATAACAGAAGTGGCAAACTCTTTCCTTTTCTTCCTTTGTTTTCAGTGGAGCTGCCAATAAACATTCAGTGTGGGGGAGCAGGAATAAGTCTGGGGGCAAACAAGAACCTTGACTAATGTGCTCTGAATGAGCCAAGTGCTGACTGCTCTCACAGAGCCCTCAGCTTCAGAGCACTTAGAGATGTCCTTAATGTCAACATTGGGCACTTATTTTACACAGGAGCCTGTGACAAGCAACTCTTTAATACAGCACCTCCACTTAGTGCTCGGCTGCAGGCTGCTGTTTCAGCGTTTGTGTAATACTTGCTCCCATCTTTGCCTTATTACTGATGATATTTTGGTGGCATGTTAGGAGGGCTCATACACCTATAAGCTGACTCTGGCTTCTTAAAGCTACTTTTAAAAAGAATCCATCAATTCTTCCATTTGCCAAATCTCTGCCGCTTCTCTAGGATGCCCTCACAGCTTTTGTGTCTTGATCAGTTCAGCAGATTCTCCAAACTGGTTTTTCCCTTTTAAGTACTCAATGTAGGACAATGAGCTCCTGCAGCTCAGGACTGGCTTTGTGGAAGAGAAAGAGGCTTGCCCTTGTTATCAGAAGCCTTGCTTCAGGTCTCTGCTTCTAACAAGCTTTGTGACTTGAGAAGAGCCACTCTTTTTTTTTTTTTTTTTTTTTTTTTTTTGAGACAGGGTCTTGCTGTGTCGCGCAGGCTGGAGTGCTGTGGCACAATTCTGGCTCACTGCAGCCTCAACCTGCCACACTCAAGCAACCCTCCCATCTCAGCCTTTCAAGTAGCTGGGACTACAGGTGCACACCACCTATACTTTTTTACTTTTTGTAGAGACGAGTTTCATCATGTTTCTCAGGCTGATCTCAAACTCCTGAGCTCAAGAGATCTGCCCACCTTGGCCGTCCAAAGTGCTGGAATTACACGTACACACCACTGCACCTGGCCTAGCGCTCAATTTTCCTATCTCTGAAATCATTTTTCAAAAACTGAAAAACACAAGAAAAAGGAAATATAACAACTGCTCTACTTCTCTCACAAAGCTGTAATTAAGATCAAATAATGTGGAAGGGAACTGCCAATTTTAATTCTTTTATGGCACTGATCTCAGGGCAACCACATCTGAATATCGTCTAGTTGGTAGAAGGAAAGGATTAAGAGTGGGCTCAGGGAAACTGGGATTCAATTCCCAAAGTCTCATTTAAAACAGCAGTGACTGGAGCTCTCAATAGTGTTTCCTGGCAGAAATAGCCAAGGTGGTTCCCAAGGTAAAGGCTGCCAGTAGTTGGTGGGAAATAAAGAGATGAAATCTTGTCCCCTCTATTTCATGTGTCCAACCCAACAGCTCAACCTATGGATCTTTGAATATGACACTTATGACAAGAAGAAAATAAAACACCAACACACTTCCTGCAGCCCTATAAACCAAGTAGATCATTTCAAGATTGGCATTCCAGCAGGCCACCAAGACTATACCCAAATTCTCTGTAGTAGTCTATCTACTTTACTTGATGTCATGAAACAAACACTGAATTTGGAGGCAGAAGACTTGGGTTTGAAACCCACCTCTGCATTAGGCAAAATCACTTTATTCATTCAGTTTCAAAGCTTACAGACCATCTGCTGGGAACACCAAAGGTAAATGGGATACTGATTCCTTGGATGGACGAGCTGGACATCGTATGCCTTACACGAAGAGGAAGCTGCAGGGGCTAAAGCCTGGGGATGTGAGAAAGGGCTGGTGTGTTTGGGCAGCTTTACCTTGCTTGGTTTGGCTGTGGTACTGGATGTCCCCTGGGGAGTGGGGAGGGTGAGGCTGGACTTCTCCAATCTCCCCTGTCTCTGTTTGTGAAATGAGAGGTTAGGCCTAGGTGGCCAATGGGGCTGCTCATGGCTCCAACATCCTCTGACTCTCCTCACAGCATCAGGCCTTGATGTAACTGATCACAGGACTTCAGAACATTGGGCTGCAAGTGAATCCAGTGACACTGAAGTGTTAGAAATATGTTGGCTGCTCATACTATTGCAAAAGGAGCTGTTTTGGCTGCAGGTATAAATTTATACTTGAAATATGCCACAGATACTCTTGAGAGTTTGTTTTTTGGAGTCTACAGACCAAACATTTGACTTTGGAGGGTAGATACGATATAACAGATCAAAAAGTTTCTTTCTAAACCAGCTAAAATATGAGGTATTGTGCAGAGAGCCTGAAGGTATAACCAATGCCTAGCTGCTATTGCATAAACATTCCATTTTTTAACACACAAGGCCTGGCACGTTACAATTCTCTGGGTTTCCAATGGTTTGTTCACCACTAGATCCAAAGGACCATTGAATGAATTAGTGAATGAATGGGCTTCAACATAGCTCAATAATTATTTGAAGAATAAGTCTATCTTCACAAAAATGCCCATTTGCAAAGATAAGCATCAGAAGAAATCCCAGCCTGTGAATGCAAACATGAGGGTGCAGAACAGATGAACCAAGTTGCCTCAAGTCCACCCAGAAGGCAGGTGAGGCAGAGAGTGACCATACATCCCTGTTTACTCCAATAGTTTTGATTTGCGCCTGTTTTTCCAGCATAATTATTAATAGTGTCCCCTTTGATTCTTGAAAATTCCTGGTTGAGGGGTTAAGATGGTCACCTGACAAATAATAAAATGACTGCTACTTCTGGCCATTGGGACTGAAAAAATCAGTGTCACTACTTCACAGGACTCTTCACCACAGCAGGTTTTCAGAGATCTCAAGAGCAAGTGAGCAAGCTATTATGCATGCTGCCTTAGAAGGGGAGATACAATCACCATGGGTAAACTGTGGGATATTTGCTGTGTGACAAAGTCAATCCCGCTGATTGCAGTTGTTCTGGTAGCAAGAAGCCCAGAACATAGCTGTTCAAGTGCAGAATGAGGTATATCATATCCTTAACCCACCAGCCTGGCATGAGCCACATGCATTGTGGGTCTGGGGTTTTTACAGGCTTCAGAAGGGAGGAAGTGCATGCTGATTGGTTCATGGGTGGCCATGAGTGGGCCAGAAAAGCACCATAAGCTCTCACTCCAGGCCGTGGACTCCACCTGGAACTGACAGCCTGGCTTCCATGCTTCAAGTCATCCCTGGCTTGAAGGTGCTGCTTCACACAACCTGAGACTACAATATGGACGCATCACAAACCCATTTTAGGATTGTAAAGCAAGTTCCTGCAGCACAGTGAAGAACAGCTTATTGATGGCAGTAGCAGCCTGTCTGGACCAGCTGCTGCAAAGATGCTGGCTGTAGCAGGGGTGGCACAGCCAGTGTTGTGTGCTCCATGGAGCTGGTGGGAGCTGGGAACAGGTGGGAGCTCCCAAGTTGGTGGGACAGGAGCCCTGTCCTCCTGGGTGCAGGTGCAGCCACCCAACCATGGCTGCAGACCCAGGCATCCCTATGCTCTTGGGTGTCTTGGAAGTCCCCCTGCCCCTGCAGGCTTGGAAGTGTCTGTTCCTGCTGCCTGGCCTCTCTCAGCTCCCAGTGCCTACTCCAGTGTGGAGCAAAGTTGTCGCTGAGCCTGGTCACTGTCGTGACCCGGCTGGGTGTGTGGGGGCTTGGGGCAGCACTGACATGCCAGCTCCCTGCCATCTCAGCCACCTCTGGACTTTGGTCGCCACCGAGCATGGGAGGGAGGCCGAGGGGAAGGGCTGAGGGTGGCTCAAGGTGGGCCTGCAGGCACCTCTTGATGTAGACAGCCAGGGTGTCGTGGATGACATGTCGATGGCAGCAGGAAGCACACAGGTTCCTGGGGGGAAAGGGGCAGGTCCGCGGTAAAGCAGCATCTTCAAGCCAAGGATGACTTGAAGCATGGGAGCCAGGCTGTCAGTTCCAGGTGGAGTCCACAGCCTGGAGTGAGAGCTTATGGTGCTTTTCTGGCCCACTCATGGCCACCCCTGAACCAATCAGCTTGCACTTCCTCCCTTCTGAAGCCTGTAAAAACCCCAGACTCAGCCAGACTCACAGAGACAATGGGACAACCTGCCTGCAGATAGGAGCTACCCATTTTGGGTCTCATCTCCACTGAGGGCTGCACTCATCAGGATGACCTGCCTGTGGAAAGAAGCTACCCACTTCAGGTCTCCTGAGCACTGTACTATCACTCAGTAAAGCACCTCTTCACCTTGCTCACCCTCCAGTTGCCCATGTACCTCATTCTTCCTGGATGTGGGACAAGAACTCAGGACCCACTGAATGGCGGGACTGAAAGAATTGTAACACAAACAGTGCTGAAACACGCCTCCCTCTTGCCACACTGCAGGCAATGAGGAGGAGAGAAGAGAGGAGGAAAGAGCCATGGCCCTTTGGGGAACCCAGACTTAGGAGCTCCCCGAGCCAGGGTTGTGATGCCCTCTTTGGGGCTCTACAGTTCCTGGTACCTCCAAGCTTTCAGGCACCACCATGTTCCCCAGTGCCCACAGTGGAAGCCGCTTGTGGTGTGCCTGGTTCAGCCGTGCTGGGGTGCCAAAGGTGGTATGTCTGGATGTGTGTAGTGGCCGAACCCTGTACTTGCTTACTCGCTCACACACCCCTCACTGCTCTGTGCCTGGCTCACTCTTGGCAGGCATGGGGTCTGGGCCAGTAGCAAAAGCTGAGCGCAGCCTGCCAGGCTGAGTGGGCAGAACAGGCCCAGCGGGCCCAAGCAAAACTTGGGCAAAGATGCCACCAGCCACAGTGGTTTCCGGCTGGTGAAGCAACACGGTAAGGATCCTGTGACATTATCTGTTTCTCAAACAGTGGTCTTTGGATCACTTACTTCAGAATTATCCAAAATGTAAAAATGCTCAGAACTCATCCCAGATCTAGTGATTCAGATTTTCAGGAAGTGGATTCCAGGGATTTGCAGTTTTTCTTTTTCAAAGACAGGGTCTTGCTCTGTTGCCCAGGCTGTGGTGACAATTGTGCACTGGTGCAATTTCTCACCACAGCCTTCACCTCCCAGGCTCAAGCAATCGATCCTCCCACCTCAGCCTCCCAAGAAGCTGGTACCACAGGTGCACACTACCATGCCTGGCTAAGTTTTGTGTTGTTTTTAGAGACAGGGTCTCACTATGTTGCCTATGCTGGCCTCAAACTCCTGAGCTCAAGCCAACCTCCTGCCTTGGTCTCCCAAAGTGCTAGAATTACAGGCATGAGTCACCATGCCCAGGATTTGCATTTTTGAAACCAACTTCTAAACATTCTTATATGCATTAATGCAATAAATATAAAAAAGATATAGCATATTTAGCTGAAACATCCAAATGAAATTATTATTTTTCAGGAGGGGATCAGAGGGCAACAATCTCCAATGAGAGGAAATGTTTGACACATACAGGTTGGTTTCTGTTGTGTGACCATGAATTATTGTGAGTTGCTAAGTTAGTTTTTTGGTGTGTGTCAGAGTAAATCTCAAGTTTTATTCAAATAGCTGGTTGGCAAATCTCAAGTCATTGGCCAAATGAGAACAAGCCATGTAAATGACACACAGATGCACACAACTGATTTTTATAGCCAGACCTGAGAGTTAGAGATGGAGATGGACAGGCCACATCATGAAGTCTCTCCCATGTAAGGTGAGAATATACCAGATTCAAAGAAAGTAGCTTCTGCATACTTTTTTTTTTTCTTTTTGAGACAGAGTCTTACTCTGTTGCTCAGGCTGTAGTGCAATGGCGTGATCTCAGCTCACTGCAGCCTCTATCTCCTGGGTTCAAGACATTCTCGTGCCTTAGCCTCCCAAGCAGCTGGGATTACAGGCATGCACCACCATGCCTAATTTTTGTATTTTTAGTAGAGACAGGGTTTCACCATGTTGGCCAGGCTGGTCTTGAACTCCTGGCCTCAAGTGATCTGCCTGCCTCAGCCTCCCAAAGTTCTGTGATTACAGGCAGCAGCTACCACACCCAGCCCGTATACTCTTTGTTTTTTGAGACAGAGTCTCGCTCTGTCGCCAGGCTGGAATGCAGCGGTGAGATCTCGGCTCACTGCAACCTCTGCCTTGTGGGTTCAAGTGATTCTCCTGCCTCAGCCTCCCGAGTAGCTGGGACTACAGGCACATGCCACCGTGCCCAGCTAATGTTTGTATTTTTAGTAAAGATGGGGTTTCACCATGTTGGCCAGGATGGTCTTGATCTCTTGACCTCGTGATCTGCCCGCCTCAGCCTCCCAAAGTGCTGGGATTACAGGCATGAGCCACCATGCCTGGCCACCTGTATATTCTTAATGTGATTTCATCCCCAAAAATATTCAAAGTGGTGGTGGTGGTTGGGGGAGGCAAATCGCCCCCAAGGGTGTGCCATGCTAATTGAGAACACAGAAGTATGAGATATTACAGATATGCAGGACTGGAGAGTGGATCAAGAAAGCTGTCAAATATGAATGCTTTAGCCTAACAAAGTATCCTTAGAACTCCCCATTTTCCCTTTTTGCAGGGGGATACATGTTTTGTGAGGTCTGAGGTTTATGAAATTTTGGGGGCTCTCAAGAATGCAAAAGTAATTATGAATACAAATTTAGATACTAATGTGAATGTTTATTAATGAGAAAAAAATTACAACATATTACTGGAACCCTGGAAGCTGAGGTCCCTTTCCTTTGAGAAATGTTTACATAAATGTTTCCTGATTGCAACCCGGCTCCTCCTCTTCATCTGGAACAGCCTGTCTACATTTTCCGGCAACAATCAGAACTCACAGGGTCTGATCTGAGCGCAGGTCCCCAGTACTTAAGTTTAATTAGCTTCTTTGTAAATATGCCTTTACACTGCAAAGTAGATTTCCTTTCTTAATTAGCTAAACAGCTAACTCATCAACTTATATTACTTAGTCCTGGAAAGACAGATGATTATTACTTTCACCCTCAAGATTGCACAGCAGGGAGGGCAATTCTACAGGAAGGCTGTGATACAGTGTCTGTCTCCAGGATGACTGCCATCAATTCCTTCCCTCCCTGTACAAGCATGTTATTCTTCACATCAAGAGGTGGATCCAATTCCCCTAACTTCAAACATGGACTGGCCTTAGAGATTTCCTTGACCAACAGAATGTGACAGTGATGATGTTCTGGGACTTCTTAGGCTAGGTTTTAAGAAGCCTTGCTGATGCTGCCTGGGACTATTTTCATTTCTCCTTTTCTCTCTTTCTCCCTTTCTCTCTCTCTCTCTTTCTCTTTCCCTCTTTCCTCTTTCCCCCTCCCCTCCCTCCCTTCCTTCCTTTACTTCCTTCCTCTCTCTCTTGCTTTCTCTCTCTCTCTTTCTTTCTGTTTCTTTCTTTCTTCCTTTCTTTCTTTCAAGATGGGGTATCACCTATGTTGCTCAGGCTGGCCTTGAGCTCCTGGGCTCAGGCAATCCTCCTACCTTAGCCTCCAAGTAGCTGGGACTATAGCTACGTGCCACCATGCCTATCTGGGATTCTTAAACCACCCACTCTTAGAATATTTCCTCTCAGAATCCAGCTGCTATGTTCTGGGAAGTCAAAACCACCTGGAGAGGCATGTAGTGCTGCCTCAGCTAAACTCCCAGTTGACAGCCAACATTAACATGTGAGAAAGCCATCTTGGACTTCCAGCCCAGACAGGTCTTCAGACAACCCCAGCCCCAACTCACATCTGACTTTGGCCATGTGAGAGGTCCTAAGGAAGAGCCACCCAGCTGAACCCAGTCAACCAACAGAACTATGAAAGAGAATCAGAAATTGTTCTGCAAAGCCTCTAAGTTTTGGAGGAGGTTTGTTTTGTAACCAAAAAAGGCATAGAGGAATTGTGTTGGGATATAACTCTTGTATGCCCTCTATCCCAATAAGACTGGAAAGATGAAACATGGGACACTGAACTCCCTGGAGTTATTTCTCTGGTCCCTATTTGTCTGTAAGTGGTGCTTGTTCCCTCTGCTCCTGTCTTCCAGCAGGTAAATACTAGGAAGACCCTCCCGCTCTGGGATTGGGAGATGAGAGCCCACAGCTATTCCATGGGTTTGATGTGGGGGCTAGAGGAGAGGAATGAGAACTCCATTTTGGTCTCAAATCCAAACCTTAACCAAACCAATCTAACTTTATACTAGTTATTAGTTATAAAGTTATTTTGACCCCAGACTCCAGTGTCTATTTTTTTAATTGGTTCAGAAAACTTACGGCAAAAAAGCATATTTTTTCCTCTTTAGACCTCAACAAGTACCACCATTCTTCCTTTCACATAGTCTGGAAAGCGAAGTCTTGTTTTTTAAATTTTACTTGGCTTCATCCTCTAAATCCAGTCTGCCTCATTATGCCACCTTTTAGTTTCCACGGTCCCTTCCCCAGTTCGGCTCCTCACTGCCACAGTCTCAGTCCTGCAATGACTGCCCTGTCTGCAGCTCCCCCATCTCCCATGGTTACGGCTAAGATATTCCTCTTGCTGAAGACCTTATCTACTGCCTTAGGTCCAGTTCAAGGACCTCTGGGGCAGTTAGCTTTATTAGAGCTAACAGCCCTTCAAGCTAATCTTTCAAACTCAAATGACCCCATAAGGCAAATTTTATTTCACACTAGACGATTTCTTCCTTTCTTTAAAAAAAGAAATTGTCCTATCTCTTTTTCTTTAGATGATATACTTCTCCCTCCTATATCCAAATCCCCTAGTCCCTTAGAAAGCAGGAAACACATGCTTTATGGCTCATCCTTCTTTGGCTAACCATCTAACTAGCCACAAATTTGAATTCCTTGAAGATATGTTCCCCAGTGCTCTACTCAGTAAACACCACCGGACTCATGATACCTATGGAAAGAACCACTGAAATTTTGTGGTTGTAATGGAGTAGGAAGAAGAGCTAGGAACTAATATTTATTATGCCAGGTTTTTTGTTAAGTACTTCATATGTCATTCAGTTTTTTCCTTGGTTTCCTTAGTATAACAACTCTATTGTCCTCTTTTTCACCAAACAGGAACCTGAGATCCAGGGAAGTACTTTTTCAAGGTCACTTAGCAAGTGCAACGATAGAGCTTGAAGTCAAGACTGATTACCAGTCTAAGTTTTTTAACCACCATATTATATGGCCTCCAGGTTTTTTTGAGGTGTCCAGGAAATTCTTTAAAACAAATTTTTCTTCCTCTTCCAAATAGAATTACTGTTACCATTTTTTAAAACTTCAAGACTTTCGGCCATGCATATATGCTTTTTTCTGCATATCATCACTCTCTTTGTATGAACAATCATGTTCTGCTTCACTTCAGATGGCACAGCCATTTTCCCATGTCAGTATGCACCAATATTGTTTCTTATGAATGGGCCAGACTGTAGAAAGCACAAAATACAACAAAATATGTTCTTTCTCCAAATGGGATTTTGGCTTGGGAACAAAAAGTCACCCAGAATCAGAAGATTATAAATGTTAAGATGTAAACATGTTAAATATTATTCATGTTTTCATGGGAGAAAATGGGGGAATCCCAAAAAAAGTAGGAATTCTAAGAGACAAGGTCTCACTCTGTCACCAAGGCTCGAGAGCAGTGGTGTGATCATAGCTCAAGGCAGCCTTGAACTCCTGGGCTCAAGTGATTCTCTGGCCTCTCAGTCTCCTGAGTAGCTGAGATTACAGGTGTGCACCACTATGCCCGGATAATTTTTAAACTTTTTGTAGAGACAGGGTTTCATTATATTGTCCAAGCTGGTCTTGAACTCCTAGGCTCAGGTGATCCTCCCACTTCAGCCTCCCAAAGCATTGAGATGATAGGCGTGAGTCACTGTGCCTGGCCTTCATTCTCTCTCTTTTTCATGGGGAGGGGTGGTGGGAAACAGGGTCTTTCTCTGTCGCCCAGGCTGGGGTGCAGTGGCACAATCATGGCTCACTGCAGCCTCAACCTTCCAGGCTCAAGTGATCCTCCCACCTCAGTATCCCCAGTAGCTGAGACTACAGGCAGGTACCACTAATTTATTATTTATAAATTTATTATTTATAGATACTACATTTGGGAGAGTTTATTATTTATTATTATTATTATTATTATTATTATTATTATTATTATTATTATTATTATTTTTGTAGAGACAAGGTTTTCTCCATGTTGCCCAGGTTGGTCTTGAACTCCTGGGTTCAAATGATCTTCTCGCCTTGGCCTCCCAAAGTGCTGGGATTACAGGTGTGATCCACTGTGCCTGGCCCATTCTCTATTAATATGAAAGTGAATACAAGGAATCTTTAAGTGTGAAGACCTCCAGAAGCCGGTGGGGAAGGAAGACTAATATTTACTATCTCTGACCACGTACCACATCTTGTTCTCACTGATGCTCTCATTTCACTGATGTTCTCATTTGCTTTTCCTAACAACTTGTCAACATAGGGATTTTTACCCCACCTTAAGGAAGAGAAAAGACAGGCTGTGATTGCTTGTGCAGTCCTCTGGTAACACTGGTGCTGGGTTGGAATTCAGATACTACAGTCTAAGGTCTTTGTTCTTTTAAAGAAGGCTGTTTCAGATAAAAGAAAAAGAAAATCTAGATTTTAGAAAATGGAGAGTGAGCTAAATAAGTGATCTGGAGTTATAAAAAATACCTGATAGGAATCTTGATAACCAAGGAAAGGAAAAATGAAGCAGAAATAAAATTGGGCCCCTGTGGTTCAGTCTAGCAGGGGCGGAAAGGGGGCTTGCTGAGCTGAGGAGAGAGCTGGCTCCGCAAACTGGCCCCAAATAGAGAGGGCCTTGTTTCTCCAAGAGCCCAAAATGGGGCTAAAGGCAACAGCACAGTCTTTGAGTGGAGGCTGGAAAGAAGGGTGAAATTAAGAAGAATCCTAGCTCTACGGAGGGCCTGTCACTGGCCAAGAAGGGGTGTGGCACAGAGAACATCTGGAGTTTTGGGCTGCCAGCCTGTGCTGGGCTGTCTGAGTTACAGAACAGGAGATGTGTGCTGGACTGGGACTGGGAGAATTGCTGAGAAAGAAGAATGTGAGGAGAGCCTGGGCTCCAGTGCGTTTGAGTTAACAAATCCTATCCTTCTCCACTGAACTCTTTCAGGACAGTATAAAAAAGTTTAATGGCAAACTTCACTAAGCAAGAGGATGGGGGACCTGGCTGGGAACATTTTCCTTATGCTGGGGGAGAGGCTGCACTCTATGCTGTTAGGCAGAAAAAACCAGGCACTGTAGGCTAGAGGGGAGTCAAAACATCCCCTACACTCAACCCACACCTCCAGACAACAGGCCTGTGCTCGACTGGTGGTGAGGGCCTCTCTTGGAATTCAGTTCTTGGCCAGAAATCCCTGCCTTAGACTGGGGAAGGTTTGAGAGAAGCTCAGCAAACCTGGCGGCTGCTCTTTGGGTTTGGCAAACTCGAGATTTTTCCAGCGCCTTGTGTTCAGCGAAACTGAAAATGTGTTTGGCTAGAAACCCTTCACTAATTTTTAAACTCCTGTGAGTTTCTTTTTTTTTAACATAAATTTGATCCACATGTTTTTGATTTATTTCTATTTAACTCATCAAATCAAATTAGGAGCCACAATGATGAATGGGAACAATGCTGATTTCCAAGAAGATTTTTGCGCACTTTTTCTCAGAATTCAAACACATTCCACCCCCAGCCCCCTACAACTGTTAAAACTACCAGACTGAGCTGGGTTTGAAATTTAGAACCCAAATGTGAAATAAAGATCCACGCCTGGCAAAGACAGAACATAGCAGGGGAATGTTCTTAGGGAGTCACAGAAAGAAGGTGGGCCCAGGATGGGATAATGAGAGAGGAAGTGGGTCAGTTATTCTTCCTTAGGTGGTTTCAGTATGTTAATCGAGCTTTCTAGGCTCCCAACAGAGGCCACTTCTCATGGGAATGCTTTTGTCACTACCACCCAGGGAAAGGGGGTTCCTGCTCCAAAAATTGTGGACAGGGGGTTCCTTGTACCTATTTTTTTCCCTTGTGTTCTCCTCCATAGTAGCCAATTCAAGCTGCTCTTCCGCTTCCCTTCTAACAGTTCCACCCCCTCCCCCCGCCACCCCTTCCTGGCTCTGGTGGAGGCCTCTCCATCTGGAAACATTTAACATGTACAACAATTTTAATCTTGTGCAAGAGAATCTTAGACGCACTACATACCCATTAAGCTAAATTATAGGTGCACAGTGTTACTTTGCACAATTCTGTCTGGTCTCGGTTTGCACACACAACAAAGGCCATTACTGTCTTTCCCAATTACCCTTTCTACTATACCATCATTTTCCACAACTTCAATCTGAGGCCAATAGTATTTCTCTGGGAAACTCTGGCCCCCAAGGTCCCAAGACAAAGTTGCTCTCTTAGGTTTAAGACAAATGCACCCTCATCAGAGCCCCTTGAACCAGTACTTGGTACGTCCCTAAACACTGACCAAATAAATTTCCTTGAATTTGGCTTCTCTCCCCTACAGAACCTGATCTAATTAAATAGACCTGGGTACAAGTACCAGCTTGCTACTTATTAACTGTATAACTTTGGGGGTTATTTTACTTTCCTTGGTTCCAATTTCCCAATCTGTAAATTGGGTATAATAACTATACTTACCTCACAGTGTTGTTGTGAAGATTAAATGAGATGTGTCCTGTAAAAACCTTAATTTGTTGCATGGAGATAGGGAGGTGTTGGTCAAGGGATACCAAGTTTCAGTTAAACAGGAGGAATAAGTTTTAGAGATCTATTGCATGGCAGCATGACCACAGTTAATAATAATGTGTATTTTTAAATTGTTAAGAGTAGATTTTAAAAGTTCTCACCACAAAAAATGATAAGTATATGAAGTGATGAATATGTTAATTAGCTTAGTCATTCCATAATGTAAACATATATCAAAACGTTACACTATATCCCATCGATATACATAATTATTTGTCAATTAAAAATAAACTTGGTATGTTGTCTCACCCAGACTAAGTAGTTAATAACAATTAGTTTTATTATTATTGAAACTGCCACACTTTATTCAACTCTAGAACTTTTCTAAGAGCATTTAAATTTTTGCAGAGGTTGACAGTTTCATTCTAAATCCTCTCCACTCCCACGAATGCTGAAGTGACCAACTCAGTGTCCTACAAACCAGTATCATTCAGCGAGGTGACATAAGGTTTCTCACCAACCACCTGGGATTCTTACCGAGTTCTCAGGGACTCTTCCATGCAGGCCCAAGTTTTAAACCTACAGTCCCTTCCTGAGATCTGCAGTAGCAGAGAGATTGGAAGATCTAAAATCTAATGCATACAGAGCACTCTCCTTCAAGCCAAGTGGAGCTGCTGCTTCTCATTTTATATAAAAAGTAAATGTGAGAAAGGGAGGTGGAGAAGGAGGTTTTTACTTTGCTTTAAGGAGCAAAATCAAGACCTTTACGGATGCTTTTTGGAAAGTAGAAAGGTGAAGGCAACATTTAAGTTATCTGACAAATGCCTCTCTTGTAAGGGGGAGAATAGAAAAGTCCACGAGTCCAGTTACAAGCCCTGTGCTCAATGGCATTCAAAAAGAGAGTTGGAGGTCCGACATTTATTGCTCTTCTCTGGTGAGAAGTAGTTTTAGCAGTAATTCACGGATCCTGATGTTGGGAAGGAATCCACCAGCTTCTAGGGGGAACTTTGGACACCTAATGTAGTCATGGTCTTCATTATGCAGAATTGCTATGAGGACTCAAGAGAGAACACTTGCAGAATTTTGACAAATGGTAATTATTATTTCTACCGAGCTGACCTCACTTGAAATCCTGGGTGATACCAGGAAATGTGTGTATCTTCCATGCCCAACATTTACTAGAGTTTTCTCTTTCAGTGGCTTCTTAGTCCCTTTTATCTACATGTACTATGGATGCCAGCCCAGCTCTAAAAAACCCTAAGGAAACCACTCCCTGGCTCACAGCTCCGCCAAAGTGGTGGGTCTAGGTGACTGTTTGTGCCCATAAAGGGTACTGAAGTGGACATATAATCTGAAGGGACAAATACACAGGCTGGGAAGTCACTTTAGTCTGATATAAAAGGTGAACTGGGCCAACCAGACTCCTCTCCGGAAATGTGGAATTGGGAGAGTGAGAAACTGGGCTGATTGGTAGCAGAGCCATAAAGAATGTGGTTGGCCACATCAGTGGCAGAACTCCATGTGAGGGCTGAGAGCTTTCCGCTGTGGAGGCTTTGCAGGGCTGCCTTGATTTCAAAACCACTTTCCCATAAAGCCTGGCTGTTCAATCATTCTGCTCATGGACACCATAAATATCTCTTCTAATATTATTACTATTGTTTTTTTGAGTCAGCGTCTCACTCTGCCACCCAGGCTGGAGTGTCATGGCACAATCATGGCTCACTGCAACTTCGAGCTCCTGGGCTCAAGCAATCCTCTCACCTCAGCCTTCTGAGTAGCTGGGGCAGGCATGTGCCACCACATCAAACTAATTTTTTACTTTTTGTAAGAACAAGGGTCCTGCTATGTTGCCCATGCTGGTCTCAAGCAATCCTCCTGCCTTAGCCGCCCAAAGTGCTGGGATTACAGGTATGAGCCACCATAGCCGGCCTTCTTGCAGTACTTTTTTTTTTTTTTTTGAGTTAGCTCTAGTAAGTTTCTGTTTCCTCTGACCAAAATAGTCTTTGTTAAAACAGCACCTGCTCTTGGGAAGTACATGCAAATAGAGTTATGTCTAAATGTTCTGAGCATTTCCAGTCCAAGGAATTATTTTAATGCTTAATTACAGGCAAGCCGCAGTGGCTGATGCCTGCAATCCCAGCACTTTGGGAGGCCGAGGCAGGTGGATCACTATAGCTCAGGAATTCAACACCAGCCTGGCCAACATGGTGAAACCCTGTCTCCACTAAAAATACAAAAATTAGCCAGGCATGGTGGTGCCCACCTGTAATCCCAGCTACTTGGGAGGCTGAGGCAGGAGCATCACTTGAATCTGGGAGGTGGAGGGTGCAGTGAGCCAACATTGCACCACTGCACTCCAGCCTGGGCAACAGAGTGAGACTCCATCTCAAAAAAAAAAAAAAAAAGAAACAAAAAACCTTAATTACACATTGTAGTAAATGCTATTGGTTCCTGACTTATGCCTTCCTGATTTCCTTCTACTATCGAAATTGGGAGAGTTAAAACTCTTGCTCTCCCAAACTCCCTTGCAGCTAGAAGGTCATGTAACACAGTTCTGGCCAATGAGAGGCAAGTGAATATCTGTTGGGACAGAGGCTGCCCCTCCTTTCCATCTTTGCATAGAAATGTCAGGCTTGGACCTACTGCCACCACCTTGTAACCATGAAGGGAAAGTCAAAGAAATGCAGAGACGCTACAGCCCTGACACAATGGAGGTGCTGAACCAACGCCAGCAGCCACCAGATTTCAGCCTTCTTACTGGGTGAGAAAAATTTACCTTTAAACTCTTAGGCTGTTGCAAAAGTAATTAAAAAAAAAAAATGGCAAAAACTGTAATTACTTTTGCACCAACCTAATACTATCGGTTAGACTTTTCCAAATTTGGAAGCAAAAAAATTTCTAAATGATATATCCAGAAAGTCAACATAGAAATCGATACTGTTTCCTATATGGTAAGACACATGATTTTTTTTAAACCAAATATATGACCAACTTGTTTGTAAATTAACTTCTCTAAACATCAGCTGAATGACAGAAGCTCTTCAGGTAATTAGTCTAACGAGGGGATAAGGTATACATAAATAACTATGATCAGGCCAGGTGTGGTAGCTCACGCCTATAATCTCAGCACTTAGGGAGGCTGAGACGGGTGGATCACTTGAGGTCAGGAGTTCAACACCAGCCTAACCAACATAGAGAAACCCTGTCTCTACTAAAAATACAAAAATTAGCTGGGTATGGTGGTGTGTGCCTGTAGTCCCAGCTACTCGGGAGGCTGAGACAGGAGAATCACTTGAGCCCAGGAGACAGAAGTTGCAGTTAGCCGATATCATGCCACTACACTCCAGCCTGGGCGACAGAGCGAGACTTTGTCTCAAAATACAAAACAAAACAAAACAACTGTGACCGAAGGCAGACAGTGAAAACACTGTACGTGGAAGGTGCTCTATGTATATCCCAAGTAGGGAGAGACATTACTTCTGGTTGGGCAAGGAAGAAATCAGGGAACTCTCCATAAAAAAGCATCTAAGCTAAACTCCAGAGAAAAAAAGAATTTGGATGTTTGGAGTTGGGGAGAAAGGGCATTCTTGGCAAAAGGAATAGTTTAAGCAAATATGGGAAACCTAAGGTCATGTAAGGGAAACAGCAAGTTCATTCTGGCTGGTGCAGGAGAACAAAGATCAGAGAAGTCCAGACCAAATTATAATAAGCCTTGAACACCAAGTGAATGGGAGTCTGAGCTTTACTCTCCATGCCTGGGCTGCCATTGAAGGTTTCTGAGCAATTAGGAGTCAGTTTTTAAGGAAAATTTACCTGACTGCAATAAGTAGCATGGATTGGCAGACTTAGAAAATGTCAGGAGGAGGCTGTGCAGCCATCTGGGTAAGAGGTGATGAAGGTGTGAACCAGAAGAGTCAAAGTGAGAATGGAGTGGGAAAAAGACACAGACGTGAGAGATACAGTGGAAGTACATATAATACAAGTTGGCTACTGTCTGGATATGGGGTGTGAGTCACAGGAGGAATAACGCCGAAAATGTTTTATTGCACAAAATATAAACAAAAACCTCATGCGGTACCTCTGGAGCTGAAGACAGGAATGGTTTAATGTAGATGTTGGAGTCATGCACCTTCAGGTCATGGTCCCCAAGTCCCCTGGTCACTCCAATAGTTGCCATTACCCGGGCCTAGGAGTATAAGCAGAGGGTCATCAGAAACACGCACACAGTGAAAGCATCCCATTCCAGTGCAGCTGCCTGGGCTAGGAACAACCAAACAATTTTCCAGTTCCTCCTGCCCAGATATGTTTCCAGGCCCCTTGCTGCTAACATACGTGGATAGCTCTTACCAAGAAAGGGCTCACCAAAATCACTTCTGTATTTGAGGAGTGCTTTTTCTATCCATTATCTTAAGCTTGACAGGTTGCTGCTGTTTCTTTTCAGCTTTCTTTTTTTGGAGACTGGAAGGAAGGATGTCCAATAAACTAACTCCAATGCATGCGTGACGTCTACAGCTGCAGAAATCAGTTCATATCAAACCCAATAGGATTGATCGATCCATCCATCCATCCATCCATCCATCCACCCACCCATCCACACACCCACCAATCTTTCTGTTACATATCCACTGTACAAGTATTTGCTCAACACCAGCTATGTCCTTAGTCCTGTGATATGTACTAGTAAAAGGTGTAAAAAATCAGAAATAGCTCTTGCCCTCCCAGAGTTCACCTATTATGTTTTATGGCTGGAGAAAAGAAACTTATCAACTCTATAACCTATCCTGCTAAGATCTCCACAAATTCCCTCTGGGTGGAAAGGAACAAAATGTCACCAGTGCTGTGACATAGCTACACAGAGGCCTCAGGGCTGAGACCTCATCCTGAACTGTTTTTGAATGGTGTAAGGAAGTAACACTATTACACCAATGCCTACACAGTCAGCTTAAATATCTCCTGTTATGCTGAAGATCTGATTTACCCAAACATTTATTGGGTGCCTACTATGTACTTACATCATATGTTGGGGACACAAATGTCTAAGGCCTCGTCCCTACTACAAAGAAACTTGGGGCCACGTGCGGTGGCTCTTGCCTGTAATCCCAGCACTTTGGGAGGCTGAGGCAGGTGGATCACTTGAGGTCAGGAGTTTGAGACCAGCCTGGCTGACATGGTGAAACCCCATCTCTACGAAAAATACAAAATTTAGCTAGGCATGGTGGTGGGCACCTGTAATCCCAGCTGCTTGGAGGCTGAGGCATGAGAATCACTTGAACCTGGAAGGTGGAGGTTGCAGTGAATTGAGATCATGCCACTGCAGTCTAGCCTGGGTGACACAGTGAGACTCAGTCTCAAACCAACAAACAAACAAATAAAAAAACCAAAAAGAAACTTGGTAAGGGAGATAAGAGGGAGATGTGTAATTAATAACACATAAAATATGGTTAAGTACTGAAAAACACATAGACAATGGGTTATGCAAGTTTAGAGGAGGTAAAAATTCTACTGAGAAGGCTCCACGGAGGAGGTGGCACTTAGCACAGAAAGGTGGATTGCATCAAGACAGGCGACACAGAGGGATGGAGTGAAAGTCATCCTGGGTGGAAGAAAGCAGTGTCCTAACCCTTAATCATAAAAAATATATCCGGTGTAGTGAAATGGTTCAAAGACCTGAGCTTGAATCCTCACTCTATTACCTGGGTGATAAGAGTAATTACCTCCTATGAGTGGGGATGAAGTAAATAAATGCTAAGAAACACTGCAATTTAATATATTGTCTTCATCTTCATCCTAGACTGTCAACAGGGCTGTGAATTTTGAAGCCAGCCTTGGTTCGGAAGGTAGGCAGAGTTCACATTAAGCAGAAATGAAACCATGACACCTTTTTGAGGGCAAGGGTCAGAGGGGATAAAGACACGAGACACAGCCAGACACAGTAGCTCACATGTGTAATCCCAGCACTTTGGGAGGCCAAGGCAGGAGGATCACTTGAGCCCAGGAGTTTGAGACTAGCCAGGGCAATGTGGTAAAACCTCCTGACTACAAAAAATACAAAAATTAGCCAGTGTGGTGGCATGCGCCTGTAGTCCCAGCTACTCAGGAGGCTGAAGTGGGAGGATCACCTGATCCTGGGATGTCGAGCCTGAAGTGAGCCGAGATTGTGCCACCGTACTCCAGCCTGATGCCATGTCTCAAAAAAAAAAAAAAAAAGTGATGCAAAGCAAAGCCTGGGGCCCTCTGCCCTGCTGGGAGGCTGGACTGGCTCCCTTCTAGCCAAGAAGTGCTCAACTCTAAATGTGAAAAATTCTGAGTCCCTTGTGGCTCTCCTGCTCTCCTCCCTGAAATGGCGGCTTCTCTGTGTGCTCTTTCCAGCCAAAGAAATCTGATGTTTCTGCTAGTGACTGACCTTGTTTACGAAGTATCCAGGTGTTACCCACACCAGTCTTTAAAAGCATCTGAAGAAAGAAAATGAGAAGTAATGGCCACAGAAGTACTCTGAAATTTCTGCGTAGGGGTACGCGGAGAAGAAAGAGAAAATCCCAGTCCAGGATCTAGAAGGAGCTCCAAGAACTCATGGAGTCCTCAGAAAGGGGTGGTATCTACCAACAAAAGCAAAATGGAGACATGGTGGCTTTTAAATAGGCCAACAGGTACACGGACAGAACTTGCCACCTGCCCATCGCAAGACCATCAAGCTTAAATTACCTGAAATGCTTGAGGAACATGATGTTTTGGTGAATTGAACTTTATACTAAAATTAGAAAACTCTTGCTCCTTCAAATCTTACTGCTATAAACTTCCAAGAATACATCATTCCATTTTCCTATTGTACTAAGGAAAGTATACTGAACATAACTGAACAGCTTATTTAATACTTATGCATTTATGTCAGGTACCAGGCTAGACAGGAACTAGAGATACAGGGGTAACAGAATGTGTTCCTGAGTTTACTGGAACTCACTGGATATTAAAGGGTAATACAGAGAATCTCAGCCCCACAAAGAAATGGAGCTGCAGGCATAGGTCATTGGGCTGAATGATACTCATTAATGGTGCCCATTGTACCAAAAGGCACAAATATTTATATCAGAACAGTGCCTATTAGCCCTGACACGATTCTTAACCAGAGACTGTGATCTGAAAGGTGTTCATTTTCATGAATGGGGTATGTTCGTTTAAAAAATGATTCCTACATGGATCAGATATTTGTGTTTGGTATTCCTCCTTCTGTTGAGATGTCTTTTTGCATTGAAATCACTGCTGGTCTACACGGAGCCCAAAACCTAACCATGTTTGTTCTCTTGCTTTTGCTCTGACACACACACACACACACACACACACACACACTCTGCCCATGGAAGGCATCCTTTGGTTTTCTTCTGAGTCATTTCTTCTTGATAAAAACTATCGTATCGAATGCTGGAAAAATTATCAGTTGAAGACTCTTCTCAATGTGACCACATTTTTCACTTGGAATGCTTCACACCGAGTTGAAATGTATTAGTGTTCCGAGGAAGAATGCAATGATTCAGAAGGTGTTTGTTCTTACTAGGAAATAGATTCCAAGCTTCTTGCTCTCCACTCCAGGATTTCAACCTCCTCCAGGCCTCTGCTCAGAGACCACTTTAGGATCCACAGCTTTTCTTTGGTTCGACAACGTGCTGTTCAGTGCTGGATTCTGACTGGAACCCTGGGAGCTGATGATGGTCTTTGTTATCTTAGTCTGGACTCTGGTTGCTGTGACCTTATAGTCTAATTACAGTGACGCTTTGGACTCTCTTCCATGGGGCAAGTGGCAAACAGACTTGCAAAGTCTGGACTTCCATGGTGGAGTCTGAGACGCGCGAAGCAGACAGAAAGCCAAGGCACCACATCCGCAGCTGCCCCTCGCTTGGCTGCGTGATCTGCCTGAGCTGTTTTAACCTCACAGTCCCAGCTGCCTCGTCTGCCAGATGGATATAACACAGCCAGCTTGACCTGCCTCCTTGCTCGTTGTCAGATATAAATGAGATGATGTGTGTGAAAGTGGTTCATGTTTAAACACTGTAAAAAGTTATTCAAATGGATTGGGAAGGGGGACTTTATTTTCACAAAATTGGCTTGAGTCCCTTGTGCTCACCGCCCACCTCCCACCCCCACTACTCCTTGGACCCTGAAGACAGGAGGCCTGAAGGATGATGGATGGGATATGCTTTCAAGCTGTCAAGGCTATAAAATCACAAGCTGCTGAGTGGAACACACGGACTGCCACGGGCTATGTGGAGCGAAGGCGGGACAGAGCCCTGTCCTCTCTACCCAGGGGAAGCACACGTGCCTACCTTCTTGCCTTCTCCATATATAAGGGGGAACTTCAAGTCCTCATCCTCAATGGTTTTGTATGCCCTGTAGGGGATAAACAACATTTTAAAAAAGGTTTGCACTCAATTAGTGACCTGCTGCCCTGACACCGACTGCTAGGGATTTCATTTTCCCTGAGACCCCATCCACTCACCACACTGACTACCTCTTCCTTTATAGGGAGTTGTTCTCCCTACAGAATTGTGTGTGTGTGTCTTTTACCAAACCAGAAAATACTGTCTTTATATGCTTGAAGAGGGAGGAAATAAGTTGGCATATGCATAATTAGCAAAAAGGGGAGATGGGTTTCTGGCCTTAGGGTCTGTGTAATAATGAAGTGACCCAGCAACAGTATTCTCATCACGAATCCAAAACTGTGAGAAACAGCAGAGCTCAGAGATGAATGGAGTGTGAAACTGCTTCGAGAGCCAGTTCTCACCTTCAGGGGTTGTTTATACCAAAACAGCCTTGTATTGGGATGGCTAGGGAAGAAATCTTTCGAGCCTGTTTGTCCTCTATATAATATGCAAGGTTGGTAAAACATTCTTTGTTTCACAATAGCTTTTAAATAGCCACTCAATACACAGAAAGAACCTTCAGTTTATGCCTCAATGGTTTATTCCAGATAGGGTTCTCCAGTGCCACAGCCTGCACAGCGGAGGCGGGTAAGATGAAAGGGACAGAGCTGATGAAGACCATGTCTTGCAATTTTGCTTATAACCAAGTTAAAAAACAAACAAGCGAACAAACAACTGTTAGCCCAGTTACAGCTGTTTATCACCTTGAGCATGTAGCTTCACCTTTTTCAGTCTCAGTTTCCTCATCTGTACAATGAGGCTAATACACAGGATACAAAGAGCTCAGTACAGAGCCTGCACTTAGTAAGAGCCCACTTAGTGGCAGTTATTACTAATACTTAGTAGATAATTAACACTTACGTGGCATACCGGTTCCCCTTTCTGCAAAATGGGGATAACACTGCTCATAACTTCAAAGTTATTTAAAAGACTAAGTAAAAGATAGGGTAGGTTCTGCTGAATTAGGTGCTATAAGTAGATGCTTTTCTACAACAACATCTCCTGAGTGCATTAAAAATCCTAATTTATTAAATGGCCTGCCATTCCTGGACATATCTAGGCTGCTTGGGAGTGAGTCTGAAATCAAATTTATGGAAGCTCTTGAGGTACAAAAGAATGTAACTAAATTTAAAAAGCATGCAACCCCAAAGTTAAAGCAGGTCCATCCTCAGAAAGTTACATGGTAAGGTGTCCTTCCCATGGGGTGGAGAATCAGTGAGGTTTTGGCACCAGATGTGCCTGAGCTGGAGTTCAGCAATGCCTTTGGTATAGCCCTGCACAAGTAGATGTGCTCTCAGTCCCTCAGGATCCTCATTAATCAATTAGGGCAAAATCTGGGGCTCATTCGTGAGATTATTGCAAAGATTAAAATAGGGAAATGAATGTGGAGAGCTTAGGAGGTACTTAGCACTGTGCCTGGCAAAACAAATGCTGCTGCTGTTGAGTGAGCTGAGAGGTATTCTAGGAATTGAATTTTCAAAAAAGGAAATATACTGTTTCCTTCCCCCAAATCTACCAAACTAACACAAAGTGGAAATAACCACTTTGATGTTTTTACATACTCACATGAGCTATTTTAAACACTGTGGTATATGAGTTTGGGGGGGGAACAAATAAAGCTATTATTAGAAGAATTTGGGTTTTTTAAAGCTTTCCAGGTGATTCCAATGTGCAGCCAAGGTTGAGATCCACTACTATACATCAAGCATCAATTAACTACCATTCAAAATGATTCAGCAATTAGCCCCTTATCAGCTTGACCCTTAAGACAACAGACTACATGGCTCAAGGGAGAGGAGGAAAATGGCCTGAGAAAGGCCCTGAGATGAGCGTGAACAGGGATTGAAGACCCCATGTGGAGAGTGAGGAGACAGGCCCGCACAGAGAGGATGCAGCAGTGGAGACCAGATGTAGAAAGGGGCTGGGCCTTGAGATCCAGGCACAGGAGGAGCCTGGATCTGGTGTAGAAGAGTTGGGTCTATGACTAGACATTCACAGGAATTAAATAGAGCTAGAAGGCTAGAATTAAATAGAGGCAGAAGGCTGCAGCTCTAGAACCAATGACTGGGTATTACCTAGAGCTTAATAGAGACAGGCGAAGAGCACTCTTAACAGGCTTAGAGAAGTAGTAAGAAAACTGCTCTATCACAAGCCGGGTCATTGAATTCTCACATGGCAGAGTGTTGCAGGAGCACGAAGTCCATGTCCCACAACTCTGAAAGACACACACTTAGAGTTGTTACCCACAGGACCAAACCAAATGCAAATTTTAATATTATATGTTAGCTTCTGCTTATCTTCAGGAACAACAAAACATTAGAAATAGAAACAATGGTGGAAAAGGAAGGTTTATTCTGCCCCGCCAGTGTTGGTTTTCAATCAACTATGAGCACTCCCTCTCCCCCAGCAACTAACGACAAGGGGGAATAGCACCAATGAGGAGGAAAAGTACAACACCTTCTCCCCCTCCATCTTTCTGAATCCTAAGCACAGATCATCATATAAAGTTAAGTGGACTTCCATCCATAGTTACAAAGCCTTGAGTAATAAAGTATAAAATATAGTACTCAAGAGTTAAAACTGGCAACTTGATTAGAGTCTGTATAAATTAATAATAGCTAATAGTAATCACAGCAGCTATGATTTACTGAGCATCTTCTACATGCCAGACACCAGGCTCTGTGCTGACTTATAGTATCTAAAATCTCTCAATGGCCTTATAATGTCCTGTCTTACAGAGGAGAGAACTGAGCCCAGAGAGGTTAAGTTACTCCTCCCAGACCAAAAAGGTGGAGTGGCCTTAAAACCGGACTTGGACTTTTCCGGAAAACATGACAAAGAAATGTGATATCAGGACTTAGCTTTGGGAATTTCTCATTCTAGTCCGAGTCTGAAATGAGACCATTATTGTCCACTCTCTTCGGGTGACCAGCTGATATCTGATGAAGAAAAGAAGACTTTTGGCAAAAGAGGAAGGGGAATTTTCTGTGTGAGTGGCAAAAGAACAAAAGGGGTCATGTTTGTACAAAACTAGTGGCTACTACGGTACTGGGTCTACAGAGAAGAAGAGAGGAAAGTCAGCAGAAGTGATGGTCTGTGTTCTTTTTTTTTTTGAGACAGAGTCTCGCTCTGTTGACCAGGCTGGAGTACAATGGTGCGATCTCGGCTCACTGCAACTTCTGCCTCCCAGGTCCAAGCGATTCTCCTGCCTTAGCCTCCCAAGTAGCTGGGATTACAGGTGAGTGCCACCGTGCCCAGCTAATTTTTGTAGAGATACGGTTTCACCATGTTGACCAGGCTGGTCCTGAACTCCTGACCTCAGGTGATCTGCCCACCTCGGCCTCCCAAAATGCTGGGATTGATCCATGTTCTTAGACCTGCAGCTGCTTTTCTGGCCATCTCGCCAGCAATGAGTGACCACAGAGTCAACCAAGCCCCCTCCCACAGAGAACAGACTTTCCTCAAACTGCTCTCAGTTTAAGGAGGCCATCTAAGTTCTGGCCCACTTGGAAGGCCTGTCTGTTTTATATTATAGTCCATGTCAAGGCTATAGGCTTGAATTTATGCTTCCAGCTTGTCCTTGGCTTCCTTCTTTCTCATTTGGGGGAAGATAGGAGAGTGAAGCTTGAGAGCTCCAAGACATGAAGGTACTTTGGATTTGAGATGAATAGAGAGTGTCTAGTCATAGAACCAATTCTTCTACACCACATCCTAAGATTTTTGAAATCCTAATTAAATTTTTAAGAACTAGCGCCCCAAACAAATCACTCGCTAGTTTTACAATAATATGACTGACCAGAGATTATATTATTTGTTACGAGATAGCAAAACTGAAAGGCTTAGGAAAGATTTTCTAGACAAACTCTTATTAATATTTTGGGCCAATTCCTTAATGAGTATTTATGAGGCCAACTGAATCATTTTTTTAGATGAGAAAAAAAATGCAAGGCTTAAAAGGGTTGCTAAATTCTTGGCTTTCCCAAACTGAGAGGCATTATTCTCAGAAGTTTCCATTAAATACTTTTTTAAAGTAATAGTTTCCTTTGTAATGTTGATTGTGCAAAGCTGTAAAAAAAAAAGCCACTGTTGGTTTGGACTTCCTGGAAGGAGCAGTTCAGCAATAAGACTGAAATGCCACCAAGACAGCTGTACCCCAAGTGTAGGAATCCCTTCTACAATACACCTAACCTTGGTTCCTGGCCTCTCCTGAATGGACTGCCACAGAAAGTCACTGTCCTAGGAGTTTAACGGTACTTAATGTCAGCCCATTCCATTGGAGAACAGCTCTGGGAAATTCTTTCTTAAACTGACCCAAACCCGCTGGCCCATCTGGAAAAACATGAAATAAATCCAGACTATTTTCTGCTTGAGAGCTCTTCAATTGTTTAAAGAGAACTATCTCAAAGTTTCCTTTTCCTTAGTTCTTTCAACTGTTCTTCACAGGACCTGGAGGATCCTAACCACTCTAGTCCCCATGCATCCAACAAACAGTAACTGAGCACTGAATACTGTGGTGGTGGCCCTCTAGGGTCTTTCTGGTTGGCCAGTGTCCTCAAAAAATGGTACCCGGAACTGAAAACACTTAAGATGTGGTCCAAATAAGAAAAAAAATTATTACTTCTTTTGATTTGGGCCTTGCATTTTTTAAAAATTAACAAAGCTATTTCCATTATGTGTATTTTTTTTTAGGGTTACATATGGAGACTCTGAATGAAAACAAATGAAAAACCCTAGTCCACAAGAAAAAAGACCTGAGAATGTTTTTTTTGGCTCATGGTCTCCTCTAGTTTATAATGACACACACAATAGATATTTTACCCTGAAGGGAGGACTCCATTGCCCTTATTAATTTTATCTTGTTAGTTTTAGTCCATTGTTCCAACTCACTGACAACTTCCTGAACTCAGATCCTTCCATCCAAAATATCAGCTGTCTATGCTATATCATGTTAAATTTGATAAGCAGCCCTGCCATCTTCATCCACATCACTGAAAAAATTGCTAAGTGGAATCATTAGAGACCTTCCTACTGGCCAAGCTAACCACACAAGGGGGGTGGCAACATTTCAGGCATGTGAAGGAAAGCAATTCAAAAACATCAAATTCAGCAGTATCCTTTTTCATGAAAATGAAGAACCTATCAATTTCCTTTTTATTTTTTATTTTTATTTATTTATTTTTTTGAGATGGAGTTTCACTCTTGTCGCCCAAGCTTAGGTGCAATGGTGCGATCTTGGCTCACTGCAACCTCTACCTCCTGGGTTCAAGTGATTCTCCTGCCTCAGCATCCCGAGTAGCTGGGATTACAGGCGTGCGCCACTACCCCCAGCTAATTTTTTGTATTTTTAGTAGAAACGGGATTTCACCATGTTAGCCAGGCTGGTATTAAACTCCTGACCTCAGGTCATACGCCTGCCTTGGCCTCCCAAAGAGCTGGGATTACAGGCGTAAGCCACTACACCGGGCAATTTCCTTTTCAATACAAAAAACAGATGGTATAAAGCTCGGCAGAATCTTGTCTGGTGGAGAAGCACAGAAGACAGACTCAACAGTAGAGGGTGGACAATGAGATATTAATGTTTAAAGAGGAGGTGTTTAGGATTTAAAAAGGCTGTCAACACTGATCCAGATGGACACTGTCCTCATGGATTTCAACTCTCCTGGAATAGCTCTTGGGCTATCTATGAAGCAACTTAACTGAACCATTATCCACTCAGTATTTCTCCATCTTGTCCAAAAGGCTGAGAGAAGAAACAATCCGATTTCTTACAAACTCAGAATATATCTATGCATACAGTATTCACCCAATCTAGGAACCTTACCCAACAAGAACAGATTACTAATTGAGCCTGCCTTATTGAACCTAAGCTGGCTCTCCTGATCATACCACCTCCAGTGGACGACATTCCTTCAAATCCCTCTTGCTCCTAAGGCACATGAGTGATGCTTATAGTTCCTACATCAACCCCATCCTTCTAGGCTGAGGCTCTCTCACTGCCCTTCTGTCAGTCCCTCCATCTGCCTCATATCCCCCTCCCTTACCCACCAGCCTTTCAGGACATTCTCCCACCTGCCCCGATGACTTCAGCCTAGGTTCAGATTGCTTTTTCACTCTTTCCCAGGATGTCATTCTCAGCATTTTCTTAGAATTTGGTGGTGCTTTTGGATTCCTCGCTTTAAAACTCCTAGCTCACTTCCTGCTGACCTTCTTCTCTGTTCCCCATCATCACCCTGGTCATGTGGCCTGCAGCAAGAACACCCCCCACCTCTGAGATTCCAATTCTGAATCATTTTTCCTCTCTCACTCCCTTGTTGAAGCTCTCAGGCCAGTTTCTCTCCTTGGTCCTGCTATTCTTCCTACCTTATGGCTAAACATGTTCCTGATCCTGTCTCCACCTGTGGCAAAGCTTTTTGATACTTTTCTTTGCTAGAACTTGTCACCTTCTCAATTTTCCAGTAACACAACAAGGATTGAGTATTTTGTCTATTAACATTATGTCAAATACTGTCATCTCTACCTTTCAAACAAATCCAGAATCCTCAGATTTCAACACCTTCCCTGCTGTCAGAGCCCTAGCACCATAGTTTCTTGCCTACATTATTGGGACGGATCCATCAGGCCTCTGTGCAATGATCTAGGCAAGAGGCGATGGTGCTAGGATGATGTCACCAGGTGGATGGCAGTGAGAGTGTTGAAAACTGTTCTGATTTTCCCTTACTCCTGTTCTCAGAGCAACTGGAGTAATTATTTTAGAATGTCAGGTCATGTCATTACCCTACTGAAACCCATCAAAGGTTTTCTATTGCGATCTAAATAAAAGCCAAGTAACCAGATGGTCTTCTTTAACATTGTTCCTGTCCCCCAAATTTCCTAGTCCCCTTTCCTGCTTTATTTTTTTTCCATAGCATCCACCACCACCTAACAGTTAAAGAATTTTACTTCCTTACTATGGTTATTTTTTCTACTGCTTCTTCATGCCCTTTAAGTTCTATGGGGATAGATTTTTGTTTTGCTACCTATGGCATCTCCTATACCTACAAGAGTGCTCAACATATAATGGGTACCCAATAAATATTTGGTTAAGCAAGCAAATTAATACTACCTTCCCTATGCAGAGGCTTTATTCGTATTTTCTTGTTCCATAATATATTTGCAAAACAAAAGCAAAGAGTCTCCTTGTTCGGCTGCTTTCTATGTCTGACTATGCTGTTCCGGCTGATGCTCACTCACAAGCACCCCTTTCCCACCTTTGCCCTAGTGGGCTAGGTGCTGTCCTTACAGGCTCAGACATTCTCTATGAACATCTGAATTTGAGATGCCCATGCAGCCACACCGAAGCCCTTTTACCCTAATGAGCAGCAGTTATAGGACTTCTCCACCATAAACATACTTTGTCTTTGTGGCAATTTTATACATCCCTTCAGTAAAGCTTTGCTCACACTGTCCTCATAGCTGGGAGGCCTGCTAGCAAATCTCCCACATTTCTCTTTTAATCCACAAGCATCACTCTCCACCTTAAAGTTCTCCACTGAATTCCCGTCATCTTAAAATACAATCCAATGATGAGGCCCTCCATGATCTGGCCTTTGCACTCTGACATCGTCGATCACTCTGCTACGCCTTGTAACAATGGCTTTCTTGTTTGTTTGTTTTTTTTTTTTGACACACCAGGGGGCCTGGTCATTCCTTCTGTCTGGGCCATTCTTCCCTTTGATCCTGCCATGCTGGCTCCTGGACATCACTTGGAAAGGCCTCCCCTGACCACTCATCTACAAGTCTGGCGTTCTCTGCTCCTGCTCATCCTGCTTCAGTGCTTCAAGCACAATCTGAAATGCTCTTATTAATTTGTTTACCTTCTGTCCCAACATCCTGCACATTAACTCCATAAAGGCACAGACTTTCTTCCTATTTACCTGTCTATCTTTGTATCTACAATTGTGCAAGCACATGGTAGACATAAAGTAGACACAAGCTAAATGGATGAATGAATGAACAAAGGCTGGTATCTCTCCCTTAGCATGTCAGTTTCCCTCTAAAGATATCCCCCATTCACTCTGCCTTAATAGCTAGCTTTTCTATGGCTAATATTCATGGCTGGGTTCCCATTGGTGATACCTCTGACATATGTTTACCTACTTATATTAAAATTTCAAGTTCCCCTTTATTATTAGTATATATACAAATAGTTATAAAATCATAAAAAATAACATTTATGATTCTCTCGTCTATTCCTTTCTCAGTTCCTTAGTACCACGTCAGAATGGCAGTTTTTTTGCCACAGCTATTCACCAGTGTATATGGTGTTACCAAGACAATTTTCTAACTTGGTTTAAAGGCAAGTTCCTCCTTTAAAGTTCTTCCTAGTCTTTGCTGGATTCCTCCATTTCCAGGAAGAGCCCCTACTCTGATTGCTTAACCCATGGGCCAGGAACCTAGAGTTCACACTTTGGCATCATCAACATAAATCACTTCCCACGATCTCCCTTCTCTTCTAAGTCATGACCTTGAGCTACAGAGAGAGAGAGAGAGAGAGAGAGAGAGAGAGAGAGAAATACCACTTGTTTCCCTAAGTCTTAATTCCCTTAGCAAGACTTCAAAGTCATTTAAGAGGAACGAGAGGAACGTGATCCCCTCCGGGGGGTATAACAGGGGACCCTATTATGCTCCCTTCGGGGACAGCATAATCTCAACAATTCACTTGTGCAGCTCCAATGACACACACCAGTGAGTCACATTCTTCCACTAATCTCTAGACATTGCCTTGGCTGCCTCTTCTCCCCTGGGGATCTTCCTTCCTGGAGTCTCTCTTCCCTCCTGGCAGAGCCCACTGTGGTATTAAAGCACACCAGGCTTGGGGTCAGAGGTTCTGAAGTCACATCTCAATCGTCATGTGAACTGGCTGTATGAACCTGGGAAAATCCCTCAGACCTCACTGAATCTGCCTCTTCAACTGGACACTTCATAGGATGGTTGCAAGGATTAAGGGCAAACATGTCTGGGAACATCCTTTGTGAAGGATAAGGTGCTATTTGGCCATCAGTTGTGGCTATTAAGGTCTTCGGAGCCTCATTCTTTCTTCCATGCAGATGTAGAGCTAACAGGCAACCGTAAGCAGGAAGACACAGCACATCCCCGTAGGAAAAACCACTTCCTGCTGAGCAATCAAGCCACCTAATTCATACTTTTTCTACTGTAAGCATGAAGGAGCATACCCGTGCAACTTTATCCAGAACAGTCCATTGTTCTCCTCTAAAATGAGGACTCAGATACTCAGAAGGATGCCTCAGAGATAATAATCTAAAGAAGGTATAGCTGGGTTAGATTGAAATAGTCATAAAAGGAGCCCTTTTTTTTTTTTTTTTTCCTTAGCTGGGAGCTCAGTGCCCCTCCAGGAGGGAGGAGAAAGCCACAGGCAGCCTTGTTTTCTTCTCATTAGAAACCAAGTCCTAGCCCGGCAGAGGCACATTCCACAGGGGCTGGTTGGGTTTGGGAGGAGGCCGGAGCACAGAAACATCTTCGGTCCCCCTTCTTGCCTTTCTATAACAAAATCTCAGCAGTAGCTTAAATCTCAGGAGGCCTGGGATGAAACACCACCCAGGCCTGGCTGGACAGGAACAGACATAAGCCTGGAGCCCAAATGCTACTTGTGGCTTTTAAGAGCTTGGCATGACCCCAGTTAAGCAATTCTGGAATCCACAGAGGCTCTCCCTTGACTCCCCTCTCCCCACACCCACTCTCCTGAGACCTTCCTGCAAAAAGCAATGCAGGATTGGCAACCACCTCGTGCTTCCTTTTTTTCTGCCAGCCATCTGTATTTCCAAAGGAATCAGGCCCCAAGTCTAACCACAGTGCTCAGTAAATGGAGGCTGCTTTCTGAACCTTCAAGCGGCCTTACAGCAGGCAGCCAGCTCTTCCCCCCTCACTACATGAAAGAGAGAGAAAGCGTGTGTGTGTGTGTGTGTGTGTGTGTGTGTGTGTGTGTGTCCTTTAAGGCAACACAAGAAGAGTCTGATGTTTGGTTAGATCTTACTATTATATTTTAAATGTCATCTTTTAGAGTCTTTTTTTCCCGGTTTCTAAGATTCACTTTGCCTTTGGATGGAAACTGTCTGCTGGAAAGACAGAGCTGCACTGTGAAGGAGAGTGAATCTGAGGCATGCTTAACAACAGCAGGCTCAAGTCAGGGTTGTGGAGCAAGGATCAGTCCCCAGGGTGAGTCTGAAGAGGCTGCGAAACACCCTCTATCCAGCTGGGAGTTTTGGGGCTTAGAATGTTTGGAGATGGACCCAACATCTCGCCCCAGGCTCATCATTGTATAGCAGGCTTTAAGTATGTATAAATCTAGTTTTGGGGGTCATATTTTGGCTCATTGGGTTCCTGAATTTATGTGTTGGAAGATATTTTCAGTAGGTATCTGAATGATATGATCCCTGGGAAAGTTACCCTGTGGGATGGAAGCTCTCCAAACAAATGCTACCTTGTTTTCTTTCTTTGGTCCTTGGAGTGTTCTTTAAATTAGTTGAAGCCTATAGGCCTTAAGCTGTGAACAACCTGATAGACTTCTGCTAATATAGTGCAAGTTAGATTCAGGCACAAATAGTACCTTTGAATTGTGAGTGTGATTAATATTTGGTGATAAACAGAAGAGGGCTGGTAGCAGCCTAGCTTGTGCATACCTGGCTACCACCTGCTCATCTCCTTAGCCACAAGAAAGGCTGCTGGCTTTTTTTCCTCCATGAAAACTCTCCATAATGGGGCCCAAGCTCTGGTCCCCGACAATGCAGCTGCCCTGGAGGAAATCACCTGATTGGTAGGTTTAACCAACAGTCCCTAGGAAAATGCCTACCTCCCCACTTCTCCCTATCAGCACGCCTGAGCCAGACCCTGCCTGGAGTTCTGAGAGTAGTAAACATTTCTCTCTTTTGGCCTAAAGATTCTTCTTCTCACCAGGCCTATGGAAAATAGCAAGAGGCAACAGAGATTGCTCTCATTTTGCTGGTCAATGTTCTTTGGGAGACTCTACTGGGTTACAGCAGAGGTTTCACCGGTGGTAAGAAATATATCAATCCTGTTAACCCAACATATGCACAAACACACGGCAAAAAACAATATTTACCCTAACTATGTGATATACACCGATATTTTCTTTCTATCCTGTGCTATTCAATTTGTTTAAAATGCTGCTCTCCATATACTAAACTGATTTCACAATCCTGTGAATGGGTCCCTACCCACAGCTCAAAGTTTGGTAGAAGAACAGAACCTGCTCTAAGTAGCTTCCAAATTAGGAGCTCAGGCTTTGACCAGATAAAAACAATGGGTTCTATTGGATTCATTTGCAAGTATTTACTGAGCACCTAGTAGGTGCCGGGCACTGGCACAGGTGCTGGGTATACGGAGTAGAATAAAGTAAACAAAGTGAAAGTCACCTTTTGATTCGTAGGCTGAGTTCAGCAGCAGAAAAGGATGCACTTGGAAAAAAATCAGTATTTTTAAAAAAAGTAATCATGTGTATGTATAAAACAGAACTAATAATATTTCAGGATAAAACATTATGAATGACTCTTAAGGAAATTCCAGATTTGGAAATTATTTCTGATTCAGTATCCACTTGGTGTGCATTCACACTTGGCCGTAACAGCTTCATATTCTAATCAATAACATTTAGCTCTCTCCACCGATATGAATCAGAGACCCTTACTTCATGAGCACACAAATGTGAAGTGATTTCAGCTTTCTCAGAGACCATTTATTCTGAAATAAACATGAATTTCATTGACATTCCCTTTATACTGTATGAGATCAAGTCAATATATACAAATCAGGATATGAACAAAATGGACCCCATAGCTACAAATGGTGGGGTGAAAATAGCAAACAGATTATTAATTACAAAGAGGGTTTCTGCTGCACAGGCAGTTCCTCTGTGTCGGCCCTTGCGGCTTTCCCTCACGAAGCTTCTCCCACTCTGCTCAGATGGATATTCATATCATGGAGCAGAGTCCTGCAGTGTCCCCTGGGAGAAGCCACATGCAGGGACTTTAACCTATGCTACATCATTTCAAGGCTTTCCACCCAAGTGCCTTTGAACTGATAACATTACACGGTGCAGATCTCAAGTATCAGTGCTTTGAGTCTTCTGTTTTATCTTTAAAAACCATGAGAGTTTTGCACAAGCCTACAAATGAAGTCCTTCTACCTCACTCCCAAAATTTTCAGGTGAAATAGAGGCTTATCTTGTAGCTTCCCATACTCTTCTGAAATCTTCTACTAACCCCCATATTATTCAGGCCGCCAAGGCAAGAAGCGCAGGCCTGAGTAACAGCTGTCGATATTTACCAAAGGGAGGAATACCACACTCTTAGCTCCTGCATCCAGGTGGCCCTGTTGTTTCAGAGGATGGAGAGCAAAGGCAGCCATTGTTAAATTTTCTGCTGTCACCTCACGCCCAGCAGTTAACGGATTTTCACATACCCCAATGTTTATTATGCAATCTTTTTGTTCCAGGCACTAAGGATTTATATTTTTAAAAACTTACATAATCCTCACTGTAACACTGTAAGCTAGATAGAAACATTATCCTCATTACACAAATAAGAAAATGGAGGCATAAGAGAGGTCATATATCTGGGAGGAAATAGGGGTCAAGCTCACTTCAGGTCTGTCCCAACAGTTACACTCTTAACCACGCTTCTCTGTGCCTCTGTGAAGAGCTAGGAATCTGCATAAATGCCACAAAATGGCATGAGATGCAAAAGAATGTTTAATTATTAATTCTCTTCCTAAAATTAAATTGTAAAAAAAAAATTTAAGCTCATCTTCACATTCTAGGTTTTTATAATGGTCAGTCGCATAGAAGTTAAAACATACCAGTACTCCTAGGGTTGAAAACTAGGGTTGTCTCTTAACAATACTGCAGATGTACAAGATCACTATAGAATTAGATTTAACCTGAGCTTTGACGTTCAAAGTGCTCAGGTGCAATAAACTCAGACTCCAAATTTTCATACCTAGGTGCCCAGTTTTCTATAGGGTGATCCAATGTGACCCAGAGGATCAGGCCTTGGAGATGGGGTGTGTAGCATTTACTGAAGATGAGCAGGAATCAGAAACCATTAAGTTAAATGCCCTGGGCAGCATGGTCTCCTGACCTATCCCATGTATTTATACTATGTGTGAAGCCTGGACTATCCAGGTTATGGGCACAAAAAGGAAAAAGAGGAGGCCTAATTTGACCCTGACCCACCGTTGCACCTGAAGGCTTTACCATCCCTTATCAGCCACTGCCAGTCCAGTCTACTGGCACCTTATGAACAGTCACTGGCTCACTGCAGGTGGACAAAGACATTCCCAAGCAATAGCAAGGGGATAACCAGGGGCAAAGACCACCAGCAGCCCAGGAGTCACAATACTTTGACAGCCCAGGCTGCCCAGCGCTCTTTAACCGACCACTTCTGCAAACTGTTATTCATATCCATTGTAACAAACTCTAGGGCTGCCCAAAGTCAATGTTTAAGGATATACAGCAATCGCCTGGGGTGCTTATTAAAAAATGCAGAATCCATAGAGATTCTAATTCAGCAGATAAAATAGACCCTGAAATGTTTTCAGTAATTGCCCCAGATGACAAAGCTTCAATGTAGGTAAACCTTTGTCTATTAGTTTTGTATGAAACTGTAATCATCCATATATGGCCCTGTCCTGACACTAGACTGTAAACACCATGAGGGTTGGCACTGTTTTTTTCTGCTTTGTATCTTCAATGCCCAACCTAATACCTGGTTCACTTAATGAATAGTAGTTGAAACTGATTGTCCCACAGAGATGAAGCTCTGTGCCTTGTCCTTTAGGTACAGAGAGTGATACATAGCATCTGATCTACCCTGGAAGACTGACAAGGCTGATCCCATCTCAGCAGAATCTGAACCTGGAATATGGCAGAATACTACAGCTTTTGCCAGAGCAACCAGGTGAAGAACAAAAAGTGAATGTGTTCCATCCCCTCATGAGGCTTCTGAAGCTTTCCTTATGATCTGATTACAACAAAGGAGAGAGGCAACTGACAACACACTAGTTCTGAAACACCGCTGGCATCTTTGTTATCAGCCTTCCTGGCTCTTACAGAGAGATCTGCTTTCAGCTCTCCAGCAAGGAACAGACACAAAACTTTAGCCTCTCTCTTAATAAGTCCTTGATTTACTTGTCTGAAGGTAAGAGGACGGTGGTGGTAGGATGAGATTTTTCAGGGTTTGGAGTGGTGGCTCTCCAGCTCTTGTGTGTGGATTACTAGGGTAAGCCCAGAAGCAAGGAGTTTGAAACCATCACCACAGCTGATTTAGATGAAGAGGCCCCCAGGCCACCGCAGGTGACCATCTTCATAGGATTATCAGCTCGAAACCAGCTGTGCCAATTTCCTGCTGGGAAACCTGGAGAGCTGGGAAAAGCAGAAAATTTATCAAGCTCTGGTAAGAGTGAACTAATTGTAACTGAAAGAGTGTTGGTTGGACACAGGAAAATGTTTCCTTGGTGGGTTTGTGAGTACCTGGAAAATTTCAGGAGTGGTAGTGTACCTACTTCTCTGGAATTTCCTTAGAAATGGGATCCTAAAAATAGGCTGAGAATTAGCCCATAGGTCCTTTTCTTTTTTCTTAAATCATCTTCTAAGTCACTGATAAAAATTGTATTTTTATTCATTTATTATTTATTTTGGATTCAGGAGGTACATGGGCAGCTTTGTTACACTGGTATATTGTGTGATGCTAAGGTTTGAGGTACAAATGGTCCCATCACCCAAGTGTCAGCACAGTACCCAATAGGTAGTTTTTCAGCTCACACCCCCTCCCTCTTCTCCTAGTAGTCCCCTATATGTCCTGGATATACATATTGTCAGCTCTATATTTCTGCCTTGTGTGTAATTTTCATACGTCATATTCCACCCTTAAGGTGTGGAGCTCTTAAGGGTGGGAAAATAAAATTCTGTTCATTATTGGCATCCTTAGCCTGGCATTCAAAGTTCCCCATGAGCTGACTCCAATGTAATTACCTAGTTTCATGGTTTGCTTCACTGCCCACCACTGCTCTACACCCTCTTGCTCCCTCTGACATGTCACTTATGTGAGCCTCCCGGGACTGTTATCTAGCTGATACACACCAATATAACTGCACACGAAGGGCTAAAACATTGAAACGTTCCATGCTAGTCAGCAAACAATGGCTGTCTCAGTCTCCATGAATGCCCCCATCTGCTGCTCTGGACTCTCCCCTAGAATCCCCAAGAGGTAACAGTAAATAAAGGGTTAATGCCTGGCACAGCAGGGAGGCTTCTAGGACCCTGCTGCAGCCCAGCTGGGGCCTACTTGTCCATTTTGATTGTCCAAATATTTTGAATATTATCTCTGGCTTCCAAATTCCCAAAACACACATCACATTTTCACTCCTCTGGGCTTCTGCTGGCACAGTGCCCTTTGCTCCGAATGTCCTTCTCTCCAAACTTCTTGAAACCCCTCTCGTAATCCAGATCTTTGGTTCAAACAATCTTCTCCAGGAAGTCCTCCCCAATCCCAATCTCCCCTCTCAAAACAACTACTCCCTCCACCACAGCCACAGGCATTTTCTTCAAACCTTTTTGTATAACTCTTATCTTTTGTCTTGCTTTAGTTATTTATACATATGTCCCAACAGATCTACTTCCCCCACTGTGGAAGTTTGAAGAATAGGTTTAAAGGTGAAATGATATTGTTCAATAAATTTCCAGAAAGGCCGGGCGTGGTGGCTCACGACTGTAATCCTAGCACTTTGGGAGGCTGAGGCGGGCGGATCACCTGAGGTTGGGAGTTCACAACCAGCCTGACCAACATGGAGAAACCCCATCTCTACTAAAAATACAAAATTAGCTGGGCGTGGTGGCACATGCCTGTAATCCCAGCTACTCGGGAGGCCGAGGCAGGAGAATCGCTTGAACCCAGGAAGCGGAGGTTGCAGTGAGCCGAGATCACGCCATTCATTGCACTCCAGCCTGGGCAACAAGAGTGAAACTCCGTCTCAAAAAAAAAAGCCAGTCTTGGGCCACGTGGCAATCTCTTTAAAGCTAACATAGTCCTATATGATGAAATCCTTCCTACGCAAGGACATGCTTTAACCACAGATGGGCTTGACCCTCCCAGCTTCTTGGGTATGGTTTGGAAGACTACAGGAGTACATTAAAAGGTCCAGCATCAGCTGAGTGCAGTGTGGCTCACACCTGTAATCCCAGCACTTTGGGAGGCTGAGGTGGGCAGATTACTTGAGCTCAGGAGTTCCAGACCAGCCAGGCCAACATGGTGAAACCTTGTCTCTACTAAAAATACAAAAATTAGCCCAGCATGTTGGTGCACGCCTTTAATCCCAGCTACTCAGGAGGCTGAGGCATCAAAATCGCTTGAATCTGGGAGGCGGAGGTTGCAGTGGGCTGAGATCACACCACTGCACTCCAGCCTGGGCAACAGAGTGGAGTGAGACTGTCTCTTTAAAAAAAAAAAAAAAAAAGTCCCCAAACCAAAAAACATCCTATCAAATAGTGCCTGGGACAGAGGGGCTGGCAACGGGCTTCCTGGCTGTAGTGATGGTGTCTCTTCTGACAGACAAGAGCTCTACGTTTTCTGTGTCAAACCCATCTTCATCTGCCATGCTGCAGGACAGACCTGCTAGGCAGAGGCAGCCAGCAGACCTGATCTGACTTTAGTTTCTTCTCGAAACTGCCTTCCTTTGTCTTTTTGTTTTCTAGCTTCTCATTACCTTGCAGAGGCAGCATTTCAGCAACAGACTGTAGACCTCCTGAGGCCAGCAGCAGCTCTTGCTGACCCTTTCACTCTCCATAATAGCTAATGATTATAGTATTAGAAACTCATCACGCGCTATTATATGCCAGGCTTTGTTCAATGCACTCAACCTTACTAACCCATAATATCCCAACTATTATCAAGTACTGTTTTGTTTGTTTGAGATAGGATCTTGTTCTTTTGCCCAGGCTGGAGTGCAGTGGTATCATCACAGCTCATTGCAGCCTTGACTTCCTGGGCTCAAGTGTTCTGCCCACCTCAGGCTCCCAGGTAGCTGGGACTATAGGCACGTGCCAACACACCCAGAACATTTTTGTATTTTTTATAGAAACAGGGTCTCCCCATGTTGCCCAGGCTGGTCTTGAACTCATGGCCTCAAAGGATCCACC
Organism: Homo sapiens; assembly: GCF_000001405.40. Taxonomy (NCBI): domain Eukaryota; kingdom Metazoa; phylum Chordata; class Mammalia; order Primates; family Hominidae; genus Homo; species Homo sapiens. The sequence goes on from NC_000012.12 coordinate 62,711,238, forward strand.
CGCTTCAGCCTCCCAAAGTGTTGGGATTACAGGCGTGAGCCACTACACCTGGCCTCAAGTACCATTATTAGCTTCATTTTACAAATGGGGAAACCAAGGCTGACAGTGGCAAAATGATCTGTGGTGGGGATTGGCCCAGCTAGGCAGTCTGGCTCCAGCATCCTTGCTCTTAACTGCTACTCAACATCTACTGTGTAGTAGGTGTACAATACAAGCCTGTCAAATAGATGGTAAGTGTCTACAGGGCCTTCTTGGTTAAAAGGACACTACTTTAAGAGAGATTTTTATAAGCACTTGACATCCCCAAACTTCCCCAGATGACTTGCAGCTATGTTCTTATCACATACATACTGTACAACCCCAAACACCAGTCACAGGGGAAGCGCCGTGTGACTCTGCTTAAGCGTATGTGGATAATAGATATAAATGCTGTGAGTGTTTGAAGGGTCTGAGGGGGGAAGAAAGGCTTGGAAATAGTTCAGCCACTTTAGGACAATAAACTTTTACTCATTGAAGCAGAGAGACGTGTGTGAGTGCATTCATGCGTGCATGCGTGTGTAGGGTGAGTGATGATCAATGGGGAGCGAGCTGGTGGGGCATCTCTTTTCTTTCTCCTCCCTGTGGTCTGACAAAGCCTGTCTGTCTTGGCTTGCAACCATTCGTAAAGACCCCATAGCTTCCACTGGCCTCCTGCGCAGGAGGGCAGGGAGCAGGGAGTCATTCATCACTGTCAGGAGATGTGCTGCACACAGCAGGGCCCGCTTTCTTCCCTGCTGCTCCTGCAGCTAGAGCTGCAAATCTTGAAAAGATGCAGAACATGCACATAGCAAATAACCATTCATCATCTCAGCTCTGGAAGCCCCGGGAGAGGCCCCTCCCCATGTGGGGCTGACCCATTCTGAGTTGGACTCCAGCCCCGTTGGAATTTGGAACACAGGGACTTTTCAGGTGCCTAATCCCTGGCCCAGCCATTCTCCATCCTGGATAATCTATTGAGGTTTGGGGTTAAAATTCTCTGAAATGATCCCCCCTGCCCCTGTCTCTACAAGGTCAGATTTTCAGAGTGCTTTCAGCAATCAGACTGCTGCCAAGGTGGCCCGTAATCATTAAATTATGAAAATACAAGTTGCTGAGAGGAAATGAATACCAGGTTTCACTAGGGAAAGGCCTGCTTTCTTGTGAAGTAATTATAAAATTAAAATGTGATATTTCTCTGGTGAGTGTAAAAAGCCTCCCCATGAGGTAGGTCTGTGGCATGACGGCAACATCAGGATTTACACTGGGGTGGGACTGAGAGATCCTTCTGTGTCCCCAAAATGCCAGAGACATCTGCAGGTAAATTTCCGAAGATTGGGTTAAGAGTGATTAAAAGCAGAAAGAGGGAAAAGTACTGAGTTTGAATTTTTCAATTACTCTGTAAAACTCAAGAGTCAAGCTGTTCAAAAATGTAGGCTTTCTAAGGTAGGCTAATAACGCTGAGCTAATTAGACCCACAGGCATGGCCAACACATAAATTTGGGCCCCAAAGAGGGACACTGTCCCTTTAAAAACCGCCTTGGGATCCGTGGAAAAGCTAATGAGGAGTGTCAGTTGGGGCTGCTTTATTAGGTGGTCCTCAAGAGGATAAAGCCTGGGGTTTCTGTAACAGGGCTTCTGTGCTTGATTCAATAAATCAATTTATATTAAATGCGGGCGCAGCTCTGGAGTTGGCTTCATAAGCATTCTGTGGCGTTTCTCAATCTGCTCATCCACTTCCTTGTCAGCCTGCTTGAATGCACTGTCAGAGGGCATTGAAGAGAGCAATAAAGAATAAGATAGAAGCTGTATCTATATTTGTAAAACCCAACCTGGCAGCTCCAGACCATGTGTGGAACTATCTCCAGTGAGTTTCTCTCTCCAGAAAGCGTTTGGATGGTTGGTGAGAAGCCTGATGCTGTGGGGCTGTGCTTCTCCACCCCAAGCCAAACTCCAGGCTATAGATGGAGAATAAAGGTCACCCCAAACACAGTGGAAAGGGTTGGAAGCCAAGCTGCTTTTAAATCATATTCTCAGGGCCTGAATTACTCCCCAAGAAATCAAAGGAAAAGCAAGAGGGACAAGAGTGCCAGCAGCTGGTCCTCATCCAGGAGATAGGGGAGAGAGCTGAAAGAAGGCTGCTGGGCTGCTTGAGGAGGGGAGGTGCGCTACTGACTAGGGCTGATGAAATGGGTCTCCCTTTAGTCTGGCCAGCTGGATGCAGCTTCTTGGTGGCCCAAAAGTGACTACTGGCTATGAAGTGAGTTGTTCCTAAGCACAATGACTGATGCCCCTGAGGATCAGGAAAGGGGTGTGAAGCCCACCCCTCTGCTGACTCAGAGTCTGGCATCAGAGGCACCAGAGGCCGGTGTGGCTACACCATTCCCTGTCCACAGTTATCAGTACCCATCCCACCTTTTAAAAAACTCTTTGGGGCCAGGTTTGGTGGCTCATCCCTGTAATCCCAGCGCTTTGGGAGGCTGAGGCAGGAGGACTGCTTGAGCCCAGGAGTTTGAGACCAGTCTAGGCAACATGGCAAAACCCTGTCTCTACAAAATACACAAAAATTAGCAGGGTGTGGTGTCACACACCTGTAGTACCAGCTACTCAAGAGGCTGAGGTGGGAGATCACTTGAGCCCGGGAGGTTGAGGCTGCAGTGAGCCATGGTCATGTGACCGCCTTCCAGCCTGAGTGACAGAGTGAGACCCTGTCTTTAAAAAAAACAAAAAAAACAAACCAAAACAAAAAACTCTTTGCTGTTGGGATGCTGAGTTACAGAGAGCTCCTTGCACCACACCATTCCCAACTATACCCACGCTCTTCTACTATGTAGACCACAGCACCATGCCGTAGAACTTTCTGTGATGATGGAGACGTTCTATATCTGCATGGTCCAATTCAGCAGCCACTAGCCACATGTGGCTACTGAGCAACTGAGATGTGGCTAGGGCAACTCGGGAAATAAATTTTTAATTTTATGTAATTTAGCTAATTTAAATGGCCACATGTGGCTAGTGGCTACTGTGCTCGAGAGCACAGAGAATGGAAATTTCTCTTTGCCTCAATAAAAGTAGAAAGTGCTGAAAGGAGAAAATGGGCTAACTCCACTCTGCTCCCAGTGGAAAATCCCCTATTTGCTCATAGTTTTAAGGGAAACAGAGGAGGGAAAATTATCGTGATGTATCATCAAGTTAGAATTATAAAAAGTTAGGGGCTCTAAGGGACAAAATAAAACACTGCCATCTCTGGAATCTTTCTAATGGGATCTGTCTTTTCCAGCAGCTCTAAAAGCAGAGCAAAGCCTACCCCCTGCCGCCACCACACTTAGAGGTTCGCAGCAATGGTCAGAGGAAGTATTTACGAGAGACCTAGGCCAGGATCTGCCCAAGGCCCCAGAAGCTTGGCAGAGCAAAGTACACAAGGTGCCTATCGCCAAAACAGGACTCTCTTTACCAAGTCAAGCATGTGATCTCAAGTTACCAGTCCAGCCTGCCCCTGAAATGAGACCATCATAACGTTAGAAAGGCTTTGCTTAAAGGAAGAATTCTGGTATACTTTGCTCATGACCAGAACCATCTGGAAGCAATCTAGCATTCACAAGATGGACTTTTCTTCTTTGGCCCTTGCTCTCTCTACAAATCCCATCAGCCCAGGAACAGCTGCTGGAGAATCTGGCCTGGCGCCAGGGGTGAAGTTTCAGCCCCCTCCCACACACATGTCCCTCTGGGTCCCTGGCTTGCTTGCCACCCCAGGTGGCTGGACATGGCACGAAGTACGCTGATCCTACTTGAGAAAGCGGAATAGCCAGTGGTCACAGGAGCAGAGACTTGGTGCCACAAAGCGAGCTGTGAGAAACTGCTGTTTCAACTCGGTAACATAGACACTTGCCAGTAAATTATGGCCTGAGACATCTCAGAGGGCTGCGGGTCGGGATACACTGCTCTCAAGGCAACACAATGCCAGCTACAGTGTGCATCCTGCAACAGCAGCTCAACACAAAGGGATGGGGAGGATGGGCCCCAGCTTGGGGATTCTGGCACCGGGACCAATGACACCATGCGCAGGAGGTGAGAGCCAAGGGGGTGATAGGGAGAGCAAGGGAAGACTCCATCAGGAATGAACTCAGCACTGGGGGCACTGCGAAGAGAATGGCTTTGTAAATCTAGCCACTGTGCAAACTATCTGAGGAGAGGGGGAAGGGGAGGTGGGGGAGCCAGGGAAGAGGCCAACTGCATTATGAAGGTCCTGGTGACAATAACCTTTTGTCCTCAAAACAATTTGAGCCTGCCAAGCTGCTCCACAGTCTCCGTGAAAGCATGAGGGTGGGAAAAAAAAGGATCCCCATTAAGAGGCAACAGACTCATCCTTAATTATGAGACAAGCCTTCCCAGAGCTGACATCCTCTCCCACACTTCCTCCTGCAGCAGACACACCACTGAGTGCCGGCGTGGTGCTCCTCTAATGAGAGCAGGCAATTTTTCTAAGAACTGGTCCTTTTGGGATCTTCCCCAGAACCCCCACCCCCAAATGACACAAGCTCTTAGTGAGAAGTGTGAAGCATCAGTTTAATTTGAGCAATGGTCTACAGGGTCAGACTGGGGACTAGAAAAGGGACGGCCTCAGCAGTCCTAAAATGCTTCATTCCATCCTCTTGACCCTATAGGATCGTCAAGACACCAGTCCTGGTGGACAGAGGGCCCCTGCTTAAATGTACACCGAAGCTCGAAACTGAATGATCATGTCTAATTATCCTAAAGAAAAGCTGACTGGCACACTGTATTAGAAAGAACCCCAACAAAAAGTCAGAAACCTGGATTCTAGTCCTTATTCTGACACATTTGCATCAGCTGTGTGCAAGCTGTGTCAGAAGCTGAGCAAACCACCTAATACCTCTAGGCCTCAATTTGCTCACCTGCAAAATGGGAGTAAGGGGGGGTCATTCCACATTTGGCAGTTTAGCACCTTAGTAAGCACCACACACTCTGAAGTTACGCTGCCTGGATTCATATCCCACTTTCTCCTCTTACGAGTTATGTAACCTTGAGCAACTTAGCTCTGTGCCTCAGTTTCCTCATCTGTAAAATGTACCTAGTTCACAGGACTGTTTTAAGCGTTAGGTATGAGGAATTAGGTAAAGCTCTCATCATAGTGTCTGGCCCTTAGCTCTTCCAATAATTGTCAGCCCCATTACCATGATGATTAGTGGAAGATGAGGAAGAAAAAAAATTCCACAACTAGGCATTTACTACAAGGATTAAACAGCTTTGCAGTAGGTGGACTTTTTACTTGTTAGAAGGTTTCAGAAGAATGGGTTCCAGGCTAGAGTGCAGTGGCATAACCATGGCTTGCTGCAGTCTCAACCTCCCAGGCCCAAGCAATCCTTCCACCTCAGCCTCCTGAGGAGCTGAGACCATAGGCATATGCCACCATGCCTGGCTAATTTAAAAAAAATTTGTTATAGAGATGGGGTCTCCTTATGTTGCCCAGGCTGGTCTTGAACTCCTGGGCTTAAGTGATCCTCCCATCTCGGCCTCTCAAAGTGCTAGGATTATGGGCATCAGCCACCATGCCCAGCCTCCCATCTTTAAGTCCTAAAAAATAACTGCTAGATCTAAGGCTTTCTGCTAGAGGGTAAAAACATTTTAAAAAGGAATTCATTAAAGTTGGGGGGAGTGCTTTACGTAGGCAGTAGTCTAAATTGAATGGATGATTGATTTACTGATTCATTTATTTATTTAGAGATGAGGTCTTGCTCTGTTGCCCAGGCTGGAATGCAGTGGCATGATTCTGGCTCACCGCACCCTCGAATTCCTGGACTCAACTGATCCTACCACCTATGCCTCCCCAAATGCTGGGATTATAGGTATGAGCCACTGTGCTTGGCCTAAACTGGTTTTCAATTTCTTAGGTTCTTCTGACAAAGATGTAAAGGGCTTTTCTTCAACTTAAGTCCTATTTTCAAATCAAAAGTTGGAACAGGTAGGAAATGCACAAAGATGCACATAAATCTGCTTGTAGCCAAGGTTGTGAGCCAACAGCCGTTTGGGGAATTAGGCTGAAAACAAATCAGCAAATCACATCTGACTAAAGCCATTCTCAGTTGTGGCTCCTTCATTATTCATTACCTTCTGTGAAGTTCTATACAATTAAAAATAGCCCATTTGTGGACTGTTTATCTGCTTAGGACCATGCTAATGCAGAGAGAGAGAGAGAGAGAGAGAGAAAGAGAAGGAAAATGAGAAAGAGAACAAGAGCAAGTGTGCACGCAAGAGTGAAAGAAAGTAACTGTGTGCATATAAAGTTGGATATAATCTAGTCCCTGAACTTAGCTACATTTTTTTTTTAATTATAAAACCAGGACAATCTTTAGCCATTTTCTAAATATTAAAATGTACAAGCCACTAAAAACAAAAACAAAAAACAAAAACAAACAAAACACAAAAGCAGAGCTTCCAGGGTTTGGAGAAAGAAACATAAAAAAACTAACCTCATCACACATTCTACTTACAAAGAGAGGTTTGAGTGGAACCTTTACAGCCTTTGAAAGCATCTGGCCCATTAAAGTGACGATGCCTATTATCTCATTAGGAGTGCTTTTCAAAGTTAGTAACAATGAGCTGTTCTTCTCCCCCTTTGAATCAATACTAAGCATCTGCAACAAAGATACTTTTCCTTATTACAAAATCCTAGGCAGATATTTATCATTTGTTTTGACTACTTTAGATCTAATTTGCCTTTCTGGCATAGAAAGAACATAGGTACAGCCTTGCCTCAAGCTCAATCTGCTTTAAATGTGCACATCAACTGTCTGCAACATTGATCTCCCCACTTCTGTCAATTATACCTCCTTTATTCCTTTCAGCCAATACATAATTGCTGCCTGTTTACTATGTGTCAGGCACAGGACTAGGCACTGGTGTCCCCCTCAAGGAGCCTACAGACTTGTTAAAGAGACATATTTAAATAGGCAACTGGTGCTGTCAATGACTTAACCTCTTACCTTTATCCCTTGGCCTAAATCATTTAGTTTCTTATTCATTTTCGTTCCATGTTTTCTGCTTCTATCCCTCTATTTAGGCCTCGAGACCTCACATAAATGTTGTTATGATAGTTTTTCTCTGAGTACCTGAATCTGCTTTCTCTCCTAGTCAATCTCATTCCAACTTCTCTTAGAATGGCCCTCCAAAAACATCACTTTCATTTATTTCTCTTTCTCAGGAATATATAAGAGCACCCCATAGCCTCCCAGTAAATCTAAACTTGTCTGGCATCCCGTTTTCCCTATCATGTTCCCTCAGTACCAGCCCCATCTGTCTCCCATAGTCTCTCCTCTTCTATTTGGTCATGTTCCTTGCTGTCTTTTAGATCTACTCTTTTTATGTGTTTACAACCATGTGGGTTCCTAACGTTCCATCTTTCCAAACTCTACAGTTCCCAGACTAAACCCCATGATGCTTTGCTGAATTACACTAGCTCTCACATTAAACTTTTCCTGTACAAGTGCTGATTTTGCTAACTAAATAAAAATGGATTCACAAGAAAACCCAGTCAGGGTTGGTATGATGACCCTGGGGCATCAAAACTCCAGAACTCAGAGCTGCAAAGGTGAACCCTTTCTGATAAATCCATTCATATTTTAGAGCAGGGGTAAATTCTTAGGCTTGAGAACCAGTCTGTGATGCAACTACTTAATTGCCCTGTTGCAGTGTGAAGGCAGTCACAGATCAAACAAACAAATGGGTGTAGCTATATTTTTAAAAATTATTTCTGGAAGTAGATGGGGTAGGCAGAATTTGACTCTTAGGTCATAGTTTGCTAACCTTGTTGTAGAGGAAGAAGAGTGGATACAGGTGAGAAACTTCTCTTGGTTGGCAAAGGACAACCAGAAGCCCCTTGGCCTCTTATCTTCTCTGGGTAGCTCAACTTGTTCCCTGAAGACAGTATGTACCCTGGCAGTAGATCCCTGGCCAAGTCATCACCATGGGAATTTGGGCTGTGACCATCTGCTATTGCTATTTTGGTCAATGGGGAAGAGATAAGAAAATCTACTTAATCTACTTCTTTGACTCTTTTGGAGATATGGGGAAGAAAGGGTCCATGGTCTCATTCTCATATGGTCTCCAGACTGGCAGGAGGCTCGCTCGTTAGGACCCCAGGGCACAAGAGCAAATCTTCACCCACACAGTGCCAGGCACTGCGCTCTCATTTAATCCTTACATTAACCCTATAGTGTATAAGTACTTATCATATCTATCAGTCAGATAAAAGAAATAGCTGAGGTCTTAGTCAACATTAGCCACTGCTCCATCCTAGAAATGTTCTTGATGCTTACACAGTTGTGTTTTCGGAATACGACAACCCCCCTGACAAGAGTTCTTATTTCAATTTGAATGTGATATTAATGAGAATAGCTCATTAACTTTAGCCTTGATAATGAATCTTCAAAGGATATATCTTTTTATCACTTTATCCATGGAAAAATGGGCTCTAGAGGTTAAGCAATTTAACCAACTTTGCTCATTTAGAAGAATCAGAGTCAGGATTCAAACCCAAGTCAGTCTGGCTCAATAAACCTTTGGCCATTCTACCTCTTTAATAACCCTGACCTAAACACATAAAGCTTCATGTGTTTTTAAAGCCCTCAAATATTTGCTACATGTGAAGTGAGAAATCAGGTCAGTTTCCTGGGGTCCAATATCCCCAAGGAGGGCCTCGAAGAAGCAGAGAGGCAAACCAAGGCTCGTGATTTGGTCCTAAGCAAACATAGCAGAGGCAGGTGTACCCCCTTGTCTTTTACCACAAACCCTGGTCTCTGGCTGTGCTTCCTGATCCAAACTGTGTAACTGGCTGTTTATGGTGGTGATGCTTCCTTCACACACACTGTGTGGTTCCGAGGCAGAGGAAGGCATGTTCTTACCAGCCTGTCATATTAAAGTCCCTGTAGAGCATCTTCTTTCCAAGCTCCTTTCTCTGTACTCTCCTTGGAAACTCCAAATGTGTGAACTCATTTCCCAGCAAGTGAGGCTGCATGAATGCCTAATAGCAAAAAGAAAAAGAAAAAACACACACATACACGTATTTAGAGAAACAAAATAAGAATCAAGGATGTTTTGCAAATTGAGACAGGCCATATTTTAAAAACAAGAAAATTGCCTCATATTTTAAGTAAATAGATTTCAGAGTTTAAACACTAATAGAAGACGAGCACATAAAAATGAATTTACAAAGGAATGTAACTTTTTCATTTGATCTGATACATTAATTGTAACCAAATGCATAGCTGAAGGGATCAGGAAAAAAGACTGAGCTTCTCTCTAAAGAATGGCTTTTTAGTTTTCCAAATGGTATACTGGTGAGATACGGGGTGAGAAAGCTCCCTGACGTGGTCTTTTCCACACTCATCTCACTTACATCCTTGGTTATCACGGCCTTGCCTTTGAAACCTGTGTGTGAGCTTCCATGTAAACACAATGGCTTGAGTGCTGGTTGGGGCTGGATGCAGCAGACAGGAACTTTCTGTTGGACTCCCTCCAGTTTGCTCTGCAGTCATTTGATCGTGTCATTCGAAGACTATTCTGGAGCAGATGGCTTCTCCCCCTCCCCCAAATCTCTGTTCACACTACAAAAGTCTTGAGCAAACAGCCACTTAGGGAATTGCTTTGAAACAACAGTCTCATTGTCACATTCAAAATTCAAATCTAGCAATCCGAGAGACGCAATGCTCACGTACTAACTTCTCTACTCAGAGGCCACATGCTGCAAGCAGGCCTGCACTAGAACTTCCCCACATGAAGCTGTCTACCTGCTTCTGAGCAGCATGGTGGAATGGATCTTCTTTCTTTTCTGGCAGGGAAAAGAGTGGGCAGAGCAAATCACAGCCTGGCAGTGTAGGAAAGCAAGGGATCTCTGCCACCAGGCAGATGGTCAGGTCCTCAGTGTATGGGTCATAGGCATCTCTTACAGCTACTTTGCTAGGACCCAATGCCGGCGGATCTCTCACTGATTCTCATGAAGGTCTGGAGGTATTAGTTAGATGGTAGTCATCCAATGCTAAGTTTTTCAGGAACCAAAGGAAGGAAGCTAAGTTGTCACCAGGCTGGTCATATTTGCCCAGATATGGAACTCTGAGCAAGTAATTCTGGGCAGGCTTGGGGACAGGACAGGATGGGATGAGACAGGGTGACTGAGGGTGAGCAGGAGAACTGTGCTTCCCATTTGCTGTAGCCTCAACAGTTTCTAGGTCTGGTGGGAATTCTGGATCACTTTGAGGGGCTCTGAAAATTCTGCTGGGAGTAAGGCTTGGGGTGCTGATGGGTATCAAGGAAGCTTAAATACGAGGTTTTACAGAGAGGTTCTCCTGGGAAGGAATGAAGGGAACTAACACTTAATAGGTCAGGTCAACAGTGGTGCTTTGGGTGAGAAGAATTTGGGTGTGAATCCAAGCTCTGCTTTCATAAGCAATGTGGTTTTAGCAGGTTATTTAATTTCTTGGGCCTCAGTTTATCTGTAAATGAGATTAATTATATATCCCACACTGCTGTTTTCATAATGTAATGTCTATTAATATACTTAGTTGTTTCTGCTTACAAAAAATTATTATAGTCACCTAGTGATTATTGAATCCTATTATATCCTGAGTACTACACTCAGTGCTTTGAGAGTTCTAATTTCACCCTCTTAACAATCTTCTGGACAACACTGGCTACATCATTTGTGGGGCCCGGTGAAAAACAGAAACAGGGAGCCTGTGTTCAAAATCAAGAATTTCAAGACAGGGACAGCAGAGCATTAAACTAAGCAGAGCACTAAACTAAGCACGGCACCCTCCGCGACCGCACAAGTCACAGGCCCATGAAGCTCGTCATGCCTACTGGGTACATACTATTTTATTCTTTTTATTTTAGTCCGCCCATGAAAACTAAGGAACAAAGGCATAAGTGGTCAACGGACAGCACCATCTGTTATAAGCCCTTTATGATCTTTCAGAACTTTCAGATTGTATCAGCATGAATACAATCCACTACCCAAGCTGGACTAACATGGGCTTAGGGGTTACCATGTGCCAGCCCCATACCAGGTACTTCATACACCTGATCTTACTCCCCAACAATTTTACAAAGCAGGAGTCGATTTGATTTACAAATGAGAACACTACATCCTGGAGAGGTTAAGACCTAGCCCGAGGTCATTCGCCCAAGACTGGGTGGATCTTGAGCCTGAGCTTAATATCATGGTTATAACCCTCATCCTAACCATATTTTGGGCCTTTAACCTACACACACATTTTTACAAAAGATAGTAAAGGGGCCATAAGAGGCCTGTGATCCTTTGCACTTAGACCAAGCAAAGTCTGAATCAGTAAACCTTGTTAAAAGAACTCACACACACAGAGCCACACACAGTATGGGCACAAAAATGTCTCTGACATTATTTATAACATTAAATAACTAGAAGAAATCATTGAATGAATAACTCATTAAATAAACTAGCATAAACCCAAACAAAAGAATTCTATGGTGTCACTTACAATGACACTACAGAGAATATGCAATGACACAGAGTTGCGTTAAGTGTAAAAAAGCAGGTCATCAAACAATATGTGTGTGTGCATGAACTTGTGAGTGCTGGGTCATATATGCACAGATCTTTATAGAAGACATACATACGTACACAGATGCTCCTCTGCTTACAGTGGGGTTACATCCCAGTAAACCCATTGTAACCTGAAAATATTGTAAGTCAAAATGCATCTCATACAACTAGCCTACTGATCAGAGCTTAGCCTGGCCTACCTTAAATGTGCTCAGAACACTTACATTAGCCTACAGTTGGGCAAAATCATCTGGCAACACAGTCCACTGTAAAGTGTAGGTTGTTTACCCTCATGATTGGGTGGCTGACTAGGAGCTGCTGGCTCACTGCCACCGTCCAGCATCACAAGAGAGTATCATACCACATATCCCTAGCCTGGAAAAAGGTCAAAATTCAAAATCAATTTGAAGTATGATTTCTACCAAATGCATATTGCTTTCACAATATCAGAAAGTTAAAAAAAAAAAAGTAGCGGTGCTTTCATTCTGCTTTGTAAAATGAAGGCTGCCCTGATTAAAAAAAAAAAGTAAGTTGGGAACCATCTGTTTACAAATGAACATGTTATGGTCTGAATGTGTCTCCTAAAATTCATGTGTTGGCAATTTAACCCCTAATGCAACAATGTTGGGAGGCAGACTTTTTGGGAGGTGTTTAGGCCATGAAGGTAGAGCCCTCGTGAATTAATGCTGCTATAGAAAAGGGCTTGTGAGAGTGAGTTCACTCTCTTGCCCTTCCACCTTCTGCCATGTGAAAACAGAGCAAGAAAGCCCTTACCAGATGCTAGTGTCTTGATCTTGGGGCTTCCCAGACCCCAGAACTGTGATAAATTTTGTTCTTTATAAATTACTCAGTTTGTAGTATTGTTATAGCAGCACCAGACAGACTAAGGCTGTGTGTGTGTGTAAATACAGATACGTGGCATGCATATATATTATTAACAAACAGGTAAGAATCCAAACGACATTCCTGAGCACATTTCTTAACAAACCCCATGTCTAAGAAGGTGATGCATGTTCAGGACACACTACCTCCAATCACAGTACCTGGGCATTTGAGGGAACAGGAGAAGCAGCCCATAGAAACTAGGAAGAATTCCCCTTACTCCTCCTCTAAAGCAAGCCATGAGACCTAGCTCACCTTCCCCAGAAAATAGATCATTAAGACCCGATTCCAGAGGGGCCCTGCACCATACCCAGAGGAAAGAAATATCACACAGGGATGCCAAGATGATGCTGAACAAACAGGCCTTGCTAAGTACCCCTACCCCTGAGTTTATTACCATTAGATCTTTTGTCCTTTGATCAAACTTCTGTATGACTGTCCCTAAAAATACAGTTTGCCCTGTTTCCTTGGGGCTTTCTGAAGACATCTATGTGACATAAGCTTATATTAAATCAATTTGTTTGCTTTTCTCTTGTTAATCTGTCTTTTGTTATAGGGGCATCAGCCATGAATGGGTAAGAAATCTCTTCTCCCACATAAGGGTAAGTGTGGAGATTTCAGGCGCTTTGCCTCCTAACAGGAGGATGAGTGGGCCCTTTGATGGTGCTTTAAACCAGGGACCCTTGGGCTCTTTTTGGCTGATATCCATTTGCCTGGGTGGCTGCGTCAGAAGATCTGTTGAGGCAGATGTCTGTGGGTTAGTTGGGAACTCCTCAACAGCTTTGATAACTGCAGGGGCCACCTACCCTCTCCCTCTGAGGATGTGCAGGTTTGAAAGGGCCTTAAATATTGTGTCACTCTGAGGCGCCTTCACACACAGAGCCTTTCATGATTTCCACAAACTGCTTGCTTTCTTCCAGGATAACAACAGGGTATGATATTTCATCAAACATATATGCCATTAGACGCACCATCATTTTATTACTTCCAGGAAGAAAAAAAGCAGCCAATTAAAATATGTATAATTCTTTCTTAACACTTCAAATTTTAATTTTATCCTTTTCATAAGAGCTGAGACTTAGACACATTTTTATTATCTATCACTATTGTATATATTTAATAAGGGATATAGAATTGAAGTAGGTTGGCTAAGGTTTCCAAAACTTTTACATTTAGAATCCAACTGCTCTCATCATTTTTCAACTCTGAATCATGTATGTTCATAATTTTCCACACAGAAGTGTTGTGTGTTTCATGAGAGCACCGGTGACGCAGCATTTTTTAATTAATCCACAACAGCACTGGAAGCCTCAAAGCTAAGGGTGCAGAAGTTCTTAAGCCAGCTTTGCAATCCTCTAGAGCCAGCTTACTTCTGACTCCCACTTCAGGAATGTGGCTAAGCAAGTCTGAGTCACACCTCCTCAAACTCCTCCGCACAATTAGTTGGATCCAGTGATGCTTAACAAGCCCTTCACTTTTCTCTGCAGGATGTTCTTCCAAGCTGCTGGACACCCATCCCACAAAAGTTTGGTGTGTTGGGACTCAGGACATTCTACCCCAAAAAATGGCACCTTGGCATTTGAGGAAACAGCAGAAACAGGAAAGTCTCTCAACTTCCCCTTGTCCCTCTCCCCTGAAGCAGGTCACAGGATCCTCATTCCAGAGGTGCCCGCCCCATATCCAGAGGAAAGAAACATCTTTAACTCTGAAGACACAGGGATACAGAAGAATCTGAACAAACAGCCTTGCTAAATTCTCCCCAGTTTATTCCCATTAGATCACACCCACTTTATCCAATTATATTTCTCCATGACTGTCCAGTCTTCCTCAAACTTAAGCATAAAAATATACAAAGTTTACCTATTTCTTTAGGTCTTCAATTTCTCATAAAGTCTCCTGTGTCATGTAAAACTTATATTAAATAGATTTGTATGCTTTTCTCTTGTTTATCTTGTCTTTTCTTATGGGGGACCTTGTGATGGGTGAGGAAATCTTTTCCGCCCCTGCAGGTGTCTGCCCTTTTGATGTTCACATATGTCCAGGAGATGACATGTCATGCCTGTCCCCTGGCTGGCAGCAAAAATCAAATATAAAATTCAGATATGTTAAAAAAAAACAAAGACGTGTCTTAGTTCTGAGGAAATACTGTCATAGTCACCCCCCCACTGATACTGATGCCACACTCTTAGATTTCTCCATCCTTCTGATTTTTCTTCCTCTGTTGCTAACTGACACAGCACAGGTGGCATGATTCATTTTCTGTCATAATCATGCTTACCATAGAAATTATAAGTACTCCTTGTGTACCTGTGATATATTTTTACCACTCTCTCTTTTTTAAAAAATCACCACCCACCTCCTTGCCACCACATTCAATACTTACTGCTGTTGCATATGTCAAACCCTATGGAGTTAATGGCATTAAAGGAACTCTTCTCAAGAACTTGGTACAAACAGAGCAAACATATGGTTGCTTAATGAAAAATGAGATGCTAAAATACATGGCTGCACACAATTTGTAAAAACCTGTTGGTTTTCAGAGGAAAACACTTACGGTTATTAGTCTATCTTTTTGTGCAATCATAAAAGTTTATATAGTCTTATATGCACACATGTTTACACATGTACAGTCATCAAAATATTTAAAAAAGTTATCTGAGGGTTTTCTTTTTAATGTATCCATAATTGTGGATATTTTGACCATTGGACACAGATTACTTTCATTTGAAAAAAAAAACCCTCTAAAAATTAGTTTTTTGAGAACCCAGTGTTTAAAGCAAGTTTTAAAAGACTGCTGAGAAGAGCGTTACTGCTTCTTGTTCTAATAATTTTAGGGAAAGCCAAAATCCTGGAGAAGAGGCAAGCAGAGCAGGGGCCTGGCTCCAATGCGGGGATGTGGAAGCCGCAGATTCCCATCAGGCCAGCGCAGAGATGTTTTGTCCGCAAACGCAGAGTGGCCAAACAACTTGGTGATTTGGAAACTTCTTAGGGCCTGCCCAGAATTCAGGTGACCATGACTGGCTAGAATTACTTCATTTGTACTGGTCTGTGCCTCTGGAAGCATTGCTCAAGTCAGCATTCTGGAGTCCTGAGTCTTCAAAATGATTTTACTTTGGATTTACCATAAGCAATAAGCCCAAAGTCTGTAAAGTGTTGGGGCAGGAATTTGCTAGTTTGCTAATAATTTACTGACTTTTTTTTTTTGAGACAGAGTTTCACTCTTGTCACCCAGGCTGTAATGCAATGGCTTGATCTTGGCTCACTGCAACCTCCGCCTCCTGGGTTCAAGCAATTCTCCTGCCTCAGCCTCCTGAGTAGCTAGGATTACAGGCGCCCGCTACCATGCCCAGCAAATTTTTGTATTTTTAGTAGAGACAGGGTTTCACCAGGCTGGTCTAGAACTCCTAATCTCAGGTGATTCACCTGCCTCAGCCTCCCAAAGTGCTGGGATTACAGCCATGAGCCACCATGCCCGGCCATGTGTCCATCATTTTTAAAACCTTAACTCCACTCCAGTGCCCAGCATAGCACCCAACATAGTAAAGGTGCTGAGTAAGTATTTGCTAAAAGAATGAATACAGGACATTCTGACCTGCTCTACACAATCACAACATAGTGATTATTTAAACTATAAGATAACACAGCCTTCAATCTTTTGAAAAAGTTAAAAGTAAGGCCCATATTGTATAAAAACCATCTTGGACCCACGTAGTTTGGATTTAGTTAACTTCTTATAAATTGATAGATGTCTTCCCATAAAAACACATGTGCATGGCTGCATGTGGTTTTTAAAACCCCATGATGTTATTTTACAATCCTAAGAATACCTAAATAATAATGCTTTGTCTCTTCACTTAATAAGCCTGCAGATGAGAAACCTATAAATTAGCAGTTGATATTAAAATGCAAATATTATTATTATTATTATTATTATTATTATTATTATTATTTGAGGTGGATTCTCACTCTGTTGCCCAGGCCGGAATGCAGTGATGCAATCTTGGCTCACTGCAATGTCTGCCTCCCAGGTTCAAGTGATTCTCCCACCTCAGCCTCCTGAGTAGCTGGGACTACATGCGTGCGCCACCATGCCCGGCTAATTTTGGTATTTTTAGTAGAGACGGGGTTTCACCATGTTGGCCAGGCTGGTCTTGACCTCCAGACCTCAGGTGATCCATTCCCCTCAGCCTCCCAAAGTGCTGGGATTACAGGCATGAGCCACCACGCCCAGCCTTAAAATGCAATTTAAAGTGTACCAGCCCACCCTCCGATTAAAAAAAAAGGATCTCTTCTTGTACCTCCATTTTAATCCTAAATTTTGAGGTTTTCCTTCAAGGAAACATAACAGAATGCTACTAAATGAGGGGAGAGGGCGGAGGTATACCCCAAGTTCATGTGTGTGCCACAAATATCACCTGGGGGAAAAAGCTTGATAACCTCTGCCCTAGCAAGACCAAATGCAAGTAACCAAGACTCTTAGGGACTCTAAAGAGCACAGATTTGTTAAAGAGAATACGACATATCCTCATCACTTAGTGATCTGAGCAGCTAAAAAAAGGAAACTTACAAACATGGTTATATCTGGCCAGGAACAAGGACACCTCTCAGGAAAGGATGCTGGAACAACTGACTGTGTCAGGGCAGGACACCAGAGTTTGAGTAGGGGAATTGGATGTCTTTCTATGGCCACTCTCCTCTCTAGTCCTGAGCAGAAACTGGTTTCAAAGGAAGAGAAGGGAGATGAGCATTGCACTGTGGAAAAATACAACAACTCCATCCCAAAGAAAGTCTCTGAGTACCCTGAAGAATGGAGACATAACAGGAGGGAACAAGCCTGAAGAAGAGGCACCTTCCAGAACCTTCCAGTAAGCCTCTCACTAGGCAAGAGGGAGGCCAGAAGTCTAGAGTAGGTGAGCAACCTGCACCCAAGGCTGTCTCACTCTAGATCACATGGCCCTGAGCTCCACCTTCCTGGGCTCAGGGAGAGTTTCGAGCACCTCAGCAGGGCAAGGAAAAAAGGGTAGCCGGAAGCAGGGAACTCAGACCCCAGGGAGGGAAGCTAGCCCTGGTTATGGGAGAAGTCTAAGGTGACCAGGGCTCCAGCGGAGGGCTGAGCACCAGCCTGCCAGTGGACACAAAGATGGGGCTTTGAGGTTACTCAAAATTGCTTGCTAGGGAATACAAAATGCTTCCTCATTTTCTTCCTCCTTTTGATAATTTTTTTTTCCTGTTGCTTTGTGGTCAGCTGGCCAGTGAGTAGTGTCAGCCAAGAAGGAGACTGTCCCAGGGCTTGGGGTATCCAGACAAAGGAATTCATGCAACTAACATTTGAGCCCTTACATATGCTAAGTACCAGGGACTAGGGGTTTGGGGCTCAAAGAACACAAAAAGAGGACCCTCTGCTCAGAGCTGACCCACACAAGTGAAGGAGGCTGAGGGCGGCTTACGGGCAGAAATGGAGCCATTCACAGGGACCAAGGAACAGAGTGGGTCACACACTGAAGAGGATCAGAGAGAATCTGCAAAGGAGCTTAAGAGTTGGTCAGGCAAGAGCTCTAGGGCAAGTGTGGCCACAGCAAAGGCAGGGAAGTGGGAGAGAGCATGGCATTTGGAGGTAATCCTAGGAGAGAAGAGAGTGGGGCAGAGAGGAGGCAGGAGTGCAGACATTGGCACCAAAGATGGCCCCTCCTGCAAAGGGTAATGTGCAGTTAAAGAAAGGATACATGGAGTTAAATAAAGTGAAACTACTTAAACTTTTCAGTGAATTATATGTGGTAAAGTGCTCTTCTCATACGCATACAAGCTGATGAAGTTTCACAAATTGAACACACCTGTGTAGCTGGCCTCCCGATCAAGAAAGAACATTACCAGCATCCTGGGACCAGCACCCCATCATCAGCACCCCATCCAATCACTGTCACTGCCCCAAAGGGGCACTATTCCAACTTCAAGACTGGCCTTGCCTGTTTCTGTGCTTCATCTGAAATCCTACAGGATGCCCTCTTTGCTGGGTATTAAGTCTGCGAAATTCATCCATGTTGTGTGTAACTGCGACTTGCTCATTCTCCGTGCTGTATGTTAATTCCATCCTGTGATTATTTCATTATTTATTTACCCATTCTACTTTCCAGGGGCATTCAGATAAGCCATCATATCCCCTGTGACCTGCACGTACACATCCAGATGGCCGGTTCCTGCCTTAACTGATGACATTTCACCACAAAAGAAGTGAAAATGGCCTGTTCCTGCCTTAACTGATGACATGGTCTTGTGAAATTCCTTCTCCTGGCTCATCCTGGCTCAAAAGCTCCCCTACTGAGCACCCTGTGACCCCCACTCTGCCCGCCAGAGAACAACCCCCCTTTGACTGTAATTTTCCTTTACCTACCCGAATCCTATAAAACGGCCCCACCCCTATCTCCCTTTGCTGACTCTCTTTTCGGACTCAGCCCACCTGCATCCAGGTGAAATAAACAGCTTTATTGCTCACACAAAGCCTGTTTGGTGGTCTCTTCACATGGAGGCACATGGAAGTTTCCCGTTTAAGCTGTTACAAACAGTGCTGCTATGCACGCTCTGGTCTTTGGGTAAACATTCATACGCATTTCTGTTAGGTACACACTTAGGAGTAACACTGCTGGACCACAGCACTTTCAACTTCAGGGAGACTGCCAAACTCTTTTTCAAAGGAGTTGTTCCAATTTCCACCCTCATCAGCAGAATGTGGAAAATAAGAATACTCATGTGTTAAATAAGATAAATGAGATGGCAGATTCCACGACAGAAAATCTTTTGTAAAGTTCTCTGACTAAAACTAGAATCCTCTACCTAAAACTTATACATTAATTAATTTTTTAAATGTTCAGACCTCACAGCATTTGAGAGAAAGTAATCAAAATACGAATTTTCCGTGTACAATACAAAACTTTTTTTTTTTAATTGAGTAATCTCTCCTTTTTCTTGCCCTTAGAAGGGGAAAATCTCCTCAGATTATATGAGAAGAGGATTGGAAGCCTTGCAATTCAAGATGATTTATCAAGATAGAAAGTCTAAGGTCAAGAATGAAATGAAATTAATAATGTCAGCCAAACCACTGGTGATCACTAACAGTCACGCTAACAGTCAAATGAGACAGCTTTTCCAGAGCCAAGGCTGGCTGCCTGATTTACAGTGCAGGAATAGAATATTTTGGTTTGGGTTAGAAAAAATGTGAAATGGCTGAGACCCAAATATGTATAGGTTGGATTCTTTCATAAAGAACTCTGTTCTTAATTTGTTGTCAAAAATCTCAAAGTAACAAGAACCGAGCTTGTATATATAAGCTATTACAGAACTGAATACGAATAAAATTCTGCCTGGTTTATGAAGATTTTAAGAGAAGTTCACATTTAAATTTCTACGTGATCCAGGGGACCTATTGTAAACAGAAAAAAATGCCACAATAGCTTCTAGTCTGCCATTTTATAATTAGAAAATTTGAACCTCATATGCCATTTTATGAAAGGAGGTTAAATGAGGAAGTAGGTGGGACTGGAGTGGATTTTTTTATGACTCAGACATTCTCCCAGGGAGCAAAACACGGAGATATTGAAACTGTCTCTTTCTGAATAAAGCCAGGCTTGCTGGCTTTAGCCACCTGCTCTCAAGGTTAGGTGGGATGCCAAGGTGGTGCACCTGTCATTTTGACCCACCAGCACGCTTGAACCTCCCCACTTATAGCCTCCTGTCTTCAAAGCAGGTTCAGGCTTAAGGAATACTTTTCTGCAGACAACTCTTGAGCAGGAAAAATCCCAGAGAGCCAAGCAGCACCAGGGAAACAGCAGACAAACAGAACCCGGCTCGGCGTTGAGAGCTGGGGGTAGTTCCAAGGACATTGCAAGAAATCACCTCAGATAATGTTGCACTTGTGTTCATCAAATATGTACTTGAAACCCACGTTCATCTCTTCTATACATTGCCCTTGATGAAAAACAGCTGCAAACTTGGATTATTCTGCAAGGACAGAAGTATGTTATTTGAAGATATGATGACACCGGCACGACTTAATGTAATCAAGTCAGAGTTTATAAATATGTACCGGCAGAATGGAGGGAAAACCATCACTCTCATACCTCAGGGCTATGGATGTCTCCTGAGGGAGATCCATTTCTGGCTGTGACCTGAAGCAAAGGTAGGGGTGATTTCCTTGAGGCCACAGTATCAGAACAGTAAAATCTGTTGTGAAATGTCCATCAACCAGACACCCTTCCCTCCTATCTGAGCCTTGACTCCACCAAAACATTCTGTCCAGCTTGGTGAAGCCCCTTAAATATTTTATTTCAATCACCATGGAGACCTTAGAAACAAAACCCAGCAACAGAAGAGCAAGGGTTAGTCACGACTGCAGATCATCAGCTCTCCCTGGTGCTGAGGCAGGAGTGCCCGTCCCTTGAACTCCTCATCACACACCTGCCACATTCCGTGTGAACATGTCAAACCCTCAAGCCTGCTCAATTAATCACCCTGCCTGAGAATCTATGAAACAAAGTTCACATTACCCAGAGAGCCACATGAAGGGCCCTCTGAGGTCAGAATGCAAGACCAAACAAAATTAATGTGCCTGCCACATCCATCATCTTGTAATCTGCTTCCAGTTCCATAATCCCCGAATGTCCAGACTGTGCATACCAAGAACACTGAACATTCCTCTTTGATGTGGATCAAAATGGTTCATGTAGAAAGGACTCTGACCACCTTCTTCACTAGCAAGAAAAGCATTTACCATTTCTACAAGTCAAACAGACCTGGGACTGCAGACATCTGCTCAATGCAAGTGGCTAGGGACCCAGAAGTTTTTTTTTGTTTTCGGTTTTTTTTTTTTTTGAGACAGAGTCTCTCTCTGTCACCCAGGCTGGAGTGCAGTGGTGCGATCTCAGCTCACTGCAAGTTCTGCCTCCCGGGTTCACGCCATTCTCCTGCCTCAGCCTCCCGAGTAGCTGGGACTACAGGCGCCCGCCACTACGCCCGGCTAATTTTTTTGTATTTTTAGTAGGGACGGGGTTTCACCGTGTTAGCCAGGATGGGGACCCAGAAGTTTTAATGACTCTATCATAGATGTTTCTTCATATACCCTAAATATAAAATTTGATTTACCCTAAGAACAAGGAATACACTGTTAATTTTTCAGTGACTAATAACTGATGAGGCCACGTTAAGGAAGATGATACAACTATCATTGTACTAAACTATTTTGTAATCATTCAAGGGAATGAATGCTTAAAATAATGAATCAGTAGGATTACACGCACTTAAAATTATAACACAGTATACTGTATTTTATATTACCATGCAGTTACTTTTCGTTTTAATTTCTGAGCATGTTATGAGTACCTAAAAGGAAGTATTGCTACCCGTTTCATTCAGGAAGAAAGGAGATTCAGAGACAGAGTGTGAGGGGAAACTAGAGGTCAAATGACTCATGACTGGGCTGGGCTGGGAGAAATCCACATCACACTCCTATTTTCCTCTCATAGTTGATACTATTTTCTCCACCCCCCTCCCTGCCAAGATGGAGTCTTGCTCTGTTGCCCAGGCTGGAGTTGCAGTGGCACAATCTCGGCTTACTGCAACCTCCGCCTCCCAGGTTCAAGCAATTCTCCTGCCTCAGCCTCTTGAGTAGCAGGGATTAGAGGCGCGTGCCACCATACCCAGCTGATTTTTTTTGGTATTTTTAGTAGAGATGGGGTTTCACCATGTTGGCCAGGCTGGTCTCGAACTCCTGACCTTGTGATCTGCCCACCTTGGCCTCTCAAAGTGCTAGGATTACAGGTGTGAGCCACCATGCCTGGCCGATACTATTTTCAAGATTTTACACTATTAATCTCTAATTCCCTCAAGTATTTACCATAAAGATTTCACCATAAGATTATTTTATGCTATGAATATTCTAACTCAGGGTATTTTATGTTCTGAGTATTTAAACTCCTGATGTCTGAGGAGAAATGTTTTTAGTTATAAACTAGAGTAACCCATTTGATTTAGGAGTAAGGATTAAAAAGGATATGGGCAGCATTTTCACCTTTTAAAAATTCAGACATTAGGTTCGGTTCTGTGGACTAATAGTGTCCACACTGATTGTTTAAGGGCGACACCAAATTATGCATTAATCTTAGCAACGTTAGAAATGGTTCTTAAATAAAAACGAGGAAAAAAATTACCCTGGTTTGCAGGCCAGTGGGATCTTTGCTACCGACTGAATGTATCTCCCCAAAACTCACATGTTGAAGCCAAATCCCCAGTGTGATGGCATTTAGATGTGGGGCCTTTGGGAAGTGATTAGGTCATGAGGGTAGAGCCCTCATAAATGGGATTAGAGCCCTTATAAAAGAGGCTCCAGGGAGCATCCTTGTGCCTTCTGCCACATGAATTTTTTTTTTTTTTTTAAAGAAAATAAAAAAAAAAGACGGCTGCCTACAAATCAGGAAGTAGAGCCCTCACCAGACCTTGACTCTACCAGCACCTTGATGTTGGACTTCCCAGCCTCTACATCTGTGAGAAATTAATTCTGTTGTTTATTAACTACCCAGTTTATGGTTTTTTGCTACAGCAGCCCAAACAGATGAAGACAGATTTGTAGTGGTAAGACTTTAATTCCTCATACAATAGCTAAATGAGTAGTACTTTCTGTCACAAAACAGTACGGCATGTATTAGTCCTTACACAGACTTCTGAAGTTTTCTATCCCATTACTGTTGAAGAAATTGGGAGTCACTGAAGTTCCTTGTGGAAATTACATACACTTACGTGAGATCTGAAGCCACATGCATCTTATTTCAACCATCCCAAAATATACCGCTGACATTTGGGAATCTGAAAATGTCAGCATTCCTATACTTCCCCCAACCAAGTTAACCTCCCAGGTCCATTCTTGTAACATGAAAAGATGAAATCATTTTAAAACAGAAAGTGCAAAAAGTTAACTTATTATTCATTGCCTCTTGTAGGAAAACAGAAACCTGAATAGGAAATGGGTTTCAATAAAGAGCAGGAGGTGGGCTGTGCATAGTGGCTCACGCTTGTAACCCCCAGCAATTTGGGAGGCTGAGGTGAGAGGATTGCTTGAGCCCAGGAGTTTAAGACCAGCCCTGGCAAGACAGTGAGACCCCCCCATCTCTACAAAAGAAAAAAATAATTAGCCAGGCACGGTGGTGCACCTGTAGTCCTAGCTAAACAGAGGCTGAGGTAGGAGGATTTGTTGGGCCTAGGAGGTTGAGGCCACAGTGAGCCATGGTTGTGCTACTACAGTTTAGACTGGACGACAGAGTGAAACCCTGTCTCAAAACAAAAAACAAAAAAACAACGGAAGGTGAGGATAGGATATAATAGAGGCAAGGAAGGCAAAGGCTTCATACCCTGCTGTGAAATGTTTGGGCGGAGGGCAGAAGAGAAAGGACTGTTTGGTAATGATCTAGAAGTCAATATGAATATTGTTTTTAATTTTTTTTTTCTTTTTTTTAAAGAGACAAGGTCTCACTCTTTACCTAGGCTGCCCCAAGAGTGCAGTGGTGCAGTCTCGGTTCACTGCAACCTCTGCCTTCTGGGCTCAAGTGATCCTCCCACTTCGGCCTCCTGAGTAGCTGGGACTACAGGCACACATCACCATGCCTGGCTAATTTTTTTTTGGATTTGTTTTGTAGAGACAGCATTTTGCCATGTTGCCCAGACTGGTCTTGAACTCCTGGGCTCAAGCGATCCTCCCACCTCAGCCTTCCAAAGTGCTGGGATTACAGGCATGAGCCACCGTGCCCAGCCTGTTTTTAAATCTTTCGTTCAGTAAACAGATACTGGTTCTATATCTCCCTTGTGCCAGGTGCTGTGTTGAATACTGGCAATATGAGGTGACTAAGGTAAGTGGCCTGCCCTCCAGAACACAGTCTGAAGAGGGGGAGAGACCAGAACAAGCAACACCATATGCTGAGAGCCACACTGCAGGGATCTGGAAGCTGTGGTACAAGCACTGGGGACTGACTCCCTAGGAGGATTAGGGGACACTTTGCAGAAGAAGTGATATTTGTGCTGGAGTCTTAAAGAATGAAGAGGAGTTCTCCTAACAGAAAAGAAAGAAAAGGCCATCCAGGCAGACCATACTTCCAAAGGCATGGGGGTCAGAGATCAGAGAAATCATGATATGTCCTGGAAATGGAAGGTAGTTCTCTGTGGCTGGAGCATGGGATGCCTGGTGGCAGTGGTGGTGGTGGCAACATTGAGATAGGACTGGAGATGTGGGCAGGGGCCAGGATTCCAGCAAGGCCAAGAAGGGCGGTCTGCATTCTGTAAATTGCAGGGAGCCAAAGGCTTTTAGATAGGGGAGTGACAAGGTGGGTAATGAGGTCACTTGGATAGCCTTGTGGAATAGAGTGGAGAAAGCCAGACAGGTGGCAGAGAGGCTAGCTATAACGAATTCTACTTGGAGGGATCCTTGCAGCTCAGAGGCCCTTGGTGGCCCTATCGTCCAGCTCTCCATTTCACAAGTGATAAACCGAGGTCAGGAAAGGTTAAGAAACTTGCACAAAACTGTCCAGCTGGTAACACAGCTGGGGCCAGAATGAAGATCTGAAGGCTGCAGTGGGGTCCTTTCCACCGGCCTAGACTACCAAAGAAAATGACGAGGTCTGAAGCCTGGATTCCCTAGTAGTGGTTTCAAGTTTATCAGCTTAAGACACCACCACAAAGGTTAGAAAGCAACAGTAGGTGAAAGATTGAAGTACTGTTTTTACAGTCATTTTGGATTCCTGCTGTCTTATACACCAAATAAGTAGTTAAAGTGACACAGTTCATAGAATAAAATGAATGAAAACACAGACATGGAAATGGAAGGAAAGTGCAGAGCTGCTTTCTAAATCAACCAAATTAATTAAATCCTGACCACAAATACTGAAATGCAGAGATGCAAAGTCCTTTTTGAGTAGCCTGGATCAATTGTTTCCTAAGAGCAGATGGGCACTACTTTAGCTGTGTTGTCTACAAAGAAATCCAGTTGGCGAGAAAATATTTCATCCACAGAACTATGATTCACAGGGTTAGTTCCTAGAGGTATCTGCCCCAAGGCCACCTGGGATGATTACCAGAGTCACTTTAAACCAAGATTCTAAGCCTAATACCCTTGCCCCTGGAATTTGAAGACAAGGAAGTGAGTCTATTCTGTTTCCCAGAAAACTGAGCCCGCTCATAATTTCATTCCAAAGAGAATAATCTACATAGAGAACTTATTTTCAGGATAGAAACAGATTTTCTGACACCTGCACCTTTTCCAAAGGGCCTGTAAGACTTCATATCTGAGCATGAAGTAGTGGCATGTCAGCAGAGACCTCAGAGCTGCCACGTGGGCAGATTCTTCCTCACAACGGGAATCAGACCAAGTTCCCTGTTTGAGTTAAAGTGAGTAGCGGGCCATGGAAGAAGGTATCTGTGTTTTTCAAAACTGCATTTCACATTGTACATAAGAAGCCATTAAAAAAAAAAAAAAACAAAAAAAACAAAACCAGAGCACACCATGTCTTCAATTGGTCACAGATGGGAGAAAATCAGCCGCAATAATAAATTCACGGAGGTGGAGTGTGTCGTCACACACGGAGCCAGGATGTGTGATCCAGAAGGTGTGTGTGGGGGAGTTAATACCATATGTCATTTGAATGCGGTGAGCCTGCTCCCATGTCAGTAGCAACGTGTTCCTCCAGAACAGCTCCGATGCCATCCCTGATGCCACTGCCCTCTGCCAAGCCTAGATGACTCTTACCAGGTACTGAAGTCGCTGGCGCTCCGTCTCGGGGGTAAATTCTGAAGACATGGGGATAATTTCTCCATTTCTGATGATTATGGCCCTGAAATGGTGAAAATGCATTGTCAGTAGCCAATCTCATAAATGCTCTGATTCTGTTACAACCATTGCTTGGTTCAGGTCACACATGAAATGCCAAGAGATGTTTTTGTTTTCCCACTTGCATGGCAGAGTTCACTGTTCCCAGCTCTGAATCCCTCACCACATGAGAGGCATCTCTCTTTTAAGTGCATTGCATTCTAGTTAGCTTATGTTTATGTTTTCTGCTAGCTGGAAGTGTGCCTTAATGCTCCAGCCCCAACCATACTTCTTGGCACATAACAAATGCTCAGTGAATAAATGGACGGATGGATGAATGAATGAGTGATGCAACAGAGTCTTGCTCTAGCCCAGGGTTATCGAATAGCACCTTTTGTGATCATGGTAATGTTTTTGTTTGTGCAGTCCAATATGGCAGGCACTAACCACATGCGGGTACTAGGCACTTAAATTGTGGTTAGTGCAGGCAAGGAACTGAATTTTTCGTTTTATTGAAGTTTAATGAACTTAGCTTTAAATTTAAGCGGTCACATATGGCTAGTGTTGAATGTATTTGACAGTGCAGCTCTAGATCCCTGTTACTCCAATGATGCTGTGGGCCAGCAGCATTGGCTTCACCTGGGAGCTTGTTAGAAATGCAGAATCTCAGGTTCCACCCTGAGATTACTGCATCAAAATCTGCATTGTAATAAGATCCCCTGGTGATTCATAAGCACAGGGATGTCTGAGAATGTGTGGCCTACACTGTTGAATTTCTAGGGTGATATCCTGGGTCCAGGGGGAAAAAAAAAACCAAAACCACTCATCTCAAGGCTCAGGAAACTCATACACTCCAAAAAGTGTATCTAAGAGCTATTGCCCAGTCAAGGACTTTTGAGGGAACGGCGTTCCCCAAAGCAGATGTCTATAGGAGAGGCTGCAGGATCGATAACCATGAGCAACCTTTCCTGGGTCTATTCCCAGCGGTGCCTCCTGTTCCCAGACCTTCTGATTCCAAAGTGGTTCCTGACAGCCACTTTTCAGCTATCGATCGGTTGTGGCAGAATGTTGCCATTTCTACAACAAATGGAAGTGGCTTGGGGAATTGCATTCTATATGAACCCAACAGCTCCCAGGCATCAGGGAGCTAGAGACCTGAGACCTGACATGCTTCTCAGTGAGGAGCCACCAACATGGGAAATGCCTTCGATCAGCTCAGATCTGAGTGGATGCCTCCTTCATTCTAGGGAGGCTGCATTCTTTGTGCCAAGAAGCCTCTGGGCATCCCTCTCTCCCAGTGCAGAGGCAGTTCCTGACTTGGAAACAATCCCTATAAATGGCTGCAGCTGTCATGACCCCACCCCCAACCCCTCACCACCTGTGCCCTAGTTGCTGCTGTCATAGAAACGGGAAAGTGGGGGGTCGGGGCGGGGGCGGCGGAGGGGCGGGCAGCGCATCCAGGAAGGGAAGGAGTGATGACAAAAATCTTAGGGGTTTTAGAGAACTTATGACTCTAGGAAAAAAAAAAACAGTGGAAGCTGTGAGAAAATGGAAAAGTTTAGGGGAACTGACTGTGAGAAGATGAGGCCTCTTATAATACTCCTTATCACTTTTATTATGCTGTCTGAAATATGACAAGTTAAAGATTCCTTCTTATAAACAGGAGCCACTTGTCAAATGCAATCACTATTACCCCACCCCCACTAAGGTGTTATCCACCATTCACAAATCAGTGTGAATTAATTCCAATGGTCTTTGTTCTAATTACCAGGTGAGTATGACTATAACAAGGGAGTAGGAGTTTTGACAGGATGGAGAAACACAGGAGAATTTGAAAGGGGGCGGGGTCAGGAAATTCTAGGTTTGGGCCTAATCTTACAGGATCTAGAGGGCCCCTGAGAATTCGGGGAGCTGGAGTGAAAGTTATTATGTGATAAATTCCAAAGATAATCTCCTCTTTCAAGATTTTGCCTAAAGCTACTCTTAACTTTTTCCTCTTTTTCTGCACGGCCCCTGAATTGCAGTTGAATTCCCAGGCATGGACTAGGAAGAGCCAGCGATGCCCAATCAGGCCATGGAAGCATCTCCTCTAGGACCTGAGTGCCAGGAGCTCAGGGGCCTGGTAACGCCAAAGGCTTAGGTCATGCCTGTCACAAAGCAGGGGCCCAGTGAATGTTTGCTGATTAAAGGAGCAGATGAAAGAACTTAGAAGAAACTGTTCCTTGAATTTGAGGCCCGAAGAGAAAAGAACTAAAAGGCAGCAGATGTTCACTTAACCAAGTCACACGGGGTAGATTTTACAGAGGAAAGAGGGGCCTTCAGCTAGACACTCACTGCTCCTCAGCTATCTTTTCCTCTTCTCTTCCTGACCGGAGCTCCTCTCTGTCACTTCCCACACCTCGGGGTTCTCCCAATGTCAGTTACTCCCACTCCTGTATTTCTGACCTCTCTTTCCACTGGATCTCTGCCCATAGAACAAAACCATGCTAAAGCATTCTGTTTAAAATCAAAGTAAAACCAAAACCAAACAGATGATACTCTCCTAATCCGAACTCCACCTTTGAAATGTCCTTTTTTCTTTCCTAAGAACCTAAGCCTCAGAAATTGATAATAATCTACATTCAGGGTCTATCTACTCCCTCGCCTCCCATGGATCCCTCAAACAGAGGTAAATTAACTTCTTGCCTCCCTCTACACCCAGCTACTGTCACCTGAGTCAACAAATGGCCCTTTTGTTGCTACATCCCTTGGGCATGCCATCATTCTGATCTCCCAGGCAGCATCTGACTGTCTCCTAACCCTGGCACCAGGGATACAACTTCTTCTCCTGGTTTCCCTCCTAACTTCCGGGACATTCTCTCTCCAACTTCTCCGTCCCTTCTTTGCTGTTGTGGACTAGGATTCTGTCTCAGTATTCTCCCTGGGTGCTCTCATTCCCTAAATTCTCAGCCACCAAGGTTAGGTTAGGTTAGACCCCTATCCCTCCATACGTGTTCCCTTAGCCTGGTCCCTCTCTTAATACAGAACTCATCACATTTTATAATTGATTACTTAACTGTCTGCTTTCCACGCTAGCCTGTAAGCTGGACAAGAACCATGCCTGTCTTGATCGACACTGCAGCCCTACTACTGCACACGGTGCCAGGCCATTGTAGGCAGGGCTATGTAACTTCAGGGTCCAGCGCAAAATGAAAACACAGGCCCCTGATTAAAAAATGCAGAATTTCAAGACAGCCACAGCAGAGCATTACACCAAATGTGAAGTCCTTCGGAGAGCAGGGCCCTGTGTGGTGCACAGGTTGCATGCTCACAAAGATAGCCCTGAGTGTATACTCTTAATATCTGCTGCATGGATAAATAGCTCCAACAACGACATATGCTGGTGAGTCCAGACAACCTTTCTAGCCCACATATCTCTGTTGTGCTCGGCCTGGAACAGCCAACTGCCAACGGATATATCCACTTCGATATATTCACTGGCATTTCATACTTAATAAGGTTCAAAATTAATGATCCTGTCCCCAGCCCCCTCCCAAATCTGTCTTCTAGCATTCTCTATCTCCGGGAACCAAACAATTTTCCACCTAGTTGCTCGTCCCAGAAGACAGGCAGCCATTCTAGACTCCTCCCTTTTCTCACCCCATATGTCCAAATAGGCACCCAGGCGTGTAGATTTCACCTCCTCAGCAGCACAGGAATCCCTCTCTTTCCTTGATTCCTGCTAGTGCCTTGGTTCTGGTTTCCATCAGAGCTTACCTGCATGACTCAGGAGCTCTCCACTGCTTCCTCAGCCCCTGTTCTGCCCTCCTCTGCCCCGTGCTTCATAGGGTCACAAAGGTGATGTTAAAGCACCGCTCTCATCATGCCACATGTCTTACCGAAAGCCCTGTGATGGCTTCCCAGCTTTTCCAGTTTCCTTTATTATCTGGTTCTTGCCTGTATTTCTTGCTTTAGCCTCACTCTTGCTACTCCCTTCACATGGCTTCTTCCTTCTCATGGTTAGCCCATTTCTCTGAGTCAGCTCAGAACGCCTTCTGTTGTCCTCCTGGCCTACCCTCCATGCCCCTTCTCTGTGACCCCGTGGTGTCTATGCCTAGCTGTACCCTTACCAGTCCTTGCTATGACTGCTGGCTTCCATGGCTGTCTTGAACTACCCCGCGGATATTTTCCAGGCAGAGTCTATGTTGTTGTCTCTGAATCTCCAGTGCTCAGTGCCTGGCACGTGCCAGACGTGCAACAATTGCTTGCTGATGGATAAGTGGCTAAATAGATGAAGGGGGAGCTGGACTTGAGTGGAGGAACAGAAGAATCCAGAAATGAGGGCCCTACATAAGACTTTTCTTAGTAGCAATATTATATAACTTATAGTCTGAGCCCTTAAAAATCCATACGCCTTTTTGTTGGTTTTGCAAAAAGACGGCAGGCCTAAGAGGACAGTGTTCTGGCTGAGTTGCCACCGAGAAGCTCCTTGAAATACAAAGGGAAACAAGGCAGTGCCTCTCTCCTTAGTGGGCAAGGCAGGGAGGGGGCAGCAATGGTAGCAGCTCACCATGTTTACTTTGTTTTTTAATTTCAAATTCACACACAATGAGGTATCTGCGTTCCATTACAATATGACTGCCAGGGCAAGCCTAGTTTATTACTTTCTTAAATAGATAATTATATCCAAATCCATCTATGTACAGAACATTTTTTCACTTCCGTTTGAACTACCAAGCTCTTCCTTTAAGAGGCATCCATGGATTAAAGATGACAGCATGTTCGACTGCCAACCTTCCCAGTGCCTACATCACGATGCCTCTTCCTATGTGATCCTTGGCTTCCTTTTGATCTTTCTCTCTTTCATCACTCTGATCTTGGGATCAATTTGTCAGAGTGCTGGTCTCCAATCTGGAGTAGGGCAATGAGACGAAAGGGGTTTCAAACGGAACGAAATGCATGTGAAAGCTGACAAACCTCATACTAAACAATCAATAAAGTAGAGAAATGCCTTTAAAGCTACAGTCTGTCATCACAGGACCCCTGTACTTCCTAGCTTCTATTTCATTATTTTATGAGATGCTTTTCCTAAGGAAAATTAAGAAAAAAACAAAAACCAAATGCCGTGGCTGCGAGGGTGCAGGAGAGCTACGTATACACTCTGACCTTCCTTCTGGGGCCTCAGGCCTGGACTTGTGGATACCACCATGACCAGAATCTGAGTAACATTCCAGAGGTTAAACGAGAAAGTTGCCGGGGTTGAGGTGATTTAATCCATTGGCAATCACCTCCCACCCAATAACCATTCCCATACAGAGGGGATGGGTTTTCAGCATATTATCCAATATTAAGGTTAGCCTTTCCTTTAAAGACTACAGCTGAAATTTATATGACATTAATTCCAGTAAAATCGATGGGGCGTTATTTGCGATACAATGAACAGTAAGGTTTAGGGTGTTCTTATGAGTCAACCGCAAGAATGGGAGAAAAGGAGGTAAAGCAAGGACATTAATAGTTTAAAAAACTCAGGCCGGGCGCAGTGGCTCATGTCTGTAATTCCAGCACTTTGGGAGGCCAAGGGGGATGGATCACTTGAGATCAGGAGTTTGAGACAAGCCTGGCCAACATGGTGAAACCCCATCTCTACTAAAAAAATACAAAAATTAGCTGGGTGTGGTGGCAGGCGCCTGTAGTCACAGCTACTTGGGAGGCTGAGGCAGGAGAATTGCTTGAACCTGGGAAGGGGAGGTTGCAGTGAGCCGAAACTGCACCACTGCACGCCAGCCTAGGCAACAGATTGAGACCCTGTCTCAAAAACAAAAACAAAACTCCCCCTGGTCCCTGCCCCAAATATTAGCTACATGAGAGGATAAAGGTAATTTATTCCTAACCAATGAGAATTTTGAGTTACAGACTAATTCCTAGAAAATCCCGCTACTTCTCTCCTCTAATGTTATATTTTGGAGTTAAAAACACATATCTTTATTCCCCTAGTCTAAATATTAAGTGGTTAAGAGAAACAGGGAGGGTAAAACAGGATGGTCACTTCGAATATTAACTTGATTTTACAATTTTTCTTAAAGGGATCATATTAACTCTTGTTAAATCTCAACTCAGTGTGATGTTCTCAGAGCAGGACTGACATGTGCCAACAGGTATTTAACAAACAAGCAGAAGAAAAAAAGCTGATAAAAAATATGATTAGGCAACTGACAGAAGGAAAAATGCAACGATTAATAAAGATATGAAAAGATGCTCAATCTCACTAGTCCATGAAAATGCACACTAAAGTAAAAGCAATATATAATTCTGCTCATTAGGTTGGGAAACATTAAAAAAACAACAATATATAGTTTTCATAGAGTAAAAGTCACTTTCATAATGGGAATGGAAATTGTTACACCTTTTACATTGATTACAATTATAATTACATATCCAATGGTTCAGTCATTCCACTTTTGGGAATACATGCTAAAGAAATAAAAGACTCAGTACATAGGATATACATACAATTCAGACTTTTGACGTTATTCATTGGGGCAAAGACTGGAAACAGCC
This sequence comes from Homo sapiens, assembly GCF_000001405.40. NCBI lineage: Eukaryota > Metazoa > Chordata > Mammalia > Primates > Hominidae > Homo > Homo sapiens. The sequence goes on from NC_000012.12 coordinate 62,744,099, forward strand.
TGAATGTCTGTCAAAAGGGGAACTGTTGAATGGATTGGTTTGTATTCTATAAGCCATTATACAGTCATAAAAAAAAAAAAAAAAAAAAAAGGCCAGGCGCTGTGGCTCACACCTGTAATCCCAGCACTTTGGGAGGCCGAGGTGAGTGGATCACTTGAGGTCAGGAGTTCAAGACCAGCCTGGCCAACATGGTGAAAACCTGTCTCTATTCAAAGTATAAAAATTAGCTGGGCGTGGTGGTGGGTGCCTATAATCCCAGCTACTTGGGAGGATGAGGCAGGAGAATTGCTTGAACCCAGGAGGCACAGGTTGCAGTGAGCCGAGGTTGCACCACTGCACTCCAGCCTGGGCAACAGAGTGAGACTCTGTCTCAAAAAAAAAAAAAAAAAGGAGTGAAATTCTATTTTGTGACCTGGAGTTATCCATGATATAGTAAGTGAGAAAAGTAAACTGCAGAGTAATGGGTGGTACAATCCCATTTTTGTAAAAACAAAAACTATATATAGATATTCCATCTATGTGAGGAGTCTGATTCCATGCCCGAATCCTGTGTGCAATGTTTCAGGCCTGACCACAGGCCATTACAAAGGCTCTGCCCAGCAGGCCTCACGGGGGAAGCTGCCCTCTCCACACCGGATGTGGTGCACAGTCCCTGCACTGCAGCCGCCAGGACAGCTGCAGCCCAGGACTCATACCCCACTAGCCTAGGAGTCTCCACTGAGACACTTCTCTGCTCTGACTCAGTCTTCTTATAGTCCTTCCCCTTCTCTCCCTGGCCCTACAACCCTCGGTCCACAAAATGGCAAAGCCTTTAGTTCAGAGCTCTGGGCAGTGAGACTCCCTCCTGCCAGCGCTGCATGTCATCTGCCAGACCTTCACCTGGTGCCGTCCTATGGGGAAAAATGGAAGAGCACTTTCCTCTTTGCCTCTTGCCAGGACTACTGCAGTAAGAGAAGAAAGGTTTGGTTGTTACTTTCTGTTTGGTTCATTGTCCTAACTGACCACCTCGACACCTAGCAGCTTGATAACATATAATTATGTTTCAATGAGTGGCAAGGAAGTTATGGAAGTGGGAGAGAAAGTTAATTTTTCTTTTTAAAAAATTTTATTATTTTTAATTTTTTAAATTATTATTATTTTCTTTATAGAGACGAGGCCTCACTATGTTGCCTAGGCTCGTCGCGAATGCCTGGGCTCAAGCAATCCTCCCACCTCAGTCTCCCAAAGTGCTGGGATTACAGGCATGAGCCACCGCACCTGGTTAACTTTTCTTTATATATTTTTGTATTATTTGACTGTTACAGGAAACGTATGCTCCTTTTGTAAGTTTGAAGAGGAACTGATTTGTCCAGATTTGGCTATGCAGTCACAGAAGACCTAGAGTCTTCCTGAATGCTGATTCATCTTTGTAATGTTACCACCCTTCATGACCCCATGTGCCTCAAGCACCTCTCCATGAAGTTCTTCTACTAGGTGGCCCAACCACATCTCAGAGGCCATTATTTGGAGCTCAGTCACAGCAGCACAACTATCCTGCATCTGTTTCAGGAGCCACTAACTAAGAAGCCAGTGACTGAATCTTCTTAGAAAAATAAGAACTGGTTAAGCCTAAAACTGTCTGTACTTTTCTACATCACTTGTGCTTTATGGAAAGGACCCAGAAAAATAGGTTTAGAACTGCCAATCACATTCAAAATAAAAGTATAAGAAGAGGTTCCAAGTGAGGGATTAAATGCATGCATGACTAAAGAATTCATCAGCTCTTTGATTGAAGGTTAGATCTTGTTAATCTTAGCCATATAAAGAAGTCTAGACCAGGCATGACGGCTCACACCTATAATCCCAGCACTTGGGGAAGTCAAGGCAGGAAGATCACTTGAACCCAGGAGTTGGGACCAGCCTAGGCAACATACTGAGACCCTCGTCTCTACAAAAAAATAGAAAAAATTAGCCAGGCGTTGTGGTACATGCCCATAGTCCCAGCTACTCAGAAAGCTTAGATGGGAGGATCACTTGAGCCCAGAAAGTCAAGGCTATGATGAGCTATGATCATGCCACTGCACTCCAGCCTGGGCAACAGAGCAAGATCCTGTCTCAAAAAAAAAACAAAAACAAAAACAAAGTGTGAACAGGTGTGATCTTCCCCTGCAGCCTGAGCATTCTGTAACAGTCTGATACATATATTTCACTAGGCACCCAAGAACTGACTTGAAACTATGCCCACAGGCTCTGACAGTATATATCCAGGTGTGATTTATTCAGTGGCCATAGGGAAATTTTCAATGTGTTCCATCAGTAACACTGATAAAGCAAAACCAAACCAAACCAAACCAAACCACCACTGACAACTCAATTACCATATGCATTGCCTATGGGCTACCTACCACCACGGACTGCCAGAGTTCCAGGCCCAGACAGCCACCCAGGAGTATGGAGGTAGCAGCAGGATGGGAAAGCCACCTCCCCTTCATACATCACTACTAGGAGTAAATGGACTAGGGGATGTCCTTGTTGCGAGGCAGCCAACAGCCAATTACGCTTTCTATTGCCTGGGAGATATCTCCCTTGTTCCGGGGCAAGCAAAACTCAACTTACACTGTTGTGTGGTGTGGTTTCACCCTGCAGAATAAGGAACTTTCCTTCTAGATGGTCTCAGAAATGTTCTCCCTTCACGGAGCCCCAACACACAGGGTGCTACTGGGTTTGAACAGTAGAAGCTCATTCACACCCCCCCACTTCTAAATTTCCTAATATGAAATCACATTGCCTCAGTACACTGCAGAGCTACTGTGTCACTGGCTACAGCTATAGAGAAATCTTCAGATTCATGCAAACGAGTAACAAATTCTTTCTTTCCTTTTTTCTTTTTTTGAGACAGGATCTCGTTCTGTTGCCCAGGCTGGAGTGCAGTGGCACGATCGTGGCTCACTGCAGCTCTGGCCTCCTGGGCTCAGGTGATCCTCCCACCTCAGCCTCCTGAGTAGATGGGACCACAGGCATGTGCCACCATGCCTGGTTAATTTTTTAAAAAAGGTTTTTTTTCTTTTTTTTTTTTGAGACGGAGTTTTGCTCTTGTCTCCCAGGCTCGAGTGCAATGGCGCGATCTCGGCTCACTGCAACCTCCGCCTCCCAGGTTCAAGTGATTCTCCTGCCTCAGCCTCCCAAGTAGCTGGGATTACAGGCATGTGTCACCAGGCCTGGCTAATTTTGTATTTTTAGTAGAGATGGGATTTCTCCATGTTGGTCAGGCTGATCTCAAACTCCTGACCTCAGGTGATCCACCCGCCTCGGCCTCCCAAAGTGCTGGGATTATAGGCGTGAGCCACTGTGCCTGGCAATTTTTAAAAATTTTTTAGAGATGGGTACCGGGTTTAAGTGATCCTCACACCTAAGCCTCCGAAAGTGTTGGGATGGCAGGCATGAATCACCATGCCCAGTGTAAATTAAGTTTTAAGGGGAAGACAAAGTTTGGAGAATCAAGTAGGGCAAATGTAGGAACACTCTGTTAGCACCTTCTTCATGTAACCCTCAGAAAGCCTAAAAGCCCATGTTCTGCCAGGGTACATTCCAGAGCACACTTCAGCCCTTCTGCCCTCTCAAGGTAAAAACCTTTTGTCTTAAAACCAGACAAAATCCCAAAATTCACAGTCAAGTAATAAACAGGTGCTATGTAAACATGGCATGGAGACAATAGGCATAGAGCTTTTCAGCCTCAGTAGAAAGCTTTGCCCATGTGGCAGAACCCACCAAGTACTCCCTCTGCTCTAGATACACAACAATGACCTATAACATGAGGTGGGAAAGAGAAAGAGAAAAAAATTATACATGCACACACACACAAATATATAGCCAAGCTAAAAAATAAAGGTAGCATCTCTCTGTAGAGTAGAAATGGAAAAGAAATCCAAAATCCCCTAGCTGCTGGACTTGAGAAGCAGGTAATGGTGTCCAGGAGTCCAATTTCTATGGAGTAAAAGGTATTAAAAGTCCTCCAAGTGGCCGGGCGCAGTAGCTCACGCCTGTAATCCCAGCACTTTGGGAAGTCGAGGCAGGAGAATGGCGTGAACCCGGGAGGCGGAGCTTGCAGGGAGCCGAGATTGCGCCACTGTACTCCAGCCTGGGCGACAGAGCGAGACTCCGTCTCAAAAAAAAAAAAGAAAAAAAAAGTCCTCCAAGTAAGACAAAGGGCAGCGATCAAGCTCACATCTGAAGTCCAATTCCAAACCAAGTCACTTCACTTTGTTATACCTTGGTTTCTTCTCTCCGCAGCAAGGGAACTTGCTGAATGGCAAAGCAAAGTGCTTTGAGGCTCTAGTTTAAAAAAGTCCTGGGAGTGCAGAAATTCATTCCCATCTTTAATTCCTAAGCAATCAGCCAGCCCTGTAGCATGGAATCCACCCACTCATGTAGTTAAATGTGTTTCAGTGTAGAACACACACACACACACACACACACACACACACACACACGTGTGAGGAAGGGCCTGCCATCATCTACCCTTTCTGGGTTGTTAGGTTCTGACAGTTAACCTGAAAGGCTATACTGTGACAGCCAAAGCATGAAATGATAAAGACTGTGGGGCAAAGACTAATTGTCAAGCCCTCCTCCAGCTCAGAAGGTTCATGGCTTTGGAGGAAATTCACATATATGTGAGTAATTGGTGGTAGGAGCCTGTGTGTTGTGGCAGAAACAGCACCAGCACCAGCCTGGGAATCTGTGATTATAGGTGCCAACTCCACAGTGGGCTGTTAATTGTCTTTAACTCTGGGCCCTGGCATCCTTGCTGATAACAAAAAGGGTCAGAATCAGGTGATTTTACAGGCAACTTTCAAGGTTAGAGTGAAATGCTTCTGAAAACAGTCTGATACACACTGGGGTAGGAAAATACTGACAAGGACTCCAGTTACTACTTTTCTTCTCAGGAGGTAATAACCACTACAATTTAGATTCTAAGTAATATAAACCAAACACAGAAGCACCAGGATGGGAGAAGCCACCCTTACTACTTCTCTTAAAACATCACAGACAAGGAACCTACTATTGAGCAAGGCCCCCAATGTAATTTCACTGTTGTCATCAGTCCCCTTGGAACGCAGAGCTACAAACAAAAAGGCATCTCTGACACTGTTAAGAGTATTCATGGGATGCCCTGATTCCATTACACACTCTTTCAGCTGAAAGTGATTCGAAACGCAACATTAAACTGCACATTTCCAGAATGGAGGAGAAAATCTGGTACAAGGTGACAAAGAGAAACCATTCGGAAAACCCTTTTTGACAGTGTATATCAATTTCAAGGCACAGGGAGGAAACATCCATTTTGTTCAAAAGCATCAGACTTTGTGGATTCTGTTTGGATGCAGCAGAAGTGTTCTTCTCTTTCAAAAGTATTAGAAACGCATTGTTGGGAAAGAAAGCAGGGCAGCTGAGGGACAAGCCAGGGTTACCTTACCATCGTCAGAGGATGGCTACTCTGTAGATGCTAATTAATGGTATCAAAAAATAGCTGAAAGGAAAAAAGTAAGCTTAACAGCCTGGAATCAGTTTGGGTGTATTTCTTGTCATTCAATTTTCAGAATGGAAACTACTAAATAAGTCTGCAAATACGATGATTCATTTAACAAGACCCCAACTATGCAATTAAGCTCCTAAGCAAAAATATTCACAAATGATGGTCAAGGGAAAAATATTTCAGATCTTTAAGTAGCAGCAAAAATAAGTGACCACTCATAGAGCCATAGCTGAGTCCCATGTTCCTTGCTTTCTTCACAACCAGCCCAGTCTGTACTCATACCACCCAGAATAATTTCTCAGTGTCATATTCAGCCACTTTCTGTAGAAACATCTTAGTCTACCATTTTGCTATACCAGCAACACTCATGAAACCCAGTGCGCCAGCGCAAAATTTTCCAGATCAGCTAAATGCCTCAGTCATTAATGAAAGGTTTTCAAGGTGCATATCATTTCTCAAAAAAAAAAAAAAAAGAGGTCTATGTGTTTGTTTTCTGTTTTTGAATTATAGTCTGCATACCATAAAATATACCCTCTTAAAGTGATACAATTCAGTGTTTTTTGGTACATTCTCAGGGTTGTGCAACCATCACCATTATCCAATTCCAGGACATTTTCAAAATCTGAAAAAGGACTCCCTATACCCTGTACTTTTTAGTAGCCACTCCCCATCTCTCCTTCGTTCTAAGCCCTTGCAAATACTAATCTACTTTGTCTCTATGGATTAATCTATTCTGGACATTTAATATGAATGGCATCATACAATACATGGTCTTTATGACTGGTTTCATTTGCTAAACAGATGTTTTCAAGGTTCATCCATGTTACAGCATGCATCAATACTTCATTCCTTCTTGTGGCTAAATAATATTCCATCACATGAACACATTTTGTTTATCCATTCATTAGTTGGCAGACATTTGTGTTTCCATTTTTTTTGAAACAGTGAATAATGCTGCTATGAACATTTGTGTACAAGTTTTTGTGTAAATATATGTTTTCAGTTCTCTTGGGCATATACCCAGGAGTGAAATTATTGAGCCATATGGTAACCTTAACTTTCTGAAGAACTACCAGTTAGCTTTCCAAAGTGACTGTACAATTTTATATTCCCAATTGGTAGGTTTTAGAACTTTCTCTTAAAGGACTCTAGAGTTCAAACTAGATTCAGATCTGAAAATCTCAGTGATTTCTTATTCAGCACCCTTTTAAAGGCACCTTGCTGAAAAAGTTTTGCCTGCATGTTTAGATTTCAATGTGTACATCACACAATGCTTTATTTTTCATCTGCATCAGAGGATATGTATTCTGCTTCTCTCTAGTGCAGGGTCAATATCTAAAATTCACAATACCGTACGGTTCCCCAGCACAAATGTATACAACCATTTGTTAAGTGCCAAATCAAGCATTTTCTTCCTCATGGCAAGTAGCCAGACTGGGTGAAGCCACCAAAGGCATTTATTTTTCTCTCTACTGCAGTCTATTTATGAGTAGGACGAACTTTTCTCTTCTTTTTAAAGATGACTGTTGACTACAATGGCTCACTATTTGTGTGCCAAGACAGGTAGGACTTGCAGAGCCCAGGAAGCAATTTCTTCACTAATACCCTGCATTGGTCACACCCTTGTTTGATTTGTGTCTGATTCGGACCTCTTTACTTAAAAAACAGCAATGTGACGGAACAACTGAGCAGGGTCCCAAGAAGAGGAGTAAACACAATTCAAGGGGTGGAAAATAGAAGCTTTGAAGAGGCTAAAGGAAAAGTGGTATTTTAGCCTGAGGGAAAGAATGAGGAACAATCTCATCACACTCGCTTTCACGCATTTAAAATGGGTTTATTCAGAGAACAGTGGGTGACCAGTTCTTCATGCTCAGAGTGAAACAGACAGGAGGAAATCACATCAAATCAGTAAAATTCTATGGTTGGAAAAGGGAAAATAATTTCTTGATCTTCACATTATACATCTGACGAAAGCTCATGGATCTCCATCCCTGGAATTCTTTAAAAAGATGTAAAGGAGCTTTGTCTATATTTGCCTGCCAAGAATCTTGAGGCGTCCTTCACTGTAATTTCTTTATGGTGCTATAAATCAGGAACTACGTCTGCTACATGAGGGCAAAACCAGACCCATAAACAATGAGATCTAGACTGTATAATGTACTGAGAATGTCTTGCAGTGTGCACTGTGGAAGTAAACAGGACCTCTTCTTTGCTACATGCTCCTGTTCAAAATAAGTTATATTACTTCATGTGGCAGGGCAGGGAGGCTCATCTGTGGTTCATGGTTAGGTTATATGGGCTAGATGCTGCACACCAGCCCTACCTGTAAGGCCTCTCTGGCTCTGCCTGGTAACAGTTACCCGGTGTCAGTTCCTTACAAGCAAAGGCCTGGGAAGCCCATCTCTCATTCGTTGAACATAACCCATTAAGTTGGGTTTGGGAGCTGGCTGTGGTGAAATGAAAAGTAATCAAAGTTTGCAGTCCAAAGTCAATTTCAAGCTATGAATTAAGTATACTGGGAAAGTGAGTTAGCCACTCTGAGAATCAATTTTCCCCACTTGATAAATACCACTTTCTTCAGACTAAATGAGTATATGTATGAAGGGACTTTATAGATTATTAGTGATGCTGAATGAATAAATTAAACTCACATATAAGAGTCAGTAGAATAGTAATTTACTTGGAACTTCGTTATTTTTGTGTAATGATAAATGTCTACAAATGGGATCTTAAGGAACTGTATGAAAGAAAAAAAAATTTTGTGACCTCACTTAGGCTTTAAGAATAAAGTGGTTATCTCACATTTTATCATTAAATAAAAATTTAACATTTTGAAGATTTCTCATTGTCATTTCCATTCATGTGTTCAGATCCCCCCAACATTCCACAGAAAAGAAGGAAGATTGACAGGGGGATTGGGGGCATTCTTGCTTCTCTTGCTCAATAGCTTTGAAACCTCACTCTGTTCATTAATATTAGAGTCTCCTTAACATTTTTCCAAGCATATCCATAATTTTTAATTTTATTGTGACAAAGAGATACATATAAAGGAGTCCCATGCCAAATCCCCTTTTCCTGCAAAAATTCTACTCAACCCATAATTTATCCAAGGCTCTTACAACTGTCCAAGTAAAAAATGAGTCTGAACTATGTCTGTGGAAACAGAAAATTCTTAGAGATAACATACATAATTTAAAAAAATTATGTGGGAATTAAAGGAGAAGAAAATGCCTGCAAATCTGCTGAGGTTCCCAGCTTGGACAACGAAGGACGATGATGCTATTAACACAGGAGAGACGAGCAGAAGAGTTGGTCTGGAGAAGACACTGCATTTTGGGCATTTGAATTTGGGGCATATGTGTGATGTCAGGTGGAGGGGCTGGTGAAGACACAGTTGGAAATGTGGGAGTGGTGCTCAGGAATGAGGTCAGGGCTAAAAAAGATTTGTGAATAGTCATGTCTATATGCTAGTTAAATTATAAAATTGAAACAAGTGTTCTAGGGAATGCATACAGAAAAAGGGGAGAAAAACAAAGCCGAGAACTGAACTAACATATTAAGTGAAAACACAGAAAAATAGGTCTGTTCTCTCATCTACCTTCTAACCTCAGCTGCCTGGCAAACTCCTCTTCACTGAATAAATCAGTTAATTTAGGTTGGCCTCTACAACATTTCCTATGGAACCCACTTCTGAATGAAAACAGGGGACGACCAAATGAAGATTCCTCATGCTCGAAAGAGTTCAGGAAACACTCTTCTTTGTCACAGGACTTTTCTGAATCTTTAATATACTCACGTGGATTGTTGTTCTCCAAAACCAGGTTCCTTTGTAACAATGCCCAAATCTAACTAAGGGATGAACATCTAACATCTTTCCACCTTTCTACCATGTGTGGGTCAGATTCAGGGACGGAAGCATTTGACTGAGCTATAGCTTAGGGATACAGTGGGCTTCACTCTTGCATCCTCACCCCCTACTCTTGAAGCCTTGTTGGATGTAAAATCGGAACTGTTCTGTTCCCTCTTGGAAAAAGGCCATGACAGACCATCTCTCTCTGCTTCCATTTTCTTTTTTGAGATGCACAGGCAGAGATAAAGAGGCTGAGACTGGTGGGGGCTTGCCTGGGAGAATGCCAGGTTCTCTCCCCCTCTCTCTGGCTTTCTCCATTCTGGTTATTCCCTTAAATAGTTTTCCAGATAAGGGGGATCAGGGCGGGCTCCCACTAACCTCATTTCCACTAGTTCTGCCTTGGAGCTTGGGCTTTCTTGTTCTGATTCTTACTTGATTTTTGTTTTTGCTGCTTCTCTGGAATAACCTTCCCTCATCACCAGGATTAGAAGTATTATTTTCCCTCTCACATTGAGAAGGTGGAGAAAAACCACAGGAAAAACTAAGTCTCCAAAACAGATAAAAATATTACAGAAGAGAATCTTGCTGCAATAAAAGGGATCAAATCCTCTGACTTCAATGGATTATATTTTAGGGCCCCAAAAGTCCTCAAAAATGAGGCTGTCACAGTACTGTTAGGGATCTGGAAGGAAGGGCATTGAAGAAGAGATGTGGCTGTGGCCAAAGATTAGAGATAGGCAAATCAGGTATAATTTTTTTTAACATAGAAGACTATGGATTCTGCACTGTGAGAAGGAGAGAGTTGGTATCCAGTCTTGATAAGATTCTAGAGTAGGCTGAGGACAGTGTAATCCCAGCACTTTAGGAGGCTGAGACGGGAGGATCACTTGAGTGCAGGAGTTCATGACCAACCTGGACAACATGATGAGACCCCGTCTCTAGCAAAAACACAAAATATTAGCCAGGCTTGGTGACACATGCCTGCAGTCCCAATTACTCAGGAGGCTGAGGTGAGAGAATGGTTTGAGCCCAGGAGGTAGAGGTTGCAGTGAGCCAAGATCAAGCCACCACTGTACTCTAGCCCAGGTGAGAGACAGACACTGTCCAAAAACAGATACTAGAGTAGATCATGAAAGGAAGCCTTATGAGGGCTAGTGAAAGAAAGCAGCAGTCACTGGTGGTCTACCTGGGTTCCTTAAGAGAGTAAGTCACCTCATTCCCAATGCTTCTCTCCCAAACCCCTTCCTTGTCCAGCTAAAAGAAATGTTAAGCCATAGTCTTTACTTGGACTTTAGAAATCAACAGTCTTTCATGATCTTTTGGTTGACAGTGAAGAGGAAGGGTTAGCACAAGTAAAAATAAACAAATTAAAAACAGTCGAAATGTAACAAAATGGAAGGGTTTCCATCCATGAGACACTTGTTGTGATTCAGCTCTGTGGCATGGCTGTCGGGAGAGTGAGGGTAGGTTTTAAGGATGTTATCTTTACAAGATGGGTGGCCTTCAGCTCTCTACCACGCAGGTCAATTCAGTTCTGAGAGATGCCACATGTGAACAGGGAAATCACACAAGAACAGGCCAAGGAGCGACCTGGATGATGAGAGGCTCAAGCCAGTGATCGTCTTTGGATGGTGAGAATATCATGTCTTTCTTTTCTTAATCTTATTTGTATATTTAAATTGTACATAAGTAGCTCTCTGCTCCTCCCATTTGACAGACAGCCGCCTCTTCTCTCTCATTGACAGCTGCATCCCTGAGACACTACGGTGAAGGTGAAGATCAAAGTCAATGGATTTGGTTGTATTGGGTGCCTAGTCACCAGGGCGGTTTTTAACTCTGGTAAAGTGGATATTGTTGCCATCAATGACCCCTTCATTGACCTCAACTACATGGTCTGTGTGTTCCAGTATGATTTTGTCTGTGGCAAATTCCATGGCACTGCCAAGGCTGAGAATGGGAAGCTTGTCATCAACGAAAATCCTATCACCATCTTCCAGGAGCGAGATCCCTCCAAAATCAGATGGGGCAATGCTGGTGCTGAGTATATCATGGAATCCACCGGTGTCTTCACCACCATGGAGAAGGCTGGGACTCACTTGCAGCGGGGAGCCAAAAGGGTCATCATCTCTGCCCCTTCTGCTGACACCCCCATGTCTGTGATGGGCATGAAGCATGAGAAGTAATGACAACAGCCTCAAGATCATCAGCATGCCTCCTGTATCACCAACTGCTTAGTGCCTCTGGCCAAGGTTATCCATGACAACTCCGGTATCGTGGAAGGACTCATGAATGACCACAGTCCATGCCATCACTGCCACCCAGAAGACTGTGGATGGCCCCTCTGGGAAACTGTGGTGTGACAGCCACGGCGCTCTCCAGAACATCATCCCTGCCTCTACTGGTGCTGCTAAGGTTGTGGGCAAGGTCATCCCTGAGCTAAATGGGAAGTTCACTGGCATGGCCTTCTGTGTCCCTACTGCCAATGTGTCAGTTGTGGGCCTGAACTGCTGTCTGGAAAAACTGCCAAATATGATGACATCAAGAAGGTGGTGAAGCAGGCGTCCGAGACCCCCTCAAGGGCATCCTGGGCTACACTGAGCACCAGGTTGTCTCCTCTGATTTTAACAGCGACATCCACTCTTCAACCTTTGATGCTGGGGATGGCATTGACCTCAACGACCACTTTGTCAAGCTCATTTCCTGGTATGACAATGAATTTGGCTACAGCAACAGGGTGGTGGACCTCATGGCCCACATGACTTCCAAGGAGTAAGACCCCTGGACTACCAACCCCAGCGAGAGCGAGAGAGGAAGAGAGAGGCCCTCACTGCTGGGAAGTCCCTGCCATACTCAGTCCCCCACAACACTGAGAATCTCCCTTTCTCAAGTTTCCATGTAGACCCCCTGAAAAGGGAGGGGCCTAGAGAGCCCCACCTTGTCGTGTGCCATTAATAAAGTCCCCTGCACTCAGCCAAAAAAAAAAAAATTGTACATAAGTAACATATACTGCATATGTAATCACAGTTTTTTTAAACAAATGTTTCATGAAGGAAACATGTACATGAACGTATTTTGTATATTTATAAATATACAAAATAAATTCCTGAGGGAGGAGAGTCATCATCTACAAAGAGGTGGTCCAGGCCAGGGAATACTAAGACTCAGGTGAGCTGGTGACATTTGGGAATGTGGTCCTGAAAAGGTGAAGAGTACTTACTGAGAAATACAAGGAAAAAGTAGGGGAGGGGAAAAGAAGGAGGGCACTGAATCTCGGAGGAGCCAATTGAACGGCCGAAGATGACGGCACGTGAAAGCCTAAAGAACTGTGGGAGCAGCCTCTATAGTAAGCTGCAGAGATGAGAGGGAAAGAGAAAGCAGGATATCTAACCAGGAACCAGTTGGACCTAGGAAAGCTGACTTGAGAGGCACCTGTGATGTCAGCAAAGATTTAACCAAAGCCAAAGACAGCATCTCCAAGGGCTCAAAGGGGAAAACTCTCCTTCCAGAGTTCACAAGGGACACTCAATGCTATGACTGGTCCAGCTGGAAAATGAGGTTGGGGAAAGGGTGGATGACCAGAAAATGGCACCCCCAATGATGAGACTCTGCAGACAGAAACCCATGGCCAAAGAGGCACTGAGAGGCACTGTTTGGTCCTCGTGAGAAGCCTCAGTGGGTTGGCTTTTATCCCCATACTCCCTCATGCTCTCGTAGGGCTGGGTTATGAATCTGAATTATCTGAGTGTAGACAGTAGGGAACAGGAAAGGAGGAAGAACATCATGGATAAAATCAGGAGTGTGATTTTTGATAGATAAACTGTTTCCTGTTTTTGCTGGGATTAGTTATGCCAAAAGTGGAAACTCAGCTTCCTGAGACACCTCCCATTTCAACACAAGAAATAGGAGAAATATTTATACCATGGCCTAGTAAGGCTGAAAAAATCTTCAGGTGTGTAAAAAATATTTTAAGTTCTAGAGAAACTATTATAGTTGCTTAGGGTTTAACTTCTTTCTCAAACTGTAAAATGAAAATAGACCAGTTCACCCTTAGATCACAGGAATGAATAAAATCAATGAAGAGATAAATTCACTAGAAGAAAACACACTCTAGTAAATTCACCAGAAATGTACCATCATAGATCTACTATTTTCAAGTGTCTTTCTTGGGGCAAGTTTCAAGTTGTAAGGTTGTCTTTACAATAGAATTATTGAAAGGCACTTCCTACCATAACACCACTCCAGAAAACACTCGGAAGCAGCTCTATCATTTAAGACCCATGTTTCTGTGTCCCAATTTCTATGGACTTATCCAAATTTACAATTTCAAATGTTTAGCATCAGTCAGTAAGTCACACACTCCACAGAACAAGAGGCTCTTAGAACACAATTATTATCTTATTCCCATTGGCTGGTCTCATTCACAACCACCTCTCAAAGAAGAAAAGCAGATGGAGGCTTCCCACATGCAACCCTTTATGGCTCCAGCCTGGTGCAATTTAGGAGTGAGGTTTAGAAGGAATTAGAAAGCGCAGTAATAGAGACAGTCATTGTAATTTGAAACATGAATTTGCTGTTCAAAAGGCTAAACTGGAGTGCTTAAAGCTAAGTGCTTAAAACTACCCCAGAACCCTAAAGTAATGTACCATAATTACAATTACTTTCCTTCAATAATAGATTTAAAAAGTTAATACTTTCTTGTGTTTGGCTGGAATCACTCAGTCATCCATTGTAGTTGTGAGATCTCTTTCTTGGAAATCAACATCTTCATTTGGTTTCCACATGAATAATTCTTGGAAGCTACAAAGTCTTTGAAGGGTATTTATTTTTGCCTTGAGGTCTGGTGGCCTCAAAGTTCACATGAACCTCACAGATGCAAACTATCTCAGCATGATTCATCTATGCCTATAGCGTTCTCACCAAAGGGAGGTCCCTGCCTGTGTGGGGTTTCCATATTTATACTGCTTTGTGTGTTTATTTGTAGTTAAAATTGTTTTCACAAGTCAAATAAATTTAAAGATGACCTACAATGCACATGCATGAGAAATTAAGCCAAAACTCAGATTCTTGACTGAATCACTGTTTGTTTTATCTTGGTGGTGGGACATGTGCTTTGCCTAAACTTCAAACTTCTTATCCTTCTGCCTCCATAATTGCAATCATCTCACTCTCCACACTGGCTACATTTTATTTAAACCTTCCAACTGTGGAGGAAAAAAAAGGAGCATCTAACCCAAGACAGGTGTCACCTAGACAGGAACTATCTGAGAGCTAAGAGAATTTCTTTTCTCCATGAAATGCTGTGGTGGTTAGTGTCAGGCCTCTGAGCCCAAGCTAAGCCATCATATTCCCTGTGACCTGCACTTTTACATCCAGATGGCCTGAAGCAACTGAAGATCCACAAAAGAAGTGAAAATAGCCTTAACTGATGACATTCCACCATTGTGATTTGTTTCTGCCCCACCCTAACCGATCAATGTACTTTGTAATCTCCCCCACCCTTAAGAAGGTTCTTTGTAATTCTCCCTACCCTTGAGAATATACTTTGTGAGATCCACCCACTGCCCGCAAAACATTGCTCCTAACTCCACTGCCTATCCCAAAACCTTTAAGAACTAACGATAATCCACCACCCTTTGCTGACTCTCTTTTTGGACTCAGCCCGCCTGCACCCAGGTGAAATAAACAGCCATGTTGCTCACACAAAGCCTGTTTGGTGGTCTCTTCACACGAACACGTGAGACATTTGGTGCCGAAGACTCGGGTAAGTGGGACTCCTTCGGGAGACCAGTCCCCTGTCCTCACCTCACTCTCACTCCATGAAGAGATCCACCTATGACATCAGGTCCTCAGACCAACCAGCCCAATGAACATCTCACTGATTTTAAATCGGGTAAGCGGTCTATTTTTACTCTCTTCTCCAACCTCTCTCACTATCCCTCAACCTCTTTCTCCTTTCAATCTTGGCACCACCCTTCAATCTCTCCCTTCTCTTAAGTTCAATTCCTTTCATTATCTGGTAGAGACAAAGGAGACACATTTTATCCGTGGACCCAAAATTCTGGCACTGGTCACGGACTCGGGAAGACAGCCTTCCCTTGGTGATTAATCATTGCGGGGACGCCTGCCTGATTATTCACCCACGTTTCAGAGGTGTCTGACCACTCGGGGATGCCTGCCTTGGTCTTTCACCCTTAGCAGCAAGCACCGCTTTTCTGGGGGGCAAGCACCCCTGACTCCTTCTCTCCGTGTCTCTACCCCTTCTCCACTTTCCTGGGGGGCAAGCACCTCCCACTCCTTTTCCACTTTCCTGGGGGGTAAGCACCTCCCACCCCATTTCCACTTTCCTGGGGGGCAAGCACCTCCCACCCTGTTTCCACTTTCCTGGGGGGCAAGCATCTCCCACCCTGTTTCCACTTTCCTGGGGGGCAAGCACCTCTCACCCCTTCTTCACTTTCCTGGGGGGCAAGCACCCCCCATCCCTTCTCTCCATGTCTCTACCCTTCTCTTTAAACTTGCCTCCTTCACTATGGGCAACCTTCCACCCTCCATTCTTCCTTCTTCTCCCTTAGCCTGTGTTCTCAAGAACTTAAAACCTCTTCAACTCTAGCCTGACCTAAAATCTAAGCATCTTATTTTCTTCTGCAATACTGTTTGGCCCCAGTACAAACTCGACAATGGTTCTAAATAGCCAGAAAATGGCACTTTTGATTTCTCTGTTTTACAAGATCTAGATAATTTTTGTCGAAAAATGGGCAAATGGTCTGAGGTGCCTGACGTCCAGGCATTCTTTTACACATTGGTTCCTCCCTAGTCTCTGCTCCCAGTGAGACTCGTCCCAAATCTTTCTTCTTTCCCTCCCACCTGTCCCTTCAGTCCCAACCCCAAGTGTCACTGAGTCTTGTGAATCTTCCCTTTCTACTAACCCATCTGACCTCTCACCTCCTCCCCAGGCTGCTCCTCCTCCGGTCGCTCCCTGCCAGGTTGAATCAGGCTCCAACTCTTCTTCAGCCTCTGCTCCCCCACCCTATAACCCTTCTATTACCTCCCCTCACACCCAGTCTGGTTTACAGTTTCATTCTGCAACTAGCTCTCCCCCACCTGCTCAACAATTTCCGCTTAGAGAGGTGGCTGGAGCTGAAGGCATAGTCAGGGTACATGTGCCTTTTTCTCTATCAGACCTTTCCCAAATCAGCCAGTGTTTAGGCTCTTTCTCATCAGACCCCACTAAATATATACAGGAATTCCAATATCTAACTCTGTCCTACAATTTAACCTGGAGCGACTTAAATGTCATCCTAATAGTTAGGCCAATTCCCAGAATGACTAAAGAAAAATAACTTTTCCTATAAAAGGTGAGTAAATGGCCAAATGACCTAGACTAGCTCTGAAGGGTAAGCACTGAGTCCCAGGTTAAAGATTACATTCTAACCACACACCAGTCATACTCTGCTCCGGGAAAAACCTTAAGTACTTGTGACCTTCTGTCCCTAACTTAGATGTTGTTTACTTTCAGTTTACATACAGTGCAAACACCAGGGTGTACATGATTTTCAAGTCAAAAAAGATAAGGACTAATCCAGAAAGGAGAAGGAATTCTGTTTCATGCAGGCTCCTTGACAGCAGCAAGAGATAACAAAACCACAACACAGGAGGCTTTAGAAAAAAACTAAATAAAAAGCCGTAATCTCAAAGAAGACTACAGCCAACAATAAATATTAATACTATAAAGTAAGGTCCTAAGGACTCCACAGTTACGGAGGAATAAGGGATCAGAAGTTCATATCCATTATTTGGAAGCATTAAGAAATGTTTAGATTATTTTCCATTACTCTGTATTTGAGGAGGAAGGGGAAAAGCTGTTTCAAACCTGTATGCAGAGTGTAATTTCCCTGGGGGGCAAATGGGATTATGTATGAAAAAAGGCTGGAAAGATATACCCCTAATTGGTAACAGTGGTTGGGGAGGGGAGGAGATTATAGGCAATTTTTCTTTTTTGCCTGTTTATATTTTCTACAAGAAACATGACATATATCTACAGCAAAAACTGTGTAAAAAATCCTTGAATTTTCCTGCTAAAATTGGTCTATGTTTTGTACTAAGGTAGAGATCTCTACCACAAAACACCAGGTGGAGATAGGCCTGTTTAGTGCTTCTCATTGCCCCAGCCTTATAGGCCCTCATTTCCCCATAAAAAAAGGGATGGAGAAGGGTACTGAGAATCTCTATAAAAGGTAGCCACTTATAGGAGCGTTTTGCAAGAGTTTAGGGAGTCCACACAGTGGAGCTGGCTGGCTTAGTGTAATAAATAGGCTGCGGTAAGAGTCATTCTAGGCCACAGCACTCATGGGGGCATGATCTGCCTTAATTTTACCCATGGGGAATGACACAGCAAGGAGCTGGAAGGCTTAGACATGAAGACTGACCTCTGCAGACTGGTGTGAGGGAAATGGACGTGGCTCCCAGAAGCGGCTCTTCCCACTCTCAGGACCTGCCATCTGTGGCCTAAGACCAGAGACCCACAGCCAGGCAGAGGGTCTCCCAGCACAGGCCCAGTCAGTGCTCCGTCTGCAGCTCCTGTCTTGGTAGCACTGCCTTGCTGTGTGCCAACAACTTGGGAGTCCCTGTTTTAGAGAATCTGCCAAGCCCCAAGTTTGCCTTTGGGTTAACCCCTAACTACGTATGGCCCATTTTAGGAGTTCCTTAGAGAGGTTTCTGTCTTGCACAGGTGGTCAGGTGAGTGTGCACAAAGCTCTGTGATTAGACCCTGTGGTGACCACACCTGATGTGTGCTTGTCCAGAGGGGGCTCACTGCCATGGAGTCTGTAGCAGTGCCTGGCCATGAGCGTCAGAGGCCTCAGCAAAGGCCTTCCTGATCTTCCTCTGGGAACTCCAGATAGCCAAGGAGCAGCCCCATGCTCAGAAAGCCACAGAGCAGGACAGGAAACTTCAGAAGCTCGCCTTCCTCCAAGCTTGGCTTTTCATTCAATTGTAGACTCTGTTGGAGGCTCAGAAGAGGCATGGTAGATGCGCCTGACAGCAGTAACTTATGCATACCCCGAAAATGATCCTTATAGCAGACACACCTGACAGCAGTAACTCAAGAAATGAGGGTTGCCATGTGGAGGGTGCTAGGGGGAGGATGCTAAGTGAAGATGCTATACAATCTGCATCCTTTTTACAAGCAGTTGCAGCTCTGTCCAGCCTGCCACCACTGGGCCATTTCTGTGTGTAAGTTCCCCATAATAAAACCTTGTGCCTTGTTTGTTGGCTTTGGGTCTCTTCTTCAGGTTCTTGAACGTGGTGTCATCCCTACTGAAATCAATAGGGATCTAGCATGACAGAGGAACATGTGATGAAATAAGCTAAAAATAGGGGCAATACCGGTTAAGAAATAAAGAACACCTCATTGATGACCGAGAAGGGAGAGGCTGGCAGGGAAACCTGGAGGAGGCTGAAATGCCTTTGGACCTGAAGAACTGTGCATGATTCAATCCTTCCTCTTATTGAAAGGAAAGAAACTATTTTTTTTTCCAAAGCACCTGCCAAGAAGCAGGTACTGTGTCTAATTTCTCTTCAACAACCCAAGGAGGCAAGAAGAGTTTTTAAGTGATGGTCCCGAAGTCCCCAAGCAGGGACCGAGAAGCAGATTTACCTGGCTCCCAATATGTGCTACCTCCCAGATCAAGCAAATGGTCTTTTCAGGTCTGTGAATCCATCCAAGGTCATCTCTTGCCTGCCCACACTGGGCTGTTTGGGTGGAATCAGGCGGACCGGGGTTGAGTGCTGGCCTTTCCACTTGTCCCCTGTAACCCTGGACTGGCTGTTGAGCCCCTCCAAGCCTCGGCTCCCTCCCCTCTATAAACCATGGCCATCAACCGCACACCATGCTATGAAGATCATCAGTCAGGGCTGAGCACCAAATCCAGATAGGGTAAATGTGCATGAGTGGGAGCGGGCATCAGGAGCAGAGGTCCTGATTTCAGATCACCTGCTTTGCATGCAGCAGTTGCTTTTCAGCTGTGAGACTAATTGTTCACAACTTGACAAAGCAGGTCAAAGTACAACACAAATTGCTACAACCTCTTGCCAGTCCTCGGCTCATTTCTTCCTCAGCTCTTCCTTACTTGATGGGTAATTAGAACACTTGTCAAATACAGAAAGTTGAAATCACTAATGTGACTCTAAAACTTATTGCAGATCATTAAACATTTACTAGAGGTGCATAATGCAGAGATGTGGTAAATGACATTTCTTCACAGAAATTGTTGAGCTTAGAAATCTTCAATCGTTTCATTTTAGGGGTGAAGCAACCAAAATCTTGAGAGGCTAGTGGTTTGGCCAGACCTAAACCTGAGGGGTTCATTATTCCATTTGCTGAGCTTGCTACCACTCATGGTGGACTATTAATTCTCACCTCCACTCCTGGTTGCTTTTGAACATGTGGGGTGAGCTTTGAGAGAGCCGACGTCCTAAGATAGAGGAACACTCCTGATGCATTTTGTCTCCTCCAGCGAAGGTCAGGGTGCTTCTCAGTCCTGGATTCCTGCCTCGATCCAGCTGCTGCCTTTTCTTTGTCTGCACTGGTTTCTGCTCCATGCCGTGGGGACCATCCTGTCTCTCCTCTCCTTTGTAAGATCCAATAATACTGAAAATGTTGAACTCTGGTGAATTTCCGTCCAGACAATTGCCAGGGACAAAAATAGTGAAATGAGAACAAATGGGAGTGACCCAGAAGAGATGCACCCAGAGAGACCACAGACTCTGGAGTCAGGATGTGGAGGCACCGTCTAGGGACACCAATGTCCCCTGGCTTATGTCCTATATTGCCAGGAGGGGGATATTTGTGCTGGAAATCTAGGTATGCCCTAAATTAGTGAGTGGAGATCATGGCTGCAAATGCTAGACAGAGCCAAACCACCATCCTGAAGCAAATCTGTCTCAAATGTTGAGTAACAGCTATTCTGAATAAAAACATTCTGTGCATATGGAAGGCTCAGCTTCCAAAGGATCTTGACATTTTTAACTATAAAAAGGTCTCAAATTAAATCCATGTGACCTTGAGTGTAACAGGAACCCCAGGAACACCACACTTTTACCAATCAAATGAGAACTTCCAAGACCTTTCTTCCTCTCCCATTTTGTTTTTTTTTTCTTTCAGCGTTTACTCCTCGAGCACCTCCTACTTCGTGCCAGGCACTGTACTAGGCACTGGGCTCAGATGGGGAAGCAGAGAGGGCAGTTTCTGCTGCACAGAGCTCACAATATAGGGAGGAGCCGTGATCCATCTGTGAAGGTGGGAGATGCCTCAGTCAGGGAGGTCCAGGAGGGTACAGTGAGGCTGAGGCTGAAAGGACTGGCACGGGGGGCCATGGAGAAGGATGGAGGGAGAGAAGTTCAGGTAGAAGCAACTGCATGTGTGAAGGCCGCATGGTGGCGGATGCTCGGCCTGTGTGAGGAGCTGGACAAAGCCATGCGTGCCGCTTAGTTAGGAAGAGGACAGGCTCAGGGGAGGCTCGAGGGATGGGCTGGGGCCAGTCAGAAGGACCTTGCAGGTCATCAAAAAAGTTCAGATGAGCTCAGTAGTCATCTCTGAAGGGCTTTGAGAGGAGGGTTTATCTTTTACAAAGGTTATCCCTGTTGTGTGTGGAAACTGGACTGGTATAGGACAGAGCTGAGAGAGGGAACCAGGGTCTGTTGCTGAAGTTCAGTGAGGTGTGTGACAGTACATGACCAACAGCAGTGCAATGGTGAAAAAGAGAACTGATGTCCACGAGATGTCATCTGGAATCAGAACTGATGTGTGAGGATGGACTGGGAGCTGGGCACAGTGGGGTGGAGGCCATGTTTGCTAAATGCCTCTATGTGCTGGGCATAAGGAGAGTGTGTTTCCCTAAAAGAAGCCATCTCTGTCATTCATATGCCAGGTCCCTGTGCACCCACTGTTAATGATGTCCTCCCTGGACTGACTGCACCTACTTGTCTTTAAAGAATGTGGAAAAGCCTGCAATGGTATCAACGCTGTCATGGTCTTTTCAAACAGCAATACTATACATAATCAATTTTTCAACACCTAAGCAGAGTTGAGCCTGCTTCTAGAAGAGTTTTGAGAGAATACAAAGATAAGATTTGATTCCTGCCACAAACAAGCTCTGGCCTATTAGGGAAGAGAGAGAGACACCCAGTTACAGTGCAGTGTGAAAAGTGAAGCAAAAGAAATAGAGGGGAGACCCTTGGGCCCCCGGCACACAGAGAGGGATCAGTGAACAGGTGTCTGCCTGGGATGGGATGGAGGAGTCAGGGAAGACCTCAAGGAAGAAGTGATGCTGAAGCTGAATCTTCTAGAAGACATCCCAGGGCTGTTCTTGACAGAGGAGGAGGGCAGCATGTTATCAAGACAAGGGAGATATGAGTACCTGGTCTGGCATTGCCAGAGCTCAGGGTATGAGGATGAGAAGTGACAGGTGAAGGTAGAAAGAGGCTAGAATCTGGACTTCAGTCTGAAGATACATCACTGAAGGGCTTTCAACAAGGAAGTGGTGTGGCCACCCCACATTGTAGTAATCTTGGGGACTGCCAGATGGGTGCCAATGCAGTGGCCAGCCGTGTAAGGGGCCCAGGTGAGGCTCCTATATGGAGTCTACAAAATATGCAGCTGGTGATTAACAGGGATTGATGACAGAAGGGGTGGGGAGGGGGAATGCAGGTCAGGGTAAATTATCCTAGGTTTTTGGTTTAAGTTTAGGCACTTAGTGGCCTAAGAAAACAGGAGAGAGGGCTCTATTGGGGAAAAGAAAACTATGCTAGTTCTGGGCATCTTAAGTGTGAGATTTGCAGGACATCTTATTTATCCATACTTAACCTTTACCCTTGATTGAAAGGGTGATTACATAAACACACACAAAATAAAATAAAAATATATGTGGAAAATAAAACTAGAAAGATCACAGGAAGGTAGGAATTAAGTTAATACAAAAAACATGTACTGTAAGGCCCTTGCGCTTATTAGAAGTGGGTCACAAATGCTTCCTAACAGGCAACACAGATACAAACCAGGATCAGTTTACACAACTCAGGGCCCAAAATGAATTAAAAAAAGCCACAGAAACAAAAAAAAAATTACCCTGCTCTCAGTCCCCAGGCTTTTCCTAAATTGCATATGAGAGAAAAGTCCTCTGTGGTCCTGAAAAAAGAGGAGGCTGTGTGATAGAATGAGCAAGCTCTTCAGCAGGGTCCTTCAGTGAATGCCACAGCACATTTCACACAGCTGTTTCTTGCAATCTTCTCCAGTGGAGGCACATGGCATAAGCAAGCCATTCAGGAAACCATTGTGCAGGGCCACAAGTGTGAGCTTCAGGCTTTACCAGGGATAGATTTGAGAATTTCTAGAAGGGTGCGAGGAATAGAAATCCTTCCTATATACTGTTTCTCTCAACAGACTCTTTCAGAAATACCAAAAGGCAGCAAGTTCATGGCCACCCTGCCCAATAAATACCTGAAAAGCAGTTACACCACCAGCCAAGCAACAAATAGGCTTGCTCAGTTGGTTAGGGCTGTGGGGGAAGCAGAATGATCAAGTGTGAGGGAAGTTCAAGTCGAACCCTGCCACATGCCTCATGGTAAGCTCCTGACGCTCTGCAGAGAGGTGGGAGGCTGACAAGAGGGGAGAGGTGACTGGAGGAAGGTTGTCATGGGGCCTGGAGTGTGGGAGGGAAGTGCGGCTTGGGCTTCTATACTTGGGCAACATCGGGATGTGAGTGGATGCTGTAGGTGCATAAGATGGCTCAGGGTGGGATGTGGAGAAGCTGGCTGAAGACAAACCCTGGGGCAGCCTGCATTTCAGTGGCAGGTGTGAAGAGGTTCCACCAGTGAAGGGGAGGGAGGGGGAAGGGAAATCCTAGAGGCCGAGCAGAGAGATTGTTTCAAGAGGAGTTGGTGCGTACTTATGGTAGCTGCCTTTAACCTCTCTGTAAGTGGGTGTTTTTGATAAGGTAATATTAGCTGCTATAGCAGATAATCCTAAATATCTCAATGGCTTCATACAGTGTGTGTTCATTTCACACATGAAATACAAGGTCTGATTGGCTTGGGCATAGTCGCAGGGGTATTCTGCCAGCTTCAGCATGCACTTCCAAAGCCATCCTGGTTTGTCAACTTCCAGTCTGGAGAAGAGTGAGGATGGTATGTGTGGCAGTCTCCTAGGATTCGTGTAATATGAGTCACAACAAATTTGGCAGCTTAACACAATAGAAAATGACTTCTCTCACAGTTCTGGAGTCTGGAAGCCTGAAATCAAAATCGTAGGGCCACGCTCCTTCTGAAGGCTCTGCAGAATCCTTCCTGGCCTCTTCCCAGCTTCTGGTGATTCCAGGAAATCCTTGGTGTTCCTTGACTTGTGTCTTCTTAACCCGTCTCTACCTCCATTTCCTCCATTTTAACTGGGTCATCTTCCCTGTGTCTGTCTACACATGCCCTTCTTAAGTCCAGTCACTGGATTTAGGGTCTGCCCTACTCCAGTTTGGCCTCATCTTAATTATATCTACCAAGATCCCATTTCCAAGTAAGGTCCCTTTCACAGGTGCTGGGGGTTAGGACTTGAACATAACTTTTTGAGGGAACATAACAGTTCAAGACAACAGTATGTGTGAGGTTTTCGTGGGTCATACATCACTCGCCCACACCCCCGTGGTTGAAACTGAGTCATGTAGCTATACCTGCAGTACACCAAAGGCCGAGGAAGGTTGTTCCCTGTGCTCAGGAGAAAGGAAAAGGCAGCAGGAGGGCAGCTAGTCAGCTCCACCATACCACAGGGCAGGGAGATGGGGGAGCACATTGGGACAGAATTGAGGCTATCATGAGGGGGAAATGCAGCCAGGGAATGCATGCTCTGAGGGACAATCCGGGATGTGAAGAGAACCAAGTTAAGGGGAAGACATGCCTGTAATCCCAGCTTTTTGGGAGGCCAAGGTGGGCGGATCATGAGGTCAGGACTTCGAGACCAACCTGGCCAACATAGTGAAACCCTGTCTCTACTAAAAATACAAAAAATTAGCCAGGCATGGTGGCGGGCGCCTGTAATCCCAGCTACTTGGGAAGCTGAGGCAGGAGAACGGCTTGAACCCAGGAGGTGGAGGTTGCAGTGAGCCGAGATCCCGCCATTGCACTCCAGACTGGGCAACAGAGTGAGACTCTGTCTCAAAAAAAAAGAGGAAGACACAGGGATAAGGGGAAGGTTGTGCGAAATGAGAGAACTTTGAGTATGTTTGCAGGCAGGTAAGAAGCCAAGGGGAAGGGAGCAAATACAGATATGTAGGGGCAGAGAGGATGGGTGGAGACTTTTTGGAGGAGGTGGAACAAAGAACACTGGTGGAAGAAATCAGCACATCCCTGAATCTAAGTACGGAGAGGCACAAATCCTGTGAAATACCAAATGATAAAAGACAAGACAGCTGGGGTTTGCCTGGCTTTTTAAGCCTGTTACCTGATTTCTTTTAGGCCTAACCTGAGACATGTTTGTTTTGCACAGCTTATTGTATATATTCAGATACCTATACTACACACATTATACACAGATATGTTAGGAACATCTCTCTTCCAAGTACATTCCCAATGTGCTAATCCTGAGAGTTCTTGCAGAAATGTTGGGTCAACCAGAAGACTGCTTGCTGGCAATGCACTAAAACAGTAATGAATACTTTAGCATCATGTAATTGTGTATCTGCTGCAGAAAGAACAGTGGGCTAGTCTAGCTCTTCCTGCTGTGGCACCACTAGCCCTAAGAAGCTCTGATCCACAAACCTGCACCACTTGGGGTAAGGAAGTTGTCTGCAGAGTCCACATTCAGAAAAGGTGGTGTCCCTAACCAGAATACCGCTTTACCCTTTTAAGTGGCAGAATCCTGATGGCTGTGACATGCAGAGGTGGCCTGCGTGTGAGCAACTGGTCCTCACACAGAGGGAGAAAGGGCACAGTTGCCCAATCACTGACAAAACCAGCCTCGTGGCCTGAACAAAATTAGCCTGTTTGAGAGCCTGCTCATAAGCTAAAGAATTAAGTATCCATTCCAGAAAACAATATGAAGATGGGTTTGTTGGTCTTCTGACATTCATTCAATGTCTTCTATGGGCAAAGGCAATTTGTGAAAAGCATGGCATTGAAAATACCATACTGAACAGCTGTTTTTAACAGCGCCATGGGAAACCCTGAGGGACTGTTGATGGGTGTAAACCAAAAAGTATCCAAGACATGTCTCAATTGATTTAAAAGTTCATTTTGCCAACTTAAGTTAAGGAATGCCTGGGAGAAAAAAACATGGAATCACAGAAACAGTCTGTGATCGGTGCCTTTCTCCAAAGATGAATTTGAGGGCTTCAACATTTAAAGGCGAAAAGTGGGCTGGAGGGGAAAGAGGGAGGGTATGGTAACCCACATGTTGCAAGAGAAAAGCAACAGGTTGGGGAATAGTCGATTATCTATTCATCTGGGGCTCAGTAAATTAGTACTTTCCATAAGATAAGATGAACCCAGAGTAGCTACCAGTGGAGATATTTAACCTTTTATCTGCAGCTATTTGCTTAGGAACAAAAGGAAAGGCAGTTTCTTGCATGACTCAACTTTCAGCTTTTTTTTTTTTTCCTTTTTGGCTTAATAAATTGGGGTCCCTAGTTTTTATTTTTTTTCCACCTGGGGGATAATATTACTAATGATAATTATTATGGTTATTGGTATAGTAATAAAACACTTATTGAGCATTTATTATATGCCAGGAACTGTGCTTAACATTTTACACACTTTGAATCATTTAATCCTTCTACTAACCTTATCACAGATAAGGCCTCTTATTATCCCCATTTCCCCCATTTCCCTGATAAGGAAGGCACAGAGAGGTTAGGCATTTTGTTCAAGGTCCCACAGCGCTATGATAAGTCACAGAAGCCAGGACCTGAATCCAGCTTTTGTTTCTCCAGAATCTGTGCTATTAATCAGTATATAACCTGCTCTACATCACAAGTGTTCCTATCTGTTTTACATACTGGGCCTCTGTTGTAAGGTCTCATTTAAACAAAGGGTCTGGAAAGTATATAATACAGCTTTTTTTTTTAGATGATCTATTAACATTGAGAAATTGGTGCAGTCCATTTGGAAGGACCATGTGTCTTTGAAATGCTGGTGGCAATGATGACCTGCCAGCTCAGAATCACAAAGAACATGACAAGGGTGTGGTGGGGGAACAATTATACAAAAACTTTGACACAGAAAAGCAGCAAAACAGGAGTGAAAAGCGAGCAGAGAGATGAATCAGTGTGAAAATGGATTGCACGAATCCAATTTTTGCAGGCAGGCCTGGTGGCCCACAGTAGGGAAAGCGTTCCCACTCTGCGATTTCAAAAGCCATTTTATTATTGCCTGGGATACCACTGGAAAAGAAAAGCAAGGGTCCAGGAGCCGGGTGGGAAAGCACAGTCCAGCACAGAGGGTCAGGGCAGGCTCCAGGCCCAGCAATGCAGCTCTAGGCTTCTTGTGCAGCTGAGCTCCCTAGGAATAGTGACCTTGACTTCACAGCTAAGTCTTGCAGGAAAAAGAAAAAGACACACACACACACACACACACACACACACACACACACACACAACTGTGTTTTTCGAATGCCTGAGAGCTGGGAGGCTTTTTAAAGGCTTTGTTGAAAAAGGACTTCTTCTGTGTTACTTAGAGACAACCATTGCTTGCCAAAATACTAGGTAAAAAAAAAAAATCACAAAATTCGAGAGCTGGAAAGAATATTACAGGCTGCCCAGTGTGTCCCAAAGCAACTAAATTATCATTATAAACTTTGTGAAGACACACACACACACACACACACACACACACACACACACACACACGGGCCTTTGGAGTGTGCTGACTTGAATTCAGCATCTTGTCCACATCTAACCTGGTAAGAATACAGTTCTAGGGTCCAGAGCTAATATCTGGCAGCAATATTGGCTAAGATGAATTATATGACACAGTGGAGTCCTAAAGCAGCTCAGGAACGCTATCAGAAAAGTTCACCACATGCTTTTACATCAGCCCAAAAGTTCATGTAGCCCTTTCATATGCAAGCCATCTACACTGTAATGCAAATTATATTTCACCTTGCATCATGTATTTATTATAAACTTAAATATATTTACTATCTGCAGTAGTAGCAGTGGCAGAAATAATATATTGATAATCACTGTTGATAACTAGCATTTATTAGGTGCTTTCCATAAGGCAGGCAAGCACTTGTATAAACATTTCAAATGCACTCGATTCACACATAATGTTTAATGCTTTTGCATGAATTATGTTTTACTTATTTTGCCACCATTCCTCCCCACACCCCGTTACAATGTGAGTTCCATAATGGCAGAGGCTCAGGGGTTTTTGTCTTCATTATTAACTAAGCCTTCAGTTCTCAGAACACAGTAGGAATGCAAATATTTTCTGAGTTGAATTAATTCATTTAATCCTCACAATGACTGAAAGGGATAGGGATTGTTAGAATTCCTAATTTACAGACGAGGTAACTGGGGCACAGAATGGTTAAGTAACTGGCTGGAGGTTGCACAGTAAGTGATAGAATTAGGATTCAATCCTGGGCCATTTGACTCCAAACCCTATACTTTTGGTGAACCCCTAGCATTTCTATTTTAATAATGACAATAGCTAACATGTAGCAAGTGCTTACTATGTGCCAGGTACCACACTGAACGCCTTCTGTGCACCCTCTCATTAATATAACAGTTCTGCAAAGGAGGCTATTATTATTTTATTCACACACTTTAGAAGGATCCTCTACCTTGACCAAAGTCATTCTGCTAAGTTGTGTGGCTAGAATTCAAACTCAGGCCCACGTGAGTTCCAAGTGCATGCTCATAACCATTGCCCCATTCTGTGTCCTGAGCCATCCTTCACATAGAGAGCTACTGTGCACTTTAGCTATGGGTCTCCCTTCTTTACTCTTTAAAAATTTTATTTTAGATTTGTATCTAATTTTAAAATGTTCATACTATCTTTTTTCATAACCCATATAAAGTTTGGGTTACTAAAAGGGACTAACATTAAGTGAAAGAGCAGCACCCCTAGTCTGAGGGGTGAAGGTGAACTGAACCAGGGCCATCAAAACCATATCAGGCCATAACAGGAGGAAGTGGTGCCAGCTGCAACTCTAGATCTGTGATGTGCTAAAACCCTTATGAAGGGATTCTGGAAAACCACTTTCCTTTGGGAAAGTATCAGAGGGATGAGTCAAAGGGAATCTGCAGGGCTGGGGAGGATTAGAGACAGGAAACTGATCCCAGTCAGGTTGGTTGGCTCTGTCAGCTGACAGGCAGGCAGTAGTAGCGGGAGGCGCCAAGAGTGGGAAGTATTTAAAACAAAGTCATAGGCTGGGTGTGGTGGCTCATGCCTGTAATCCTAGCACTTTGGGAGGCTGAGGCAGGTGGATCACGAGGTCAAGAGATCGGGACCATCCTGGCCAACATGGTGAAACCCTGTCTCTACTAAAAATACAAAAATTAGCTGGGCATGGTGGCGCGCGCTTGTAGTTCCAGCTACTCGGGAGGCTGAGGCAGGAGAATCGCTTGAACCAGGGAGTTGGAGGTGGTAGTGAGCCGAGATGGTGCCACTGCACCCTGGGCTGGTGACAGAGCGAGACTCCGTCTCAAAAAAACAAAACAAAACAAAACAAAACAAAACACAAAGGCATGAAGCCTGGGTGCCGTGGCTTAGGCCTGTAATTCCAGCACTTTGGAAGGCTGAGGTGGGAGGATTGCTTGAATCCAGCAGTTCAAGAGCAGCCTAAGTGATGTAGGGAGAACCATCTCTGTAAAAATAAAAATAAATTAGCCAGGTGTGGTGGCACATGCCTGTGATCCCAACTACTTGGGAGGCTGAGGTGGAAGGATCACTTGAACTTGGGAGGTCAAGGCTGCAGTGAGCCATGATTACACCAGTACACTCCAGCCTGGGTGACAGACTCAAACCCTGTCTCTAAAAATTTTTTTTAATAAAAATTTTTTTGAAAAATAAAGGGATGAAAGAATCCACTTCTCACATTGAAGGGCAGGATGTAATATCAAGGGAAAGGTGGTAGTCACCACTTAGGCCCACATGCAGCCACTAAACCATGAGCTGCTAGTTCAACTCATTTCTTGAAGGGTTGGGCTTTGAAGAGTGAGAGAGGCAACCTTAACATCCAAGTGGCAGACACTGTGTCTGCAGCCTGCTGACTGGGACCTCTGAGAGCCAGAAGGAACTCAAAGGTCAGTGCCGTACAGTTCTTCTGAAGCTACAGAGAGGAACATCAGGAGCAGGGTGGGGGCTTCCTGGGAAGCTTAGATTTCGGGAAACTGCTGAAGCACAGCTCTCAGGGGGAACCAAGTCCCACTGGAGCTGGCAACTGAAAATTTTCTTTATGCTCTAGGTTTGGAGCATCTTACCTGTCTTCTGCCATCTATGCCTAACCTAACAAGATTGAAGGGAAGAAAATGGATCATAGCCTGCAGGAGTCCAGGAAGCTGAGCTGACCAGCATTCCCCCCCAAACCTAAGTGATATGTCTGACAAAAGAGTTACTTTGATAGAGTAAATAATAGAGGCAGGTCAGTCTCTGGCTGGATACTAAGTTAATGGTTCCCAAATTTCAGAGCTGGAAAACACCCTTGAAATCAATTAGTAAGATCCTGTTAACTCCACTTGTTCTTTAAAGCAGGAAACCGGCTCAGAGAGTGAAGTGGATTTCCAACTGTTATGCAGTTTGCTACGGGACAAGATTGTGATTAATCTCTGGACTCCCAGCCCAGTGTTTTTTCCATTGCTGTCTCAATGAGGCAGCTAAGAGCAAAGACACACACCTGTACTCTGGAAACCTTTCTTTCTTTCCTTTTTTGAGATATTTTTGTCAGGCTGGAGTGCAGTGGCGTGATCAAGGTTCATTGCAGCCTCAGCCTCCTGGGCTCAAGCGATCCTCCCACCTCAGCCCCCTCAGTAGCTGGGACTACAGGTGTGTGCCACCACATCTGGCTAATTTTTAAATTTTTGGTAGAGATGGGATCTCATCATGTTGCCCAGACTGATTTCAAACTCCTGGACTCAAATTATTCTCCTGCTTCAGCCTCCCAAAGTGGTGGGATTATGGGTATGAGCCACCATGTCCAGCCAGGAAACATCTGTCTCTGTAGTTATACTCCTTTTTTCCCCAATAATGATTGAAAGTTTTGACCAAGGAGAAAATACATTCTTAGCAATCCCCTAAAATAGCAGAGGCTCAGCAAACTGTTCATGGATAAAGAGTAGGTCCAGAGTATTATCTGATCTTAGAAAGAACTGATGTTGCTAAGCGGATCACAAGCAAAATCTCAGAAACGGAGGAGGTAGGTCCTCCAAAAACAGGTGGCGATCCAGGTTCTGGTACGAGTTCTGCCGCCGGCTATCTGTGGGAACTTGAGAAAGACAATTCTGTGAGCTTCACTTCCCTTATCAGTAAAAAAGGGAAACTGGACTAGATGAGTGGTTCCCACAGTGGCCCCAAGCTCAAGGATTCTGATTCAGTAAGCCTGAGAATAGGGGCCCTGCAACTTTCATTACTGTTATTTTTTAAATCCCACAGGTGAATACATGAATGTCTGCGCTGGATTGATAGAGGGACGGGAGGATGGATAGATACATTTGATGAAAATTGCTAATTGCAGGATCTAGGTAGTAGGTGTACAAGAGTGACTCAATTATTATATATGTTGGCAAAGTCCCCCAGGTGATTCTGATGTACAGGCAAGTCCGGCAGCCTCTGGACCAGAAGTCAGCCTCAGACCGAGTTCAGGGGGCTTCACAGTCCCTCAGAGCAGCCCCAGGTGCCACCTTGGGAAAAGGGAGCTGGTGTGAACCTCAGCCTTGTTCTAGAGTTTAGTCTGGGCAGCTCTACCTTGTTTGTTTATACACAGGAGAATTTGTGTAAGATTCTACCAGAAAGCGTACCAACAATGGACCCACTGCTTAATGTATACAAACCACTTTACAAGATGGTTTTTAAGGCCTTACATAGATCCAACTGTTTATGAATTTACAAAATTACTTACGCCTTGGTAGGCAAGATGGAACGAAGGCTTTAAAAATGAATATTATATATAAATGAGTGTGTACACACACACACATACACACACACCCTCTTGGTTATTATAAGAGTCAAGCAAGAGAGGAGAGTTCAAGCTCAGACCTCATGGCCATTGCCATGGTCACTGCAGCACTAGCTGCCACTGAGCATGCCTGGGCCCTGTTTGCACCTCCTCTGCCTCACCTACTACCCCCTCTTTCTTTGGTCCATTTCTATCTGGTCCTCAACTATAAAAGGTACATTCCTGGTTCAAGGCTGTATTAGTCTGTTCTCATGCTGCTAAAAAGACATACCCAAGACTGGGTAATTTATAAAGAAAAAGAGGTTTAATCGACTCACAGTTCCACATGGCTGGGGAGGCCTCACAATCATGGCAGAGGGTGAAGGAGGTACAAAGGCACGTCTTACTTGATGGCAGGCAAGAGAGCATGTGAAGGAAACTGCCCTTTATGAAACTATCAGACCACACGAGACTTACTCTCTATCATGAGAACAGCATGGGAAAAATACTCCCCCACGACTCAGTTACCTCCCACCTGGTCCCCTCCCATGATACGTGGGAGTATGTTATAGGAACTACAATTCAAGATGAGATTTGGGTGGGGACACAGCCAAATCATATCAAAGGCCTTGGCTGTTTCATCTGCCAGAACATTTTGCCTCACCTCCTTCAGACCTTACTCTAAGACTCTATCCCCCATGACTCTTTCCCTTGCTGTCGCATTTGAAACTGCAACCCACCCCTGACTACTAAGTCCCTTCCCTTGCCCTATGTTTCTCTTTAGAAATTATTACCAATAGCATACTCAACATTTTACTTATGTGCCTTGCTCATTATCTGTCTTTCCATACTGGTTTGCAAGCTCCATGAAGGCAGGGTTTTTTTGATCATAGCTACGTTCCTAGTGACTTTGACAGTGTCTGGCATGAGGCATATTTGGTGAAAGAATGAAGGGCTGAACCATACTTGTGCTTTAAGCACATCATCTGTAATCTGCATGGCAATCTAGAAGAGCAGGAACCAGCCCCTTCCACAAATGGGAAAGCAAGGTATTTTCTGGAGGGGTGAGGGCCAGCATTTCCAGACCCTAGCACCTGTGATCATCCCATTTCAACACTCTACCTCCCACAACCCTGGCTCACTTCCAAGGGCTGACATGTTTCTCCCTCCCTTCCTGTACTAACAGCTAAACCATATTTGGGCCTGGAGAGTTTATTACCTTGCTTAAACAAGACAGGATAGAGTTGAAGGTGAAATGCCCATATTGTTCAGTTAACTCCTTGAAGCAAACAAATCATTTGATAACTGTACACCACACACCAGTAAGGACTGCTCAGTGAACATCAACATCCCTTCAGGAAACAAGACCTTCATAAACCATTGTCTGTTGATGGTGGCTCAATGAGGGTTATATTTCACAAAAACGAGTATGATCCCATCCAACATTTATATCACAAAATGACCCCAAGTGCCAAACATTGAAGCACTATTCACAACCACAATGACACTGTGAAATAATAAAGCACAGGGCTTAGCCTGTAGAACTCTGCTGCAATGGATTCTGACCTGTGAGGCAATTCTGTTGATGCAGTGTACCAGCATTGCTATTTCTGCGGCCAAAGAACATGATTACAAATGTGTGCCTTTAACCCAAGGCAGCCTTCACTCAGTAAAGCCCAGAGCTTCATGTGTCTCCTGAAACACCTGCCTTGCCTGTTACACTGCATTGTAAATGGATGCCTGACTGCCTGCCTACCTGGGCTGACTACAAGTAGAAGAGGACAGAGACCTCATCTGCCTACTTCACGGTAGCTTCCCCAGCACAGTGCCCAGCAGATGCCTGGCTCATGGAAGGCATAAAAATATTCATTGAATCCTGCTCCTACCATGACATTTTACTCTGCTTATACTTTATCTTCTAACTATGTAATATATGCACGATGAACTGTAAAAGTTTATCATATGCAAACCGAGGATGGATTGAGGTGTATATATAAGTAATCCATTCCTAACAGTTATTTCAAATCTTATATTAAGGATGACAGCAATGGGAGGAAATGAACTCAAAAAACATACCAAAGAACTGCAGTTTGAGAGCAGATAAGAAACGAAACTATTAAACTGAACTGGTATATCATTTAAAAATCTTTACAACATAACTATGACAATTTAAAAATAACCACCAAAGAACAGAAGTTGTTAAAACATCAGTATAGTCACACCCTGCCTGATTAATGTAATCTTTCTCCTTTAGCAATGAAATAATCTTTGCTTTCTATGATGAACTTTCCAAAGACAAATATTTGGTATGCTGTTTACTTGTAGGCTTTTTCATTATTCAAATGTGTTCTTCTCCAAGATGAAAGTGGATCTTGGAGAAGAAAAATAAAAATTAGCTTGGCATGGTGGCACGCACCTGTAATCCTAGCTACTCAGAAACCTCTTTCTTCACTATGTTTGACAGCTAAAGCTGAACTTACTGCATCTCTCCTAAAACTAACAGTGACAAAATTCAGGTAACAAAAGAGGTAATTGGTCTTTGGACTTTAAAAATGATAGTGATATCCAAGTTGTAACTTCATCAGAACAAAAGGGAAAATGTATCAAAAACTGAATGAAGACACTATTACTAATTGAACCTAATATGAATTCCCTTTTCAATGCCACTGCTGGCCAAAACTGCTAACTGTCCACCAAAATCAATTCCCTTGGGCCTGGGTACACGACTTAGACTACATTTCCCAGCAGCCTTCTTTGCTTCTCAGTAAAGTCACATAACTGGGTTCTAGCCAATGGAATGCACCCAGAAATGTTGTGTGTCTCTACCAGGCCTTGCCCCTAACACCCTTTCTTGAGTGCTCCTCCACACTCTTGTCCCCTTCTGTCTCACTGGATGGAGATGCCTCAAGAGCTCTTGGAAGCCAAGAGTTAAAAATGACAGAGCCTCCTTCGGCCTAGGTCCTCGAGTGCCTGAAAGGGACAAAGGCACTGCTTCATTAAACTCTTAAAGGAAAGAGACAAAAATGAAAATAGTCATGTTACTTAAGATCCTCAAAGTCACAGAAACATAATGCTTTGCTGGGTGTGATGGTTCATGCCTATAATCCTAACACTTTGGGAGGCGAGGCAAGAGGATGGCTTGAGCACAGGTCCAGTATAGTGAGACCCCATCTCTACAAAAAATAAAAATTAGCTTGGCATGGTGGCACGCACCTGTAATCCTAGCTACTCAGGAGGCTGACATGGGAAGATGGCTTGAGCCAAGGAGTTTGAGGCTGCAGTGAGCTATGACCATGCTACTGCACTCCAGCCTTGTGACAGAGTAAGACTCTGTCTCGAAAGGAAAGGAAAAAGGAAAGAAAAGAAAAGAAAGGAAGAAAGGGAAGGAAAGGAAGGAAGGAAGAAAGAAAAAGAAAGAAAGACATAATATTTCTTTTTGTTTGTTGTTTTTTGCTTTTTTTTTGAGATGAGGTCTTGCTCTGTCACCCAGGCTGGAGTGCAGTGGCGTGATCTCTGCTCACTGCAACTTCCACCTCCCGAGTTCAAGCAATTCTCCTGCCTCAGCCTTCCAAGTAGCTGGGATTACAGGCCCACGCCACCATGCCTGGCTAATTTTTGTAATATATATATTTTTTTAGTAGAGACGGGGTTTCACCATGTTGGCCCAGCTGGTCTCGAACTCCTGACCTTGTGATCTGCCTGCCTCGGCCTCCCAAAGTGCTGGGATTACAGGCGTGAGCCACTGCACAGGGCCTCAAACATAATATTTCATGGACACCTTGAAAAACTTAGCACAACATCCTTGCTAGGTAGAATGCAGTTGATGCACAACTATTTCCATTAAGAAGAACCCACTACATTCTTCAGCGGCTTGTTGCATCTATAAACAGTTCTCCTGATCAGTATGATAACAATAATAGCAGCTAACTATTACTGAGCAGTTGCCATACACCTGGCTCTGTGCTGAAGGCCTTCCAGGCATCTGCTCATCTAATCCTCACCTGAGGAGTGAGTACTATCATTATCTCCATTTACAGTTGACAACACTCAGTACAGAAAACATGAGATTGGCTCAAGGTCACACACAATAGTGGCAGAGCCAGGATTCAGCTCAGGCCATCTGAGTCCAGAGTCCCTGCTCTTAACCACCATCCTGCCTGCCTGTGGCTATCACTTCTATCCCAGGCTCATGGACAGCTAGCCTTACCACCTTACCCCATAACTGACAAATATTTGATCTTTTACATCAACAAAAGTTATCTTTTCATGTGGCTGAGAAACTTTAGCTCTTTTGAATTTTCCTCATCTTTTCAAACATAATTCCAATCTCTTCAGCACTCCAGTCTCTCTTTTGAAGGTTCCTGATCATCTATACACATGTTGAATTATGTCACCTAGAAAGG
This sequence comes from Homo sapiens, assembly GCF_000001405.40. Classification (NCBI taxonomy): domain Eukaryota; kingdom Metazoa; phylum Chordata; class Mammalia; order Primates; family Hominidae; genus Homo; species Homo sapiens. The sequence goes on from NC_000012.12 coordinate 62,779,996, forward strand.
GACTTCATGGGTAAAATGACATTAATAGTACTTCCCCAAATGGGTTGATGTTAGGATTAATGAGGTTATTTATGTAAAATTCATGTAAAGCCCTAGACACTAGCAACAGTACTTACTATGGACAAAGTAAGCCAGCCAGTCAGAAACATTAGCTATTATTTGCCTTATAGCTTAAATACTGCAGCCTATGATCAGATTAGGTTCTGGTGTCTATATCACACTACTGACCAGATTAAATTTACTGTCTACTTAAATACATTTAAAAAAATGTGAACCATTGATAAGCTGTCTCCCCTATCCTGCTAGTTTTCTTTCTTTTTTTTGGTGACAGGGTCTCACTCTGTCACCCAGGCTAGAATGCATTGGTGCAATCATGGCACACTGCAGCCCAACCTCCCAAGCTCAAGTGGTCCTCCTGCCTCAGCCTCCTGAGTAGCTGGGACCACAGGCATGTGCCACCATGCCCAACTAATTGAAACAAAAATTTGTTAATAGAGACAAGGTCTCACTTTGTTGCCCAGGTTGGTCTTTAAGTCCTGGGCTCAAATGATCTTCCTGCCTTGGCCTCCTAAAGTGCTGGGATTACAGACATGAGCCACCGTAACTGACTGCCAGGCTGGTTTTTCTCTTTTCAACAGGTGTGATACTTTACCTTTACTGTGGTTAAGCTTCACCTGGTATTTACCCACTTTCCCAGGCACTAAAGGACTTTTTGAATCTTGCTAGTTTGTCTTACTCGGTTTCATATCACCTACACATTAGATGATCAGGCCCTGGAAATCTATCCTGGTGTGGGCTCGAGTGGGCAAACACAGGGCCTTGGGTTCTCTACTACAAAGTTTCCTCCTGGCACTGATCCACTGTTCTACCCTAGCTCAGCAGCCAGGCATAGAAAAGGTGACTATCTCGATCACAATAATCTCACGCCAGCATTTCTAAGTGCAAATATTCTACTTCTATGAACTTCATGAGACTTCCCAGCTTAGCCTTTCAGTGTGTAAGAGACACGGGACGTGTTTCAAGGCACAGCTTGGTTGGAATGGGGAACTACAACTACACTTTCCCAGGGGCCCAACAATGACAGACGAAAAGTCCGCACGGGGGCATGTCTGACCCATTCCAGACAAGGGAATGGAGGCCGGGATAGGATAGGATGCTTCACAGCTACTCAGGCCTCAGAACTACCCAGCAGGAAGAGGAGGCTGACATGTGGAGCTGGATCATGTTAGAAATTCTCACCCAACTCTACTCTTCAGAGGAACAGGGCCTAAGTTCTAGGATGTCAGGCTGGCAGAAAGGAATCTGCAGTCAGCCGGCCCAGGTACAGGCAGGTCGCCCCCGCCCCACTGCAGGTAGCAGGCTGCAGAGTGGAAGGGGAGACACGGGTTCCAGGAGCTTGCCCTGCGTGTGGTGTCCGGCTGCTGCAGGACTGCTGAGACTGCCTTATAGTGTGCCTGCAGTCTAACGCTTTGGCCCTCAGGCCAGGAACAGCTAAAATGTTTCAATCCTTCCTAGCTCTTTCAGATGCCCAGGGGTAGACTTTAGAGTGGTGATTCTTAAACTTGAGCATGCATTGGAGTCACCTGTAGGACTTGCTAAACACAGACTGCTGGGTCCACCCACTGAGTTTCAGCGAGCAGTGATCTGCTCTCCTAACAAGTTCCCAGGTGATGCTGCTGCCAGTTTGGGGATCACACTTTGAAGATCACTGATTCAGAGCAAGAAGTACCTGAGAGAGGAAGGTCAGAGAGAGAAGGGCCTCTCGGGTGCCCTCTGTGTGGATGGCAAGTGGCCTGATGGGAAAAGTACAGACTGTTTTGAGCCATCACTTGGTTTCTGTGTCTCTGCCTGTATTTGTGATCATTTGGTAGCATTATTTTCTTTCTGCTAATCCCTTCTAGAGGTTATGGGTATAGCTAAGGGATTACATGAAATACACACTAAAAAGATGGGGAGGGGGCTCTGCAGAAAAAAGGGAGAAACAGCAATTCAACTTTCACAGTGGAGAAGAGTTGTTGATTTTGTTTTTTTTCTGTTATTTTTCAAATACATGCCAAAGAAAGTGAGAGGAATAGTGTATTTAATATAGTTAATGGCTTAAGATCAAATATATTTCTGAACTCAGAGGAAGGCTACTAACAGAGCAGGAGCTCACTGGCACGTGTGGATAGATGAACCACTTATTAGCAAAAAGGAGTTTCAGAAAGGATTTGTACTGGCCGTTGGTGAAATCCATGAACATAAGAAGAAATGAATAGTTCTTTGCATTCCCTTGGCTTGGAGGCAGTTACATAATATTTCATTATTTTACCACCAGCAAAGGGAAGAAACCTGGAGAGAAGATGCCACAGATGTGTAATTGATTTTGAATTTAGGAACGTAAGTCCTGTTTAATACCTAACTCCTGTCCTCAGGAACAGTCAGACTTGTCAAAGGAACTCACCTTTGAACTAATAGAGAAAGCTTTAACTGTAAAGGGGGGTAATTGTGGAAAACTAAAAAGGAGTGAAAGATAAATGAAAGGAAACCATCACTGGCTTCGTTCAGTGACAATTCATGGAATGCTATTCACTCCGGTCCTAAAGAGCTAATGAATGACACATTCGACTTTCCCTACCCTTTCCTAGGAGACTCTCAAGCATGAGAAGATGACCCTCTATTCCCAGGAGTCTGTGGGCTCAATTCAAAAACTTAGTGAGACACTTGCTTCCAAAGAAGTTATAAGCACAACAAAATGGAAGTCTGAATTTGTGGTAGTAATCATTTATAGAATCAGAAAATGCTTATATTATTTTCAATAGATTATGATCAAAATGAAAACACAACATTTATTTTTAATTTTAATTTTTTGAGACAGGGTCTTACTCTGACACCCAGGCTGGAGTGCAGTGGTGTGATCACGGCTCACTGCAGCCTTGACATCTCTGGGCTCAGGTGATCTGCCCACCTCAGCCTCCTGAGTAGCTGGGATTATAGGTGTGAGCCACTACACCCAGCTAATGTATATATATATTTTTGTAAAGATGGGGTTTTGCCATGTTGCCCAGGCTGGTCTGCAACTCTTAGGCTCAAGTAATCCTCCCACCTCGGCCTCCCAAAGTGCTGGGATTGCAGGCATGAGCCACTGCACTCGGCCAAAAACACAACATTTAAAATAGTCTTAGAACTTTGGGACGCTTGGAAGGAGATGGGAGCTCTCATGTTGAGAAAACACTCCTTTTCTATATTATAAATGAATGAATTGGACCATCCAAAGCTTATCTTGTCAACAACTGCAGTGCGTTTAAAATAGCCTCTAAGGCAGCCTTCCACTCCCTCCATAATCCATTTTAGGTGAAAACTAAGATGCCATTGATTATAAGGTGTGCCACTATTTCACATAAAAGCAGGAAGAAAAAAATGTTAATTAGAACTTCTTTATTTAGAGATGCTAAAATGAGAAAAACAAAACCTCTGTGAGTTTCAGCATGGATGGGAAATCCCAGGGTACAGTGCAGAGATTGTGGACAAGATCGAACTCCCAGTCTTGGGCGGGTGGTGTCCCTGCTCCTCCACAGCTGTCGAAGCCTGGGGAAACCAGTTCCCCTCACTGGGCCTCAGTTTATTTATTGGTAAATTGTATTTAACTCGTATTAACAGTGCCTACTTCTCACTATATTATTGAGAAAATTAAATGTGATCCTTTGTTATAGTATTTAATACGTGCCTTGCACTTATTAGCTATTTTAATGCCGCTATTACTATAAGTCTGGCAAGAGTAGAATTATGAATTTAATAAATCTTAAATGCTTTTTAAAACTCTGAGTGACTTCACCCAGTCTCAGTTGCTAAACCTTTAGACATTGTTTAAAATACGTGGTAATGGCTTTGCTTCCTCAGTGCCTTAGTTCTCTAGAGATGAAATGAAATGATCTCTAAAATGGAGTTCCTAAACTGAAGAATCAGTCAGAGCCCTAAGGAGCTGATGACTCAAACACAATGGGTGATAGTTTGCATATTGCTTTGCATGACATTTGCATGCTACTGGTTCATTTTTTGCTTGAAGTGAAAATCCGCCCACCATCTGCTTCTTTCCTGGTCCCTTATGATCCCCTAGGTGTTGAGTTGGCTGACTCTGCCGGGGAAAAATAAAGCAACTGGCATGCATCAAGCAGTTACTGCATGTGCCTCTGTGGCTGGTTAGCTCGGCAGAGTAGAAGGGCAAGTTCTATCAGGGCACGGACCAGACCACATGGATCAGGTACTCGCGTCACTGTGGACCATCCTACATGAATGGTCCTATGTCCTCTGAATGGGATGGTCGTTGACTCAAAAACCCATAAAGCCACAAACAGCATCAGGCAACATTTCCTGAATACAACCCCTAAGTGTGCAGATGTCTGATGGTAAATCAGATGATACACAGCTTAGTTCCTGACCATTGGCAGCTTCCAAATCAAACCAGGGCAAAGCTTCTCTTTTCCTGAGCGTGAATAATTATGGGGGCAGTGAACATATAACAAATATTTTTTACTCTCGAAACTGTCAAGATGTAAAAAAAAAGCACATGACAGCTAATATCTAGCAATAAAGAAAACTTAGCCCTTCATTAATCAGGGCTCTGTTGCCAGAACCTTCTGCGGCTCTAAGCATTTGTTTTAAACTGAGCCCTGGGATTCCTGACTGCTCGTCAATCAGTGATAATGGACCTACATTTCCACAGATATGATCAAAGCTCACTTAGCTGTGGTTTCTTGGGAATAACTGAATATTTCTGTAAGCTCAAATACCTATATTATTAGTATGGCAAACTAGACAACAATCCTAGAAGATGATATCAGTATCTATTGTTTGTAAAAGAGCTGCAAATAGCACTCTAGTAAGTGTCGCATAAACGATCCTTTGGATAGCACATAAAAATACCAACTCACATTGTTCTCAGGTTTCCTGAAGTATGACCCATATGTGAACAGAAAACCCAAATAATCAACTACAAAACCCCAAATTTATATCTGGATACTGGGACTAGAATACTGTAAGCATAATTAAGCTTATGAGGTTTTAGAGGTAGTATTTTATCATTAAGCTTATTAGGTTTTAGAGATACTGCTTTTTTGATTTTTTTTTAAATGTTTTACAGCTTTATTAAGGATAAAAGTATCTGTTAGGCTTTTCAAATGATTAGATATAACATGTAAAACAAAACACTTTTTTTTTTTGGAGACGGAGCCTTGCTGTGTTGCCCAGGCTGGAGTGCAGTGGCACAATCTTGGCTCACTGCAACCTCTGCCTCCCATGTTCAAGTGATTCTCCTGCCTCAGCCTCCCAGGTAGCCGGGACTACCGGCGTGTGCCGCCACACCCGCTCATTTTTTTTGTATTTTTAGTGGAGATGGGGTTTCACCATATTGTCCAGGATGGTCTCGATCTCCTGACCTCATGATCCGCCCGCCTTGGCCTCCCAAAGTGCTGGGATTATAGGCGTGAACCACCACGCCCGGCCAAAACATCATACTTTTATGAACACTTAGAAATACAAGAACTTCAGTTACATTAACATTTCCAAAACAAATTCTAAGAAATATAAAATAACCAAAAGATACTTTATAGTACAACTTTACTTTCTAAAAGTGTCACTCCTCATGGGATAATTTTTAGAGATTATCTAGTCCAATACCACTGCCTTTATAGATGAAATTGAAGTCTGGTCTGGAAATTGGCACCTAAGTACAACAGAAGGCAAGAGCCCAGAAGATGAACTCTTGGGACTGGCAGATTCCAGGACAGAGGACTGGAGCTTCTGGGATGCAGGCTTAGAAGCCCTGGCTAGGTAGGTGGCTCTTTTAAGGAGCCTGGAGCTTTGAAGGAAACTACGTTTAAAAATGAGGAAAAAAAAAAAAAAAAGAGAGAAAAAGGCACTGGGGAGGAGTTGAGTCTCGAAGAACAGTCTAACATAAAGGTATTCCAGCCGGGAAGTTGAGTTAACTTCTGACTCAGGTCATCTGGTGAAAGGCACTTCCCTGGGAGGTAGGGTGGGCCTGTTTCCAGGAGCAAGGCACTCAGTCACTTCCTTAGTCCCTGAGTGGGCCAGGAAGCAAACTCATTTTAAAGGACAGGAAACCAGACATAAAGGCTTTAAAAGGTGAACGTGAGTGCAACAGCTGAATCATCCACTCGGTCTTACTCAATTGGAGCAGACAAAGAGCAATGAATTGCCTCCTTTGCTGCTCTCCTCTGTCTACCGACCAGCTCAAGATCAGGAACTGAACAAGAGGCCAGGGGCTGGCCACTCAGTGTGTTTTAAAAGCCCCTGAAGACCATAGATTCCTGTCTTTGAAGCTGCTCAAACCCTGAGGCGGGAGAGGAAAGGAGGGGTAGCAGATGTGCTGGTTCTTTTCCATCTGTCCCCATCCTGGAGGTACGGCCCTGGCCTGTGTCTGTGTCCTGGCAGGCTGACCTCCCTGGGCCACTCATCAGCTGGCTTCCTGCTGGGGTCAGCCGATGGGAAGGTCAGGCAAGAGATGGGAGGGCGGGCAGAGAGAAGTCAGCATATCTTCTCCCATTCCTTCTAACAGCTCCTGCCCAGTGGTCCCTCATTAGTGGCTCCCACTCTCCTTGGCTCTGCTACAGCGTTTCCTTCCCTGGTTCCTCAGGGTGGTCAACTCCTTCCTGGGGACCTCAACACTCCTGGCCGGTTCTCTCTACCTCCTTCATTCACAGTTGACCCATCTGAGTTGGAGTCTGTCTCCTGTCAGAACCCTGACCTGAGACATGGGAATGGCAGCCATGGGGTAAACATAGATAGCATCTTACACATACTTCCATTTACTGGGCAGAATTTTACAAGGAAACGTAAATATATACATTTTTACAACATGTATTACACACTTCTCCACCTCTTTCATGTTAGAACATGTAATTACATTTCATGTAATACACGTTAGAATATTTGTTGTAAAATGTATATATATACGTTTATGTCACCACATATATACTTTTGAAAGCAACAGACCTTCAACAAACACCAATCTTCAAGCCCCCAAAACCACTGCCAGGTCGGTTTGCTCCTTGTTCTCTGGGATCTTCCCTTGGAAAGGACGCTTTACTAGGAGGAACGAAGGCTGCCTCAGCCTAAGTCTGCTTTGTAAATGGAAGTAAAATTAAGGTGAATTTCTTGATTGCCTCAAGGGAATTGGTGGTCTGGGCTGCAGAGGCAACAGCAACTTAAGCTGGAGACAGGGAAGGGGAAAGGGAAGGGGTGGGATCAGACCTCAAAAAGGGTGGAGCAAGCAGGAGAGCCCACAAGAGCCATGTGACCTAGAGGAAGGGGACAGAAGAATGAGAGTCCTCACAGCCCTTCGGGGGGAAGAGTCCTGTACTTTTACTACTTTCGGAATAAAGAGTCAGTTCTTTGGAAAAGGCCCCACTCTCAGGCCAGCATATTTCGTTATGAAAGCGGTGGAGAAGTGTGTAATACATGTTAGAATATTTGTTGCAAAATCTGTAATTTAAAAATTCCCCACACCAAAAGTGAAGAAGCATCAGTTATTTAAAAGAAAATCACAACTGCCAGGTGGTGGTGCAACCTGTAATCCCAGCTACTCAGGCTGCTGAGGTGGGAGGATTGTTTGAGCCCAGGAATTTGGGTCTAGCTTGGGCAACATAGTGAGACCCTGTGTCTAATTTTTAAAAAATAAATGAAATAAAAACATAAATGTATCTTATTCCCTGGCAATGCTGGATAAAGGAAGGGTTAACAATGATCTCTTGGCTCAAATTTCCTTCAGTTGAACCCGGACGTGAGGCAACTGCAGCTTCTAAGGGAATGTGCATAAAAGGAGAAGCTTCTGGGAGAGAACAGTGCAAAGTCACTAAGTAAAAGTGGAGTCAACTGGGGAGTCATCCCAGGCCCCCTTCCAAACACCCAGGGCACTCGAATCCCTTTCCTTCCTCCTCATCACTCTCACATATTATGCTCCTGCTAAGTTTTCACTGAGAAACAGATTCTGAAGTCAAAAAACGTTTGAATACTACTGGTTTAGATTTATCACAGACGTGTACATGAAATGCTATATGCATAAGTAAGAGACTGCCTTTACCTTGTAATATCAACCTGATTGTCCTTAAATGCATTTTCATTCTGATGTAGAAGGCCTGTCTTTAATTATTTCTAATCATTTAATTTTTGAGACAAAATAAAAACATCAGAAGGCATTAGAAATTAGCAAGAATCAGACAGCTCATCTGCTTACCTGCTATCCCCAGCATTTGCAACATACAGCTTCCCCAAAAGGCAAATCACAATGAGGGCCGTGCAGCCACCAGATATATTATATGAACTCCTCTCTCGTTCTATCTGTAGGTCCTGGAGAATAAAACAGAGTTAGTGTTGGATTGTGCAGGATGTGTAGCAAAAGCTTTCTCACTTTCATTCTCTTGACAGTCCCCAGACTCTGAATGTGCTTCAAGAAGGGACTAGAAAAATCTTTAGTGCTTGCTTTCCTACCACCTGATGAGCATTTCTGGAGAGGACACTGGCATAAAACTGCCACATATTAGACCATCTGTGAACCAGAGACAGGAAACAATAGACAGCAAACAGAAACAATCAGACAAAAATGCAAATAAAATGTAAGTTGTATTCAGTAAATATCACAGCTTATGGAAAATTTAGTCTTTGTGGATTGCATGAGCTACCATGTGAAACATACACTAGAGAGGCTGAGGATGACAAGTACTTGGACCTGATCAATGTTTTGTTTGTTTTTTGAAGACAGGATCTGGCTCTGTCACCCAGGCTAGAGTGCAGTGGCCCAATCTTGGCTCACTGCAACCTGTGCTTCCCAGGCTCAAGCAATCCTCCCACCTCAGCCTTCCGAGTACCTGGGACCACAGGTGCGCACCACCATGCCCGGCTAATTTTTGTATTTTTTGTAGAGATGGGGTCTTGCCACATTGTCCAGGCTGGTCTCGAACTCCTGTGCTGAAGCAATCTGCCTGCCTCGGCCTCCCAAAGTGCTGGGATTACAGGCATGAGCCACTGCGCCCAGCCTTGTCTTTTTAGAGAAGGTTTGCTCTGTCACCCAGGCTGGAGTGCAGTGGTATGATCATAGCTCACTGCAGCCTTGACCTCCTGGGCTCAAGCCTCCTGCCTTAGCCTCCTGAGTAGCTGGGACTACAGGTCTGTGCAGCCACCACACCCAGCTAACTCCTCCATTTTTTGTGGGGACAGGGTCTCACTATGTTGCCCAGGCTGGTCTCAAACTCTTGGCCTCAAACAATCCTGTCTCAGCCTCCCAAAGCACTGGGCCACCATACCCAGCCCAGATATGATCAATGTTTTAAACTCCAAAGTCTTGGATAAATAGTCTCTTTTACAGATAAATTACAGAAAGATGTCTTCTATTCAACACAGGCAGGAGTCAAGCCATGACTTATAGGGCAAAGACTTACAATGACTTATAAATGACTTAAAATGACTTAAATAAATTATAAATGACTTATAATGACTTAAATGACTTCAAATGACTTATAGGGCTTCTGAACTCTGACCTGACTTTTCCTCTTCCCACAGCCACCAATTTACAATGGTAAAACGTTTATAATAATTAGAAACATTCATTGAGAACTTTCTCTACGTCACGTAGTGTGCTGAGCACTTTATACTCAAACTCTCATATCGTCCTCAAGACCATCACTATGAACCTCATTGTTTAGTTGCAGAGAAGTGGGGTAGCCTGCCCATATTTACCTGGCTAGAGTCTGGATTCCAACCTGCTTCTCTTCCAAAGTTTGTGTTGTTACCTGCCACCTAATGAGGCCTCCCCAAGGAATTGATATTAAAAATAGACCAACACTGGCATCATCAAGACAGATACCTGTGAAATTCTGTGTTAGCGATAGAAGCAAAGGTTCTGTTACCTCAGAAAAATCTGTGTTAGTAAGATACATTGAATGCCTGGCTAAAATAATGCCAAATCTTCCAGTGGTAATCTACTACTTTTGGTGCAGAGGGAAGGAAAATGAGGGCTGGCTAAAAATTACAGGAAGAGGAAGAAACGGTGACGTTGATGCTGTTGTTGGCAGATCTAGGGTCAGGCCACTATTGTAATCCTGAGAATCCCACAGAGTTAGAGCTCAGCTGCTTCAACCAGACTCCTCATGGAAAAGGGGGAGAGAAGTCAAGACCCCAGCATTTACCAGCAACTGCTTTGCTCTAGGGGCCAGAGATGGTAACATAAAAAGGGTAAATCACCAATGGGAAACTGGAAACAGAAGAGCTTGAGCTTAGGGATATCATATTGGTTAAAGAGCAAATGGAAGCCAGGCACGGTGGCTAACGCCTGTAATTCCAATACTTTGGGAGGCAGAGACAGGAGGTCACTTGAGGCTAGGAGTTCAAGACCAGCCTGGGCAACATAGTGATACCCCCATCTCTATAAAAAATAATTAGCTGGGTGTGGTGGCACATGCCTGTAGTCTTAGCTACTTGGGAGGCTGAGGACAGAGGATCTCTTGAGCCCAGGAGTTCGAGGCTGCAGTAAGCCATGATCATGCCACTGTGCTTTAGCCGGGGTGACAGAGCGAGACCCTGTCTCAAAAACAAAAACAAAATAACAACAAAAACCAGTAAATAGAGAAAAAACACAAAGCCAGGACTTGGGAGAGACCAACACACTGGGAGAGAGCTGGGTAAGAGATTGCGGGAGGGGAACTGGAGAGCCACGGGGAGGAGGTAGGAATATGTGTTGGGGGATGTAGTGGTTTATAAACAAGTGAGGAAACACTTCAATATGGGAGTGAACAGCAGCAGCAAAAGCTGCAGAAGCATCAAGCATGGGGCAAACTTCAAAGGACTATGTGGGATTTTTAACATTTACTTCAACTGTGTATAAATTAGCTTTCTTAAAGGACTGTCGTAAGGCTAAATTAGCTGGCATGTGTGAGGGGCTTAGTAGGATATCTGGACCCTTCCCGCAGCCCAGAAGCTTCAACATTGAGAGCGGTGGCCTTTCTTGCTCATCTTAGACCCTCAACACCTAGGTTAGGCCAGGTAAATGGTAGTTTAATAAATATCTGTTCAATGGACAAATGAAGAAATAAATTTTAAATTTTTTTTATCTGCCTCTCCCCTTACCTCTGCCTTAATATGAAAAATGGATTCCACAATTCACAAATGAAAAGCTTACAATGCCAACGCTCGCTGAGATAATAATTAAGCAGAAACCCATGCTTCAATTAAAATGCTTGACTGCCAAGAATGGTTATCAGAACCTACACAAGACTGGTAGAAGGCTGGAGGATGAGGAGGAGGGGCACGGGTGTCAGGTGGGAAGAATTATCTCAAGCAAATAGAAGAGAGGAGAAGGAAAACATCAAGATGCCTGTTTAACCTCCAAGAAAACCCATAAAAACAGAACCCCAAACCCTACTAAGGGGTTTGTGGATGGAATTGCTACTTTTTTTGCATTTAAAGAACGCATATAAAGTTGATACTATGATAGATACATATTTTACTGAATTATATAAGTTGATAAAGAGTCTGCATCCAATACATCAAAAGGAACTGCTCAGCTACAGAGACTATTTTTTCACTGTCAGAATCAATATTTGCTTGAATACCTAAAAGGCTGAAAGACAATATTTATTAAAAATTATTTGAAAACGCCGGGCGTGGTGGCTCATGCCTGTAATCCCAGCCCTTTGGGAGGCTCAGGCAGGTGGATCACCTGAGGTCAGGATTTTGAGACCAGCCTGATCAACATGATGAAACCCTGTCTCTACTAAAAATACAAAAAAAGTTAGCTGGGTATGGTGGTGTGCACCTATAGTCCAAGCTACTTGGGAGGCTGAGATAGGAGAATTGCTTGAACCCGGGAGCCGGAGGTTGCAGTGAGCCAAGATCGCACCACACCACTGCACTCTAGCCTGGGCAACAGAGCGAGACTTCATCTCAAAAAATTATCTGAACACCTACTGCTTGTATACTGTCTATAGACTAGAATGTGAATGATGTTTGTTTGATAGACTTGATCAAACCACTAGTATGATCCAAAAGGTAGAAACGTTATGGTGCAAAAAGTCCACGTAACAGGGCCGTCCACGGCAACAAATTCCTTTGGGACTCAGTTAAGCAAGTTCGGGCTACACCACAGGTAGGTACATTATTTATCATGGTTTCTATCACAAGAAATTCTGCTTAGAAAATTATGTAATGCTTAGGGGAAAAAATCAAGGTAAAGAGCTCAGCACTAAAACTTTTCTGCTTTAACTTTGGGGGAAACATTCCAGTTAGCTTACCCATTTAACCCCTTGGTATTATATTAATAGTGTGACTCAATATTTTTTTTCTAACTGATTTCATTATTTCTTTCACCTTTTTCTACGTTCAGCTACATTCCCTCTGTAGCTCCCCCTGAATAAGGAATGCTAAATTTGGCAGCACTTTCTCATAAAGAGTGAACTTAAGTACTTTTTAATCCAAGAAACTTTGCTAACATGTGCATGCGTTTGCCACTTCCCTCCCCCACATTTGTGTGGGAACATAAGTGTGCATACATGCACATGTGCACACACACACTTTAATTACAAGTGTCCTCTCTGGGATCATGGTGGGAAGGATTTGAAAGACGTGTTTCCATAGACTTCATCCCCCTGAAGGATTCACTGTCGTTAAAACACACTCTTCTATTTCTTCTAAAACCGTGTGCAACTAGAACATATTCTAAAAATAATTGCTTCCCTCCCCCTCCTCCCTAGAAGCCAAAATAGCACATTTATTTTTTCCCTACATACACCACCTACTCCTCTTTAAAAGATGTTTCACAAAATCTTAGTACTGAAAGGAACATTAAAGGACCATCTGGGTGGTTCTTTTACTATCAGAGCAAACATGATATATTAAGTCAATAAAGATACATTTACCATTGCATTATCTACCTTTTTTCTTCAAATCCTCACCTTTCAGATTAGATTAAGTTTTTAATATTCTACATAATAAATAAAAACATGGAAGTATTTTCTTAAAAACCTCAAGTTTTTGGTATTTTTACAAAAATCAATGAAACCACGGGAAAAACTGCTTACTGCTTTGTGCTAAGCAAGGACTGATTTAGAATATCTCCCTATTTTTGCTGTCAATGAACCCCGAGCCCTGTGTCTAGAATAAACTGATTAGCAAAACACATGCATATACTATCATTCAAGTATGGTCTAAAAGGATCGATTAAATGACTCTTAAGATTCAATTAACAAGATAATTGATTTATCTGCTTAATCAATAGTCCTGAAGACCTTGCAGGGCAACTTTCTAGGTAGCAGGACTGAGTTATCTTCTGTTGTGTCTGCTTAAACACAACATTTAAGCGAGGTTAATCTTTAAATCAAACAATGGATCCAGTTTTTAAGATGTGGGATTTTATTTTGCTCCTTGTTGCAAGGAGAAACGGGAGCCGAGAAAGCAAACAGAGGGCCGGGCGCGGTGGCTCACGCCTGTAATCTCAGCACTTTGGGAGGCCGAGGCAGGCAGATCACCTGAGGTCGGGCAGTGGAGACCAGCTTGACCAACACGTAGAAACCCCGTCTCTACTAAAAATACAAAATTAGCCGGGTGTGATGGCGCATGCTTGTAACCCCAGCTACTCGGGAGGTTGAGGCAGGAGAATTGCTTGAACCCGGGAGGTGGAGGTTGCGGTGAGCCCAGATCGCGCCAAGCCAAGATCGCGTCATTGCACTCCAGCCTGGGCAACAAGAGAGAAACTCCGTTTCAAAAAAAAAAAAAAAAAAAAAAGGCAAACAGAGATGTGTGTGCAATGAGACTAATTCAGCAGGAAAGAAGTGCAAGAGAAAAATATTGCCCGGGATGGTAATAATTTGGTTTGAAAGTCTCATAGATGATGCAACTCCAAGGTCATTCTTTGTTTCCTACCAATTTCAGGTTGCAAAAGGAAAGCAATATCTGGTAGCAGAAAGGAGCAAGTGTTGGGTAGTTTCAATAGGACCTGGCAGCTCCCCCTAGCTGAGTTAAAACACGGCTCTGAGCACATTGCTAATAGTGTCAGTCACAAATAATCAGATTCTGCATGGTTTTAGTATCCAAATCTGATCCCAGTTTATTCTGAGAACAAGGCCATCTGCCAGCCAGGCAATGGGGAAGAAAAGCCAGCACTCTACTGCCTACTATTGCCACCTGCCGGCTGCTGGTGGAATCACATGCTCATTCCTTCCTAGAGAAACTTCCCGTTCTAACAAAAACAAAGAGAACAAAACCAACTTAAATTTAAGACAGCTATGTGGGTTCCCAATTTACCATTAACATGCTAATTTTGGAAAACACTAATTTATTTATTATAATTAATCTATAAACACTAATTTATAGATTTCTAAACTATAAACTTTGCCCCCTTTTTGTCACAATGTCACCATGTATTTATAAGGTTTTTATCAACAAAGTCTAGCTGCTTGGTATTTCCAATCATTTACCCAGTGATGGAATTACATATAGTAGTTCCATAAGTTAAAATATTGCCATTTTCTTCCCTTCCTAAGAACCGACTCTGGTGGGGAATCTAGACCCACTCTTAAAAGGAAATAGAACTCTGAGATCCTCCCGGCTATGTCCAGAGCTCAAATCCCATAGTTAACAGGTTAAAACGGTAATCACTGCTAACTTGGTTCTGATCCCTAGGAGGGCAAAGGCTTCCTGTAACTAACCCTGCAGTGGAATCGACTTCCTCCATGAGTCTGAAATGTTGATTATTCAACCATGTTTTTGGGAGGGTGGAGAAGTAGGGAGGAGGTTTGAAATCAGGACTTAGAAGACACTTGTCTTATTTATACCTATTGTCCTGGGCCAAGCGACAATATAAATATAATAGGTGACAAAACAGAGCTAAGCCAGGCCTTGCTGGGAAGCAGAATTGAAGTCAGTCGGAAAATTCCTGAGATTTTGGTCCTTTAGGAAGCCATGGCTCACTTTTCATAGTGGACACAGGAGGGATTCGCTACATAGCCTTCACACTATGAAGGAAGATCTGAGATACAATCAGGGGGTTGTAGGGGCACACCTACCTCTGACAGTGTACACAGTAAGTATTAAAAACCAGTGGTCATAGGTCACCTTCACCACAAGCCCCAAGCTGTGCCAGGCAACCCGAGGACCAAAGATGAAAAGCACTGCTCTCAAAGAAGCTTATAGTATTTGATGAAACTGTTACCATCTCCCCTCATTGGAAGCATTTTTTTCTCTTCTGTTCGTCTGTATTTTGTGACTAGTACCTACTTTTTCCCCAGAAATAGGTACTATTTATTTTGACTTGAGTGTTTCTGAACATTTTTAACAGTGTATCCCTTTTGGAAAGGTGTCAACATTTCACTACCTCCTTTTGTTATTTAGAATATCAAAATAAATAAGATATTGCATATTTCTATATTCATATAATGTGGGACTACAAATGCCCCCAGATAAAATATATATATATATATATTTTTGAGACAGAGAGTCTTGCTCTGTCACTCAGGTTGGAGTGCAGTGGTGCGATCTCTGCTCACTGTAAGCTCCGCCTCCCGGGTTCACACCATTCTCCTGCCTCAGGCTCCCGAGTAGCTGGGACTACCGCCCACCACCACGCCCAGCTAATTTTTTTGTATTTTTAGTAGAGACGGGGTTTCACCGTGGTCTCAATCTCCTGACCTCGTGATCCACCTGCCTGGGCCTCCCAAAGTGCTGGGATTACAGGCGTGAGCCACCACGCCCAGCCTTGTTTTGTTTTTGAGACAGAGTCTCGCTCCGTTGCCCAGGCTAGGGTGCAGTGGTGTGATCTCGGCTCACTGCGACCTCTGCCTCCGGAATTCAAATGATTCTCATGCCTCAGCCTCCCAAGTAGCTGGGATTGCAGGCATGTACCACCACGCCTGGCTAAATTTTTAATAATTTTAGTAGAGACAGGGTTTCGCCATGTTGGTTAGGCTGGTCTCGAACTCCTGGCCTCAAGTGATCTGCCCACCTGGGCCTCCCAAAGTGCTGGGATTATAGGTGTGGACCAAAGTGCCTGACCATAAGATCTTATGTTTTACTTCCTCAGTGGTGTCTAAAAGAATACTGATTTTAAGATGTAAGCTCAATAAATACTAGTGACTGAGAAGAGCAGTTCTTAGTGAAAACAACACAAACTGTTTTTCCTCTGTTCTCATCCCACAACAACCAATACAGAAGACTTCTGTGACCAAATGTGTGAGAGTTTTCCCCCACATAACCAGCAAGCAATCAGTTCTGCAGAAGACACCAGCTGGGCGTCCTCCAGTTCAATTCCACACAATTATGTACTTGGAGATAGCATCAGATTTCACAGGTTGAGGGCTCAGTCCCCCAACTGACTCCCACTTCTGATGCCAGTCGCAAGCCCCAGGTTGGTTTACCTGTGCTTCTGACTGACCAGCTATAAATCTGGGTTCCCAAGACCCCCCTCTCCTAAGGTTCGATTAATTTGCTAGAGTGGCTCACAGAAATCAGGAAAAATTTACTTACATTTGCTAGTTCATTATAAAGGATATTACAAAGGATATGGATGAAGAGATGCATACGGTGTGGAGCTTCCATGCCCTCACTTGGCACGTGACCCTCCAGGGACCTCCACATGTTCAGCTACCCAGAAGCTCACTGAGCCCTATTCTCTTGGGCCTTTATGGAGACCTCATTACATAGGCACGAGTGTTTAAATCATCAGCTGTTGGTGATCAACTCACCCTTCAGCCCTTCTCCCCTCTCATGAGGTTGAGGATGCGTGCACCCGTGTGCGCGCACACACACACACAAATTATTGGGGCAAATCTAAATTAGGCTATTCTTTCATTTTATTCACATTAATACACCTGACATCTACATTATCAACGGCAGTTTACTGTGTGATTCTACTTAGTTGCACAGCCCTCTAATCCTGCCTTGGTCTTTTTGATGAACAGACCCCATCCAGAAGCTACCCAGGGGCTGCCAGCCACCAGTCATCTCATTAGGATACAAAAAGATACTTATCACTTTGAAGATTTCAAGGATTTTAGGAGTTGTATGTCAGGACATGGAGTTGAAGACAGAATATCATAATATCACAGCATTCCATTGAGGGACAAGACAAACAGATGGAGACAGACAAGCAGGTAGACAGAAACAAAGAGAGTCCAAAGAATTCTGATTCCACATTGTTGAGCTCTTATAAATAAAGCAAAAACTCCCAGTGAAGGAGAAGCTCTGCTTTTAAGGATATTGTGACACTCAGAATCTCCAGAGGGACAGCTGCATAAATGTCATCAGTGAGGCAAATTAGAGGCTTAGGTGCAAGGCTTGGGGAACTTTACTTTTAGGGATTAAAAGTGGAAGAGAAGGCAAGAGAGCCACAAAGCTGAAATGCCTATATGACAACTCTTACTTAATATTGAATTTCCTATTATAGAAAATCAATGGCACAAAACCCGCAATACCTAAAGGACATCTAGAAACAGGAAAATTAGAGAGTGGGTGGCTACTGCGGTGAAAAAAAAAGTTTAGGAATGATCTGGAAAATTCAAAGCTGTCCTGCTATAGACAGCTGTGTGAACTGTCCTCGGGTTGCCTGGCACACCGTGGCGCTTGTGGGCATTTCAAAAAACCAAAGGTTTACACGGTAAGACAATGACTCTCAAAAACCTAATATTGAGAGGGGGAGGAAAGAAAAAGGAGTTGGCAATGGCCTTCCAGCTATTATTTTGAAGCTGGTATAATTTCTGTGCTGTGGATTCTGAAGCTCACCTTAAGCAATTTGATAAGGTTAAGACAGGCATTGTTTCTATGAAACAGGAGTGTAGTTTCTCTGAAATCTCTGATGACGCAAAGAAAAACAAGAGCATCTGTGATTAAACAGAAGACTTATCATTCCAAAGAAGGTCACATCTGAGAGTGAAATGGGAGAGTATTAACAATTAAGACAGCAGGCACCCACTGACCCAGTCCCCAGCAAAGCACAAGGTATGGCCACCCTTCCAGGTGCCATGAGAACCAAAGAATGGTGAGCTTCTCACTTAATAAGGCCAACCAGAAAGGTGCTGTAAACCAAAAGGTATCTGAGACAGGTCTCAATCCATTCAGTTTATTTTGCCAAGGGTAAGGACATGCCTGGAAGAAAAAAAACACAGATCACAGAGACAGTCTGTAGTCTGTACCTTTCTCCAAAGATGAATTTGAAGGCTTCAGTATTTAAAGGGGAAAAGTGGGCCGGAGGGGAAAGAGGGAGGGTATGGTCATCCACATATTCCAAGAGAAAAGGAGCAGGTAGGGGATAGTCTGGGGCTCTGGAAATCAATAAATCAACACTTTGCGTGAGGTAAGGTGAACACAGAGTAGCTACCTGTGGAGATATTCAACCATTCATCTGTAGTATCTGCTTAGGAACAAAAGGAAACAGTTTCTTCCACGACTCAGCTTTCAGCTTAATTTTTTTTCCTAGTGATTTCCAATTTCCATAGTGGATTGGGGGCCCAGTTTTTATTTTCCTTTCACAGTGCAAAGCCCCGGTAAGCTGTAGGCAGGTTGGGGACCTAGACAGACAATCTGGGGGGAAAAAGTGTGAAGAGGAAGCTAGGGCATGGGGGTAAACCTGAAAGGAACAAACAGGGAAGAGACATAGCTTAAAGCTAAAGGTTCATGATATGGCACATCTGGGCCTGGGTCTCCACAGGGGCACTCCAGCCTTCCTCCTCATTCACCTGCCATTGCTACATTTAAGATCTATCTTCCCACCACAGCAATGGTGGCTTACTGGCTTTGGCCTACCTGGGTTTTTTCTCAGGCTCGGTTTGTTACCCAGGTTTCCTGAGCCCCAGGGCATTCATTCTCCCAACCCTGCCCTGCACATGTCTGCTCTACTCCTGAGCCCCCACACCCCAGCATCACCTCCCCAGGGAACCTTTCCCTTCATCTCTTTACCAGACTCCTGCATCACCCTGTATTTCCCCTCTCAAGGCTCCTCCCATTTATATTTTACTTGTTTAACACCCTTCTTTGCCTAATCGGCTCAATATTCTTTTCCCAGTCAGGCCTGGCTTCTAGTTGGTTCTCAACAAATATTACTGATTGAATGAATTACACATGAAAATGAAGCAAACAATTGTTGTTTTTGCTGGTGACTAAGTTTCCAAGAAAAATTTGAGGTAATGAATTGGTTCATTAAAAGTAGAAATATTTTAAAAATGAGCCTCTTAAGTATTTTTCTGAATGAACCTTTCTTTGCCAGCACAGTTGTTAAGAGCAACCCTGAGCCATTAATGGGCAGGAACAGCCTGAGACCCCTGTGGAGTCCTGAGTCAATGTGACATTGGCCTCTAGTGGACAAAATTGAGAATGCAGCAGCTCCAGGTAAAAGATGTCCTGTGGCACTAGTCACAACTGAAGGAAATGAAAATCTCAACGTTTCCTTTATTTTTCACTTCTACCATGCAAACTGAATTACATTACATTACATTACAAGGAGAGCCCATTGTCAAATTTTTGCCTAAATAATTAAAAAAATAAATTCAATACTTGGCATTCTGAGTATTAGTGTCTAGAAACATTTATTGACATCAGAGCCTCTACAGAGGCAGAGAGTGAGATTTTACACCACGACTGAGTGGGAGTCAATTTTCCTACCTTAATTCCCTTTTTCCTAAATAATCTTTTCCAGCCTCCTGGTATTTTCATTGGGATTGCAGGGTTGCAGGCTATCAGACAGTCTTGAGATAGAAGTGCATTTTATTTTTACATTTTTATTCTTAATTTTATTTTTTAAGAGATGGGGTTTTGCTGTGTTGCACAAGCTGGAATACAGTGACAAAAAAGCACTGGAGATATAACCTGATCTGGGCTAGGTCACCCCTCCTCAGGCATCCCGGTGGTGCTCTGCTCCAAGGAGGTCACCACATTGACACTGAACCCACATGACAGCTCAGAACTCCTGGGCTCAAACAATCCTCCGGCCTCAGCCTCCTGAGTAGCTGGAATGACAGGCATGCACCACTACCACGCCCAGCAAGGTGCATTTTAAACCACCTGCTAGTCAAAGGGTAAATGTTATCTCTGTAACAAGGAGAGAAAAAGCTGAGACCAAAGAAGGGACACGTTTAAATAAAAAGAGGATGCAAATTTGAGGGGTGAATATATGAACTATTTTTGCCTTACAAACAAATCAGATGACGATATGTATAGTCATTATTTACTTTCCTTCTTAGCACACTACCTGATGCCGTGAGATCCTGGAACATGCACCATGTGCCTATCCGGTTCTGGCAAGACGCTTCTAGCTGTTTTGACTTCATTTAACAGCTTCTCATCACTTTGTAATCTCCAGGTTTTTTTTTTTTGTTTATTTGTTTTTTTGAGATGGAGTCACGCTGTTGTTGCCCAGGCTGGAGTGCAGTGGCATGATCTCAGCTCACTGCAACCTCTGCCTCCTGTATTCAAGCAATTCTCCTGCCTCAGCCTCCCAAGTAGCTGGGATTACAGGCATGTGCCACCACGCCCGACTAATTTTTTTGTATTTTTGGTAGAGACGGGGTTGCACCTTATTCACCAGGCTGGTCTCGAACTCCTGACCTTGCGATCCACCCACCTCGACCTCCCAAAGTGCTGGGATTACAGGCATGAACCACCGTGCCCGGCCTGTAATCTCCAGGTTTTAAGGCCATGACTGCCCACTTGCCTAACTCAAGCCCTTATAAATATCCTTAAATATCTCTTATTCTTTATCTGTATGCAGGCTGCCGAGCAAGAAATAAAATCTTTAAAACCAAAATAATTGGCTTAGGATAAAGTAAGCTCACAGAGGGAAAGAGCTGGCATAGAACAAAGCAGAGGCGGCTTCTATGTGCACTCCTGCCAGGCAGAGGGGCAGCAAGGGACAGCGAGAGCTGTGGCACTCTCCCGAGGACATGCTCAGGAGTGAGGCCAACAGCGAAGGATGATGAACTCCCGATCAGACCCATTCAGATGGAAACGAACAGACAAATCCACATGCCTGGGTAAGACTAAGACTTCTTGGATATTGGCCCCTGGCTCTGTTCTCCTCCAGCACTTTGTCTGCAGTGTGAACCACATTCCCAGTTGTGGTAAAACAGCCGTTCTTAGATCACATCTGTATAGGATGGGGACTTTTGAGCACTTTCCTAAACCCTGTTTCCCCCAACACCGGACTTTATACACATCTGTAAAACAGATGGTGATCATGCTCACATCTAAGTGCAATCGTACCAGCTGGCATCAATATGAATATAGGAAATAAAAGCAATAAGGCCTGTATTTAATAAGCCTCTGACCTCATGCACTGTCCCCCTCTTTCATCTTCTTTTACTTTTTTTTTTTTGAGACGCAGTCTCGGTCTGTTGCTCAGGCTGGAGCACAGTGGCGCAATCTTGGCTCACTGCAATCTCTGTCTCCCAGGATCAAACAATTCTCC
The DNA here is from genome assembly GCF_000001405.40 of Homo sapiens. Lineage (NCBI taxonomy): Eukaryota > Metazoa > Chordata > Mammalia > Primates > Hominidae > Homo > Homo sapiens. The sequence goes on from NC_000012.12 coordinate 62,801,429, forward strand.
CACCTCAGCCTCCCGAGTAGCTGGGATTACAGGCAACGGCCATCATGCCCGGCTAATTTTTGTATTTTTGTAGAGACGGGGTTTCACTATGTTGACCAGGCTGGTCTTGAACTCCTGACCTCCTGCCTCGGCCTCCCAAAGTGCTGGGATTTCAAGCGTGAGCCACCGCACTCAGCCTTCTTTTACATTTTTGCCAGCACTTGATGCCAGGAACTCTGTCTGCTGCCAATTTCTATTGGGAATGGAAGCCCCATTATCACAGGGGGCCGTCCAGGTGGAGCCAGGCAGCAAAACCGTGCGCTTTCTGGGAGCCCTCCAGGAAGGACGGACAGACCTGGCGCAGGCGCCAGCCTGGCCCTGCTGCCCCAGACTCCCAGGAATACCTACCATTTCCTTGAATGCACTTTCAAGCGCTCCGATGACCAGGCACTCATGGGGAATCTTCTTCTCGGTAAAGAAGCGTGTGGGGGGCGTGCTGGGGGAGCCCGGGGCCCCCACCCCTCCGCGCAGGGAGGCTGCCCGGGTCAGAGTCCGGCTGTTGGCGGGCGTGTTCTCAGGCTCCTCCCCCAGGCAGGTAGGGGGCAGGACGGCGGAGTTCTTCAGGATGTCCACGATGTCCTGCAGCTGCTCCGTGATGTGGTGCTGCAGCAGGCGTGACGCCACCACCGCGGCCCCGGACCCCGCGTGCCCGTCAAACAGCGACCAATAGTGGCAGGAAACACCCTCGGATTCCTGTGGGAGAGGACGACAGGGAGGAGTGAGAACGGCTGTGGACTTTGCCTCAGGGTCATACAGATTGTGGGACATCTATGGGACTGAGGGTCCACTTGGTTGTCTGTCGTCTGCAAACAATGCGGTCAAAACATAGCAAACAAAACAAAATAAAACAAACAAAAACAAAAACAAAAAAAACACTCAGGGAAGGGTCCCCAAATGAGCCATTGTTGTTACTAGCACCAGAAGGATGAAGCGGTCTCTGCCTCCCCACCTAGCAAGGGAGCCCAAATGATCATACACTAAGCTACTACTTGGAGGGTGAGATCTACTCTAATTTGAAGTGTAGGTGTTTGCATAAAACTCTCCTACAAACAGACAAGTCTGTACGAGTCCAGCTTGAACACCTAACTCCTTAACTCCCGTCTTTTTTTTTTTTTTGACAGAGTCTCACTCTGTGGCCCAGGCTGGAGTTCAGTGGCGCGATCTAGGCTCACTGCAACCTCCACCGCCCAGGTTCAAGCGATTCTCATGCCTCAGTCTTCTCATGCCTCAGCCTCTGGAGTAGCTGGGACTACAGGCGCGTGCCACCACACCAGGCTAATTTTTTTTTGTATTTTTAGTAGAGATGGGGTTTCACCATGTTGCCCAGGCTGGTCTCAAACTCCTGGCCTCAAGTGATCCACCCACCTTGGCCTCCTAAAGTGCTGAGATTATCCCAAAGGGCTGGGATTACAGGCGTGAGCCACCGTGCCTGGAACCTCCCATCTATTTCAACCCCAGAGTAGGTTTGATCTGGGGCCTTGGAAAAACGCCCTTTCTCAGGTTTTCCAACGGGAAATAAGTAGACCCATTTTCCCCTTTTAGAGCCCTTAAATGCTGGGATAATTGTCCCATCTTTCTTGGTCTACATCCTGAATTTTTAGAACATGTTTTCACCCTAGACAGCCAGTCTAGCCCAGGCCTCACAAGATGCAGCCAATTCAAATCTCCTCTTTATACTTCCCACCTCCCTTAGTTCTCCAGCTGATGTCACTCTCGGTCTCTCCATTCCTTCTTCTTGCCTTACAGCTACATGCAACCCGTGTTCCCTCATCTACGTTGGGTTTAGTGGCTGCTGGTGGATTTCTAGACTACTTCAAGATGAGCACTTTTGAACCCATGTTTGAATTACACACGTGTTAGATCTTAGAGAAAAGGAGCTCAATTATGACATAGCTGATAGAATAGAGAGCTCAGAAATAAACCCACACATATGTTGTCAACTAATCTTTGACAAGGGTACCAAGAATACACATTAGGGAAAGAAGAGTGTCTGCAATAAATGGTATTAGGAAAAGTGAATATCCACATGCAAAAGAATGAAATTGGGCCCTATTCTTATATCATATACAGAATCCAACTCAAAATAGCCTAAAGACTTAGATGTAAGACGTGAAATCATAAAACTCCTAGAAAAAAACATGGGGGAAAAAAACTCCTTGATATTGGTCTTGGCAATGATTATTTAGATATGATACCCAAAGCACAGGCAATGAAGCAAAAACAAACAAGTGGGACTACATTAAACTAAAATGTTTCTGCGCAGCAAAGGAAGTAATCAACAAAACCAAAAGGTAGGTAGCCTATGGCATAAGAAAAAACCCTTGCAAAGCATGTGTGTGATAAGGGGTTAATTTTCAAAATACACAAGAAACTCCTACAATTCTATTGCAAACAAAACAAAACAAGCAAGCCGATGAAAAAATGGGCAAAGGGCTTGAAGAGACATTTCATCAAAGATGACATAAAATAAATGGCCAGCAGGCTTGTGAAAAGATGCTCACCATCGATACCTTTCATAAAACTCAGTGAACTGAAATTAAGGACCTTCCCCAACCAGATAAGGGGCATCTAGGGAAAACCTTTAGCTCATATCATATTTCATGGTGAAATACTGCATGCTTTCCCATAACACTGGGCAAAACAAAAAAAGTATGCTCTCACTACTTCTATTCAATATGATACTGGAAGGTTCTAGATAGGCAAGAAAAAAGAAAAGGCCTAAAGATTGTATAAGAAAATAGCTGGGCACAGTGGCTCACGCCTGTAATCCCAGCTACTCAGAAAGTTGAAATGGGAGAATCCCTTGAATCGAGGAGAAGGAGGCTGCAACAGGCCAAGATCTTGCCACTGTATTCCAGCTGGGGTGACAGAGTGACCCTGTCTCAAAAAAAAAAGATTGTTTAAGAAAATAAAGTTGCATTTATCCTGGCTTTGAGCAATTTGAGCATGATGTACCTTAGTGTCATTTTCTTCATGTTTCATGTGCTTGGAGTTTGTCTTTCTAGATCTGTGGACTTACAGTTATTTCATATGATTTAGAAAAATTTCACCCATTATTTCTTAAAAAAAATTTTTTTTGGTATCCTTCTCTCTTTTCTCCTTGGAAGAATCTAATTACACCTGTAGTAGTCCCTAGAGGTTGTCCCATAGCTCATTAAGGATGCTTTCATTTTTTTAATGCTTCATTTTGGTTAATTTCTTTTTTTTTCTTTTTTTTTTTTTTTTTGAGACGGAGTCTCGCTCTGTCGCCCAGGCTGGAGTGCAGTGGCGGGATCTCGGCTCACTGCAAGCTCCGCCTCCCAGGTTCACGCCATTCTCCTGCCTCAGCCTCCCAAGTAGCTGGGACTACAGGCGCCCGCCACTACGCCCGGCTAATTTTTTGTATTTTTAGTAGAGACGGGGTTTCACCGTTTTAGCTGGGATGGTCTCGATCTCCTGACCTCGTGATCCGCCCGCCTCGGCCTCCCAAAGTGCTGGGATTACAGGCCTGAGCCACCGCGCCCGGCCCATTTTGGTTAATTTCTACTGCAATGTATTAAACTCACTTTTTAAAAATCTTTTTGTTTTTTATTAAAAAACGGACAAAGGATCTGAATAGACATTTCTCAAATAAAGATAAGCAAGTGGCTAACAAGTATATGAAAACATGCTCAAAATCAATAATCATCAGGAAAATGCAAATCAAAACCACAATGAGATAGCACCTCACACCTGTTAGGATCGCTATTATCAAAAAAACGAGACAAGTGTTAGTGAGGATGTGTAGAAAAAGGAAACTTCTGTCCTGTCAGTGGGAATGTAAATTGGTACAGCCATTACAGAAAACAGTATGGAGGTTCCTCAAAAAATTAAAAATAGAACCATCATATAAAGCAATTTTACTGCTGGTTATATAACAAAAGGAAATGAAATCAGTATCTATAGCCCAACGTTCATTGCAGCATTATTCACAACAGCCAAGACACTGAAACAACCTTAGCATCCATCAACAGATGAATGGTAAAGAAAATGTGGTGTATATTATTTACATACAATAAGATATTATTCAGCCACAAAAAGAAGGAAATTCTGCCATTTGCAACAACATGAATGAACCTGGAGGGCATTATGCTAAGTGAAATAAACCAGACACAGAAAGACAAATACCACTTGATCTCATATGTGGAATCTAAAAAAGAGTCAAACTCGTAGAAGCAGAGAGTCGAATGGTGGTTGCCAGGGGCTGGGGTTGAGGAAAGTGGGGAGATAATGGTCAAAAGGTACAAAGTTTCAGGTATAAAATGAGTAAGTTCTGGGGATCGAATGTACAGTATGGTGACTTTAGTTAGTAACACTGTACTGTATACTTGAAATTACCTGAGAGAGTAGATTTTAAGTGTCCTCACCACAAACACACAAAAACTGGTAACTATGTAAGGGAATGGATGTATTAACTTGATTGTGGCAGTCATTTCACAATGCACCCGTATATCAAATCATGCACACCTTAAATACATGATTTCTGTCAATCATACCTCAATAAAACTGGGAGAAATAAAACATTACATTTGAAAAAATGTAACTAGAGGGGTAGGATATAAAACACTAAGAAAAATAAATATTTGGGATCTCTATTTTCAGAAAATTGGTGGACAAAGAGGTAAGGTATGGATATAACATCTACTTCTGACTAGCTGGCTTATCTACCCTATGGCAATAAATACTGAAGGCTTTTTTTTTTTAATTGAAGCCATTAAATAAAATTTTTAGTATAATGCTAGAAGACACTGAGTAGATATGGTGACATGAACCATTACTCTGTGCTCTTTAAAACTTGATTTCCATTCGATTCTGTGTTAGGTGCTAAGAAATAAAATAGCTGATTTTTAATTCAACCAATATGTGATTTGAGCACTTTCTATGCAACAGGCTCTGGAGTAGGCAGTAGAGATAAAAGACTGGCTGAAAGAGATATCAGACATGGCCTGATCTTAATAGTCCAGTGGGGAAGACAGACACTGACTGATACGGTTTGGATTTGTGTCCTCTGCCAAATCTCAGGTCGAATTGTGATCCCCAGTGTTGGAGGAGGGGCCTGGTGGGAGGTGACTGCATCATGGGGGTGGATTTCCCCTTGTTCTTGTGACAGTGAGTGAGTTCTCACGAGATCTGGTTGTTTAAAAGTGTGTAGCACCTCCCCCTTCACTCTCTTCCTTCTCTGGCCATGTAAGATGTGCCTGCTTCCCCTTCACCTTCCACCACGACTGAACGTTTCCCTAAGGCCTCCCCAGCCATGCTTCCTGTACAGCCTGTGGACCAGTGAGCCAGTTAAACCTCTTTTCTTTATAAATTACCCAGTTTCAGGTATTTCTTTAGAGAAGTGAGAGAACATACTAAGACACTGATCAAATAATCACACGTACAAACATAAGATCACAAGTCTGATCAAAGAGAGGACAAGGAGAAATTCTTAGTACTACAAGGCCAGCCTGCAGAGGGACAGGACACATTGGAGAAGGCTTCCTGAGGACATGAGGACTAGGCTGAGGATGCATGGAAGTTCATGAGATAAGGAGGGGAGGGGAGAGAATCCCAAGCAGTAGCAACAGCAGGTGCAAGGGCCCTGCGGTAGAATGGGGGCATGATGCACGAGCATAGACTCAACCATGGCCATGTGGCTGAGTGGGAGAGTGAGGAGCAAGATGAGGGTGGAGAGAGAGGTAGCAGCTAGACCACTCAATATTTACAGGACACATGAAGGATCCTGGCTTTAGCATAAGTGTAACAAAAAAAAACCATTGACTGAAGTAAGAATGACAAAATCAATTTATGTTTTTAAAAGATCACTCAAGCTATTCTGTGAGATTAGAAAAGAAATAAGGGTGAAAGTCATGATGCTAAGGTAGGAGGTAAATCCTGCCCTAAAAAACATTCAGTCACATTCAGGCCATAAGAAACACATTTAAACAATGAAAAGTGTCATAAAACAAAGGTAAAAACACAAAGAGCTCTAACTCATAGGAAAGAGGAAAGAACAATGATTACAGGTGAGAAGATTTGGATTCTAATCCCATCTTCAACACCAATCATCAGCTGAGTGGTGGCAGGACAGGTGTTAGGCCATTAGCTGGTTGTCCCTTTTGCTTAACATTTCTATGCCATGGTTTGTTGTTTTTTAATCCCTTGAACTAGATAAAAACAAGTTTATAATGAGATGTTAAAATCTTCAATGTCCTCCTATGCTAGGAGGATGTAAAAAAGGGACATACTATTCGGGGAAATACAACCACATTGTGGGCTCTGCTATGTGCTTAGAGTTCAGCTCAGCTGTTAAAAGTGTAAGAGACTCTAAGGTCAGAGAAACACATCCAGTTACAGGTCCAGAAAAACCTTCCCATCACTTATTTATGAGACAAGGTCTTGCTCTGTCACCCAGGCTGGAGTGCACTGGCACAACCACGACTTACTGAAGCCTCAACCTCCCAGGCTCAAATGATCCTCCAGCATCAGCCTCTTGAGTGGCTGGGACTACAGGCATGTGCCACCACATCCAGCTCATTTTTGTATTTTTCAGAGAGATGAGGTTTTGCTATGTTGCCCAGGCTAGTGAACTGGGCTCAAGCAGTCCTCCTGCCTTAGCCTCCAAAAGTGCTGGGATTACAGGTATGAGCCACCGTGTCTGGCCACCCATCCCATCATTTAATAAACCTTATATAGCAGGCAATACTCTAAATGCTTTACAAATATGAACTCGTTTAATCCTTACTCCACTCCTCTGTGAGAGGTGTGGTAATTATCTGCATTTTATATTGTAGGAAAATGAGAGACAGAGAATATAACTGCTCTAGGTCACCACCTATTAAGTTGTGCAGCAGGGACCAGAGTCTATGCTTTCAGCCATCAACCTCTATGCTAAGGTGACCACCCCTACCCTACCACCAGAGGGAAGGTTGCCTTAATTTATACATAGTGCCATAGTCCATTTTTCTACTCTATAATCTGAGTTGCAACCAGAGTGATTTTTCCTAAAACACAACATTTGGTCATTTTCTTTTATGAGTCTAACAGCCTGCTCTGTGGGCTGGCTCCTGTCCGTGAGCCTCCAGTTTGCCGTCTCTGATTGAATCTCTGATGATCTCCCCACATTCTAGCCCTTACTCAAATCCCACCCACACCAAACTACAGAACTTGCAGCTCATCACAAACCACTAACCATCACCACCTCCTTTACATAACTCCCACCTGGCTTTCAGTACTCAGCTTAAATATCATCTCCTTCCAGAAGCCCCTACTTCACCCTGAGCACCATCTGGACAGCGGCCTTGAGGGCTAGGGTGACATTCCAGTCTGGCAAAGCAGACTGAGAAGCCTCCATTTTACCACCTGGTGGGTACTAGTGAGTTGCAATGCCTCTGTACCTAGGAGTGCTATGAAAGCTGGATGGCAAGAAAGAAGTGCTAGAATTTAAAAGGCTCATGAAGGACTGCAAGAGGTGTTTCAAAGAACTATATGAGGCCAGAGAGGGCTACATGTGTTTGAAATGTGACCAAAATATTAGAGAGATTAAAGATCTATTTTCAAAGGTGGAATGATCAAATAGGTTTTGCTGTACCTTTATTTTATTTTTCTGAGACAGAGTCTGTCACCTAGTCTGTAGTGCAGTGGTGCGATCCTGGCTCACCGCAGCCTCTGCCTCCCAGGCCCAAGTGATTATCCCACTTCAGCCTCCCAAGTAGCTGGGACTAAGGCATACACCACCACACCAGGCTAATTTTTGTACTTTTAGTAGAGACAGGGTTTCACCATGTTGGCCAGGCTGGTCTCAAACTCCTGGCTTCAAGTGATCCACCCATCTCAACCTCCCAAAGTGCTGGGATCACAGAGGTGAGCTACCAGGCCCGGCCTGTACACTTATTTTAAGGATATGAGGATTCTCCCTTCTTTCCTACCTGGTTCTCCTCAAAATGATGCCATCAACTGCCGTAAGATAGGCAGGATGGTTTGATGCATAAAGTCAGATCTGTGAACATGAAGGAATGAATGTCTCCTCAATGTCACATGAGCAGGAGGGGCCTTCATCAAGGTTAGGGGTCTAAGCCAGAAATAAGGTGGCCTGGGCAATGCAACTGTGAATCTAAGAGATAGGCCTGGGGAATCACAAGTGGTATGAAGGTGATGCTTTTAAAGCATCTGAAACCTGCGATTTCACTGCAAATACACATGTATTGCTTCACTGCTCAGAATCTTCAGTTACTCCCTACTGCCCTTAAAATGCCACTTTTTTCTCTTAGATGCTGACATGTCTTACAGACACTGAATGATCTAGTTACTATTCACTCTTCAGCACATCTCTTGCTTCCTTCAGTGGTCCTGAACTTCTCTCATTTCCTCTCTTCTAACTCTCAGTGACCTCTGGAACTATGACCATCATGTTTTTCTTCTGCGTGAAACACTGATCCCTATCTCTCTGCTTGGAAAACTATCCTTCGGTTTTTGGTGGAAGCGTGACCTATTCCATCAAGCCTGCTTGGATCACCTCAGCCCCTGTGCATCCCATTTTCTGTACACCAGTATGCATCAGCCCTGCTCACAGAGACTTAGGTGTGTCTCATTTGCTCTGGTATTCCCAATGAGTGTCTGGTACAGAATAGATGTTCGATAAATACTTATTAAATATACAAAGAAAGAAAAGGAGAGAATGGTTTTTATTTTTTCAAAGCAATACAGTAGCTTGGCAAATAGGGATTTTATATAAGACACTTCACATTGGTAAAACCAATAGAATATCATAACCCTACCCTACTCCAGGATTGGGGATGACTTGATCTTGCTTTATTTACCCAGGACTGTGTCCTCTCAGCTCCCTGAGGCCAAGTGTGCCAAGCAAATAAGGAGTCTGCATCTGGGACCCTGGGAATCTCAGAGGGGCTCCAAAGAAACGAAGAGACATTGCCATCTCTGGCTGTACTTGATTTGCTGAGCCTCGTTCCTACATAACCAGTATGAAACTCACTGTCTCCCTCTCTCTCTCAATCCAATCTCTTCTGAGCTAGGGCATATCCACCCCTCATACTGTTGGCAAAGGAGGAACATCTCCTCAGTTTGGTATTAACTCTAAGATTTTGTGTTTATATGGTAAATGAACAAGGTTTAAGCATTTACATTATTTAACAGTCCAAGGGCAATTTTAGTTATTTTAAATGCTGGATATTTACTTACGCATTCTCAAATGAGTTAAAACAAACATATTCTATCTACCATGATATGTCTTAACATAGAAAGACCACAGGCTTTAGATCAAGACAAATCTGGGCTCTGAAATGTACTACTATGTGACCTTGGGGAAGTTACTTAACTTCTCTCAACTCCATTTCCTTATTTGAAGAAGATGATAAAGGACAAGGCAAAATGGTGGCACAGACAGTAAGATTACTTCATGTAATGGTACATGTCTTGGAGCCTCCTTTCCTATGTGCCAGGCTCCATGCTGGGCACTAGAGATACAGCAGAAAATGAAAATGTCATGGTTCTCAAGCTCTTGAACTAACAATCTAGAATATGATCAGGTAATTACAAGTGTGATGAATGTTAGAAAAACAAAGTGCATGGCATCACGTGAGTGGATAACATGTATTAAATGTGCAGCTAACCATGGGGTATGGGGGGCACACGGGAAGGGGTATGGCTATGAAGGGATAGCAAGAAGGAGTTCTCTGTCATGATGAAACTGCTCTGAATCCCTGTTGCAGCAGTGATGATATGTATCTATGCACGCATTAAAATTCATACAACTGTATACCAAAAGGAAAAAGTTAATTGTACTGTATGTTTTAAAAATGATAAAATGTATAGCACTGTATTCAGCACATAGGAGTGGCAAAAACACTAGAAGTAATGGTAATTACTTATACTATTAAATAGCCTGGAGGGACACTGAGCAGGTGGGGAGACCAGGCTGCACATCTGAGCTCCTGACTTCCAATTCTGCCAAATGGTGTACTCATCTCGCTCTACTGTGCAACTCCTGTTGCTTCTGTTCACCTTTCTTATTTCCCCTAAAGGAAGTCTTAGTTCAAAGGACATCTGATATGGTGTGGCTGTGTCTCCACCCAAATCTCATCTTGAACTGTAGTTCTTATAATCCCCACATGTCGTGGGAGGGACCCTGTCGGAGGTCATTGAATCATGGGGGTGGTCACCTCCATGCTGTTCTTGTGATAGTGAGTTCTCACAAGATATGATGGTTTCATAATGGGCTTTCCCTCCCCTTTGCTCTGCATTTCTCCTTTCCGCCACCATGTGAAGAAGGATGTGTTTGCTTCCCCTTCCACCGTGATTGTAAGTTTGCTGAGGCCTCCCCAGCCATGCTGAACTGTGAGTCAATTAAACCTCTTTCCTTTATAAATCACCCAATCTCTGGTATGTCTCAGCAGCGTGAGAATAAACTAATACAAATCTATCAAGCACCTATGTTTAATCCCCCTAACATCACAATAAAATTGTTGTCACTCCATTTTGCCAACAGTGAAACTGGGGTACAGATAGTTTAAGTAACTCTGCTGGTATGTGGCAGAGATAGGATTTGAACCTAGTTCTTCAGACTCCAAGTTAAGGGATCTTTCCCTCTCCCCAGTGTCACATAACTTTGTGTAATTAATCTCCTCGGCTTCTGTTACTGTGTGGCCTTGCACTTCAGTGTTGCTTGTGTTATTTTAATTTGTTTATTGCTTACTAGTAATTGCATACGTGTCTGATTGCTCAAATGTTTCGGCAATGGCTCTGCATTACTCTTCCGGAAGCTTCAGAAAATGTTGATGGGGCACCAGCACAGGATGCAAATCAGACCCTTCATAATTAGAGTAACCTAGCTCTTGACATAATACCTTCAAAATTACTCATATTCATTCTAACAAATGTTTAACCTTATTTTTGCTCCAGATAAACATGAGTTAAATGTGTACTCCACTTGAAGAAAAACAGTATCAAGCCCCTTCCTGACTTACCATATAATTCAATTTGGCAGAAATCACTTCTGACTCACAAAACAATAACTTTGAGGCAGTTTTCCAGTTGCACTCTAAATTATTTCATTTACAAAGAATCAGTCTTATATGCAATTTATAACACACAAATGCCTACCTACTTCTATTCAGGAATACATCTGCAGCCTGATGAAGGAAGATTCCAGAAGGTGAAAAATTGAGAGCTTGAAAATTCAGTTTCTCTTTTAGACTTTCTCTACAGTAGGCTCACTATCACATTCTCTTCTCGCAAAAGGAAACTGCTTTTTAATAATTTTATTTTCTTTTTCCCATTTTTCAAAAAATCTAGTATGCCAGAACTTAATGAGTTCTAACTGGAAAAGACTCCTTGGGCCTTTCAACAAATACAAGATTGTTCCAAACAGAAATCTAACTATTAAACAAGGAGCTGAAGTCATTTCAGAAACAAGCAGGTGGTGTCCATTCAGCTTCAGGTATACTGATCCCAGGGCCAACCAAAGATGTCAAAAATGACCAGCTTAAATTTTAGCCCTACTCGAACAGGAGCTACATCAACGTGCACCTGAACTCCGGGGAATCCATAGACTAAAACAGCCAGCGTTAGCCATCTGGGTGGTTGTGAGGTACCCATCCCCTCTTTATGGAGTGCCAACTGAGAAGGAGAGGTTCTAGACATAACCTCAGACGTTTCCTGTGGAGACCAACAGAAATACCCAGATGTAGGAGAGGAAATACACAAAGCCAAGGAGTGGGGTTTGAGGTATTTGTTCCAGCTTAAGGAAACGACGGTTTTGCCTTCCTTTACTCACTGCACAGAGCTCTAGAGTTTTGCAAACCTCTTTATCCCTCTTCCCCTGAGACGAGTGCTCTCCACACGAAGCACATGAATGTGAGGGGGAATTGGTCGGCGTGTAAGAGACACGTTAGAAATGCTTTCCTAGTTTTCATTCGGGATGACACTGGCGCCCTCGCGTGGTACGTAAGTCAATCCTCCGCGTGCATGGGATGCTGGTGCTCTTCCATGCCTGTTAGTTTTGGTATATGGCAACCCATTGCAGGGGACCTGTGCCCCTAACTGGTGATTATACTACTAAATTTTAAATTAAAATTATTCCTCACATAGTAGACAACAGGTTAAAAAAATTTCTGCAAAGAAACTACAGATAGAAAACATGAGCAAATAAGAACATGTCAGAGCTGGCACTTGATATTCCCAGGAATGACAATCCAGTCATATCTGACAATCATCATCATCATATCTAGCCAAAATACTCTGAAACGCTCAAGGGGAGAGTTGAAATATGGAATTATACTCGCTATTGTTAATGATGAATTTTGCCTTGAGATATTAGCTAATGATAGCAGGAAGTCTTTGCTCTTAGCAAGACAGTAAATGAGTTACTGTGTGAAAAACACTTAAATCAATGCCTGGCATACAATTAACACTGTATCACTGTTAGCTGTTGTTATTTTAAAACGTTGCCTTTTCATCTTTATTGCCCTTAAATTATTAAAACATTTAAAAATTTTAAATGTATCTTTATAGTTTTAAAATAATTATATACTTTATGGATACACAGTAGTAGGTTATATATCAATAAATGATCAATAAATGAACAAACACATTGGGGGTGCATTTTTTTTCTAAGAGACAAGGTCTTGCTCTGTCACCCAAGCTGGAGTGCAGTGGCATGATCATAGTTCACTGCAGCCTCAGTCTCCTGGGTTCAAGCCATCCTCCCACCTCAGCCTCCTGAGTAGATGGGACCATGAGTGCACCACCACACCAGGCTTTATTTTTTATTTTTATTTTTGTAGAGATGAGTTCTCCTTATTTTGCCCAAGCTAGTCTGGAACTCCTGGCCTCAAGCTATCCTCCCACGTTGGCCGCCCCAAGAAGCTAGGACTACAGGCATGTGCCACCACACCTGGCTAATTTTTAAATTTTTTGTAGAGAGGGTCTTGCTATGTTGCCCAGGCTGGGTCTCAAACTCCTGGCCTCAAGTGACCCTCCTGCCTTGGTCTCCCAATGCTGTGAAATTACAGGCATGAGCCACCACACCCTGCCAAAAAAATTGTTTTTAACTTACGATTTGGAGACTGTTAATTTAGAAATAGTTGTCTGAAGGGAAAAAGTGGTATCCTCCTGGTAGCATTCACAAGTCCTTAGCTTATTTAATATTATTCTTCCCTTTGCCACCCTAACTATTCAGGTATTTATACAACCGGTGGAGGGGCCATATCAACAGCAGGAAAGGCCTATCACAAATGTAGAAATCCCACTTTGAGTGACATCTCATCGTTGATTTTACAAAATGTCCTGTATGAGCACAGAATGCACTTTCTACCCCGTCTCTCCCACTACCAAAGAAAAGGGATTGATCACTTCCCCTTGGGGAAACAGAGTTGCCATATTTTTCTGTTTCCCCACTATATATGTGATTATATGGTTTGATTTCCACAAACTTTCTGGCCAGTTTTCCAGGAATCTCAGTGAAGATGATAATGCACAGTCCAGAGTATCTGCTATAGGCATTCCATCCACAGGGCTTTCAATGTCCAGTTTTCCATCTGATCCTCACAGTACCACAGTGAAAGGGAGAAGAATAAGCCAATGAGGAGGTAGAGATGAGAAAACATTTGAGTGACTTCATGAAAGACCTTCCTAGGGCTCACGTTCTATTGCTGTCCACATGGAGCCATGACCCTACAGCGTTGTTCGCTTTTTACCATACCTCTTTTTTTTTGACTAAATTGTTCGGATACTCTGCTCTGCAGTGGAGGAAAAAAATCCCTTAATTTCATATACTTTAATGAATATGCTGCTTCCTTCTCAGGATATGACAATATGAATTGCAGGTTTCTTTGGTTCAATTCCTCCAACATAATGAGGCAGTAAGGTGCAGGATAGGTTTAGTAAGTTTGACTTTTGTTTTTAAATGGCAATTTAGACCTGTCTTAAAACATTAATTTATAAAAGGAAGTACAAAGTTTATAACGGTTTTTGCTAAATTGCATTGTGATTTATTCTAGAATCAACTCGAGAATATTCTTAAACTATTAGTTTATACATCAACAACTTCTCCCTAAATTAGTTTATGGAAAAAACATAAGTACTGTGAAATAATACTGAAGTGCAGTTGCCAATCCACTATTAGAAACAACAACAACAATAGATAATATTTATTGAGCACCTACCCCATGCACTATTCTAAGCACTTTTCATATTTTAACTCACTTCACTCTAATAAGCCTATGAAATAGTACCTGTTATAACCAATTTACAGATGGGAAAATTGAGGTATGGAGAAGCCGACTGACTTGCACAAGATAACACATCTAGTAAGGGGCAGAGGCAGGATTCAAACTCAGGTATTCATGCTTATCCAATCAGAGGGCTTTTTTTTCTTCCCATGGTTTATGCAAATGATGGTCTTTCTATAATTTAGCAAGAAAATGGACTATAAAGAGAAGATGATAATTTCATTTTAGCTCTGTTTTTCATCTTAGTAACAGCTATTACAGTTTCTGAGTTGACAGGGGACACTGCTAACTAACTCCCATATCAAAAGAGAAATCATAATGGAAATGAGAAAATATTTAGTGTCAAATTTTATTGAAATTATACATGTCAACATTAGGAGTTATTCTTCCTTGATGTCTGACTTTCTCAAAGAGATTTTCCTGCTCCATGTCTCAACTGCTAATGGATACAGAGGCAGCATGGTGTAAGTCTAGACACTGAGGCCAGACTGCCTGGGTCGAATCAAGATCTACACTTTCTAGCTCTGTGCCTCAGCTTCCTCACCAGTTAAAAAAGGCAATAATAATACATATTTATGCACATATTACAGTTTGGGCACTCCTAATCCAAAAGTCTGGAAAATGCTCTGAAATCCAAAACTTTTGAGCACGGACGTGACATCACAAGTGGAGAATTCTACACCTGATCTCAGTGGGTCATGGTAGAAACACAGGCACACTACATTTGGTTTATTTAGCAACCCCATGGAGAAATAAGACTACCTTCAGACTATGTGTGTAAGCTGCATACAAAACACTAATGAATTCTGTGTTTAAACTTGGGTCTCATTCCCAAGATATCTCATTATGTATATGCAAATAGTCCAAAATCTGAAAAAATCTGAAATCCAAAACACTTCTGGTTTCAAACATTTTGGATAAGGGATACTTAGCCTATATAAGGTTAAATAAATTAATACCAGCAAGGCACTAAAATCGGCGTCTGGTACACGAGTGCTGAGTATTATTTATGGTTTTGGTTTTTTTTTTTAGAAGAAATGAAAGAAGAAAATAAAGTTTATTGCCCTTGACAATGTTCTTCCCACTTAAAGCTGTGGGAAGTCAGATTATAAGTGAAGCAAGAAGAAATTTCCATCTCAACATGATTTATTTTCCTTGCACCTTACATTTTGCCACAGTGGGAAACTATAGTGAAACCATGTTGTGTTCTCAGCTACTATGTACATTTTGGTCAAACCTGGTCTTCAGAGTAATCCAACACCCACCAATAAGGGGCCTTTAAAGGGATTCTAGCTGACATCAGCCTCCTCAATTCCTGGTTTTAAAATCATCCATCTTAATCACTGGCAAGAGTTCTATGTCCCTAGAACTAAAAGAGTTTTGAAAGAAACCACTGCATTACTAAAAAAAAAAAAAAAAAAAAGAAAAAAAAAAAAACTAAAAAAAAGAAAAAAAAAAAAAAAAACTGGCCAGGCGCAGTGGTTCATGCCTATTATCCCAGCACTTTGGGAGGCTGAGGCGGGCAGATCATAAGGTCAGGAGATCCAGACCATCCTGGCTAACACGGTGAAACCCCGTCTCTACTAAAAATACAAAAAATTAGCCGGGCGTGGTGGCGGGCGCCTGTAGTCCCAGCTACCCAGGAGGCTGAGGCAGGAGAATGGCGTGAACCTGGCAGGCGGAGCTTGCAGTGAGCCAAGATAGCGCCACTGCACTCCAGTCTGGACAACAGAGAGAGACCCTGTCTCAAAAAAAAACAAACAAACAAACAAAAAAAAAACTAAGAAGAAAAGAAAATTCTTATTTTCTTCACATGTGCAGAACAAGGAACAAAATTTTAGCATAATAAAATGAGATGAATAAAAGGCTGCTCCTATTGCATTTTTATAGCTGACATCATTGCAGGGAGCCAACTGCCTGATGAGGGCGAAATATTCCAAAGGGCTGCTGTTGTAGAACCAGAAGCAACCTTCATTTCATGTTTCGGGGGTGAAAGAGTACTTCTTACAAAAACAGATAAAAAGAATGGCAAAACCTCAGTTCGGAAAGTTGAAATAGTCCCTTTCTCAT
The DNA here is from genome assembly GCF_000001405.40 of Homo sapiens. NCBI lineage: Eukaryota > Metazoa > Chordata > Mammalia > Primates > Hominidae > Homo > Homo sapiens. The sequence continues at coordinate 62,817,784 of NC_000012.12, forward strand.
GTTCCTTTTGCCTTTCCCTGCCCCATTTTGATCCTATTTGCCTGGAGTTCCCACAGTGCTGCCCCGTCCTCTGCTGAGAAAGATAATCAGCTTTCCTCTCCCCTGCTGATGGTCTTGGCCGAGATGCTGACACAGCCATCTCCTGTTATTGTAATTAGACACTGAACTAGCAGATACTGAAACCACACACTTTGATGTGTTTTGGCTAAATTAAACAACACAAGGGTGCTCCTAAGGAAGTAGACTTGGAATGCATGTGTTCAGAAGTCTAGTCTCAAGCCAAAAACAATCTGTTCGAAATAGGGAGTCAGACGTGGGCAAAAAAATTTCCTGGTTATGGCCACAATACCCTAAATATTTCCCACCCACGCATCTTATGTAAGTACACGCACTTCTTAACACTAGGTTATGACATGCCTTTCAGAGTGATCTCTTTCTCCTTCCACAGAGAAGTCACTTGGTACCCTCCTCCTCTTATCTCATTCCTGGAATGACTAAATATTTGGGAACTAAGAAGAAAAAGCTCTTGGAAAAGCTGTGTTTTCACCTGAGTATGGCAATCAGTATGATAAATAAAGACTCTTTATAACCTTCCAAGTCAAAGGAAAGAAGAGCTAGCAATGGTGATTCATGTGCACAAATCTTGAGCTGGTTAATTAAAAAGCCTTCTGTGGGAATCAGGAGGCCATTGGGAATAAGGTATTGTCCTCAACAAGCTTACAGCAGCTTTCCTAAGAGACAGTCTCATGAAAGTGTCTTTTGGAAGTGCTAGAATTGTAGATTTCCTTCTTTCCTGGCCACCCATCCTGTTTCCAAATCAGTTCTCAGAGGTAGGCATGTCAAGAGGCTTGCACATTGCCAAAGAGTATCTATTTGCTATTTGCCAGACTGTGGGCTTATAGCTCTTCACATTAAGCTACCCAAAAATGATCCAGGCACAAGAAAAGTTCCACCTTCATTTGTCATTGAGAACGCCCTTCTCTACTATACTACATACCTGCTTCATCAAATATCTCAAAATGTTGCTTTTTCTTTTTCTTTTTTTTTTTTTTTTTGAGATGGAGTCTCACTCAGTTGCCCAGGCTGGAGTGCAGTGGTGTGATCTTGGCCCACTGTAACCTCCACCTCCTGGGTTCAAGCAATTCTCCTGCCTCAGACTCCCAAGAAGCTGGGAATACAGGCATATGCCACCAAGCCCAGCTAATTTTTTGTGTTTCAGTAGAGACGGGGTTTCACTGTTTTGCCCAGGCTAGTTGCGAACTCCTGAGCTCAGGGAATCCACCTTGCCTCGGCCTCCAAAAGTGCTGGGAGTACAGGCGTGAGCCACTGCGCCGGCCAAAACATTGCTTTTTTTTTTTTTTTTTTGAGATGGAGTCTCACTCTGTCGCCAGGCTGGAGTGCAGTGGCGTGATCTCAGCTCACTGCAACCTCTGCCCTCCAAGTTAAAGTGATTCTCCTGCCTCAGCCTCCCGAGTAACTGGCATTACAGGCGCCTGCCACTGCACCCGGCTAATTTTTTGTATTTTTAGTAAAGATGGGTTCACCTTCTTGGCCAGGCTTGTCTTGAACTCCTGAACTCATGATCCACCTGCCTCGGCCTCCCAAAGTGCTGGGATTACAGGCGTGAGCCACCGTACCTGGCCAAACATTGCTTTCTTAACCCCAAAGGAGAAATGTTTATTGTTTCTGTATTATAAGTTATATCACTAAACTCTTAATTAAAAGACAAAACAGAACAAAACCTAGATCCATTCAAGAGTGTTGGAGATGGAGACTAGAAAACTTCAACCACATCCCCTTACATTTCTTCAGGCTAAAATACTACAGTGCAGAACACCTTAAAACATTTAAATTTGTGTGCCTTTTAAGTTTGTTTTGTTGTTGTTGTTGTTGTTTTACTTATTTCAAACATTGCTTCTTTAGCTCCTGACTTTTTACTTATATGCAGATGAAACCCGAAATTAATTTGTATTTTATTTCTTTTAAGTCAGGTGCCACTGTCAAGAGCTCAAACACGAGTCGGTTCCAAGATGGCCGAATGGAAACAGCTCTGGTGTGCAGCTCCCAGTGGGATTGATGCAGAAGACAGTGATTTCTGCATTTCGAACTGAGGTACCTGGTTCATCTCATTGGGACTGGTTGGACAGTGAGTGCAGCCCAAAGAGGGCGAGCCGAAGCAGGGTGGGGCATTGCCTCACCTGGGAAGCGCAAGGGGTCGGGGAATTCCCTTTCCCAGCCAAGGGAATCCATGGCAGATTGTACCTGGAAAATCAGGACACTCCCGCCCAAATACTGCGCTTTTCCAATGGCCTTAGCAAATGGCACCTGGCTTAGCAGGTCCCACACCTAAGAAGCCTTGCTCACTGCTAGCGCAGCAGTCTGAGATCAACCGGTGAGGCAGCAGCCTAGTAGGGGGAGAGGCGTCTGCCACTGCTGAAGCTTGAGTAGGTAAACAAAGCGGCTGGGGAAGCTCGAACTGGGCAGAGCCCACCACAGCTCTGCAAGGCCTGCTGCCTCTGTAGACCCCACCTCTGAGGGCAGGGCGTAGATGAACAAAAGGCAGCAGAAACTTCTGCAACTTAAAAGTCCCTGTCTATGAAGAGAGTAGTGGTTCTCCCAGCACAGAGTTTGAGATCTGAGAATGGACAGACTGCCTCCTCAAGTGGGTCCCTGAACCCCGAGTAGCCTAACTGGGAGGCACCTCCCATTAGGGGCCGACTGACACCTCATACGGCTGGGTGCCCCTCTGAGACAAAGCTTCCAGAGGAACGATCAGGCAGCAACATTTGCCGTTCTGCAATATTGCGGTTCTGCAGCCTCCGCTGGTGATACCTAAGCAAATAGGGTCTGGAGTGGAACTCCAGGAAACTCCAACAGACCTGCAGCTGAGGAACCTGACTCTTAGAAGGAAAACTAACAAACAGAAAGGAATAGCATCAGCATCAACAAAAAGGACATCCACACCAACACCCCATCTGTAGGTCACTAGCATCAAAGACCAAAGGTAGATAAAACCACAAAGATGGGGAGGAACCAGAGCAGAAAAGCTGAAAATTCTAAAAACCAGAGCACCTCTTCTCCTCCAAAGGATCACAGCTCCTCTCCAGCAACGGAACAAAGCTGGATGGAGAATGACTTTGACAAGCTGACAGAAGTAGGCTTCAGGAGGTCGGTAATAACAAACTTCTCCAAGCTAAAGGAGGATGCTCGAACCCATTGCAAAGAAGCTAAAAACCTTGAAAAAAGATCAGATGAATGGCTAACTAGAATAAACAGTGTAGAGAAGACCTTAAATGACCTGATGGAGCTGAAAACCGTGGCAAGAGAACTACGTAACGCATGCACAAGCTTCGATAGCCAATTCGATCAAGTGGAAGAAAGGGTATCAGTGATGGAAGATCAAATTAATGAAACAAAGTGAGAGGAGAAGTTTAGAGAAAAAAAAGTAAAAAGAAATGAACAAAGCCTCCAAGAAATATGGGACTATGTGAAAGACCAAATCTACATTTGTTTGGTGTACCTGAAAGTGACAGGGAGAATGGAAACAAGTTGGAAAACACTCTGCCAGGATATGATCCAGGAGAACTTCCCCAGCCTAGCAAGGCAGGCCAACATTAAAATTCAGGAAATACAGAGACCACCACAAAGATACTCCTCAAGAAGAGCAACCCCAAGACACATTAATTGTCAGATTCACCAAGGTTGAAATGAAGGAAAAAATGTTAAGGGCAGCCAGAGAGAAAGGTCGGGTTACCTGCAAAGGGAAGCCCATCAAACTAACAGTGGATTTCTCGGCAGAAACTCTACAAGCCAGAAGAGAGTGGGGGCCAATATTCAACATTCTTAAAGAACCCAGAATTTCATATCCAGCCAAACTAAGCTTCATAAGTGAAGGAGAAATAAAATCCTTTACAGACAAGCAAATGCTGAGAGATTTTGTTACCACCAGGCCTGCCTTACAAGAGCTCCTGAAGGAAGCACTAAACATGGAAAGGAACAACTGGTACCAGCCACTGCAAAAACATGCCAAATTGTAAAGACCTTCGGTGCTAGGAAGAAACTGCATCAACTAATGGGCAAAATAACCAGCTAACATCCTAATGACAGGATCACATTCACACATATTAACCTTGAATGTGAATGGGCTAAATGCCCCAATTAAAAGACACAGACTGGCAAACTGGATAAAGAGTCAAGACCCATCAGTGTGCTGTATTCAGGAAACCCATCTCATGTGCAGAGACATACATAGGCTCAAAATAAAGGTATGCAGGAAGATCTACCAAGCAAATGGAAAGCAAAAAAAAAGCAGGGTTGCAATCCTAGTCTCTGATAAAACAGACTTTAAACCAAAGAAGATCAGAAGAGACAAAGAAGGCCATTACATAATGGTAAAGGGATCAATTCAACAAGAAGAGCTAACTGTCCTAAATATATATGCACCCAATACAGGAGCACCCAGATTCATAAAGCAAGTCCTTAGGGACCTACAAAGAGACTTAGACTCCCACACAATAATAATGGGAGACTTTAACACCCCACTGTCAATATTAGATCAATGAGACAGAAGGTTAACAACGATATCCAGGACTTGAACTCAGCTCTGCACCAAGAGGACGTGACAGACATCTACAGAACTCTCCACCCCAAATCAACAGACTATACATTCTTCTCAGCACCACATAGCACTTATTCCAAAAGAGTTGGAAGTAAAGCAGTCCTTAACAAATGTAAAAGAACAGAAATCACAACAAACTGTCTCTCAGACCACAATGCAATCAAATTAGAACTCAGGATTAAGAAACTCACTCAAAACCGCTCAACTACATGGAAACTGAACAACCTGCTCCTGAATGACTACTGGGTACATAATGAAATGAAGGCAGAAATAAAGATGTTCTTTGAAACCAACGAGAACAAAGACACAACGTACCAGAATCTCTGGGACACACTTAAAGCAGTGTGTAGAGGGAAATTTATAGCACTAAATGCACACAAGAGAAAGCAGAAAACATCTAAAATTGACACCCTAACATCACAATTAAAAGAACTAGAGAAGCAAGAGCAAACACATTCAAAAGCTAGCAGAAGGCAAGAAATAACTAAGATCAGAACAAAACTGAAGGAGATAGAGACACAAAAAACCCTTCAAAAAAATCAATAAATTCAGGAGCTGGTTTTTTGAAAAGTTCAACAGAATTGATAGACTGCTAGCAAGACTAATAAAAAAGAAAAGAGAGAAGAATCAAATAGATGCAATAAAAAATGATAAAGGGGATATCACCACCAATCCCACAGAAATACAAACTACCATCAGAGAATACTATAAACACCTCTACACAAATAAACTAGAAAATATAGAAAAATGGATAAATTCCGGGACACATACACCCTCCCAAGACTAAATTGGGAAGAAGTTGACTCTCTGAATAGACCAATAACAGGCTCTGAAATTGAGGCAATAATTAACATCCTACCAACCAAAGAAAGTCCAGAACCAGACGGATTCACAGCCAAATTCTACCAGAGGTACAAAGAGGAGCTGGTACCATTCCTTCTGAAACTATTCCAATCAATAGAAAAAGAGGGAATTCTTCCTAACTAATTTTATGAGGCCAGCATCATCCTGATACCAAAGCCTGGCAGAGAGAGACACAACAAAAAAAGAGCATTTTAGACCAATATTCCTGATGAACATCGATGCAAAAATCCTCAATAAAATACTGGCAAACTGAATCCAGCAGCTCATCAAAAAGCTTATCCACCATGATCAAGTCAGCTTCATCCCTGGGATGCAAGGCTTGTTCAACATACCCAAATCAATAAACATAATCCATCACATAAACAGAACCAATGACAAAAACCACATGATTATCTCAATAGATGCAGAAAAGGCCTTTGACAAAATTCAACAGCCCTTCATGCTAAAAACTCTCAATAAACCAGGTATCGATGTAACTTATCTCAAAATAATAGGAGCTATTTATGACAAACCCACAGCCAATATCATACTGAATGGGCAAAAACTGGAAGCATTCCCTTTGAAAACTGGCACAAGACAGGGATGCCCTCTCTCACCACTCCTATTTCAACATAGTGTTGGTAGTTCTGGCCAGGGCAATCAGGCAAGAGAAAGAAATAAAGGGAATTCGATTAGGAAATGAGGAAGTCAAATTGTCCCTGTTTGCAGATGACATGATTGTATATCTAGAAAACCCCATCTTCTCAGCCCAAAATCTCCTTAAGCTGATAGGCAACTTCAGCAAAGTCTCAGGATACAAAATCAATGTACAAAAATCACAAGCATTCTTATACACCAATAACAGACAAACAGAGAGCCAAATCATGAGTGAACTCCCATTCACAATTGCTACAAAGAGAATAAAATACCTAGGAATCCAACTTACAAGGGATGTGAAGGGCCTCTTCAAGGAAAACTACAAACCACTGCTCAATGAAATAAAAGAGGACACAAACAAATGGAAGAACATTCCATGCTCATGGATAGGAAGAATCAATGTTGTGAAAATGGCCATACTGCCCAAAGTAATTTATAGATTCAATGCCATCCCCATCAAGCTATCAATGACTTTCTTCACAGAATTGGAAAAAACTACTTTAGAGTTCATATGGAACCAAAATAGAGCCCACATTGCCAAGACAATCCTAAGCAAAAAGAACAAAGCTGGAGGCATCACGCTACCTGACTTCAAACTATACTACAAGGCTACAGTAACCAAAACAGCATGGTACTGGTACCAAAACAGAGAGGCAGACCAATGAAACAGAACAGAACCCTCAGAAATAACAACACACATCTACAACCATCTGATCTTTGACAAACCTGACAAAAACAAGAAATGGGGAAAGGATTCCCTATTTAATAAATGGTGCTGCGAAAACTGGCTAGCCATATGTAGAAAGCTGAAACTGGATCCCTTCCTTACACCTTATACAAAAATTAATTGAAGATGGATTAAAGACTTAAATGTTAGACCCAAAATCATAAAAAGCCTAGAAGAAAACCTAGGCAATACCATTCAGGACATAGGCATGGGCAAGGACTTCATGACTAAAACACCAAAAGCAATGGCAACAAAAGCCAAAATAGACAAATGGAATCTAATCAAACTGAAGAGCTTTTGCACAGCAAAAGAAACTACCATCAGAGTGAACAGACAACCTACAGAATGGGAGAAATTTTTGCAATCTACCCAGTTGACAAAGGGCTAATATCCAGAATCTACAAAGAAACAAATTTACAAGGAAAAAAAAAATCAAAAAGTGGGCAAAGGATATGAACTGACACTTCTTAAAAGAAGACATTTATGCAGCCAACACACACATGAAAAAAATCCTCATCATCACTGGTCATCAGAGAAATACAAATCAGAACCACAATGAGATACCATCTCACACCAGTTAGAGAGGCGATTAAAAAGTCAGGAAACAACAGATGCTGGAGAGGTTGTGGAGAAATAGGAATGCTTTTACACTGTTGGGAGTGTAAACTAGTTCAACCATTGTGGAAGACAGTGTGGTGATTCCTCAGTGATCTAGAACTAGAAATATCATTTGACCCAGCCATCCCATTACCGGGTATATACCCAAAGGGTTATAAATCATGCTACCGTAAAGACACATGCACACGTATGTTTATTGCAGCACTATTCACAATAGCAAAAACTTGGAACCAATCCAAATGTCCATCAGTGATAGACTGGATTAAGAAAATGTGGCACATATATACCACAGAATACTATGCAGCTATAAAAACAGATGAGTTCATGTCCTTTGCAGGGACATGGATGAAACTGGAAACCATCATTCTGAGCAAACTATCACAAGGACAGAAAACCAAACATCATATGTTCTCACTCATAGGTGGGAGTTGAACAATAAGAACACTTGGACACAGGGTGGGGAACATCACACACAGGGGCCTGTCGCGGAGTGTGGAGCAGGGGGAGGGATAGCATTAGGAGAAATACCTAATGAAAATGATGAGTTAATGGGTGCAGCAAACCAACATGGCACACATATACCTACGTAACAAACCTGCATATTGTGCGCATGTACCCTAGAACTTAAAGTATAATAAAAAAAAAATAATAAAATGCCAAATTACCACCAATTACAATTAAAAAAAAAGAGCTCAAACACAGGAAATGACATTCCTTCAGTAAATGCCTCATGGAAGCTGGGAGAGGCAGAAAACAGTTATATTATTTTCTCTACCAAAAAAAATGTGTTTAAGGTTTGCTTTAAAATGGGAGGCTGAAAAGGATAAAATAATTCTTTATGAATTGGTATTTGGGATGGCTAAGAGTTGTCTTTAAATCTTAACACCAATTCATTATTATCTGTAGTAGAAAAGGTCATCTCGCTGGGTGCAGTGGCTCACGTCTGTAATCCCAACACTTCAGGAGCCTGAGGTGGGCAGATCCCCTGAGGTCAGAAGTTCAAGACCAGCCTGGCCAACATGGCGAAACCCTGTCTCTACTAAAAATACAAAAATAGCCAGGTATGGTGGTGCTTGCCGGTAATCCCAGCTACTCAGGAGGATGAGGCAAGAGAAGAGCTTGAACCTGGGAGGCAAAGGTTGCAGTGAGCTGAGATTATGCCACTGCACTCCAGCCTGGGCGACAGAGTGAGACTTCATCTCAAAAAAAGAAGTCATCTCGTTGCTACCCGGCTACCATATTGCCACTCAATATAAGAAAGGTCATGAAATATAAAGTCACACTTCTATTGAAATCCTCTGTACATCACTGATGTTTCTAACAAATAAAAAATTCCTATAATACTGTTTTCATTGTAAATTTCATGTTATTTTATTAAAAATTTTAGGTTTTCTTTAACCTCCAAGGAAGGTGAAGATATATTATACATGAAAGAAATCTTTTGAAAACACATATTTTGACTTTACTAAATTTACAGGGGACAAAAGAGGTCAAGAAAGGAGGGAGAAATTAAGCATATGTATTCCAGAGGGACTTCATGCATCTTCGGTTTGCCATCCTTCATGCCTGTCAACTCTGTTTGCAGATAAAACCATGATGCCATTATTTATCCTGTTGTTCCATTTTTTGCTTATAACATTATATGTCCACTTTTCCCATCCTTATCTTTCTTATCACTGTGTGGCCCATGCCATAGATACCTTCCCTCTTCACAGTACCCCTCTCTTCTTGGAGCTTCTAGAACCCCACTGTCATCATGTTTCTGTTACACACTTTTATACCTTCTGTGTCACCTAAGCCACTTCTATGGCTGCAACTATAATTTTCAATCTTGTAACTCCTTAAATCTAAGCCTCCTTAGGCTTGTGTGTGAGCTCCAAACCCTTATTTCTAATTTCCTACAAAACACTTTCACCTGGAAAGGTAGAATCAGAATCAGTATACTCAAAACGCAAGTCATCATCTCTGCCCATCCCCTTACCATCCAGTGGTCCACTTTTCAGTGACCAGCACCTAGTGGCTGAGCCTGGTACCTTCATCTTCTCCCTGTTCCAAGCAGTTGGTCATTTGCTCACCTTAACTGTATCTCTCATTTAATCTCTTCTGAGCCTGTCCCTTGCACTGATCAGTGCCTTATTTTAAGCCGTTATCATTTCTCACCCATATTTCTGCATGAGCCTCCTAACTAGCATCCCAGCCTCTAGGTTTGGACTCCTGGCCTTCCCAAGTCAGCCTTCCCACTGCCATCACTGTCTTGAGTCATCTTGCCCTTGTCTAAAATACTTTGGTAAAAATCCCAGCTTATTATGGTGTATGATGACCCTTGTGATGCCTGCTTACTCTTCCTGTCTTGCCAACCCTCCAAGAGACCATATATTTTCCAAAACACAGGAAGACATGCCTCATGTGCTCTCATGCCAACCTGTCTTTGCCTATACATGTTCCTTCTATAAGAAACCCCCATTTCTTTTGTTAGCTCGCTTTACTTCTATTCACTTTCCAAGATCCCAGCTCTAATGTCAATTTCTCAAGGAAGGCTTTCCTAACCTTACCCATCCCCTTCTCCTTGGTTGTTCCCCAAATCATCAGTGACCAAAATGAGTCAGACTTCCCTACAACCTGGGCTTTTCATCTGTCTCTGAAAACTCACTCCATTGTAGTACCACTGCCAGTGATCTCCCCAATCGACTCAGCATTAGGAGGATGGGAACTATGTTGTGTTTTGTCTCCTTATCCCAAAGCTCAGCATGCAGACTCAGAGTTCAATATGTTCAGTGGGTGAGGGAACAGGAAGGGTGGGTACAATCCGCTTTACTTATCTCTGTGGATGTTTTCTTGCCCTAAGCCCTGTACTATCACCATCCTTTCCTAAGTGCTACCATATTTGAGTTTTACCATTAAGGGCATGTCTTCTAGATGGGAAAAATCACTGGCCTCTTTTAACCAGTGTGTCCAGTGTCCTCTGCTAGTAAATTATAGAAGTGGAAGCCAAAGTCTTGACAGTGACCTTCAATGTCCTTCCCGACTGGCTCACTCCACTCCTATGACTTTTCTGACAACATTTCCTGCAATCCAGGCTTTACAGTATTTCTGCTCCAACCACACAGACCTCCTTCCTAAACCCTGAGAACATAGGGCCGGCTCCCACCTTGGTGTCTTTCAATTGTCCAGAACGATAAATGCTCTTCCTTCAAATAGCTGCAATTTCAGATCTTTGCCCAAATGTCACCTTCTCAGTGATGCCTTCATTAACTACCCCGGCACCCTCAGACTTCCTATATTCTGGGTTCCCCACTTTGTTTTGTATCTCCATAGTGTCTATCATCTGGCACACTATATTTTGTCTCCCTCTACGAATGGAAGCTCCCTCTAAGTAGGGATTTTGTCTATTTCATTCCCTGCCAAATCTCCAGCATCCAGTTCTCAGTACATAGCAGGTGCTCAGTGATTTATCTTCCTCACTAGGTAATGGTTTTCAAATTTTTAAAAAGCAGCACAAACAAAAATAACAACAGAACAGACAACCCAATTTTTAAAATGGGCAAAGGACTTGAATAGACATTTCTCTGAAGAACATATACAAAGGTCCAATAATGAAAAAATGCTCAACATCACTAATCATTAGGGAAATGCAAACCAAAAGTACAGTGAAATACTACCTCATACCCATTAGAATGATTACTATTAAAAAAAGAAAACAGAAAGCAAGTGCTGGTGAAGACGTGGAGAAATAGGAACCCCTCTCCATTGTTGGTAGGAACGTAAAATGGAGCAGCCACTGTGAAAAACGGTGGTAGTCCCTCAAAAAATTAAACAGAATTATCACATAATTCATCAAATCCTCCTCTAGATATATAGCCAAAAGAATTGAAAGCAGGGACTCAAAGAGATATTTGTTCACCTATGTTCACGACAGCATTATTCAGAATAGCTGAAAGGTAAAAAATTCTGGCTCACATTACAACATGGGTAAAACCTTGAGAACATTATGCTAAGTGAAATAAGCCAGGCACAAAAGGACAAATAGTGTATGATTCTACTTATGTGAGGTACCTGCAGTGGTCAACTCAGAGACAGGAAATAGAATGGTGGGCACCAAGGGAGGAAAGAATGGAGAGTTAGTGTTTAATGAATACATAGTTTCAGCCTGAGAACCTGAAAAAGTTCTGGAGATGATGAGGGTGATGGTTGTACAAACATGTGAATATACGTAATGCCACTGAACTATATGCCTAAAATTGGTAAATTTTATGTTATGTACATTTTACCACAATTTAAAAAAAGGAAAAGAAGCTCAACTCTTGTCTTAAACTCAGTAAGAAGCCTAATAGGTAAAGCAGACAGAAATGAAGCTGCTGTGGTCGGAGCAGGACTGGGGCACCAGGGTGTCTCCACTCTGCTGGTCCCTTGCTCTTGAAGGACGGACCCCACAGATATTGGGAACCACCACAGGGGAGGGCCACAGCTCCATCCCAAAGTGCTTATGCACCAGTTTCACTGTTCTTAAGGACAAGAAGTTAAAAAGTCACCCCAGCTCCATTTCTAGAAGGAACTCAGTAAAAAGGAAAAATGCCATCACCAACTGGCCTTGGGCCATATGTCAACACTGACTGATTTTTACAGAGATCACTTTATATCCCAGGGGCAGGGGGAAAATATCAGTGGAAAGAGCAACACTAAGTCACTGGCGCCCCTATTCAATGATCATGAACACTTCACGCTTTCCAAGCCCTTTCCCATAATAACAATCCTCAAAACAATCCTGTCGAGTAGGTATGAAAGGAATTGTGTAATCTCTAATTCACAAGTGAAGAAACATGCAAACTTCACTCATAGAGAATAACGAAGTGGGACTAACCTCAGGATAATAATCACTAACGCTTATTACAGATTTATTAAGACACATGCTCAACATTTTCCACGGACTACTGGAGTTCATATTTCCAATCAGCCTCCTTCTACCATTTGGTAGTTACTGCTGTTATTCCTTTATATTTTATTTATTTATTTATTTATTTAATTTTTTTGAGACGGAGTCTCGCTCTGTCACCCAGGCTGGAGTGCAGTGGCGTGATCTCAGCTCACTGCAAGCTCTGCCTCCTGGGTTCACGCCATTCTTCTGCCTCAGCCTCCTGAGTAGCTGGGACTACAGGCACCCGCCACCATGCCCGGCTAATTTTTTGTATTTTTAGTAGAGACAGGGTGTCACTGTGTTAGCCAGGATGGTCTCGATCTCCTGACCTCGTGATCTGCCCGCCTTGGCCTCCCAAAGTGCTGGGATTACAGGCGTGAGCCACCGCACCCAGCCTGTTATTCCTTTTTAGAGTAGACAAAACTGAGGCTCAAAGAATAACCATCCCAAAATTAAGTAGCTAAAGTGGTAGACTGCACAGTCATCTCACTCCAGGGCCTGGGCACTTAACCATCACCATTCTATACTGCCCATCTGGGTCCTCAGCTCTGGTTGTTTGGAAAAGGCCTTCCTTCAACCTAGAAAATATGTACAATTGATAAATCCCCGTAAGTCAACTTTAAATTAAACTAGGACTAACAAAATAAATCAATACTTATCAATCCCTGAGCATAGACGCAATGAAACACTATTTCTTTTTCTTTTTCTCTTTTTGAGATGGAGTCTGCACTGTCGCCCAGGCTGGAGTGCAGTGGCGTGATCTCAGCTCACTGCAAGCTCTGCCTCCTGGGTTCACGCCATTCTCCTGCCTCAGCCTCCTGAGTAGCTGGGATTACAGGCGCCCGCCACCATGCCCAGCTAATTTTTTGTATTTTTAGTAGAGATGGGGTTTCACCATGTTAGCCAGGATGGTCTGGATCTCCTGACCTCATGATCCGCCTGTCTCGGCCTCCCAAAGTGCTGGGATTACAGGCGTGAGCCACCATGCCCAGCCGCAATGAGATACTATTTCTAAAACTAAGAAAAGATTCCTAGATCTTTTAAAATCCTATGAAAATTTTTACACAAAAATATCCTCAAGATGATCAGAATGAATAGTCACATTTGGGTCAGTCCATTCTGTGTCTCCTGATTTTCCCAGGAAACATCTCTCTCTAAAGCACATCATCTGCTGGCAGACAGAGTGTCAATGACTCCCCGTCCTTTGCTGAGAGCTTCTTCAGAGCTTTCTGAGGATATGACTGCTTTATTCCCCAGAAACTGGAGACAGGATAAATATTTTGTGGTTTTTCAACAGTGTTCAGTCTGCAAGGCCACCCCATGGGCTGCAAGAGTTTTGGGCCAATTGAAATAGATATTTATTTGGAAGAACATCAGGCACAGGCTGCAAATGGATCATGAGCAGGCAAGGAGGAGAAAGGGGCAGAGTCATGGCAGGGCTCAAAGCAACAGCCAGAGTTACTTCCACCCCTCATGAGAGGCTTTCGGACTATTTCCTTACAAAGACCTAGAAGTGGCTCCTTTGAAACCGTCAAACATTGTGTGTGTATGTGTGTGTGTGTGTGTGTGTGAGTGTGTGTGTATACGTATATATATTCGTGTATATATATATACACACATATATATACGTATACACACACACACACATATATATGTGTATATATATATATGCACACACATAAATATATCAATTATTGCAACAAGAGCTAGATACATATGGTGTGGGTGTTTCATTTACTTTGTGTTAAAAACCTAACCACAAGCTGGTCATACATGTGTCGCCTTCAGCTTGGTATGTGTGATGTCGTGACGATAGGCCCGCCACCCCACTAACTCTGGGGACACTGCTTTCTCACTTCCATTCCAGATTTAGGTGAAGCCCTAATGTCTTCCAGTGGGACCAAAGTGTGTGCCATTCTTCTCACCTGAGAACCAAGGATCGAGAAGGGTCTTACCGAGTTCTCCTTCAGCTGCAGCCCTTCCCCATTGGGAAGGGAGGACCGTCTCTTGGATGAGTTCCTGTTTGGGGTTGAGGTCACGGCCCCTGCCTTCTTCTTCACAGTGAGCACCTCACAGCTGGCTTGGTCTTCATTGTGTGTGCTCTTCCCGGCATTGATAACCCTGGAGAAGAAGCCGGAAAAGCTGGTCAGACAGACCGATAAAGCTGAGGGCACAGTCCCTTGTCAAGGGTCAGCCAAGACAGTCTCTACAACTGGCCCAGAACTACAGCCCTGCTTAATGCTAAGAACATTATGGTCTTGGTATTTTATGTTCCCAAATAAATGAAAATTTTTTAATGGCATTATGTTAGCACCCATTAAAATATTTACTAAAGAAGTTGTTTTGAGACCTGTTCACCCACAGGTGTCTGATAGATGTGATCAAATACACTAATCCATTTTAGTCAAAACACATGAGGCAATCACTCTTTCAGGTTAAGGAACCTGAATGTTTCGGCAATTACAATGAAGACAGATAATCTGACTCAGGGAATTCTGTTTCACTTCTCCAAGTGATAAACAGCAAAACCACCATCAATCTTATCAAGGTACATGGCAGTAACTTACAGCATGTCGTAAAAATCCAAGAGAACAGAGAACCATATTTCACTACGGCCATACCCCCCCATTTTTGCTTTACACAAAGGCAAGCAAATGGGTCAAAGGTTTACTCTTTTAAAACTATTTTTAACTCTTGGTCTTTTTTCATGTAGAATAATACTCATCACACTGGGCTATAGGCACTCTGATTTGGACACCAAGACACATAATAATAAGGCATGTTGACACTGCTTTGCTCGAATTACTACATGTTTTAAGCATAGAAATGCTTCAGGAAAACATGCTGCATCATTCATGCACCTTTTTCTCTATCAGGTGACTATAGACTCAACTCTTGGGTTTCCGCACCGCTTTCTTCTTAAGTAATTAAGCAGCAGCTAAAACAGATTCCCTTAAAGAGTTCTCCTTGATCTGCCACTGGCTGCGTTTCCTTTCTAAAGCTTCAACAGTGTCACAGTCCTGACAGAGTGAGTGTGGAGTTTATGGAACTCAGTAGCAAGGAAAGAAAAGGTGTGTTTTTTCTTTTTAAGGTAAGCTAAATAAAAATTAGCTCTATAAGTGTGGTGTGTACACTGCTCTATTGATTGAGTTGCACAGCCTCCTAACAGTTCAAAATCATTATTTTCAAATGACTTTTTAAAAACCTTTTCATTCTACAATAATTATAGGCTCAGAGTAAATTGCAAAAATAGTACAGAGTCCCATGTAGCTTTTGACCAATTCCCCAAACGGTAACATCTTATATAAGACAGTACAATATCAAAACTGAGAAAATGACATTGATACAATACTCTCACCCAGACTCCTGACCTTATTCAAATTTCACCATTTCTTACATCAAATAGCTTTTAGTACTAAAAATGGTATCAATTTCCATAAGCCAACACACACATGCCACAACCAAATAGGAAATGGAAAGCAAATTGAGATTTGAGTGCCGCAAGATGTAAGCGAGCGTGTTTCAAAGCACACTTCTGCCAAACTCTGGAACTCTATGGAGGTGTTTCAGAAATTTTAACATTTTCTTTATTTTAAAAATGTATACACATTTTTAAAAAATGCAATAATTTAAAAGTTCATTCCCATCTGTACATGTGATCAAATAAATGCAAGTTGACATATTTTGGGCAGCTTTAGCATATTAAGCCATCTATCTTTTCAATTGACCATATCATTGATTGGAAGGAGAATTTTTTTTTTAACTACTATTTGCAATTACTTATCTGAAAGTTCTAACGAAAAGATCATATCAGTCATCTATTTCCTCAATTTCAAATTTCTGTATCAATAAAAAGGGCTTCGCTGGTCCTATCGGGTTTACTACTAATTTCAACTTTAGCATATTTCTATAAACAAAAGCCTATGTTTACTTATTTCACATATTACAGTATTTCCTAAGATTTGTCTTTAAGTGGACTGTTGCTTACAAAGTTTGACAATTGTTGTCCTGGGGCTTGTCAAATTGGCCTCGGGGGCTTATCACACACTCTCAGGGGCTGAGCAGTGGGGAAAGGGAGGATTCAATGTCTATTTTCTTGTCCCACCTTCAAGGAAATGCATTTCCTCTTTCCTCTAAGGAAAGACATTTTCATATGGCTTAAGGATAAAATGTAAATATTAGGGACACAATGAGGCTACCTGCATGATGGTTAATCCTACCGCATTTACTGCCTGAGCTAAGCAACTTATCAGAAGCTCCACAGCCAGGAAGTGGCACAGCTGGGATTCAGAATGAGCCTATCTTGACCCCTAACCCAACCTCTTCCTATTGTGCCCTGGGGACATCAGTCTGTGACAGGTTGAGCTGGACTGTGGGGAAGCATAGAATAAAAAAATCAGGCAAGGTCTGGTCCAGGCCTGAGAGGGCGGGCCTTTCCCAGCATCTCTGGCTATTGGAGGAGTCTGGGAAAAGGCCCAGGAAAGAGGAAAGAACAGGTGGCTCAGATCTGCCTGTCCCTAGAGAAGCTCATGCTATCCAGGCCAAGTCACTGGGGGGGCCTGCTGCTGAAGCTCGTAGTACAGAACATGCATTCGTCTGGAACGTGCCTTTTACATCTCTCCTCAGAGAACCAAACCAGGCAGAGGAAGGAGGTCCAAAATACCACCTGCCTCCTCTCGGTCACTGGTGGTGACTTCCCAAGCAACATGTTTGGGGTGGATTTTTTACTGGGTGATGTTATACCACCATGGTGTCCCAAATGTGCGCCTTCCCTGGGGAAAGCTCAAGTGGGGGTTCAGCTGGGAAAACCTGTTCATGACAACCATCCCTCCATACTGTCATCCGTACAAGATCCTGGATGCTATTTCCAGAACTTGGCATCACTCTGACCACTGGCACCTAATCTTGGGCTGTAGAAAGGTGTTTTTTCCTTTGGTTTCGTTTTTTGAACCAAAAAAGCATCGCTGATCTCCAACAGCTACATGCCAAGGTGACTCATCCACCACTGCCGTTTCCAACAGACAACAAAGCTACTATAATTACATAAATCACGAATCCCTGTCCCCTTAACGTGCTTCGTCTCCTGTCTTTCCCTGAGTGGTTATTAAACTCCAAAGTTGACCTAACTTCAGCAAGAGGTCTTAGAAACTTCATTGCATGCATATGAGAAAACCAGTGACCTGGATGATCATGACTGGCGCAAGGTCACACAGCTAAATGCGAACACACTTGGGAGTTCTGAGAGCTTTCTGCTTCAGCTCTTGGGTTGTTTTATTTTCCTATTGTGCATCTATTCTTGTCGGTGCCTGGTTCAGAGGTCTGTCCTGCAATGACTCAAACCCAGGGAACTGTGAAAGAACAATTACTGGTGCCCTTACTTTGCCATTTCATGTTGAACGTAGCTTATGAATAGCACTAATGAAGTATCAGACAGTCAGAAATGTCAATCTAATGGGAAGATGGTGGTCCCACCTATGTAAGCCTGTTTTGTCAGAAACCTGATTACCATTCAGATGATAAAATATTAATTTAAATATTAAATTTTAAATATCAATTTAAAGTCACTGTGTTTAAAAAAAAAATGCCACAACTCTTATCCCCTATTTTATATTATTTCAACTCCCCTACTTTACACAGCTTTAGTAGAAAGGCCTCATTCTTCTCAATCTCATTTGGCTCTAACAAGTTTGACCAGTATCAACTTAAATATTTTATTTTGCACTTCAAAGGTAAATGCTTTGTTAACTATATGTGAACAAAATCTTTAATTTTATAAAAAGTAATTGAGAAAAACTTTGTTTCACAAGCTGAGGAGCAGCATGCTGTTAACAGATTCAACAGATTCCTTAAAGGCAAGCAGGTGGACCAGGGGCACCACTCCATTGCTGTATGCTCCAGCGTAAAGTCAGTACCACCTTGAGGTCAACAGGAAAAACGACTATGCTATCTACATTCTTGGCCTAAACAATACTTACGCATGATGCTTATTTTGAAGGCTTTAAAGAAATGCTGGTGGACCACGAATCATCATACCTTTGGTCACATTATTTTCCAGTTTACAAAGAGGGAAAGTATTTTTCTGGAAATTAAACTGGAGGTAATAAGTCATGGTGGTTCTTAACAAAAACTATCTCCCTAGAATACAGCACATAGCAGGTGCTCAACAAATGTTTACTGAATGAATGAATCTGACAGAAATCAACTCTGCTACTTCCTAGGTGTGGATAACAGTATCTCACATTTGTTGAGAACTATGTATGAGCCAGAGACTGCTGTTAATATTTTGTAGAAAGTAATTAACTCATTTCATCCTCTTGTCAACTCTATAAGGTAGCTGCCACTGTTACTCCCTTTTTAAACGAAGTCACAGCTAGTGACTGGCAGAGTAGTTTGGTCAAGTTACTTAACTTTTGCAAATCTCAGTTCCTTAGCTGTACTTCATGGATTAAATTCTATGACTTATTAAGATTGTGTGTGTGTGTGTTGGGGAGGGGTGTTTTAGTCATCATAATTAAACACATGGGTAATTTTGAAGTTAGGTTTAAATTCAAGTAGGAAAAATGTTAGAGGTTGAAAGTGAAGCACAGCTACTGTCTCCTCAATATGGAAAGTTTATACCCAGTTTATTCAACTCTTAGAAGAACAAGACACATCTGCCCTGGGAGAGACACATGGCAAAGTTAAATTTATTTATATACTGCTTTAACCTACCAGCCTACCTTCAACTGAACCAAAACCCCTAAGATTTTTCCCTTTGTAAAAGTAGGTAAACACAGACCTTTACAAACTTGAAAGTAAAAAATCCTGTATGTGTATCAGATACACCTTGAAATTATAACCTAAATCTCAGGAATGAACATGCATGAGATCATAGCAATAGCAGAATCTACTTAAAAGGAGCAAATGATTCATTCTGTGTTACCATGATACACACACTTGGAAAACTCATTTTTCTTCTATTTGTGAAATACTCTAGTCAATTTATTTTGTAATCATCACCACCTCAATTTCAGCAGAAAAGTCTTGCTTTTACATGCAACTGTTAAATTGTCAAGTTATCTGCCTTCTCACCTTATAAACCTGACTTCAAGGACACTCATCTGATGACATGACACTTAGAAAGCATCCCTATCACTAAACACAGACAAAGTAAGTACCTCAAGTATTCTCACATAGTGGTCCTGTCACAAAGGCCATTGGCCCCAGAATAGTTTTCAACAGATTTACAAAAGATAGCCAATCAACAAAGGACAGATTGGACATTTTTGAAGGTTTCCCATGTGGCATGTATGGTGCTAAATACTTCACAGGTGGCAAAGTCACTCAACACCA
Source organism: Homo sapiens (assembly GCF_000001405.40). Classification (NCBI taxonomy): domain Eukaryota; kingdom Metazoa; phylum Chordata; class Mammalia; order Primates; family Hominidae; genus Homo; species Homo sapiens. The sequence goes on from NC_000012.12 coordinate 62,837,491, forward strand.
ACTCTCTCTCCCTCCCCACCATGAGGCATTCAGCATAGTGCAGAAGGCAGACACAGGGACAATGGTTGGAGAGAACTGATTCAAACTTGGTCTCTGTTAATTACTATCTCCAGCTATGGGTACTTGGGCAAGGTACTTTTTTCCCCTAAAATAAGAATAGTCACTTCCCATCAGAAAAGAGTTATGAGAATTAAATGCTCTAGCATGAAAAGTATTTGATGAGTGCCTGGTACATAGTAAGCACTTAAAATATGTTATTTAATAATAATACACCAAATGCAAAGCTAGCTGCCTCTTCTGTCAGGACCCAAGGATGTTATCCAGCCATGCGAGTTAGAGGAGCATCTCCTCCTTTCTACGCCTTTCCATCAGCATCCCTCTGCCTCCCTCAGGAACACATGGCCAGACATCCAGAGCCTTCAGGGACAAGGCATGACACTTCCCAGAACAGGGACCTCCTCTGAGCCCTCTTCTCAAGCCACATGCTCTGTACACAGGAGAGTATCCACATGGTTCTGAACATGCTGCTTCCAGATTCCCACCCCGATCTGCCCACCCACATCGGCTCTGGGCCCCCAAGCTCCTGGCCTCAGAAGCACAGGTCTCAGGACTACAGAAAAAGACCAAATAGAGAATCTTCTTTTGTGGTTATTGTTGTCTTGCTTTGTTTTCAAGGAAATATCAAAGCCTTGACAGTTCAGGCTAAAAAGTTTACACTAAGTGTTCATACTGGTTAGCAGACAGTATTGACAAATGTTTAAGGACAGGTGTCTCCTGAGGGCCATCAGGTGAAGTGAGATTTATATATAACTAGGAGGTAGACAGTAAAATACAGTGTGTGTGTGTGTGGGGGGGGGGAGATGAATAACTTATGGAAGACCAAATAAAGCTATCAATTATGAAAATTCTCTTTTCCAGGTAACCTCTTGGGCAATGTCTCATGTGGTTCTCTCAAGTGGTTACTGGCCACACAGATGGGCTGGAAAAGAAGGACAACTTAATTCCTAGCTGCAGTAATAACCTCTTATTCTTGGGGTACTGAGAAAAGAAACCACAGCTCTGACCAGGAACCTAAGCATTTGGTAACAGCCATCAGCAAATCCAGCTGGATGGCCAGTCAAAACATCCATCAAGAATAATAGCTTCTCTGGCCGGGCGCGGTGGCTCACGCCTGTAATCCCAGCACTTTGGGAGGCCGAGGCGGGCGGATCACGAGGTCAGGAGATCGAGACCATCCTGGCTAACACGGTGAAACCCCGTCTCTACTAAAAATACAAAAAATTAGCCGGGCGTAGTGGCGGGCGCCTGTAGTCCCAGCTACTCGGGAGGCTGAGGCAGGAGAATGGCGTGAACCCGGGAGGCGGAGCTTGCAGTGAGCCGAGATCGCGCCACTGCACTCCAGCCTGGGCGACAGAGCGAGACTCCGTCTCAAAAAAAAAAAAAAAAAAAAAAAAAAAAAAAGAATAATAGCTTCTCCCAGAGGGTTTCACCTGGCTCCGGGTGGCAGGGGGACAGGAGATCATCTCAGCCTGTTCACAATCCATGACCAGGGAGAAGAAAGGATGGTATAAAATGAATTTGCTGTGGTGTTTGGCTTTCACGTTTTTGAAGGTGGCTAAGTAACATCTCATGACTTGTGTGGTAGTGTGGCTGGGCAGTCTAAGTGCCATCTTGTGGAGGAAGCCACATGTAAAGGCAGAATAAACACAGGCTAGGAAGAGGTCCTTCTGTACCCCCACAACCTTAGATCTTCTGGCTCCCAGGCTCTGTCTGTGGCTAAGAGCAGTGACCAACGAGGTGTTGCAAACTGGGGTCTCAAGGGCCACATTCAGCCCACAATCAGATTGATATTTTAAAATTTTTGTCCACAAAGTGTTCATTAAAAGGTAAATTAGTTGCCAATATTTTAAAATTGGGATATTTACATTAAAATCTTAATTTTCCAATTTCTTTTGAAAATTAATACATCCAGCTACACACATCACACTCTTGAATGACTATAATCAGCTGGACCTGAGGAGAGGCTGACTCCCGCGAGATAGGACATGTCCTTGCTAGTTTACCCCAGATCTTACTCTGTCCACTTTTGTCATTGAAGTGACCAGCCTGGCCTCATGGGCATTTGAATCTGTAACCTTGCAATTAGATCTCTGTGACTTTATGAGTAAATCCAAAAAAAAAAAAAAAGTCAAGATGGCAAGGAGATGGTTTCTACTCTCAAGGACCCTATAGTCATTTATGTTAGTTTTAGTCCTTCTGGGTTTCTGACACAAAATACCACTCATTGTTGTAATCCCAGCACTTTGGGAGGCCAAAGCAGGAGGATCATTTGAGGCCAGGAGTTTGAGACCAGCCTGGTCAACATGGTGTGATCCTGTTTCTACAAAAAAAAAAAAAAAACACCCAGTGTGGTGGCACGTGCCTATAGTCCCAGGTACTTGAGAGGCTGAGGTGAAAGGACTGCTTGAGCCTAGGAGAAGTTGGATGCTGCAGTGAGCTATGATTGTGCCACCATACTCTAGTCTGGATGATAGAATAAGACCGTGCCTCTCTAGAGAGACAGAGAGAGAGAGAGAGAGAGAGAGAGAGAGAGAGCGAGAGAAATAAAAAACAAAAACACACACAACATAAACTGGGTGGCTTGTAAATTTCTCACAGTTTTGAAGGCTGAGAAATCCAAGTTCAAGATATCAGCAAGTTTTTGTGTCCAGTGAGGGCCCCCTTTCTGGTTCATAGATGATTGTGTTCTCACTGTGACCTCACATGGCAGAAGAGACAAAGCAGCTCTCTGGGGCCTCTTTTCTAAAAGCACTAATCCCATTCATGAGGGCTCCATCCTCATGACCTGAACAATTTCAAAAGGCTCCACCTCCAAAAACCATCACACTGGCGGTGAGGATTTCAACATATGCATTGGGAGGGGAGGGATGCACACATTTAGTCCATTGGCCCTTCTCACAAAAACTACAATTTGCTTGAATTAATGCCATACTCAAGGCCTATGTCGCAAGGGATCTGAGAATACAGAGGAGGCAAGTCAACAAAAGAAGAGTCAGGGGAAGTATCACAGATGAAGAGGCATCTGAGCTCAGTGTTATGGAATGAAGGAAATCAACACTCAGAGAAAAGGTAAGAAAAGGCTCTCCCAGCAGAGGAACAGCCTGTGAAAACTGAAGATGTTGTGAAGTTTATAAAGAGGTGTAGGGTGTGACCTAAGTATTGGCTTGGTGAGGGAGCTACATCAGAACTAGACCACGAAATTTTATAGGAGCTTTATTCTATTCAGCCTATAACCAATGGAAGAAATCTAAGACTGTTTAAACTAGGGACTGATATGATCACAGTTACTTTAGAAAAATAACACTTGTGGCTTAGTAGAAAATGGGTTCTAGAGGACAAATGACAAAGGAAGAACTCAGGCAGGGTCTCTTACAATAGTCCTAGTGACAAAGAGGTTGTGAACCGAACAATGGCTCTCGGTGGAAGGGAAGAGAGTAGGCGAATGAACCGAGAAGTCCCATGAAACCTGTTGGACATGGGTTATGGAGAAGAGAGAAAAGAGGATGAATCCCATGTTTCCAAAATGGCAGAATGAGGAGAATGAGGTGCCACTGATAATGAAGGGAGGTGAGAAGGTGAAACAAGTCTTGGTGGTGGGGAGTTCTGAGGGGTGAGATAATGCAATTGGTTTTAGGTCAATGAAAAGAGAGTACAAGGTACCAGAAATTTCAAAGTCAGTAGCTGCCAAGTTCAACTTAAACAGTGGCTGGCAAACTATTGCCCATGGGCCAAAGCTGGACACTGCTTGTTTTTACACAGCCTGCAAGTTAAGAATGATTTTTATATTTTAAGTAGCTGGGGGGAAAAAAGAATATTTCATGTCAACATTATGTAAAATTCAAATTTCAGTTTTGCTGGAACACAGCCACATTCGTTCATTTACATATTGTCTCTTGTGGTTTTCATACTATAATGGCAGAGTTATTAGTAGTTGCAACAGGGACTATCTGGCTCACAAAGCCAAAATTACTTACTATTTGGGTCTTTACAGAAAACGTGTACTGACCCCTGAACTTATTAGGTTGAATTATCTGAAATTGTTTTTGCAGATCAAAAACAGTTGAATACTGACGATTTCACATAGTTACACGTAATACATAGGTGAAGCAAAAGAGAGATACAGGTTTGGGTAGAACTTAACATGCAGTTTGGCATTAGTAGTAACATTAGCTGTGGATACACTTTGCTTTACCATTTGGAGGCCATCACTAACTTCTATCCCCTTCACCAATATAATTAAATAACTGAGAATGAAAAAACAAACAATAAAGATCAAAAGAAGATATAATGTTGCCTCATAGATTTCCCCCCATAAATATCAGCGTTTTCTTCTTCATATTGGTTGTTTAGAAATGAACATTTAACATAGTAAAAATGAAAATCAGAAAGTCATCTTTGTGTATTTCCTTTCAATAATCCTCTGGGTCCCCTTGGCAAAACCATTAATACCACCAATGTCCAACTTCCTTATTTAAATAAGGAAGTCTGTGCTCTGTCAGATGCTGGAACAATTCCCGTAGAAGGCCCCAGTGCTGCTCTGTTGGAGCCAACTGAAATCAAAATAAACGCCAATCCAAATAAGATTGAAGTGTTGAAGTTTTGCATAAAATAAAGCAGAAAAAATGCTTTTTGCAGGTTTAGAACAATATCATTTGTATATAGCTATTTGCATCTGTTGGTGATTAAGGGAAAAAAAGCAAAGTTCTGCTTTTCTAAAGATCAGATTTTGTTTTATTTACCAGCTGTATCAGTACTATCGGCAATGTGAGAAATTTTTTTAAACAAAAAATTTTTTTGAAAGTCAGTTTCAAATGTGTAATTTAAACAAAATTTTTTTTGAAAGTCAGTTTCAAATGTGTAATTTAAAAACCCAAACTTTAAAAAGCCTGAAACTAATAAAATATGAAACCAAAAGACAGAAGTATTCTAATCTCAACAGACTTCAGATAAAACATATACATTTTTAATTGACAGGTCCTCAAAAATCCCAGACACCACCTAGGCTTTCTCCTTGTTGCTGGATAAAGAAAATATTGGACTATCTAGGCCTCTGGTATTTTTCTTTAAACCTTAAAGTAACACAAGAGGAATAAAGTTATACAGAAGGGGACTGTTATGTAGTAAGGAGGGTTTTAAGCCCTAACTTGGGAGTTATCTTTAAAGAGGTGCTATCCACCTTCACATAGGAGGCCACTCCACCTAAACATACAGCAAAGCAGGAAACATGGGAGGGGCAGGTAGACAGGTTTTTTCTCTGCTAGAAATTGGAGACGCAGTCTCATACAGCTTTTAAGAGCAGAGAGACTCTGGAACCAGACTCCCTAGGTTTGAATCCTGGATCCGCAAGTAGGTAACTGCACTACTTTTGGCAAGTTATTTCCCTGTGCCTCAGTTTCTCATAAGATGGGGATAATGAACAGTATTTTTCTCATATGGTAGCTGTCTGACTGTTGTAAAAAAAGAAATGTTAAAAGTGTTTCATAGGCTGGGCATGGTGGCTCACGCTTGTAATTCCAGCACTTTGGGAGGCTGAGGCCGGCGGATTGCTTGAGGTCAGGAGTTTGAGACCAGTCTGACCAACATGGTGAAACCCTGTCTCTACTAAAAATACAAAAATTAACCAGGCATGGTGGTGCGTGCGTATAGTCCCAGCTACTTGGGAGGCTGAGGCACGAGAATTGCTTGGAACCCCGGAGGTGGAGGATGCAGTGAGCCGAGATGGCGCCACTGCACTCCAGCCTAGGCAACAGAGGGAGAATCTGTCTCAAAAAAACAAACAAACAAACAAACAAAAAACCACAAGTGTTTTATACTTAACAACTTAATGCTTTCAACTGTAAACGTGAGAAAGGTGTTGTTATTATCCTCATTTTATTGGCCAAATCAATGTCATATGCATGATGACTTATTTAGGTAAATGTCCTAGGTGAGCCATTCTGATATCTTCTTATAGCAACTGAGGTTTTACATTATGTATTGTGCTCACACATATGATAATCTTGCAATTAGTTGCACAACAGACTATAAATAAAACACAGGTAACACAAGAAGGAATTGTGACACTTCACATGGTTTCAGTACTTCAATATATTTTTTCCAAGGCAAGCACAGTATTACTGCAAATGTACATTAAAAGTGATAATTAATTTTCCCCTTACTACTTCAGTCTTTTTTAAAAAGTACTTTTTAAAAAAAGTACTTTATTTTAACTGAAAACAATCTGCTTTGAAAAATCTTTACCCTAGTGTTAATTAACCTGCAGAGAAAGTGTGTTTCCAGATTAAAGACTGAACAATACATCAAGTAGCCCTTTGAAAACTAGCTGTTATCTGATCAAATATTTTTACCTTTGTCCCCAGACCCAGGGCAAAGCTCAGTTAGCAATCCAAGTCTCCCTAATTTACAAGGGAAAGAACATGCTAATTTAGCCCTTGAGGTCTCAGAATAACCCATCTGAGTTTCATTTTAGGCAAACTGATTTCTCTACCCTAAGGAAGCTAGAAAGTACAATAAGACTTTGCCTTTGTCAACCTTAAATAACGAGATTCAGAAATTATGATTAAGCATCGAGTTTATTCCAGCGCAGTGCAAAGCTTAAGAACAGCCACCTGGGCAGCACACACTCCAAATGGATGGGGTTGGTGTTCCAAAGTGGGGAAGCTAAGGTTTCACTTATATAGGCAGAAACAGTTTTAGCAGGGTTCAGCACTTTCTGTACAAAGCCAGTATGTAACATTACAGTGATTTGCTTAGTATGGATTACTACATTCCAAGGAAGATTGCTTTAGCATTCCTGAGGAGAAATAATGTTCTGAGGGGCAAGGGGGGCGTCTTATCTCTGATGCTGCTTCTTCATTGCTAATCATTTATAGGAAAAAGCAGAAATAGCAACTGCATGCTACATGATTCAGGCTACGTAGCCACATTCCCCTCAAGGCTCAAGATAACTTAAAGTTCCAACAGCTTTAAGTTTGGATTATTTAATTTCACACTTTGAAGGAGACAAATGCGCTGAATGTAAGCGATTTTAAATTAGATGCTTAATACCATCCTTAAATAAAAAGGACAAGGTGGACTACCAATATATTTCAATTAGTCAAGGGTAGATGTGTTCCAAAATGTTGTGTGTTTATTTCAGTTGTGTTCTCCCTATCTCAAATCACATAGCACGGAGTAGGTACTCGATAAATGTTAATTGAATGAATAAACAAATGAACTCATTTTGCCATAACACCCCATGGGAGAGAGACTAGAATAATGACGGTGTTCTAAGCCTGCCTATATATTTCTTAAAGCTTACAATATTTGGAGTTTCTCCTCATTTGATTTCTGCATTCCATAGAAAAAAATTAATTATAAGCACTTCTACTAGGAAATGAGCTTGGGAGTAGGATATGTTAAAGTGACCCCTAAACATTCTCCAGCAAAGAAGTAGCTGATAGATGTCAGAGCCTAGGGTACCTCTTCATCCAAATTCCACCTCTGGCTTCTGCCTTATAAATAAGTTCTCACCCTATTAACAGTTAGAGCCGACCAAGAAGGCCCTGGAGGGCCAGGATGGCTCTTTTACAACATCAAAAGACTACTGCAAAGGAGGGAAATTCCAAAGGTCTAAACAGGACCTGGAAGTAGCAGAAAGATAATTCTGACACTATCGGTTTGAAGCTACCCAGCCATGCAATGAGTTACCTCAAAAAGTAGAATTCCCTTCACTGGAAATGTCCAAAAGCTGGCTTATGACCTCCCAGGGATACTCTGAGGATCTCTGCATGGAATGGGAAGTTCCTAAGGCTTCTTTTCTAACTGTTGAGCCTATACCTCCATCCTCTTCTTGCCTCCATCTGTAGTTAATACAAAATCTATACTTCTTTCAGAGCTAAAATTTACATGGAACATAGTTTTAGAAAAGGGGAGTGGTACTTCTTGCTGAGGCAATTCTCTGACACCTGGTAGACCATATATGAGGTATGGAAAGTCTTGTAAAAATGGAAATTTCATTGACTTGACTTCCTATCCCCAACTAGACCTTTAATACGGGTGTACAAGGGAACCTCAAGTGCTGCTGTTCCTTGGGGCTGCAAATGTGGCTTGCTGTTCTTCCTCCCCAGACAACTTTCCCTGGGAGATCGTCTCTATTCCCAAGGCTTCATTTAAGATCCAAACACTAAGCACTGCCAAAATCATATCTACAGTACAGATCTCTGGGGGTGCCTGGCCTGTGTTTCCAAATACCTGTAGAATATCTGCCTTTGCATGTTGCACAACATGCAAGCTGCCCAACCCTATATTCATTTCTCCTTCCTTCTGCTGTCTCCTTCCTGTCTCAAATACAATCCTCCTTCTGGTGTTCTTTGTCTTAGTGGACAAAGAATTCCAAGGAGCATCCTTGTCCTCCCAGCTTACTACTCTCCCCACATCTAGCTTCTCAGCCTGCGGGGCTAAGTCATAACTATGACTTACATCCCCATTTCCATGCCTTGTCCAGGCCCTTGTCACATCCAGCAGGCACCAATATTTAAACCTCCTAACCTGTCGTCTCTTCTTAGTAAATCCTGCACAGCAGGCCCGGACTGACCTTTCTCAACCGTGAATGTGGCCATGTCTCTCCCATGCTCAAATATCTCCAAATGGGCTCTGAAGATTTCAGGATAAAATTTAAACTTTTGGGCCAGGTGCGGTGGCTCACGCCTGTAATCCCAGCACTTTGGGAGGCCAAGGCAGGCGGATCATCTGAGGTAAGGAGTTCGAGACCAGCCTAGCCAACATGGCAAAACCATCGGTACTAAAAAAAATACAAAAATTAGCTGGGCATGGTGGCAGGCACCTGTAGTCCCAGCTACTAAGGAGGCTGAGACAGGAGAATCTCTTGAACCCAGGAGGCGGAGGTTGCAGTGAGCCGAGATTGCGCCACTGCACTCCAGCCTGGGCAACAGAGCGAGATTCCGCCTCAAAAAAAAAAAAATTTTTTTTTTTTTTAACTTTTTAGCTTACCATATCAGTGTCTTCCTGACGGGCCCTCTGAATATCCTCAGCTTCCCCCATCTGGTCTCCTCGCACCCCCTCATCCTTAGCCATAATAAACAGTTTGTGGTTTACAAAAAGCACCCAGTTGCTACATACCACGATTCCTTCTCACATGCCTTTTCCACCCCCTGCAATGACCTAACCTCCTCTTGTCTGACAAACATCCCTTGTCCTTCAGTATTCAGTTTGTTAAGGCTATTTTGCATGCACTTTATTGTTCTTAAAGACTGCAGTGTAACCAGTAAGTAGCACAGTGCTCATAGTATGGAAATCACCAGAAACTTGGATTGGTATCCTAGCTCTGCCACTGGCTAGTTGTGTGTCTTGGGGAGGTTAATGGGCTACTGTGTGGACTAAGAGAATGCATAAATGTAAAGTGCATATACCTGTCAGAGATGTTTTTATCTGCCCAGACTCCCTTTCTCCTAGACATCATCTTTCCTTCCCACCCTCCTCCGTCCCATTCATATGGTTTTTCCATGGCCAGAGGTGACTGGTTTAGGGATGGCCACCTGATCTCTGAGCTGAGCCAATTAGGGCCCTTCTGTGAAAAATGAAAGAAAGAAAAAGGCAGCAGAAGGCAAGAAGGGGAAGAGAGGGAGAGACAAAGAGGAGAAGAGTACATATTTGTGAGAAGAGTACATGTTGGAAATAGAATCTCAACAGAGTCCCTAGTTCTAGGTGTTCCCAAGACCCATTTGTCTTTGGAATATCTGGGTAACCCCAATATTCTCTAATAAATTTCCCTTGAATGGCTGTCAATTGCAAGCTAGAGTATAGCAAGACCCAACTCTCAATACACCCTCACTATACTATCATTATTAAACTGCAAGGGCCGTGAAGGTAGGGGTAGAAACTTATTTAATTCTGTATTCTCAGAGATTAGCATAGTGCCTGATATACTGCAGGCAGTCAAGTACCTACTAAATGAAAGGTTTGTTGACTTCAGGGGAGAAATTATAATTCAGGGTTAAAATTTATATCACAAGCTCAAGGATCTCTACCTAACATCCTGTGCTAAGAGGTAAAAGACAACAAGAAGTAGCAAATTTTTGCCAGTTATGACCAGAGCAAGCCAGTGAGGTAAACATCTGACAGCCACTGATCAGGCATATTTAATCTTCTGAATATCTTTGATTTATTATCAATTGAGTAAATCAAAGTTTATTTTAAGGATTCAAAAAAAAAGCTGTTAAACTTACATAGATAACTATTACTGAAGCTTACCAAGAGTAGACAGTAAGCTGTTCAGAAATCTAGCAACTGAAAAAAAAACAAATCATCACTCCCATGGCCTGGGATGCGGAAGGACTCAGAAATTGTTGGAAATTCCACAGACTCAAAATGAGGTAACTGTTTACCTTCCTTATTGCATTTTAATCTAGAGATTAAAATAGATCTCATTGTTCCAGAATCCTGCCTATGGTAAGAAATGAGTTCTCAATGGCTGAGAATAAATTTTAATAGCGGAACCAGAAGCATAAGAGAGGAAATCATGAGGAAAAATTTTTCTTCATAAAAAGGACCATGAGGTTAATTTTCATTTCATTACATTTCTAAATTGCATATATTTTTGTATGCTGGTTGCAAAATATCCTTTCTGTATTGACATGAAGTATAAATTAATCAGTAAATACATAAAATTCTTACATCCTACATTTTCAAAATAGCTCCTAACTCATTAATTTATTCCAAAAATAACTAAGGTGCAAAAGTTCATTAATAAGATGACTGATAAACTTGATATATGAATTAACCAAAACCAACACCAAATCACCGTTAGATTCAGGCTTACCTGAAAATTTTATTAAACCACAACTTAATAAAACACAATACTAAATGACTACAAATGCAATCTAGGACACTTTCCATGGCAAGCTATATTTAGAATTCCAAGCTCTGTTGGGTAGAATGGTTCTCAGATTTTCATGTGCCTATGAGTCATCTGGAGGACTTCTTAAAACATTGATTTTAGGGCCCCACTCTCAGAGATTCAAACTCAGTAGATCTAAGGTAGGATCTGAGCAAAGCTCCCAAGTGGTGGTGACACTTTGGGTTTACTGATGATGACTGAGTTGCACTGGCCTGGATGAATCATGGTCGTTTTAATTTCACCAAGCACTGGAATTCCCCTGCAACCTCAGCCTCATTCCACTGAGCTAGAGAATTGTACGTGATATACCCTTAGTTTATAATCCACTGGTGGTGGCTGGTACTACCAGAGTCAGAAGCTCAAGAGACTCCTAGAGATGGAAAGGGGATCCTAGTGAGGCATTGAATTATGGTAATAGGAACATAAACCTGGTGGGGTTGGGGGGGCAGTCACTGGGAGTGGGACAAGGGGGACTGGGGACTAGGATAATGGGGACTCCCAAAAAAGTTGGGAACAAAAATACTGGCAGGTCATTAGCTGCAGGGGAAGGGAGTGGGAATAGTGGTGAGTGAGAGACTACCTCACATGGAATTCCTGTTAGGAAATGGTTGGGAATAGAAAAGAAATGGTAACAGAGGGTGGGAGAGGGCAGGGGACACACAGGAAGCTTGTTTCCCAAGGCGGAAGTGGCTGCCATACAAAGGGGTACAGGGCATCTGGATTGCTCAGCACATCCAACCTGAAAGGTGAATAACCATCTGGGACAACTCTTTTTATATCAAAGATAATGATACACTATCTAAATTATCAATTACAACACACTTTTACTAGAAAGAAAAAGGACTGAAATAACACTTGTAAATACTTGTGATTTAATTGCATATTGTCTCAGTTGAGCCTCCCAACAACAAGATAGATAGGGAAGGTATTATCTGTCCCATTCTATAAAAACTGAATCCAGAAAGCTGATTGACCTGGGGTCAGATAGCCATTGGGTGGTAATATCAGACTGATATCCCACCTGATTCCAAAGCCTATTCACCCACTACCCTATGCAGCAGAGAAAGGAAGCTGAGCAGCTCTCAGATCTAGAAGGAAAACCAAGGGTCCACTAGTATCATACAAGCCAAGTGTGAGGTTTTAAGAGGGAAAGGTGCCAGGTGCTAAGAAAAGTTCAAGTGCCCACTAGATATGGCAAAGAGGTTATCAGTGGCCACTGGTAAGGACTATAAAATTCAAAGTACTAAAATACTCTCCCCTCCCAGAGGAAGAAAAGTTTTAAGATGATAAAATGCACTAAGTCTGAGATGGAATGCATTCGTTTCCAGGGAAGTATTTCACTTGTCTGCTTCCTTTTTATGAATAAGTTAAAAACTTGAAAGAGCATCCATGCCTCTACACAAATTTTAGCTCTAATCCAAAGGTGACACTGTTAAACAACTGCTCTAAAATGCTGTCACAACTTTCTAGAAATTATAAATAGCAATTTACAGAGTAATTAAATAACAATTTTTTACTTTTTTATTTTTTTGAGACAGGGTCTCAGTCTGCCACCCAGGCTGGAGTGCAGTGGTGTGTGATCATGGCTCACTGCAGCCTAAACCTCCCAGGCTCAAGCAATCCTCCTCCCTCAGCCTCCAAGCAGCTGGAACTACTGACGTGAGCCACCATGCCTGGCTAATTTTTTTTCTATACTTTTTGTAGATACAGGGTTTCACCATGTTGTTCAGGCTGGTCTCAAACTCCTGGGCTCAAGCAATCAACCTGCCTTGGCCTCCCAAAGTGCTGGGACTACAGGTGTGAGCCACTGTGCCTGGGCAACAATTTTTTTAAGTTAGCTTCAAATTCCATGGACATTTCAAAACTTAATATATATGTTTTTGTAGTTAAAGATTTACTGATAATTTAGTTTTAAACTTTCAAATTATTTTTTAAAAATAATTTTGACTCCTGAAAATTAAATAAAAATTTTTGAAAGCACACCCAATAATTAAAAACTTAACTGCATAGCAAATTGGTAATCTAACAATACAAATTAGTAATCAAAAAATGCAAGTGACTTTTAAACAACTATAGGACAAAAATCTAAAGAGGAAAACTGTAAAAAGCAAAAAAATCCCAAAATGTCCTTGGCAGTTTTACTGTTAGAAATATTGGTATTGACATGTTGAAACTATGTATATATGGATATATAAAGATATATTTTAAAATATATATTATATAAAATATATATTCTAGTAACATATAGGTAAAATATATATATATTTATATTTTTTTCTTTTTTCTTTTTTAGGGGAAAGCATGAATGCAGTCCCCCACTACCACAAATCATGCAGTCGAGTTTCGCACTTTTGGGGAAATCACAGGGGTCAGCACACCCAGAGTGCAATGGATAAACCTCGCCCTGGGAAAACCACCTTCGTGATCATGTTATCTCCCCTGCCAGGTAAGAATGGGATATAGAATAAATGTTATTTATTAACAGCCATAATTGTTAATGTAAGGCAATAAATATAAATTAAATTGAAGAAAAACCTTGTAATGTTAAATTTGAATTGGAGATATCAATATGAAGTCAACTGTTGAAATACATGTATTTTTTAATGCTGTCTACTCAAAGGGCCTGGAAACAAGGACATCCTAGGACTGTGAGCATTCTAAACACCCAGACTTTGGTTTCCAAATACTACTCCCCACTGAAAGAAACCAGCGTTTCTTGGCAAAATGGTGATTCCAGATACGAGACAGTAAAAGTGTAAGGTGAGGCAGAGGCAGCTTGTAGGGCCAGAAAGCATAAAAGCACTCAAAGATAATAGGGCATTTCAGAAGGACACAGGAGTATGTTTGAAGGGGCTATCACTGGTTAATTCTGAGTCAATTAACATCAAAAACAAACAAATATTAACACAGAGAAAAAAGAAATCCCTAAATCTACAGTGCTAGTTAAAAGGAAAAATAAAACTAAATTGCTAGGGCTGGGCGCAGTGGCTCACGCCTGTAATCCCAACACTTTCAGAGGCCAAGGTGGGTGGATCACCTGAGGTCAGGAGTTCAAGACAAGCCTGGCCAACATGGTGAAATCCTGTCTCTATCAAAAATACAAAAATTAGCCAGGCATGGTGGCAGGCACCTGTAATCCCAGCTACTTGGGAGGCTGAGGCAGGAGAATCACTTGAACCCGGGGGGTGAAGGTTGCCATGAGCCGAGATCGTGCCATTGCCCTCCAGCCTGGGCAACAAGTGTGAAACTCCATCTCAAACAAACAAACAAACAAACAAAAAACTAAATTGTTACAACTGAAGGTGACTATTATACTAGTTACTTATTCTGAAAATTGATAATTAAAGGAGAGAAATTAAACACTGACCTATCTTGCTGAGAAAAAAACTAGTTTTTTCCCAGTTAATAAAGTACTATGGACTGAATGTTTGTGTCTCTGCCAAAATTCATATGTTGAAATCCTAACCCCTAATAGGATGCTGTTAAGAGATGGGGCTTTTGGATGGCCGGGCGCGGTGGCTCACGCCTGTAATCCCAGCACTTTGGGAGGCTGAGGTGGGTGGATGAGGTCAGGGGTTCGAGACCAGCCTGACCAATATGGTGAAACCCTGTCTCTACTAAAAATACAAAAATTAGCTGGGCGTGGTGGCGGGCGCCTGTAATCCCAGCTATTCAGGAGGCTGAGGCAGGAGAATTGCTTGAACCTGGGAGGCAGAGGTTGCAGTGAGGCGAGATTGTGCCACCACACTCCAGCCTGGGTGACAGAGCGAGACTCTGTCTCAAAAAAAAAAAAAAAAAAAAAAAGAGATGGGGCTTTTGGGAGGTAATTGGGTCATGAAGGTGGAGCCCTGGTGAATGGGATTGGTGCCTTTATAAGAGAAACCCCTGGGAGCTCTCTGGCTTTCTTTCCTACATGTGAGGCTACAAGAAGGTGGCAGTCTATAACCAGGAAGAGGGCCCTCACTGGAACCTGACCATGCTGGCACCCTGATCTGACTTCCAGCCTCCGGAACTGTGAAAAGTAAATTTGTTGTTTATGTACCACTCAGTCTGCGATACTTTGTTACAGCAGCCCAGACTAAGAAATAATAAAGAAATGTTATTTTTTACAGAAAAATGCCATCATGTAGAGGAATTGATAATTGGAAAATAATCATTCTGCAATCTGCAATGACATAATTGGTTTGGGCAAAGATCATCCACAGATGCTAAATCTCTTAGATGAAAGATTATTGTCAAAAGAGTGGTTACGTGGTGCCACCTCACAGATTTCTTGCTAATTTCATGGAGATAAACATACCTTTACAAGGGAAAGATATGGTGGTGAAACCAAGTGATCAAACATGGGTCCTGTGAGTGGGATGACCCGGCACTGCATGAGTGGGATACATCTCCTGATGTGACGCAACTTGAAATGCACAGCATCAGCTAGAAAGTATTCTTCCCAATCTAACTAAGCCTTTAAGCATAAATCCCAGTGTACGGGAAACAAAGGAGATAGAGAATTGGGCTAAACATCACAAGGAAACAACTAGAAAAAACTAAAACATTATGATAGTCTGTAGAAAACTAGTTTGGTTTCTTCAAAAGGTCAACCTTATAATAAAAAGGCCATAAAAAGACATTTCTGGGATGGGGGCGGTGGAAATGCAAATATGGACCATATGTCATGAATCAATGAGAAGTTTCTCGGGGGCAATAATGGTTTGTGCTTCTGCAGGAGAAATGTGCTTGTTCTTAGGTGATTCAGACTGAAATATTTAAGGGTTAGATAATTTAAAAGGATTCAAAGGAAAAAATGTATTTAGGGAGATAAAGCAAACTAGCGAAATGTTAATAACATGAATCTAGGTGAAAGATATTCAGGTACACGTTAAATTATTCTTTCAACACTTCTACATGTTTGAAATGTTTAATAAAAGGTTGAGAGAAGAATCTACATCTTGCTTTAATCCTATGAGGAAATGAAAGTTTTTACAGATGCATAAAATAAAATGTGAAAACATATGTAAAATTCAAAATTATAGAAAAAGGAATAAAAGAAAATATCAAGAATGGGAGGAGTTTCAATGCACATATACTAACCACAGTTCAGATACTTATTAAAAATTAAGACTCAAATGTAGTTCTCGGTTTCCTGGCTGCCACGCAGAACTGTGGCCACTGTCGCAACTTTCCGTCATCCAAAGGCCAACACTGCTAGTTCTGTAGGGAAACTAGAGCTGGTTCAGAGGAAATGCTTCTTCCCATGGGTTTCCTATGGGAAAAACTCATTGATAAAGGGAACAACATCCTCATCATCACCCCCACAATATATGCAAGGGGAAGGGAGCCTACTCCTTTCTATTGTCTGTCTTGCTATAGAAGATAAGGAAGTTCTATTGTCTATCTCTCTACAGAAGGTAAGGGGGTAGTTCCAAAGTCAAGTGCACTGAAAGCCCTATTGGGAAGAGAGGTAGGTAGGGATGAAGAATAAAGACAAAATTCACAGAGTACTACAGAGATGGCCAAGCTGCACGTCATTCAAATTAACTTCCATACATGCCATCTGCTCCAAAAAAGTCTTCTGATAAAAAGCTGGGCAGCAGACCAAAAAACAAAACAAAGCAAAACAAAACAAAACATGAAAAAAACAACAAAAACCGTCATTTTCTGTTTGTTGCTCACATACGGAAACAAGATTGATTTCTGTATTGTTGAAAAGAGATCAGCTTTTTCTTTAAAGCTGAGCAGCACATTTACTGTTGAACTCTGACAAGTATAAACAGTGTAGAAATTACTTCTGGAAAAACTAGATCACTCAGGCAACTCTTAACCGCAATGGATGGCCACCCCACCTGCACATAGCCAGAGTTTTTCTTAAAAGTTACTCTGGTCTGCTGCAACTCAGGAATGATCTACAGTCTAGAAAATCTTAACATTTAATGCTGAAAAGTAACGCATCTGACACTTTGATCACTCTCCACAAGCTTTACCCTTTTGCCTTATGTGCACACTACTTCTAATTATTTGGGGTAGTCACAGGGGTGGGGGTGGGCAGGAGTGACCTTGGCAAGTTACTGATAGCTCAGTTTCTCCACCTAAAAATGAGGATAATTTAGTATTTAACCTCTCAGGGTTATGAAGATCAAATGAGTTTTATAACAACCTGTGAAAGCCTGGCATACTGTAGGGCCTCAAAAATGTTACAGCACACTTATTTTTTAGGTAGATTCATCGTAAGTAATCGCCATGAAATCACGAGTATCACATCAAAGCTTTACTTTTATTTAACAGACATTGAGAGAATATGCCTCTTAAATCATTTTGTAGCCATCAGAAATAGGTAAATGTTTGTCACTCTCTTCTGGAAGGCAGAATGACACAAAAGCAATATTAAAAAAAAACATAAAAATAAAAAATTTAGAAGTATGTTTGTTTTGGGAAAGAAGAGGGAGAATAGACCAAAATTTTCTTCTAGTGGTCAAGAGATACTTCCTATGACCCTGACCCTCACCCACAGTATAGGCTTAGTATAAGCTTCAGGGATTAGACATCTGGTAACTAATATAGTTTCCTCTAAACCAGCCACTTTCCAGAGTCAAACACAGGAGAGTCAGCAAAAGCCACTGTGTTAGAATGCTCTTGAAAAATTTCCCCATGTGATAAAGAATGTACTGATCCCAGTAATAGTAGAATAATAGGCCAAATGTAGGGTGACCAGCTATCCCAGTTTGCCTGGCACTATTCTGGTTTTAGTGCTGAAAGTTTTCCCACCCTCTCGCTTCCTGGCAAACCATGATGTTGGTAACCCTCCTTAAAGCTAATTTGCTCTTCATGTAAAACACTGCTCCAAGCGACACAGACTGGAGACTTTTTAAGTTGGAAACTGACATAGATATCAGACAGTACGTCCAACAAACTACTAAGTCTAAAGTTGAGGAAGGCAGAAAGGGGCAAACTATACTTCAGACACACGCAGAACCCAGAGAGGATTATCTCTGAGGCAATGAGCAGAAACAGGTTGTCATGGAATGAAGCCCAAGAGTCACAACAGATTTTGAACACTGCGGTGCCAAAAGCGCTAAGGTTTCAATTAGCAGCGAGAAAAGATGACTTCTTAGGACCCAACATCATTGGGTTAATGTGTTACATTTGGGGCTGATTCCTTGGATCCCTGGGATTTCAAGTTGTATGAATCCAATCTTCCGGTAATCAGTAGAAAGTTCAAGACTTTTTCATCTAAAGCACCCATGTTATTCCAGGTCTCTGGGCCTGTGAATGAACTGTCAAGTGAAGAGTCAACAACTGAGTCCAATTTTCATGCTTCTTTGCATGTCTGGCAATTTTTAATTAGATTCCTGACACTGATTTTGAGCTTATTGGGTACTGGATATTTTTGTATATCCATAAATATTCTTGAGCTGTGTTCTCAAACAAAGGGACATAGTTACTTTGAAAGAGTTTGATCCTTTCAGGTTTTCCCTTTAAGATGTGTTATGTGGGATGAGACTGTGTTAAGTGTACAGCTAATTATCCACTACTATTTAAGGCAAGACCCTTCCAAATGCACTGTGAATGAGGTTTTCCCATTTGGTTGATGGAAGAGGCACTATTCTTGGCTCTGTGCAAGCACTGGGTACTGTTCCCTCTAATGCATTTGGATGGCTTCTTCTCCAGCTGGTTTCCTCATGTGAATGTGCTGATCAGAACCTTGGTGAATACTTGAGGTAGACTCTCTGCAGATCTCCAGAACTCTCCCTCTGTACAACTATGTCTTCTCCAGGACACTGTTCTGTGAAATCTAGCTTTCTTGGTCTCCTCAGACTCTCAACTCCTCTTCAACTCAGAGGGTTTGCTTGGTTCTGCCTGGGTGGGGGCCTCTCTAATGAGCATAAGTTAAAGAGGGGGCAATCTCTCAAAGTGGGGACAATCACAGGGCTCACCCCATTTCCTTCCCATCTTTCAGAGATCACTATCTTTTGTTGCCTGATGCCCAGTGTCCCACAAACCATTGTTTCATGTATTTGTTGTCTCTTTTTTTTATTTTGTCAGATGAGATGGTACATCCAATGTATTACTGTTACTTCATCTTGGTTAGATGCAGAAATATCCCAGGCTCATTTTCAAGCTAGATGAAGGATATTGAATGTGCCCAATACAACAAAATGATAAATGTTTGAGATGATATGGTAATTGCCCTGATCTGATCACTATATGTATTGCAACATCATTATGTATCCCATAAATATGTACAACTATGTGTCAATTTTAAAAATTAAAAATTAAAAGAGGGAATCTTTGTCAACGTTTTAAAAATGAACTGATGCCAAACAGGATCTGACACTGTATCTAGTACTGCACTGAAAATTTTACTTTAGAGAGTGAAGCAGTATTTATAACAATGGATGGGATCTTGTGGCTTTTTGGGTGATCACAAGAGCAGGAAAGATCCCTACGGCTTCACAGGGTACCAGACACTTGGCATTTTGTCACAATAATCTATTTCACCTCCTAGCTATGCTAGGATATTAATTTACCTAAGAATTGTCTTTTCTTAAATTGGGTAATACATAGGTCTAATGTGTATATGTGATCATTATAGTAGTTTATGAATCAGACTCAAAGGTGTGAAAGGATCTTCTGGAATCATATAATTCCCTACTGTCTTCACCTTCAGTGAAGACCAGATTTCAGTGTGTGCGTGTGGTGGAGAAAGGAGGGATGTAACTTATTTACCACAACATCCCTAGCACCCAGCAAAGGGCTGGCACAAAGACAGCACTCAAATATTTTAACAAACAAACAAATAAAGGAAGGAAGGAAGGAAAGATTACTACTGTTTTGGCCAGTTAAATATGTAACATGAACTCAAACTCCATTCAGTGGTTCCAAGGCATCTTGAGTGAAACATATATAACCTCCTTTGTCCTCCTGGTTTGGTTAGAAGCAAAGGGAAGAATGGTGGTTGTGATCAATGAGAACACAGATAACTGGGTTTTGTAGTTGTTACCCAACTAATCCTAGTTTTTTAAAAAATTTATTGTATTTATTCACATAATAGGTAAGATTATAAATCACTCCAAAGACATAACATCTGCTTATAAAACAGCCTCACATGCTCTTTATAAGTCCAAATTGAAAGTTCTCTTTTAGTCTTCATGATGATGCCTCAGGAACAGATTCAGCTGTTTTGGGTCTGGGTTCAAGTCCACTGAATGTCAAGTTTTTAAATTTTATTTAAGCCCTTCATGCTGAAGCTCAAATTCATGTTATCACATTGCTGTCACTGAAGGTCCTACTCAACCTTCACCTCTCCAAATTAGACCACCCTTGCTTGCTCTTTATACTAGCCCCTCATAACTCTGAACTTTATATTAAACATTTATTATATTGTGCACATTATATTTTATTGTACTCATTTGAAGGCACAGTTAGTTTTCTTTGTGAGGGTTTCATGAGGGCAGTCATGCACCCAGGTCAGCGCCTTGCATATATTTTTATATGATAATTACTTAATGTATATACCCTTATCTATTTGTCATGAGGCTTCAGACTTTTTATGGCTCCCCTTTGACCCATCTTTCAAAAATAAGTCCTAGTCTACATTTGCAATGGATCCCCAAATGGACCATTACCACCACCACCACCACCCCATCACCCCACCACGCCCCCTACCACTCCCCAGATAATCTCTCCATTGCTTTCACTTCCATTTGATTTTACATCTCTTTCAGTAGCTGCCACAGAGAGCCTTGTATTATAATTACATAATCAGGTATCTTTCTACCCTATTAAATTGACAAGAATCCAGAGTCAGAACTCAGTAGTATTCATCTTTGTGCTGCCTGCAGGATGTGGCCCAGAGATTGGGGTACAAATAATTATATTATGCTATTATTGATTACAGGCACCAATTGAGATTGGCTAAGCCTTTCCCTAGGGTTTCTAGCCAGTTTAATAAGCTAATTTAGGCTCATTTTTCAGCCCTGCCAAGTGTAACTGCAAAGAGGAAATGCTTTTTTTGTTGTTGTTGTTGTTTTTTTCATAAATAACTCTACAGGTTTCCTAAAAGTTTGCTTTTCAGAAACCACTTGCAAGCATGCAATCTGTCTCCCCTACTGTCCACACCTCCACAGGGCAGAAATTGTGAGTAAACTGCCATTCCTATAGTGTCCCGGCAGGTCTGCCTAAGCTTTCAAAACTGTCCTCAAACTTTTTTAGTCAAATTTTACACTGTGTCTAATACTCAGTTGACAGGAAAACTGAAATGCTGGTCATCAAAATCTTCTTAAGGCTTTAAGCAAATAAGGAGATATGGGTAAACATGACTATTATTCAATGTCAGTTTTATTCCTCAGCTATAACACCTTTATAATTTAACTGCTTTGGTACAATACAGGAGCTTTAAATACCTCTCACTCTCTGCCAGATGAGGAAGATGAACAGTCATGGGGGACAAAATGTTTTAATTCATAGAATTTCAAGAGAATACAACCTAAAACCCATTTTAAAGATTTCTTCCTTTATTCTAATTGTCACACATTAATTTCTCATTATTTGCTTCATACTATGTACAAACACAAATGAGCTAAAAAATCCGTAAAGTCAGAAGCTAACTTGGTAGCAACAGGCTGACAATTACCATAATGGATACATATGAATTCTATAACCATATACATTGATCCAGCTTCAGTAACAGCAGCAAATGCTATCCCTGGAAGAAACAGGGGAGGGGTAGCTTAAGGTGGCTGTATTAGGAAACAAGCCACTAGGAAGCATGCGATCTTCAATTCTAGTTCCTCATTAACATTCATCCAAAAAACAAGGGGGAAATAGTGTGTAAAAAGCAAGGTCAGATCTCAAAACAGGTGGATGTTACATTTTCACATCTAGCTCTGGAATCAGTAATTTGTTCATTTTTGTGCCTTTTCCGGCTCCACAGGTAAAGCAAGATGCCCAAATGTCTGTTTTCAAAATGAACCCTGCAGTGACTTGCATTTTAAACAGCATGGTGCATTATCTTTAATAATAGCACTGGCCACATTTTGGAGGAAGTTAACTGTCTCAGCAAATGACAGAAAATGATCCTTTCACATCTGCAGCTAGTAATCTAAGCTCTGAATAGTGATTCATTCACATCAGTCAGTCAAATAATGGCCTAATTCCTCTTCCAAATTTATACTGCTTATTGTCTTATGGAACAATCACATATGCAAAGCCTTCAAGGCTTTGCATTCAAAAATGTCAAGTTAGGAAATAGATCACCTGAATGAGAAGAAACAAAGCTATCATCTGACACCAGTGCTTGCCACCAGGCCCTTCACATCCCAAGGGACAAAGCCCCTGCCTTGAAAAAACCTAAGGAGAGGGCACATCCATTGTTGCTGTGGGGGCCACCTTCTGCCTAGAATTTCCTCAGTAGGCTTCTCTTTCACTTCTTAAGAGACATTCAAGAGTTAGAAGCACAGAATTAAAAAGGAATACAGCATGCGCTAACAGAGAACATTATAAACCCAAGAGGCTGAAAGAGAAAGTAGGCATGTGTGCTTGTCTTCTGGGGAGGTGAAGACGTGAGGATAATCTGTTCTCATGCTGCTATGAAGAAATATCCGAGACTGGGTAATTTATTTAAAAAACAGGTTTAATTGACTCACAGTTCCACATGGCTGGGGAGGCCTCAGGAAGCCTACAATCGAGTCAGAAGGAGAAGCAAATACATCCTTCTTCACATGGTGGTGGGAAGGAGGAGTGCAAAGCAAAGGGGGGAAAGTCCCTTATAAAACCATTACCATTAGATCTCGTGAGAACTCACTATCATGCAGACAGCATGGGGGTAACCACCCCCACGATTCAATTACCCTACCGGGTCCCTCTCATGACACATGGGGATTATAGGAACTACAATTCAAGATGAGATTTGGGTGGGGACACAGCCAAACCATATTACAGGGGATGTTGAAAAGAATCAACAATCAAAACCTTGAAAGTATACCTTTCAAGCCTAAAGATCTTAATATATATCCATTTAAAAAATCAAGAAACAAAACAGGCACAAAGCTCTATGTCATCTAAACTGATAATTATGGGAAAAGCAGAAGTCAGACTTTGAAAATGATTTATATAAACTGTTTCATCTTTCAGATGAAGAAAATGAACTGTAGAAAATTCTCCAAGTTGTCCAAGGTCATATGGTGATAACCCTGATTATGACGTACTGAATCCCTGACGCATCTCCTACAACTCAGTGTTGAAAGGCTCAGCATGCCTTGGTGCTCCTCCTTCCAAGCGTAAAGATTAAATTTACAACATCACTATAACCTCTGCCTTCTAAAGAATCATATTCCAATATCCCCTGCTCCGATTTACAGCAGTTTGAATTGTTGCTATTAAGTTTCCTCGCCACAGAAACAATGGGGTTGTTGGATGAACATGGCTTAACACTGACTGGGTGTGGGAAAATGAAACTGCACTGTCTCTTATTTCGTGTTTTATCATTTACCCAGCACTTCCAGATGCATCATCTTCCTTAACACTCAACACTCCTATGTGGCAGGAAGAGCAGGCATTACACCTCCCTTCTTCTAGATAAGAAAACTGAGTCTCAGACCTGCCTAATGGCAACAAAATGTAATACGAGTAAGACGATATTGGAAACTAAGACAGGCAGTGAGATTTATTGAGATTAGCATCAGCTTAAAAATTGAACTAGACTAGGTTAAAATCCCACTTGCTTCTTTACTAGCAAAATAAGCTATGGGCCTCATTTCTCTCCTCTGAATCGGAGCTACCATAACCACCTTCCTTCCAGGCATTTTTGAGGATTAGACAGAGATTCTGCAAAATGCCTGGCACAGCAGCAGTCTCTCAGCAAATGCCGGCTAGCATTAGGAAGCACTAAAATTAAACATTCCAACAAATCACAAGTTTCAAGTCCTGGAAACAGTAAGTAGTTAATACTAACAGTTTCATTTAAACTACAGAATCTTCAGACATGGAGCTGACAACAGATGATTAGCTTCAGTTGACATTTATAGCCATCCCCTTTTCTATTTGTTTAAATATTTCTGGCTCTATTGACTTTCTATGACTTTTTGCAGGTTGCTTTCTCCTCGTCAGACACATTGCACACTTTGTATATTCAAATACATGTCTTATTCTCCATTTTACTCCCAGTAATAGATCGTTTAATTCCAGAACAGAAGCCATATGGTTATAGAGAAAGAGGCAGGTGAGGAAACGAACCCTCACCGCTAAGACTTCCTGGAAGGAATCAGTAAGTCTCATTCCCTTAAGCAGGGCATAGACCCAAACATTTCCTGGGCCAGAATGCTGTATCTAGGGCACCGTGGTGCTTGCAGCAAGCTGGAGAGCATGTGTCCCTTCTAAAGGGGCAGCTTGTACACAGCTCCAGCTGCCTGGGAATATGGCTCAGTGTTACCAAGTCTCCAGGCATTTCAAGGAAAGCCAAGAATCTGTATTATGAAAAATTTCTAGATTTTTGAAAATACAATGTGGGCCAAACAAAATAATGCTTATGTGCAAATCTGGCCCAAACCAAATAATGCTTATGTGCAAATAATGCTTATGCGCAAATCTGGTCACCAACATTTCCTGTGTTACCCTAAAGCCTTCTGAGATCTAATACACCAAATTGCAGAGAAACTCTGCCCTAGAGTTTTCTACCTGGAAAATTGTGCAGAGAGCAAAGATCATGACAGACCCAGAGAGCGGGCTGCTGACCTAAAAAGGATGAAATCTTAAACAGAATCCACTGGAAAGTAGGAAGATGGAGAAGTCGGGGGTTAGGATATAAGATGGCTACTGGCCCCAGGAGAGGCAAGAGTTCTAATGGTCAGAAGATGACAGTGAGAGTGATTAGCTGGAAAACAAGGCCTTTGAGAGAGGTTTTTGCATGAAAAAACAGATATAAGGGCTTTTCACTACATATAAGGCTGTGACCTAAATAAACTTGAATGTCTGCGAGAGGCAAACTGACTTGAGTACTTCTGAGCATCTATCGAGTCTTCAAGGCTTTCAGATGCATGAATGATATATGATCCTTAGGCCTCTTTCAAAGACTTTGTTTTGATGACATAACCCATGCCTCTTTGAATGTCATTTCTAGAGGGCTGAAATTGAAAAAACTTGGAATAAAAAGAAATGTAAAAGAATCTTTGTGAATTTGGTGTACAGCTTTAACAGATATGTACAGACATCTATCTTCTCTGATGAAACAAACCTAGAAGTAGCAAAGAGAGGCAGCACTTTAATATCATATTTAGAAATATATGACTCATGGCATAATCAACTTTAAAAAATGTGCTGAGAAAATCCATTAGTCAGAGATTCCAATCATTCTTTTATATATGAAAGGCAGAGATATAGTAAAACACCAATTTATCCTTTATCATCTAATTTAACAGACATCATTTCAATCTTTTAAAAATGCTTTAGTGAAAATTCAATACATTTTTAAATGGAGATTTTTGCTCTCCAAGGTAGAATAATATCAAATAACCCTAAGAATCACTCAAAGTTTTAAATTCACAGAAATTATATTATACAGCATTGCTTCCACTTACAGAGCTGTTTTTGTTTGTTTTTGTTTTTAGACAGAGGCTCACTCCATCACCCAGGCTGGAGTGCAGTGGCGTGATCTCAATTCACTGCAACCTCCACCTCCTGGGCCCAAGTGATCCTTCCACCTCAGCCTCCAGCATAGCTGGGACCGCAGGTGCGTGCCACTACACCTGGCTAATTTTTCTGACTTTTTTTTTTTGTAGAGATGGGGGTCTCACCATGTTGCCAAGACTGGTCTCAAACTCCTGGGCTCAAGCAATCCCCCTGCTCTCACCTCCCAAAGTGTTGGGATTACAGGCATGAGCGACTGTGCCTGGCCCAGAGCTGTTTAAGTAAAAATGATTATAACTTTAACCACACCCCATTATTCACAAATGTGGACTTTATAGGCCACATATTCCTATTCAGAGATACTCATTCAAAATGCAAAAGGGTGTCTAATACTATGGCTAAATTGTTGATCACCTATATTCCATTTCCCACAAGTGAATTTTCAATGGACTCACTTTCACACATAAGGTAATATAACAATTAGTGTTCCCCAAAAGAAAGCAAATGTGTAGAGGCAATACTGTCATTCTCCATAAGCCTAAGTTTGGAAATTTTTAAATTTGCTTGTTAAGTAAGAGTTAATCTGACTCTTACTATAGGCACTATAGGGTTGCTATTGTCTTACACCGTACCATCAAGGTGAATGAAAAGGGAGAACTGAATTTCAGGAAAAAAGTGGGTTTAATTTTAAAGCTGGAAAAGGGTTCAGGGATATTTTCTCATTTGACAGACACAGGAAACACAGTCACTAAATATGACTAAGACCACTGCCCAATTTGTCAGCAGAATTCAGGTATCCTAATTTCATTCCCAATGCTTTTTCCATTATCGAGGCTCTTGATAAAAACTGGCAAAGCAATAAATCTAACCATGAGACATAAGGATCTTTTCTAGCTCCATTCATCCACATCATTGTTATAATCTCATTTTGCACATTTATCTGCTAGCACCAACACTTTAAGTTTAGAGCACTGGTTCTACTGCAGGGGATATTTGACAATGTCTGAAGACAGTTTGGTTGCAGCAGCCAGGTAAGGGTGCTACAGGCATCTAGTGGGCAGAGCCCAGGGATGCTGGCAAACATCCTGTAATGTGCAAGACAGCCCTCGACAACAAAAATTAGCCCACCCAAAATGTCATTAGTGCCAAGGCTACAAAAGGCTGGTCTACAGGTAAAGTAAGAAGGTGGGCGCTTCTACAAAGCAAGTTTGCAGTAATAAAGTTGGGTATGGCATTACTGTTGAAGCATGGTACATAACTTGTAAGGTAAGAACTAATATTGGTTTAAAAAAATCAGAAATAGGCATTATATTTAAAGAAGATAACATGAACCTAGAGTGACTGGCCACTTAGCTGACATTCTCATGCCACCAGAATTTGTGAACTGTGCAATGAGCACTTGCTGGTTTTGTCTGCTATATAGAATTTTAGCTTTGCAGGATTGCAGGATATTTAGCATTGCTGTCAGTTTAGAACAACCAAGTTACTTTTATGTTGCAGGAACAAAATATACGTAGATATATGAAAACTTTTTTAATATTGAAATTCATGCAGGAAAATTAGATTTGGAAATCCAAACCTCTCTTTAACCCTTAACCACTTTATCTTCCCACTGAGAACTTCTTAAATCAAAGCAGTCATTCTTAAAGCTAGAATTATCACATAATAATAGTGGAACAGATTCACACACACAGGTACAATATGAGTAAAATGTTTTTATGAGAAACTTGCTTTCAATATGCAACTCAAGTTCCCTTAAGCTAAGCCTACAAGAAATGGCACAAATTTGAGTAAACTGTTTCCCCTGCATGACCTTTGAAAATACTTTTGAAGTCCAAAAGGCCTCAATAGACTATTTTAGGATTATTACTTTTTAAAGGTGAAGCTTTAAGATGATAATTTGAGCAATCACAATGAGAAATGATAAACTGCCAATAATACTTAAATGTCCACTCCTCATTAGGGCCAAATGAATTCTCTCTCGGCAGAGGGAAAGAGCACTTGGCTGGCTGGCCAAATCCTGTGGATAATTATTTTTCCTTTTGCTCATTCTCTCCAATTAAGAGTGAAGACTATGTCTGTCACTAGGGAGGGATTGCAAAGAAGCCCCTCCTAAGAAGGTGTCCTTTCATTTTATTTAGTAGCCTGACAAGGATCTGGTCCAAGCTTTTCAGAAAGACGTCACCAGATCTCCTCAGCTCCCCAGAATAACTCTCTGTCCAAGCAGCTGGCTTCCAACCATCCCACAAACTGCCATCCAGAGACACATTTATTCATGTGGTTCCTTCCCTCCACCCCATCACCGTCACTGTCTGTAATATCCTCCCCTCCTCTGTCTCTCTAGTCTCCACATGCCCTTCAGGGTTCAGCTCCTAGTTTTGACCTCCCTGCTCTCAAACCTTCCCACTAGGAACTTCACCCTCACTTGAATTCCAACTGTATTCTCTCTGGATCATTTTTTCTGGCCCTTTGTCATTTTTTTAAAATCTCTTCTAGATTATTAAAGGTCTCACTTAACCTCCGTCTCCCGGGCTCAAGCTATTCTCATGTCTCAGCCTCCTGAGTAGCTGGGACTACAGGCATGTGCCACCACGTCCTGCTAATTTTTTTTATTTCTAGTAGAGATGGGGTTTTGCCATGTTGCCCAGGCTGGTCTCGAACCCTGGGATCAAATGATCCACCTGCCTTGGCCTCCCACAGTGCTGGGATTACAGGCCTGAGCCACCATGCCTGGCCTAAAGGGCTCACTTCTAACAGGTTTCTCTTTCTAGGTAAAGAGAATATTAAAAAGTATATTTTTCAGACTCCCTATAAGACCCAGTTAAACACCCAAATTGTTCTTGACCAGTAGTAACCACTTAATGCATAAGTAGCCACAGCGACTATTGGGTCCCAGCTCAGTTTATAAATTCCCTAAACTTCCAGCTCAGCAAAAGAGCTTTTTCTCAGCATGCATTTATACAAGCCAACGTCTGTGGTGAACTCCAAGCATTCTCTTCCAAGCAGTCTAGTTATGTCAGATGTGGGAGGGGTGTCATTGGAGTAAGAAACTGCGAAGAGGGAAAGCCAAGAGACTTGTGTCAAGCTGTTTTTTTACTCTCTTCTTCCTGTGTCCCTTGATCTCAGCAGGGCTCCCCGACCCTGTCCTTTTGATGTCTTGCTATCCCACTGGGAGGTAAAGAGCCTGTCCAGTTCCTCCAGGACTAGGGTTTGGAGCACTGACTTTGGTACTTCCTGACATCTACACTTATCCCCTCTGGTGGTTTTAAAGCCTGTTCACAAATTCCTTGACATCCATCCCTTCAAAAAGTGAAGCCTAATTCCCTCCCTCCTAAGTGTGGGCAAGACTTAATGACTTGCATCTAGTTTATAAAATATGGTGGCAGGAAGAGTGTGTAAACAGGTGGTAAAAGACATCAAGGCTTCCTCTTTGCTCTTTTGGATCATTCACCACGAGGAAGTCAGCTACTATGTCATGAGGGCACACGGCAAAGAACTGAGGTTTCCTACCAAAAACTAGCACTAACTGGCCAACCACAGGAGTGAGCCATTTCAGATAGGATCCTCCAGCACCAGTCAAATCTTCAGATGCCTATGACTCCAGCTAATATCAGGATGGGAACCTCATGAGAGGCTGAGCCAGAAATACCCAGATAAGCCGCTCCCAGATTCCTGACCCACAGAAACAGTGTGACATAATAAATACTTGTTTTAGGCCACTGAGACTGGGATAACCTGTACAGCAATAGATAACTAGTACAGCACTGTTCCCCTTTCTCCATTCTGTCACTTAGAATTGAGTCCATGACGCTCATCCCTAGGGATGAGCTCCTTCAAGGCCAGTCTTAATCAGTATTTCTCTACCCTGCTCCCTTCCACCCCACACCCCATGCTTTCCCCCTCCTGCCTCAAGGTTTCACATACAGCAGGCATTCCACAAATGTTTATTCAAGAAATACCTCCAGTTCCAGCCTTTCCTGTGGCTCATTCACAACCCAGAAAAATGTACCAAAAAGCTGAGTTGATCCTCGAATGCTTACAGAACTTAAGACAGTGCATGGTAATTTGTAACCTGTCTCCTGATTATGAAGAGTTTATTATTAATACAGGATCTGGATTTGGAGCATTAAATTTGGCTGACACTTTCATCTGTCTGTGCTAATCTAATGCTAAGTCATAGCTTCAATGCCTTTATCTCCATGGTCCTCACTTCAGATAATCAGTCATTTACTTTATCAGTCACTTACTGCACATTAGAAGTGCTGAAAATTCTATTTTACACCAGAGCAATGGTCCTTCAAACTTTGTATCTTTAAACTTTCCCCTTTGATTGTTTTGCCCTCTTACCTACTTTCCTTCTGAATTCACCTTCCTGCCTCCTCCCATAGACCCATATTAGTGCTAAATATAACCGCAGGGAAACAAAACACGCTAGGATCTCATCATAGCTGATACAATGACTTTAAAGTAGCTTCCTCTCCTGAAATACATCTTATGAGCACTATTTTTTTTTTTTTTTTTTTTTTTTTTTTTTTGAGACAGAGTCTCACTCTGTCACCCAGGCTGGAGTGCAGTGGCGCGATCTCGGCTCACTGCAAGCTCCGCCTCCCGGATTCACGCCATTCTCCTGCCTCAGCCTCCCAAATAGCTGGGACTACAGGTGCCTGCCACCACACCTGGCTATTTTTTTTTTTTCTGTATTTTTAGTAGAAACGGGGTTTCACCGTGTTAGCCAGGATGGTCTTGACTTATGAGTACATTTATCCAGCAAAGAAAGCAAATGTTCTTTTGGAATTTGCTTATGATGCCCAAAAACCAGTGTTAGGAGCAAAATGCATTGCCTTTTCATGGGCATCACAGCAGCTGGTGTAAATGCCCATATTACGTTCTGGGGTGCTTCCAGAGGGTTGGTTATGTTTTTCATTTTGTCACTATCGTCTCAGTGTCTCACCATGTCTAACAAGATGTAATAGGACTGTGGGACTTCGACAAGGTTGAGAGCAGTGTAGGTTACCAAAAGGCTGCCAAATGCATGATAACTGCCCTCCTCCCCTGGCTTGTCCTAAACCTGCAGTGTGCTACCAAGGATTGAAAGCAGTTTTCTTAATACCAAGAACAGTTCAAGGCCAATCAGACTTCTTAGAAGCCAGGTGTATGACACCATGGTCTGTTCTGCTCAATCTACATCCCCCTTAATAGCATCTGGAAATTAAGGATTTGTTATAGATTCCCTGTAAAGACCATGTAACATCTGAGCCTGAACAACGTGTAGGTCGCAAGCTGGAGCCCGCTTCCTGCTAGGGCCATCCACAAAGCCTTCCCTGCCTCGGCGACTCAGGCAGAATTGTCTCTGCTCTGGCAGTGAAGAACCTGGGTTAAAGAGCAGCAGATCCCACACTTGCCCCTCCCCCAAATAGATAAACCCACAGCTGGATTTTAAAAACAAGGACGGCATCCACTGAACACCATCTTATTGACCGCTACTGAAACATTCACTGTTTCTGTAGCAACTAATTCTCAGCAGGAAATGAGCTCAAATTTTAATTTTTACTTTTAAGAGCTGTTTACACTTACCTCAAGAATATTACAATACCCTGTACAAATATGCACAGGAGAAGATGCATAACTTGAGATACGGAAGTGCCAATGGGGAAAAGAACTGCTTCAGAGATGATAAAAAAACATGGCAGCAGCCACTGGCACACAAATGGGTGCGCACGATGGTGCAAACACTACGCACAGGGCTGTTTGCGCATTGTCATCTAACACCCTCAATCTCCAATGAGTTCCTCAGGATACCCAATTTCTCACTTAAGAAGCTGAGGTTCCCTAAGCCTGTAAAACTTGTCCAGAGTTACACAGCCAAAACTAGAAGAACCTGGATAAAAACCAGGTGTAAATGACTCCCAGACCTGGTCTGAACCACTCACTGTACCCACTGTGTGCTGTACCCACTATGTGCTGCGAAGTACACACAGTCACACAGATAACAACATGACTTGTGCCTCTGGAGGTACACCTTGCTGTATATGATGTCATACACTGATTCATCAATACCCTATATGTGGCTTTAGATATTAAGAACAAGGGTATAAAGGTACATTGCAATGAAAACAACCATCTTCCTGGAGTTTCTCTTATGGATTTGTTTTCACAGTATTTTCATTTTATCATTTATTTATGTATTACAAATAATGTTTTAGTACTCTTATTAAAGTCATTTAAAATCTTTTACTTTCAAATGTTTTTATATTTGACACTTCATTCATTTTAAGATTTATTCTAAATTCTTTACACATATAAATTCACTTAATCCTCAGAATTCAAAGGGGCATGTAATATTAATGGTACCATTTTATAGATGTGCAAACTGAAGCACTTGCCCAAGGTCCTAGAGTAACAGAGGGAGGATTTGGATGCAGGCAATGTGACTTCAGAAACTACAACTTAGCCACTAGACACACTGCCTCTATGCTACATTCTTAGCTGGTTCCCTGCCTCCAAGCCTTGCTGTCCTTCAAAACCACTACCACATAAAAGATCTCTCTGTGGATATTCTAACTTAAAACAGGAGCATGACAACATCCCATCTCCCGCTCAAAGTCCTTGCAAGGACTTCTCAATGCACTTGGGATAAAATTCAAAGTTCCGTAACCTGGCCTGAAACCGTGTATGAGCTAACCCCTGCCTCCATCACAGCCTCAAGAATGCTTCCTCTGAGTCTACTCTCTGGTCTTTTTCTTCAAACACATCATAATATTTTTAACTTCAAGGCCTTCAAACATGCTGTACCATGTGTGTGAGTCACTCTTACCCCCAACTCTTTTCTCAGCTGACTTCTGTTCACTTTTTACAGGTTGCCTTACAGTGCCTCAGAGAGAGGCCTTCCCAATCCTTCATCGAGGAGCAGGACCATGTTTAGATGCTCCCAGTACCCAACACAGGGCCTGGCATATTGCAGATGTTCAACAGATACTTGTTGAACAAACACTTGAAGTGCTACTCTAATCCCAGGAACTATCAAAAGCAGAAGGGAGGGTAGGACATCCACAGTAATTACATAGTGCAGTGAAATAAACTCTATGACAAAAATATGGGGAGGTATTGTGGGAGAAACGGAGAGGAAGCAAAGCTGAGATTGGAGATGCCTTGAGTCAGGGAGGGCATCCAGAGAAGAATCTAATCTTGGACTCGAATTTGACGAAATTGTGCACTAGTGAAAAGGGATGGAGCCAGGGCCTTGCAGCTCATTTTAGGAGGCTGGCCATTAGACTACAGAATTTGGGTAACCATAGAGGGGTTTTTAGCAATCAGATTTTGCTCCAGACAAAGCAGAAGAGAGATGAGAGGCTGACTGTAGGTAGGGAGATCAATGAAGAGGTCATTTCAGTTTTTCAAGAGAAATGAGAGGACAGCCTGAAGCAACATGGTGACAGCGGAAATGGGTGGAAATGGAGAAAAGAATGGATTTGAAAGATACTAAAGAGAAAGAATTTAGGGGACACAATCACAGATTAGACATGCTGAATAGGGGAGAAAAGAAGATTCTCTGGTTTCTGGCTTTGTCGACAGGACAGAATGGTTCTCTTAATGGATTAGGAGGGAATATGGGAGGATGACAGGTTTGTTCTTAGACTGGAACACCCAGGGACTTAATGCTAATATTAGACTCTTATAGAACATACGGACAAAGGATGTGAATAGACGTTTTTGCAAAGAAACATACAAATGGCCAATAAGCACAGGGAAAAATGCTCAACATCTTTAGTCATTAGGGAAATGCATATCAAAACCACAATGAAATACCACTTCACACCCACTGGGCTGGGTATTATAAAAAAAGATACAATAACAAGTGTTGCTGTGGATGTGGAGAAATTAGAACCCTTATCACTGGTGGTGGGAAGGTAAAATGGTGCAGCCACTTTGGAAAACAGTTTGGCAATTCCTGAAAAAGTTAAATATACATCATAAGATCTAGCAATTCCACTCCTAGGTATGTACCCAAGAGAACTGAAAACATGTTCACACAAAAACTTGTACATTAATGTTCATAACAGCCAAAGAGTGACAGCAGCCCAAATATCTATCAACTGGTGAATGGATAAATAAAATGTGATATATCCATACAATGGAATATTATTCAGCCATAAAAAGGAAGTACAGATCCATGCTACAACATGGATGAATCTTGAAAATACTATGCTAAGTGAAAGAAGCTAGACAAAAAAAACGATGTTATATGAGTCTATTTATATGAAATGTTCAGAATAGGCAAATCCATAGAGACAGCAAGTAGATTAGTGGTTAGTGCATAGGGGAGGCAGAGAATGGGGAGTAGTTACTGCTAATAAATACAGTGTTTCTTTTTGGGGTGATAAAAAGTTCTAGAATTAGTGGTAGTGGTTAGACAACCTTGTGAATATATTGAAAACCACCGAACTGTGGTACTTTTTTTTTTTTTTTTTTTTTGAGATAGGGTCTCACTCTGTTGTCCATGCTGGAGGGTACTGGTGCCATCTTGGCTCACTGCAACCTCCACCTCCTGGATTCAAGCCATCCTCCCATCTCAGCCTCCCAAGTAGCTGGGACTACAGGCATGTGTCACCACATCTGGCTAGTTTTTTGTATTTTTGGTAGAGACAGGGTTTTGCCATGTTGCCCAGGCTGGTGTCGAACTCATAAGCTCAAGCAATCCGCCCTCCTTGGCCTCCCAAAGTGCTGAGATTACAGGTGTGAGCCACCATGCCTGGCCAAAATTGTATATCTTAAATGGGTGAACTGTACGGCATATAAATCATATCTCAATTAAAAACAAAAACAAAAAAGAACACATGGATGGCACAGGGCAGGTCTGTGGCATCTGTAACTCTTACAGTGGGTCACAGAATATTAACTTTCAGGATTTACAAAGTCCTGCTCTAAGCTCTCACTAAGCTTTTGAAACCTGGATCTATGAAAATAAATACAGCATTCAGTTTCTAGCCAAATGTTTCTCCATAAACCTAAAGTTTAATGTGTGGCTTTTGTAATCTCATCAGAATTTCTGAGATGAGGTATAAACATGTTAATTAGAAGAAGACAACTTCAATCATTTTCTGTTCTAGCCTGAAATCTCACATATCTAAGGAAAGCATTTTAATTCCTATCAAGAGACAGAAGTACTGCAGGGTTGACAGCATCGTGAGAGTACAACAGTGGTGTTCTGAGGAAAGTAAGAAGTGCCCATGGTTCTAGATGCTACATTACAGCCTGTGATGCTCTAGCAACCAAGATATAACACTAACCAAAAGAACAAGACAGGATGTGTTCTTGATTCTAAGATCTACTTCTAGCATTTCAATTCTCCTAAAATCACAATGAATTTTACAAATGGCATAGATGGAATATGATGGCATTTTTTTCACTAAGATACTAACTTCTGGTATGGCTTAAAATCGATTGATGTCAGTAGGTGGTAGTCTACTCAGATGGTGTTAGCTAGAGGCACATTTTCTAGCTCAATCTCTCTATAATGGATTTTATATTCTAAATGCATGATTTCTGTGTTGAAAGAATAATTATATTTGCATATGTTTTAGCAGTCACCATGCAAACATGGTAAGAGTGGCTCTTTTGCTGGCAAATGTTGATCAAAATATACTACCCTTAGACCAATCAGGATGTGTGGAAATTCTTTTACAAATCAACATATAATATTTACTACATTCATAAGTACTCTAACTGCAAATGAAATTATTCAACTAAAATGTATTTCCAGGAAATTTATATATAAAGTATGTGCAAAGAAGGCACATTAGACAGTTAAATGCATTCTTCCACAATTTTGAATCTAAATACTACTTTCTGCATATAATACCTTACACATTTTCAAAGCATGTTTATACATTTCACTATAAATTTCATTCAATACTTCCCCATAACAACCCTTTAAGACTGGCAAGAAAAATACTACTTTTTTAATTTCTATTTTATAATAAGGAAGCAAAAAAACAGAGGTTAAATGTGTTTCTAAGGCCACAGACCTGGTTAGTGGCAGGGTTAGGACTCTATTTTGATATAACTCATCTGAGTTGGGTGTCTTCCTACTCTGTCACATAGCCTCCACATGGAAATGGTAAAATAATTGGTAAGACTAAGCATTAGTACCTGTCTTACATCCAAATGGGACCTTAGCACAGGCTACTGCCTAGGATAACCCCACAGCTCTGTACATCCTCAACTACACACATGCGCACCTTTTGTGCTGGCACCTGCTCTGTCTCCAAGCTTCTGTGCTAGCCTAGTTCCAGATCCTTCAGTTCCTGTTACCTTCTGCTAGTCATGATCTGGGATATCACAGGGCAAAGCAATGACGTTAAGGACAAGAAGGCACTCTACCTTGCAGTCCCGAGAATGTTCACCTACAAAATGACTCATTTAATCTTTACAACATCTCCCAAGGCAAGTCAAGGTAATTATCCCCCACTGAAGCAAAAGACAACTGAAACACAGGGAGGTGAAAGTTACAAAGTTGCTGAATGGCAGATCAGAGCCCAGATCCATGTCATTACTGCAATCCCAGAGCAGGTTCCATTTTACCACATTTGGTGAGAGGACTCGCACTAACCCATTCACCTATATATTCATTCAGCAAATATTTAATTATATATGATGCATCAGGCTGTGTAAAAGTTTGTGGGGACGGGAATAAATAAAAACGGTCTTTAGCCCTATAAATTTGCCAGTTTGTGAGGACAAAGTTTAAGGAGATAATTACAAATTACGATAATTGCCTAAGGGAAAATAACGACTACTAAAGAATGTAACAAGGAGCCCTAACTTAGATGAGAACGTTAGATAGAACTTCTCTGAGGAGGTTACATTTAAGCTTAGGCATGCAGTCAACCAAGTGAGGAAGGAGAGGAGGGTCCTTGCAGGGGGAAATATATGCAAAGGCCCTGAGGCAAAAAAAATCACTTGGCAGAGGGACAGTGTGCTAGGAGATGCAGCTAATGAGATATTCCACAGGCAGATCATGAGCCCCACCCTAGACTGTAAAGAATGTTTTTATCCCGAAATGCAAGAAGCCACTGAAGACTTTTCACAAGGGAATGTTATAATCTGACTTACATTCTTAAAAGTGCATTTCAGCCACTGTCTAGTCCAGAATATAAATTGCAGGGAGATAAGAGTGACAGGTGAATGACACTTAGACCATGACAGTGTCCCAGGCAAGGCTGGCACAGAAGAGTGGAAATATAAATGGATAAGAGTGACTTTCAAAGGAGAACAAAGCTTGGTTGTTAAATCCAAAGGATCCAGGGACTGCATCATGATCCAAGAGGCCCAGGATACACCTTTAACATCTTACCCTCAAAGAAAATTTAAAAACAGGGCATACATCTAAAGTCAAGAGACAGTAAGTTTCTCCAGCTTGTTGTGGCAGCCAGCTACCATTTTTTTTTTTAATGGTTAGCTGTCTCCATATTACTTTGAGCCAAATAGAGAAGGCACTCCCCAAAGACCACTGCAACAACCTTCCTAAGCTATTACCAAGAATTGGGATCTAAGAAACTAGGACACAGCTGAATCAAGACTGCTGAGAACCATTTCCTAAGGTCAGAGATTTTTCCCTGCTTAGGAAAGTCCAAGACCCAAAGTGATAAACATTCTCATCCATATAGGCATGATTTCAAATGTCTTTTTCTTTCAAAGGAAATTCAGATGGCATTGTCTTAAGAACAGCCCAGACACGTTTATATAGCTTCCGTGCTTTATGTTAATGTAAGAATGAAAAACAAACTGTCTCGCCATTTTCAGTCTCAATACCAAATTGTGTAACACTGAACACTCACCCTTGGGTTTCTATAACATGAGAACCAAGGAGTGGAAGGGACACATAGGAGAGAGTCGCAAAACTCACCACCAAATTGCAACTATTCTGATGCCTGTCTTCTGCCAAAGGGCAAGGGTTCTCTTGGCCAAAGCTGAGTTCCAACAGGCACTGCCTCCAGGGCAGCAGATGGCCATTCAGTACGTAAGCATTAGTAGGACCCTCTTTTATATTTATACATGGATTCAAGCCTGGGAGAAGTCTTATTGTTCCTTGCTTAGAGGAAACCATCTTGGGTCACACAACCAGTGAGTGGTAAAGCTTAGGTTGGAAGTTCTCAGGCAACAGGGACATGGTTCTGGGACATGAAATTCTAAAACAAGAGTGTTCACGAAGCTTAGAAGTTCTTACTAGGCAATTCCCCCCAAAAATCCTAATCAGAAGAAAAGTGAGTGTTGCTATGGAAACCAGTGAGCTTGCTCTGATCTTAAAAGGTCACACTAAACCTTAGGAAGGCAAATTGAAGGAAATACTTCGATTCACCCTTACAGGGTGAATGTAAGAAAGAGGATGGCGAGGAAAGGTACATTCACTCAGAAACCCAAAGACAAGAATGAACTGAGGATTACAGAAATCATTCAGACAACAAAATTAGGCTTTAGGAATGGGCTCGTTAAAATACCATGAATATTTTTCTATATAGCAAATCAAGGATGGAGTATTTCTGGTGCTTGGGGTTAAGGAAACTTCCATTCAGCTTCTTTAAAGAAAATTTTCTTTAGATAGAAAGGAAGAAATGAACATTGGTAAGGCAGAACGAAAGTCCAAGATTAATCAAAAGATTATAAAAGAGCACTGGGCTGGTTCAAAATGGGTTCATGTCACCTGGCATGGTTTTATGCTTCTTTTCAACAACTTGGAAATTTTATTACTGATCCACTGTTGGTGAAATTTAAGGAAGGAATTAGGGAGAACTGGGCATCACTAAGGCCTCTGTGAAGGTTCTCATGATATTCCTGTTGACTAGATGGTATATTGGGATTGAACAACTTGGAGAACTGTTCTAATAATGAGCATGTCCACAGCATGCTAATGAAGATGGGGGCTGGCTCAAGCCTTGCCAAAGACCCCTTCACTCAGCTCTTGCCTGGCAGGCACAAGCTGCAACTTGAATGGTAACACAGAAGGCAAGATTCTCACATCTCTGGTTAGGATGAAGCCCAGGGTGGTAGTGAACTTCCTGTCCAACCAAATCAGGATCTGATAATCTGTACATGCTGAAAAATTAAAATAAGGATCAATAAAAGGCATGGATTTGAGATCTAAAAACAAAGTGTACAAATACACGGAGAGCAGAAATTTAGGAGATGCTAGTTAAACTATCAGAAAGACAAAACAAAACCATCTCTACAGATGTCAGCAGACAAGTATGCTTAGTATGCTGTCACCCAGAGCTCTAGCAAACCTTAGGCTTCATTGATGGAAGCCTGATTTAGGAAGATGAAGGTGGAGATCCATAATTTTGCTCTATTCAAGGCAAATCAGGCCATTTGTTAATGATGCATTCAGTGCTTAATGCTACCCATAAAAGGAGTAGAGAAAAACTAACCTATGAAGGCAAGTAATCAAGATGGTAAAAAGACTTAAAACCATGACACACGAGGATGTTCAACTTAGGAAAAGAAAACACAAGTGGGCAGGAGAGCTGTTTTGAAATTATATGCAGTCAGATGGGAGAGGGTATGTACAGTATAGGTCCCCAGGACGTAGAACTGGCCCCAAGAGCGGAAACCAGCTGAACAAGGTGAAACAGTGTTGCCCAAAAGTCTGAGTTCACCATCATTTGAGGCTTCCAATGGGGGCTGAGTGCCACTTCACAGAAATAATGTGGAAAAGACTGGCTGAATTTAGCCACCTTAGTAGTCCCTTACAAACCCAACATCCCGTTATGTAAGTTCAGTGATCAGTTTTCTCCATTGTACCCAGTTGCCGAAGGTGTTGAATCCAATGATGTAGCTGCCACATACTATTTTTTAAGCACACACCCACATTATGGCTTTCCTTCAGCAAGAATTGGAACAGGCTCCAGTCGGCACTTGCGCCCATCTTACGTACAAGTTTCAGTTCTTTCTGCCCCTACAAACACACTGTTGCCCAATTTATTTCTTGCAGTCTCTAATCTCAGAAAAAAAAGTTATTGTGTTCACTGACCTAGGGTACGCATATTTTGCTCTAATTAGAAATACAGTCTATGCTCAGTCTGAGATAGCCACTCTGGAGGCGTATTCTTGGCCAGATCTTTAAAAATCTTGGCAGTATCCTCCTCCCAGGACTTATACTGTGTGAGCAGCCTGCTATTATGGGCTGTTTTCATGGCTGTTGTGTCCGCAGATGCACCAGGGCCATCTGCAAAGGCTTCCTGATATTGAACACAGACCATGAGATAGTATGAAGGCATGCTCCTGCAGTGAGGCACTAAGCACTTTCTGCAGAGATTGGGGGCCCCTCACCTACAGAGCAGTCAGTGCTCTCGGCTGAGCGCTCAACATCTGCTTCTAGCATCACTGCCCGAGCTCCTTCAAAAGCATTTTGTTCCAAGGTACCACGCGATACGGTAATAGTAATTAACATCAGTTGAGCTTACCAACTCTGCTGAACACTCGATGTACTCTCTCTCTCTATTCTCTGAACTCTCCATGAAATATATATGATTTTCCTCATTTTTGAGATGAAGCAAACCAAAAAAGTCATATGGCTGTTAAGTGGCCCGGCAGATATCCCCTCTCAGACCCCGGACTGCTTGCAATCTTAAAGCATTCTGTTCCACCTGGCACAGCCACACTGGGTGAATGAATGATTCACATCCACATTTGCTGAGTGAAACCAGGAGAACACACAGGAATGATTCAGAGGTTTGCACTATTAGACATTCAACTCCCAGTCAATGACTATTATTTTGTATTTGCAGGAAAGCTTGCCCAGAC
Source organism: Homo sapiens (assembly GCF_000001405.40). NCBI lineage: Eukaryota > Metazoa > Chordata > Mammalia > Primates > Hominidae > Homo > Homo sapiens. The sequence continues at coordinate 62,877,860 of NC_000012.12, forward strand.
ATTTTAAATAAAGAAGAAAGAGGTAAGGCAGAAGCCCTCTTTATTTTTTCTTTTTTGAGGCGGGGTCTCGCTCTATCGTCCAGGCTGGAGTGCAGTAGCACAATCTCGGCTCACTGCAAGCTCCGCCTCCAGGGTTCACACCATTCTCCTGTCTCAGCCTCCTGAGTTGCTGAGACTACAGGCGCCCGCCACCACGCCCGGCTAATTTTTTGTATTTTTAGTAGAGATGGGGGTTTCACCATGTTAGCCAGGATGGTCTGGATCTCCTGACCTCGTGATCCACCCACCTCGGCCTCCCAAAGTGCTGGGATTACAGGCGTGAGCCACCGCGCCCAGCCTGAAGCCCTCTATTTTAATGTCTAATACTAAATTCTACTTTGTTCTCAATGCCTGTTTCTATTTTTAAAATGTTACCTATACTGAAAAGGAAACATGTTCTTCATCCCCGCTTTGACCCCCATCAGGGTGTGGCACACGATGGAGATGGAAAGAATCTACCCAGGGCACTATCTGAGAAGAAAATCTCAGGAGGAAATAATACACCATGGTTTGATTCCTCTTATAGAACAGCTGGTTTCAATTTGATACTATTTTTTGCTAATTTTAGTTTTTACTCAAGACAGAAGTAGCTTTAACACTTGATGGTCTGGTTTTTAAAGTGTGTTTTAAGGAATCCTACCAGTCCTAAAAAGGGTCCCATGGGAGGATGGTGGCTGGAGGGTAGGGGTTGGAGTTCTAAGATTTTGTTTGAAACAATGATTACGCTTAAAAAAAAAAAAAAAAAAAAAAAAAAAAAGAGGCCAGGCATGGTGGCTCATGCCTGTAATCCCAGCACTCTGGGAGGCCGAGGCAGGTGGATCACTTGAGGTCAGGAGTTCGAGACCAGCCTGGCCAACATGGCGAAACCCCATCTCTACTAAAAATACAAAAATTGGCCAGATGTGGTGACACGCACCTGTAGTCCCAATTACTCGGGAGGCTAAGGCAGGAGAATGGCTTGAATCCGTAAGGCGGAGGTTGCTGTGAGCAGAGATCGCGCCACTGCACTCCAGCCTGGGTGACAGGGCAAGACTCCGTCTCAAAAAAAGAAAAAAAAAGAAAACTACTGATTGAAGGTATCTGTGAGATAAAAATATTTTCCCTCGTTCAGAGCACCTGCGATGGCAAGTGGATTCTGCTCTGTTGGAAGCTGATTTTGAACAGAATCCATTTTCACCATATAGGCTTGGTCTAGTCAATTTGTACTAACGTCTTACCCTCTAGGTGGGGGCGAGAGCAGGAGGTCCCAATGAGTCACCGTTTAGCAGGAAGTGTTTCTTTCGCTATTTTCCTTCTCTATCCTCCTCTGGAGGCTGTGGTGGATCTTCTCTCCTCCTCAAAATAGATGTAAACGATATGAATAAACCAGGGGTTCAATTCTGGTTGCACATTAGAATATTCTGTAGTGCTTCATGTATGTTTATTGCAGCACTATTCACAATAGCAAAGACTTGGAACCAACCCAAATGTCCACCAAAGATAGACTGGATAAAGAAAATATGGCACATATATACCATGGAATACTATGCAGCCATAAAAAAGGATGAGTTCATGCCCTTTTTAGGGACACGGATGAAGCTGGAAACCATCATTCTCAGCAAAATATCATAAGGACAGAAAACCAAACACCACATGTTCTCAGTCATAAGTGGGAGTTGAACAATGAGAACACATGGACACAGGGAGGGGAACATCCCACACTGGGGCCTGTTGGGGTACGGGAGGTTGGGGGAGGGATAGCGTTAGGAGAAATACCTAGTGTAAATGACGAGTTGATGGGTGCAGCAAACCGACATGGCACATGTATAACTATGTAACAAACTTGCAGGTTGTGCACATGTACCCTAGAACTTAAAGTATAATAATAATAATAAAAAATTAAAAAAATAAAAAAAGAATGTTCTGTAGTGCTTAAAACTGGTATTGCTGGCCAGGCGCCTCTGCACACTAATTAAATTGGAATCTCTGGGAAGTTGGGTCAGCTTTAGCATTTCTGAAATATGCCTCAGGTGATTGTGCTGGGCAACTAGGGTAGACAGCCTGGATTAGACACTCTATTCTAAAGTCATTTATGCCACAGGCAAATGTCTACAGGTCTGCCAAATTATATTATTGAAGATCTTTATTTTTCAAAACCTACAAACTTTAAAAGCTGACCTTTGGAAAATGAATTTTACTCTGACTTAAGCATGCTCATTGAAAGGAGAGAGAGAGAAAAAAGTTGTTAAAATAGAACAATTATACATGTATACATATGCATATACACACACACATAAATACCTCTCTGATATAATTTAGATGTAATTTAGTAGAAAACAGACATCTTCCCAATTGAGAGCAGCCTGCATTGTGAAATACTGCTCTAACAAAGTCAATGAATTAATTTGCAAAGATCAAGTTTGGCCAGGATGATTGTTGGGGCAGGGTATTAGGTGCCCTCTTCATTTGGCCAATTACTACACATCTCAGAGATTGTAACTTCCATTATTTCTTTGTGAACCCTTGCTGAGCCCCAAGACTAGATCGGGGGGCTTCCCCTGCCTGCCAGAACCCAGCAGGCACTTGAGTTTGCAACCCCCAGCCTGGAAGCTGCACCATAAAGGCATGCACACTTATACACTTGAGGGGAGACAATCTGATTTCCCCCAGTGCACGTCGTGATTACCCTCCATCAGCACTCCCGATTCCATTCTCCTTGTGTCTTCCTCTGACTGGGAATCAGCTGTAAAGCTGGCCTCATCTGCTCCTCCCCAGGCTGGGAAGAGAAAATTGTGTCATTCTGCAGACTTATGCCACCACAATTCTTTCACTTGTCCCGTGCTCAGCTCCACCTCAAAACATTTCTAAGTAGCTAAGCCTGTTTTTCTCTCTTCCTTCCTCAACCCCTTATGTGTGAACATTCCCTTCTCCAGGTGCTCGCCCTGCTACCCCAGATGATCCACCGAGTGGAGTCACCTGGTTCTAACTACCATGCATATGTTGGGGAACCATCCTCTGTGTCTGCAGCCCAGACTCCTAATGAGCTCTTGGACCCACGTTCGTGAGCAGGATACATGATGGTCCACAGGCACTTCAGAACTTCAGCAAGCCACAGAACTCATCAGTTACTCCCCTCCACCCTCGAATGGTGTCCCCTTGTAACTCCAATCTCAGTGATCTAACATAAGAAGGCACAAAGTTGCCCTAGTTAAGAAAACTGGGAGTCATCTGTGATGGCTTTGTGGTGTCATTTTGGCCAGGCTAAACAATATCCCCATAATTCCCTTTCTAGTATGTTTCTGATTAGGGTGGGCTACAAGGAAGACCTTCTCCTGAAAGTTGGTAGATGGAAGGGAGATGTGGCCGTCTGTAGCACCCACATACACTCACTCAAATATGCAATCCAACATGAATCTAGGTGCTGCTGTGAAGGGATTTTGCAGATGTAATTAAAGTCCCTAATCAGGTGACTTTATAGGAGATTATGCTAAATAAGCTGATAATCAGTGGAAGGCAGAGAGGAGAGAGAGATAAAAAGAGAAAAGGGAAAGAAGACAGGAAGGAAGGGGGAGGGGGGAAGAAAAAGAAAGAGAAAGAATGTTGCAGGAGAAAGGGAGGAAAAAGAATTGCTTCCTACCTGTGGGCAACAAGATTCAGCCTATGGGATTCCAAATTGCCTAGCCAGTTCTCAATTGCATAAGCCAATTCCTTGCAATGCATCCCTTTAATTCATACATATCTAGATACCCACATATTCACTTTGTAGCTACTTGTTCTGTTTCTCTGGTTGAACCCTGACAAACCCTGACATCAATGTTTCCTCTTCCCTCCTCACCTCAGCTCAAATCAAGTTGATTCCATCTCTTCAATAGTTCTCTGATTCAATCCCTCCTCTCCAGAAACAGGGTCAATGCCTTAGTTCCAGCTGCCATCGCTTGCTTGGCATAATGCAAAACCCACCTACACTGGTCTCCCTGCCTCTGGTTTCCCTCTTCACCAATCCACTCTCCAGATCAGCCTTGTTCAACAGAAGCTTCTATGATGGACATGTTCTAGATCTGTCCTGTCCAATCTAGTAGCTACCAGCTACATATTTAACAGCACAATTCTAGACTATCAGGGTTTTGTCCTAAAAAAATCCAAGAAACATGCCAAATAATTCAGACATTTCTCAAAAACAAAGTAAGTCAAATACTGGAAACTGTCCAACAATACTAATAAATAAAATGAAAGTAAATCTATACATATGCAAAAGATGAGGGAATATATTAAGCTATGGTGATGAACTCTGTGTATTGAAACTCTTCAACTCATTCAATAAATGATTGCTAAGCATCTATACACTATGTGCCAGGTGCCCTGCTAGAGTCTGGAGATTGTAGACTGGACAGTCCCTGTTTTGCCACCCTACAGAGGCTTTACATACCAGATTGAGTAGCTACGCAAAGTCTATCCTGTGTGGTGAGAGGTATAACAGGTGCTAGAGCTGGGGCAGGCAGCCAAGGCTTTGCCCCAGGGCACTGACCTTTCGAGAACCCCAAAGCCAGATAACATGTAATTGTAAAAACCACATATTTAAAGCCCCTCCAGTCCCAGATGCACCTCTAGCAGCTTCTAGGAATGGACAGAGCTAGAGACTTGGATCAGACGCAGCCCAAGAGTCCTTGGAAACAGGGGCAGAGTGGGGCTGTCCCACTTGTATCCCTTTCGTTGCAAGGACAAAGCACCATTCTCCTTGCTCCACGTTCCAAAATGGTAAGCTAGGTCCTGCAGGGTCCCTAAGGGAGTCAACAGAAGGGCAAACCCAAACCCGGGTCAAGTATTTCTTCTTTGTTGTTTTCTGTGCTTTCTGGTATTTTTATAATAGAAATATTGCTTTATTTCAGAAATGCAAGTCTGATGTCACTTCTGTTTAAAAATTCCTTAGAAATACTGAGCAATTTTCCAAACTGTCTCACATATACCCCCAGTGCGGTTTCATGCCTCAGTGCCTTTGCACGTGCAGCTGCTTCTGCTTGGTATGGCCACCCTCCACCCCCACCGCCACTCCCCAGCCCCATCTGTTTAGCAAAGGCCTATTCAACCTCTGAAACTCAGCCTAAATAGCTCTCCTGTGAAATGTTTCACTCCTCAGAAAGAATCACTGTAGTATATTTATTTATTTCTGTGAGTAACCTCCACTAAAATGTATACTTCTTGAGGTCAGAAACTGTTTTTGCTAGCCCAGCACCTAGCCCTGAATCTGGTATTACAGAAGAAAGGAGCTTCTCATACCACCCTCCTCCATCCTGCTCACTTCTGCCTACCTGCAGCTCACCTCTCAGACATACAAGGGATGGGGAGAAGTTGCTAATCTGCTTCCTCTGAACACAGGATGCTGACAGGCCACCGTAACCAGCCATGGAGTAGTGGGGTCTTATGAAGCAGGAACTCGGGACTCCCAGCTGAACCAGTACTGCCCCCACCCATTACCCCCGGGCTCCATGAGTGGATCAATGGACTCAGTGGCCTTTAATCTGAGTTAGGGTGCAGTACTAGATGCTTTTGAAGCTTCTCATGAAGTAGATTCTGAGTCCCAAGTTAGAAAGCCTCCCAGAACCTCAAAGCAGGGCATGAAGTATTGGCAGGGCACAATATAAATATTCATGACCCTTGGATAAATTACATCAACATAGCACCCAAACCTGACCATCGATCTCTAACATGAGCAATACGGCAAACCATGTTTGAAAAGACTAACCTGCTTGTAGTAAGAACATACTAGAAGCAAGAAAGCCTAGATTCTGATCGTGGAAAACCTGTGCACCATTAACAGTCTCCACTTTGTCACTTGTAAAATGAATGCACTGAGGATAGAGTCAACTATCCTGATTATATGGCAGTTTGAGTTTTCAAAAATACCTTGCCAGGACCCAAACCAACAATTCAAAGCTCAGGAATTAGTGCCAGCAGGAGGCATTTCCTCACATAATTGCATCCTTCTCAGACAGCTGGATTCTGTGTCATTAGAAGAAGAAAAAAGACAACAGAGTCTGAGGTCTATTTCTTAGATTCTCAGTATTCTGTTACAGCTTCGCATGCACGTGACAAGTCACCTGGAGAGGCCCCTTCGACAGAGATGAGAACAAACAGACAAAAGAGATGAGAACAAACAGACAAAAGTCCCAGAGGGAATCACACCACACACTATTAATGTGACCAAACTTGAACTCAAATGTTCAGATTACACTGCCTGGTGACCCCCGTCCCTGGCAAATCAGTGAGATGAAATCTCTTACAGATACTGAATTTGTACTAGTTGATTGCTTATCACGAAATATGAAGTATAGACTGGGCACGGTGACTCAAACCTGTAATCCCAGCACTTGAGAGGCTGAGGCAGACAGATCACCTGAGGTCAAGAGTTCGAGACCAGCCTGGCCGACATGGTGAAATCCTGTCTTGACAAAAGCACCAAAATGAAAAAAAAAAAAAATAGTCAGGCATAGTGGCAGGTGCCTGTAATCCCAGCTATTTGGGAAGCTGAGGTAGGAGAATCACTTGAACCCCAGAGGCAGAGGCTGTGGTGAGCTGAGATCATGCCACTGCACTCCAGCCTGGGCAACAAGAATGAAACTCCATATCAAAAAAAAAAAAAAAAAGAAAGAAAGAAAGAGAGAAAAGAAAAAAAAGAAATATCAGGTGTAATTTCACCTTGATTTATTAAAAATAAGAGACCTATTAGGAATGGGTGGATCCTGGAACAGAAGACAAGACAGTGGAAAAGCTGGTTCTGAACAAAGCTCATACTTTAGTTAATAGTAGTTATACGGTATTGTGTATTGGTTTTCTACTACTAGGTAACAATTTACACAAACTTACAACACATGTTTATTATCTTGTTTCTGTAGGTCAGAAATTTGGGCATGGTAGAGTTGAATCTCACAAAACTAAAATTAAGGTGTCGGCACATCAAGGTTCTCATTTGGAGATTGAGGTTCACTTTCAAGTTCATCCTGGCTGCTGGCAGAACTCAGTTCCTTGCAGCTGCAGTATTGAGGGTGTATTAGTCTATTTTCATGCTGCTGATAAAGACACACCCGAGTCTGGGAAGAAAAAGAGGTTTAATTGGACTTACAGTTCCACATGGCTGGGGAGGCCTCAGAATCATGGCGGGAGGTGAAAGGCACTTCTTACATGGTGGCGACAAAAGAAAATAGGGAAGAAGCAAAAGTAGAAACCCCTGATAAACCCATCAGATCTCATGAGACTTATTCACTATCACGAGAATAGCACAGGCAAGACCAGCCCCCATGGTTCAATGATCTCCCCCTGGGTCCCTCCCACAACACATGGGAATTCTAGGAGATACGATTCAAGTTGAGATTTGGGTGGGGACACAGCCAAACCATATCAGAGGGCCCTGTTTTCTTGTTGGCTATTGGTCTCAGCTCCTAGAGGACACCTGGCTCCTTCCTTAGGCAGTTCACAACAGGGCTCTTCCCTGTTGCTAGGACAGCAAAAGAGGGTTGGCTGCTGCTTCTTGTCTCTCATAAGGGCTCATCTGATTAGGTCAGGCCCACCTGGGATAAACTCCCTTTTGAATACTCAGAGTCTACTGATGAGAAACCTTAGTTACACAGCAAAATCCCTTCTACCATATAATGTACCACAATCACAGTGTGCTAGTCCATCATATTCACAAGTCCTGCCCACACTCAAGGGGATTACACAGGGCACACACAGTAGAGGGCTGGAATCTTGGGGGTCAACTTATAATTCTGCCTACCATAGGTACTCATGTCAATTTCTTAGTTTTGATCATTATACTATGTTTATGTAAGACGTTAACAACTGTGGAAACAGGAAAATACTGAATGATTTTTGTCATTTTTCTGTATCTCAAACTGAAAAATTTTAAAACATGGAATACTCATGTGCTGTGAATTAACACAATAATTTGCATATCTGTGCCATCTTCTCTTCTGGCTTATGTTGCTATGTTGAATTTGCCAGTTCATGAAATATCAGGTATCATTTCACCTGCTTATAGTAACATCAGGGCTATAAAACTTCTCTAAAGTCACACATCAAATCAAATTAGTGAGATAAGCCTTACAGAACACCACAGTGCTACTGCTTTACCTTAAATAAAGGTGAATAGTCCAGAATTCAAGATAACCCTTACAAAAAGGCTATGTGAAAGGCTACTATACATCTACAGTCAATATTTTTTCAAGTATAAAGTTTCTCACCAGTGCACTGCCTTTGGTTAGCCCAGTTGCTTTTTAAACGTTTCATCACTATTGTCTTTGGGCCTTTATATCTCATATGGTTTCTGACACTCTACGCCATGACTATCTTTAGTAAGCAAGCATCACATCAGACACATGTGCACACACAGTCTCTATATAACTTCTGAGTACCAAATCTCTGTTAATTGGAGATACCCTCTGTTATAGGTAATTTACAAAACTATGTACTATGCTCTCAAAGAATAAGGTGTTAATCCAAGTTATTTTGTGCATTTTGGATGTGTACAATCTCATATAACTGGATTATCCGATTAAAATTCTATGGTTGGAAAAGTGCTGTATTTTTTTTTTAACAATAAACAGCAGAAACTGAACAGTAGCACTGAAAGCATCTAGTCACTCTGTTAGGAATGTCTACACCTCCTCAGAGAATATCTATGAATGCATAAGACCTTATTTTCTAACCTTGCTGGCTGCAAGATGTTACCAGAAATGTCAATCAATCAGAAGAAATTTAACTAATTCACAAAACTTCTAAAATTTCACTCCAAAGTATTTCATTATCAGAAGTGACAAATCAGGGTAAGCAGCTCAACACAATTATTTCATCACAGGAATGTCTTTAAATAGTTGTCACATACAGAATATTTGGGACTTTTCAAATCTTTAAAAACTCAATTTATGCAGAGAGAAAGGCATGAGAAAGCCTGGTAAGGGCCAGAACTGCTGAAACAAAGGGTTTGCCACTGCGGTTTTAACTCAGTAAAGGATGGAATCATGTTGGCATTTAGAAAGCAAAACCCGGTGGCAGGTAGGCTGGAGGGGAAAGCGATGGGAAGACCAGCCTGCCTACCTAAAAGTGGCTATCTAAGCCAGAAATGAGGAAGCACTGCTGTACAGGGGGACAGGAAGTGAGACAGAGAACTGGCCGAAGAATGAATGGGGACTCCATTAAGAAGCTGTATACAAGGACTCCGGCCAGTAGACTGGATGTGGAGAAAGAGGGAGGTGCCATGTTTCTCACCGGCTGAGACAGAGGGACAGTAGACATTTCCACAGACAGGCCAAGTGAGATGAAGGCAGAAAATACACTGGTAGTACAGGGTAAGAGAAGTGGTCACAGAGTTGCATAGAGTGTGTCCAATTAACAAAAGTGCAGCTTCCAAAAGTTCATGTATGAAACAAATCTTTCTTAAACATCTACCATGTGTCAGTTACAGTACTAGACTTTGGAATACAAAGATATCTAAGATGTGGACCTTGCTGCTCCTTAGGAATCTAGCCAGCCTAATGACGGACATGTAAAACACGTTTTCATGTTCAAGTGACAATTGCCAATGCTTATTGAGCAGTTATTAATGTACCAGGCATGATGCTAGGAGCCTTAATTGCATTTGTTTATTCACTTGACATATTTATTAAGCACTATACTAAGTGCTAGGCTGTTTTAGATTCTAAGAATATTATACTGAATCAGACAGCCAAGGACCCTGCTCTCATGGTGCTTATTTTATTTGTGGGAAACCAGACAATAAATAAGTAAATAATGAGCGAGGTGATTTCAAATAGTGGTATGCACAGGGAAGACAAGGAGGAAGATACGACTGCATTGGGGGAAGGGTAGACTTGTACTAAATATAGGTGATGGTCATGGAGGGCCACAAAGAGCACATCTGAACTCAGACCTGTAAGACAAGGAGGTACCCACTGGCAAAGGCAATGGCAGTGTTCCAGGCTGAGGGGAGAGCAACTGCAAAGGTCTGAAGTGGAGGCAAGTTTGCATGGTTAGAGAACAGAAATGAAGCCAGGGTGACTGGAGCTGGGTGGCAATGCTCCTCAAGGTGGTCAAGGACCTAGAAGCCACAGAAGGGCATGCAAGCATGAGCGACATGATCTGACATTTTTCAAGATCATTCTGGGAGCTGAATGTGGTATGAATGGATGCAGGAAAAGCAGTTAGGAGTCCAGAAGAGGCTGTAGTGAAGATGGAGAGAAGAGGATGATTATGGCATATGTTTCAGAGGTGGAGACAAAAGAACACGCTGATGAGGGGGATGATGATGAGACAAAGAACAGAGCCTGAGTATCCACTTCATCAACTAGGTGGATGGTGGCACCATTTGCTGAAATTTATAAAATGGAGGGAGAGGCAGGAATTACAGGAAAGGGAACAAAGGCATTGAAAATTCAGAGCTCTGCCCATGAGGAAGAAGCCAAGGGGAGTCGTCCAGTAGTTGTTTCAGTCAAGGGTCTGGAACTCAGGGCTGGGGACACACATTTGGTCACCATCTACCTATGAATGGTATTTAGAGACACTGGAATAAAAAAGACTGGAACCGAGAAACAAGCCCTGGTTGTTCAGACAAAGGAAGAGCCAGCAAAGGAAACTTCAGACACAGCATCCCAGGAAGACAGAAGAAAACCAAGAAACTATCGTCAGAGATGCCAACATAAGAAAAGGGTGTTTCAAGGAGGAAGTGGGCCATGGAGCTATAATACTGCTAAATAAATAATCTTGCAAGGAACCCCTGTATTTTGTAACACGGAAGTCACTGGTGACATTATAAAAAACAGTTTCAAGGGCAAGTTAGGGAGGAAGTCTGGATAAGGGTCGGGGAGAGGAGAGAATGGAATATAAGGTAAAACAAGGATATACAAGCAACTTTACAGGCATTTACCCAGATTTTCCCATTTGATCCCCACAATTAAGTCCATTTTACAATTGAGAGGATACTTGGCTAAAGTCTTGTGAGTGATGCAAGGTGACGAAGCCAGAATTAGGAACCTCCAGAGAGATTCCAGAGCTCGCATTCTTTAACACTAATGTGGAACTTCAAAAAGTTGCGTATGACATAAAGGAGGGTTTGTGGTAAACTATGCCCATGGTTGTCAAACTAAACTACCTAGAATCCCTAGCAATGACTCTTTAGAAACTGTGGCCCAAACTGATTAGAAACCAGGCCCAAGAGTTAGCTGCCTGTCCACCTGCAGTCTTAACCCACTTCCATTCCACAGTCAGAATTTCAAAATCAAAATCAAGAGGTTCTTGGAAGACCCAATATTGTCATGATATCAGATATTCCCAACTTGATCTACATACTCAATGCAATTCCAATCAAAATTTCAGCACATTATTTTGTGGATACTGACAAACTGATCCTAAAGTTTAAATGGGAAGGCAAAAGACCCAGAATAATCAATACAATACTGAAGGAAGAAGAAGAACAAAGAGGGCTGACACTACCTGACTTCAAGACTTATAGCTGGGCACTGTGGTGTGTACTTGCTATAGTCCTAACTACTCACAAGGCTGAGGCGAGAGATTACTTGAGCCCAGGAGTTCAAGTCCATCTGGGGTAACATAGCAAGATCCTGTCTCTAAAAAAATTTAAAAAATATATATATAAAAATATAATGTAAAGTTACATTTATCAAGAACGTCTAGTGTTGGCAAATGAACAAATACCAGTAGACCAACGGAACAGAAGACAGAGCCCAGAAATAGACCCACATAAATACAGTCAACTGATCTTTGACAAAGGAGCAAGAGCAATACAATGGAGCACAGATAATCTTTTCAACAAACCGTGCTGGAACAACTAGAAATCCACATGCAAAAAAATGACTCTAGACACAGATTTTACACATTTCACAAAAATTAATTTGAAATGAATCGCAAACCTAAATTTAAAACACAAAACTATAAAACTTCTAGAAAATAACGTAGTAGAAAATCTACGTGGCCTTGAGTTTGGCAATGAGTTTTAAAATACAATGTCAAAGGTACGATCTCTGAAAGAAATAATTGATAAGCTAGACTTTATTAAAATTAAGATTTCTGCTCTGCAATAGACACTGTCAAGAAAATGGAGAGACAAACCACAGACTGGCAGAAAATATTTGCCAAAGACATATCTGGTAAAGGATTATTATTGAAAACATACTAAGAACTCTTAAAACTCAACAATAAAAAAACAGCCTGATTAGAAAATGGGCCAAAGACTTTATCAGGCATCTCACCAAAGATAAACAGAAGGCAAATAAACATATTAAAAAGTGTTCCAGGTTGGACATGCCGGTGGCTCATGCCTGTAATCCCAGCACTTTAGGAGGCTGAAGTAGAAGGATCGCTTGATCCCAGGTATTTGAGACCAGCCTGGGCAACATTGGTGCAACCCCATCTTACAAACAAAAAAATAAGCCAGGTGTGGTTGTGCACACCTGTAGTCTCAACTACTCAGGAGGCCGAAGTGGGAGGAACGCTTGAGCCTGGAAGGTCAAGACTGCAGTGAACAATGATCGTGCCAATTTTGTGTGTGGGTTGAGTGAATATGGGAAATCTCTGTGCTTTCTGCTCAATTTTGTTGTGAACCTAAATCTGTTCTAAAAAATAAAGTCTATTTGAAAAATAAAAGGGTTCCTGAACATTTACCATCTGTAGACATTGTTATGAAAGAATTGAGGGTAAGTTTTAGCAGCCCCGAAAGGTAAACAGCTATTAGCAACTGAAAAACATCACGTTATTTTGAAATCTTTCAATAAGTGATTAATGGAGTCAACACTTATTGATTGGGAATATATATAATATCATTTCGTGTGTGTGTATACACACACACACACACACACACACACACACACACACACATATATATATATGAATGAAACAGCAAGAAAACATGTCTAACACTTAACTCCTTTAAGACTTGACTGTTTGAAGGCCAGGCGTGGTGACTCATGCCTGTAACCCCAGCACTTTGGGAGGCCAAGGCAGGCGGCTCACCTGAGGCAGGAGTTCAGGACCAGCCTGACTAACATGTTGAAATCCCATCTCTACTCAAAATATCAAAATTAGCCGGGCGTGGTGGTGGGCGCCTGTAATCCCAGCTACTTGGGATGCTGAGACAGGAGAATCGCTTGATCCCAGGAGGTGGAGGTTGCAGTGAGCCAAGATCACGCCATTGCACTCCAGTCTGGGCAACAGAGCAAGACTCTCAAAAAAAAAAAAAAAAAAAAAGACTTGGCTGTTTGAATTCTAGAGCATATTTTTCCTTAAAAGTGATGTAAGTTCTTCATAATCTTGTTACACACTCTCTCTGGGAAAATGCATTCCATATACGAATGGAAATACTCATATCATACCTATATGGGAAACTCCATAAAAGCAGCAATCATAAAAGGCTCAGTGCCTGGTACATTTATCCAGTCTAAGATCAACCAATAAGATGAACCATTAGTTTACAGACTGCTAAGAAAGCCAAGTAAACTGATACAATGCTTTCTTTTCATTTACAATTATTGAAGAAGCTTTTAGATAATTAGATTTTTCCATGTGTCAACCATGTACCTACATGAAAATTAAAATAAGTTGGCCAAGATTTTCTTAACACATCTTCACCTGCCCAGTTTGCCTCTTCTCAATCATTTTAACTCAGATGCTAATGTCCATTTCTTCCATCATATGCTCCACTATTGTCTCTGGGACATTTTTCTAGCTGTCCTATACTCAATATGCCAGTTTTGAGGCTGGTGCTTTTTTGTTCTTACCTAGTATCACGACAGAGGGCCTTTAGAATAACTAAGACTCATATCTTTGGTGACTAAAAGTGCCACAAGGTTAGCAGTTGTCGAGTCTTGCCGAAAGAATTACAAGTGGATCACTATACTCTTCAGTGAATATATTCTTTACTGTTCAGATACACATCTGTGAAAGCGATCAAGAACCTATATACTGGGTGAGTTATATGGGGGCTCTGGGACATCTGTTCCAGACTACTGAGTCATTTCTTCTTCAGTTTGGCTGAAGTGTGTGTGTGCATGTGTATGTGCAGGCGTGTAGATAAACGATAACATCTTTGGGTAAGAACTCTTAGGAATTGTTTTGCAGTTTATGATTAACTTATGGCTACAACTTTCAGCCACCACCAATTGTGCAAAGTATCACAGAAACTTTTCACAGCCTCTGCTCATGCCTTTGATCTCTGTAGTACCTTTAACATTTCAAAAAAAATTTACAGCCTTTTAAAGCACACTGAGTTTTTATCAGCATTTCCTATCTGTCTAAATTCAACTTTTTTTCCCAGTTAAATCACTAGAAAATAAGTAGCTACAGTTCAAAGTCAGCAGGAAGTTTGATAAATTGATGTTCTACGCTTCAACAACAGTCCTGTGTAACCTATGAATTGGACATACCAGCCTCTTACTGCTTTGAAATTCCTTTCATCTCTTTGAAGAGATCTACCAATTTTTCCTGCTTTCAGTTGCATAATTTGTCACCTAGGACGCAATACTTTTGCCATAACTCTGTAACACAGCTTCAGCTACTTGTCTTCTGCCTCAGGCCCTCCACAGTTCCTGGTTGCTTCTTTGCAAAAATAGCAACTGAGGTCATTCTTGTACAAAAATTTGCTTCACTAATCCCAAATTTACATCCTGTTGCTCTACTTCTATAACTTTCTACACATATAAACCCGTTTTTAAATTTTGAGTCACAATTTAAAATATTTGAAGATATTTTATATGCAACTAAACTCAATATGTGTTTACCAACAGTATACATCAACACAATTGTTATGTCCAAATTTGCACAAGCTCACATAATGACAATGACTTATCATTGCCATCTAGTCAATGGTGATAAGATGCTATCAACAGTAAATACATCCTGATTTCAGAGAAATTAAAATGTGGGGGCAAATGTACATTTCAAAAGTAAGGCATAAGTGGATACTCCTTTAATTTATGTAAAAAAATCATTTCCAAAAATGGACATCAGAAATTCCTCCCATCTCTGTATAGACATGCCATTCCTCCCATCAAGAAACAAAGTCCTGGTCCCTCACTTGTGACTTGCTTTCAGCAACAGAACATGGCAGAAGTGAGATTCTGAGACTTTAAGCTCAAGTATTAAGAAGCTTGGGCTACAGTCTAGAGAAGGGGTTGGTGAACTATGGTCCAGTGGGTCAAATCTGGTCTGTTTTTATACTGCCTCTGAGCTAAGGATAGCTTTCATATTTTAAAAGAGTTTTAAAATAAGAAAATATGTGACAGAGATCGTATGGGCCCCAAAGCTATGAGGCCTAAAGTATTTACTAACTGGCTGTATTTATTTGCTAGGGTTGCCTTAACAAAATACCACAGACTCAGTGGCTTCAACAACATAAATTTGTACCTTCACAGTTCTGGAGGCTAAAAGTCCAACATCAAGATGTCAGCAGAGTTTATTTCTTCTGAGGCCTCTCTCCTTGAAGGTGGTCTTCCCTGTCTGCATGTCTGTGTACTAATCTCCTTTTCTTATAAGGATATCAGTCATATTGAGTCATAATGAATTAGGGCCCACTTGACCTCATTTAACCTTTTTTTTTCTGAGACAGGGTTTCACTCTGTTGCCCTAGCTGAAGTGCAATGACATGATCATGGCTCACTGCAGCCTCTATTTCCTGGGCTCAAGCAATCCTGCCACTTCAGCCTCCCAGGTAGCTGGGACTACAGATGCATGCCACCATGCCTGGCTAATATGTGTGTGTGCGGGGGGGAGGGGGTGTGGTTTTTCTTTTTCAGGTAAAGACAAGGTTTACCATGTTGCCCAGGTTGGTCTTGAGCTTCTGGCCTCAAGTGATCCACCTGCCTCAGCCTCCCAAAGTGCTAGGATTACAGGTGTGAACCACCACACCCCGCGTTCATTTAATCTGAATTACCTCTTTAAAGGCCCTATCTCCAAATATAGTCACATTCTGAGGTACTAGGGGTTAGGACTTCAACATATGAATTTTGGGGGACACAATTCAGCCTTTAACACTGGTCTTTTTCAGAAAATGTTCCCAATCTCTGGGCCACACTATTGAATGAGAAGAGACCAGGTGGAGAGAGAGGCTCAGCCAGACATCAGCCATTACAGCTTCACACTAGCTAGACGTGCGAATAAAGCCCCCTTGGATGGTCCAGCCACAGCCAAGCTCTCAGCTAAATGCAGCCACCTAAGCGACTCCTGACAATACAATGTAGAGCAGAGACAAGCCATCTCATTGAACCCCATCAAAACTGCAGGCTCATGATCAAATAAATGGTTGTGTTTAAGTCACTAAGTTGGGAGTGTTTTAAACTCAGCAATAGATGACGGGAATAACTTCCGTGGCAGAGGCCCCAGGATAGGAGCTCCCAGGCATGGAACCAAAAGGGAGAAGGGCTTTTTATAGGGGTGACAGCAAAGGAAGAGTTGGGATAAAAGGCAAGGGCAAGAATATACAGTAGCCAAGACCCAAAAAGGTATTTAGATGAGAACGTTGCTCCTCGTGTTAACAAGGAACTCTCCTAGTATGTATATTGAAAGTAGGGTTGTATCAGAGAGTAGATGGCTGCAGTGAAAAGGACAAAAGCCCCAAAACAAATCCCAGGAAACATCCAGGTTCTGCCTCAAATTAGCTTTGGTAAGATACTTATACTCTTAGCTGTTCCGTGTCCTCATCTATAAAACAGGGACAATACAACCTACCTCCCAGATTTAAAAATATTAGACATAAAAGTATGCAGTCCTTAGCATAGCACTGGACAAATGGTAGGCATACCACCTTGTCTGTGTTTCAGTCTTTCCAAAAGATGTAATGCCTATCCTATTTGAAAGGCTTATTCATAAGTTCAAATTTGCTAGGCGCCGTGGCTCACGCCTTTAATCTCCACATGTTGGGAGGCCAAAGAGGAAGGCTCAATTGAGCCCAGGAGTTCAGATTCAATAAAACACACAAAAATGGTT
Organism: Homo sapiens; assembly: GCF_000001405.40. Taxonomy (NCBI): domain Eukaryota; kingdom Metazoa; phylum Chordata; class Mammalia; order Primates; family Hominidae; genus Homo; species Homo sapiens. The sequence goes on from NC_000012.12 coordinate 62,894,858, forward strand.
TGAAAGGTATTAAGCCCTACCAAATAATACGATTGCAATATATTAAAATACAATTTTTATTGTTGGGGGCTGCATGGCAACTTTGTAAAACTTAAGTATATCTGCATAATTGTTTTTATATAGTTACTGTTAAAGTTACCAGCATCAGTTGTTTATTCTAGTTATTCATCTCCATCTTCAGAAAGGAAGGTCAGCACAGGATCTGAAGAAGGAAAATGAAGATAGGAGGAACTTCATAACTCCATTCTTTTTTTGTGTTTCAGCAACACCCCCGTCTATTTAGCGGGGCATCCCCAGAGCAGTTCCACTATGTGTCCTCTTTATCACCAGCGGGACTTAGCACTGGGCTTGGTATAAAAGAGATACTGAATATTTACTGAACATAGAAGAGAGGGCAAGCCAATAGTCTCAGAAAGAATTAAGGAGATATCCCCTTTAATGTGATTTTTACATGCAACTCAATGGTGGTATTGGTTCATTTTGGAAAGATGACCCTAAATGGACAAGTTCAATGACAATCACTGCCCAAACCTATAAGTGCCTATGTTTGAAGGCCAGGGGCACAGGGTAGTGGTTCTCAATGTGTAGTGCTTAGACCAACAGCAGCAGCAGCACCTGGGACTCATTAGAAAGCAAATTCTACTGCCCTACTGCTACGGTTTGCATAGGGTTTGTTTGTTTGACCCCACCAAGTCTCATATTGAAATCTGATCCCCAATGTTGAATGTGGGGCATGGTGGGAGGTGTTTGGGCCATGGGAGCAGATCCCTCACAAATAGATTGGTGGAATTCTCAAGGGAGTGAGTGACTTCTCTTCATTCCTGCAATAACTGGTTGTTGAAAAGAGCCTGGGGGCCTCCTCTGCACTTGCACTCACTTACTCTCTTCCTCTCACGCCATCTGATCTGTGCATATGCAGGCTCCCCTTTGCCTTCCACCATGAGTGGAAGCAGCCTGAGGCCCTCATCAGAAGTGGAGCAGGTGCTGGAGCCATGCTTCTTGTACAGCCTGCAGAACCATGAGCCAACTAAACCTCCTTTCTTTATAAATTACCCAGCCTCAGGTATTCCTTTATAACAAAATAAATAGACTAAGAGACCCACCCAGAACTACCAAGCAAATAATAGTTTAATAAGCCCTATAGGTGATTCTGATACACATTAGAGAATCAGTAGCCTAGGGAAATGCATTTCTATTATCAGCTACATTTGGTAACAAAATGTCTATTCCCTTTGTGTTTCACAAACTAGCTTATTCAGATGATGTGAATACCGGCTAATTATTGCAACGATGTTTGCTTCCAAGCATTAAAAAAATTGCCAGTGTTATGGGCAAGGACTTCATGACTACAACACCAAAAGCAATGGCAAGAAAAGCCAAAATAGACAAATGGGATCTAAGTAAACTAAAGAGCTTCTGCACAGCAAAAGAAACTACCATCAGAGTGAACAGGCAACCTACAGAATGGGAGAAAATTTTTGCAATCTACCCATCTGACAAAGGGCTAATATCCAGAACCTACAAAGAACTTAAACAAATTTACAAGAAAAAATCAAACAACCCCATCAAAAAGTGGGCGAAGGACATGAACAGACACTTCTCAAAAGAAGACATTTATGCAGCCAACAGACATATGAAAAAATGCTCATCATCACTGGCCATCAGAGAAATGCAAATCAAAACCACAGTGAGGTACCATCTCACACCAGTTAGAATGGAGATCGTTAAAAAGTCAGGAAACAACAGGTGCTGGAAAGGATGTGGAGAAATAGGAACGCTTTTACACTGTTGGTGGGACTGTAAACTAGTTCAACCATTGTGGAAGACAGTGTGGCGATTCCTCAAGGATCTAGAACTAGAAATACCATTTGACCCAGCCATCCCATTACCGGGTATATACCCAAAGGCTTATAAATCATGCTGCTATAAAGACACATGCTCACATATGTTTATTGCGGCACTATTCACAATAGCAAAGACTTGGAACCAACCCAAATGTCCATCAATGATAGACTGGATTAAGAAAATGTGGCACACATACACTATGGAATACTATGCAGTCATAAAAAAGGATGAGTTCATGTCCTTTGTAGGGACATGGATGAAGCTGGAAACCATCATTTTGAGCAAACTATCACAAGGACAGAAAACCAAGTATCACATATTCTCACTCGCAGGTGGGAATTGAACAATGAGAACACTTGGACACAGGGTGGGGAACATCACACACCGGGGCCTGTTGCGGGGTGGGGGGAGGGGGGAGGGATAACATTAGGAAAAATACCTAATGTAAATGACGAGTTAATGGGTGCAGCACACAAACATGGCACATGTATACATATGTGACAAACCTGCACATTGTGCACATGTACCCTAGAACTTAAAGTATAATAAAAAAAAATTGCCAGTGTTTTTTCCCTACTCCCTTGTGCCCTCCCCCATTATAAAAATCAAATAAAATAAAACCACAGCCCTTTGCAATTCACGCCACATACACTAATAACAGCCTCAGGCAAGCAGTATCTGTGGGACTCATTTAAATTTTATTTTCGTGGAAGAATAAAGGAAAATTCAACACCAAATCTTTAAGACACACCACTTAATGATTTTGGTGAACAGTCTGAAATAGACAGTTATTGGAGCCTTTGATTAAGACAATACAATGTCTACAATGACCTATCAAGCAGGTGTCCATACCCTGTAAGAACCTTGTCCACACTTCAGCCTCTGATGAAGCATGTATGGGTACACCTTGTGTGTGACAGCCCCAATAGCTGGAATGGTGTGGGATCCCAATGAAGGACACCCAGCCTTGGCATGGCAATCTACCTATGACTTTGTGGCTTGGCTGAAAGATTTCAGCTGGGTCAAGCAGAAGATCTCTTTCAAGACTCTAAACCAAGAAATACAGGAGGGTCTTGCCAACTAACTATGGGAACTAAACCAAGAGAGCAGTGAATTCTCGGGGAGCACCATGAGAAGCCATGATGGGCTACTGCCAAACTGAAGTGATGTGGGGAACAGAAGGTGTAATGGAGTGGGGAAAAGCCAGTCCATCACAAGTGGGGAATAGTGCAGAGATGCAGAAAGAAACAGCCTATCACCAGCAGGAAGGACTGGACAAAGAAACTGACCCTTAGCCTAAAGAAGCCAGGGTACCAACTGTATAGTCCAGCCCAGCCCAGCTTGGGGAACAGTCACTATAGGTCCTCTCCTTCTGCTGCCACCCACACCTCATAAATGAGTTAAACTATAGCACATAATCATCCTTAAATGGTGGCAATAAACACTTCTGCATTTCATTGTCAATGGATGCATAATAGATGCAAAATACTTCCAAGGTTAACTAAATGAATTATTGTAGATGTCTAAAGTGAGGGTGAACTCTGTTTTTTCTTTTAAAATGATCCATCTGTTTATCAAGGCAATAAGTTTTTAAGTTAATTAAGTACGGAGCAGAAAGTCCTCCAAGCAGACACTTTTAATTAATTCTTAATTATGAATGCCCACGTATGTCCTCCAAGTGGCCAAAAATATTCAGTGTGGGGCGACAAAGGAAAAAACGCACTGAAAAGAGAACAGACACCACTCCTGGTTTTGATACTTTTTAGGTTAAATTTACCAAATGTTATAAACAGCTTTAAAAATACTTACCTTTAGGGTGGTTTTCAAAACAGTGCAAACATACACAAATCACAACACACTTCTTAATTTGTTCCTCTTTGTTGTCACGTGTTGCTAAGAGACTGTCTTTTTCAGGGCTCAAATACACAGATTTTTTCCAAATTTAGAAAATAGGCATACTTGCAAAGAAGCCTCAAAAAGGCAGCCAGTTAGAGGTAGAAATTTATTTGGTAATTACCAACCCACATTTCTCCAAACAACTTCCTGAAACATATTACTGAATGCCTGTATGACTCATGGAAACTTCAAAATTGATCATCTCTGGCTCTGTGGCAATCTGCTTTCTTAATTTACATACATTAAAGTTTGTGTACCCTCTACTCCTTACTGAAGGAAAACAGGAAAGTCAACCTTCCACTGAAAGAGAAGCAGCCGTCCACTGGGTTCAGACACTGGGAAGGCCACTGAAAGGCTCGTGTACATCAAGATTTCTCATGAGTGGTTAGGGGATGTTGATCACTCTTAGGGATAAACTGTAATCAAAGATCAGTATGTGAAGCCGGGAACAATAGCATATATTAACAGTAATACGTGTTATTACAGTCATATTCTAGTTCCTTAATTTATACAGTATGTTATTAAACAGATATATCATAGCATAATGGTATCACAAAAGACTACTTTTTCCCTTAAAACTCCTAGGTGCACTTTTGTATGTATTTTTTTATTAGCTATCTGACAGCCTGGGGAAAGACACAAAAAGGCGATAGGTGCCCATGACAACTGGTGATCAAAAAGCCCAACAAAAGCTGGGCGTGGTGGCTCACACCTGTAATACCAGACACTTGGGAGGCCAAGGTGGGAGGACCACTTGAGGCCAGGAGTTTGAGATCAGCCTAGGCAACACAGAGAGACCCCCATCCCTAAAAACACTAAAAAAAATTAAAAATTTAAACTCAATATAACTGAAACTAGATGGTAAATCAATGAGGAAATGGCTAAGTTTACAAAAGTCTGACTGACAAACCTCAGAGACGCACCCCTCTCTTTAAAAAGGATGCACTTTGACATTTTAAAATATCTATGTGCATAGTTATTAAAGAGCTTTTATATGGGCCCCTTAACTAACAGCAGAGAACCGCAGGGACAGGCCAGCTTTGCTGAGACAGATACACAGGCTTTATTTGTTTGCAAAGAAACACAACTGAACTCAACTGTAAAGACAACAAAGCTCAAACAGCCTCAGTCCTCACTAGGGTTTCATGCCAGCCCAACCCCATACGTTTGTAAAGCATTACAGTAACTTTGGAGAGTAGGACTAAAGTAGTCTAGGCTTGCAACAGGCAATGTTTATGTTCACTCCAAATTGATATGTTGAAATCCTAACCTCCAATGCAATGGTATTACGAAGGTGAGGTGAGGGTGGTGCCCTCACAAATGGGGTTACTGCCCTCATAAAAGAGACCCTAGAGAGCTCCTTCACCCTCTTTCAGCCATGTAGGACACAATAGGAAGTCTGCAGTTTACAACCTGGGAGAAGGCCCATGCCAGCACCCTGATCACAGACTGTCAGCCTCCAATACTGTGAGAAATTTCTGTTGTTTATAAGCACCCAGTCTGTGATATTTTGTTATACCAGCTCAAATGGACTAACACCGAGCTGTAGTCTCAGTTCTGCCACTCAGGCAAGCCATTTAGTTTCTCTGAATACTGACTTCCTCGTTTGGATAAGAAGGAAAGGACTCATTGTTCAATTCCCACCTATGAGTGAGAACATGCGGTGTTTGGTTTTCTGTCCTTGTGATAGTTTGCTGAGAATGATCGTTTCCAGCTTCATCCATGTCCCTACAAAGGACATGAACCCTTGGACACAGGAAGGGGGACCTCACACACAGGGGCCTGTTGTGGGGTGGGGTAGGGGGGAGGGATAGTATTAGGAGATATACCTAATGTAAATGATGAGTTAATGGGTGCAGCACACCGACATGGCACATGTATACATATGTAACAAACCTGCACATTGTGCACATGTACCCTAGAACTTAAAATGTAATAATAATAATAATAATAATAAAGAAAGAAGGGAAGAAGAAATGGGAATTTGCTTACCAGTAGTTAAAAAAAAAAAAAAGGAAAGGACTACGTGGAAACGAATGCGGGTGGAGGAGGTACTAATATCTTCTGAGCATCTCCTACAGGCCAACATTGTCCTTATACCATCTAACCTAATCCACATACTAATTCCTGATTTTACAAAAAGGGAAGCCAGGCCAGGGGAGGAAACTGCTCAGTGTCACAGGGGACATAGTACAGATAGGACTTAAGCCCCGGTGTCTGGTTTCAAGGCTATACCCAATTGCTATGCTGACCTTACACATTCTGTTTCCAGAGTTCAAGGACTAATTTGAGCATGCCTTTCTCAATGCCCCTACATATTTCTATTTCCATGTGCTATGATATAATTTCCGAGTCACATCTGAGATCTCACCCTCTCTAAACTCTCTGGTCTTTCCCCCTTACTGCCACCACCACTTAAACCCAGACAAGCTCTGGGAACATAGAGAACTTGGAGAGTCATCCGCCTCTATTTCCATGTAGCCGGATACATTTTTGCATCATGTAGTTTGCTCAGAACACAGCAGAGATTCTAGTCCTGCAAGTTTGGTGCCTTCTAATCACAGCAAAGAGCATTCTGTTGCACAATGAATATTAGTATTCACTGATACCATATGTTCCCAGTGGGCAACAGCCAATCACTTTTTCAAAACCCTTGGGAGGTGAGCTTACATTTACAATGAAGAAATGACAATTATCATCAACCAAATCCAATTAATTCTCAGATTTCTATTTTTAAGTTTCTTGAATTGGAGGAAAAGATTGAATATCATTAATAATGGAACTTACTGTCTAGTTTCATTAAAAGCTTGCCACTTCACAGATGAAATCTGAGGCAAGCCAAAGAGAAATGTTGGCAGTTTGTGCCTTCAGGCAACAGAGGCCTTTTGGGTAAAATTATGTTTTTGTGCTGAGGGGGACTGTCAATAGTACTTGTTCTAAAATTATATACGTCTTTATAGAAATTGCCTCTACAAAAGTGCAATCATATTAATACACACACACTTGCTGTTAAGGCTATCAAGTTAAATTTAAGAAGCAGAGCTATTCTCTAAGTGGGACACATTCTTAACACTCCTAACAGGTAAAGAAAATCCTTCCTATACATGATAGCCAATTAATGACTATTAAAATGCTTTTAGGTGCCATGGTAGGAAGTCCCTGACAGGTAGCTTTGAGCAGAAAGATCCTCTGCTCCAGGCATCCCTGGGGCTCCTGAATGCCATTTGTCCTTGAACCTGCAGGAGGGAAGTGCAAGGAGGACTTGGTTTCAAATGAAGGCAAGCCTCCTTGCCTTCAAGTTCTACCAGCTACTACTTCTGACATTAGCTTCTAAGATTAGAATAAAATGGGATAATAAAACAGAAAACAAATACGAAATAATCCATCTGAAACATGGTTTGCCTACTTTAAAGGGTTCCTCTAAAACCGATTCAGAGGGATGACTAACCAATATATGAAACACTTTAAAATAAAAGCTTTTTGGCCAGGCGCGGTGGCCCATGCCTGTAATCCCAGCACTTTGGGACACTGAGGTGGGCAGATCACGAGGTCAGGAGTTCGAGACCAGCCTGTCCAACATGGCGAAACCCCGTCTCTACTAAAAATACAAAAATTAGCCGGTCGTGGTGGTGGGCATCCCAGCTACTTGGGAAGCTGAGGCAGGAGAATCACTTAAACCCGGGAGGCGGAGGTTGCAGTGAGCCGAGATCGCACCATTGCACTGCAGCCTGGGCAAAAGAGCAAGACTCCAACTCAAAATAATAATAATAATAATAATAAAATAAAAAAATAATAAAAATAAAAGCTTTTTAAAAAAATTTAGGATTTTTAAAACAGTTTACAAAGTTGAGATACTTTAGCACTGTTTGTGACTGCCCAACACTGGAACATTTTCCAGACAAAGCTCTGGATCCCAGGACTCAGCCTTCTTCAGCACAGCCTGATAAGGCTCTCATGGGGTCCCCCCGCCCCTGGGGGTAGCCTACCTGAGTCAAAATCCTGACTCTTCCCCTTGTTGGCTGAGGCCTTGGACAAGTCATTTAATCTCTAAGGGTCCATTCTTCTTCTACATGGTGACAATCCTGACTTTGAATTACTTCAAGGATTAATTAAAATAATACATGTATAACCCTTGGCCCAATGCCTGGCATATACTGAAGGACTCAATAATAGGTTGAGGCTCTCATGACTGTAATAATTATGAGTAGTACTAAGAAAGATAGTGGAAATAGTTGCAGTGAGGCCCTACTCTAGATGGAGGGCCCACTTGTGATTTGAAACATCCAGCCACAGTTTAGGCAATCATACAGGCCTATCTCCTATGGCAAATGGAATACTGCCCCATCAAATGGGTTGAACTAATACCACTAGACTAAGTATTTGATCACTGCTTTTTTACAAGGTACTAAGGTAGTACTCAAATTGCTGGTTTTTGGAGGACACAATTATATTGCCCAATATGGACAACTCACTATGTGAGTTGTCACCCCCTCCTGAGACACATGGACAGAAAATATAATACACTGGCAAGAGTCCAGCTTTATGGCCACTGCATTCAGACATTACCAGATTCCAAGTTTTTCCCATTTGAAGTAGCTGGTGCAGTTCATTTCTTTAGACATGCCTCCATCCACATCAAGTCTGAAAGCTTCTTTAATGCTTTTAAGATTAAGATAAAACAGCTGGTGAAGGGGTGGAAGCGTGTCAGTGGCAAAAACTCTAAAAGGAGAACACAGAGCTTGGCTAAAGACAAAGCAACAGGAAGTCAAGCACATGCACCGTCCAGAAATACCCTGAAATGTTATTTTAAGACTTCCACCCGCGATGCAATCTCATCCTCCATATTTTAATGCTTTTGTGATATTTGAAGGAAGGGACAGGAAAATAACAATGATGAATAAAATTAATTCTGGTTAAGTAACAACTAGGCCTGAGGGCCAGGTGTCCCTTAACCACTGAGCACAAGAACTCTGTGATTTTAGATACACTCAGACAGAAAATCATGGAAAATATCCACCCACCGCCAATTCCTTCAATGGCAGAAAACATAAGACACGAATAATCAACTTTACTTAAGATTTGCAAACCTTATGTGTACTAAGTAACCAGTACTGTGTCTAGTTGCCATGGGGTGGGGGAGTGGGGTGGGGGTCTAAAAGAATTGAACATTTCAATAAATGTTATTCAATAACTAGGTTATATATGAACATTCAGTCAAAATATATTTGTAAGGGAGGCTTCAGTTTCTAGAAGAGAACTGAGAAATAGAAAGGCAGCTGCAAAATTTGGTGTACACTGATGTTCATATTTAATCTAATTAATGGGTAATACATTTCTGAAAGGGTCGATTTATTTTTTTAGAGTCACCCTGTAATAGCAAATCTTAGTGACTGATGAAACCTCATACCATAAAAAGAACAGGATAGAGAAACGTAATACGAAGTCGAAATGGTTAAGGCTGTCATATTGCCTTCACTTCAAAGGAATTACATTCACTGTTGGTATTTCTTGTAGGGAACCGAGATACCATTGAAGAAGCCTTCAAAAAGGCTACATTACATAAAGCATTAAAACAAAAAAGTAATCTAGTAACAAAAAGGCCCACAAACAGAGCTGTGGGGTACAAAATTAGTTCTTCATAAATTTTTTTTTTTCTTTGAGAAAGAGTCTCACTCTGTTGCCCAGGCTGGAGTGCAGTGGCATGATCTTGGCTCACTGCAACCTCCACCTCCCAGGCTCAAGCAATCCTCCCACCTCAGCCTCTGAGTAGCAGGGACCGTAGGCACACATCATGATGCTTGGCTAATTTTCTTTTATTTTTTGTAGAGATGGGCTTTCTCCATATTGCCCAGGCTGACCTCGAACTCCCTGTAAATATTTCTTATAGATCAGTGAACACAATGCCATATTTTCTTACAATGCTGCACCCGACGGCTTCATGGGCCCTTCTAAGAAACGAAGAAACTGACCAGTAGACAGAACGGTGCCATATGTTTTGTTATGAGATATGGGCAAAAGGATTGCTGTCAGATGCCAGGCAATGAAAGTAAAGGCAGGAGGAATTTCCACCCTTGAAGTGAAATAAAGACATTTTAAAGCTACGGAGGTTGGTGTGAGCTATTCAGAGGTCACCAGGACCATCAGCATGTGGACTGTGTCACAGTTAAGTCTGCAATGTCTTCTTTTCCTTATTAGTATATAAAATAGTAGCGTGCCCAAAATCAGTATCTTAGTATATGAAATATTAATTTCTTAGAAAAAATCAATGCAAACCTATAAGCTTTAAAGGCCATTTTTTTTTCAGCTCTGACCTAGATGTAGCCTAACAGCCACAGCAGCCTTTTCCCACGCCAGCAGCATTCACTCCTAATAACAGGGATAGTGGCTAAGAGGGGGCTTCAGAGCCAGTCCCTCTAGGTTAAAATTCCAGCTCTGCCACTTACTCATGGTGTGACCCTAAACAAGCTAGTTCTCTCTCCTGGGCTTCAATTTCTTCATCTGTGACAAAGATAACAGTACCCATCTCATAGGGTTGTTACAACAATTAAATGAGACAGTATTGGTAGAGAGCTCAGAACAGTATCTCACACAGTGAGCATCATGTAAGTAATTGTTAAATAAAACTAGCACCTAGATTTTGGTGTCAAACTGTTCTCCAGAGAAAGAAGCCAGGGTTTCTTAGAGGGTAGTTCCATATCTTGGGGCGGGGAAAGTTAGGGATTGGCAAGGCTCAACGTGTGGCTAGTAGGAAGATAGAAGATGTTCATGGAGCTCAGGGGTAGTGATGAAAAGACAAATCACTAGCCAAGATGGGACAATGTGGGCATCAAAAATAGTAAGGCCATCTAAATGTGAAAGACATGATTTCATGATATCCCACACATGAAAAAGTTAATATAAAGCACACAATGAGGTGTTATCATACAAAAGAAAGGAAGAGAGTATCCATTCCACTTTATTTTAATAAATGGAAGAGTGCTAGGTGTTTTGTTTCTTCTATTAAATATTTATCCGTTTAAGTAGAGAAGAATGAACATCAGGAACTTAGTAATACTAGTCCTCGGTAAGACAGAGTAGACCAATAACAGGAAGGCTTTAACATACTTAAAAACCAGGGGGAAAGAAAATCGAAGTGTGTCAAGATGATGAATTCGCTAAATGTTCTAAGAGGTGTATTAACCACAGACTTCATCCCTCATATCCTAGGAGATAATACCCCTTCCATGTCTTACTAATGGAGATAGTAATAGATCATATGGTAGCTTCCATATGATGATGCAAAGAACCAGGCAAAGATTAGGAGGACAGGACAATGGACTATGAGATGCCAGCCAAGCAAAACTTGGAAAAGAAAACATTCTGGGAGAAGCACCATGCTTCAAAAAAACTAGAACTTGTGTGGAAAGTATAACTCCAAAATCTTACTGCTGTAACAAATTGTGGACAAATATAAAATGGAGCCTAGCCAGATGACCAGTGGCTTGGATTTGATGAAGCTAGAGATGGCCAAAAATAACTAGATCAGTTATCAGCTGGTCAGACTATCTTTCTGGCTCCAATAAAGTTTCTGTAATTGTGGAAATGTACTAGTACTATATTACTGTAGAAAAGTCTCAAAATGCACATTGCTCTAACACTGGACACTATCAAAATATATGTTGCTACAAACTTAGGAAAGTAAACAGACAAGTTTAAGAACAACAAATGAACCACCATGGCATTGGTATTTTACAACAGCTTTAAGTATGTTTTATGTTTCATAATCACTGGATCTTTGTGTGCTGTTTCCAGTGTCAGGGGGCTCAAAAGAATCAACATTGCAGTTTAAGTTGTTAAAAGAGTTAAGTCGGTAATCCATGTTCAAACAGATTTCAGAAATTAATTTTCAAAGTTTGATTTTAGATACAAATTTAATAGTTTGAGCGCTAAATTACAAATAGTAGCAGGTGCTTCTCTCTATGAACAAAAACCCCTAGAATATTAAAGAATACATAAAGTGGGTCACCAACATGATGTCCAGAGGAGTAAACTGTATTTCTCCACATAAAAGACTATTCAGAAGCACAGTTATCCACTTCTTCCATCACCATGACCCCAAGGGAAACAAAAGGTAGAGGCAACAATAGAAGAAGATATGAGATAAAAATGCTACACAGTTGATAAGAGTTCTTCCGTATTAAAAGTAGGACAGGGGGATAATGGGAAATGAACTACAATAGAACCTGGCTTCAGTTTGTTGTATAAATCCAATCAGACATGTATAGCGTAACAACACGTTCCTTCTGTTATAGCTTTGAAATAAAATGAATCTGAAATGATGAAGAATATAAATGTGTCTAGAACAATGAAATACAATGGTGAAGTTTCAGATGTGGAGAGGGGTGAAAATGGAGCTGAGAAATACTCTCAAGATTCCACTGACCCATTTCCCCTACAGGGATTAAATCAAACAAGATCGATCACCTCCAAATCTTTGGGTTTATACCTGACAACTACTCTCCTGGCAAATTTAATGTTTTTCTTTTTGAAAGGCTGATATTATTATTTCTACAATTCTTTCTCCCTGTTCTTCCCACCCTCCATCTAAGACATGCAATCTAAATGCTCACTCATGGGAGAAAGGCAACAAAGCAAATGGCACTCACTGAGCACCAGCATGTGCCAGGCACTGCAGAGGGAGATTCCCATGATCATTACATTTCATCATCACGAGTCTTGGGAGCTGGATATTATTACCCTACTTTTAGTAATGGAGAAAATGGAGTTCTGCAGAAATGAGCAAATTGCACAAGGACATCAGTGCAGTTTGAGTGTTCAGACCTGTGTTCAGGTTTGCCACCAAACCCTGCAGGCTCTTCCACTGTCCCATGCTGCCTTTGGGTTCTCTGCCCCACTCTTTTTACTGGGACTACCTGTCAGCGGTTCTTTCTCAAATGAATTGCCAAGTCAAAAACCTCAACTCTGAAACTCAGTTCCCAAAAAAGCAACATAAAAATGTTCTAGTCTAAGTCTCCTTTGTTTATCCAGTAAGTACTTGTTACACAGAAGGCTGTATCATTCCAGCCTGAATCTCAATAGTGCTCTGTGTGACCTGGAGAATTTAAACGTGTACCTGTACCAAAAAGAGGAACTCATCCTAAGTTTTCTACTAGTCACACACGTGTGACAAGCTCTCCATACCAGCCTGCACTTCAGTTTCAGATCTGGAAAAAGGTGCCTAACAACCAATGCAGCTCCCAGAGGCTGACAGAAAGAGTACCCTTCTCCCCCTCATGGCTGTCCTTGTAATGCTCTCTCTACATTCAGAACAGAGTGTAAAGGCTTTAAAACCAGCCTCTGAAGCTATCAGGGCAACATCAATTAAGATAATTTTTAAAAGCTCAAGGCAGAAAAGAAATTAACATTCCCTTTATTTTAAAATGTAGTACACAAGATTAAAAAGTATTGACGATGAGTACAGGACAATCTCCTTATTGACTTGTTTACAATCAAAATCGTGCATGCATGACAGGTCATTAGAAATTGAGTTTTGCAGCTGGGTGCGGTGGCTCATGCCTATAATCCCAGCACTTTGGGAAGCCGAGGGTGGGCGGATCACCTGAGGCCAGGAGTTCGAGACCAGCCATGGTGAAACCCCATCTCTACTAAAAGTACAAAAATTAGCTAGGCGTGATGGTGGGCGCCTGTAATCCCAGCTACTTAGGAGGCTGAGGCAGGAGAATCGCTTGAACCCTGGAGATGGAGGTTGCAGTGAGCTGAGGTCATGCCACTGCACTCCAGCCTGGGTGACAAGAGCGAGACTCCGTCTCAAAAAAAAAAAAAAAAAAGAAAGAAAGAAAGAAATTGAGTTTTGCTCATTTTTATTTTATTTTTAAAATCCTACCCAAGGAAAGCATATTTTTACTAACCAAAAGTTATTTACTATCTGCACTCTGAATGTTATGCAAGTGGAGAAAACTAACCAAGAATGGCACATAAGGTTGAGTAGAAGTCCACGGCACAAATATGCTGGCTGAGGGGCCAAAGTGTGGTTTGTATCATAGTAGGGGCTGCAACCACCCGAAGGAATGGACTCCTCTTAAGTGCCAAGTTTATGCTATGGCAAGGAATAAATGGGTAACAAAAGAGATGCAGACCACACCCCGAAGGAGCCTCCAGTAGAGTGGGTAGATATTAAACAAATAATTACAAATTACTATGGACCACGTTTTCTCAACTCTAAGAAAAACATTTTCCCTTATCTATTTAATCCTCACATGCATCTTATCAGTTATGACTAATCCCTGGCTTACAGATGAGAAAACTGGCATTAACTATCTGCTTAAAGGGGTGGATTTGGGATTGGAACTTGGGCCAATGGACTCTGGAGACCATTCCTTTAAGGACAACACTACACCAGTTCCCACCAGTCCCCCACCCCACCCTATCCCCTGGGCTTCTTAAGTATTAGAAAATGGAACCACTATTCACCCAGTTTCTCAGGCTGAAAATCCGGAATTATCTTTGACTCCTCTTTTTCTCACTCAGTTCACCAATCAATCCTGTCATCTTTCCTTTCAAACTATATCCAGAATCCTACTGCATTTTATTCCTTCCACTACTATCATCCTGGCCCAAACTGACATCATCTTATACCCGGAGTAATGCAAAAGCTTTCAACTGCTTTTCCTGCTTTTGCCCCTGCTAGCTACAATTTACCTCCCACATGGTGGCCAAAGCCATCGTTCTAAAACAATTTCCCATGTTCCTCTGCGCAAAATCTCCCACTGACCTTCCATCTCAGCAGCCACTGGCCTCAGCCATCTAATCTCCTCTGGACCCTCATTTCCTATCTCCCTCTCCTTTGTTCCCTTCTCCCCAGCCACCCTCACCTCCCTGCTGGTCCTCAAACACAACAAGCATATCCCAATCTTGGTGTCCTTGCACATCTGATTTCTGCTGGCCAGCACACTCTTAAGCCCCCATCTGTTGATGTATGTCACTCTCTGATTTCACTCAGGTCAACAACTAACCTCCCTAGAGGGCTCTTCTCTGACACTCTCTGTGAAGGAGCATGGCCCTCTTTTTTGTCTGTCTCATTCTTTGGACTCTTCCCTGCACTTACAGGTAGCTGTCATCACACTACATATTTATTTGCAAATTATCTGCTTCACCCACTAGAATAGAGGCTGTCTGTGGGCAGAGACTGCTTTGCTCACCATTTCCCCAGCACTTAAAACATCACCTTCGCACGTGGCAGTGAACAAAAGAATGCGTCTCAAAGTATTATTAAAGCAAGTCAGTAGTGTGTATTATAATGAATACCATTGTGGAATTGAAGAATGACATAATTATAATACCAACTATTGTGCTGAAGATTACGGAGGTTTTAATAACATTAATTGCAGAGAGGTGGTAATTTATCCTGGGGTTCAGAAATGGCCTCGAGGAAGGGCTATTGAAGTTGAAACCTGAGGCTAAGCAGGAGTTAACCAGGTAGAGTGGTGGGGAGGCCATTCTCCACAGATGAACCAGTATGCACGAAAAGCCTGGAGTGGAGAAGAAACATGACAGCAGGTTGGAGAAAATGCAAAAGAATGAGTGTGGATGGAGCACAGGAGAGAGGGGAGGATGGAAGGGAATCAGAAAGAGACAAGACCATACGAGGTGCTGTGGGCCACATTATCAAATTGTGATTAAGTGAATACATTGGGATGCTTATGTCTATTTATATTAATCAGTTTAAGATGTGCCTATTCATATTCTTTTGTAGTTCAGGAAAAGTTTGAATAACCTAAAGATTATCAGTCCCTCAAAAGAACTTTTCAGTAACATAACCAGGGGCAGGTATTGGCAGGAGGGCATTCAAAGAGAGAAAGATACTAATTCTTTGGACATTTTCTCTATTTCTTTTTTTTTAATGAAGCAATATATTTAAGTCAATTGTATAAAAATAATTTAGCACATTGGATTCAGAAATCTGATGCCTGTGATGACAATTTTTAGAGAAAATTCCTTTTATGTCTATATCCTTTTGACTTATGGCACTTTATCCAGGCTAACACACCATGACTGAGAGAATTAGCTGACGAAGGAAGGGCTTAGCAGTTGCTTAGCGATATCTCTTGATAAGAAAAACGGTCACCACCTCCTGCCTGTCCCATGCATTAACAACTGTTATCTCCCTCTAGCAATACTCATTTTATCTGAAGAATCAGACCAAGCCATTGGAGCACCAGCCAGCAAATCTGAGGTATACAAAGCAGCTGCCCGCAAGGAAGCTTACTCTAGTTCAGAATACAAAGTACTCACAGGTGAACTGTTAAATAATAATGGAAGGTTTAAATAAAGATCCATGATAAAAACTAAAAAAATTATGTAAATATTTGAGCACCTACAATGTGGCAGGCTCCGCAAACTGGGAACAAAAACAAGAGAATGTGGGACAGAAAATCTCCAGTGGCCATGAAATCTCACCACCACTACCTACTTCCCAAGGCCTAGAAAGCAAATCAGCTAAAAACCTGAAAAGCTAGAAGTAATGTAAATTACTGGTATTCTTCAGGGGGTCTAATGATATCTGTATCAGATATGTGGTCCCTACACGGCACTCCAAAGTCTGAGTGGGGCTAGCAAAAATTGAGCAGAGTGGCACTGTGATCATCAGAAAGATATTTCCCCCAACAATATGACAAGATCTGAAATTATACGAGTTTGTCAAATTTTTAAACCCTACGATGTAAAAGTTCTCCTTAATGTCCCAAAAGGCAATTTTTACTTTAACACATTTTTAAATTAAAGGTAGAGCTCAAAACTGTTAGTTTTTCTTGCATATCAGATTTCCAAGAAATATGTTTGTTATCTTGTACAATTCATTTACTGACCTTAATTACCTAAATGTACGAGTCAGCATTACCTGACAAGTCCGTTTGGAGATCTTACAGTGTGTGAGGGCACCCATCCTCCAGTCCCCAGCTCCTCTTGAGCCTCATCTTTCAACCCCAGCATTTACTTATTTCTGAGTCTTTGCACATCAGTTTCTACTTTCAGAGAATGGGTTGGCTGATTCCTGCTAATCACTCATCCTTCAGGTCCTAGCTTTGCCTGTGCACTCTGCAAGGGCAGGCACCACGCTTTCCCTCTACTGCATGCCCATCATCTACTCCATCACCTGTCACAAAGTAGGACAGATGTCTAACAAATTTTGTTTGAAGAAATGAACCACTGTCATCTCCCCAAGAAAACTTCCCCCAAACCAGAACACTGGTTGGTTAGCCCTCTCATCCTGTCCCTCACACATGTGTACTCCAATGACACCCCTTATCGCCTGATCCTTAGGTTGCTTATCTCCTTTGCTAGATTTAATTCTCAAAGCCTCAGGTCTTGTCTTGGTTCTTGTTAAATCCCAGAGTCTTCACAACAGTTGGCAACATTTGCTGATATTCCTTATTAAATCTTTGAGGAACTCACCTGTTTCCCCCTTTCAATTAAAAAAGAAAAAGATGGCATCCATTTCACAATACTCTTGAGCCTACAACGCAAAAAAGTGGTGATTATATGAAAGGACTCTAATTAGAAATTCAGATAACATAGTGAAAAACTACTTATGAAGCTAACAACATTCATTTAGCAGAAAAAATTATTTCTTCACAGTCCCAACTTACTGCCTAGGACAGTAAAATCTAGAACCACCTTCATTCCCCAAACAACCATTAACTTTACTTTTCTAAGTACTGATAAAACTTGCGGGCTACATTATGGTGGCAGTAACAGATGTTTATTTTTCATTCACTCTACGCGTCCATTTCAGGTTGGCTCCGTGTCTCTTCTCTCAGGAAGGACAGGGCTTCCACAATCTGGAGGGTCACCCCTTGCTGAGGCAGAAGGAATAGGAGGGGAAGAGCAGTGTGCCCAGGAGGAGGAGACTTGAAGTTGAGAATTGGTGAGCAGCATCTTAATGGCCATCACACGAGATTTGGCAGAAATGTACAGAATGTACAAGAGTAGTTAACCTTCTACTATGATATCCCAGAAGGTAAGTCTGAATCAATATACAGACTCAATCTGTTTTTTGTTTTTCAAAGCTAATAAGACAAACGCAGGTATTAACTCACTACAGGGCAATTAACCAAAAAAAGAATCCACCACAATGTAATTGGACAAGGGAACATATCCATACTCCCAGAGTACCTACAAGAGAATTTTATTAACAGACTGACGTAGCTCTAGAAACTAAAAGCAGATTTGTTCCCCAGCTGTTCCTAGGTATTGACACAGTGAAGCCTCAGCATTATCCAACTGCTTCCACCTGGCACTGTCAAAAACCATTAGTTTGTAGATGATTCCACAGGCACGGAGTATCCACCATGTCCTTTACGGCTACTATAATTTATACTCACATTTTGAACAAATATAAATGCAGGCTCATGCAAAGCATATGGTATGGGCAGGCAGAGTGAAGGAAAGATCACAGCAGAAGGGACCCCATGGAGAGCTTAAGGGAGAAGCAAGGCTATAGGTAAATTCTTCAAGTTCCAAAGAAAGTGATATGGATAAAATTGTTAATGAAGATGGGGAAGAAAGGGAGGAAATGTTCTAGAAAGCTTGGGGAACATCAGTATTTAAGGGAGATTTGAGAAGAAAAGGGAATGTGGTGAGAAAACTAGAAAAAGAACCTGAAGGAGTCCCCAGAAGTTACAGGATAAAAGACTTCGTGGACTAGAGAGTGAGCAGCGACAATTACTGTTGCGGTGAGGATGTGGAAGATGCGCACATTTTCAAAGTGACCATCTGCACCTAGAAGGTCACTACAGGTGAGCGTTTTCCTAAGTAGCACTGAAGTGGAAGCAATGCATGGAGAGCACCCCACAGTTTCCCAGGCGCATCCTACTCTGCCCTTCCATGCACCCACACTCGCTTTCCTTTCCAGCTCTCCACTGTCTGGCTGGCTGCTTTATGGTTCAGCTCCTGACTCATGTCCTGGGGAAGCCTTCCTACAGTGGCTTGTTCGGCTGGATGGGACTCCTGCTAGACAACTTCAGGAAAAGAGGTTTGTCTTGTCTTTGTGTACTTGGCACCCAGACAAGTTTTTGACAAAGTAAGCATTCAATATACTGGTTTTTTGGGGGGTTCTTTTTTGGTGGGACAGAGCCTCACTCAGTTGTCCAGGCTGGCGTGCAGTGGTTTAATCTCGGCTCACTGCAACCTCCGCCTCCCGGGTTCAAGCGATTCTCCTGCCCCAGCCTCCTGAGTAGCTGGGATTATACGCATGCGCCACCATGCCTGGCTAACTTTGTATTTTTAGTAGAGATGGGATTTTACCATGTTGGCCAGGCTGGTCTCGAACTTCTGACCTCAAGTGACCCGCTGGCCTCAGCCTCCCAAAGTGCTGGGATTACAGGCGTGAGCAACCATGCCTGGCCCAATATACATTTCTATAAGGAAGGAAATAAAGGAGTGCTGTAGTTTGGTTTGTCCCCACCAAGTCTCAGGTTGAAATCTGATCCCCAATGTTGAAATTGGAGCCTAGTGGGAGGTGTTTGGGTCACGGAGTCAAATCTCTCAAGAATGGCTTGGTGCATCTTCATGGCAATGAGTGAGTTCTGACTCTATTAGTTCCTGAGAGCTGGTTGTTATAAGGAGCTTGGCACCTCCTTTCCTCTCTTGCCATGTGACCTCTGCACATGCTGGCTGTCCTTTGCCTTCAACCATGAGTGGAAGCAGCCAGAGGCTTTCGCCAGATGCCCAATCTTCCAGCCAGAAGAATCATGAGCCAAATAAATGTTTTTTCTTTAGAAATTACCTAGCCTTTGGTATTCCTTTACAGCAACACAAACTAAGACAAGGAGGGGAAGATTTTCTTAAAAAGGGAGCAATAGTACACACAGTAACTTGAAGGGGTGATGCAGCCTGGAAAAGGAAGTGTGTTGTTTTACCCAATAGCAATGACTTAGCACATCTGTGGGAGAGGGAAGGTGATGGAGGGTTAAAGACACAGGACGCTAGGACAACAAATGAAAGAAATGGAAGACACAAGCGTGCTGTGTGGAGTGTTAACATTTAGCCTTCTCCATTATCATTCAAGAGGAAGACAATACTGGAAGGTCTTCCAATGACAATTATATGCATCAGCCTAGAAGTGACACTTCATTTATGCTCAAATATACTGGCCAGAACGAGTCACATGGACTCATCTACCTACAAAGGGAGCAGAGAAGTGTAAGCCTCCCATGTGCCCACACGGAGAAAGAAGGGTATGCGCTAGATGTCGCTAACATCTCTCTTCCTTATTCCCAAACAGTCCCACAATCTATTAGCTTTACTATCTAGAAAGCCTCCAACAAGGCCTCTTCTCCAACTCACCATTGTACTTCACCCTTCATCTGTTTCACTCCCATATCTGCTACTTTTCCCAAACATAAACCTCATGTCATTCCCAATACTTGCTTACTAAAAAAAATTCTTTGTGGCTGCTCACTGCTTATGATGTAAATAAAGTTCCTTTTGATGACATACAAGGGCGTTCACAATCTTATGCAAACCTACCTCTTGAGCCCTGTCCCTGCCTCTATGCAGTTTTTGTTTTTTGTTGTTGTTGTTAAGAGTTAGTGCCTTCTGGACTCTTACTTGGATGATTTTTAACTGCAATGAGTTAGAAATCTCAGGACAAAAGAAACTTGGCTTAGGGTTTCAGTGGCTCTTTATTTCTTGGCATATGTGGTGAGTGCCTGCAGCGCCTGCAGCCCTCTGCCTCACGCGCGACCTTCAGGAGTTCTGCTGTCTGCTCCAGCACTGGCTCTGCTCCCTGCGTGGTTCAATCAGGAATGGTTGGAGGGCTTTGGGCACAGCTGCAGCAGAGTTTGTGCAGGAAACGTCCAGGTGATCAAACCAGCAAATGAGGGATTATTACCTTTTCTGTAGCAAAAATTGTGGTCCTTAGTGAATTCACCTGGGACCTCCATCCATGACAAATCCCAGGTTTTACCTGAGAAGGAAAGTCCCTCCCACTTCCCCTTCAATCCTGGATACATTGCATACAGGCGTACCCAAGAGCAGCCCAGCAAGAGTCCTAAATACAGAGGCATCATTCAGACATGATTGAAGGGAATCACCAATCCTACAGAGAGGTTCCAGAGGACATGCCTGGCAGACCTAAAGAGCAGTCAAATGTTACCAGCACCCACTCTTTCTGTAAGAAGGAAGAACCATTGTATGTCTAGTGTCAGGTGGTTCAGGCTCCACGTGGGGATTCTGACAGGCCTACAAATAGTCACAAAAGATTTTTCTAATTCCCAGAAATAGCCGCTTTCAAACCGTCATGACCTTCCTCATGCTGCTGTCTCCCTCATGTGCCTCCTCTACACAAAACCTGTTCTTCCAGGGTTCGAACAGTCAGTCAGCTTTGCTCACCCCTTCCCATTTTCTCCAAACTTAGAATTAACCAGCCTGTGCCCATTTGCTGGGTTCCCAGCACATGTGATCAATGCCTTCATCACAGTAGCTTATTATATTATAGTTATACACACAATGTCTCCCCTGCTAACTTGTGAGCCCCTTGAAAATAGAAAATATATTTTTTAACCTTCAGAGCCTTCCTTACACTCCATGAGGAGGTTTAATAAATGTTAGCTGACTGAAAACTGAGTTAACTGAATGGTTTTCTGTCAACCGAGCTGAAATAGTCTTAAGTTTTACTTGTAACTAATATGGCTTGCTAAATATGGGCATTGTTGATCATACATCATCTTCTTTAATAAACAATCTTAACTATCAAACCATTTAATAACATAACACAATCTAAACATCTTCTGTTTTGGTATCTGTCTCATAATATAGTCTGAAAAGTGTGAATGTTAGGTAGAGATGGTTCATCTTTAAGTCTATAAGTACCTAACCAATGATATTTACTGAATAGAATAAACTATTTAGATTCCTAACAGAGCTGCAAAACTGGCTTTACTGATGAGGTAAATCACTGCTTTGAGATATAGTAAAAATAAATATATCTCAGGAAAAGATATGTACTTAAGTGCAAACACCAAGAGTATTTTTTTTTTTGGTGACAAAAAAATTACTTGAGCATACTGTTTTAAATGAATTGTACTTAAATCAGAAGAACTCTACTATAGAAATGGATGCTGAAGCAGTTCTGGTATAAATGGAGTTACTGAAAAGTAATAAATCAATCCTTGAAGAATATTCAAAAGCACATTAGGGAGGAAGCTGATGTAGGCAGAGTCCCAGTCATTCATCCTTAGCCACTTAACCCTGATGACCTTCAAGGAGCTATTGATGCTAGCTGTCGGTCGCTTAACATCTGAAATGAACAGACCACTAGTTACCCTCTACTTAAAAAAAAAAAAAAAAGGTAGCATGTGAAAGTTCAACTTACAAAGAACCAATACTGATTAACAGTACCATTCTGAACATTATGAAAATGTCTTGCACTGACATAGGTCACAAAGCAAGCTTCCTGGTGCTTTTAAAATATAATTTGACTTATGTGAATTTTCAAAACCAAACCTCAAGCAAGCCTCTGCGTCCTTTACTCAGGTCAGAGATGCTGAGAGCAGTACAGTGACACGTGGCTGCAGGGCCACGTATAAGTACAAAGTATTGATTAAAATTACATCAAGTGCAGCTGCTTTCTGCGGCAATTTAACGGCCAAAGTGGGAGAACATTAGCTCTGTGCCAAGTGGCAGCACAATTCTGACAGCCATGTAGATGTCCTCAGGTCACCCACCTACAGACAACTTGGGGCTAAATGAAAAGGCTGAAATCAGATCTAGTTGTGATCTTCATTTCTTTTTTTCCTGGAAGGGTCAGTAAGAGCTTTCAATTTTACATTTTTTCAACTTTTAGTCGACCCTAATTAGATATCTACATACCTTACAAATTATAATTTGGCTGTAACAGAACCATGTCTCAAAATGGACATTCCAAAGTGGAAGGAAAAGCTTGTCATCACCACCATGATTTTGTTTGCTTCACTGATAAGATTTTGAAGCATATCCCCCTTCCAGGCAAATATTTCAAATCATCCTTTCTGGACAATATAGTAACATATCACATTACTTTAAAAGAATTAGGGGAGAAAAGCCTAAACATTTAGTCTCTTTTAATTCAGGATAGGCTACTGAAGTTTATTTTTATTTTTTGATTTTTTTTTCTGGAGACGATATTATAACCTGTGCTTGGTGCTCATTCTTCATGCTGTAAAGGGTGGGGAGAGCAGGATACTGTCCTCTAAGCAAGGGGATTAGTTTCCACTACACCATACTTGGTTTTTCGTGCTGTTAGATTTAGACATTTGTTTCATAAAATCAAATGTAACTAGATTTTCAATTCACTTCCACTTTTTGTTAAAATGCATATTCAGAGATTTTAAGATAAAGCAGACAAGGCAGATGAAAAAATGTTAATTTGTAATGTATACAAATATCCCACTGAAAAGTCAGTAGAAATTAAGAAGTACCCAACTTCTCTTATGACACTTACTCCCACAGCACTGTACAGCTGGGAAGGGCTAAGTCGATGACCTAACTTTATGAATATGCAAACTGAGGATTTAAAAAGTGAGGCTGCTTGCTGAAGCCACAGACTGGCTAGGGAAAGAGCCAAGACTACCTCAAGCTGCCCCTTCAAGTTATTGATCATGGTGCCACCCCAGCACCATGCTACTCCTCTGTCATGCTGTGCATGGGTTCTCAATTTTTCATTAACTTATTTTCCCAAGAAGAGTGTGAGCCTCCCAAGGTTAAAACCTCTGTATCTTTTGCCTCTTAAGACATGTGAAGCATACAGTAAATGCATGATGGTACCAAAATAGGGGCAATTGAAACCTAAATATTAAGGTGAAGCAATAATGCTTTTTAATCAGTATGTCCAGCTCACCAAAACACTACTTTGGTAAAGTACATTAAAGTATATAGCTAACACTTCCCAAAACAATTTTCAATCTAAACATTGATCTTTTCTAACTATTAAATAATGTCACAAGAAATATTAGGAAAGTCCATTTTGAGTATTTTTCCCAGAAAAATGTCACTTTTCAAATTATAGCTTAGCAAAGATTTACCTACAAGGAGGTTCATCCCAGGACTGCTTTCAATAGTAAAAACTTGGCTAACATCAAGGAAAAAAAATGTGTGTTACAACCATAAATAGAATACAATGCAGCTATTAAAAATGATAGAGTAAAATATTTGTTTACATGGGAAGACAGTGACTCCATTTGAAGTGAAAAAACTCATCAGTATGTAGAATTATCGCAGTTGGAAAATAGATATGTACTAATAGGTGCACACAAATTATCAATCGAAGCTAATTACAGGTGATAGAATATATGGATAGTTTATGTTCTAAGTTCCTGACTAACCAATGCCTTCCTCCACTTTGACAGGTTAGTAAACATCTAAAGATAATTTGAAGTTCTTCTCATCCACAGTCAGTGGAGATAGAAATTTTTACAAGAGAAACTTTTGCCAAAGGGTCAAACTCTGCTAGAAAAATAATAGTCTCAGCATGAGTTTAATTAAACTTGCAGCTGACATGCATTGTGCCTCTCGGGCAACTTGTAGCACTTTGGAAAGCAAGAAAATAAAACTATTAAAAGACTGTTTTTCAACAAGAAAGAGGACATCAGGGACGTTAAAATAGTGTTCCTGAGGAAGGTGCTACACTTCTGAAACCCAAACAAAATGATCTTGACACTCATCTGAGTATAGTTTGTTGGTAACTCAGGTGATAAAAAATCCAAACCTGTGAGCAGAGAGTCCTAGCCTGTGGTCCAGGCTCCTTGAAGACCTGGAAAGGTAGAAATAGGAGATCTAACCTGTTTTAAATGTTGCGGGGTGGGGGCTGGGGGAGAAGCTAATGACTAACATTGTGGGCAAGAAGTACTCAAGGTTAACAAAGGTTAATCCTTTGCTTTTGGCTGAAATGTTATCAGTTCAATATGATTTTCACTACACCTTCATGATTAGGAGATATGATGTATCTGGTTAATTTTTTTTAATAGAAGTAATTTAATGCTTATTTAATACAGCTTGCTGGACAAAATTTTTCACAAGGAATTCATCCAAGAAAATGAAATAATAAAAGGGCTCATGATGTTGAGAAGGTTGGGAACCAGGACTTGAGGAATTTACAGCACAAGTCCTCATGGAGCCCAGAACCAGATACAAATCACATCTGGTGGTCCCTCTGAGGATGGCAAGGCAGGTGGCAAGGCTTCAGGTGGTGTGCAAGGGGCAAAAGGGCAGCGTGGCCAGGTAGTCTCTGTCAGCACTAAACTGATGACAGGGGAATGGGGAGAAGAGGACAGGCAGGGCTTCAAGTATGGGGCCCATGTGATTCCCAGCTGAACACCAAGATTAAAAAAAAATACATAAATAAACACCAGCTGCTGTAGTCAGAGTTGCCAATTCTTCTCTTCTTCCCATTTGCTGCTGCACTGAGTCACCAGCCCAGTTCTGGACACCTGGTTCTAACAACAGAGCAGCATGGTCCTCTGTGGCATAGCCTCATTGTTAATAATCACAGGGAGAATTGCCAAGAGGGCATCTAATCGCACTCTTTGGCTCCACTCCAAACCATACCTTATGGGGAAACACTGTCCTAAAAGGCTGATAAAATTACTGTTTGTCCCAAATGTATCTTTTAGAGTCCATCCTCCTCGGTTACTTATTTACAACAAAATATTATAGCTATTTCCTCTTTTATGTTACAAAAAATCCTCTTTTTAAAATTGCTTTTTTTTGTTGTTGAGACAGGGTCTCACTCTGTCACCCAAGCTGGAGTGTGGTAGTGTGATCACAGCTCACTGCAGCCTTGACCTGCCTAGTTCAGGTGATCCTCCCACCTCAGCCTCCCAAGTAGCTGGTACCACAGGTGCACCTGAATGAGGTTTTTTTTTTTTTTTTTGTGGAGACTGGGTCTTGCTATGTTGCTCAGGCTGGTCTTGAACTCCTAATCTCAAGTGATCCACCTGCATTGGCCTCCCAAAGTGCTGGGATTATAGGCATGAGCCATGGCACCCGGCATCAAAAAAAAAAAAAAGAAAGAAAAAATTCTTAATAGTCCCTTCTTTATTAATGTCAGTTTGGTTTCCCATTCCTGCTTTCACTGGCACCCTCTTATAGGCTATTCATAGTCACTGTACCTTACAATTTGCTTCCTACTGAACATTTACACTCCATCTTTTATTTTTACTGACTGCGTGTAACATAATTTGTCAACATTCACCTTTTCAAAAAGGCATATAATGACTATTAGTACACCATAGCAGACCACTTAAATATAGAAACTCAATAATCTATAGCATTTTTATGTAATTAATTAATTTATTTATTTATTTATGTATTGAGACAGAGTCTCACTCTGTCGCCCAGGCTGGAGTGGAGTAGAGTGATCCTGATTCACTGCAACCTCCACTTCCCGGGTTCAAGCAATTCTCCTGCCTCAGCCTCCCAAGTAGCTGGGATTACAGGCACCTGCTACCACACCCAGCTAGTTTTTGTATTTTTAGTAGAGATGGGGTTTTGCCATGTTGGCCAGGCTGGTCTCAAACTCCTGATCTCAGGTGATCCACCCGCCCGCCTCGGCCTCCCAAAGTCCTAGGATTACAGGCATGAGCCACCACGCCCGTTCATATTTTCATTTTAAAAAAAATCAATTTATCACAAGATTTTTTTCCTTCCTATACTTATACAAAAAAGATCACAGGGTAAAGATGCACCATTTTTTAATAGCTTAAATGTCTATTTATCAACTCCCTGAAAGTACAGTAGAGCACACAAGCCACTTTGGTCCTCTCAGCTGGGCAAGTAATTGATCTGTCTGCCCACATCCCTGGGATGATTAATTACACCATGCATCCAGCAAGGCTCCATTAGGCCTGGCTTGTGCAAGCCAGCAATGTAGATGCACACACTCAAGATGGCCACCGCAAGAGACCATGCTGCCAAAGACAAAGGTATAAATGCTACACTGAATGCTGTCACACTTTTTGGCCCCAAAGTTCACTAACTTGAAAGATTCCCATTAAAACTTGACTCTGAAGCAAGTGTGGTGGTGCCCACTCACAATTCCCTGCTGCCTGGGAGGTTCAGGTGGGAAGATCACTTGAGCCCATAGGGTGATATGATTGTGCCTGTGAACAGCTATTGCACTCCAGCCAGGGCAACACAGTGAGACGCCATCTCTAAGACAAACAAGCAAACAAAAAACTTGACTCTGCTTAAGTAAAACTTAGGTAAAAAAATCTCCCAAATTAAATTTTACAGGGGACTCACATAAAACCTCACTTACGATTTAAGCCCCATTATTCAGAATTCCTAAGTACATTTCCTTACTTCTAAGTAGCTACTGATGTTAAAACACATGCTGTATTTATTAACTTTAGAAAAAAGAAACATCACTACATAAAATGTACAGATTGGTTTTTAAGACATACAGGCTTTCCAAAAACATTAAAATATTTTAAAATAGCAGTTGTAGTCCAAAAATA
Source organism: Homo sapiens (assembly GCF_000001405.40). Classification (NCBI taxonomy): domain Eukaryota; kingdom Metazoa; phylum Chordata; class Mammalia; order Primates; family Hominidae; genus Homo; species Homo sapiens. The sequence continues at coordinate 62,922,088 of NC_000012.12, forward strand.
TAGTAATTTTGACAAGGTTTGGACTGTTATACTTAGGAACGCACATATAGTAAGGAAGTATAATTTTAAGAGACTACTATACTCAATAGAACTATTTTAAAGTACTGTTAAATGTATCCTTTTATACAAAACTTGATGTGCCAACATGCCTTTATTCCATGTAAAGCCTCTTGAAAATTAGTTTCCTTTGAGTTAATAAAATGCATTTAATTCCCTTATGTGGCATTTTGTTTATGGGGATAGGATGTCTTTTTTTTTTTAATAATTTCACACAATGAATGGTCAGGTTTAATAATTCAGTGATGGTCACCAGGGTCATGGGACAGCCTGCGATTCTAAAGTAACTTGATTTCTCTCTGGGGTTCATTTTCCTCTTTTATTGAATATAGATAACAGATGCTTACCTTTAAGCATTAGACCAGGGCCTTAATAATCATCCAGAGCTACAGAGATGTAAGTTGGTGTTCTCTTATTCTTTCTCCTAAATATGAGAGCATAAAGTCCACAGAAAGAAAATACAGCTAGGCAGTTAAATTTTACAGCCGTTTAGAGAAAACTGAGTCAGAAATAGTATAACAAAGGAAGCACTATGGATTCATGTTTCAGAGGACCCAGCTGGTCTGACCACACCAGAAAAAGAGCAGCTGAGCGGGTACTCTGCTTTCCCTAAGCTGTTAGTGGACAATCTCTACTTCAGAAGTATGGAAAACACAGTGATGTCTTGATTCATCATGAGCACTTTTCAGGTAACACATTCTGAAGTCTATTGAAAGAGTACTCTTCAGGGAGCATTCCTGCCTGGCCACCAGCTGAAAAGAGGAGTGATTCAAGTTTTAGGCAGATTTCCTAATTTAATTAAATGGGAGCATAGCAAAGAGATACTTTCCAGTTTGACCCCATGTGAAGCTCAACTATGTGGATGCTAAGTTATGGGAAGCTTATCAACTGAGTGAGCATTTGCAGGGGCCAATGTTATAAAACTGAAGTCTGAGGTGGCCCCTTCCATGCACAAGGACCCAATTGCTGCTGTTTTTCTCAACTGAGGATGTCAAAGTCACTCAAACTTATTTTTTTATTTTTCTATGGAAAAGAACTTAAAAGCATAAATTAAGGCCACTGCACTAAAGGAAAAACAAGCTTAGAGATAACTCAAGAATGGACTGATGGATGGACACAGAAATGGGTACACACACAGATAAATGATAAAGCAAATCTAACAAAATGTGAATTACAGAATCTAGATGGCAGTCATATGGGTGTTAAGTCTACACTGGTTTCAACTTTTCTGCACATTTGAAAATTTTTTTTTCTTTTTTTGTTTTTTCTTTAACAAGACAAAGTCTCCCTCTTGGCCCCCAGGCTGGAGTGCAATGGCGCGATCTCGGCTCACTGCAACCTCTGCCTCCCGGGTTCAAGCGATTCTCCTGCCTCAGCCTCTCGAGTAGCTGGGATTACAGGTGTGTACCACCAAGTCTGGCTAATTTTTGTATTTTAAGTAGTGACGAGGTTTCACCACATCGGCCAAGCTGGTCTCGAGCTCCTGACCTCAGGTGATTCGCCCACCTCGGTCTCCCAAAGTGCTGGGATTACTGGCATGAGCCACTGAGCCTGGCCGAAAATTTTCATAGTAAAATGCTGGGGGAGAAAATAATTCCGAGTTATAATCAAAATAAAGGAGGCAGCAGGCCCCACTGTGAAAAACCTCAGCCCTGAGGGCAAGACACTTGGTTCCTGGCCCAACCCCAGGAACTCACAGAGTTTAGAACCCCAAAGGGCATTGGCAATCCTCTAGGGCAGGTTAAATACATGGTTTTATGAGTCCATGAAAATTTAGAAAAATAGAAACAATATTTTCATAAAACTATTTGATTTAAAAACTGTTGTTTTGCTGAGGTTATATGCCTCTATGCTTCTGGTTTTAAAAATCCTTTATTTCATGAAACACTGGTGATGGTAGATGACAGATTTGATTATGTCCACACTTGACAAAATAAAGTTAATAACCTCATGTCAGTCTTCTCAATATTTCTGAAATGATAAAAGGTTACAGAATAAAATAAAAATTCTGAGAACTACCAATGCAGTTCAATGACCCCATTTTGTAAGACGAAACTGAGGCCCAGAGTGGGGGGGGCAGTAGCCAACTCGACAACTGTAGGCAGTTCACCAACTCAAAGGGTTAAAAAGGTGACTCACTTAATCATAGGTGGGATGCCTATCCAAGGAACAAATCCCAGGTTACACATACAGGGATGGAAGCCTCTTGTAAGAATCACCCACATGGCTGACTTTTCAGTGCTGCCACTGGTCTTCTGAACATAATCTCTGTCAGCTCAGCATTTAGATCAAATTTCTTACAGAAACCAGTTTCTGAATTTTGATGTTAGTCCTTCAGCCATGCTTGCACAAACATAGGTGAACAGTGACATAATCCAAGTGCATAAGGAGATGCGAATTTACTACATTCGAGACTATCATCCACTGGTCTTATTTTTTCTAAGCTTTTCTCATAGCCAAATGGCCGGCACAGAATTTTATGTAGAATATTGTGAAAAAACAGAATACATTTTCTTTGTAAGCTAATATTCAGGGAAACCCGAGATGACATTTGATAACAATACAAGTAGCAGACTACAAAACGTGAGATTTCAACTGATTGAAGAAATGCAATTAGCCGGGTGTGGTGGCTCACGCCTGCACTCCCAGCGCTTTGGGAGGCAAAGGCAGGTGGATCACTTGAGCCCAGGAGTTCGAGACCAGCCTAGCCAACATGGCAAAACCCCATCTCTACCAAAAATACAAAAAATTAGCCAGGTGTGGTGGCGCATGCCTGTGGTCGCAGCTACTAGGGAGGCAGAGGCACAGGAATCGCTTGAACCCAGGAGGCAGAGGCTGCGTTGAACCTGGATCACACCACTGCACTCCAGCCTGAGCGACAGAGCAAGATTCGACTCTGTCTCAAAAAAAGGAAATGCACTCAATAAACCTGCATTTAAACTACAAAAATAATATAAATAGATGAATATCAAATTAAAACCATGTCTAATAAAGGGAAAAAGGTAAATATCTTAGACTAATTAAAAAAGGGGAAACTATAGAAGTTGAACTTTTGTTTTATAAAATAAACATCCATTCACCAAATATGTCTGTCATTACCCTACCTGCCTAGACAAATGAGATGAGCAAAAGAAATAAAATAACAGGGAGCAGGTGGGGTACAGTGACTCACACCTGCAATCCCAGCATTTTGGGAGGCCAAGGTGGGTGCATTACTTGAGGCCAGGAGTTCAAGACCAGCCTGGGCAACATGAGGAAACTCGTCCCTACTAAAAATACAAAAATTAGCCAGGCGTGGTGGCATGTGCCTGTAGTCATAGCTACTCGGGAGGCTGAGGCATGAGAATTGCTGGAACTGGGGAGGCAGGTGTTGTAGTGAGCCAAGATTGTGCCACTGCACTTCAACCTGGGTGACAGAGCGAGACTATCTCAAAAAAACAAACAAATGAACAAACAACAATGAGCAGAGCTCTGGTGTGTCATGCTAGCCAGGTTTATACCCCTGTGGCTGAAGAGCTACATCATCTTATATTAACATGTAATACTCATTTATTGGTACAAACCTTCAAGCCATATAGCCATATTTAGTTCCAAAGCTGGCCTGAGTCTTTATCCCTTCTATGGCATTTTTGGGGCAGTTTTGAATTCCTAGCCTAGACAGCTCCCCAAGGTCTGCAAGGCAGGGCAGCAGGCACATTCAGACACAAACACTATTTGCCTGTTGACACATTTGTCTATTTGGTCATTTCATCTGTCTTCTAATATGTGCCTGAAACAAATAAGGTACTCAAATATTTGTTGACTGAGTTATCTATAGTAGTAGAATCTTCGAAACTATCTGCCCAGCCCTAACTACCACCACCTCCTTTTTAAAGAACTGCCCATTTTCAGGGGTGGGTCCTGGCAGCCATAATCACCTGTGGAGAAGGTGGACATCTGAGACAAACTGAACCTATTGGAGTCTCTCTCCCAAAAATTCAAAATTGGAATTGAAGCCACAGTTGATGTGGTCTGGTTGCTTGTTGGTGGCATGGAGAAGTCACCCGTGCCCTGGTGAAAGACTGAAAGAATGGCCACTTTGTTGCTGAATAGCTTTCTAGTTCAGGGTTCCAGTCCCTTGTAAAATCCAAGTTATTCCTATACTTGGGTTCTATAAGACAGTTGGTATCTAATCACCATTTCCTTCCCCCCACCACCCCAAAGTTAGCTCAAAGGCATTTCTATGAGTTGCAACCAAGGGCAGTAAGTAGCTAAAAGGAGTAGGATGGTTATTCTAGTACTTTACATGTTCTAAGCCTGATATGAAATAGAAGCCATAGAGGAGATTAGGTATGACCACCCAAATATTAAATTTTGCATTGCAAAGAAAAAAAATGAAGTTAAAAAATGAACATGTTAGAAAAAATATCACAACATAATAGGCCAAGGGTGAACAGCCTTAAAATATAAAGAGCTCTTATAAATATGAAACATTATCTCAACAGAAAAATGAATATAAACAGGAAAACCGTAAAAAGATCTCTAAATGGGTCAGGTGCGGTGGCTCACTCCTGTAATCCCAGCACTTTGGGAGGCCGAGGTGGGCGGATCACCTGAGGTTGGGAGCTTGAGACCAGCCTGACCAACATGGAGAAACCCCATCTGTACTAAAAATACAAAATTAGCCAGGCATGGTGGCGCATGCCTGTAATCCCAGCTACTCAGGAGGCAGAGGCAGGAGAACTGCTTGCACCCGGGAGGCGGAGGTTGCAGTGAGCCAAGATTGTGCCATTGCACTCCAGCCTGCAGGACAGAGCAAGACTCTGTCTCAAAAAACAACAACAACAACAAAAAGATATTTAAATGGCTAATAAATATCTATAACATATAAGTATATACATCTGTTTATTCATTTTCTTCAATAATCAAACAGATTACAATGAAGTATATTTCATCTATCAGATCACTGACAAATATTAAAGGCTTAATACTAAAGTGGTAGACACTGCTGGCTGCAGTGTGAATTGATACAACCAATCTGATATGTATCACAGTTGTGAATGTGCATAGCTTCTAACCAAGCTTTCCATGTCTAGAAATTAATCATAAGGAAACAACTGAATGAGCTGAAGAAAACATATGAAGATATTCACTAAAAGCCTAAAAGTAAATCTAAATGTTCAATGGGAGATTCATGAATGGGAAGCCCTTCAATGGAATATTAGGCAGTCGACATATAAGAATATATGTTGGAGGCCGGGTGCGGTGGCTCACGCCTGTCATCCCTACATTTTGGGAGGCTGAGGCAGGTGGATCACCTGAGGTCAGGAGTTTAAGACCAGTGTGGCCAACATGAGGAAACCTCATCTCTACTAAAAATACAAAAAAATTACCTGGGTGTGGTGGTGGGCGCCTGTAATCCCAGCTTCTCAGGAGGCTGAGGCAGGAGAATCACTTGAACCCAGGAGGCAGAGGTTGCAGTAAGCCGAGATCGTACCACTGCACTCCAGCCTGGGCAACAAGAGCGAAACTCCGTCTCAAAAAAAAAAAAAGAAAAGAAAAAGAAAAAAGAAAATAATATACGTTGAAGAGGGGACCATTTTATATTCTTAAGTGAAGGAGACATGTTATAAGACATGTAAACATATGATCAGCTTTTATTTTTTTTAAAAAAATACCTATATAAAAAATCTGAGAGACCAAATCTAAAATACTAACAGTGGCTAATGAATTAACAAACATTTTTCACTCTGTTCTTCATATCTTTTACTAGTCTATATTATCTGAATTTCCTATAATGAGTATCTCATGGTTAAAAATGTTTTAAGTATTTCATTAGACACAGTGAAAAACCACCAAAGGTAGGCGTTCCACAGAACTGGATATGAATCCAAGATCTGCCACTTAAAAAGCTTTGTTACTTTGAACAAATAACTTACCTACGTTGCATTCATCTCATTAAATCCTTATACATAAAGTGCTTAATAGAGAACCTACACACAGGACTAGCTCAACAAATGACTATTGCATTTAGCAATTTTTAATGCCTCTAATAAAGTATAAATAGGGATAATCCTATCACTATATGGTATATGGGAGATGGGCCAAACAAATCAAATGCTATACCGTTCTTAAGCTAATAATTTGCAAAGTATCTACTGTAGTACCAAACTGGAAAGCTAGTGAAAACCACTTATCTAAAAAAACAACTTGGGAAAGGCTCCTCAACTCTTTGCCATAACATTATGTTGTATAATTAGGTTCAATCCTGCATCTTTTGCACCATAATTAAGGGCATCTGCTCTCCTTACATGGTCAGTAGGAAACACAGTCAATTATGGAGGGTCACAGAAGTAATGCAGATAAGTCAGAATGAAAATCACAGTTAAATAACTGCAGTCCCACCTACTCTCTCCCCCTTCTCCCCCATCTGCAAGGATGACAAAGATTCTCTCCTCCACCAAACTTGAGTCAGGCCTCTCTTCTCTACTAAGTCACAACGTTGGCGCCAATCCTGTTCCTTAAGCAAGAATCCTGTTAAGTCAGGTTAGCAAGAATCCCCCAAACTTGATACCTGCTCAAGTTCCTCATTCCCCACCTTTGATGTTACAAGTCTTTGGTCTGCTTTCAGCAAGAATCCTGCTAGGTCAGTTGAGTTTGGTTTAATGTCCCCGCTGAGTAACTTTCCATTCCACTGACCCCTCACACTCTACTCTTTGCCTACAAGTACCAGCTGTCAACGTGGTATTGAGCTGGGTTGTTTTCCTATATTGCAACAGACTTGAGTAAAGTCTTCCCCAGCATTGTAACAAGTGTCAGAATAATTTTTTTTCTCTAACAGCAGGGAAGGTCTTGGGCCTTCAGGTACAAAGCTAATCATAAGCTGGTTGGAAAAAACAAGTTTGCTTCCCTAATGTGACTTAAAGGCTCCAAATACTGAGATTTAAAATTACCCAGAAGCATTAAGACATTAAAATCAAAACAAAACTCCTGGTGCTGGTCCCTTTGAACCTTAATAGTCTATTTCATTTTAATTTAATTTCAAAGAAAGTACAAAAGGGGAAAGATTATGCTATAAAATTTTCTTGAGGATAATGACTATGTCTTATTATATTATGAATCCAGCATGGGACCAATGCTGGACACATAGTAGGAGTGCAATGATTTCATCAATTGAGAGAAATAATGGAAGCAGATGAATGATTATTTCCTGAAAAATGATAGCAAAAATTCAAGGGGACAAGCTAACTAATCCTCCCTTTAAATTAGGCAAATCACAGAACTATAAAGGCACCAGAGTTTATTTCTACCAAACATTGAGAATTAAAAATAACTCTTGAACATTAATGTATTTTTAGACAACAATTCCAGTATGCAGTTTTACATTTTCAACTAGTACTGCTGTAACCTTAATTGAAAGCACTGTATAGTGGGGTCATAGCAGAGATGCGGATGTCTACCTAAACTGGGACTGAAACATATAGTAAACACCCCCCTGCATGGTTAAACCCTTTGCCTGAAGCATCACCAGTCCTTGAAAGAAGCTGATGCATTTTCCTAAGAAAAGAGACATCCCCAGGAGCTCCACCTAAGGGGGATGATTTCTTTATAATGCTATATCTGAAATATGAAGGAACGCTTAGCTGTCTGCTTTAAAATAGGAAATTAATACCTTTTGCAAGTCACCAGAAAGGTAGCTGAAATAGCTCAGGCTACTCTGGACTTGTAACTCATCTGCAGATACCCTCACCCACTCCTTTTTATCCTTACATAAGAGTAGAGAACCTCAAGTTTCTTCAGTTGCAAAAGTCAAACAGGAAGTTTCCAAGCAGGAGTTCTGCAAAGAGGTATCAGTCAGTAAGAGGGGCAGGTATGCCAGGAAAAGTTAGAAGGGAAAAAGAAAGGCCAGGGGATTTCCGAGCTTTGGGGCAAGAAAGAAATAGCGGTTTTTGTGTCTTCACCACCACCCAGCCAACTAATGCCATTTATTGGTAATAAGCAATTAGTGCCAATGACCAAGGAGACAGACAGCCTGCAGAGTCCAAAACAAATCCAAATACCTGTAGGCAGCTGGCTGGATTTAAATAAGGTTATTCCATCAAAAATTTCATAATTTTCAACTCTGTGAGACATACACTTATATGATATACATTTAACAGACACTCTCAAAGTAGCTTTTGTTTCTACTTATGTCCAGGGGTACTTTTATAAGAAATAGGAAAAAAAATTTATAGTTATAGCTATAACCGAAGTAAAATTAGCTATACTTAATGTATTCTTTCTGTACAAGTAAACAAATGTATCACTGATAAAAACCTGAATATGATGCATTAACATACACAATATTGTTGCTCAAAACCACAACACATTCTTTGGCATTCCCTACGTCTGTAGTTTCAGGCACAAATTCCATGCCTGCTGGCATCTCTAAGACCAACTGTTTCATCAACAGGATAAAAATCGGGCAAACAGGTAAAAAAAGAAAAAAAGCCAAAATGGGTTCCCAACCCATTATAAAAATGAACCAACCTCCACTTGGGTGGTATTTGAGAGAAAGGAAGTAGCTGCCGCCTGGTCTCTGGGTCAGACTGTTGCTCCCCAAGGGCTTTATCAAATGAGCAAACCAAACAGGCTCAGCCACTGATTTCAAAGCCAAACTTAAAACTTGCTAATGCATGTTTTTAGAAAGATTTTAGCTTAGTAGATGTTATCTATAACTACAATGCTTTACAGAGCTTTACAACCTTGCAAATACCCCTTAGCCAAGTGGCTAAACTTTTCAGCTGTAATAGGAAGCTTTTCAAGAGCTGGGAAATTCCATCTAGGACAATGCCAATGAATACTGAAATGAACGAAAATCTTCAGTTTCTGCAACCTCAAGTCTAGCAGGGATTGCTTACGGCTAATTCTCTAGTTCTATAGCCTATAGAGTCTCTCTTCTTGAAAGGGATTAACAGTAAGTGGCAAAAGATTAGACCATTTCTCCTTAATTTTTCTACCATCTCAAAGGGTCAGTCATCAACATTAACTCATTGACCAAAAGATGTCAATTTTTCCTCCCAAGGAAGGCTTGGAACGTGACTCACTTTCTAGAGAGGTAAACAGATCACTTCTGATTCAGGCATTAGCTCCTTAGTACAGTTCTTATCACCACAATTTGAGCAATCTTCCTACCTATTCAACCCCTCTCAGGTACCTTCTAGTACAAAGAGAACAGAATTTCTTCTCCCAGTAAATCCTGTAGGAAAGGGCAGCATTACTGGTGGCAGCTTCTGATCACAGCCACAGTCCCTACTTGTCTTTCTCTTTCCTTCCCTATTTCAGCCATTTTGATCATTCAGGATGCATTTTTGCAGGAAGATAAACTAACAGTTCAAGATATAAGGAAGCGGTACAGTATATTATCTGACAGGGTTAAAGGTGAGAAGAGAGAGATGGCCAAGACTTTAGTGGCTATTCCTGGGTACAGATGAATACATCATAATTTAATCTACTGTAGAGAACGAGTTTGGTGTTGCGAGCTCTGGAGTCAGACTGCCTGGGTTCACACACAGGCTTGACCCTGGGCAAGTTGCTTAATCACTCAGTGCTTCTGTATTCTCAACTATAATATGGAAATGATAGTGCCTACCTCATTAGGCTTTTATGAAAATCAGATGATATAAAACAGTATAAGCACTAAAGAGTAAGCATTAACTATGTTAGCCATTACCAATAGTATATATTTAAGAAGAATGAGGTAATTCTGTGTTTACTTATGAATACTGTTAATGACATAGTGTTTTGTGAAAATGCTACAGAATAATATGCTTAGTATGAGTCTATTTTGAGAAGAAAAAAGAAACGCATGATATGTATTTATGAGGGCATCCAAAGAAGTCTGAAAGCCAAATATCACCCAAACATTGAACCCTCATTACTCCTAGGGAGTAGGTGAGGGCTGGGGAAGAGGGGCTGACTTTTTTTTTTTTTTTTTAAATAGGTCTTTGCTTGAATTATCACACATGTATTATTTTTGCCACTAACTTTAAAATTTGTAACATTTTACAGTGGCCTTCCTAGGCTTCAAGTTGAATATCTCTCATGTTTTATTCTAGGAAAAAAAAATTAACTTTTTAGGGATGCGGAAATGGAGGCCCAGAGAGGATGGGGGGAGCCCTCTAAGCACTCTCTCATGCGTGTCTCATTGCATCCTGTGCCTACCATAGGCATGCAAACACTCTGAAATTCGTTCTTTCCTTTCCCTCATGCTTATCTGAGGCTTTCCTTTTACTGTGTCCAAACGGCTTCCACCTTCAGTGTTTCAGTATCTTCTTTCCTACCTCTCATAACTTTCTCACCATTGCCTGCTTTTCCTTCTCGCCTTGACAGGCGCCCTCGCCCTGGGAAACTCACTGGAGTGGGGACAGATCTCAGGCGTTTGGCAGTCACAAGGACCCCCATCTACACAATTATACCACAGGGTATGCCTCCAAGTTGCTGTCTCGTAAAGGGTCCAAATGGGCTTTTTTTTTTTTTTTTTTTTTTTGAGAAGGAGTTTCGCTCTTGTTGCCCAGGCTGGAGTGCAATGGCGCGATCTTGGCTCACTGCCATCTCTGCCTCCCGGGTTCAAGCGATTCTCCCGCCTCAGCCTCCCGAGTAGCTGGGATTACAGGCATGCGCCACCACGCCCGGCTAATTTTTGTATTTTTAGTAGAGACAGGGTTTCTCCATGTTATTCAGGCTGGTCTCGAACTCCTGACCTCACGTGATCCGCCCGCCTCGGCCTCCCAAAGTGCTGCGATTACAGGCGTGAACCACCGCGCCCGGCCTAAATGGGCTTTTAAATAACGTTTTTATTTCAGTCAAGAAATAGTGTTTGGTATGTTTGGCAGGCTCTTTTTTCTCCTTTAGGTCTTTCCTTACACAGGTGTTTATTTTTGCTTTGGCTTTCTCTTGGAAGTTACAATGCTATTTTGTACCTTCGCCACCCACAACGTTCTCTTCCGTGCTCATCTTTTATGATGTGTTAATTTTTACTGTCTGAGCTCCCATCAAAGCGCATTTCTGCCTCCTCACTTTCACACTCCAATCGTCTAGCCCCATTTATACACGTTTTCCATTTCAGCCCATGGAGAAACGCTTTATAGGATGATGGGAGAAGGAAAGGAGAATTAGAGATAATAAGCAGAGCAGATTCCAAGCAGTCTCTCCCACCGGAACCCTTAGGGTCGGGAACCAAGCCTGCCCCGGGGTATCCGGGCCACCAGAACAGGGTCAGCATCAAGGCGCCCAGGCATTGGAAGAGCTGATTGGTTCCCGGACGAACCAATCAACCAGCGAGGCCGTGCACGGATAGGGGAGGGCCAAAACTACCGAGGGGATGGGGTTAAAGGAAAAGGCGCAGGTGTGCCAGCCACCAGGTTTTGCGTGCACTTTTGCACTCCCTGGTTCATTAATAACCTTGAATTCTATTCTAAATGTCTCCTAGTTTTCCCGTTTCGTACAGCTGAGGTAGTAGATAGAAGGGAAAACGTTACTTATCTTACCATTCATAAGATGGTTATTAATAGTCAGTGGAAAAGTGGCCATGGAGCTGGGGGAAGGGCAATAAAATCCTCCACCTCTCCTTTCCCGATTCCACTCTGGGTCGTCAACCTAACTCAGTCGGTTCCTGAAATAGCTGATCAGTCAAACGCAAGCTTAATCACCAAAGCGGATTACCAAAATGTTATATTAGACAGTTGGAATAAGTTTCCCCCTCCCCAAGGGCTGAGGGAAATAGTACTGGCATTTACCGAAAGCGCAGCATTTTACTACCTGCTAAAGGAGAAGCGGAGGAACTCGCGGGCTGAAAGTGAGAGAAACTGAGACCTTCGGAAATGTACAACCACGCACTCGGACACGGCCACCTCCCGGAATCGGACACAAGCTCCCAGGCGCAGTGACATCTCCTCCAAGCCTCCACCCCCATAAACTCTTCATCACGCGGGGGCGTCAACTATATTTTGGGAGGGTGGGGGTACAGATAGCAGATTTTCCTTATGTGTTTCAAACTTCAGAGCTTTTCTGCCCGTTTTTTTTCCCCAAGTGACAGAGACCCCGGATTCACAGACCTGTCTCACCTTAGCTTTCCCACGCTCCAGCGCTGCCACCCACCCCTCCACCACCCATACCGGGGCTGGAGACGCCGCGTCCTTGGGCTGGGGGAAGAGGGAGTGGGGAGAAGAGGGAAATGGCCAGTGTAAGTAAAGAGCTCCCCGCCGAGGCCTGGACGCCGGCAGCTAGTGAGAGCCCTGAGGCCGAGAAGCAGGGAGAGAAGAGGGCTGGAACCGTGCGGGGAAGGGCCGCGAGGAGAGCAGGGGCGCCGCCGGTGTCGCTGCACTCACTCTGCGTAGCCAGTGGCCCAGGGCAGCCGCCGAGTCTCCTTGAGGATGAGGATGGGGCGGGCGATGTGGTCGGCGCTGCACTCCACCTCGTCCTGAGACAGCCCCAGGAACTCTGGCCGCCCGTAGGGGAAACGCAGGGGCAGGTCCGAGCCTCCGCAGCTGCCGCCGCCGTGCTCGGAGCCTGAGCTGCCAGCCATGATGCCGCCCATGAAATTGGCCACGGCAGATTTCACTCGAGTGAGCATATTACTCCGGCGCCCGGCTGCAGCGGTGCGAGCAGGAGGCGGCGGGGGCCGGGCAAGGCGCAGCGCGGGGCATGCAGGCTGCGGTGGGCGCCGGGCGCACGGCGAGTCGGGCCACTGGGACGCGCCGCGCGCGGCTCCCAGAGCCTAGTGCTGCAGGGGGCCGAGCCCCGGCCTCTCGTGCTTAGTGCCGCGGTGGCCGCCGCCTCCCCCCGCTACACTTCCGCAACGGAGCTGCATGGAGCGGGCCGACCGGGGGAGTCACCGCGCGCTCCAGGAGCGCCCAGGCGGCTGCAGCTGCAGCAGGTCCCTTCCCCGCCCCCTGCGCTCGGCTCCGGCGTGCGCTGAACTGAGCCCACCCGGCGAGCTCGCGGAGCCGCCGCGGCTGCTGCCACGGCTACTGCCGCCGGGTCATGTGATAATCAGGCTGCAAGGGCTCAGGCTGCTGCGGTGGCCGTTGCTCAGCCCCTCCCCTGCCGGCCCAAGCGAGACTCGCACCGGGATCGTGACCTCCTGGGGGAGGGGGAGACCGGCTGAGTCGGTACCTGGCGGAGGGGATGGGGGCGCTGTGAGCTGGAGGCGGTACAGGTGTTAGCGGCTGTCACGTGGAGCCGGGCAGCCGGGAAAAGGATTGAAGAATCCACTCCTGAGGAATGCTGCCTTCACCCTCCAGAAAGGAAACTTTGGGAGCAGGAGGGGAAAGGGGAGACAGGTGCAATCAGGGTGGGAAGCTTCTAAGTCCTGCGGTGGAAACCAGCAGTCACTGGGTGTAAGAGACTTTCCAGGGCTTAAAAATAAACAAGCCTATACGGATTGCATGAGAATTATTAAAAGTTTTTCCCTAGGTATTTGTCGATTTACTTTTCTTTTTATTACCACTATATGCATCATTATCTATGGAGCAAACCTTATTTCGAACCCAGAATAAGCTTAATACACAAGAAAAAAGATCTCTTAAGAAATCAGAGGCTGGTCTGAGGGCAGTGGTATTTACAATTAATTGATCACAACCAGTTACAGATTTCTTTGTTCTTTCTCCACTCCCGCTGCTTCACTTGACTAGCCTAAAAGAAAAAGAAACAGGGACCATTAGTATTTAATTGTTAAATAAATTTATACAAGCATTATCCTCCAACGTAGCAACAAAAGTATCTTTTCAAAGCTTACCTCGTTTACTATCTAGACAAATAAATGCATTTTCCTCCAACTTAGGAACAAAAGTATCTTTTCAAAGCTTACCTTGTTTACTATCTAGACACTTAAATGCAGTCGTATTTGAATTTTTTTTAATTCAGAACATTGTTGCAAAATTATCTAAGGGCACTTATAAAACGAAAGAAGCTTAAGTAGAACATAGCAACTCAAATGCTAAAGTAAAAATGAATAAATACTTATAATGATAAAACATTTTTGGTGATCATATGTTAGAAAACACATCTTAAAAACTGAATACTTCATCAAGGCTAACATTTCTTAAATATTGGCTTTTTAGGGGGAGGGGAAACTTTGCAATAGAACGTGTATCCTGTTCATGTTTACCTATTTAATTTGCCAGAATTCGGTGTTACTTACGCAGTTATGCACCAAACAGCTTGCTCTGAATTCAACGGAGAATACAGGCCCTCGTTCTTCTCAGTCAGTGTTTGGGAAGGAGAGTGGCCCAGGTGTTGAAGGAGAAGCCAATTCTTTGAAGAGGAATTGTGAGTCAAGGAGTTCTTGCTGTTAGGTGAGGCCTGGATAAGCCTCACAGATGTCTTTTCTTCAGTATCTATAATATTCTTTTTAAAAGACATTTCCCCCTTTAACTTTTTCATGTATAGATATTCTAATTTACTAGGTACCAAATAATTATGTAAAAGATGGCAGTATTTTAAACTTTCAGTGAAATGCCACTCCTATCAATGAAGTTTTTAAATCACTTTTTACAAAATATAAATGTAATTTTATCTTAGCTCCTTTTCTTCTTATTTTGTGCAGTGTTTTAAATGATGCAAGATATGTCTTCTTATCCTTTGCTTGGTTAAACCGCAAACTCCTGAATGGGAAATCTCTGATTATATGGGTGGTGGTGAAACATCGAACATACCACATTCTCTGGTATCCATTGAGTCTAATATAAGCTTAGAATCGTCTTTTTAAGAAAACTTTTGTTGTAGAACAACTACCTTTATAATTGTCTCTCAGATATTCCAGTAAATAAACATTTTTTTAGTTGATTTTTTTTGAAATGGAGTTTCGCTCTTATCACCCAGGCTGGAGTGCAGTGGCGTGATCTCGGCTTACTGCAACCTCTGCCTCTCGGTTCAAACAATTCTCCTGCCTCAGCCTCCCGAATAGCTGGGATTATAGGCATCCACCACCACGCCCAGCTAATTTTTTGTATTTTTAGTAGAGATGGGGTTTCACCATGTTGGCCAGACTGGTCTCGAACTGCTGACCTCGTGATCCGCCCGCCTCAGCCTCCCAAAGTGCAGGGATTAGAGGCGTGAGCCACCTGCGCCCGACCATTTTAGTTGCATTTAATATGGTCTTCCATTCATTTCACTTTATTGGAAAGCTTTAGTATTTATTTGAAATAGGAATTTGAAATTGTTCTTGTGTGATTTATTTTCAATTTAAACATGGTAACAGTTCATGGTAAATAATTAATATATAAAATTCAAATATACAGAACTGTAAATAAAAATGTAAAAGACTCCAAAAGAATTCCCCAGGGGATAACTACTGTTAGTATTTTTGGTAGGCTTCTAAAATTTTTCTCAAATAGGATATTTAGCAAGATTAAATTTGGCAACATTAGCAAGACTTGTGAACTGTAACACTTACAGAACTAGTGTTCTGTAAGAAATTATTCTACTATTTTTCCATAACCTAATTATTACCTGTAATGAGAAAGTCTTGGTATGTCATTAGCTTTGCTAGCAAACGTTGCCCTGCAAACAGTAGAAAAACAGAAATTCTATACCTGTTCTCTTTCAAATACTTCTATAGTAAAAGACGGAAATGAAATTTCTGATTAAAATGGGGGTGGTCATCCCTCTTAGAGGGACCTCTAAAATTATATGCTTTTCACACCTATTGTACTCATAGGTTCTGAGAGTATCTGTGTTACTAAATTCAAAAGGGGCATTGATCAGGTACTGAGAGACCCTCAATGTGTTTGTTAGACATCAATAGATACCCTTCATTTTCTCTTGTGTTTTTTTTTCTCTTGGAAAATGTGGGTTTGAAGACTTATTCATTTAAGAGATAGATACATAGACCTTATATTTAGATGCTCTGTATATCAACATAATCTCATTTCTAGGTCTATAATACTATAGTTTTGAATATTAAATAACACTATGCCATTAGTAAGACTTAAAAAAAGAGGGCCGGGCGCGGTGGCTCACGCCTGTAATCCCAGCACTTTGGGAGGCCGAGGCGGGCAGATCACGAGGCCAGGAGATCGAGACCATCCTGGCTAACACGGTGAAACCCCATCTCTACTAAAAATACAAAAAATTAGCCGGGCATGGTGGCGGGCGCCTGTAGTCCCAGCTACTTGGGAGGCTGAGGCAGGAGAATGGCATGAACCCGGGAGGCGAAGCTTTCAGTGAGCCGAGATCGCGCCACTGCACTCCCGCCTGGGTGACACAGCAAGACTCCGTCTCAAAGAAAAAAAAAAAAAAAAAGGAACAGGGGGCTGGGGGAGGGGAGGGTGGCGGTGGCTGGGCGCGGTGGCTCACGCCTGTAATCCCAGCACTTTGGGAGGCCGAGGTGGGCGGATCATTTGAGGTCAGGAGTTCGACCAGCCTAACCAGCATGATGAAACCCCCTCTATACTAAAAATACAAAAAAATTAGCCAGGCGTGGTGGCGGGCCCCTGTAGTCCCAGCTACTCGGAGGCTGAGGCAGGAGAATCGCTTGAGCCCGGGAGGCGGAGCTTGCAGTGAGCTGAGATCGCACCACTGCACTCCAACCTGGGCAATAGAGTGAGAATCAGTCTCAAAAAAAAAAAAAAAAAAAAAAAAGGGAAGCAGCAGCTCTGGATAATTTCTTCAGTCAAAACATCAGGTATCCTCTCAAAATGTTTATTAATTATAAAAGATGAAACAATAAATTACAGTGAAAAAACTTGGCAGAAATCACCTTAATGCAATGACCAAGGTTGACATCACTAGTCATTAAGTACCCCCTGACATGGGTCTTCTTCCCCCAAATCCTATACCTCAGTATGCTCATGGGAAAATATGGGTCACACACAAACTGAAGATGTTCTAGAAAGTACCTGACCAAATACCAGATATGGTTAGAAGTGTCAAGGTCCCGAAAGGCAAAAAAGACTAAGGAACTGTCACAGATTGAAGACAATGGAGCTACAACAACTGCAATGTAGTACCAATGTTATTTTCTTAGTTTTGACATTAACATTAGGAAAGCTGGGTAAAGGGTATACAGGAAAAAAACATTAAAATACAAACACACACCAGAGAGATTTTGGGTTTAAGTAGGGAGCAAATGTTCCTTTGGAAATCAGTCCAGAAGAAAGACAAATGATGCCTTTCCAGGACTCATCCCTCCCACAGCTAGAGACTCATACCTCCGTTATGGTGCTAGTTTCCTTGTATTCTAATTAGTACATATATCTTCCCATTAGACAGTGAAATCCTGCAGGGAAAGAATATTCTTATTCATCTTTGTATTTCCAGCACTTTGCCTAATCCTTAACAAGTAACAGGGTTTGGTGGGCAATTAATCCTTTTTAAAAATCCCATTCAGAGAAGAAAGACTATTCTGTTTGAATCACCAAATCTGTTGTTTTTATTCCGTTTTCTTTAAGATCTTTCTCACTTAATCCCTTAAAATCTGTGTTGTCTATACACAGAACTTTCTTTTCTTTCTTTTTTTTTTTTTTTTTTTTTTTGAGATGGAGTCTCGCTCTGTCACCCAGGCTAGAGTGCAGTGGCGCAATCTCGGCTCACTGCAAGCTCCACCTCCCGGGTTCACGCCTTTCTCCTGCCTCAGCCTCCCGAGTAGCTGGGACTACAGGTGCCCGCCACCACGCCCGGCTAATTGTTTGTATTTTTAGTAGAGACGGGGTTTAACTGTGTTAGCCAGGATGGTCTCGATCTCCTGACCTCGTGATCCACCCGCCTCGGCCTCCCAAAGTGCTGGGATTACAGGCATGAGTCACCGCGCCCGGCCAACTTTCTTAACCTATGGTATCTGATAAGGCTTAGCTAACTTCAGTCAATATCCATATTGGTAATAATATGGATACCAAGTCATGTGGGTCTTTCCTTCACACAAAACTGATAGCCTGATATATATATATGTCATAACCAGGATATGAAGTTACAACAGTTAACACTAATTTGTTTTGCTTCAGAGATAGTTTGGATTCCAGTTTTGTATGCAGGAATGTACTGATTGGAAACACCTGATTTATTGGGGGTCGGGGGATACATGTATTTCTCTTCAGTAAACAAAACCATTTACTTGTAAGTGACAGTTTCTTATGAACCAAGAAATTTATACCAAATTCCTGAGCACAGAGTTATAGAGTATTCACAGATTTTACATCCATGAAATGCAGTCATTCCCTAGATTATAAACACCTAATTTAGAAACATTTGGAAATGTCCTACGCTGTCCACATTGTCCTATACTGAAACTACTGTTTTGTAACTGATGTGCGAATTGTAGAAAAAAAATAGTTATCCTTATCTCACAGAATAGCTGCAAGGTTCAGTGAGATAATAGTTGTAAATATGTTATAACTAATGTTGGGCTGGTATTATCACTCTTCTCTAGTTAAATCTGTTTTTCCTTAGAGATCAATTTTTAATATCTAAATTTTAAGCCATTTCTTTTCTCTGTTCTTTGCTTATAACAACCAGGATAACAATCCCTACCTCATTGGATTATCTTGATAATTAATGGAATAACATGTATATTCTTAATATTCTTCTTGGTACAGAATAGATGATCAATAAACAGGTAATAAGCACAATGACAGCACTCTGCACTGTGGGTGATGAGTGAATTTACATACATTGTTTCCAATGCTCTATCAACACCAAGGTAAACATTGTTTTTATTGCTCTTAAACAACACTACCACTTTACTATTGAAGACAGCTGGGAGGTTTATAAATGACTTGCCCAAGACAACACAGCAGTAACAAAGCAATGCAGTCCCATTAGGTACTTTCTTTAACATTACAACATATAGAAAGTTTACATCACAAAATATTTTTTCCCTACCTTTTTCAAGCAAAGATCTGGTAACCTCAGTTATGGTTGTTTTTAAAGGCCTCTGTGATTCTGAAATTAAAACAATCCCTTGGCAACCTTAGATGGATTGTTTTAAGTATAATCCTGTCATTTGGAAATTGTTCCAAATTCTAAAGCAATTAGTTTTCAGTGAGGTTTTTAGCTACAACTTGTTTCTGAGTTGGGAGCTGTCTGGGTCATGCTAAAGTTGAACAGAAATTCTAAATTCTGTTCAACTGGAAAGTATCTTTTAAAAAAAGATTATAATATTACTAAACTGTTCCCAAGCCTTGTCATATTAACTTCTCTTTTAATATTATTTGTTCCCCTGATCTTCTGCCATGATAAATCACTACTATCATGATTTTTTTTTCCAGATAATAGTGGCTTTAGTAAAATATCCAATGAAACTTGTTTACTGAATAGAAAAATCATCATTTGCTTAGAGTAGTGCATGTGGTTTGAACAAGTTCAGAAATCAAGTAACTGAAGACAGCTTCTTAGCTAAGAACTATAAACTCAAATTGCTTTTTATTCTCTCAAAGGATCAGTGTTGCTCTATGCCAGTAGATATGGCAGCTGTCTAGAATATGTTGAAATGCAGAATTAGTTGCTTTGTCCTTTTTGTCATCAACCGTATTTTGAATCAAATTAGAGAGGCTTTTTATGCTTACCTGTAAATATTTTTAGGTTTATCTTTCCAAAACCAAAACACAGTGGAGTGTCATGGCAAATAACCTCATATTTTATTCAAAAACAATACCCCCTCCCCAGTCATGCATTTATAATTAAAATATCCTATTTTAATACATTCTCCTTATCTCTACTTTAGTGAATTTAAAAAAAAAATCTCTTGACATAACTGGGTAATCGTAACAATTCTCTTGTAATTGCTTTGACTGTGGAAAATAGGCATATCAGATTGCAGTCCCTCACATGACAGCCACCAGCAAGATAACAAAAGACAGATTGACAAGAGAACAGCATAAAATTTCATTTAATATAACTTTTATCATATTAAATAATATATTATGTATTTATTAAAACTTTTTATATAATATATAAAAACTTATTTTTATATACTAAATTGTATTACATACAAATAAAACATTATATAAAAATTTGTTTTAAATGATTGGACAAAAAGGTATGGTCTAATGGTAATAAACTGGGGGAACTTTGCAAACTTGTTAGTAAACTTGTTGGAAAAGTAAACTATCTGGCCCCATCGCAAACCTGTTGATTCAGAATCCCTGGGATGGGACGCAACAATCTAGCTTAAAAGTCCTCCAGGTGATTCTGATGTAAACCATTTGAGAAATACTGGCACATGGGAAACTTGTACTGTTTATCTAAAGGACAGGCAGACATGGAAATGCAGGGAATATGTCAAGTAAGAAAAATAAGCAGTGACGCATGTGCTCTGACTTTAAATGTATGTCAACAACAACAGTTGTTGTTCAACAGTCCCAAATTGAATGAGACTATTCAACTGGATCTATTCAGAAACATATGAACTGCCCCTTTCTGTTTCATTTCCGTGGGCTTATGTTAGTGTAGAAGCCTGAGTACATTTGCTGTGGGCAGATATGTAAATTCTTTAGCATATGGGAAGCTGTAGAGAAGAAAGTAGGATTGAGTACTGCCTCCTGATCATCTCCCAGGACCGGATTACCAATAGCCAGTCTATGCCCATGTTCTGTCACGTGCCAAGCAGGGGCAGAAAAAAAATAAATATAAATATATATTTCTATCAATTCACATTATAATATAAATATGTATATAAACTTTATATATATACATATATTTTAAACTACATGTTTGGTAATGTATTTTAAAAGTAACAAAGTGGTCACTATTAGGAAAACCAAAATATTCTTGGCCTTTGTAGGGGAGAAAAAACTTTTTCCTCTACCAACTTTTGTTATTTCAATGGGAGCCTGCAAATTAAACTGAAAAAAGACATTAGTAAGAGAAAAGAGCTTATTTATGCGGGCAATTTTCACACATGTGGGAGTGTTCCGTGATGAGTAACTGAAAAGTGTGGTTAGAATTTGGGGCTTATATACCTAACTTAGTAGGGAAAAGGAATGGGGGAGAAAGACATCTATGGGAAGGACAAATTGGTTTGTTTAGGAAAGACAAATGGGTTTTCAGGAGAACAAACAGAAGATAAGAAAGTTTGTGATAATACTTATGCAGGTATGAGTGGTCTTTCTGTCTTCTTCATGGCGATGAAACTGCACCTGAGACGGGTGATGAGGTTTAAGACATGCTACTCCAAAATATGGCATCTTGATGTTTGAGAAAACAGCAGAAGCAGGAAAGTCTCACTCACTTTCCTCCTGCACTTCTTCCCAGAAACAGGTCATAAAACTTAGGAAGGATTCTCTGACCTTCCCTGGAAGCAGGTCATAAGACCCTCTTTCTAGAGGTACCCACTCTATACCTGGAGAAAAAGGACATCCTTATCTCTGGAGACACAGGGACACAGAGAAGAATCTGAACAAATGACTTGCTATGTTTCTTCCAGTTTCTTACCATTAGATCATACTTTTTTATCCCCTCATAGCTCTCCATGAATATCCACTTCTTCATCAAACCTAGCCTAAAAAGTACACAGGTTCACCCATTTCTTCTTGTCTTTATTTCCTTATGAAGGCTTCCATGTTATTTAAAATTTAAAGTAAACTTTTATGCTTTTCTCTTTTTGATGTCTTGTGTTATAGAGATCTCAGTTACGAATATAATGATGGATGAAAAAAGACATGTTTTCTCCCCTATAGGGGATTTACTGTAGTGGAGGGGAGAAGAGAATTTTTTTCCTCACCCCTTGCTAGGTTCATGGCTGAGACCCCTGTAAACAAAAGACAGATTGACAAGAGAACAGCATAAAATCTTATTTAATATAATTTTATTATATTAAAGAATATATTATTAGAATGTATTTATATGTAATATATTATTAAAAACTTACATATGTAATTAAACTTATATATTAAAAACATACAATAAAACTTATATAAAATATAAACTTATATATTAAAAACATATATTAAGTTTTATTATATATAAATAATTTTAAATGGTTGGACAAAAGACGTAAATGGTCTAATGATAATAAACTGGGGGAAACTTAGCAAAGCCTGTTTCTTCTGATTTTTCTCTGTATCCTTGTGTCCTCAGAGATAAGGACATTCCTTTCCTCTGCATATAGGGAGATCACCTCTAGAATGAGGGTCAAAACCTACTTCGGGGGAAGGTCAGTTCTTTTATGACCTGCTTCTGAAAAGAAAGCTAAGAGAAGATCCGAGAGTGACCTTCTTGCTTCTCTTGTCTTCTCAAATACCAAATTGCCATATTTTGGAACAGCATGTCCTGAAGCCCATCATTAGCCTTATCTCCCAGAAGTACCCTGCTTTTACTCAGATAAGGGAAGCTTTGGAAAGGCTCCTTTCTGCATCTGCTGAATCTCAAGTGTCTTCATCTTAAAATAATCTTTTACCAACTCCGGGGTTCCAAGTGGGTCCCTACATCTTCCTTTATTGTATGGTTTATTATTGTTTTTGGTATAATTGCTCGGACTAGGGCACTAGATATATCTTTCAATTCCTGGAGTTTTAATCTGGCTCCAAATTCTCCATTTGTAGATCCCACAGGCACCTCAAATTCAACACATCATAAATAGAACTCATTATCTTTCCACGATGCTTCTCCTTTTCCTCCTGAGACTATAGTCTCAGCTAATGACGTGAGTATCCACTTGTCCAACCTAGACATGTAGGAGACGTCATCTACTCCTACCCTTTTCTCATATTCCTGTTTCCAGTCTGTCATCAAGTTTGGTTGATTGTGCCTTCCAGGTGCCTTCCAAGTCTGTCTCCTCCAGTCTGTTTCACAGCTACTAAGTTTGCTCAGATCTTCATTTTCTCAGACTTCTATGGCAGACTCTTGCTAGGATTCAGGTGGAGCTATCTTCCACACAACAGCTAAAAGGAGCTTTCAGAATAGAGCACCTGGTGATCTTACCTCCTTTCCAGTTTTAAACTCTTCAACTGGCCAATTGGTTAAAATCCTTAACATGAGCCTTCATAGTCCGGACCCTGATTGCTTTTTGAATCTCAGGTTCCCCTTTCCTCCAACCCAGCAACTCTGTGCTTCAGCCTTGCCAATTACATACTTGCCATTCTCAGAAGTGGATGTTCTTGCCCTCTACCTCTATATTTGAACATGCCATTTTCCTTTGCCTGAAATGCTGCAAGCCCTTCCTGTTGTCCTTCTCTGCACATCCAGTGGCAGAATCTGATTATTTTCATATCCTCCACATCCTTTCATCAGTGAGGAGTTTCTTTATCTGTATTCCCCAAGCACTTTTACATAACTCTATCCGTAATTATAGCAATCACATTGTGTTATAATTATCTCATTCCTGCAATGTGTGATAATTGAAAACAGGGGCTCTTTATTTTTCTCTTTGAATCTACAATACTTTTCATACGTTATATGAGTTAAATAAAGGTTGAATGAATAAATGAGTAAATAAATTACTATGGCAAAGAGAGAAAGGCAGTAGTATGTGTCTCATTGAAAAGCCAAATTGAAGGAATTTTAGTAGTGCTTCCAAAAAAAAAAAAAAAAAAAAGAGGTAAAAGGTTCATAAACCTAGCCTGGTATCCAAGGCGTCCTAATTTTGATGTCCAGGAGATTTAATATAAATGTCCTCAGCATACAAGTTAGGTGTTTCTGTATGTTGAAAAGTGCTCAATTTGACATATCTACAAGTTAGGTGTTTCTGTATGTTGAAAAGTGCTCAATTTGATATATCTGAGCAATAAAACTGTGTTCAAAATTCGAATATTATGTTTTTTGAATACCTATAATGAATGCCTTTGGCCTTCCTATTAAAGCACAAATAAATAGGTGGGAAATATCTGTTCCTGGATTATCAATTTGTAATTCAGAATCAATTTTTATAAATTTTGTTTTTGTTTTTGTTTGTTTTTATTGAGGCAGAGTCTCGCTCTGTCACTCAGGCTGGAGTGCACTGGTACAATCTTGGCTTACTGCAAATTCCGCCTCCTGGGTTCAAGTGATTCTCCTGACTCAGCCTCCTGAGTAGCTGGGACAACAGGCGCCCAGCACCACCCCTGGGTAATTTTTGTATTTTTAGTAGAGATGGGGTTTCACCATGTTGGCCAGGCTGGTCTCGAACTCTTGACCTCAGGTGATTTACCTGCCTGGGCCTCCCAAAGTGTTGGGATTACAGGCGTGAGCCACCGCACCTGGCCAATATTGTGGTTTTTAAATGAACACTACCCATCGGTGGTTTCTACCTGAAAATGACTATTATATCCACCAATCTTTTCTTTCCTAGTAAATTTTCTAGTAAATTTTTTATTGTCTCTATTATTCGTGAAAACAATAGAAAAAATATTTTTAGAAATTACTGAAGGTTGTTAAGTCAAAACTGTTAAAATCAACTTAGTTTTTTTTTTTTTTTTAAAAAAAAAAAAAGCTAATTTGGCTTGTTGTAAAATAGAGTAGGGCAAGAAGTCCGAAGAAATTTCCTAGCGTATGTGATTTTATGTACTGGAGCACATCCATTACTGTGCTTTTTCAGCAAATGAAGCTCATCATTATTAGGCACTCAAGATTTGTAGAATAATTCAGATGTGTTTAATCCACTGATGTATTCTAAAATAGCATAAAGTACCTACAGTGTGTCTAGCACATAGTGGAGTTTTAATGTAGTATGGCTATCATTTTTACTGAGAGGCCCATGTGTCAAAGACAATTTGAGAGCTTGTTTCTAGCCTCTAAGTACAGCAAGAACCAGAAAGAAAGAAGAAGAAAAAGAAAGTAGATACAATACACCTTAATTATGTAAACAAAAATGGATACTTATAATTTCGGCCAGAAATAGCGTTTATAATCAGATCTCCACAAGAACACACACACACAAGTCACTCATTTTGAGATTTATTTTTTCCGTAGAGGAAATGTCCAAACTCTTGTGATGTTCTCACTATCTTTCTTGTTTTTTTGTGTTTTTTTTTATTCTGAATACATTCTGTATCCCAAGATGCAGAAGCTAAACATTAAAGATTTGAAAGTCAAGGCATTCTTTTACTACGTCCTTATTTAGTCCATTTTGTGTTGCTATGACAAAATACCAGAGACTGGATAATTTATAATGAACAAAAATATATTTCTCAGTTCTAGAGACTGGGAAGTCCAAGATCAAGGGGCTGGCACCTGTGAGGGCCTTCTTCCTGTGTCATAACAGGGCAGAAGGAATCAGATGGGCGGGAGAGAGACAAAAGTGGGGTCCTTTTATAAGAAACACACTCCCTCGTGATAACATAAACGTTGAGGAACACATTTAAATCATAGCCGTGCCAGTTCCACATTTCAATTCAGCAACTTGCATTACATTTTCTTTCTATTCCTGTCTCAATTATCTGGGAAAGCCTTTTAAACAAACCAGTCATCCTCCCCATCTTTCTTTTTCATTACAGGCCGTGGAAGATGTTTTCTAGAAAGGAAGTTTAGAGAGAGAAGCTAGGCTGTGTGTCTAAGTAGTCCGTGTGGAAACTTGAGCCCTTATGTTTTTCTTCCGAAGATGGAGTTAGATAATGGGATAAGTGGACCACAGTTCCCTTGTGAAGGCTTCAGTGTAACTTCACTTGTCTATTTGAGCGATTATAATCCACTGATTTATTTGAGTGATTTAAATAGAAGTAAAATTTTATTCATTCCAAATACATATATGGGTATCTTGGGTTATAGGTATCTTTGTATCTTTGTATGTCTGATATCATCTGTTGGTATAAGGTGGGTTTTCTTTCGTAGTTTTTTAAAAAATTTCTGGGTACATAGTAAATATACTTATGGGGTACATGATACTTTAATACAGGCACACAATAAGTGATAATCACATAGTGTAAAATGGGGTATTCATCCCCTCAAGTATTTATCCTTTGTGTTACAATCAATCCAATTATATTCTTTTAGTTATTTTCAAATGTACAATTAAATTTTTATTGACAATAGTCACCCTGTTGTGCCATCAAATACTAGGTCTTATTCACTCTTTTTAAACTACTTTTCATTCCCGCTAACCATCCCCACTTCCCCACTACCATCCCCACTACCCTTCCCAGCCTCTGGTAACCATCCTTCTAAACTCTATCACTATGAGTTAATTGTTTTGATTTTTAGCATGCACAAGTAAGTTAGAACATGTGAAGTCTGTCTTTCTGTGCCTGACTAATTTCATTATTAACATAATGACCTCCATTTCCATCCATGTTGTTGCAAAAAACTGAAACTCATTCTTTTTTATGGCTGAATAGTATTCCATTGGGTGTATGTGCCACATTTTCTTTATCCAATCATCTACTGGTGGATATTAAAGTTGGTTCCAAATCTTTGCTATTTGGAAGTGCTACAATAAACACAGGAGTGCAGATATCTCTTCAATATACCGATTTCCTTTATTTTGAGTATATATCCAGCAGTGGAATTGCTGGGTCATACGGTAGCTCTATTTTTCATTTTTTGAGGAAACTCCAAACTGTTCTTTATAGGGATCGTTCTAATTTACATTCCCACTAACAGTGTATGAGGGTTCCCTTTTCTCCACATCCTCTCTAGCATTTGTTATTGCCTGTCTTTTGGATAAAAGCCATTTTAACTGGGGTGAAATTACGTCTCATTGTAGTTTTGATTTGTATTTATCTGATGATCAATGATGTTGAGCACATTTTCATATGCCTGTTTGCCACTTGTATGTTTTCTTTTGAGAAATGTCTATTCAAATATTTTGCCCATTTTAAAATTGGATTATTAGATTTTTTTCCCATAGAGTTGTTTGAGCTCCTTATATATTCTGGCTATTGAGCCTTTGTCAGATGGGTAGTTTGCAAACATTTTCTCCCATTCTGTTTGCTATCTCTTCACTTTGTTGATAGTTTTCTTTGCTATATGGAAACTTTTTAACTTGACATTATCCCATTTGTCCATTTTTCCTTTGGTTGCCTGTGCTCCTGTGGTGTTACTCAACAAATCCTTAACTAGACAAATGCCCTGGAGAATTTCCCCAATGTTTTCTTGTAGTACTTTCATAGATTGAGGTATTAGATTTAATTCTTTGATCCATGTTGATTTGATTTTTCTATATAGCAAGATATAGGGATCCAGTTTCATTCTTCTGCATATGGATATCCAGTTTTCCCAGCACCATTTATTAAAGAGAGTGTACTTTCTCCAGTATATGGTCTTGCCACCTTTGTCAAAAATGGGTTCACTATAGCGTATGGATTTGTTTCTGGGCTCTCTATTCTGTTCCATTGATCTACATGTCTGTTTTTATGCTAGTACCATACTGTATTGTTTACTATCGTTTTGTAGTATAACTTGAAGTCAAGTAATGTGATTCTTCCAGTTTTGCTCTTTTTGCTCAGGATAGCTTCATCTACTCTGGGTCTTTTGTGGTTCCGTATAAATTCTGGGATTATTTTTCTATTTCTGTGAAGGAGGTCATTGATATTTTGATAGGAATAGCATTGGATCTGTAGATTGCTTTGAGTAGTATGGACATTTTAACAATATCGAATCTTCCAATCCATTAACATGAAATATCTTTATTTTGTGTGTGTGTGTGTGTGTGTGTGTGTGTGTCTGCTTCAATTTCTTTCATCAGTGTTTTACAGTATTCACTACAGAGATCTTTCACTTCTTGGGTTAACTCCTAGGTATTTAATTTTATCTGTGGCTATTGTAAATGGGATTACTTTTTAAATTTATTTTTCAGATTATTAACTGTTGGCATATATAAAAATACTATGGATTTTTGTATGTTGATTTTGTATCCTGCAACTTTACTGAATTTAACAGTTCTAATAGTTTTTTGATGGGGTCTTTAGGTTTTTCCAAGTATAACATCATATCATCTGCAAACAAGGATAATTTGACTTCTTCATTTCCAATCTGATGCCCTTTATTTCTTCCACTTATTTGATTGCTATACCTAGGACTTTCAGAATTATGTTGAATGACAGAGGTGGAAGTGGTCATCCTTGTCATGTTCCAGATCTTAGAGGAAAGGCTTTCAGTTGTTCTCCATTCAGTATATTAGCTCTGGGTTTGTCAGGTATGGCTTTTATTACGTTCACATA
The DNA here is from genome assembly GCF_000001405.40 of Homo sapiens. Classification (NCBI taxonomy): domain Eukaryota; kingdom Metazoa; phylum Chordata; class Mammalia; order Primates; family Hominidae; genus Homo; species Homo sapiens. Next base: position 62,950,170 of record NC_000012.12, read on the forward strand.
TGTTTCTCCTATACTGAGGATTTTTATCATGAAGGGATGTTGAATTTTATCAAATGATTTTCAGCATCTGTTGAAATGATCATACTATTTTTGACCTTCGTTCTGTTGCTATGATGTATCACATTGATTTGCATATTTTGAACCATCTTGTATCTCTGGGATAAATCCCACTTGGTCATGATGAATGATCTTTTTAATGCATTGTTGAATTTTGTTTGCTAGTATCTTGCTGAGGATTTTTGTGTCAATATTCATCAGAGAGATTGGCTGTAGTAGCCATCATCTTCCTCTTCCTCCTCCTCCTCTTCTTCTTCTTCCTCTTCCTCCTCCTCCTCCTGCTCCTCCTCCTCCTCTTCTTCTTCTTCCTCTTCTACTTCATCTTCATCCTCTTCATCCTCTTCGTCCTTCTTTTCTTTTGATGTGTCTTTGTCAGTTTTTTTTTTATCATAGTAATACTGGCCTCATAGAATGAGTGTAGAAATGTTCACTCCTCCTCTATTTTTCAGAATAATTTGAGTAGGATTGTATTCATTCTTCTTTAAATGTTTGGTAGAATTCTACAGTAAAGCCACTGGGTCCAGGGCTTTTCTTTACTGAAGGACTTTTTATTATGGCTTTGATCTCATTATTTGTTATTGGTGTGTTCAAGTTTTGGCTTCCTGGTTCAATCTTGGTAGGTTGCATGTGTCTAGGAATTTATTCATTTCCTCTAGATGTTCCAATTTGTTGGAATATAGTTGCTCATAGTAGTAATTAATAATCTTTTGAATTTCTCCAGTATCAGGTGTAATGTCCCCTTTTTATCTCTGATTTTTTTTAATTTGGGTCTTCTCTCTGTTTTTCTTTGTGAGTCTGGCTAAAGGTTTGTGAATTTTATTTATGCTTTCAAAAAAACAACTTTTCATTTCATTGATTGTATTATTTTCTTCATTTCAAAATCATTTATTATATTTATTTATTATATTTCTGCTCCGATCTTTATTATTTCTTTTCCTCTACTAACTTTGGGTTTGGTTTGCTCTTGGTTTTCTAGTTCTTTAAGACGCATGATTAGGTTACTCACTCAAAATTTTTCTTCTTTTTTGATGTAGGCACTTATAGCTATAAATTTCCCTCTTAGTACTGCTTTTGCTGTATCGTATGGGTTTTGGCATGTTCTGTTTCCGTTATCATTTGTTTTAAGAAATTTTTCATTTTTCTCTTTAATTTCATTGTTGATCCACTGGTCATTCAGAAGCATATTGTTTAATTTCCACGTGTTTTTATAGTCCCCAAAATTCTTCTGGTTGTTGACTTCTAGTTTTATTCCATTGTGGTCAGAGAAGATGCTTTATATTATTTCCATCTTTTTCAATGTTTTAAGACTTGTTTTGGCCGGGTGCGGTGGCTCACACCTGTAATCTCAGCACTTTGGGAGGCCGAGGTGGGTGGATCACGAGGTCAAGAGATTGAGACCATCCTGGCCAACTTGGTGAAACACCGTCTCTACTAAAAATACAAAAATTAGCGGGGCGTGGTGGCGGGCGCCTGTAATCGCAGCTACTCAGGAGGCTGAGGCAGAAGAATTGCTGAAATCCGGGAGAAAGAGGTTGCAGTGAGCCTAGATCACGTCACTGTACTCCAGCCTGGTGAAAGAGTGAGACTCTGTCTCAAAAAAAAAAAAGACTTGTTTTGTTTCCTAACATATAGTCTATCTTTGAGAATAATCCATGTGCTGAGGACAAGGATGTGTATTCTGTAGCAGTTGGATGAAATGTTCTGTAAATATCTATTAGTTCCTTTCATTGTATAGTGCAGGTTAAGTCTGATATTTCTTTGCTGATTTTCTGCCTGGAAATCTGTCCAGTGCTGAAAGTGGGGTGTTGAAGTCTCCAGTTATTATTGTATTGGGATCTATCCCTCTCTTTAGCTCTAATAGTATTTGCTTTATATATCTGGGTGCTCCAGTGTTGGGTACACATATGTTTACAATTGATACATCCTCTTGCTGAATTGACCCCTTTGCCATCATATAATGACCCTCTTTGTCTCTTTTTACAGTTTTTGTCTTGACATCTATTTTGTCTGATATAGTATAAGTACTCTTGCTCTTCTTTGGTTTCCATTGGCGTGGCATATCTTTTTCCATCCTTTATTTTCAATCTATTTGTGTCTTTATATGTAAAGTGTGTTTCCTGTAAGCATCAGATTATTGGGTCCACTTAGCCACTCTGTCTTTTGATTGGAGAGTTTAGTCAATTTATATTCAATGTTATTATTGGTAAGTAAGGACTAACCCTGCCATTTTGTCATTTATTTTCTAGATGTTTTGTGATCTGCTCTTCCTTCTTTCCTTTCTTCTTGTCTTCCTATTAGTGAAGGTGTTTTTCTCTGCTGGTATGATTTAATTTCCTGCTTTTTATTTTTTGTGTATCTGTTCTATGTTCTTTGATTTGAGGTTACCAAGAGGCTTGCAATACTATCTTCTAACCCATTATTTTAGGAGGGTAGCCATGTTACATGGATTGCGTAAACAAATACATAAACAAACACACAAAAAGAAAACTAACAAGAACTCTACAATTTAACTTCCTCTCCTCAGTTTTTAACGTGTTGTTGTTTCTTTTTATGGCTTATTATACTGTCTGTGTCTTGAACAGTTGTTGTAATTACTATTTTCAATTGGTTCATCATTTATCCTTTCTACTTAAGGGTACTTTATACACTCCTCTGACTGTGTTTTTCAAATAGCCAGTCTTCCAGCTCACTAATTCTTTTTTCTGCTTGATCAATTGTGCTATTAAGAGACTCTGCTGCTTTCTTCAGTATGACAATTGCATTTTTCAACTCTAGAATTTCTATTTGATTCTTTTAAATAATTTTAATCCATTTGTTAAAATTATCTGATAGGATTCTGAATTTCTTGTCTATGTTATTGTGAATTTCCTTGAGCTTCTTCAACAAAGCTATTTTGAATTTTCCATCTGAAAGGTCACATATCTGTTTCTGTAGGATTGGTGCCTCGTGCCTTATTCAGTTTGGTGAATTCATGTTTTCTTGGATGGTCTTAAAGCTTGTAGGTGTTCATTGGTGTCTGGACATTGAAGAGTTAGATATTAATTGTAGTCATTACAGTCTGGGCTTGTTTGTGCCCATCCTTCTTGGGGAGGCTTTCTAGGTATTCAAATGGACCTGGGACCCAAACCCAATAATTCTGTGGTTCTTGCAGGCTCATAGAGGTACTACCTTGGTGTTTGTATAGGAAAAACTCTCCTTTAATCATGTTTTGTCCTTTACTCTCACACTACAACAATCATCAACACAAAAGAAGACATCTGTGACCAAATGTGTGGCGTTTTTTCCCATACATCAAGCAATAGGCACCAGCTATGTGCTCTCTAATTCAGTTTCAATACTATCTACCCAAAGATAGTGTCAGATCCCACAGGTTGAGGGCTCAGTCCCCAAGACTGCCCCCTCATACACACATGCACCAGTCGCAAGTCCGGGCCTCCAGAACTTCTGACTGACCAACTTCATGTCAGGGTTCCCATGACCCCTTCTTTGCATTCAATTAATTTGCTATGAGCAAATTAGATTCAGGTTCACATAACTTGGGAAAACACTTATGTACATTTATTGGTTTATATAAAGAACATTGCAAAGGATACAGATGAAGAGACACATAGGGTGAGTTATGACGAAGGGGCACAGAGCTTCCATATCCTCCCTGGGCGTACCACCCTTCAGAGTCCTCCATGTGTTCAGCTATCTGGAAGCTCACTGAACCCTGTCCTCTTGGGTTTGTATGGAAGCTTCATGATATCAGTGTTCCTTTCCCAAAGGTATAGGGGTGGGACCCTCTCATGGGAGGATCGTAAGAACCACAATCAGAAAGGTGGGGGAATTTTAGAGTGGAAGGAGGGCAGGAGAAGGTCAGAAACCTGACCCTGAGGCCTAACACACCCAACATTATAACAAAAGACTGTAACGAGGGCCATGGGAGTTATGAGCCAGGAACCATGGATGAAAATCAATATATATCATAACACCACAGTGGTCTTGGGTAAGAACCAGAAGAATTCTCTGAATTACCAGGCAGAGACTCTTGTTCTTTTCCCTTACTTTCTTCCAAACAAATGAAGTCTGTATCTCTGTGCTGGGTGTCCCGGAACTGGAGGTGGTGGGACACTAGCACCCCTGTGGCCACCTCCACTGGGATTGTACTGGTTCAGACCCGAAGCCAGCACAGGACTGGATCATGCCCAAAGCTTGCTGTAATCACTACCTGGCTACCACCTAAGTTCACTCAAGGTCCTAGGGCTTTACAATCAGCAAGTGGCAAAGCCAACTAGGTTTGTGTCCCTCCTTTCAGGGCAGTGAGTTTCCATAGGCCCTGGGTGGGTCCAGAGATTCTGTCTGGGAGCCAAGGATTGAAGTAAAAGAAATTAGAAATTGACCTTGTGTTGTATGCTACTGTGGCCAAATCGGCACTCAAGCCACCAGACAAAATCTTTCCCACTCTTCCTGCCTCTTTCCACATGCAGAGGATCCTCTCTCCGTGGCCACCACCACTGGCCCATGGGGGCTTCTGCCAGGCCACCACTGATGTTCACTTAAAGCCCAAAGCCTCTTTAGTCAGCTTGTGGTAAATGCTGCCAGGCCTGGGACTCACCCTTCAGAGCACTGGGCTCTCCTCTGGCCAAGGGCAGGTCCAGAAATGCTGACAAGAGCCTAGGCCTGGATTCAGGGATGCCATGAGCCTGCTTGTTGCTCTACCCCACAGTGGCCAAACTGGTATCTAAGGTGCAGACAGAGTCCCCTTTTCTTTCCACCCCCCGATTTTCTCAAACAGAAGGAGTCTTTCACCATAGCCACCCCCGTTGGGAATGTGTTGGGTCATTACTGAAGCTAGCACATCTCAGAGCCCAAAACCCTCAGCATATTACCTGGGTATTGCTGTTGGTTACTCAGGGCCCAGGGGCTCTTTATTTAGCAAGTGATCAATCCTGCCAGGTCTCTGCTGTGACGGGGCAGCACTGAGTCCAATGTAAAGTCCCTTAGTCACTGCACTCTACATCTCCCAAGCATACATGTATTTTTAGTGGAGACAGGGTTTCGCCATATTGGCCAGGCTCATCTCGAACTCCTGACCTCAGGTGATCTGCCTGCCTTGGCCTCCCAAAGTGCTAGGATTACAGGCGTGAGCCACCGCACCCTGCCATAAATGATGTAGGTTTCTATTCAGCCATCTTGCTCTGCCTCATCTGTTAGTATATGTAATTGGGATCAAAAGCATTTGTTTTTGTTTTTAACCTTTTTAAAATTTAATATTCTCATCTTAGCGCAAGATCAATACCTGGCAAATATAAAAGAGTAAGGCTATTGTTCACCAAATCAATTATCTGGTAATAAGATATTGGAGCTCCTAAGTGGCTGCTGCCAGGGGATGGGGAAGAGATGGTGCAATAACTCCCTTAGCCACCTGCCTGGTGTCTCAGTAGGTCATGTGCCTCCCCAGTCCACTGGCTCTGAGACCAGCTCAGTACTAGGACTTGCAGACCATGTGGCCTAGACTGCCTCTCAAGTTCTCTTAGGACCCCAGAGCACTTCAGCCTGTGATGGCAAAGCTTGCTAGAACTCAAGCTCCAACCATGGAGGGAGCATCTGGACTGACCCTAGCCTGTGGGACCTGTTTGAGTGAGCGATTTCTGTCTGGCTACAGCCAGTCCAAATGTTCTATCTATACGCAGATGTCAGCTCAGTATAGCCTGGTTCTGCTTTCCGCTATGACAGGGCAGCACTGAGTGCAATGCAAAGGCTCAAAGTCTCTGTGTTCTCCCTCTACCAAACCCAGAGATCCTCCATGCTGCATGGCTGCTGCAGGGGATAGGGGAGTGGTGGCATCAGCAATTCAAGACTGTCTTTCCTGTCCTCTTTAATGTCTCTTTTAGCAATATGAAGTTAAAACTAGACACTGTGATTGCTCACCTGATTTTTTATTCTTGTGATGGTGCTTTTGATGTGTAGTTAGCTGCTAAAATTTGGTGTTCTTGCAGAGGGTATAAATGGTGTAGGCTTTTTTTGTTTGTTTGTTTGTTTGTTTTTTGAGATGAGGTCTGGTTCTGTTGCCCAGGCTGGAGTGCAGTGAGAGTAATCTCAGCTCATTGCAACCTCTGCCTTCCAGGTTCACATGATTCTCGTGCCTCAGCCTCCCAAGCAGCTGGGATTACAGGTGCCTGCCACCACGCCTGGCTAATTTTTGTATTTTTAGTAGAGAGGGTTTCACCATGTTGGCCAGGCTGGTCTTAAACTACTGACCTCAAGTGATCTGCCCGCCTCGGCCTCCCAGAGTGCTAGGATTACAGGCATGAACCACTGCGCCAGACCATAAATGGTGTAGGTTTCTATTCAACCATCTTGCTCTGCCTCATGTGTCAGTATATGTAATTGGGATCAAAGCATTTGTTTTTGTTTTTAACCTTTTTAAAATTTAATGTTCTCATCTTAGTGCAAGATCAATACCTGGCAAATATGAAAGACTAAGGCTATTATTCACCAAATCAATTCTCTGGTAATAAAATATTGGAGCAAATATTAACTTTAAGACTTGATATACTATACTTAAAAGTTACTAATTCTCATAATATACAGTGTGGAAAGATGAAGGGATTTTGAAAAAAGCAAACAAATTTTTGCTAATATTTACTGATTTTTTAAAACAAACACAAGTAAATACTAAATTTTTAAAAGACTTTTTTATAATTTTAAGGAATTTCTTTTTCAAGACTACATATAATGTTATGTCCATTGTTCTTCCTTTCAGAAATTCTTTTACATTTTCCATTTATTGAATAAGGCTGGTTCCTTTTTTATGATTTTAGAGACAAAAGGATGAAGGTTTTTTTTTTCTTTAAATTATGTTTTGATTATTCTCTGTGTTAAAAAAAAATCATTTTTCTAAGATTATTCCCTACCCTACTCTCTTCTGGAGCAAATCACCCACCCGTTTTTTTTTCATTTTTTTTGTTTTGTTTTGTTTTTTGTTTTGTGGGATAGTGTTGGGTTTCTCCTTCCTTTCAGTTTTCTGTTATTCTAGTTGCTGTCACACAATTTTGTAAGTAGAAGCACTTTTCTTTGAAAACAAATATCTGCTTCTTTGTTTGCTTAGCTTGGAGGTCAGTAAGAAAGACTCCACTGCTTAGTCAGCAGCCCAATTCCAGGGTTAGATTACAGAGGATGGCAGAACATAACAGGCAACAGTTAACTCTTTATGACCATGTTTAAGAAAAGAGCATGAACTGGGAGAGCCTAGCTAAAACCCTGCAAGGTGAAACAGTTTTTCTGCAGAAACAAAACAAAGGTGCTTCCGGCTCTGGGATACCATTTGCATGGTAGAAGAAAAAAATACTATGTTTGACAAAGAGAGATAGTATCAGCCTCTTAAACAACCACTATGTTCCTTTGAATTGGATATCACAATAATTTACATAATGTCAGAACACTGTGTAGAGGAAATACTGGAATGGGTAGTCTATTGGTGATGAAAAACAAAACATAATTTTGAATTGTTGCAGAACACTTGGTTATCTTAATTACAAAGAACAATGATTGCAACACACTGGTTTGTTTTGTTAAAATTTTCTGACAATGACCAGATTAAGCTAAACTTGATAATGACCAGATTAAACTTGTTTTGATCAAGTAGACAGTGTGCCGACTTTTCTTTTTAAGAAGTTCTTAGGTTACTTGGAAAAATACAGAAACTTAACATCCAGTACAGTTGAAAACAAGCAAATTCTATCTTTGCTTTGGAGAATGCTAGAAATAAAAAGCTGTGCAATGGGCCAAGTTTGCCCTTCACGCCACCTCTCTAATTGTACCCACTTCCAGCCCCAGAGGCCATCCCTAAATGCCATTCTGGAGATGATCCTTTTCTGGATTCTTGTCCTCTGGTTTTTCCCTGATTATTCTTACTTTGTCTCAAAGTTTTCTTTTTCTTTCTCCAAACTTAATTATTAGCCGTGTGTCTTGTACCTTGACACTGCATTGGATCATTAAATCTTCATTATGCTGGTCAGAAGAAAAAGTCATGAGTGACTTTCTCAGGCCTGAAAAATGTGCGTGCAGTAGGTTAAACATATCTTATAGATCATGGTCAAAATTGCAATCTTATAGTGGGCCTTTAAAACTGATGAGGGGCAGAGGAGTTCTAATTTCCCCGTTTCTTGTTACAAAAATTATTGAAAACTTGTAACTAAAGCAAGAGAATGGCTCTGTGTTCCTTTTGTGTCTTCCTGGAGCATTGTCTCACAGGCTAACCCAAAATTTGCTTAGTTTTCTAGGGGAATATGTCATTGTTAATTATTTTAATTAGAGCTCACTCTGTGATATTGCTTGATACCTTTAAATTTCTGTCTATTGGAGATGCAAATGATTTCTGTCTGATAGAAAAAAGAAAAACACAGAGGTTATGGTTTTATTGCCCTATAGGACTTCAGCCAGCTTAGTTTCTAATCTCTCAGTCTTCCAACATCCAATCCTCTCTAACTTCAGTCCTTATAAATATCTAGTTTCTCAAATGCTTCCTTCTGGTTCTTTCATCGAGTTAAACAAATTTTGACACATGCCTATCCTGTGCTTATGTGAGAGTCATGTTTTTTTCTTTTGAAAGTTATACCCTGCTGTCCTGAATGAAGACTTAGGGAGGCATATGTTTTCTGGTCACTTCCTACAGAAAGTAACCAGAAAGAAAATAAAGAGCACCCTAGTCACTTTTGGTACACACAGTTTCAATTTAGTAACTAGAATGTCCAATATCATTTAATTTTCAAAATTCTGGATTCTCCTCTTCCAGCGGAGGCCTGCCTCAGGATGGAAGTCTGCACTGGGAACAGGGAGTGTGGTTCTGCTCAACTGCCCTTACGCTCACCAGATGAGTTGTGATTTTGGATCCCATCAGCATCAAAGCGGAATGGGGTATATGGAGAGAGGTAAGGTGTTTGGCCAGGGCTTGCTTGCCTCCGTGGCTTCATATTCTCTATACAGGGCTGACAGTTAATGCTGACAGCATCTCTGCTAGGCCCTTCTCTCATGTAGCTTCCTTGATCTGCACAGATAAAAATTTGTTGAATTTCTTCATCAGTCCCTGGGCAACCAGGTGGTTCCTCTCAGCTTTTTCCTAAAATGATCTCAGCTCACTCTAGATGGTCCTACTGGGCAACAGCCAAGATGACAACCTAAGCCACTGGTCCTTGGAAATGCCTAATCTTTGCCCCACAAAACTCTTGGAATGTGGGGTGATCCTACAGGAAGAGCCTCTCAGTACCCCCTCAGTAAGTGATTAGCCCTTTCTTTCACTGTCTAGATTTCCTAGCTGGGAATCAGACCTCTATTCAGTACCGCTTTAAGCTTTCTCACATGTGAGTCAGACAAGGGTACTCTGTGTCTTCAAATTTAGGGAGCACAGTTATTTGAGTGGTCATGTCTAAAAGCTTGTGGATAGAAGTTTGCACCTGTCATCCAAGGTGGAAGGGTCAGTCAGACCTTTCCAAAGTAATCTGTTTATTAATTCAACTCATGTCCACACTCTAAACCCTTTGGATGATTTCATTTAGTTAAGGAGATCAAGGGTTGTGGAACATTTCTCCATTCTATTTCTTTGTAAATCTACATATGGTTGCAAGGATGTAGGGAGTCATCTCTCTCTTGCTTTGGTACTATGACTATTGCCTCACTCAAAACTGAGTTAAAAATAATCTCGGCTGGGTGCAGTGGCTCATGCCTGTAATCCCAGCACTTTGACAGGTCGAGGCGGGAGCTGAGATCGTGCCACTGCACTCTCCAGTCTGGTGCCAGAGCGAGACACCCTCTCAAAAAAAAAAAAAAAAAAAAATCTCATTCTGGCCAGGTGCAGTGGCTCACGCCTGTAATCCTAGCACTTCGGGAGGCCAAGGCGGGTGGATCATTTGAGGTCAGGAGTTCAAGACCAGCCTGGCCAAAATGGCAAAACCCCTGTCTCTACTAAAAATACAAAAATTAGCTGGGTGTGGTGGCGGGTGCCTATCATCTCAGCTACTCGGGAAGGCTGAGGCAGGAGAATCACTTGACCCTGGGAGGCGGAGGTTGCTGTGAGCTGAGATCATGCCACTGCACTCCAGCCTGGGCAACAAGAACAAAACTCTGACTCAAAATAAATAAGATAAAATAATCTCATTCTAATTTCCTGTTACAATTATATTTAAATTCACTGGAAACAAGCAAGTGTCATGATGGGTGTTTTAGATTTTGTAGGTGGGAAGCCTTTACTGCATCAGGAGACTCACTGGGATAGAAGCAATCCCCACAGGGATTGTCTACTCAGTCCATGAGTAAAGCTGGCTCCGGAATGAAAGCAGAGCTTTATGAATATGGCCATTATTCAGCAAAAGGCATACATCTTTCCTTCATATGCATATGATGGGTATATGTGTACTTTAAAATCCCATTTCAATGAACTTGTAGTGGTATATGCAACTGTGTCTCCATCTCCTCAACTTTCATCTGATATTTGATATTTGTTGATTGAACTTTATGCTAGGTGCTGGGGTACACAGTGGTGAACATGTGTTTTCTTTTTTTTGAAACAGAGTCTCACTGTGTTGCCCAGGCTGGAGTGCACTGGCATGATCTTGGCTCACTGCAACCTCTGCCTCCCAGGTTCAAGCGATTCTCCTGCCTCAGCCTCCTGCGTAGCTGGGATTACAGGTGTATGCCACCATGCCTGGCTAATTTTTGTATTTTTAGTAGAGACGGGGTTTCACCATGTTGGTCAGGCTAGTCTCAAACTCCTGACCTTGTGATCCATCCGCCTCAGCCTCCCAAAGTGCTGGGATTACAGGCATAAGCCACCGGACCCAGCCCAAACATATATTTTCTTGTGACTTATGACTCTCACACACAGGGCTAATCTTGCAAATGATTATATTTTTTAATACTCTTTCTATCACATTTCTAGGATATACTGGAAATCACTTTCTTTGGAATTAGACCCGGGTTTGAAGACCAATTCTGTCATCTGTGATTATCTTTATGACTTGGGAAATTTACTTAATCTCTCTGAGACTCAGTTTACTCATCTGCAAATAAGACTAACACTGACCAGCTTAGGTTGTTTTATTAAGTGAGATGATGCCTTTAAAGTGCTGACATGAAGTAGGTATTTTCCAAGTGAACTCCCCAGGAGTTTTTCTTCATTCTGCTTTTGAGGCACCTCGCCCAGTTTGGGCATAGTGCTGAGGTTCATTATGAAAGAAACTTTGCCTCCTGTGTTCTTAAAACTAAAAGTCATTCCTCGTATTTACCATTTGGAGCATGAGATTGTTCACTTTTATTTTAATCAACGGGATTATGACTATGCTTTTTTATTCAGATTCTGAATAACCACTTAAATAACTGCCACTTTATAGACACAAACCAGACTGCTGCACATTTTCTTATCCATTGTTTTAACTACACCTCTTTTTTTTTTTTTTATTTTGGAGACACAGTCTCATTCTGTCGGCCAGGCTGGAGTGCAGTGGCACAATCTCAGCTCACTGCAACATCCATTCCATCTCCCGGGCTCAAGCAATTCTCCTGCCTCAGCCTCCCGAGTAGCTGGGATTACAAGCGTGTGCCACCACGTCGGGCTAACTTTTGTATTTTTAGTAGAGACAGGGTTTCACCATGTTGGCCAGGCTCATCTCAAACTCCTGACCTCAGGTAATCTCCCCACCTTGACCTCCCAAAGTGCTGGGATTATAGGCTTGAGCCACTGTGCCCAGCCCTATACCTCTTTTTTTGATTATTACTTCAGAATTCTTATAAAGACTCACGGATATTTAGAGATCAGTAACTTGCTTCTTAAAATGGAGCAAATAATATATTTAGCCATTAATCACAAAGTTAGCTTAAGATTTGCTCAGCAAGCACCACGGGTGTGTCACCTTGTAACCAATCATTGACTAAGTGGTATTTCTGTAGGAGAGATAGAAAGTACTATGACATTAATGAGGCATCATTTTATAGGTAGGAAATTTGATTGCATTAGTGCTTTTTGGTTTCAACTCCAGAGTGTCAACAGACTCACAGATTGTTAATTCCCATTGCACCCCTAGATTAACATCAGATTGATCTAGTTTTTCAGTCTGTGTATTAGTCCATTCTCACACTGCTATAAAGAACTGCTTGAGACTGCGTAATTTACAAAGGAAAGAGGCTTAACTGACTCACAGTTCCACAGGGCTGGGGAGATCTCAGGAAGCTTACAATCATGGTAGAAGGGGAAGCAAGCACGTCCTTCTTTGCATGGCAGCAGGAAGGAGAAGTGCCAAGCAAAGGGGGAAAAGCCCCTTATAAAACCATCAGATCTCAAGAGGACTCACTCACTATCACAAGAATGGCATGGAGGTAACCGCCCATATGATTCCATTACATCCCATCAAGTCCCTCCCACAACATGTGGGGATTATGGGAACTAAAATTCAAGATGAGATTTGAGCAGGGACACAGCCAAGCCATATCAGTCTGCCTGTCCTTTCTTGTTCTCCACCCAACTCACCAAGACTCATTCAGCACTTCACATGGGAAACAGCCTTGGGTACTCAATCACAAGACTTACAAGAGTTCAATGCCCTTGGAGACCACTCAGTTTGTACTACCAGTCATTTAAACTACAGTTATAACTGTCCTCACTGGTCCTTGGCAGAAACCAGGTTCCTCATAAAAAGACAAAAGGACAAAGGTATTAGGGATCATCTCAGATCAACTTGATGGTTGATTTTTCAAACTGATGTTTGTATTTTTTTTTTTTTTTTTGAGATGGGGGTCTCACTCTGTTGCCCAGGCTAGAGTACAGTGACAAGATCTCGGGTCACTGCAGCCTCAACCTCCTGGGCTCAAGTAATCCTCCCACCTCGGCTTCCCAAGTAGTTGGGACTACAGGCACACATCACCATATCTAGCTAATTTTTATTTTTATTTTTTGTAGAGACAGGATCTTGCCATGTTGCCCAGCCTGGGCTGAGGTGATCTGCCCATCTTGGCCTCCCAAAGTGCTGGGATTATAGGTGTGAACCACTGCACCTGGCCCAAACTGATGTTTAAAAAAATCAGTGAAACTTTTTTCTTAAATACATAAGCATCATTGTAAATGATTATTTAACCAATAAATGGTGGCTAGCTTGGTTAAAGGAAGGATGGGGGATCTAGAGATCTACCCACTCAGCCCCTCCTTATCTGAGCTTTTTCTGAAGACTCAAAATGCTATGCTTGTCACAGTCTGAAAAGCACTCATCTAAGTTAAGCCCTTCATTTTGCAGATGAGGAAACTGCAGCCCAGAGGGATGGAAAAACTTACTCAAGATGACCTACAGAGCAGGAGGTTTTATTCAGGACCTATTCTGAAATTTTTGATTTGTTGTTGTTCATACAATCCTGCTACTTTGGATGGCAGCTAAATAGGACTGGGGGAGGCCTTGAGGTGCCCACGCAAGATTTAAGGAAGCACTCCCTTTCAGGTCTGGACAAGTGCCAACTCTATACTTGCAAGGACTAGAGAGGGAGTGCTTCCTTGAATTTTGCAACTAATCCCAGTCCTGCCTCTATTCATATCTAAAATACTATCATCTCCAAACATGCTGATCTTCTACTTCATGTTGCCTCTTGCCCTCTTATCTTTGTCTTTCCATTAGATTGTTAACTTTGGAGGTCAAGGGCAATGTCTTTCATCCTTATTTTCCTAGGGTTTGGTATAGCATATGGAAAATAACGGGTCTTCAGTAAGTATCTACTGAAAGAACTGATGGGTGAGTGGGTCTAAATTCTGTTTTTGATGAAGGCTTTCCTGATCCCTCAAATTCACTCTGATGTCTCCATCCTCTGAAATCCTAACATATTATCCGTATTCTCTGAATAACTCAATTCATTTAATTATATATGTTGACATAACTTTTATGTTTATGTAACTCTTGTGCAGCAACTTAATTTTCCAATTTTCTCTTTCTTTATGCACAATTAGATTTTAGTTAGTTAAGAGCAAATGCCAATTTGTGTTCTTTGAATTTTCTCAGCAGCTAGCAGAAGATTTTGCACACTGAAGGTACATAGCAAATGTTTCTTCAATATATGATGAAGAACAAACAAGTAAGTAGATGAATGGCATTTTCTCAGCTGAAAATAGAATCTACGGTAACTGTTTTCAAGTCCTAGCTTGCCTCCTAACTACCTGAGTGCAGAAATGCTTTCCCCTCATTGGCTTCAGTTTCTTTTCTCTTTTTTTGAGACGAAGTCTCACTCTGTTGCCCAAGCTGGAGTGCAGTGATGAGATCTCGGCTCACTGCAACCTCTGCGTCCCATGTTCAAGCGATTCTCCTGCCTCAGCCTCTCAAGTAGCTGGGACTAGAGGCATGCACCACCATGCCCAGCTAATTTTTCTATTCTTAGTAGAGATGGGGTTTCACTATGTAGGCCAGGCTGGTCTCGGACTCCTGACCTTGTGATCCACCTGCCTTGGCCTCTTAAAGTGCTGGGATTACAGGCATGATGAGCCACTGTGCACATCCTGGCCTCAGTTTCCTTATATGTAAAATGAAGAGGTGGTTTGAGTGATTCTGAAGATACTTCCAGCTCTGGCATCCTGTGACTCTATGAATTTAGAAATCTGTCATGCAAGAGGAGTTCAGGTGTAAATTTTGTTACTATAAATCACTTGCTCATCTAACAGGAATTGTTTACATGTAGCTGATGGTCTAATTTTTAAATGTTCAGAGTCCTAAAATTATGAACAGATTATATGTCAAAAATTAATTTGTAATATACAAGGTATATTATGGTTGAACTAGTTTTTGTGGTCTTAGGCTGGAAATTAAACACCTAGTATATAGAAGCAATAATATTTCAAGTATACATATTCATTTATAGCATTATTTCTATGGGAAAATGCACCCAGAATTCTAACTAGGATCTTCAAGAACAACTCTCCCCAGGTCAGTGCATGGAGCAGAAAGAGAAGGGAAAGGGATAGAATGTCTTCATGACTTTAATCCTAGTATTTGAAAAAAAAAAATCAAACCTTGCACCTACAAATTTCTGTCTTGATCCAGAAAGTCATTAGCATAAAAAAGATAATAGTGGCCTTCTCACCTAACGCCACCAACATGGTGTTCAGGCGCTTCGTGGAGGTTGGCCGGGTGGCCTATGTCTCCTTTGGACCTCATGCCGGAAAATTGGTCGCGATTGTAGATGTTATTGATCAGAACAGGGCTTTGGTCGATGGACCTTGCACTCAAGTGAGGAGACAGGCCATGCCTTTCAAGTGCATGCAGCTCACTGATTTCATCCTCAAGTTTCCGCACAGTGCCCGCCAAAAGTATGTCCAACAAGCCTGGCAGAAGGCAGACATCAATACAAAATGGGCAGCCACACGATGGGCCAAGAAGATTGAAGCCAGAGAAAGGAAAGCCAAGATGACAGATTTTGATCGTTTTAAAGTTATGAAGGCAAAGAAAACGAGGAACAGAATAATCAAGAATGAAGTTAAGAAGCTTCAAAAGGCAGCTCTCCTGAAAGCTTCTCCCAAAAAAGCACCTGGTACTAAGGGTACTGCTGCTGCTGCTGCTGCTGCTGCTGCTGCTAAAGTTCCAGCAAAAAAGATGACGGCCGCGAGTAAAAAGGCTTCAGCCCAGAAGGTTCCTGCCCAGAAAGCCACAGGCCAGAAAGCAGCACCTGCTCCAAAAGCTCAGAAGGGTCAAAAAGCTCCAGCCCAGAAAGCACCTGCTCCAAAGGCATCTGGCAAGAAAGCATAAGTGGCAATCATAAAAAGTAATAAAGGTTCTTTTTGACCTGTTGGCAAATGTAAAAAAAAAAAAAAAGATAATAGTGAGTATTTTATTATTTCAGGAAGGTAAAACAGATCTTTTAAAATGGCTCGTTGTATCATTATGTTCTCATTTAGTTATTTTCAGTATTTACTTTTTCTTTGTAAAATAAACGTGAAAGTGGCTTGTTAAATTTTTTTTAGAGAAATCTGAGTAATCTTCCCAGAGGCTCCTGAAGAAGATTTAACTTTTTTCTCATCTGATTTTCATATAATGTATTCAATTCTACAAGTTCTATTGCTAAAATGCCACACTGTGTGAGTGATGTCCATGTTTGGTGACTAAATTAACTATGTGACAAAACTGATATTTTCTTAAGGAAAAGTCTAATTTCATGAGGAAGTATTTGGTAGTTCATGGTGGTGTTAGATATGAGTTCTAAATTTCTTTACAAAGAATCAATATGTCAGTATGTTCAATTCTTTGCCTTCTATTTTTAAACTTCACTTCCTCATAAAGCAACCTTTTTCGATCACCTGCTCCACCCTGACTCATTTCAATCACCTGCTCCACCCTGACTCATTCCCATTACCGGCTACCTGGTCTGCCCTGACTCATTCCTTACCCTGCATAACCATTTTTTCCTGCCAAGCCATTCACCCTGTCACTTTCTTTCAATTAGCCAATGAGAATTAGTTTAGATGCTGCGGTATAACCCTAGCCAATAGGGGAACAACACAGCAGCAGGGGCCGCCTGCGTCAGGGATAAGAACCCCTTCCCCTCCCTTGTCCAAGTGTGCGCTCACCATTGCTCCATCTGTAAGGGTGCACCCTTCTATAGAGGTACCTTGCCTTGCTGAGAATTAAAAAGAAAATTTTATATTCAAGTGCTATTTTTTTTGCCGCACGGAAACTATTTATAACAGTGGGCTGCATGCCATCCTGAGAATTCATCTCTCAGAATTGTGGCCTATGCATTTCAGTTCATGCCAACTAACCAACTTTGAATATAATATTGTACTTTCCCTTCTAACTCTCTATTTATTTAGGTCTTTGTTGACTTAAAAGATTATCATTAGTGCAGCAAAGAGTGAAAGGCTCTGTGTTAGACCTGACAACTGTATTACTTTACTTGGGTGTCACTGACTGGTCTCTTAGGCTGTAGTTCATTCCACCTAGTTCCTGTTGATCATGGTTGGCAAGGTAAACTTTCTTGAAAACAATTTCTTCCACATTGGTCTTTAGTTTTATCCATTGTCTTTCAATCAAATATGAACATTTTAGCTCATATTTCAAGTTCTCTCCACCCCATCATCAGGCTTCTCCATGCCTGTTCAGCATAATTCACCTCATCTTGCTGCCCTTTGGCCTCTCTCTGTAAGCAGTTAGTCTGACCCAGGAGATCTTTTCAAACCTCTTTCATCTTCATTTGTACTGGAGCTTTGTGAAAGACAGGTGAGGTGATGGGCCATGTCCTCTGGTGCCTGACTTCCTTCCACCTTTTCTCAACAATCTGTATAGCACGTGTACTTATTGTAGCAACAACAGTCATAGTAATGATATCTTTTATTACTGAGTTCCTACCATGTAAGGCACTAAATTGTTTCATATGTATCATCTCTGCTAAAACAATAGCATGATTTAGGTAAATATGGGTATTATTATCTCCATTTTACAAACAAAATATTGAGATCCGAAGGATTAAGAAATGTACCCAAAGTCATACAGTTAGTCGATGTCAGAGCCAGGATTTAACCAGTTGGTATGCCTCTAGAGTTTTTTATCTTAACCATTATACTTTTCTGGCTCCTGCAAATGACCATGTGCTGTGAGGAGTACAAAGATGTAAAAGATCCAGTGCCTGTACCACAAAGTTGACTGTTTAGTTTGGTAGATTAGAGATGCACACAAATAACTTTTTTATAGGTCAGTGTGTGACAGGAACTGGAAAAATGGGCCTAAGTTGCAATGTGGATCTAGAGTTGGGAGAAGGCTGCCTAGAAGCTCTGAGACTTTAGTCTTGGAAAGATAGGTACCATTTTCATGGGTATCTAAACTATTCAAACTTAACATGTTATTTTATTCTGGCTTGCATGTTTATTTCGTTTTCTTTTGTTTTTGGCTTTCTTCTCAATTAGAGAAGTTCTTTTAAAGCAAGGTTCATGTCTTATGCCTCTGTATTTTCCATATATTACTAGCACAGTGTTATGTACATAGTAAATTATAAATAGTTTGTGATTAACCACTTAAAGATAAAATTTATTTATGAAAACAATTACATCAGCCTTTTCCAAAGTACACCTTACTAAGCAGTATTCTCTTAATTGTTCTTATGGAAGCTATATTTTCCCTTTCATTATATTCATCAACTTTCAAGTAGGAGTTTAATGTGTGTTTTTTCTACTAGACTGTTAAGACCCATGAGGACAAGGACTGTGTGTGTCCTGTATACCACTGAATCCTGGGTGCTTGCAATGTGTGCATATAGTAGTTGTTCAATAAATGTTCATTGAATAAATGAAATAGGTCTCTCAAGGAACCCGTTTAAAAAAGCCTTCCTTGACCTAGGGAGTTTATGAAATGCTGCATGGATATTATGCCATCCTCTTGAATATTCACAGTTGTATGTCGGCAGATGAAATCTCCAAAAACCTTGCAGCAAAGAAATCTGTTTAAAGTGGGTTATACAGTTTATTAAATTAAACTGAACTGATGAACTACCCTCCTCCTTTATTTCCCTTAGGAGAATTTGTTAATATTCTGTGAAATCACTGATGAGCAGACACTCTCAGGAAAGCCATTTTTGGGGGAATCTGATTGTAGCATTTGTCACACAATATTGTTACAACTATAGATCCCAAGAAATGTGCCCTCTTCTCAATCCTTTTCCAGCCAAAGGGACTGACCATTCCAAAAGATAGAAACCAGGACCACACCTTCCTAAGGTAACCTTGTCATCTACACAAAGAGGACTGCTCTATGCTCTTATTCATATTCTTTGTCAGTGTGTGACAAAGGCTTTTGTTCGCAATAGCCTGCCTGGTCGAGGAGAATTATTTTTATTGGGTTGTTTCCAGTATTTGTCTATAAGCTTCACATTTATTTACAAAGACTGTGAGAGAACTAACTTCACAGGGCTCAAAGAGGAATAATAAGGGTAAAAGATTAAAGGCTGTGTCTTTTAAGAAAGGTTAAATAAGTTGAAGTAATTTAAAGGAAAAATACAAATAATAAGGAAGGACAGACTTAATGAAATAAAATTCAGCATGCTACCTGAAGTCGGTCTGTGTGCAGGCTGCCTGGCTTTTTGTCGCTGAATGCCCAGATGCTGGTCCTGTTTAATGCCTATCTTCAGGTCCAGCGTTATCTCTGATTTTATAACATATGCCAGCAGTCATTCCTAGTATCAATATCAAAGCTATACTCCCTATTTTTTTGAGACTAACATTAAGTGCTTGCTATATATTAATTTGCCAAGTGTATTTTATGCATCATTATTCATTCATTCAGTAAACATTTGTAAAGTGCCTCCTGTGTGCCTTTGTATTTAGAATATATCAATGAATAAAACAGACCCAAAGTCTTGCCTTGTGGAACTTATATACTTGTGGGTGTGAAAAGACAGTAAACAATAAACATAATAAATAAATAAATTACATTGCATGTAGGAAGGTGATAAATGTTATGAAAAAAGAGACCAGGAAAGTAGGAAGATTATGTGTATATGAGGAGAGAGGGGCTGAAACCTTAATTTGGACAGTGTGGACCTCACTGAGAAGGTGATATTTGAGCAAAGAGATAAAGTCCTTGAGCAAGTAAACTGTGGGAATACCTGGAGTACGAACAGGTTGACCAGCAGAAGCAATCAACATAAAGGCCCTGAGTCAAGAATGCTTGTTGACTTCGAGGAACAGTAAAAAGGTCAGTGTGGCTGGGTGTGGGGGCGCGGGGAGGGGATCCTATAGGGCCTTTGACCATTATAAGGACTTTGGCTTTTACTCACAGTGAAATGGAAAGCCATTGCAGGATTTTGAGCAGAGCAGTGTTACTGCTGACTTTTTTTAAAAAAAGGATCACTAGCGCCGGGGGTGGTGGCTCACGCCTGTAATCCCAGCACTTTGGGAGGCCGAGGCGGGTGGATCACGAGGTCAGGAGATCGAGACCATCCTGGCTAACACGGTGAAACCGCGTCTCTACTAAAAATACAAAAAAAAATTAGCTGGGCGTGGTGGCACGCGCCTGTAATCCCAGCTACTCGGAAGGCGGAAGTAGGAGAATGGCGTGAACCCGGGAGGCAGAGCTTGCAGTGAGCCGAGATCGCGCCACTGCGCTCCAGCCTAGGCAACAGAGCAAGACTCCGTCTCAAAAAAAAAAAAAAAAAGGATCACTAGCTAGGAGGACAAGAAGTGGAAGCAAGACAATAATTCAGGTGCTGCTATATAATAATGCAGGTGAGTGAAACTCAGGATTCAGACTAAATAGTAACCAATAGTGGAGTTGGTGAGAACTGGTCAGTTACTGGATAGATATTCTATCCTCTTATATCACCTTTTGCAGTGTCAAGCAAACTTAAAATGAGCTAACAGAGCAATAGGGTTATCTAGAAGTGTGTGTGACAGAGTAGTCAAAAATGACTCTAACACTGTTTTTTTTTTTGTTTTTTTTTTTGAGATGGAGTCTCTTTCTGTCGCCAGGCTGGAGTGCAGTGGCACTTTCTTAGCTCACTGCCACCTCCACCTTCCAGGTTCAAGTGATTCTCCTGCCTCAGCCTCCTGAGTAGCTGGGACTACAGGCCCATGACACCACGCCCAGCTAATTTTTGTATTTTTAGTAGAGACAGGGTTTCACCACGTTGGCCAGGATGGTCTTGATCTCCTGACTTCGTGATCTGCCTGCCTCGGCCTCCCAAAGTGCTGGGATTACAGGTGTCAGCCACCGTGCCCAGCCGACTCTAACACTTTTTAACCTCAACGAATCCTTATAGCCAGGTAGGTTATATTATCACCTCCCTTTTTCAGATAGAGAAACTGAGTCTTAGAGAGATATTAACTCTAGGTTATCTAGCTAGTAAGCAGAAGATCTGGGATTTGAATACAGTGTTGTATGACTCCAAATGCTGGGTTTCTTTCTTTTTCTTTTCTTTTTTTTTTTTTGAGAGGGAGTCTCGCTCTGTTGCCCAGGCTGGAGTGCAGTGGCACGATCTGGGCTCACTGCAAGCTCTGCTTCCCGGGTTCATGCCATTCTCCTGCCTCAGCCTCCTGAGTAGCTGGGACTACAGGCGCCCAACACCACGCCCGGATAATTTTTTGTATTTTTAGTAGAGATGGGGTTTCACCGTGTTAGCTAGGATGGTCTCGATCTCCTGACCTCGTGATCCACCCGCCTCGGCTTCCCAAAGTGCTGGGATTACAGGCGTTAGCCACCACGCCCAGCCAACGCTGGGTTTCTTAGTCATACTGCTGTTTGGCCCAGGAAGACATTGAGCTATTACTGTGAAATCCGACCTGAGGTCTCCAAGAAGCTGATTCCAGATGTGTTTTTAGGTTATTCAGTACCTACCTTGAACACCAGTTTCCATTGACATGTTTCCATTTCTTAACCTTAGTTCATTAGTGATGATATTTCTCTCCCTCAACCTTTTCATTTCTCAGAGTCTCCTACTTTTGAAGGCTGTTTTCCATCTGTTTAAATCTCTGGCCACCTAGACATCCACGATGTGCTTATTTTTCCCCAGGCCTTGGACTCAGTTTGGACTTGACCAAAACTTTCCTTTTCTCTTTGGCAAGCTTTCACATTCCAGAGCTATTTTCTAATATTTGTCCTCCAAGACCTGCTTTAGATTAATTGACCCCTGAACACTTTGAAAAGTTAAAATCATATGCTTTTCCATGAGGAGCAAGGGAGTGGGTGACATGGAGAGCTGCACTGGCAGTGACAGTTCTGAGTTCTCTATCCTTCACCTAGCTCATGCTGAGAGAGAGGGGTGTGGCAATAGCAAGCTTGGAGGCCTGTAGGCAGGACAGATGATCCTATTGGTTAGAGACACCTGGCCTTAAGCAAATGTTGTTTATACTTTACCCTCTTCATCCTGAACCAATTTAGTGTCCTCTTAGATCACCTTTTGCAGCACCAAGCAAACTTATAATGAGCTAACAGTATTATCTTAACAACCAGCACCAACATTCTTCCTACAGAGGAAAATGTCAATACTGGGGAGATGTTTCAATATGGGTTTAGGGCAAAAAGTGGGTTCCCCAATGGCTGGGGTGTCAGCTGGCATCCAGGTCTCAGGGGATTGGGAAGCTGCCAAGCACAATGCAGAGAAAATGACACTCTTGGTTCAATAGGGGGTGGGGAGCAGAAGGGAACAGCAGAGATGGACAGAGATGAACACAAGGGAGGTAAGATAAAGCTGTCAAGTTGGGGGAAGGCTATTCAGGGAACTGTGTGACCCTCTCCACACTTCATCACCCAATTTATAGGAAAATCTGCTTATCCCCAAAAGGCGTGGTATGAATGAGGGTTGTTGTGGAGCTAAAGGAGAGGCTCAGTTCTAAGTTGGGTTCTTCCTAGCGTAGGACAGAGGCATTGTGCAGAGACAAGGCCCAAGAGACATAAGAGGCAGGAGAGAGCTTTGGGTGCTATTGGACATAAAATAAAAAGGGATTCATGGCAATTTTACCCAGATTTCATAGTCAGGGAGTTCTCAGCTATAGTACTGTGAATGGCTTTAACCTTTTCCCATCTATATTCTTACATTAATTCCAGTCTTCTCCTGGAGAAGACTCTGGTTCCACAATACCTACATATTGAAATCTTGCTAAACTCAAATCCCATTCCTATGGAAATTCTGAACATTCAGTATAAAGTGAACTTTCACATGGCAGGTGCATTAAGTTTTCCATATGTACCCTGTTGTTTTAGTTATATTTCAAGCTTCTAGAAAACAGACACTTAATGAATTTTTGAAGTAAATAACTTATTAGTCTTCCCTAGGAGACATTGTTATTTACAAAAATGTACAATTGAAATCAAATTTTATAACGGGAAAAATTGAATCTGTAGAAATAACACACATATGTATATGTATAGCTTTGCCACCAGTATCTAAATACCTCTCTATCCCATTTCTTTAAGGTTCTGATCAAATATCAGGCCTGACCTCCCTCTTCTCCATTCACCCCATACCATCTATCATTCTTTTTTTTTCCAATAGTTATCGGCACCTGGATGTATAATTCATGGAACTATTCATGTATTTGTTGACTGTGTCTCCTGCCACTAGGACATATATTACATGAAGGCAGAGACTGTGTTCTCTTCCCTGGTGTATCTTCAGTGCCTAGAACAATGCCTGTCTGGACTATAGTTTGGCCCTCAGTAATATTACATGAATAAATCCACAGCCATGGTTAGAACTGTATCTTTCTTTCTGCTTTGACATTCAGAGTTAATAAACATATGTTAGACATTTATATTTGCATAACCAGGTAAATCACTCAGAACTCAGTATGTAGCTTCATTACCTATGATTAGAAATAAACAGCCAAGAAGAGAAAAGCAGAAAATAACTATTTCTTGTAAAGTGAAGTGTGATGTCTAGATTGAAACTTCACAAAGCAGATGTGTGCAATCATTTCTTTCCTGATGAATTTCGGGGACACATTTGCCCTCTACATAACTTTGTCTATAACTCAAAACTGTATAGCAGGTTTAAAAAAATCTGATTCCAGATATATTAAAGAAATTGATTAAGTGTGTCAATTTCCTGTAAATACACCAAACCTTAATATACATAGAAATTTGGGTTTGGAGGAGACTTTGAAATTTCTCTTTCAAGATGGTTATTTTATTTTATAAATGAAGCAACCAAAGAATAGAAAAATCAAGTGACCTACTGGAGCACACTGTATGTGAATTTAGAAGTAAAACTCAGCCTACAACTCAGGGCTGTGCCTGCCCCACTGCACTGCACAACTTCTCTATATTGCTGGAAACACGACAGTTCTGCCCAGTTTTCAAGCAGCTTTTCAAGTTACAGGTCCTGACTTCAGAGTTTATCTCACATTTCGTTTGTATCTATTTTTACTTTCTTTCCATCTTTTATTCCAGCTTATCACTATTTCTGGCGACTTCTAGACCGAGGGATAGCTTTAATGTACTAAAAATAAGAATCTCTTCCCTCCTGTTTTCCATTACTGTTTTTTCCTTTCCTGTATATGAATGTTCACTATCTTTTTTCTCCTCCTCCCGTGATGACTTCCTATACTCTAAAGTATATTTGACTCAACCTCCTTAACGATCACTCGTAATTAGTTTATGTGTTTCCATATATTTGTGTTCATGACAAGTTTTTATCTGATCATCAAAATTTAAGCCCCTTGAAACGAAAATTAAAATCAAAATGAGATACAACTATATATCTATCAGAATTAAAAAGAGTGACCATACCAAGTGTTGAGGAGGATATAGAAGAACTGGAGCTCTCATATGCTGCTCCTGGGAATGCAAAATGGTACAACCAGTTTGGAAAAACAGTTTGGTGCCTTCTTTAAAGGTTAAATAACACCTATCTTATGATCCAGCTATTCTACTCCTAGGTATTCACTCAAGATAAATGAAAGCATATGTCCATATAAAGAGTAGTACAGGATAGAGGAATTATAAAGGGACAGGAGGAAAAACTTTGGGTGGTAAATCATATGTTCATTTTCTTGATGTTAGAGATGGTTTCACAGGTGTATATATGTGTCAAAACTTATCAAATTTTGCTTTTTAAATACGTTCAAGTTACAGTATGACAATTATAACTCAAAAAGGTGGTTAAAAGAATTTTAAGCCCCTTGGATGCTGAAACTGTAACTTTTCTTTAATAGCTCTCAGAAATGCCTGGCAAAATGCCACACAACCTCTGAGAACTAAGTATATATTTATTGATAAATTGTTTGACTCAATAATAGTTTAGCGATTTCCCTAGGACCATGAATTTTAGGTATTATCCTGACATTGAGAATAGTTCAATTAAGATCAACTAACAGTTACTAAGCTTCTCCTTTGAAGCAATAAAATATGAGACGTGTTTTTGATGCATTTATAATCAGGCTGATATTAACATAATCAGGCTGATTTTAACACAGAAACTTTCTATTCAAAGCCAAAACAAAATCCATTGAATTCTATAAAAATTAAGCAATTTAGTAAAAAATGTAGTCAGCCTAATTTTGCATCACGCAAATTAAACATTTGACTGATTTTTGTTTTCCAGTAATTGTAATATTGTATGGCATTCATAAGGAATTATAACCTCTGTTTCTCTTCACTAATAACAAAATATCTTCCATTTATTTTTATTTTTTATTTATTTATCTTATTTATTTATTTATTTATTTATTTTGAGACAGAGTCTCACTCCTTTGGAGTGCGGTGGCAGGATCTTGGCTCACTGCTACCTCCACCTCCTGGGTTCAAACAATTCTCATGCCTCAGCCTCCTGAGTAGCTAGAATTACAGGAGCATATCACCAGGTCTGGCTAATTTTTTGTGTGTTTTTAGTAGAGACGGAGTTTTGCCATGTTGGCCAGGATGGTCTCAAACTCTTGACCTCAATTGATCCACCCACCCCAGCCTCCCAAAGTGTTACGGGCATGAGCCACCATGCCCAGCCATCCATTTATTATGTATAGATAATACAACATGCACCAGGCATTTTATAAAATTACCTTATTTAATCGTATAACAATATGAGAGATAATTAGTTAATGAAGCATCCCTCTTAAACAGATGAAAAACTAAGGCTCAGAGAAATTAATCATTTGGCCAAGATCATACAACCAGTAAACAGAGGAGGTGAGATTTGAATCCGAATCACTCTGACATCAAAGCACAGTTTTCTATTTTTGTATCCCTGAATAATTTGCATTATCTTTGCAGGAGTGTCATGGACTTGATCATACTGCTAACTTATTAAACCAAAATGTAAATTCTTTTTTTTGGATAGATTAGCAACAAAAAAAATTAAAAACACTGCTTCATTCATTCACAGTAAAGCCAGAAGATACTAGAACTCTATATAGATTTTTATACACACACATAGATATATAAAACACACATATACCTGCAATTAGAATTCTTTAACATTTAAATCATACCTATTTCCTTCACAGCATTTTATATTTTAGTTCTTCTTATCTCTCTTTAATGTACTTTTTATGCCCAGGTTACAAAATAAAGTATGTTATATTGGTGAAGCTTTGCCTGGTTCTTATCTTAGGTTCCAGTAGGTTTGGATGTTCTCGGTGTGACCTGGAAATTTCCCCAGAGGCCAATTTGTGGTATCTGGCCTAATTCTATAGAAAGTTCCTCTCATGTAGTGTTTCTCAGATATTTGCATTCCTTGACTTCTGCCCACTCTTTTTTTCTACTTTAAATGTTCTCCCACTGTGACTAATTTTCAGTTTTATAACCACATGAAAAACAAACAAACAAAAAAGATCAGTTACTTAAGGCGCCAACAGGACAAATCATTGCCCAGAGCTTGCAATGACGGTTTCCCTTGTTATTGCAACAGATGTTAAAGATTGGAAGAAAGGGTAGGACAAAAATGAGGTGGGAGCCTTACAGCCTTACTCATATTTTTTTTTTTCTTTTTGGTAGATGGGGTCTCACTCTGTCACCTCGACGGGAGGGCAATGGCATGATCACAGCTAACTGCAGCCTCAACCTCCTGGGCTCAAGTGATCCTCCTGCCTCAGCCCCCTGAGAAGCTGGGACTACAGGCGAGGGCCACCATGCCCAGCTGCTTTTATTTAAAAAATTTTTTTGTGGAGACTGCATCTCACAGTGTTGCCCAGGGTATTCTCAAACTCCTGGGCTCAAGCGATTCTCCCGCCTAAGCCTTCCAAAGTGTTGGAATTACAGGCATGAGCCACTGTGCCTGGCCTAAGATAATTTTTATTTAAAATACTTTACTTTGATCTTAGCGTTGCTCCATTTTGAGAACTTCCTAGCTTTAAGGACAATTGCATTGTGTAGAAAATCTGGTGAAAATGCCTTTAAATGATAGAAATATCAGCGAGAGTTAGTTTGGTTTAACCAACTTTTGATAAGACATTTAGTTCAGTGCCATTTTGGTTTAATTAATATTATTTTACTTCTTTGGCAAATTAGCATGGCTTCTTCAACAAATGTGGCTGTGAAGTTGTGGCAGACAGCCACGTTTACTACTTGAGACCGTCACTACGACAGTTATTACTATTACTACTTGAGACCGTCATTATGACGGTTACTACTGTTACTGCTTGAGACCGTCATTACGAAACTGAACGAAGGGGGATGAATGTAGATATGAAAACTTAAGACAAAAGAAACTGTTTTAAAGGAAGGGGCCAGGGGAAGAAGAGAGCTTGGTGTTCCTAGTGAGCAAACGCAGCCCCTGAGCTTCCACAGCCCATTGTATTTATTGGTTAGCAAGAGCAGGAAGGAGGAGGTAATGATTGGTCAGCTGCTTAATTGATCACAGGTTCACATTATTACTAACAGGCTTCAGATGTACCTAATCAAAAGAAACACCGCACTTGGGGCGTGACTGCCCTCAGCAGTCCTTCCGGTTGGCAGACGCAGTTTGTCAGTTTGCCAACATTCTGCATTTATGAGAAACAGTTTGCTGCTTACTCATAGAGCCTCCAGTGGTATAATGAGCTGATCACGACCCTCATTCTTTCTGCCTGCAACATGAAGTCATTCATTTGGGTATGCTGCATGGACCATTTAGAAACAGCCACATCACAGGCACTCCTCTATGAAAAGAAGGGCTCTTTGGATGAAGAGTGTTCTTGTGGAGGGTGTATAGAAATATGAAATATGATCTTGTCCTAGAGAAGCATTCATACTGAGTAGGGGGCAGCCAGCACACATGAACCCATAAAATAATAATAAAGGGCTGCCTATGGTCAACTGCCGTAAAATAAATACTATAGATTATCAGAGTGGAAAAAAAATCTACCATGGCCTGACATGAAGAGGTTGGTAGTCATTTAGCTCATACTATGTGTAAGCCATTTTGAAAGGTGCTGTTTAAGATAAGAATAAAATGACAGGGCTCCTGCTCTTTGTGGGTGTGTACCCAGAAAATTATGTAATAAGGAAAGCAAGGAATTCAAAGCAAAATCTTCAGTGAATCATAGTGAATGAGAATGCTTCTCATGGAAAGATGAGAAGGAGTTCAGGGAGGTGATATTTGAATTTAGACTTAAAAGATGGGTAGAATTTAGACATAAGGAAGTTGGAGAAAGTGGAAGGGTATTTGTAGGTAGGAAAAACAGCCCAAGGAAAGACATAGAGGCATTAAATCATAGGATATTCAGAAAAAAATGTGTTATGTGAAGGAAACAAAAAAGCCGAAGAGAGGTGGAGGAGAATGTGGTGGGTATTAAATAACTTATGGTGGACAACAGGGAAACATTATAAGTTTGATATGAGAAGAAATACGATCATAATTATTGAGGAAGAAGAGAAGAAAACCCAGGACAGAATGTAGAGGAGCTCCAAATTTGAATGGTGGATAGAAGAGAATGAGATAAAAAAGAAGAGAAGCAGCAGCCAGAAAAGTAGGAAGAAAATCAGGAGGCAACTGGACCTCGAAAACAAGAGGCAGAACATTCCAAGAGTAGGTGGTCAGCAGAGATGTCAGGCAAAATGAAGACTAGAAAATATGTATTGTCTTTATGATAGGGAGGTCGTTGGTGTTTTTGGCAAGTTGCATGATAAGAACTAAATTGGAATAGATTGACTTCTGATTGGTGGATGTGGAAATTAAGACAAAACTTAGATGGTTTTTTATTTTCTTTTGTTTCTGTTTGGCTGTAATGAGACAGGATAGAATAGAACCTGGAGAGAAACATGAGGTTAAAAGAGGTTATTATATTTAAATGGCAGAGACCTTCTTCACAGATGTATAAGGCAATTGGAAAGGTCTAGTGTGGGTGGGGATTGACTGTAAAAGAGAAGTGAGATATTTGATGGTTTAGTGAGAAGAGTTTTGGGTGCTGGGTGAGGTGGACAGGATGAAGTCCAAAGCAAGGATAAAAGGAAGAGTGGGAAGGCCTCTACTGTTACATAATAACAATAGAGGAAAGAGACATAGAACAGGTTAAGCTGTAGGTAGGTTTATATCTTGGTTGTTGGAAGAAGAGGACATTTATATTAATTTGCTAGGGTTACTGTGACAAATACCACCGAATGTGTGGCTTAAACAGTAGAAACTTATTTTCTCACAATTCTGGAGACTAAAAGATCAAAGATTAATGTGTTGGCAGGGTTATTTTCTCCTGAGGCCCCTCTCCCTGGCTTGCAGATGACTGTCCTCCTGTCTTCACAAGGTCTTTTCCCCAGGTGTCTGTATCCTAATTTCTTCTTTAAAAGACACGCGTCATATTGGATTAGGGGCCACCCATCCCTTCTCATTTTATCTTAGTTATCTCCTTAAAGGCTCTATTTCCAAATACAGTCACATTCTGAGACAATGAGGGTTAGGACTTCAACAGAAGAATTTGGGGGTGTGGACACAATTCAGCCCTAACAGCATCCCTACCTGAGATTTTTATCTGTTAAGTAGAAAGAAAGGTCATTTTCTGGGAACGAGGAGGGGAGAGGAAGGGCAAAGATTTAAGAGTAGAAGCATTTTGAACATTTTATTGTAGGGGTGGTCAGGTTGACCAGAGAAATGTAATTGTATTATTCAGTGTGGATGGCCCATTGAAATTGGTGATTATGAGTTCACAGTGTGACTTTCTCCAGCAGAAATATGTGCCTAGGTGCAGGCTGGGAAGGAACTGATGGCTTTGTTTGAGTGATGCTACTAAAAGACACAGAGACAGGAGAGTAAACAGAATGGATAAAAGACAAGTAAAGAAAAAAGACGCTAATTGGTTTGAAGAAAGTTGAAGAGGCAATAGATTTGGGGATTCCAATAAGGCCAAAGAATGGTTGAATAATAGTAATTGATAATCGTAACTGATATAGGGTGATTATGGTTTGGCTCTGTGTCCTCACTCAAATTTCACCTTGAATTGTAATGTGTCAAGGGCAGGACCAGGTGGAGATAATTGAATCATGGGGGCAGTTTCCCCGTACTGTTATCATGATAGTGAGTGAGTTCTCATGAGATCTGATGGTTTTATAAAGGGCTTTCCCCTTTGCTCAGCCTGCCGCCCTATGAAGAGGTACCTTCCACCATGATTCTAAGTTTCCTGAGTCCTCCCCAGCCATGTGGAAATGTGAGTCAATTAAACCTCTTTTTTTTCATACATTACCCAGTCTCAGGTATTTCTTCACAGCAGTGTGAGAATGTACTAATACAGAGGGAGAGGGCTCATTACACGGGAGGAATGTTTAAATTGCATGGATCACATAGAGATAACAGCACAGGCTAAAGTCTGACTTTAAAAGTGGATGGTTTTGGAGATGTGAAGGTCAAGGAATGAAGACAGATCTTGAGTAGGAAACAACACTGAACTGTCAGTCTTCAGTGGGTGAAGGAGCTTGGATAGGCTGACAGTAGATGGCAACAAAGAGGAGAGGGAGGGTTGGTATAGCCAAGTGGCATGGACCCCAGAGAGGTAGTTTTTAATAAAAGGGAGCAGAACTAGTTGTCTGGAGTGATAATGGGGAGCAGGTAGGACACCAACCCCATCTCCCAACCTTGTGATGCATGATTTGAGGATAATAAATAGTCACCCCTTGAGAAGGCTAAAAGGAAAGTCATGAGTTTAGAGAAGAGCTTGGAGGCAAGGAAGTATAGGAAGCATCCAGAGAACAGATTGAATTTAGAGACATCTTCTGGTCTCCAGGATATAGAGAAATAGAAGTTGGCCAAGAGATAGAAGATCAGGCCCAGACAAGAATAAACAAAGCATTATGGAGATAATGTTATACGAAGAATGAATGTTTTGGAGTGCTTAAACTTGGGCACTATTCTTTTTACAAACTAGGATGAGAGAGCTGGTGAATAGCATTTAACAATTTCTCTCTAAGGGTGAGCAATAGGCCTGATGGAGAGATGGGAGATGCAGAAACTGCAGATCTCACATTGATTCTAATGCCTCTTTTCCATTAATTCTTTCAACAAATAATGTGTAAGATCTAATGATGCCAGGTCCAGTGCCAGGGACTGGGGATGTAAAGATGAATGGTGTGGAGTTTGTCCTTGAAAAGGTCTCTGTCTAATAAGGAGATACCTAACTACAACACTGTAATAAATGACAACTTAGAAGTATTTGTAAGGTAAAATGTGGGCACAGAGACAGGAGTCCGATGAGACATGGTCTACAAGTTGTATATTCACTCATCTTCTGAAAGGTCCCCAACATCCACATAGAAGGGGCCTCCACTTTCTTTTCCAGGAAGATTCACCCAGAATGTTAACATGCTGTCCTTAGTCATCATGGCATTGACATAACTGCAGTGGCTAATCCATAGTTTCTGCTAATCAGACTAAAATATTTCGGCTTCCAACACTTTCTCTCTCTCAACCAGGAAATTTACAACTGAAAATGAATTCCATTCCTTACCATCTTGACTTCTTCTTTTCATCTTACTGTAACCCCATGTGTCTCAAACTCAAGATGCCTCAAAATCACCTGAAGGGCTCTTGTTCACCACAGTTGGCAGGG
The DNA here is from genome assembly GCF_000001405.40 of Homo sapiens. Lineage (NCBI taxonomy): Eukaryota > Metazoa > Chordata > Mammalia > Primates > Hominidae > Homo > Homo sapiens. Next base: position 62,981,653 of record NC_000012.12, read on the forward strand.
TCTTACCACCAAAGGTTCTGATTCATAGGTCTGGATGGCACCTGAGATCTTTCCATTTCTCGCAAGTTTCTGGGTGTATTAGGCCACTCTGATGTTGTATAAAGAAATACCTGAGGCTGGGTAATTTACAAAGAAAAGAGGTTTAATTGGCTCGTGGTTCTGCAGGGTGTATAGAAAGCATGGTGCCAGCATCTGTGTCTGGTGAGGGTCTCAGGAAGCTTATAGTCATGATGGAAGGCAGAGGAGGAGCAGGTGAGTCACAGGTGACAGTGGGAGCAAGAGAGAGCAGGGAGGTGACATGCAGTTTTAAACAACCAAATCTCGGGTGAACTTGCAGCCAGAACTCACTTATCACGAAGGGGATGGTGCTAAGCCATTCATGAGCGCTCTACCCCCATGACCCAAACACTTCACACTAAGTCCCACCCCAATACTGGGGATTACATTTCCACATGAGATTTTTAGGGGACAAATATCCAAACGGTATCACCAGATGATGCTGAGGCTCATGGACCAGAGTCCATACTTTGAGAACCACTGCTGTCAACAGATTGGTAATGCTTTTCCACAGTAGACCTGACTTTTCAACTTCAAATGTCCTCTAAATGTATCCGTTATTATAACTAGTTAAGGGAGAATCTGAGGAAGAAAACAATTCCTGAGCTTTTATTTTGCTTTCATTGCCCCAGTGGTTATAACCTGGTCTATTTAACCATTCCCTGTAGTCTTCTAGCAATGACCAGTTTGAGGAGAACGTGGTCTTTGAAATGAGTCTTGAAGGATAAATAGGAGTTCAGCAAAACAACAAGAGACACGGAAGGAGCGGGAAGAAGCTTGAGTGAAGAGCTTGGTTGGGTGAGCTGGAAGGGCATGGGCTTCCGAGGACAGCTATCAGTTCTCCATGAACCGAGAGCAGCGGGTAGGGTGAGTGGAGGAAATGCCCTGGATAGCTTTGTGCAAAGAACATAGGGCTGGATTTTAAAGAATTTTGAATGTCATATGACAGATAATTTTTTAAAATGGAAGTAACTTTTTAAAATAATATGTCATACTATTTTTTTTTTTTTGAGACCGAGTTTCGCTCTTGTTGCCTGGGCTGGGGTGCAATGGTGTGATCTCGGCTCACTGCAACCTCCGCCTCCTGGATTCAAGCAATTCTCCTGTCTCAGCCTCCCAAGTAGCTGGGATTATAGGCATGTGCCACCACGCCTGGCTAATTTTTTGTATTTAGTAGAAATGGGGTTTCACCATGTTAGTCAGGCTGGTCTTGAACTCCTGACCTCAGGTGATCCACCCACCTCAGCTTCCCAAAGTGCTGGGATTACAGGTAGGCGCCACCTTGCCTGGCCACGAAATTTTTTTTAAACACTAGAAAAAGGTAAAAGTAAAAGGGCCTGAAAAAGGGCATTCCCAGCCCTCACTTTTTTGGTGAATTAAAATCAAGTGAAAAATAAACGCAGGAGTCAGATAAAGTGACTTAGAAATATCAGCTTTATTACTGCTGAAACCTATATTAGAGTAAGGGGATTTTCTTGTTGGGCAGCCAGGTGGCCTTTCTAATGCTATACTCCAGGCTTAAACTCACCCTTTAGTCATGGCCCATGCTGGACAACTCCAGCTTCCCCTGTGGGGATGAGTTAGACCCCCTTTCTACTAGCATGGGACCAGGGTGAAGCAAGCCAGGCACTAAGGTGAGAATTTAAGGAGGGCTGAATAAGGGCAGGGCTGGCCTATAGCTGTTTGATTTGCACATTAGAGGCAAGAGGAAGGCACTGAACCAAGATTTCTAATTCTTTCTCCCAACCTCACTGTGACAAAGGGAAGAGGAGTGTGGATAGGAGAAGAGTCGTAGTGTTCACATGGCAGAAGTCCTCTCCCCAGAAACATTAGGATGAGAAAATGTTTCTGATAATAACTGCTCTTAATATTTTTGTGTATTTCCTATCCATACTTTATTAGGTATGTTTTTACATACATAGTATAGACACTGCTCTATAGTGCTTCTCTTTTGTTTACTTTATGGCATCCCTTAACCCACTTTAGTACATAATGACTGTCTTAGCTTGGATTGCTGTAACAAAGGACCATAGACTGAGTGACTTTATAATCAACAAGAATTTATTTCTGACAGTTCTGGAGGCTGGAAGTCCGAGATCAGGGTGCCAGCAAGGTTGGGTTCCGGTGAGGACTTTCTTTTGGGTGGCAGACTGCCACCTTCTGGTAACCTCACACGGTGGAAAGAAGGTGACAGAGCTTTCTGGGGTCCCTTTTTTTTTTTTTTTTTTTTGAGATGGAATCTCACTCTGTCACTCAGGCTGGAGTGTAGTGGCATGATCTCGACTCACTGCAACCTCCGCCTCCCAGGTTCAAGTGATTCTCCTGCCTCAGCCTCCCGAGTAGCTGGGATTACAGGCACGTGCCACCACGCCCACCTAATTTTTTGTATTTTTAGTAGAGCTGGGGTTTCACTGTGTTAGCTTGGATGGTCTTGATCTCCTGATTTCATGATCCACATGCCTCGGCCTTCCAAAGTGTTGGGATTACAGGTGTGAGCCACCGCGCCCAGCCCTGGGGTCCCTTTTATAATGGCAATAATCCCACTCATTAGGGCACCATCTTCATGACCTATTACCTCCCAAAGGCCTCACCTCCTATTGGCATCACATTGGGGGTTAGCATTTTAATATGCAAATTTTGGGGGGACATTCAGTTCATTCAGACCAACCTTTTTAATGGTTAGAGGGTAGTTTGTCATATGGTTTTATCATAATTTATTTAATTAAATCTATTGGTGGGTAATTGTTTCCATTGTTTAATCAATATCAGTAATAAGTGAAGAACAACCTTTTGGTTAGGAGTGTGAATTATGGAACCCTACTGCCTTGAATCAACCCCTGACTCTGCTACTTAGTAGCTTACCCTTTTGTGCCTTAGTTTTTTCAACTTTATGATGAAAATATTATTAGGTATCTCACAGGGCTGGTGTGAAGATTAAAAGAGTTAATAACATGTACAAAGTTTAGAAATGCCTGGCCCAGATCAAGCATTCAACCAATGTTAGCAGCACACAACAACAATTGAAATGAGTAGACCAAAGAGTGAGCAAATTTTTAAGGTCCTTGTTGTATATTATGAAAAACTCATGGAGAACAGTTTTATTTAATATGCATAGTAGGACACCACTTTTCAAACATTTTCACTGAAGTTTCCAGATGATGGGAAAGACTAAACATATGCTTCCAAAGAAGATGGAGAGACAGTGATCCTTAAGCCTGCCGCAAAATTTTTTTGAAGTCTCAACTTTTATAAAAATTAATGAGAATATGCATTCTGTTCCTTAGGAATTTGTGTCTATTTTGATTTTTAAAAATTTCAAGTGAATCACAAAGCAAATAAATTGCAAGCTGTTCTCTAAAATTTTCTATTAAAACTGACCCTCTAGAAAGATGTGCCACATTTAACGATGGTTCCAAGTCCCTCTTGGCCCACTACTGTGTACCCCAGTGTGTGGCAATGGAAACTGTGGTTTTTGAACCTTGGAGCAACTTAATCAAATAGATGTTTATAAATATTAATTTGTGTATAAGATGGACTTCAGAGTACAGACTTTACAAATGGGTTCCTCTCCTCCAGCTTTGTAGGGCTGGAAAGTCAATACATGTGCATGCATGCATATGTGTGTATTTGCTTAAATTGTCAGTTTAGTGATTCTATCTCATTTACTCCTCACTCCATATACTTGGTTCACCCATTCTTGCTTAATTTCTCATAGTTAAATCCTGAATTAAATAACTTTTAAAAAAATATGTGGTAATATACAAATTTGGGGTTTAGGGGATCCAATGAGCAGTTGTCATCAAGAGCCTGCTGGATTAGGTAAGCAGCCTCCTTACAGAATGGTAGTTAAGCTGTTTATTACACTTACACAACTCACAGTTGAATTCCACTAAGATTATGTCCAAAGTGAAGACATGTTTGTATACTGGAGTGTCCAAGAAAAGATGAAACATTCAGAAATTCAGGCTGATGGGAGCAAATAGAACAAAAGAGATAAAATGTCAGGGAAGAAAAGATAATATACTACAGGTAGAAGCCAGAGAGAAGATTTTGGCAAGACTCGCTTCAAAATGGATTACCCTAGTGCTGATTTCTTCAGTATCAAGTTAGCAGAGAGGGGTAGGATCAGTGGTTCAGGGATGTTTATGGTGATAACATGATCTAGATCTTTATTGGTATACTACATCCATTTATAATTTTTATTTAAGTTTACTCTATTTGAAATGGCAAAAAGCCACATTTGAGTTATTTCCTGCCTTTGTTTTGCTTTTTTTTTTTGCCACCTACCTTCAAATTATTGGTGCAGTAAAGATTCACAAATTTATATTTACAGTTCTCTTTTAAAATTTATGAGCAGACATTGCAGCTGTTGGCTTCTCTTTCAAGCCATCTAAACTAGGGCCTGATAAAAGGATTTCTTATATCCCTGTGAACTGATAAATTAATTCTTACCCACCAGTGAGTGCTCTAGAAGAACTAGTATATAATAGGTACTGATGAAACATTTTCTAAAATAAATAAATCAGTTCTTATTTTATATTAGAGAAAAATAAAATTCCATTGTAAGTGTTTCTACTTCCATGATGAGTCTATGTATATATGAATGCTTTTTTTGGCTGAATTTTAACCCTAAGTAATTTAAAATAATTCAAGTTTAGTCATTAATGCAATAGCCATTACAATTATATCTAGAAGTAAAAATTTACAAAATACGTGTATTTCCAGAGCTTAAGCCTGAAGTATCTCCTTTTTAGTCCCTCAGCACTTTTAGGAACTACTTCCCATTTTCTTATTTGATCTGTTTCCATTAATACCATATTCTTGGTAAATTAAGTTCACCTAGAATGATCAAAGCTTGATCACTAGTTGGTCTACTGTATAATATGCCTTTGAGTGATTATTGAATAATTACTTCCATAGAAACACAAAATAATTAAATACATCTGTGTTCTATTAAAAGTTCACAAGTTGTATGCCCTTCTTCCTGATATTAGTAAATAATATGATCAATAAGATTGTCTCTTAAACAGGAAAAAATACTTTGGACTCTAAATGACTAATAAATTAAGTTTAAACAACTTTGGTAGCACTGGGATTTCAGGCAGAAAAAACATAAAAACTTAATAGTTATTTCATTGAGAAAATAAATAATTTTTAATTAATTTTAGCACCAATAGTAAGGATCAAAGAAAATACAGATTTCAAAATATAATGGATTACTATTGAGATTAAATAAATATTTACTTAGTACCATGTGACATACTTTCGTACAAATTGACTTATTTTAGCTATAAAACAACTCATGATGACTAAATATTGGTTTTGAGGTGAAAGTGCGCCTCTACAACAGCCAGCTATTTGGTTGTTTGCAAAACTTGATTGTTTGCAACCCTTGGTTCCACTCATGATTGTAATTATGTTTTTACCTAGAACACTGAAAGATGCAATTTAAGGAATTGCTATTTAGGACCTCATGGAAACCACAAATTCTAAAGGGTTTAGGTTTAATGAAACTAAGAGTGTCAGTACCATGGGAAGATTAAAGAGACAGTTCAGAGCTAGTCTGTGGGATGTGTATATGTTGGGCCAAATAACTGGATCTTTAAATTGACAGGACTCCACTGAAGGTATTTTAGACAGAGAATACCATAACTGTCTTATGGCAGTGTTTCCCAAAATGTGTTCCACTGCAAGCTAGTACATATTACTTTGTAAAATAGTTACATGATCAGTGATGTCTTGGAAATTGTGTTAAATAGGTGGTTTTTTGTTTGTTTAATGCAGAAATTCTGTATTCTTATAATCTAGTGTTGTAACTGTCTAAGAATGGGCTATAGTATGAAACCTTTCCCAAGCTTACTTGTCTGTGAAACATGGTTTTCTTGAATTTGCTACTTGCATCCAGGAACACATTTTGGCAAACACTGTATTATTGAGGTGTTATATAGGAAGGATGAATGAGTTGACCAGAGTTGAAAGAATGGAGACTGGGAGGGGTGAGATCAATGAGATGCCTGCTCTAATAGTTCAGGACAAGAGAATGAGAGTTAGAAAGTGGGTGTTGGCAATGGGAATGGAAAGGAAGAAGACATAATTAGACTTGTCATCTAACTGTGCATGGACTGGAGAAAGTTAAACAGGCAGATAGGATTAAGAAGAAGAAGACGAGTTGGATAGAAAAAAATGAATTGGTTGGAGGAAAGTTGGGCTTGTGGCAGCAGAGAAGAGATGTTTATTTAGCTATTGGAAATAGGAGTCTGGAGATTTGGAAATCACCTGCATAGCAGTGATAATTGAAAGTAGTGGAGTATATGAGATCATTTGGGGAAAAAGGAGAGAAGATCTTTGAAAGCTCACCCAGATCTGTAATATATGTGGAACATCTATGCATGGAGAGAAATTCTCATAAATTTGGTGCTGAGTTTCATGCCCAGTGTCTTAATCCTAAAAATGGATTAAGCAAACTATGCTTCAACATTGAAATACTACTTAAACAGCTGATCAATCAAATCATAATTTACATAAATCAAATTATTTAAACATTTAAATGTTCATTTAACTTTCCTAAACATTTCAATATCATCAATCTAACATATCAGCTTCTTTCACATGCTTCAAGCATTTAAAAACTGGTAAATATTAATACTACTTATTTCTATGAATATAAAACTTATTTTTTACATTCAAAAGCATTGATTCTGTGGATTTAATTCATTTCTTCGTAGTTGTATTTTTTCCCTAGGGTTATAGTAATACTTATTTTATGTTTTCCTGGGGCTACATTCTATTGCCAGACACTAAACGAAAATAATATTGCCTCACACTAGCCATGGTTTCAGCTTACTGATTATTAGACCAATTGATTCTTTTTTCCCTTCTTTGTTGTTGTGAAAAATTTTTTAACATAAGCAAAAGTAGAGGGAATAATATAGTAACTCCCATTACCTATCATTCAATGTCTATAATTATCAGCAGATTGCTAATCTGATTTAATCTACACCTCTTCACCTATCCACTGGCTGGTTATTTTCTTTTTTTACAGCTTTATTGGGATATAGTTTTCATACCACAAAACTTACCCACTGAATTTTTATATAATTCAAACTTTTTGGAAAGTGTATAGAATTGTGCAACCATTACTATAATCCAGTTTAAAAATATTTCAGCACCCCAAAAGATTCAACCAATAAACAGTATGAGACAAACAAGAACATTTGACCCATATATATGAAATAAGCATTCAGTGGAAATTGTCTCTGAGTGGACATTGAAGACAAAGGCTTTAAAGCACCCATTGTCCATATTTTCAAAGAATTAAAGGAAAATATATTTCTAGAATTGAGGGAAAGTATGACAATGATGCAATACATTGAGAATCTCAATAAAGATAAATAATGAAAAAAAAGCCAAATCAAAAGTTTGGAGTTAAAAAATACAATAACTGGCCAGGCGCAGTGGCTCATGCCTGTAATCCCAGCACTTTGGGAGGCCAAGGCAGGCGGATCACGAGGTCAGGAGATAGATCAAGAACATCCTGGCTAACATGGTGAAATCCCATCTCTACTAAAACTACAAAAAATTAGCCGGGCATGATGGCGGGTTCCTGTAGTCCCAGCTACTTGGGAGGCTGAGGCAGGAGAATAGCGTGAACCCGGAAGGAGGAGCTTGCAGTGAGCCGAGATTGCACCACTGAACTCCAGCCTGGGGGACAGAGCGAGACTCCATCTAAAAAAAAAAACCAAAAAACAAACAAACAAAAAAACACAATAACTAAAATGAAAAATTCCCTAGAGGGCCTCAATAGCAGATTTCAGATGGCAGGAAAAAAGAATCAGTGAACTTTTAGTTAGATCAGTAAAAATTATTCAATATGAAGAACAGAGAAAAAAGAAGAGTAAAGAGAAATAAATAGAGCCTTGGAAACCTATGAAAAAACAATTAAAGAAATAATAGCTGAAAGTATTCAGCACTCTGAATATATCACTTCAGGGATTTTGAGACATACCTTTCACTGCCTTCTGGAATCCATTTTTTATGATAATAAATTAGCTTCTAATTGTATTTCTTTCCCTTTTATGAATAGATTTGTTGCTTTTCTCTTTATTATTCTCTCTGAATAATTTGACTAGGATGTTGTCTAGGTGTGTATCTCTTTGTCTTTATCTTGTTTATATTTAGCTTCTTGGATATATAGACTAATCTTAAAAAATAAAATTTGGAAAGAATCGGTATTGGATTTTGTCGAATGCTTTTTTTGATTTATTGATAGGGTCATGTAATTTTTCTCCTTTAACCTGTTGATGTGATGGATTATGTTAATTGATCTTTGAATGTTGAACCAGCCTCACCAACCTGAAATAAATTCTACTTGGTCATGGTGTATATTTCTCATTATACATTGTTGGATCCAATTTGCTAGTATTTTGTTGAGGATGTTTGCATCTTACATTCCTGAGAAATTTTGGTCTATAGTTTTCTTTTCTTGTAATGTCTTTGTCTGCTTTTGGTATTTGGGTCATGATGGCCTCATAGAACGAGTTATGAAGTATTCACTCTGCTTCTGTCTTCTAAAAGAGATTGTAGAGAATTGGTATAGTTTCTTCCTTAAAGGTTTGGTGGAATTCACCAGTGAACCTATGTGAGCCTAGTGCTTTTTGAGCCTAATGCTTTTTGTGAGCCTAGTGCTTTTTGTTTTGGAGGGTTATTAATTATTGATTCAATTTCTTTAACAGATATAGACCTATTCAGATGGTCTGTCTCTTCTTGTGTGAGTTTTTGGATATTGTGTCTTTCAAAGTATTAGTATTAATACACTTTAAGTTTTCAAATTTATGGGCTTGCTCGTAGTAGTTCATTATTATTATTTTTAATGCCCATGGGATCTGTAGTAATGTTTCCTCTTTTACCTATGGTATGAGTAATTTGTGTCCTCTCTTTTCTTAGTTGACCTGGCTAGAGGCTTATTGATTGTACTCATCTTCTCAAAGAACCAGCTTTTGTTTTCAGTAATTTTCTCTTGACTTCCTGTTTTTAATTTTATTGATTTCTGATCTAATTTTTATTATTTCATTCTTTCTGTTTACTGTAGATTTAATTTGCTCTTCTTTGCTAGTTTCCAAAGTAGAAGTTTATATTATTGATTTTAGAGTGTACCCTTTTCTAATCATGCATTTAATATCATAAATTTCCCATTAAGCACTGCTTTTGCTGCATCCCACAAATTTTGATAAATTGTTTTCATTTGCATTTAGTTCAAAATACTTTTAATTTCTCTTGAGATTTCTTCTTTGATTCATGTGCTATGTAGATGTTTGTTGTTCAATTGCCATGTGTTTCTGAATTTTCCAGTTATCTTTCTCTTATTGATTTTTAGTTCAATTCTATTGTGGCCTAAACTTAGACATTGTATGATTTCTCTTCTTTTAAATTTGTTAAGGCATATTGTATAACCCAGAATGTGGCCCATCTTTGTGAATATTCTATGTGAGCTTGAGAAAAATGTGTATTTTGCTGTTGTTACAATGGAAGAGTATATAGATATCAATTATATTTTGTTGATTATGTTTTGAGGTCAACTATGTCCTTACTGAATTTCTGCTTGCTGGATCTGTCCATTTCTGATAGAGGACTATTGAAGCCTTTAATTGTAATAGTGGATTTACCTATTTCTCCATGCAGTTCTACAAGTTTTTGCTTTACATATTTTGATGCCCTGTAGTTAGGCACATACCTGTTGAGGATTGTTATGTCGTCCTGAAGAATTGACCACTTTATTATTATGTAATGCCCCTCTTCCTCCCTGATAACTCTCCTTGCTCTGAAGTCAGCTTTGTCTGAAATATAGCTACTCTTTCTATTGATTAATGTTAGTATTGTATATATTTCTCCATCCATTTATTTTTAATCTACATGTGTCTTTATATTTAAAGTGGGATTCTTGTATTATTTTATTCTTTTATTTATTTTATTATTCTATTTATTCTGACAATCTTTGTCTTTTAATTGGTATATTTAGATCATTGATATTTAAAGTGATTGTTGATGTAGTTGGATCGATCTCTACCATAGTTGTTACTGCTTTCTGTTTGCTGCCCTTGTTCTTTGTTCCTATTTCTGTCTTTCACTTTTTTCTGCCTTTTGAGAGCAATTTATATTATTTCATTTTCCCTTCTCTTTTAACATATCAGTTATACTTCTTCTTAAACAATTTTTGATAGTTATCCTGGATATTGCAATATGTATTTACAATTGATCCATGCCCACTTTCAAATGATACTATAACACTTCACCGGTAGTCAGAGTACCTTATGATAACCATTCTAATTTATTCCTCCTGTTCATATCACTACTGCATTTATTTCACACATAAGGAAGCATATACATGCATACATAATTGAACATATTTTTGCTATGATTATTTCGAACAAACTGCTCCTATGTCAATTAAGAATAAGAAAAATAAAAGCTTTTACTTAACTTTCATTTATTTATTCACAGATACTCTTCTTTATGTAGATCTGAGTGTCTGACCTATATAATTTTCTTTCTAAATAACTTTTTTTTTTTTTGAGACAGAGTCTTGCTCTGTTGCCCAAGCTGAAGTGCAATGGTGCGATCTCAGCTCACTGCAACCTCCGCCTCCCAGGTTCATGCCATTCTCCTGCCTCAGCCTCCCGAGTAGCTGGGACTACAGGTCCCCACCACCATGCTGGCTCATTTTTTTCTATTTTTTAGTAGAGACGGGGTTTCACCATGTTAGCCAGGATGGCCTCGATCTCCTGACCTCATGATCCGCCTGCCTCGGCCTCCAAAAGTGCTGGGATTACAGGAGTGAGCCACCATGCCCGGCCTTCTAAATAACTTTTTATCATTTCTTGCAAGGTGAATGTACTGGCAACAAATTCTTTCAATTTCTGTTTGCCTGAGAGAGTCTTTATTTTTTTCTTCTTTTTGAAGGATAATTTCACAGTGTACAAAATTCTAGGAAGATGGCTTCTTTTCCTCTCAACACTTTAAATATTTAATCCTACTCTCTTCTTGCTCGCATGGTTTCTGAAGAGAAGTGAGAGGTAACTGTTATCTTTACTCCTATATAGGTAAGCTATATTTTTCCTCTAGGCATAGGGTTTTTTTTTTTTTCTGTTTTGTTTTTGTTTTCATTTCTCTTGCTTGGTGCTCTCTGAGCTTCCTGAATGTGTAGTTTGGTGCCCGACACTGGTTTACGGAAAATCTTGTCTTTACTGCTTCAAATATTTTTTCTGTTTCTTTCCAGTATTCTGTTCATTTTGGTATTCCCATTGTAAGTCTGTTATGCTTTTTGTAGTTGTTCCTCTGTTCTTGGGTGTTCTGTTCTGCTATTGGTTTTTTGTTTTTTTTTTTCAATCTTTTTTCTCTCTGCTTTTCTGTTTTAGAAGTTTCTATTGAGATATATTCAAGATCAGAGGTTCTTTTCTCAGCTGTGTCCATTCTACTAATGAGCTCATCAAAGGAATTCTTCTTTTCTGATACAGTATTTTTTATGTATAAGATTTCTTTTTGATTCTTTCTTGGAAATTATGTTGTTTATCTGTTCTTGCATGCTGTCTACTTTAACCATTACCATGTTTAGCATATTAATCATAGTTTATTAAATTCCCTGTCTGATAATTCCAACATCCCTGCCATATCTGAGGCCAGTTCTGATGCTTGCTGTGCTTCCTCAAATTTTATTTTGTTGCCCTTTAGTATACCTTGTATTTTTTTTTCATAGCTGGATATAACATACTAGGTAAAAAGTACTGCTGTAAATCGCCCTTTAGTAATGTGTTGGTAAGGTGTGGGGGAGGCAATGTGTTCTAGAGTGTTCTGATTAGGTCTGACTCTTTTAATGAGCCTGTGTCTCTGCACTGTAAACTTCACAAGTGCATCACAGTTTTGTTTTTTCTTTTCACTATTTTTCTTTATTTTTACCCTCTCAGATGGTATAGAATTGCTCTAGTGGGCTAGAGCTTGATATTTTCCTCCCTCCAGGTAAATTAGGTTCTGAGAAAAGCCTAGTAGATTAGGCTGTAGTTAAATAGTTTCTCTAATAATAAGGTCTGAGGGCAGACCTTATTAAGAACAGAATTATATGACGTATTTCAATATGGCTACTTTCTCCTCACCTTGCTGGAAACATGAGAGCTTTGTCTCCATTATTCTCTGTGACAACCCAGTAGAGCTACTATAGGTAAAACTCACAAAAGTGTGCCCCCACCTCCAAGACTGGGTGCCCCTGGAGTTCTTAACTCTCAGGCTTTTCCACATTAGTCTCCAGCAATTTGTCGGTTACAGTTTAGGTTTTCCTACCTTGGAAATGGTTCCTGCAGAGGTTTCTGTTCATGGGTTTCTTCTTTGGTAGGTTGTGATTCTCTGTATTTGCCTGTCTTTCCAATTTTAGGGGCAGTGGTTTGCCCTGTGGCCCTACTTTTCTTATGGATCTAAGAAGAATTGCTGATTTTTCAGTTTGTTCAGCTTTTTACTTGTTAGGATGGAGTGGTGATTTCCAAGCTCTTTATATGCTGGACTGGAAACTGGAAGTCCATTTTTCCAATTTTTAATAAAAACTTCCTTAGCTTTGTGCTTAGTCTGTTTTTGATTCAAGATATGAGTGATGTTTTAACAATAACTGAAAATGGAAATGATTTTCAAGTTGCTTTTTACTCTGAAAAATTTAAGTATACAGAAAAGTAGAGAGGACCACAACTAACACCCTTGCCTATTGCCTAGAAATGGCACTTATCAAGCTTTTACCATATTATTTTAGTTTTCCTTTTTTGTTATTGTTTTTATTGTTGAGGTATTTTAAATAAATCCCTTGGTACTTCACATGATATACTTTAGTACATGTGAGTATCTCTAATCCAAAATACTTGGGACCAGAAGTGTTTCATATTTCAGATTTTTTTTTATTTTGGAATATTTGCATATCATAATGAGTTCAGGCTGGGATGGGACCCAAGCCTGAACATGAAATTCATTTATGTTTCATATATATCTTGTACACATAACCTGAAGGTAATTTTATACAATATTTTAAATAATTGTGTTCTGTTCGTATACATTGAATCATCAGAAAACAAAGGTTTCACTGTCTCATTTCAGTGCCCCAAAAGTTTTGGATTTTGGAGCATTTGGGGTTTCAGCTATTTAGATTAGTGACAGTCAACCTATATGCATCTCCAGAAAACATGGACATTTTCCTGTAACTACCATGCCATTATCAAATCTAACAATATTAACATTTCTTTGATTTTATCCAATAACCAGTCCTTATTGAATTTTCCTCAGGTGCTTCAAAAAATGTGGTTTTCTTTTATCAGTTGATTTGTTCAAATCAGAATCTAAAGAAAGCCAGTAACTGATTTTGGGAAAAAACTTATTCTATGGAAAAAGCATTTTGAGAAATACATGTTTGAAAATGTTTACACTGTTATATGATTTTGTGCTGAAAATAATGTAAGCATTTCACACTTTTTAAATCCCATATCTCTCTCCACTCTTAATCTGCTGGAGGTGCACTTTTCCTCTAGCCAGACTCTCTCTATTGTTCTGCCATAGATGTCTTTGACAGCCTTCTGGGAATGCCTGCTGTGGCCAGGTGCAGAGGGTTTGCCCTTCTTCCTGTCTTTAAGTGGGAAAAGCTTGCCTTCTGGGCTGAGTGCTTCCAGCTTTTCCTTATTACCACTTGTCATATTAAATATTTGTTCACATATTTTGTCTCTTATTACTTAGAAGCCATTTCCTTACAGTTATTTTTAGTTCTCACTGTCTAGTATCACATGGCACCTGAGGTTCTAAACTACCACTTGGGACAAAATGCTGCTTTTTGAAGATTGAAGAAAAAACTCAACTGCTTTATGTCTTTTGGGTGAATTATAACTCAAAATGTCCAGAACACCATTCTATTCAATAATTTGTAAGTAATTATCTCATTTGATTTTCCCAGTCTTCTGTGTTCCCAAAGCATAGCAGTATAATGCCAGTGGGAAGACATAGAACAGAAGAAAGCTAGCAGAGGAGGAGAATATTTGATTGGGGTAATTAATGTCTCAATAAATTCAGGTTTCTGATGTGGTTTCTATCTGAAAGTGTAATTTGGAAAATATCTAACATGAGAGTACTTGACTTCTAAAATTATACCTAATGTAGACTAAACACCATCAAACTTATTACATGGGGATTTGACTTCTTAATGTAGGTACAACCTTAGATAAACTCATTTTAATACATTTAGTGTTATACACAACCCACTTTAGAGAACCCTAGTTCCATTATAATTAATTATTTATTGAAACCCATCTGTGTACTTACCTCTGAATAGCTATAAATGAAAACCTAGTCCTTCCCTAGGGCCCTTCTGAGCTAAATTCTGTTGGTTAATGTCCTGGTATTATTGGACAACGGATTGATCCATAGCTCAGAAAAATTCTCTGAAGTTTACATTAATTATGAAAACCATGAAAAGTGATCTTTTATATTTGCTCTAAGCAAAAGTTAGAATCAATTGTTTTTTAAGTACCAAATATGGTTGTTGGTAAATCTCTTAGGTAACACTTCAGAGTATTAGTACATGGGTAAACTCAGTTGGTGTATTGATTAATGATTAGATTAAGGATTAAATCTCTCACTTGCCTTCACAAAGGACAAACCCCACTAATATCTGTGTCGATGCTTTCAATGTTCACAACAGGCAGGGCCACCAACGAAGTTTTAAGCAGTGTTGTCACTGCTATAAAGTACATCACTCAATGCTCACATTTTGCTAACTTTGACTGAGTGTTCTCATTGCCTGCAAGCCACAGCTAATGCTCTGGGGCTTTGCTGCTGGAACTCAGGTCTGGCAGCAACTTTGGCATCACTTAGTTGCTCATGCAGGCCACAGAGACCTGTTGAATCAGAATTTGAATCTGTATTTTTAACAAGGTCCCTAGGTGGTTCATAGACACATTTAAGTCTAAGAGACATTGTACTTAGTCCATTAGAGAACTGTTGGAGCTATGAGAGCCGAGAGGTTCTTCTCTCTCTATAGATAGAAAACAAGGTCCCAGAGGGCTCAAGAGATCTGCCCAGTTATAATTAAGCAGGTTAGTGGCAGAGATAGAGTCAGGTCAGGCCCTGTCCCACATGTTGGTGACATCTGTTGTCTCTCAGCAGACCATCCCCAACCTGTATGTAGCAACCTCAGCATTGTCTCTCTCTTGGTGAAGTCCAGTCTGCACTGCCAGTCAAAAGCAAGTTCCTTGCACCTCTCTACCTTGCCTCCACTTACAGGGAATGTGACTCAAGATGGGTCAATTAGCTTCTCACTCTGGGTCATGCAATCTTGAGTGAAGACACACAGGGATGCAAGGTACCTGGAGTTGGATCATCTAGTGGTAGCACTACAGAGGAAGACCCATGGGCTCTTTCCTGTTGCTGCTGCAGGAGAAGAGCTGCTTCCTGTGGTAGCAGAGTTGTCCAGCACTTCCTTCTATTCCATTCCTTAGAAATAACCACTATCAATTCTTTCTTTATAAAAAATCCATAATCCTTTCAGAATTTCCAGGCATAAACCAGTGTATGTGCCTTTATAAATTATGTAAATTTCCTCATCCCACAGACACTATTCTACATCTTGTTTGTTCCCTTAGTGTAAGTCGTAATTCCTTGTGGAGAGTTCAGAATCTTGCATTTTAGAGCTGTAATACAGTGCACACAGCGAATGTCATACAATACTACTAGTGGGGTCTAGGGCAGCACCTTATAATTAAACACATTAAATTTTTTTTGGAACTAGAAGATATGAGTATTCTATTCACACCAAGTTAGATAAATTAAGACTTTACATATTCTTGTGTCAGGTCAGTATTTGATGCCAAGTGAGTGTAGGATTGGCCATGTTTTGCCACCAATTAAGTTTCTAAAAAAAAACAAAACTAATTTCTAGAGTATTTTGGATTTTGGAATTGTGTATAAGAAATTATGGAACATATAATTCATCTTGAAGATAGGATTTTCAAATCAGTACTTATAGATCTACCTCAATATTTTTCATTTCTGCAGACATATTCCGTTATACGGATGCAACATAATTCATTTAACCAATCTTCTATTGATGGACATTTAGAATTTTCCAATGTCTGGTCTTACATATAATGTTGCACTGATTATCCCTGTGTGTTTATTTTAATGTACTTGTACAAATAGAAAACAACAATTTAAATGTATGAACAGGGCCAATTTGAGGAAAAATGTTTCTCATTTGCTGGTTGCAATTGATTTCTCCCATTGTGGAAAGACATTTATGTAGAAAATTCTACATTATGTAGAAAATTCTAAATCCAATGGTGGAAAATACCTTGGTATTGTGGAAAGATCTCAGTGCTGAGAGTCAGAACCCATGTTCTAGTTCAGTCCACACCATTTAACATGAGCAATTCCAGTTTTTTGTGCATCATTTTCTCAGTCCATAAAATATAGAATTGTAATATATCAATCAATATGATTTCCACTGAACAGGTGCTGTTTTAGGTGCGTAAAAAAAAATCAGTGACCCCAAAAACACAATAATCCCTACTCACATGGAACCTACATTTTAATGAAAAAGAACAACAATAAACATGATAACTAAGTAAAAATTTAGTATGTAGGATAGTAAAAAGTGTTAAGGAAAAAAAGAAGAAACAAGGCAGGAAAAGGTAATAGGATAGGTCAAGGAGGAGAATTAAAATTTAGACATTAGAGTCAGGGACAACTTCACTCAAAATATCTGCACAGAGCCTGGATGAAGCAGATAAACTATCCACGCAGATATGTGGGGATGAACAGTCCAGGCAGCAGAACTAGCAAGTGCCAAGATGCTAAGGCAAGATCATTCCAGGAATGTTCAAGAAGTTCCAAAGGCCAGTGTGGCTAACAATATGGGGTGGGGAAGAAGAAGGAGGTGAGCTTAGACAGACAGCAGGGAGCAGATGAAAGGGCTTTATAGGTTTCAGGAAGGAATTTGGCCTGTAGTCTCTGTGAGATATGAGGCCCTTGGAGGATTGCAGACACAAAAGAAATGTGATCTGGTTAATAGTTTCAAAGGGCCTCTCTGTTTTAAAACTATACTGAAAGGGGGCAAGGGCAAAGTGGGGAGACTAGGATGGAAGCTATTGAGCCGATCCAGACAAAAGATAATGGTGGAAAGTGTTGAGCGGTGAGAAATGGCTAAATTCTGGATATAATCTGAAGATAAATTTAATAGGAGTCATTGATGGATTTGATACAGGATGTGGGAGTAAAAGAATTTAACAATGACTCTGGAGTTTGTTGTCTAAGCAACTGGAAGAATAGAGTTGTATCAAGTGAGATGGGAAGCAGACTGCTTGGCTTTGGATGTATGGAGTTTGAGATGTCTACCAGATATTCTAGTAAAAATGTCCTATCCAAGTTGACACTTGGATAGAGATGAGTCTGGAGTTTAAGGGGGAGTGATCTAGGTTGGAGACATAAATTTGGCAGTCATCAATGTGTAGATGGAATTTAAAAATTTAAAGCTTTGAGACTGGATGGGATCACACAGGGAGTGCGTATAGTCAGAATGAGAGGTCTGGACTGAATCTGGAGGAATTTCAACAATTAGGGGTGAAAGAGAGAAGGAGGAGGGAGCAACATTCAGTAGGAATGGACAGAGAGGGAGGAGGAAGTCAGGAGAGCACGGTGTCCTGGAAGCCAAGTGAAGACAATGTTTCCAGGAGGAGAGTGGAAACGCTGCTGCCAGGTCAGGTTAGGAGAGAAATTTGGCATCAGAGGGTCACTGTGAACCTAAGAACAATTCAGTGGAGTGGTGGGGATGATAGAGTGACTGTAGCAGGTTCAAAAGAGATGGGAGGAGAGAAATGGAGGATGGTGAATGTTGCAACTCTCCTAGGTAGTTTTTGTGGACATGTGTAACAGAAAGAAAAGCAGTGGAACCTGATGGGGGCAGGTGGCACCAAGGCAAATCTTTGTTTTTTAAATTGGAGAATTAATGTCATGTTTATATGCTAATGAAAGTGATTCAATAGAGAGGGAAAATGTGGATGCTACAAGAGAGGGAAGGCTTTTTGGAGCACATCAACTGAGCAGATGGAAGGGGATGGGATCTAGTGCAGAACTGGGGGTCTGGCCTCGTCTAAGCTCTTCTACAGCAATGGGAGAGACTCTAGTAGGCAGGAAATGTGGTGGGAACTTGTGGAAGTTCTGTTTTTATGCTTCAAAAATGGGAGGTTAGGACATTACTGAGAGTAAAGCAGAACTCTGGGGAGGAAAGGAATGAGGCAGAGGGCTGCTGTTTATTATTATTAAATAATATGATTTAATAACTGTGCTACTACTTGACAATTAAAACTATGTACATATATTAATTTGATAAAACAAACATTTTTAAAAAATAAGAGAGGAGAATGTCTGGACTACTTCTCTGGGTGAATTTTGGGAAACCCTTGAGATGAATGGAGGGACACACAACCAGCTGTGGAGTCACGGTTCTGGAATGGAATGCCCAAGGTCAGAATGAACCACTGGAGTATGAAAGATTTTCTTTGGATTTTAAAACATGAAGAATATTAAAAGTAACAAAACAATATTAATGCATTTCACTAGGACTTCTATCAGGAGAGATCCTGCCTCTTACAATTTCAAATATATTTCAGTGATTAAGCAACGTTAATCATTGCTATTTCTGCCTTTCAAAGTCTCAAACAAATAGTTATTCAGCTCTATGATGTTGGGAGCTCTTTGTATCCTTTGTAACTGGAAGACTGAGACTGGAGGATCTCCCTCTCTGTCTTTCCCACCCCTCCCTCTCTCTTTGTTCCACCTCTTTCTCTGTCTTTTCCCTTCATCCTGTTGCAAGACATGGGCCTCCACAAGTCACATTCTCAGTCAGGAACTATTTTTTTTTGAGATGGAGTCTTGCTTTGTTGCCCAGGCTACAGTGCAGTGGCATGATCTGCAGCCTCTGCCTTCCAGACGCAAGCAATCCTCCCACCTCAGCCTCCCAAGTAGCTGGGACTACAAGTGTGTGCCCACCACATCCAGCTACTTTTTGTATTTTTTGTAGAGATGGGGTTTCACCGCATTACCTAGCCTGGTTTCGACCTCCTGTGCTTAAGTAATCTGGCCACCTCAGCCTTTCAAGGTGCGGGGATTACAGGTGTGAGCCACTGTGCCCGACTCAGTGAGGAACTTCTTTATTTTCCTGAGAATCTCGTTTTTTCTTCCCTCTATCTAAATTGAACTTATTTTTCAAAATTCACATCAAATTTTGCTTTCACACTGAAGTTTCTTTTGACCAATCCAGTTCTCAGTTATCTTTTCCTCTTTTTCTTTACTTCTCTTTATACTTGGAGAGATAAAAAACCCAGGTCTATTGTTGGAAATAGTGAAAGGGCGTTAAGGTGTTATATGTTTGGAAGAATTTGTATGTGTAAGTCTCTCTATGAATTTTTAATAGAGCAGCTTAGAAGGGAAAAGGAAGTTTTCAATAGAAAACTTGGACTAAATATCAGGACATTTGTATTTTTAGAATACAATACTAAAAGTTGGATTTTTATAAAAGTAGGACTTTAAAAGGAAGTTTTCAATAGAAAACTTGGACTAAATATCAGGACATTTGTATTTTAGTCCTGACTCTGCCACTAGCAGTTTGGCTTTGATCAAGTTATGTAACTTCTTTGTCCCTCAATAGCCTCATCTTTAAAATTAATGTCTTGGACTACATAATCCAACTCTAGACACAATGGCTAAAATGCAAACATTCAGCTGCAATTTAAAGATAGGAAGTGTTCGTTGGGGGCAGATTTTGCCTTTGAGGGTGTGTGGGATTATGGGTTGGCACTGGACTTTATGTGCCTCAGACAATGTCCGTTGTCAGACTACTCACCATCCTGTGGAGCTGCCGTCCCATCCCCAGACCTCTTACCCTGCCACCATAGGGGCACCGCACTAGCTCTTGCTTGTCTGGGTCTTTGTTCTGAGCTGCTTACCCTGGCCCACCCCTCTTTCATGGTTATTTCAATCTGCATCCTCTCAGCTTTTACACTGAATTGCTTTCTCTTTTTTCTTTTCTTTTTTTTTTTTAAGTTTATTGAGACTTTTATTATTGTCCAATGTATGAGCTATCTTGATAAATGTTTCAAGTACACTTGAATATGTTTTCTACTTTTAAAAAAAATTATACTTTAAGTTCTGGGATACAAGTGCAGAACGTGCAGGTTTGTTACATAGGTGTACACGTGCCATGGTGGTTTGCTGCACCCATCAACCCATCATCTACATTAGATATTTCTCCTAATGCTCTCCCTCCCTTTGCCCCTCACCCCTCGACAGGCCCTGGTGTGTGATGTTCCCCTCCCTGTGTCCATGTGTTCTCATTGTTCAACTCCCACTTATGAGTGAGAACATGCGGTGGTTGGTTTTCTGTTTCTGTTAGTTTGATGAGAATGATGGTTTCCAGCTTCAACCGTGTCCCTGCAAAGGACATGAACTCATCCTTTTTTATGGCTGCATAGTATTCCATGGTGTATATGTGGCACATTTTCTTTATCCAGTCTATTATTGATGGGCATTGGGGTTGGTTCCAAGTCTTTTCTATTGTGAATAGTGCTGCAATAAACATACTATCCAGAATCTACAAAGAATTTAAGCAAATACAAGAGAAAAACAACCCCATCAAAAAGTGGGCAAAGGATATGAACAGACACTTCTCAAAAGAAGACAGTAGAGGCGACCTAAACATGGAGACAGCGGGCTCTGGTACTGGGCAGCCGGCCTCTCTGCTGGAGGCTCCCGGGTCCACGGATGACCGGCTTTTCCTGGTTAAAGGTGGAATTTTCCTTGGTACTGTTGCTGCAGCAGGAACGCTAGCTGGATTTATTACAACATTATCATTGGCTAAAAAGAAAAGCCCTGAATGGTTCAATAAGGGAAGTATGGTCACGACTGCATTACCGGAAAGCGGGTCTTCCCTTGCCTTGCGAGCTCTGGGCTGCGGCTCACTGTATGCATGGTGTGGGGTTGGTGTGATTAGCTTCTCAGTCTGGAAAGCTTTAGGGGTTCACAGTGACATGTAAGAGATATCCTCATTTTAATTGAAGGCTACATCACCAACTTTCTACCCGAGAAGTCGTTTTTCTTCGGGACCCACAATCAAAGGCTTTCCTCCGGCATGAGAAAGGAGTAACATTCCCGCCTGGTGAGTTTTTAGTGCTGGAGTGACTCCCAGCCGGCCCCTACCCCGCTCAAGCTCCTGCTGACTGTCCCAGTGTGGGTCCTGGCCAAGACTGGCACCAAGGCAGTGGGATCCTTTATAAGTAGGCCTCCAGCGCCATACACCAGAAAGCAGGAGCCCACTTCTGGGACACTGGGAGAGGGTGCAGGCAGCCACCAGTACGCAAAGCACAGTGCCCTATCCTTCCCGGCAGGGTCACAGTTCAGAAGATGTAACCTGATTTTCATCTGTAGTTAATAGAAGCATTTTGCCTTGACATTCATACTAAAAATAGAAAACACTAGTAATTCCAGGGATCTGGGTTAGTCTCTTAAGCATGTCAACTATTGATGAGAATACTCTTTGTAAAACTAACTCCAGAAATCACTTGCTAGAGAAGCAGCCCTTCATTGCCTTAGTCTGAGCACCCACGGAAAGCACGTGTTGGAGGCGCTGGCAAGGGCCGCGCAGCCGCAGTAGAGGGCCAGGGGGCGGGTGGTGCGCACCCGCCACAGAGGGCTGAAGGTGCTGCCCACGGCTTTCTTGGCGTCTCGACGTTTTGGTCAGCGGCTTTTTTCCATTCTTTCCCTCCACTTCTTGAGTGAGCAGCCATGAGTTGGACTGTACCTGTTGTGTGGGCCAGCCAGAGAGTGAGCTCGGCAGGAGCGAATTTTCTGTGCCTGGGGATGGCCCTGTGTCCCCGTCAGGCAGCGTGCATGCCACTCATGGGCACCTGGCTCTTCACCTCCGTGAGCAAGATGGCGACTGTGAAGAGTGAGCTTATTGAGTGCTTCACTTCCGAGGAGCCCTTTCATCACAGAAAGGTCTCCATCACAGGAACTGGATCAGTGGGCATGGCCTGCGCTACCAGCATCTTATTAAAAGGCTTGAGTGATGAACTTGCCTTTGTGGATCTTGATGAAGGCAAACTGAAAGGTGAGACAATGGATCTTCAACATGACAGCCCTTTCATGAAAATGTCAAATATTGTTTGTAGCAAAGATTACCTTGTCACAGCAAACCCCCATCTAGTGATTATCACAGCAGGTGCACGCCGAGAAAAGGGAGAAATGCGCTTTAATTTAGTCCGGCAAAATGTGGCCATCTTCAAGTTAATGATTTCCAGTATTGTCCAGCAGAGCCCCCTCTGCAAACTAATTATTGTTTCCAATCCAGTAGATATCTTAACTTACGTAGCCTGGAAGTTGAGTGCATTTCCCAAAAACCGTGTTATTGGAAGCGGCTGTAATCTGGATACTGTTCGTTTTCAATTCTTCATTGGACAAAAGCTTGGTATCCACTCTGAAAGCTGCCGTGGATGGATCCTCGGAGAGCATGGAGACTCAAGTGTTCCTGTGTGGAGTGGAATGAACATAGCTGGTGTCCTTTTGAAGGATCTGAACTCTGATATAGGAACTGATAAAGATCCTGAGAAATGGAAAAATGTCCACAAAGAAGTGATTGCTAGTGCCTATGAGATTATTGAAATGAAAAGTTCTACTTCGTGGGCCATTGGCCTATCTGGAGCTGATTTAACAGAAAGTATTTTGAAGAATCTTAGGAGAAAACATCCAGTTTCCACCATAATTAAGGGCCTCTACGGAATAAATGAAGAAGTCTTCCTCAGTATTCCTTCTTTGGAGAGAAGGGTATTACCAACCTTATAAAGAGAAAGCTGACCCCTGAAGAGGAGGCCCATCTGAAAAAGAGTGCAAAAACACTTTGGGAAATTCAGAAGGAGCTTGAGACTTAAAGTTGTCTAAAACTACCATTCCGAAATTATTGAAGAGATCATAGATACAGGATTATATATCAAAATTTTCAATAAACTTGAATTCCTGAAAGATGGAAACAGGAAAGTGGGTAGAGTGACTTTCCTTTTTATTTAGTCTTCCAGCTCTTTTATTTAGCATCCAGGTGCTGGATGATACTTATTTACAATTCCTAAAGAAAGTGTTTTTGGTAATGCTGATATAGCAGTACTTACCTTGTTATATATATGTAGTTGGCATTTGGTTCCTAAAAAGTAGGATGTAGGTATTTACTGTGTTTGAGAAATTCTGATTCTTTTCACTAGATATATGCTATTTATTCTTGCTGGCTTATACCTATGTTCATTTATATGCTGTAAAAAAGTGGTAATTTACAATGTAAAAATAAAAGTATGCATATACAAAAAAAAGAAGACATTTATGCGGCCAACAAACATGAAAAAAGCTCATTATCACTGGTCATTACAGAAATGCAAATCAAAACCACAATGAGATACCATCTCATGCCAGTTAGAATGGCAATCACTAAAAAGTCAGGAAACAACAGATGCTGGAGAGAATGTGGAGAAATAGGAACATATTTACACTACTGGTGGGAGTGTAAATTAGTTCAACCACTGTGGAAGACAGTGCGGTGATTCCTCAAGGATCTAGAACCAGAAATATCATTTGACCCAGCAATCCCATTACTGGGTATATACCCAATGGATTATAAATCATTGTACTATAAAGACACATGCTTTCTCTTTTTTCTAACTTGCTCTTCAGACTTAATGCTCAGTATTACCTTCCTCACTATGAGTTTGTCTCCCCTAGAAGATAGTCTATGTATTCCATTTGGCTGTGGATCTGATTCTGCTTGGGGCATGTATTTCTCTTGAATACTTGAATACCATGGGACCCACCCATGTTTTCTGGGACTCAGGCATAAGGCAATCACCTCAATTTTCTATGTCCATGTAATGACTCTTGTGCTGGTGTTATCTAACATGTTAACTAGATTGTAGTTGTAGTTCTCTGCATGTAAGGATCAATGCTTTTTTTTCTGCTGATTCCCCAACAACCTTATATAATGTTGAGTTCCTATAAGATGCTTAGAAACTAGTTGTTAATTTGTACATTCCCACTTTTTGGATCTTTACCAAGCTTATCTTTTGTTGGAGGATTTTGTAAAAACAAAAAGGGGAAGAGTAGACACTGCTGAAGGAAAGAACTTAAAAGTCAGGAACTGCCTTGGTTTCCCCTTTTATTTTCTTCCTCTTGCTTTTGTTATCTCCTCTTTCTAATATAGCAATATGAGTGTATGGCTACCACATATATTTGTTTAAATTTAACTTAAAATATCCATTCTAGATAATCTGCCTTTAGCCCTTTTCTATCAGGGTACTATATTTTATCATTAATTAATTCCTTATAATTAACTTCATTTATTTCTTATTAATCTCATAATGGACAAGGAGTACCAGTGCCTGGTTGAATAAAGAGGGGAATCACTTTGTTGTCAGAACAGAAACTCATTCAAACCAGCTCAGGTCAGAAACAAAAAGTGGGGAATGTATTGAATGTCTGATGGTATCTCTAATAACTGTAGAGTAATAATTATAGAGATCTGTCATTTGGTACTGGATCCAGGACCCAGAAAATTTGAATCCAAGGTTATTTGCTTTGTTTTTTTCAGAAGAGTTGATCTCTTGGCTCTGCTCCTATTGGTACATCAACTTTATTTTTCCTGGGTCTTACTGTAGATTATCTTACTGTGCTCCGGCCCGCACATGTTGGTCCCAGCCTCTGCGTTTCCAGATCTCCTAACTCAAACACTCATCAGAAATTAAGTGCAGTCTAGTTTCTGTGTTCCAATTCTAAATTCCAAGAAGAGATTCTGATTGTCCAGCTTTGCTAAGATACAGACCCCCCATCCTGTCAGCAGGGGTTAGGGTGTAGAAGAGTCATGTCCTACAAACATGGGTACAAATATGGGCATCAGCACGGGGGAGGTGCTTACCCCTGAAAGTCCCTAAGTGTTGGCGTGAACAGTTTCGCAATATATACTGGCTGATTTTACTATGGCAGGCTCACAAAGTTTATACAGAATAGACCTTTCCAATCTCCTTGATTTCTTTGTTTTGAAATGTGGCTGATGTCTGAATACAGTATCCAACAAAATAATTAAAGTGCTGTTTGGAGATTTAGCTTGAAGGGCAATCACTTTTTAACTGAATACGTTTCTTAGATCTTGATTTAACTGTCTTTTTTTGGGGTGAAAATTTGTTTGATCTTGTCTTATCATTAGAAAAGATACAGCATGGGAATTCTATGCATTCCTGTAAAGTTCAAACACATTTCCTTTTGTTGACAGGTAGTAATTTGTATGAGGCAGGCAAAGGAAGAATGGCTTCAAACAAATGATTCAAGTTCAGAAATATGCAAATAAATGGATTTTCTAATTGTTTTTTCTTTTTTTCTTTTTTTAAACTTTTACCTTAAGTCTGTTCATTAGTTGTGATTGCTTTGTAACAAGAATCTGGAGGGCATCTAAGGACATCATCACTGATCTGGGGAAACAGGACCTGCTTTGGGGAATTGATCTTACAAGATCAAGGCAGCACTGTCCAACATAAATGTAATGTGAGCCACATATGAAACTTGAAATTTTCTGGTAGCCACGTTAAAAAGTTGGTAAAATAAATCAATAAATTAATTTTAATAATTTTACTGAAACTGATATATTCAAAATATTATTTCAGCATGTGATCAATATAAAAATTATTAATATTTCACACTCTTTTTATATTAAGTCTTTGAAATCTGGTGTGTATTGTACACTTAGAGCACAACTCAATTCAGATGTTAATTTTTCAGTGATTAAAGCGAAATGCAGACCTACCAAAACACGACATTTGTGTTTAATAGAAAAATATTTTACACTGCTTCAGTTTTTTTATTTTAATGCGTTTACATAAAATAAATTCAATTTGTCAATCTGCAGTAACTTCATTGCAAATGATCAGTAGCATTTAGTGATTTCCTATTAAATAATCTCATAGCGGACAGTGGCTTGTGGCCATTGTATTGGATAGCACAGTTTTAGAGAATGGGATTCACGAGATTTGAGACCAGAGTTTATCTTTCACCAGTGAAGCTTAACCTAAGAGGGAATTTTGTTATGAATTGGCGTCCACTGTGTCGCTGCTCAAGTGGGCAGGGTCACCACTTTGCAGCCCTGAAACTTGTCTGTCTCTTGCTCCGGGGCAGACTTTCTTGCAGTCTTGTTCTGCTGGCAATAGTCTTAATGCCTTAATGCTTTAATGACATTACATGAGCTTGGCACAAGTTGCAAACTTGGAGATTATTGTGTTAAAAACTGAAAACTACTGTAGCTAAAGGACTTGCTTTATTTCGATTAACCCTGTGTTTTCTAAGCTTAGTTGACCACAAGTCTCTTTTAAAAGAATAACATTAAGTTACTGCAGGAGACCAAAAATATGTCAAAAATATGCATGAAGACTCTGTAGGAGACCAAAATATGCCACCCCAAAATATTTGTTTGGCATGAAGCTTATTTTGAGCGGATTAATTTGAGAGACTGCAGACACAGGGGAAGCTCCGAAAACAGAGTAGAAGTTGTCCTTTCATAAGGGAAATTTATATTTGTAAAGGAAATCTCTATTAGTAAGGATGTCACTCTATCTCTACCAAGAAAAGGAAGACTGAATTGCTGGAGACTCATCAATGAAGAAGGCACTGACTTAAATCTGCATAACTACCCTTAACCTTTGATATGGTTTGGCTGTGACCCCACCCAAATCTCATCTTGAATTGTAGCTCCCGCAATTCCCATGTGTCATGGGAGGGACCCCATGGGAGACAATTGCATCATGGGGGCAGATCTTTCCCATGCAGTTCTCACGGTAGTGAATAAGTCTCACGAGATCTGATAGTTTTATAAATGGGAGTTCCCCTGCACAAGTTCTCTTGCCCACTGCTATGTAAGAAGTCCCTTTGTTCTTCCTTCATCTTCTGCCGTGATTGTGAGGTCTCTCCAGCCATGTGGAACTGTGAGTCCCTTAAACCTCTTTCCTTTATAAATTACCTAGTCTCGGGTATGTCTTTATTAGCAGCATAAGAACAGATTAATACACCCTTGTTTACTTTGCTTTTCTGGGCATCTCTCCATAACTACCCTTTTCCCACACCGTCCTTTCTTTGTTTCAGCAGATGACGGTACTTAAGCCTGAACTCAAAACCATGCCTTTGAGATTTACTTATTTCTTTGGGTTATCTCCCAGGTATATATGAGGTATACATGTTATTAAACTTCTGTTTATTTTTCTAATTAATCTGTCTTTTGTTACAGGGATCCATCCCAACTAACAACTATGAAGGGTAGAGATAAAATTACTTTTCCTCCCCTACATTACATACTACTGAGGTGTTCTGAAACACACACTATCAGAAATACTGCCTGGTTGGCTAGAGAGTGCTTGATTCTGAGACCTGCTCTTTTGACCATGCTTGACTTCAACATGTCCTTGAATGTACCATTCTGTACTTATCTGTAGAGGACATCTGTTATTTTTGCCTGAACATATCTGTTCCCTGTTTTCTGGTATCAGAATCCTCCTTTCCATGGGGAATTCATTCTACATGGGTTGGATGTGACATTTGTCACCTCTTCCTAGCTACAGAGTTGGGTCCATGGTGTGGAGATTGTTATTATGCATACTCCCTTTTTTTACCTGGGCACATAGCTAGACTATATTTTCCCAATTCCCTTGCATTTAGCATTGGCCATGTGACTAAGGTTGGACCAATGGACAGTGAGCAAAATTAATGTATACAAATTCTAGGCTGAGGCCTGAAGACAACAGAAATGGTTCGTTGGTGCTCTATTTTCTTTCCCAGAAGCTGGAGCATGAATTTGCTTTCCTCCAGGTTCAACCACACAGACACTAGGGGCTGATAGGAAAACAAAGTAGAAGAAATCTAGATTTCCGAATGACTCCATGGAGCAGAGCCCTTACTATTATGGAATATAACCTCAGGTTATAATATGTGAGAGAAGTATGCCTCTATTTTCTTGAAGCCATTGAATTACTATTTTTAAAAGTTTCTTTGCTATGGAAGCATAGCCTTATTCTGGAAAATATAGTACATGCACTGTTATAATCCCACTTCTGCTGGCCATGATGAATGTTCCAGGAACTGGACCTAACCCAGATCAAAGTCATTCTTTGTATGTTTATGCCAAAGCTAGCTGAATTCTTCCTTTTTGTAGTTAACTTGTGGAATGTATATTCACACTATCTTTTTCTTTTTCTTTTTTTAACCACTGGGAGATGGCTGGCTTGAGAATGAAGCCACTTCTCTTAGAGAAACAGTTTCAGGAAATGGTGAGAAACAGGACCTCCAGATCCAGCTGTGCTTCAAATGGGACTCATCATTGGACTTGATAATTGAATGAAATAGTTACCAGTTTTGCTTAACTTAACCTTAATTGGATTAATGTTACTTGCCATAAGTCTGGAAAAATACCCTACATGTTTCCTTCTTATTCTAACACTGTCCTTTGCCATTAGGCCACTTGCTGGTGCCATGCTCTTTCTTGGTTGCCGGAGCAAATTAAGGCAGAGTTTGCTCATCCTGCACTGAAGATTCAGGAGACCCAGTTGCTCTTTGGGTAAAGGAGGAGGTGAAATAAACGTAGGACATGCTATCATGAGAGCTCTGCCCATACTAGAGGAAGAGCCAGAAACTATCTACCTCATTGGCTTAGAGAATTAAGCTTCTTTTCAGCCTTCTTCATTTCTCTTCCTCTCTGTAGATATAGGAGGAATGCTAAGATAGACAAGGGAGCTTCCTGGACCAAAGGAGAAATCACTACTTCCTAGATGAACAAGGTCCCATTTAGAGTAGAAATGACTTTATTAGTCGAGGAAGCACAATTACCATGAGTATATGGAATAAAAGACCTTACACAATTGTGGGAAGAGCTGGGGAAGCAAGGGTCCAGAAGGAGTTGGAGATCAGAATTAAAGGAATAATCAATCTTCCTGAAACCCTGGTGCAGGTGGACAAGACAGGATGTACAGAGCAGTCAAGGACATCCTGTTCCTGAAGTGGGAACACAAAGGGAAAGTTCATGGGGAAGTCTATGGGAAGGTGTTGATTTTATGTAGCTACCTCCTCATTGGGTCTGTAGCTGGGCTTCTGGTGGTGGGCATGGGGCCTCTGGTAAGCAGTAGTGCCAGCGGTCATGAAGAAGAGTTGGACAGGGAGCAGAGGAGAATGTGAGCAGACTGGATCGTCTGATGCAGATGGGCACCTCTGCATCAGTCTGTCATGCTATGTGACTGCAAAGACCTTTGGAAAATAATAGCTGCTACTTTATTTCTGTCTCCCAAATCCTAAGTTCTTTTAGTCAATGGTAACCTGGAAGCATATAGAGCAGGAAATTTGGAAAATGTAGTTTGTAGCTTGATCAAATTGGCTTTAGAAAAACCCAGCACAAGGTCCATCCCTGGGTGGTGATACCAAGGCAAATCATGAGTGATCTGTCAACATGGTGCAGTTGGCACAACTCACTCTTGGAAAGTGATTCAGGCTGCTACGTCAGGTCAGTGCTTTCTCTGTAGCATCTGACTCTTTCGTTCTTTATATAGATCATGTTTAAACTGTTCCCACCACAGAGGGGTTCCTGACCCTGCCCATCACCCTGTTTCTTCCCTGCCATTGGATTGTCAAGGCTTCACATCTGGTTGCTTCCTGTTATTCCTACCAAATTGTTCAGTGGTGATACTTGCCCAAGCCCTAACATACTCCCGTTGCTTGTAATTATTCAATGTGAACCTAGGCAGGCTTGGAAGGCCCAAGACTCTTGCCAGGCTGGGTTCCTGGCTCAGCCCCATCCGCTTCCACAGCCACCTCTGGTTCAATTGCCTTAACTTCTGGGGAGGCCAGTCTTGGTCTTCCTTTGGTGACATCGAAACCCCAAAACTATTATTGTGATTTTTTGTAGTCAGCAGACTTCTTCTCACTTGACTAAAGGTTTTTCTGTGTTTTAATATGAACCAAATGGATTGATTTGGGGAAATATTTGGATCTGAGGAAAGCATATGGATTTAGTGCCAACAGACTTGCTTTCATAAGCATATTGTGTTAGATAAACAAAAACAAATAAAAAACAAATGAGCAAAATGCTTGCAACAATACTGGGGGGGGGGGGCGGTGTCTGGCCCTAGACACACCTGTAGGGTAACTGCACCTGATAACAATAATTTAAGCATACCCTTAGAATTACTCTCTATGGCAGATGCACCTGAAAGTGTTTTCTAAGCTAGATAATCTGGTAGTGGCCAACCCAGAGATTCATCCCTTATCTATGATAAACATCTGAGCCCCATCCCATCCCATGGAACATGGGCCATACAGGAGATTGAAGCCCTGAGTTTTCAGTTAAATGAAGAATGCCAGGTGGAGGTCGTTGGGGGGGGTGTTAAGTGAAAATGCTATAAACTGCATGATGTTTACAGGCAGTTGCAGTTTTCCTGACCAGCCTGTTGCCACTGGACCCTCTCCCCTATATGTTAGCATCTGATAAAGCCGCATGTCTCGTTTACTAGCTCTGGGTCTCTTCTTTGGCCTCTTGAGCCTGGTGGCTTCCCTATTGAGGTTAGGGGTTTGATACAATATCACCCTTCAGGTTAGGATATGAATGAGAATTCAGAGGTGGGATTAGCTTTCTGACAGCAGAGGTCCAGCTGGGAAGGCAAGGAGTGACATACTGCTAGTCTGCCTAGAAGTTTGTACCTTCCCCACACACAGTTTACTCAACCTAGATAATGACTGGATTTGAATCATAATCTAGCCTTTATTTGCATTGTCATTTTGGACACCTCATTTAATCTGAATCTCAGTTTCTTCACTTATTTAAAAAATGGAATGAAGATTTCCTGCCTTACAATGTTGTTGTAAGCATTAGATATTAGAACTAAAGCTTCTAAAGTGCAGGACACAGTAGTTTGTGATGAATAAATGGAAACTCTTACTGCACTATTAAATTCTAGACCCTAGCCCCTAGCATGGTCATTACTGAAGCTTTGTTACTAAGTTTAAGCAAACTTCCAAAGAGCTACAGCAAGAGGAGTCTGTCAACTACAAGTCCTGGCAGTTCTCTTGATTATACAAGCTTGTTCTTATTGAATGTTCAGGGTCTAGATAGGAAGAAATTGCCCTAGTGGAACAAACCTAGGAGAGATTTAAAGCTCCATTTTGACATGAACTCTTGTAACCTCACCTAAGCGAATAAACCAAAATTTAAGGACTGAAGGTGGTTGAATCTGGGGCCTGGGGTCTTCTCATCAACAGATAGCAACCAAAATCATAGTGTTTCTCTCTACATTTAGAATGCCTGAACAGATTAACCCCTAATGACTTAATGACACTCCAGTACCAGCCCTGGATGGTTAGCTTTTGAATTTCTTACCAGTAATTTGCTTAAGCCAGTTTTCTGAACCTCTATTAATAGCGGCTGAACACAAATGCCACCTGCAAGATGCGGGGATCCTATTCTTAATTCTCCTGTAGAAGCTTTCTGGAGCCGAATTCTCCCATGTGTTAGAAATGTCTTTGCAATTTAGGCAACATTTGGATCCTGGAGGCTCAGAAGGAACCAGATGCTTGTAGTTGTCTGTCCATACCTATGTGAAACTTTGAGCATCTCTACTCTGTGTGCAAATGCGAGGGTGAGCTGACACTGCCTTTAGAATAAAAAAACCAGTGCCACCGACAAAAGCAGACTTCTTACCATGGCCTGGAGAAGCTCAGTCAGCATTTTTGGGCATTGTCTAACTCAGAACCATGTGCCTACAGACATTTGACAATTTCTATAAAAGGGTGATGGCAGCATAGCTTTTATTAATGTCTTTTATTACCTCTTGGTCTCATTGTCATTGAATTTTAAACTGTTAACCTTTGTGATTCATATTTAATGAATATTACTATGAACTTGGTGGTCTCACATACTTCTTTTGTGTTTTTTGTAACAATCCTGGGGGGTAGGTCATAATTATTGTAATAGCCAACACACACACATGCACACATAATATTTACTATGTGCCAGGCATAGTTCTAAGCATTTTATTAATTCATATACTCCATATAACACCCCTATGAGGTAGTTCTTAATAATATCATCATTGTCATCCACACTTTTTAGGCAAGGAAATTAAAGTATGGAGGTAAGTAGCTTGTCTAAGATCACAAGCCAGTAAGTGGTAGTACTTGAGTTCAGACCCAGGCAGTCTGGCTCCAGGGTTCATAGTCTAATTATTATACATACTGCCTGCAAGTTTTAGATGAAAAGCCAAGACACAGAGAGTGAGTGAATCATCCAAGTTTCCACTGCTGTTAATAAGAAGAACCATTATTTCAACTCAGGTTTTTGGATTCTTAAGGCTCATATCCTTTCTCACTATTCCATATTTTTTCCATTGGCTACAGGGTATGACCTTGGACAAGTCACTTGATTTGCTTCATTTTTCACCTATAAAATGGAGGGTAATAATGCTTACTTCACTTAGTTGTTCTATGGATTAAATATAATTGGATAAAGCCATGTTTAACTCAGTCCCTGGCACATCATAAATGCTCGGTAAATATTGACTTATTAACAGATAGATTCCCTAGAAAGGCTCTTTATTCTCAGTACTTGATAAGACTAGACTTACTATGAACATGTTATCCTTGGTAAGTAGAATATACATAAAGCAAAGTTGATGGTTTTACATCATTTCTTCCCTAAACCTCAATAACTGTGTTTATATTTGATCAGCTCTAGAACCAAGTGTTGTGTCCATGGAAATGCTTCTTGTTGGGGCAAAGAAGTTATTGTGTAGATCCTTAAAAACCCATTCTAGTTAAGTTTCTTTTTAAAAATTTTAGATATTCATGATCCGTGTCTAATTGCTGTCTTAAAATAGCATGCTTTTATTTCCATATCAAAATTTTAAGGTGAGTTAATGCGAGAACATTGTTTTCTCATTCTAAAATAAGGTCTGATGACCTGATTTGATCTGTTTTCCTATTGTTTGTTGATGCTTTTATTGACAGAATTAATGAAAATTACAAGGTTAAGTCATAAGGTTCTTTCTTTTTTCCTCTGAATAAAATTGTGATGACTTTTATTGTCAGACTTTTTAAAGATATGATGGATCATGGTGTAAATATGCCCTAGATAATAGTACTCTGGAAAGTAAAAGGTCTAGATGGTGAAAGGTAAGAGCCAAGATTATTATGTACTCAACGTGGATAAGATATTTTTGTAATGTAGTTAATTGGAAATGAATCAATAGAGTAAGAATGTTAGTGTTTTTTGGAGCATGGTGTCCATTACAATGTGTATCTGGGATTACATGCAATATCTTTTGCATATCTAGGCCCATTTCTGTTCACTCCCACTACCATTTTCACATCCCAACTCTTACCCGTGCTAGGACATTAACATGTCAAACCTCATCATTTAGATAACATTAGGCTCCCACTCAAATATATTAATTGATTATCCATTGCCTTCAAGATGACAACCAGGCTACTTAGTCTGACATCAAGGTGTGCCGTCTTTGTGAGCATTTTGCAAGATAATATAAATTGAGATCATGAAGATCTCCATGATAGAGATCATGGTTCTTGCCCTCAAAACAGAGTTTACCTTTGGAGGGGGAGACAGATAAGCAAAACATCATTCACAGTGCAATATGGTGAAGGTGTAATAGAAGTGAGCTGAGGATGCTGGGGAAGTTCACAGAAGGGCACCAACTTTTCCAGCTTACCTCCCACTACTTCTTTATTCAAGTCGTCTGTGCTAGACTGATTTATTTTTAATTCTCCTAAATATCATGCATATTCCCATCTCTGTAACTTAGATCATATTGGTTTTTTCATGCTTAATCTCATTTTCTGCTTATTCATTCAACCAACATGTATTGAAAGTACACTGCATGCTGGAAAATGAACTATTCACTCTGGTAAGTGAAGCCGAGAAGCACAGTCCTACCCTTATGAAGCTGACAGTGTTGCCTTCTCAGTCTCTCCTGCTGCCTCCAATCCATCTTCTCTGACTACTCAGCCTGTGATTTCTTTCTTCTTATTCTTTTTTTAAAATTCTTTCTTCTTATTCTTTTTTTTTGAGACGGGGGTCTCATTCTGAAGCTTAGGCTGGAGTACGGTGGCATAATCATGGCTCACTGCAGTCTTGACCTCCCCGGGCTCAGCTCAGGTAATCCTCCCACCTCAGCCTCCTGAGCAGCAGGAACTACAAGCACATGCCACCAAACCTGGCTGTTTTTTTTTTTTTTTCGTAGTTTTTGTAGAGATAGGGTTTTGCCATATTGCCCAGGCTGGTCTCGAACTCTTGGGCTCAACTGAGCCACCTACCTTGGCCTCCTAAAGTGCTAAGATTACAGGCATAAGCCACTGCACCCAACCAATCTCTTTCTTCTTGAGCTCCAGCAAACTTATATCTGTCACATGTAAGAACTTATAAATTATCAGAGGATCAATCAGCACTTAGTGGTTGGTTAATTTATCACGTTGATGCAAATATCATGGAAAAATAATCATTTTAGATTGTTTTAAAACTTGTGCTGTTATTCCTTTAGTTGAATAATGGTTGGTAATGCCTGAGACTCAGTCTTCTCATCTGTTAAATGAGCAGAATAAATGAGAAATTTAAGTTCTCTTCCAAGTATGCAGTTATAGTTTTTTTTCAATCCAAAACTTTGGTATGAATTTAATATACTAGGCTGGATGTGTTTACATTTTATTTCTAATGCTCATGGGTATCTAGAGGAAGAAAAGGAGTCCAAGGTGGAAAGACAAGAGGGAAGCAGTTGAAGGAGAAAAGAAAAGGAGAAGAAGCAAGAGGAAGCAACCAGGAAGAGGGCTGGGGATGTTCTGAAATATGGGCAAAGATCTTTCTTTGCAGAAAATATTCCCCATTAAGGGTTTCTTTCTTCCCACTCCCCAGTCAAATCTTGTAAACAATTTCTATTTGTTATTAGCCCTTTGTGTAAAATTCTATATTGAAAAGCAATGGCTGGACTGTGCAGTGAAAATTGTATGACTGACCTCCTAATCCTTTCAATATATTTCTTAAATAGATGAGTAAAAGAAATTTTTAAAAAAGGCCCAGACTATATCTTTATAAATATATTTTAATAAAGTTCAATGTTAAAACCTCCAAAAACAAACAATATACCCCGGATTCTCATGTATTTCTGATATCATAGTCAAAGGGTCATGAATGAACTCCATTTTTTTCCTTGGATATATTGCTTTAGACTGGGTGTACTGGGTAACTCACATTATTGTAACAATTACTTTATTGAGTACCTACTGTATGCTGGGCAAAATGTTTATAATAGACAAATGGAAGGTAGTTCCCACTGTCAAAGAGTTTACAATTATTGGGGGTACCTGTTGGTAGTGAGAAAATTTATAAGACATACATTTCTACATTTATTTTAAATTTATTCATGCTTATATCTGTATGTAGATGCATGTACCCACCTAGACATACACAGTTATTCATTTATAACATTCTAGTATGTATATACATACATATACAAGCATGGGAAAAATTTTCTTCTATATGCCTATGCAAAAAGGAAACTTTAAACATACAAGAGATTACATCTCTGAGAAAAGTTCCAAAAGTTATACATGATATTGTCTGTGATTCTACATTATTTTGGGTCATGACGCCAGCTGAAAGTCTAAGGAAAGCTGTGGAAGCTCTTCTAAGAAAATACCCAATGATGTGAAATTTTAGAAACCTCAGGCATAAGAAAAGGCAGACTTTCCTATAGAAAATTTTGAAATTTCAGGATATTGTTCCATCCAACAACTTGACGCCAACTTTTAAACATCAAAATGCCTACAAATGCCAGTTAAAGTACAAATGGAAAAACCTATATTCTGCACAGTTCAAAACTCTCTGTAGTGAATTCAAGTGAATGTAAACAGCCAGTGAATTAATCATTCACAGGCTTATTTGAATATCATATCATCATCTTTTAAAATTATTAATACATTAATCTTATTTTTCCATATAGCGAATCAGGCGAGCAGTCATGGGTAGACTCTTACAGTTATTGTTGAAAAGGTTTTTCCTTAGGGGATGGATAACATCCCTTGATGGTGTTTTGGGAAGCTGATCTGCTGGCTATTTTGCTGCCTTCTTTTCCATAAGTTTTCCTCTATGAGATCTAAGCCCTAGAAGTCAGATTGTTAGTCCTTTTGTTTTTCTAGCAGCAACTGCTTCCTTGAACTGTCATTTCAGTGCCAGCAGTGTAATTTTGATCTTTGATGTTATGCAAAACATATCAGCCTTTTAAATTGCCTGATCCAAATCTCATTTGCCATGCGTTTTCCACCCTTTGATCCGTCTCTGCATTGCTGTTTATCAATATCAAAAAGACAGCTGAAAAGTGGGCAAATTCAAAGGTACCCAGCATTGCTTTTGGCCTGGAATCTATAAAATCAAGTCTTTCACAGGTCTGGTGTGTTTTCTGTAACTGGACAGCATGCATCACAAGAGCACGACTCTCTATTTTGTTTACTGAGTCATGTAAAGGATTGAATGAAGTTTGTCTTGAAAATAATGGGTAACTTTCCCCTCTAACCATAGCACACAGCCACTTAGTCATCCACATGAGATCCTTTTCAAAATATCACTGCATCACTTTCCTTCTTAACAATGATGCCAGTTTCAATTTTACATTATATTTTGTGACTATTTAATAGCTGTCTTCCCTGTTGTATTGTAAGCACCGCAAGTCAGCAAATACATCTAGCTGACTCATCTTTCTATCCCTAGTAGCTAACACGGTACCTGGCATATAGTCGGTGATAATTAGTATGTTTTGGATGAATTTAACCTCACCCAAATATTTTGGGAGTCTCTCCTCTAGAATTGTCTTTGGAGTCAGTTTCCCAGCAATGAAGAGAAAATGGATTTCTCAATTTGCTTTGAAGATCATGAAAGCGTTGTCTCTTGACAACGCGAAGTTACCTGGCACTGCTGTGCTGATTTTGACCCAGACCCCAGAAAGGGACCTCTGGGCAGGCCGATGGCTGAGGATAAATAAGCTTTGGTGAAATGCTCATCACACAGGCTGCATTTATCTGGGGTTGCCTACCTGCTGTCATTGCTGGAAAAGCTTTAAGTGGATACAATTAGCTGAGAACTGTAAATATGCATTGCTGAAAGTTTAGGACTCAAGTTTTAAGTGAGTTAATAATAACTGAGATGGTTTAACGTGAGTGGATGATGTTAATGGTAATTATGGTGGTGGAAGGGAGCTAAATTTACAAAGAACTGTAACTGTCTCTTTTATATATTTATGTAATGTTTTAGTTTCTTTTTTACACCAGGGTTATTATTTACTTTAATGATTGCAAAAATGTATACAACAAATATTTTAAGTATCATAAGGGAAATGGTTTCCCTGTCAAGAATTACCAATTAAAAAATGTCAAGAATATAGTGTAGAATGGAATGAATTTGTAATAACATAGATACAGGTACTTAAAATGATTGAGCTGATAATATAATCACCTAGAATTACTTTCTTTTGAAAGTAATACATAAAATTATATAGTTCAGAGAGGACTCAGAGCCAGGATGCTTTCAGATGTCACTGCTTAACAGCTGTATAACTCTGTGCAAGTTACTGAAATTTATATGCCTCAGTTTCCTCATCTGTAAAACAAAGATAGTCATAGTTCTTTCCTCATAGAATGCAAAGGACATAAATGGGGCCTTACACACTGTAATGCTACATCATTTTTATTGTTGTTATTTTATATAATGACAATCTACATACACATTGTGAGAGATTTCAAAATGTTAGTGCCTTATCTATCAGAGCTTGTGGCTCAAATAAACAATTTATAGTTCAGAAAATAATGACATTTTGCCCTATATTTACAAAGTTTCTCCTTCCTCTCAATAACATTCACCCTTTATTAAGCAGCACTTAAATATATTTGTTTAATTGTGGTGTCTGCAAACACTGGGCAAACGGATGGTATAGGGGTTGGCCATATGCTCAGAGGAAAACATGATGATCTGGCGTGAAGATGATGACAGTGATGATGACAATGATGATGTTGGAGGTTATGTGCCTGCTCTACTACTTGCATACTAGCTGTGTGACCTTGGGCAGATATTCAACCTCTCTGAATCCTCTTTCTCATCTCTGAGATCAAGATATTCTATACTTCACCTAATAACTGTGGAATGATGTATGTGAAAGTGCTTTATGAACTTTTTTGGATTAGATGGAGTACTCTAGTTCCATCTCAGGAGCCATGTGCCACTCACTCACATTTCCCTATGCCCTTTCCCCCCGTTTCCTTCTCTTTTCCTGCCCTAACCCTTTCCTCCCTCTCTGTATTCTCTTTGAAGTTGTTTATTTATTTCAGCACTTAAGGTAAAGGCATGCAGTCATCCATTAGTGTAGTTTGTCCCCAGATTTCTTCCCCACTGGGCCTGTCACTAGTTTAAGGCACTGAAAGCCAGGGAGGAGAGAAACAGTTTAAAAATTCATTGAAACACAGCTTAAAGCAAGACAACCTACATGACTGTAACTGTGAAATAATCACAGGAAAGAGAGTAACTTCTTTACCTGCTTGAAGGAATAGTGTTCTCTTTAAGTGAAAGCAATATGCAAAAGCAGATCTCCTAGAGTGACACACACCTGCAATGCTGGCTTTAGTTTCAGCAGTCAGTAAACATTTATCCAACAGTAACACTGGTACCAGGCAGGAAGATCTAAAAGATGAAACTAAGTCATTTGCTTTCAGGATCCTATATTCAGGTATAAAACTTAGAGAAACAAATGCATGTTTAGTAGGAAGATATGTTATTAGCATATCAACATACACATACACCCCAGTAATTATATAAATTTATTGTGTTTGAATAACAAACCAATGGGATACTTTAGAGAGTCTTCTGAGTGCTGTAAACATTGTTTGACTTCTTAAAGTGCTGGTTTTTTTAGCATGCAGGTACATATTACAAGTAATAATTGAAGTCAAATGCAGAAAAATGTTTAAAAATAGGAAATACAAACTTTGAAAACTTAATGTAGTTTAAATCGGCACAACTGAGTCATTAGGATTGCTCAGACTGTATTCCCCAAATAGCCCCCTTCACATGTTCTTAAAAAGAAGTTATATAAAATAATGGCCTTTGCTTTTTTAAGCCTCTAGCTGCACTTACTGTTCAAACATAAAGGCCCTGCATTTTTGGAATAAGTCATCACAAATGAGACACGTATAGCTTAAGGTCACACACACACTTGCCACACACTTTCAGAATTCTAAAATCCACTAAAGACCTAGAAGCAATGTCTCATCGGATGTTTCCAACTTAAAGGGCCTGTGAGTTTCATTCCATTGTAAAGCATGAGCCATATTACATGGATCACTAGTTTTGCTTTTTAGTTTATCACATGGCTCGTATTTCTCTCTGCATCTTATGCATCAGCCTTAGCGACTGAAATGACCTGGGGCCCAAGAAAGCTCAAGATGCCACTTGTGGCTTGTCCCGTGGGTCCCGTGGTTTTGTGAGTTCCCTTTAACAGACTATCTTCCTCTTTTCAGTGAATATTTTGGAAATGTTTCATTTAGTAAAGTGAAAATCCTTGTCAGAATCAGCACAGATTAAAATCCGGGCTAAGAGGGCATAAAGAAATGCTTTCTGGTCAGGGAAACTGGCTATATAAGAGGCTGTGTTCGTGAAAAGAAGAAATGGTAGAAAACTTCCCTCAAATGGTAATGGGAAATGGGTCAAGTCCTACAGGTATTGTTTTAATTCACTGCTCCGTGAGAACCACAAACAGCTGGTTAAAGATTGAGCCCACCAACACTGTTAGAAAAGCAACTATGGTTGGATTTTCTTTCCTGCTCAGCTGGGCTATTATTATGAAAAATAAGGAGAACCATTAATGCAAAGTTTAGCTACCAAGAAACCCTCAGGAGGAGGGAGGGAGGGAAGGAGGGAAGGGGGGGGAGAGAGAGAGAGAGAGAGAGAGAGAGAGAGAGAGAGAGAGCGCGCCAGTGCCAGCGCCCTCCATGGATCAAAATATAAAGGATAGAGTAAAAACAGCTACTTCCTAAAATTTTAGCATCACCGAGCTTCTAGTGCCATGTTCTCTTTTCTCCGTGAGTGAATTGGCCAGTTATGACACGTTGCTATCATTGCCAGTGTTGCCTTTTTCTGGGCCTAGGAATCTAGTCTGGCTTCTCATGTTTTTTGCTTCTTGCCTCTTATTTTCTTTTAGTGTGTATCTGTTTTATTGCTTGTGAACATTTTCATCAGAGGAGAAAAGAAGGAGATGGAGGTAAAAGTCAAAATTTGTTAATTTTTTTCCTTGTTAGTAGCACTTACAAATGTTTGAAGGGAAGGAGGTAATAACGATAACTAAAATAAGGCTTTTTTCAATTGTATCTGAAAATTATTTGGCAAACTATTTCCCTATTAGCATGGATAACTGCAAACTAGCGTATCACTATTAAATAATACATTTAGGTTTAATATTTGAACATAGTTGTCTAAAATCTTATTGCTCTCAGCTTTCTTATAACAAAGCTATTGACATTTGTTGTGGAGCCAAGCAGTGATTGGAGGTGGGATGCCAAGCTGTGACTGCATATCAGGCAATGTTTGTTCAACACATTGGGCCAGTATTCCTTGCCATTCACTGAGAAGGGCTTCCTTACATGAAATTGGCGTGTCCTAGTCATGGTTTTGTGACATCT
Source organism: Homo sapiens (assembly GCF_000001405.40). NCBI lineage: Eukaryota > Metazoa > Chordata > Mammalia > Primates > Hominidae > Homo > Homo sapiens. The sequence goes on from NC_000012.12 coordinate 63,022,540, forward strand.
GAGAGTACTTATCACTTCAAGGGATTATGCAATCCTGAAAATAGTTTCCAAAAAAATTTAATTTAACCTTATTTTTGTAAATATGACCTATGTCTTATAATACTCCCCCACTTCCTATTTGACAAGGAGAGAAAGAAGGCTGTCATGATGTGAACTCAATTTTATTTTTTCTTTTACAGAAACCATTTATCGAAGACTTACCATGTACCCTGCATTATATGTACATGAGAGATACAGTAACAATCCTAGATACAATCCTAGGAGGAAGTTGGGAACCACAAATTGACAGATTGTTTTTCTGCATAATAGAAGCAAAGTAAAGGGAAATAATATTGCATTTCTTATACCTGGGCCCACACTCTCGAACTTTTACTTGCTACAAATATTTCAAGGTGACCCCTGAACGGTGCCAGTGGATAGTAAGCTAGACAATATCTGATTCCATTGGTTCCAATCAAATATAAATAAAAGTAGATATATGTCATACTTTACATACAAAGATGAGGTGGTTAATTTATCACTAAAAGTGGCTTGGAGTTAGTAGGGTTCCTGGTTCCTGGGAAAAATACCCTTTATGGCTTAAGCTCCATCAAACAGAAACCATTCTATAAAGCTACTTGCCTTACCTTTGCCATTAGATTGCTCTCCAAATTAGTTAAAACTTTTAAGCCTATTTACAAAGCTGTCTGATGCAATCCGATTATGACACAGCTTGAATTTCAGTGCCAATTATATGTTTGGGATAAAAAGATGAGATTGGCTTATAACTATATATTTTTGAAAGATAGGTGTGTGATTTGTGCCTGGGAATCCAAGACCTTAAATACCTAACTGGTCTTGATGAAAGTCAGAGAAATACTAGCTACCCCATAATAGAGGTCTTTCCAGGGCAGCCTGGAGCAGTAGAGCACAGATTCTGAAACTACGACTGCTGTTGTACCTGCTCAGACTTGCTGAAAGAAGAGCTACTCTTCCTCTGACAAAATGAGGACTGATGGGTTCTTCTCAGTTTCCTTGGAGACCCACAGGGTGCTGGAGCAACTCCTTCTCCCATTCTACCATGTGTGGGTACTGCTATTGTACTATTAGTCAGGGGGTGAGAAACCTAACCCTTTACCCCCAGCTGCTAAATTTTTTCTTCTTTCTTCCTAAGTCCGGAGAGGACAAGAGGCAGCCCCAAAGCTTGCTTTTGTTTTGCCTGTACCTTGGGGATCCACACTCTTTCTAAGGCCCGTTTTTACAGAAAGAGGGATGTGCTTCTGTTCTCACTCTAGAACTCAGATCTACACACGTAGACTTTGAATTGTTTCTCCAGTAGTGGCCATGGGCTATATCCATATTATTATTGTTTAAATGTGTCACCCGCAGTTCATGTGTTGGAAACCTAATCCCCAACTTAACAGTATTGAGAGGCAGGACACTTAAGAGGTGATTAAGTCATGAGGGCTCTGCTCTCATGAATGGATGAATGCTGTTATCTTGGGAATGGGTTAATCATCATAGGAATGGGTTCCTGATAAAATAATGAGTTTGACCCCCATCTGTCTTGCTCTCTCTCATGCTCTTTCACCATGTGAAGCCTTCCATCATGTTATGACTCAGCAAGAAGGCCCTTGCCAGATGCAGGTGCTTTGACCTTGAACTTCTCAGCCTCCAGAACTGTGAGAAATAAATTACTTTTCTTTATAAATTACTCAGTCTGTGGTATTCTATTATGGCAACACAGAATGGACTAAGACACATTCACACACACATTTATTTACTTATTTTCCATGTGAACCATAGATTGTATTTACAAGATTGTTGGCTTGGGTTGAGACTTCAATCTTTTGCCAGTGAACAAAACAAAGCTACCTGGAATATGGTTTATAAGGATGAGTACAGGATTTGGAGCCATGCCAGCATAAACTTGAGCTCACCCTCTACCATTTTCCAGATCTGTGACCCTTGATAGGTTTCTTAATTTGGATCTTGATTTCTCCATAGGTAAAATGGACATAATACTACTCATATTATGAATTTATTTAGAGTACTTAACACAGCACCTAGCATATAGCAAGTGCTTAATAAATACCAGCTCTAATAAACAAATATGCCCAGAAAGTTAGAGGTACCAAACTATAATAAACACTCCATGTCTAGGGACATGGTAAGAAAAAGAAAGACTCTAAGCTGGAGAAATACCATATTTTTTGCATTATTTCTAAATAAAATCGTACGAGGCAGCCCTGGAGAGAGGGCAGAATGGGGAACTGTGGCTGTTAGGATTAGTTGAGAGTTAGGGGTAAGCAAGTTAAGCTCTTACACAGGGCCTGTCATATAAGGCTTACTCCTTTTTTGAAAATCTGGAAGGACAGTAAGAATGTTTAAATGGATTGGGCTGGAATGTGTGTACATACATGCATGGGTGTATGTGAAGCTAAAATGAATTGTCTAATATTCTGATTGCTTTACATATTTTAATACATCCAACCTTCATTTAAAGAAGAAGAACAACAAAAAGACCTTTTCAACATTAACATCCTCAAAGAGAGGGAGCTGGGATACAAATCCATAATGGTAGGGACTTGAGCTCACATAAGCCCTGTGTTATGTGGCTTCTTGCCCCAGTGTTTTGCCTTAGTAACTTGGAAGCTTCCAAACTCTATTTGTCAGCTGGGCCCTACTTACCCAGCAAAATGAATACCAAGCTGAGAATTTGGCCTGCACTTCAGTTATGCAAATTCAGAGGACACAAATGACCCATCCATGCCATGCAACTCTACTAGGGCCCTTGGTTGCTTTTGCTCTGGAAGCCAGTGACATCATTTGCTAGACATACTGCATAACATGGGAAGACCTCAAACACAAAGCAAGTTACAGACCTATTTTCTGCCTGGGAGATGCACAGGGGCCCCTCCTCCCTCACTCATATTTTTATCAGCTGGTGGAAGCTGCATTCATTTTCTCCACAGATGAATAAAATCTATTGAATCTCAACTCCTGTGTGTTTTATATGGAAATAACTGAGGTACTCGGCTTTCTTTGAAAAGTTTCTGGTTGCGGTATCTACAATCTCTTCTCTTTCAATTACTGAATAGCCTATGTCTGACCTGTATTTTTTCTCAAAACCAAGCCCTGTTTGCCAGCTTCCATTTATGCAAAAAATGCACCAATACTCCAATTTCAGTTGGGGGAAAAAAGGTAGATGGGCACAGCTATTCATGAAACAAACATTTTTATTTCATTTTTAGCATGCACCTTGGTGCTACAGTTTAGTAACAAGAAGTCTCACTGTGAAAATAATGATCTTATGTGAAGGAAAATGTTATTAGTTGACCATGTTGCAGCTAAATTCCTGTGGTGCATTTTTCATTGAGAGAAGACTCTGAAGTCAAACCCTGGCCCGCTATGTACCAGTACATGACTTTGGGTGTGTAGGGGCAGAAAGGTATGATACCTTTTCTCACCCATCGTAAGGGTCCACGTCCACAGCTGACACTTTTATAATGAAAGACTGGTTAGCAAGAGAAAAGCATAACAGATTTATTTAATCAAAGTTTTATGTAACACAGGAGGCTTCAGAAATAAAGACCCAAAGACTCGGAGGAAAAATTATTTATTTTTATGTTTTGGTTTGATGAAGAATGGGCAGCCATGTAGAAATGTGATTGGACAAAAAGGTATGATCTAATAGATCATAGCTGAACGAGGAAACCCAGCAAGGCCTGTCTGTTCAGATTCTTCTGGGCCTCTGTATAACATTCTTCCCTCCCAGGTATGGGACAGGACCCCCATGGCATAAGGGTCTTCAAAAGAGAAGAGATAGGGGAGAGAGTGACCTTTCTAGGTTTAATGGCTTGCTTTGGGAGAGAGAGGTTCTAGTTTCTATGATACACCATGTGGAAGAGGAATTCTGCATTCTGTGACTCACATCAGGGGAGAAAAAGGGGTGGGTGATAGGAGGGCAAGAGAAACTGCTTCCGAGGTCCTTCTAATGTCCTTCAGTTCAAAGTACTCTGCACGCCAAGGTGCCATGTTTTGGGATATTGCTTGCTGAGTCCCAACAGGTGAGATTCAACTATTAAGTTCCAGTTTCCCCATTTGTAAAATGGAGTCTTAATGTAAAATGGAAGAGTGTTCTTCATGCGTAAGATTCAAGTGAGGATTTAACAAGATCCTCCATGTACATAATTTAACATGATTTCAGGCACACGTAGGTGCTTGAGAGACTTTTAATGTTATGATTAATCTTTTGAGAAAAATTACAAAAAAATTCTGGTTCTATCTCTTTCTCAGTTATATCTACTATAGGTGCTTTGGGAGGCTTAGTTTATGTTTCCCTCTTCAGACATCTCTTGTTGATAAGGTGTTCTGATTCCAAATTATAGCCCCATTCATTATTGAAAATGTGGTTTCTCTGTGGGCTATGTACCATAATTGCTAAACAGGACCCTTTGTAACTATGATAACATGATGAGTTAAATTTTCTGATTGCCAGGAAAGAATTTATTTTGTGTGTAGCCATGTAGCTTAAAACTTTTCTGAGATATAGCAGTTTCTTTTTATTTTTTAACATGTATAGTATACCTAAACGGTTGCAGAGAACACAAGTTTGAGTCACACAGACTTTAATTTAAATCCTGTGCCCACAATTTACCAGTCATGTGACTTCAGGTGGGAAGCTGCTCTGATCCTTAGTCTCTTTACAAAATAGGAAATAAAAACCAATTACTCAGTTTTCACATTGAACCTTTAGGAGATTTTTAGTATTCTGTAGTACCTAATTTTGAACATCAGCCCTCACTGCAAAATATTAAGAAATAAACTTAGAAGGTTTTGGAGATTATATGCATGCCTGAAATTTTTGCATTTCAAAATAACTGTTGTCACTGCAGGTATTTTTCATAGTAATTCCCAGAAGCCAGAGGTTTTTACTATAAAATGAGAATGACAGAGAAAAGAGTGGAATGGCTGAATTCAATGGTGGTATATGTGTAACATTTAAGAAACTGCCAAATTTTCCAAGTGAGTGTTCAAATTGCATTACTGCGCTGACATAATTTGGCATATTTTAATTGTATAGATCCACTCTTTATTGCCATCGCCAAAATTCTGTATCTTAAGCTTTGTTCTGCATTTTGCAATTGTTCTAAGAGTCTGTTTCTCAGACACACACCCACGCGCGTGCACACACACACAAACACACACGCACGCACGCACGCAAGCAGGCAAGCAATACCTCTTGAGTATGTCTTCCCTTGATTGTTCACTTCACTACCGCTCAGCCTGACTAAACAACGTATTGGATTTAGCCAATGAGTATAGTTAACTATTTTTGCTTATGTGATTAGCTTCCATTTCAAAGTCAGCCTTAGAGCAGAGAACAAAATCTCCTTCTGGACAAACAAACAAAACTGCCAATAAATCTGCATGAAAGTGGAAGATGACCTGAAGCAGCTTGGTCTTAAGTGACCCTTACAGAATACTAGAGAAGGAGCTATCTTTTCAAGGAGAAAAAAGCCCAAAACAACAAAAGGATCATCCCTTTCTTCAAGGAGAAAATACATACTAAAAACACACTTCACCATTTTAGAAATGCCTGCATAACTTTAATTGTCAGCTCCTCAGGAAAAAAACCTTGTTTGTAAACTCTTCAGGGAGACAGGAAAAAATAATGCTGTACTGGCAAGCAATCCGTCCGAAACATTAATCACAGAATGCAACACTTATGTTTTGAGAAATGCTTGTTGGTTTAGATAATAATAATAAATATACTAGTTTTACCCATAGTTCTTCATATTACTACTGCCCCTTATGATAAGAAGGCTTTTGGCTGGAGAAAAAAAGTTAAAAGGGAAGATACAAATCAAACATCTGCAAATATGTAAGAACCTTTTCAAAGCTTTCTTTCTTTTAAATCAATCTTCACGGTAGATTTGTTACAACATAAAAGAGAGAACCACAGGGAAATAACAGAGAAGGAAAAAAAATGTTTTTAAAGGATTAGCAAAACTGATATTCTCATTTTCTCACTTCACCTTTAGCTTGATCTTTATCCGTAGTTCTGTTGAAAAGGATAATTGTTTTGTATCACTTTAAAAACCCACAATTTTCCCTAAGCCAACAGTAATATATGCTAATAAAAATTACCTTGTTAATAAGGGGATTTAGAATTACCAAAAATCTTCTGTTCTTATCCAGGAACAAAAAGATGCCTAACTTTTTTTTATTTAGCATCTTTTAAAAAGTGGTTTATTATAGAAATAATATGTAATGATACAGTAATACAATTGCACAAGATTTGTCCACAATATAAACTACCTTTAAAAATGTCCTTGGTGTGTATTTTGGGGATGGTGACTAATTATTCCTCTCACCTATTGCAGGCCATTTGCTCTTCATCAGCAGGGATAATAGAATGCCCATAAGTTGAACATGTGATTTGGGTTGTCTGTGTGTGGGATAAGTTTGACCTGACCTGGTGTATTAGTCCATTCTCAAACTGCTAATAAAGACATACCTGAGACTGGGTAATTAATAAAGGAAAGGTTTAATTGACTCACAGGTCAGCATGGCTGTGGAAGCATACATATCCTTCTTCACATGGCAGCAGCAAGAAGTGCCCAGCAAAAGGGGGAAAAGCCTCTTACAAAACTATCAGATCTCATGAGAACTCACTCACTCTCACAAGAAGAGCATGAGGGTAAACATCCCATGATTAAATTATCAATGCCTCCCACAGAGTCCCTTCTATGACATGTGGGGATTATGGGAACTACAATTCAAGATGAGATTTGTGTGGGGACAGAGGCAAACCATATCATTCTGCCCCTGGCCCCTCCCAAATCTCATGTCCTCACATTTCAAAACACAATCATGCCTTTCCAACAGCCCCCAAGGTCTTTTTTTTTTTTTTCTTTTGCTGACAGGGTGTCCCTCTGTTGCCCAGGCTGGAATGCAGTGATGTGATGTTGGCTCACTGCAACCTTCACCTCCCAGGTTCAAATGATTCTCCTGCCTCAGCCTCTAGGAGGCACACACCAACACACCTGGCTAATTTTTGTATTTTTGGTAGAGATGGGGTTTCACCATGTTGACCAGGCTGGTATCAAACTTCTGACCTCATGTGGTCCTCCTGCCTCGGCCTCCCAAAGTGCTGGGATTACAAGTGTGAGCCACCATTCCCAGCCCCAAAATCTTAACTCATTCCAGCACTAACTCAAAAGTCCAAGTCCAAAGTCTCATCTGAGACAAGGCAAGTCCCTTCCTCTTATGAACCTGAAACATCAAAAGCAAATTAGGTACTTCCTAGATACAATGGGGGTACAAGGATTGTGTAAATACATCCGTTCCAAATGGGAGAAGTTGGCCAAAACAAAGGGGCTACTGGTCCCATGCAAGTCTGAATTTCAATAGGGCAGTCATTAAATGTTAAAGTTCCAAAATGACCTCCTTTGACTCCATGTCTCATGTCCAGGGTACGCTTGCATAGCTATCTTGGATAGCTCTGCTCTTGTGGTTTTGCAGGTTACAGACCCCCTCCTGGCTGGTCCTCGGCTTTAGTGATGAGTTTTTTTATTATGAATTTAATATTTTTCCTTGTTATAGGTCTATTCATATTTTTTATTTCTTCTTGAGTGAGTTTCAGTAGTTCATGTCTTTCTGGAAATACTTCTCATTAGGTTATTTAAATTTAGGGCATACGGTTTATGAATTTATTTAAACACAATTTTTAATAAAGAGATCATTTATTTTTATTTTTTCTTTTTTGTGAGGATTTTTATTAGTATGTTTCCTTTTAAAATTTTTTTTATTATACTTTAAGTTTTAGGGTACATGTGTACAATGTGCAGGTTTGTTACATATGTATACATGTGCCATGTTGGTGTGCTACACCCATTAATTCATCATTTACATTAGGTATATCTCCTAATGCTATCCCTCCCCCATCCCCCACCTCATGACAGGCCCTGGTGTGTGATGCTCCCCTTCCTGTGTCCATGTGTTCTCACTGTTCAATTCCCACCTGTGAGTGAGAACATGCGGTGTTTGGTTTTTTGTCCTTGCGATAGTTTGCTCAGAATGATGGTTTCCAGCTTCATTCATGTACCTACAAAGGACATGAACTCATCTTTTTTATGGCTGCATAGTATTCCATGGTGTATATGTGCCACATTTTCTTAATCCAGTCTATCATTGATGGACATTTGGGTTGGTTCCAAGTCTTTGCTATTGTGAATAGTGCTGCAATAAACATACGTGTGCATGTGTCTTTATAGCAGCATGATTTATAGTCCTTTGGGTATATACCCAGTAATGGGATGGCTGGGTCAAATGGTATTTCTAGTTCTAGATCCTTCAGGAATCGCCACACCGTTTTCCACAATGGTTGAACTAGTTTACAGTCCCACCAACAGTGTAAAAGTGTTCCTATTTCTCCACGTCCTCTCCAGCACCTGTTGTTTCCTGACTTTTTAATGATTGCCATTCTAACTAGTGTGAGATGGTATCTCATTGTGGTTTTGATTTGCATTTCTCTGATGGCCAGTGATGATGAGCATTTCTTCATGTGTCTGTTGGCCATTCATATCCTTCAACCACTTTTTGATGAGGTTGTTTTTTTCTTGTAAATTTGTTTAAGTTCTTTGTAGATTCTGGATATTAGCCCTTTGTCAGATGAGTAGATTGCAAAAGTTTTCTCCCATTCTGTAGGTTGCCTGTTCACTCTGATGGTAGTTTCTTTTGCTGTGCAGAAGCTCTTTAGTTTAATTAGATCCCATCTGTCAATTTTGGCTTTTGTTGCCATTGCTTTTGGTGTTTTAGACATGAAGTCCTTGCCCATACCTATGTCCTGAATGGTATTGCCTAGGTTTTCTTCCAGGGTTTTTATGGTTTTAGGTCTAACATTTAAGTCTTTGGTCCATCTTGAATTAATTTTTATATAAGGTGTAAGGAAGGGATCCAGTTTCAGCTTTCTACATATGGCTAGCCAGTTTTCCCAGCACCATTTATTAAATAAAACCTTTCCCCATTTCTTGTTTTTGTCAGGTTTGTCAAAGATCAAATGGTTGTAGATGTGTGGTATTATTTCTGGGGGCTCTGTTCCATTCCATTGGTCTATATGTCTGTTTTGGTACCAGTACCATGCTGTTTTGGTTACTGCAACCTTGTAGTATTGCTTGAAGTCAGGTAGTGTGATGCCTCCAGCTTTGTTCTTTTTGCTTAGGATTGACTTGGCAATGTGGGCTCTTTTTTGGTTCCATACGAACTTTAAAGTATTTTTTTTCCAATTCTGTGAAGAAAGTCATTGGTAGCTTGATGGGGATGGCATTGAATCTATAAATTACCTTGGGCAGTATGGCCATTTTCACGATATTGATTCTTCCTACCCATGAGCACAGAATGTTCTTCCATTTGTTTGTATCCTCTTTTATTTTGTTGAGCAGTGGTTTGTAGTTCTCCTTGAAGAGGTCCTTCACATCCCTTGTAAGTTTTATTCCTAGGTATTTTATTCTCTTTGAAGCAATTGTGAATGGGAGTTCACTCATGATCTGGCTCTCTGTCTGTTATTGGTGTATAAGAATGCTTGTGATTTTTACACATTGATTTTGGATCCTGAGACTTTGCTGAAGTTGCTTATGAGCTTAAGGAGATCTTGGGCTGAGACGATGGGGTTTTCTAAATATACAACCATGTCATCTGCAAACAGGGACAATTTGACTTCCTCTTTTCCTAATTGAATATCCTTTATTTCTTTCTCTTGCCTGATTGCCCTGGCCAGAACTTCCAACACTATGTTGAATAGGAGTGGTGAGAGAGGGCATCCCTGTTTTGTGCCAGTTTTCAAAGGGAATGCTGCCAGTTTTTGCCCATTCAGTATGATATTGGCTGTGGGTTTATCATAAATAGCTCTTATTATTTTGAGATAAGTTCCATCAATACCTAGTTTATTGAGAGTTTTTAGCATGAAGCGTTGTTGAATTTTGTCAAAGGCCTTTTCTGCGTCTATTGAGATAATCATGTGGTTTTTGTCTTTGGTTCTGTTTATATGCTGGATTACATTTATTGATTTGCGTATGTTGAACCAGCCTTGCATCCCAGGGATGAAGCCCACTTGATCATGGTGGATAAGCTTTTTGATGTGCTGCTGAATTCGGTTTGCCAGTATTTTATTGAGGATTTTTGCATTGATGTTCATCAGGGATATTGGTCTAAAATTCTCTTTTTTTGTTGTGTCTCTGCCAGGCTTTGGTATCAGGATGATGCTGGCCTCATAAAATGAGTTAGGGAGGATTCCCTCTTTTTCTATTGATTGGAATAGTTTCAGAAGGAATGGTACCAGCTCCTCCTTGTACCTCTGGTAGAATTTGGCTGTGAATCCATCTGGTCCTGGACTTTTTTTGGTTCGTAGGATATTAATTATTGCCTCAATTTCAGAGCCTGTTATTAGTCTATTCAGGGATTCAACTTCTTCCTGGTTTAGTCTTGGGAGGGTGTATGTGTCCAGGAATTTATCCATTTCTTCTGGATTTTCTAGTTTATTTGCATAGAGGTGTTTGTAGTATTCTCTGATGGTAGTTTGTATTTCTGTGGTATAGGTGGTGATGTCCCCTTTATCATTTTTTATTGCATCTATTTGATTCTTCTCTCTTTTCTTCTTTATTAGTTTTGTTAGTGGTCTATCCATTTTGTTGATCATTTCAAAAAACCAGCTTCTGGATTCATTGATTTTTTGAAAGGTTTTTTTGTGTCTCTATTTCCTTCAGTTCTGCTCTGATCTTAGTTATTTCTTGCCTTCTGCTAGCTTTTGAATGTGTTTGCTCTTGCTTCTCTAGTTCTTTTAATTGTGATGTTAGGGTGTCAATTTTAGATCTTTCCTGCCTTCTCTTGTGGGCATTTAGTGCTATAAATTTCCCTCTACACACTACTTTAAATGTGTCCCAGAGATTCTGGCATGTTGTGTCTTTGTTCTCATTGGTTTCAAAGAACATCTTTATTTCTGCCTTCATTTCGTTATGTAGCCAGTAGTCATTCAGGAGCAGGTTGTTCAGTTTCCATGTAGTTGAGCGGTTTTGAGTGAGTTTCTTAAACCTGAGTTTTAATTTATTAGAACTCTAACTATTAATGTGGAGGTTACATTGCCAGAGGGAGTGTAAAACATGGCTAACTAATTGAAAAAACTGTTGGTCAGTTTCTTATAAAGTTAAATATACACCTATACTATGACCTAGGAATTCCACCTCTAAATATCTTCTCAAGAGAAATAAATACATATGTCCACACAAAGACTTGCATATCATCAATGTGTATAGCAGCTTTAAGCATAATAGCAATAAACGGAAACAACCCAAATGTTATTCAAAACGTGAATAAACAAATTATGGTATATCCATGCAATGGAATACTACTCAGTAATACAAATGGACAAATTGATCAGTGTAGCAACATGGGTAAATTTCCACATGAAACAAAAAAAGAAAAGGTTTACACAGAAAAAAATACATACAATTTCACTTATATGAAGTTCAAGAACAAGTACCACTAAAACTATAGTGCTGAAAATCAGAACCATAGTAACCTTTGTTGTGGGGATTCATTGGAAGACTCACAAGGGAAGCTTCTGGGGTGACGGTAATGTTCTATATCTTAGTAGGGGTGTATACACTTGCCCAAAGACATCTAATTGTGTATTTAAGATCTGTACTTTTCATAATAAGTACAATATAACTTAATTTAAAAAGAAAAAAAAGGCTCAGCTGTGAACCTTTCTACTTTTTCTAGTTTCTTCTATAATTTCAATCTTGAGAAAGCTCATAAAACTATACCTTAACAAAAGAAAAGGTACATATTCTTGGTTGGGAAGACAATACCATAGGAATATCACCTCTCCTACAAATAATATTAAATTTAATATATTTTCTATGAAAATGTCAAGAAGGAGTTTTGTTGTGGCTATTTGACTTTGATTTTGAAATTTGATAAAATGTATTCAAACTTTAGGAGGAAAGTGTAAAAAGAAAACCAGTAAGGGAGACTTTAAGAAATATTAGAACATACCATAAAGTCATAAAGTTATAATCAAAACAATATGACACTAGCATAGAAACTGACGAACAGATCAGTGACACCAACTAGAATATATTTCCCATCATCCCTTGTCATTGAGTGGCCACGCATCTGAGCTCTGGCTTATGAAACAAGCACAGAAACATTGTACACCACCTTCAGACTTGTCCCATTAAAGTCTTATATACCTGATTCTCCATGCACTTTTCCACTTCTGGCTAACTAGTTGGAATAGTGATGACTACCAGGGCCACCCTAGAAGCCTTGTATTGAAGACAGAGAGCCCACAAGATGAAAGAAATCAGGTTCCCAAATCGCTGTTTGGAAGAAGCAAGCTAGAAGACCTTCCTGCCCAGAAATACCTACACTAGTTTAGCAAATAATCTTTTATTATGTTAGGCCGCCGAGATTTGGAGGGACTTATATGTTACAGTGGTTAGTTATAAAGATCCAAATTTGTAGAATAAAGCATAGATTATAAAATTATTTTAGCTAGATAACTGTCGAACCATTAAGAACAAATAAAATTAGGCTCTTTATCATAAATAATAATGAGTTGCAGATAGACTAAAGAGTTGTTTTTTAAGAAATAAAACAAATCTTGTTAAAGCTCTTTGTGAATACGTATATGAACAAGCAGTTACCTTTTAATCAAGATTAAAAATTCTAAGTTGTTAGGTTGGTGCAAGAGTAATTGCAGTGTTTGCCATTAAAAGTAATTACTGGTGCATCAACCTGTATTTTATTTAAAATGTAATATAAGCCATTTAAAATATTAATATAAACATATTTAAAGCTACAATGTTACAAAGGATGAGATTTTAGAGACTAAGTCATAAAAGGCACGGCAACGTCCTCTCCTCTACCTCTCAGATCACTCACTCTGGGAGAAGTTAGCTGCGATGTGGTGAGCAACCCTAGAGAGAGGCACAAGTGGTAAGGAACTAAAGCCTCCTGACTACAGTTAGTGGTATACATGCATACAAGCAAGTAACAATCATTCTTCTAAGAGCTTGTCATATATTAGTTCATTTAATTCTCATAACTCTTTGAGGTAGGTTTTATGATCTTCATTTTACAGATGAGGAAACTGAGTCACAGGAAATTTACAAAACTTTTTCAAAGTCACACAGGTTGTAAGTGATGGTACTGGGATGAGAAGAATATTGCCTCTTATGTCCATGCTCTTAATTAGACACATTAGTAGGTTATTAACATGAGTTGGAGATAGGGGTAGAAGCCTGGAGAGCTGAAAGACTGGTTGAACAAAGAAAACAGGATTATAACATCATCACAGTTATGCACTTGTAAAATTATTATATACATATAAAGCCATTTGTAATAATAAGAAAGTGAAATTCTATGAGTGAATATATATGAAATTTTTAATTGGCTTAGCTTATACAAAGAGTAAGTTGTCTTAATTATAATGAATTCACTGTAGTTTCTATTTTTATTCAATTTTACTCATTCAACAAGTATTTAGTCAGCACCTACTATATGTCAGAACAAATAGTGTGCATATTTGTATTACGTGCTGAGGGAAACAGCAGGAAGGCATAGCTTCTCAACTCAAGGGGCTGTCAGTAGTAGAAGATGGAAATCAGCAAATTTGCCATATAATTAAATTATGTGACCCTCCTCACACCTGTAATTCCAACAGGACAGACATAATTAGTTTTCAAGTAGCACTTAAAAATAATAATTAAGTGTATGCTGATATCTGCAAATCAACTATGCCAACCAACCACCTATGCTAACAAAACAACTATGCTAACCATTCTCAATTCCTCCTAGCCAACTATTTCATGTGTCTAGGCTAAAATAATATAGATGTACCTAGCATTACCTCATAGACTCAAGTGATCATAAAACCTGAACCAAAAAGCAATAAAAATGAGAAGTAAATAATATTTGATTTGTAGGTCTTTTTATTTCAAAAATTCAGTGTATAATCAAGGCTTTGGACATAGCAAAAGAAAGTCATATATATCTTTTGATCTAGGATTTGTTAGAGTAGTTTAGATTTATATGCTGATACTGAGTCCATAAATGCATAAATCCCTGCTGATTCCATCTGGATGAGACCTTTGGCAGTGTCATCTGTCAGCGTTCACACAGAGATTGGTTGGGCTTCCTTTCAGAAGCAGTCTTCAAATTACTTTATATATTGAAGCCTATTATACTAACAAAGTATTTGCCAAATTAGTGTCACAGAATACTAAATGCTGATTTTGCAATACTCCTCTCAATTAGAATCCCTGTGTGGAAGCCAGGCTACACCAAGCAAGGAAGCATTTGATTATTAGAAACTCACTGGAACAAACTGTGCCTATATTCATTCCTATTTCATAAACTACCTTAAAAATAGGCATGGAATAATGCCTTAATATACTTTCACAGAAAAAAAAAAAACTAAGGCAAAATAAGGTCATTAAGTGCTTCACTGCAGAACAGGCATAAAAGAAACAGGAGAGAGACTGCAGCCCACTGAGCAGGGCATTTTCTGTCTTCCATTTTACATGAAATAACTCTGGAGAATCTTGCACAAGAGCCAACCAAAGAAGGAAGGCGTAGACCCTTCCTCTGAATCAGCACCTCATGCAGTAACTGGCTTGTAATTCTCAATTTTCATGAATGAATGAATGAATGGCTCTCCAACTGCATCTTCTACCACTCACTCTGTTTCTCCTTATGATTCTGCCACACTCAGGGACTTTGCACTTGCAGAACTCCCCACCAGGAATCTGTCTCCAATTTTCCTCCAGGTCTCTACTCTTATTTCACTTTTTAAAGATCCTTTCCTGATCACCCTAACCAAAGGAACTTCACACCCCCGACTCACCATCTTTCCTTCACCTTGTTCTGTTTCCCTTAGCAGCAGGCATCATTCTCTGATAGTGTCTTTGTCATTTATTTTTTACTTGTTAATTGCCTGATTCCCTTTCTGCAGAAGGACAGCTTGGTGAGGGCAGAAGAACCTTGGCTGGTTGAGTCACTGCTATATTCCTAGTGTTTAGAGCTATGCCTGGCACATATTAGGCACTCAACTAATATTTGTTGAATGAACAAATGAGAGAGAGACAGAAAAAAGCTAGAGACAGAATGCTAATACAGAAAGACTGTAAATGTTCATTCTAGCTTAAGTTCTTAAGTTGGATACTCCCAATGGAGTTTCCTTAACATCCACAGAAATATCTAGTACACTTTCAAAAGTCTTCCTTTTCAGCAGATTATTTCATGACTGAATCGTGATGGGTCTTTCTACTTGATTCACAACATTGCAAGGCCAGCAGTGGCTTTTGGCTCCAGTGCATGATCTTTAATTTCCTGTCTAATCTATGGCAAGGTTTAAAAACCAAAAGATGAGAGAGAGCCACTCATCAAATTAATAGTGCCAGTTTTATTTCCCTGATGTCTCTAGTGCATTCATGCTGGGGACAAGCCACTTAGACATCTCATTACTTTAATTTCCTCTTCTTTCAACTGTGGGATTAACTAATATGGTTATTAAGAGGATTAATGAGATGACGTTTTTATAATGCTGAAGGTGCTATATACATTTTTTTAAAACATAATTAAAATGCTATTTCCTTCTCGTCTCTCTCTTTCTCTTTCTTTTTCTGTTTCCAACGCAGAGCCCAGGGTTTCATCTCCTTCCTCCCACAAATTACAGAAAATCACTGCCATTGTGTAATTGCAGTTTAAACAGGCTTTGGAGGTATATGTCTGTTTTGTAAAGCACAGCTCTTCCCGCTTCTGGCGCCAAATCTGATGACTATAATGAGATGTTGATAAACACGATAATGATAATGGCTCTGACAGCTTTATTCCTGAAGATGTCATTATCTGTGGGAACCATCAGACACCTAGGCCATACCTTAGTCATGGAAGCTGAGTGGATTCTAACCATTAAAGCTGCAATTATACAACCACTCCCGATGACGTTGCCCTTTTCATTATTTTTATCATTTGGGGAATCATCCAAGTCTTACATAAAAATATTTTTAACTCTGTCTGCCGAAGCACGCCTCTGTGGATCTTACACTTAATCTCTGCTGCCTTCACATCATGTTGCTTACTTATCAGGACAAGGAAGGTTATGTGCCAAAGAGTTTACCGTTTGCTAAAAATTCTGATAATCTTTGTGTTACCACTCAGAGTAGCTACATGCAGGCAAGGCATCCACTTTCCACAAGTGGGATTGTCAACAAAGATGCGAAGACAACATTTGCTGCCAGTGAGCTGTGGGAAAGCTGATAGGTACCCTGAGTGCTGGAGCCTGAACTTTCTCGGACACATTATAGAAGAGCAGTAAGCTTATCACCAACCTCCAGTAGGACAAGGTTGGGTTGTCTGTCTGCTGGTGTATCCTAGAACCTGACTTGCAGAATGCTGAACATCCGCTCTAGTTCCCCAGCATGTACACCTCTGAATCTTAGCTTCTTGAACACATCAAGTATCTTCCTGATTCAGGGGCTTCAAATATGTTTATTCTGTCTGCCTAGAACTCTATTCTCCCAAATTTTTGAAAATTTAATTTCTGCTCATTGTTCTGGTGTATATACAACTTCCTCAGGGGAAGCCTCTCTGATCACCCAAACTAGATCAACATATTAGTAAGTCTTGACTGCAAACAACAGAATACTCAACTAAAGTTGTCTTTAACACTGAGGACTTACGTTTCCTCACCTAACAAGAAGTCCATATGCAGACAGTTCTGGATTGACTCAGAGGTTCAAAGTTATGTTAGAGCCCTGGGTCTGCTTTTTGCCATTTTCATGGCTTTCCTTCATAATCACAAGAAGGCTACAACTGCTCCAGGCATCAGGTCCTCATGTAACAATAGGTAAAGTAGAAAAGAAGGGAAGGATTTTCTCTTCATGTTTCTCTCTTTATCAGGGAGGAAAATCTTTTCCAAAAGTGTCCCTGTATCTCGCAGACTTACACTCAAATAACACTGGACAGGATTTAGCCACATGTCCATACCCCATACCTACTGGGAAAGTCAGGATCTGGCAGTTTTAGTCTCTAAAGAAGGTAAATTTTGTGGGCAAGGGAGAAGAGATGTTGAGTAGGCAATCAGCAACACCGAGCAAAATAGGCTCTTTCATTTATGTGTTCTCATAGCATCCTGTACCTTTCTTTTGTACCTCTTATAACAATTGTTCTTATGTAATTATCTGTGCTCAACTGTAAACTCCATGAGGACAGAGTCTGTGGCCTACTTGTTCATCATTGACCTCATTTCCTAACACAATGCCTGGCCCCATGTCCACCTACATAATTTGTGGGACCCACACAAAATAACAATGAAGAGCTCCTTGCTTCAAAAAGCAGGAAAGTGTATTACAATATAAAGTGATTCCTTTCCACATTCGCTCTCTTGACTTACTATGGTGCATTTGCTACTTAATATTGTCCTAAGAAAAGTTTAAATTGTAAACTTTTAGCATAAGTTTTTGTCATTTATCTCTATGTTGTATATTGCCAGATCTAAATGTAAGTATACGTGCATTTAACTTGTGTGGAATCATCAAAATTACAGTTTGGATTTTGTAGCTCACACTTACATGTGTATATTCTCAACAGAATAGTACAAATGCTGCACAAAACCAACTCAACTGTTTTAGTTCATTTCTTTATATATATATATTCAATCTATCAATGCTATCTAATGAGTATGGAATGATTGAAAGGAAAAGAAACTCTCCCTTCCTATATCATTATTTGTGGTGCAACAAAACTAAGAAAGAATATTGATAGGGTTCCTTGATTGTCTGCTTCTTAGAATACCAATGCTTCCTTTTTGTGTTTGAAGCAAATTCTGGATTGAATGGAAAGTGCTGTCCCTTGGGGTCATCAGCACCACCACATACTCAGTCCTAGACATAACACACTTACCTTGTACTTATTTTGAGTCTCACTAAACTCCTACATATCATGGGTGTACTGGAATTTGAATACTCATGGGCATCACAAATGCTATAGGAAAATGGAGAAGCAAGAAATGAGGTAGACACACATGTTGTGTATGTCCCCTCTGCTCAGTCATATGATCTGTTGTCCCATTAGACTTCATTTATACAACATACGTTCAACCATAAAATGATAAAGAAATTCAAGATGGTGACAACAACGTGTTAAACCAACCACAGGGCCTTTCTGAGCATGGGACCCTCTATGACTACACACATTCTATGTCCATGAAGCTGGACTTGTCTCACCTATCCCTACATACTCAATAGTATTTGATGGGTGAATAAGTGAATGAACGAATACATCTCTTTGCTCTGTTTTCTAAAGAATTTCATATGTTTCTGACATGTCCTCTGAATTCACTGCTCAGGTTCTTAAATCCTTTTCCTAATCATTGCACGAAGTTCAGGTAGAAGGCACACTAGGCTCTTGGTAGTTCAGGAATGAAGGAAGGGTGAAATGCTCAAAGAATGGGCCAGAGAGGAGTCCTCTGGTCCTTAAAGATGGAGTCAACAGTCCATGATATAGGGCCCACAGGATGATGGGAAACTTGAAGTATTAGATAGGGTTCCCCAGAAAAACAGAACCAATAGGTATATTTATAATACCAGTAGGTATATTTATAATAGTTAACGCCCATAATAATATATTTATTATGGGCGTTAACTCATGCAACTTTGGAAGTTGGAAAGTCCTACAATCTGCCATCTGGAAGCTAGAGAACCAGGAAAACCAGAGGTGTAATTCAGTCTGAGTCTGAAGTCCTGGAAACTAGGGGAGCCAATGGTATAATTCTAAGTTGAGAAGGCCTGAGAAGTGGGGAAACAGAGAGAAGCTGGGGAGACCATTAGTGTAACTCCCAGACCCTGAACACCCCTGAACCAGGAGCTCCGATGTCCAAGGGCAGGAGAAGATAGATATTTCAGCTCAAGAAAAGACAGTAAATTCATCCTGCCCCTGTCTTTTTGTTCTATCTTGGGCCTTCAATGAATGGCATGATACTCACATTGGTGAAGGTGATCTCTTTACTCAGTCCACTAGTTCAAATGCTAATGTCTTCTGGAAACATACTCACAGACACACCCAGCAATAATGTTTTACCAGCTATCTGGACATCCCTTAGCCCAGAAAAGTTGACACATAAATTAACCATCACACTTGGGTTGGGGCACCTGGGCCTCAACGTCTGTAGGGGTTTAATTTCAGCACAATAGGAGACCTGAAGCAGGGCCAACCAACTGCACAACTAGTGCCAACTGTGTCAACCATAGTGTGAATGATGCTCCTGGTGTTGTGAAGCAGTGGCCTGGGCTGGGCATTGTGGTTCTCTGTTATCAGAACCACAAAATTAACAGAGAACAAGAAAAGATCTATACAAGACTGGACTCCAGCCAAGTGGACTAATGTTTTAAGTAGAACTCCAATCCATACAGGAACTGCCATCTTAAACTTCAGATTGATACCAAAATCCGAGTATAAGAGCTTGGATTCATTGCATAGTGATAATTTAGTAAGAACACAGGTAATCCATACAAAGTTACATACAAATAAAAAAATAGTAAGTGTGGGAGTTATAAACATTTCATATAGAGAGGTTTTATCTCCCCAACAAGAGTGTAAAATTCTCAAGGGCAAGAAATATTTGGTTCTGGCTTCTTAGACAGAGTCAGCTAAATTTTCATACTGGTTTATTTATGCAGCTTTAAGCAAGCTATTAAGCCTCACTGAGGCTTTCTTCTTATCTATAAAGTGAGAACAATAACACCTACCTCACAGGATTAATGTGATTGCTAACTGTAAACCACCTAGCACAGTGTCTGCCATATGATAATTCTCAAAAAAAAAGAAAAGGACATGGTCATTATTATTGTTTTAGTTTTCATATTCTCCAAGACACTTGTTGGCTTGACCACTTCAAAGCCTCATATTATGAAATCCTTAGAGAAAGTCTAGGCCAGAATATTTATTTTAATATCAAAAGGAAACACTAACGGCCATTATTCTGTTCAAAAACTTCCAACCGTACCACATTTTTGCAAAATTAATTCCTTGCCTCAACATTCAAACCATATAGAATATTGCCCCAATTTATCCTCATATTCTTACCTTTTCATAGTCCCTGTCCCAGTCAGTCTTGACTATCTTCTGCTCTCCTATGTATTACTCATGTCTTCCTGCCTTTGTTCATGCTACCAAGATGTTCAAACTTACCCTATTCACCACTCCCCAAGTGCTTCACGAAATTGGTCTTCATCCTCTAGACCTGCCTGTAATCTCTACTTCTGTAGTGACTCACTTTTGCCTTTCCTATTTGATCCAGATGACTAACATACATGTTCATTTTTTAAAATAAATAAATTGGATTTGTGTCTTTTCCTAAGGTTTGAATTAGATACTTCCCTAACTTTCTGCTTATGAAAATATTCCTTCTTTTCAAACTGTCTACAATTCTGCATTCATTACTTTCAGAAGTACTAGAACCTTTTATTCTTTCTGCTTTGTGTAAAAAACTACTTCAGACTGTGGACGTCTACATCGCCCCTGAAGTACAGTACTCACAAGGTATTCTTAGGCTTCAACATGTTTGAGAATTAACAAACTTTCCACATTTGAAAAGGAGGAATTTCTTTCCACAAAAATATTAATCCACTAAGAGGGATCAAGTGGTGTTTTAAATTTCTAAGTATTTCTACGAAAGTTATATTTCACTATGTTTTCCAAATACCGAATTGTATTTCACACAGTCATCAGTGTACAAACATACTCCTAATCTCCTAATTTTTTTTAAAAAAAAACAAACTACCTTGACTGTAAACTTATTGGAAGAGTTATTTCTAGTTAAGATCTCTACCTCCATATACCTAACCTACTCCAAATACGCTTCAATCCACATCATATCTCAAAGATTGTTCTGCTATGACCTCCATGTTGCTAACTCTATAGGTCACTTCTTTCTCCTCTTTCAGCAAGAATCAACACAATTGCCTGCTCCATCCTTCTTGAAATGTCTCCCTTTTTTGGCTTTCATGACATCAGACTTTTTTGGTTCTCTTTTTACCTCACTGAGCTGATAATTCCTCTTCTCCTAAACTCTAAATGTTGGAGTGAACTAGGGCTATGTCCAAAACCCAGTCAGATCTCATCTATATAAGAGGCAAATCAAATCTTGGTTGTGAAATTTAAGTCCTTGAACCTGTACATCCATGGCCAACTTGACATCTTCAATTAGATGTTGCAGAAATAACATGGTCAAAACAAGTCCTGACTCACAGCTCTCCCTGGTCTTATTTTCCACCAGCCTTACCCATCCCAGCAAGAGGTACCACCATCCACCTAATTCCTCAAACCAAAAATGTACAACTTAACTTAAACCTTTATCTACTTTACTCCCCATCTCCATTCCATCTATTGGTCTTGTCATCTCTATCACTTATAATTGTTCATTTCTCCACTTACCCATTTCACCACATCCCTAGTATAAGCCACCATCCCTTCACACCTGTTCTTACAGCAACATCTCCCCGACGGGGATTCCTTCTTCCTTTCTTGTACCTTGCTACAGAATATTCTTCACAATATTTTCTTTTAAAAACATGTGATCTTTTAAAATGTACTTCAGTGTGTGATCTTATAAAAATGTATCTAAGATTGAGTCACCCCCAAATCTTATCCTACCTGAGAATCTCTGGGTGGCTTTTAATCACATTTAAAATAAAACCTGAACTCTTACAATAGTTGGCAAAGCCCTCCATAATTCAGCCCTGCTTATGTCTCTGATCTTATCTCTTACCACTCTTCCCTTGCCCACTCCACTCCAGCCATAGAATTAGTTTTCAAACACACTGAGATTATTCCAACTCAAAGGCCTTTGCACTAGCATTTTCCTCTGCTGAAATATTCTTCCAATTGTTCTTTGTATAATGGTATACTGCTTCTCATTTAACTCTCGAGTTTCATCTCCTCCTAGAGACACTTGATGACCACTCAATCTACAGGAGCTCCTGCTGACTCATATCTTTCCATCCCATCACCCTAATAGTTATCATATCCAACACTTCTTTCTTTCTTTTCCTTCCTACATTCTTTCCTTTCTTTCTCTATCCAATTTTTATACTCTTGCTCAAATCCTGTCTCAGAATGTGCGATGGTTTGAATATGTCCCTCAAAGTTCATGTGTCAGAAACTTAATCCTCAATGCAGTGTTGAGAGGTGGGTCCTTCAAGAGGTGATTAGGTCATGAGGGCTCTGCCCTCATGAATGGATTAAGGCTGATGGGTTTCTGATAAAAGGGTGAGTTTGACCCCATTTCTCTCACATGCATGTGCCCACTTGCTTTTCTGCCTCCTGCTATGGCATGATGCAGCAAGAAGGCCCTCATCACATGTGGGCTCCTCAACCTTAGATCCAGACTTAAGAAATAAATCTCTGTTCATGATGAATTACTCAGTCTCAAGTCAATAGCAGCACAAAATAGACTAAGACAGAAAGTTCCCTGTGAGCAAGGGTCCTTGTATGTCTTGATCACTACTACATGTATGGCCCATAAACTGTCCCCGACACATAGAGGGTCAGTATTACTATGTTTATGATCCTACACACACACACACAGACACACACACACACACACACACACACACACACACCCCTTACTGGACTATCAGGGTATCCAGGACTTGTGATTCTGCTATTATGGTGCAGGAACTGACAAGTGAAGATAAGAATTCAGAACTCAGGCCTGTAGTTACCAGCCTGATGGGCAGTGGCTCTGAGCCATGTTAAGTTTATGAAGAATCCAGCAAGGGAAAGAAATACATGATCACAGTCTTCAGGAATGCAATGGAATGATTTTTTTTTTTTCCCCGAAACAGCCCTAGGGGCTGCCCTCCAAAGAAAGCAAGAAATCGTGATACTAGGGACATTCCACTCTCTGGGTGGTGAGGCGAGTGTCTGAATCTCTCTTTCACCCACTCACCCCCACCTGAGGCCTAGGTTATTTCTATATTAAAGTCAGCAGCTCTGACCATTACCAACCTGCTTTGTATTCCTCATTCTCCTCATGATTGTTTTTTCAACAAAACTTCAATAAAGTAGTATAAGAGAAAAGGAATGTATTCCCAGTCAAGCAATGACTGGAAAGAATTCAGAAATACCAAGAGACAAGCAGGCAGGCAATTTCAGAAAACACAAAACCAGGAAAAATGATGAAGAAAAATATATCCACTTGAATGTAGATTAAAAAAAAAAAAGAACTCTTCAAACCCCATTAAACCTTAGATCTTTAAAAATGTTCCCTTAGACTTGACCAGTATTTGAGGACATCAATCAAATCTTCTCTTTAACTCCTGAAGAAAAGAAACACATCACTTCTCTTAAAAGAAGCTTTCTGGGTATGGATTGATATCTTTCAGAAAATAGACGGGTAAGGCTCAGATCTGCTCTTTGATTTTCACTCACCCAAGGGACGTTTTCTGAAATGTTTTATTTATACGGGGAGCATTTACCAAATGCTCCCATGGGGTGGGAGACTAGTTTTAAAAAAATATTAAACACTTGGAAACCAATTAAGGCAATGTTGCCAGTTTCCCAATCTTTTTTCTTTTTAGGCAGAGTCTCACTCTGTCGCCTAGGCTGGAGTACACTGCTGTGGTCACAGCTCACTGCAGCCTCAACCTGCCACCACAGCCTTCCAAGTAGCTAAGACCACAGGTGCACACCACCACGCCTGGGTAATTTTTGTATTTTGCCATGCTGCTAAGCCTCGTCTCAAACTCCTGTACTCAAGTGATCCACCCTTCTTGGCCTCCCAAAGTGCTGGGATTGCAGGCATGAGCCACTATGCCCAGCCTCTGTTTTTCTTTTTCTTTTTTTTCTTTTTAGAGACGGAGTCTCGCTCTGTCGCCCAGGCTGGAGTGCAGTGGCGCAATCTCGGCTCACTGCAACCTCCGCCTCCCAAGTTCAACCAATTCTCCTGCCTCAGCCTCCCGAGTAGCTGGGACTACAGGCGCCCACTGCCACGCCTGGCTAATTTTTTTTTGTATTTTAGTAGAGACGGGGTTTCACTCCAATATTTTAAAGTTGATAAATAGTAAATAAGAGAAACTGATAAATACATAAAATATTACTTCCTATAGTTTCTTTTTTACAAAATGCAAATGCTCTGACATTTTACCTGTATGTTTCCCCATAAATTAATTTACTTAAAATATGCTTCTAGAAAAAGGCAGTATTTTACCAAAATGAGGAATAAAACAACATAGTATATTTATGAATATACTTGTACATTTCCATCCTCTATAATTTAAGAGTCATTAAAATAAGCACCGTAAATATAAGAAATGATATTCAATTGTTTAATAAAAAACACAAAGGGGTCTCAATATATGGTATTGAACAGCTAGTTTGACAACAAGGAGATTTTTTCAGTATCTGTTCATTGTGTTTTATGGATATTCCTCTTCCACTATTTACTTATATTCATAATATTTATATATTATTTTATAAGTAATATTATATTATTTTATAAGTAATATTATATTACTTATATTTCTATCACCTCTAATTGATAATTGTATATATTCTGAAAAATAAGACCAAATATTTAAGTACTAATATTAAGTTATTATTTTGCTCAGAATCCTCAATATTCAAAATGTTATTTAGCATATTTACATTCACCAGTGGGAAAAAACGAATATTTGATTTGGATAGTCTTTTATTTATTTTGCTTGTTTGCTTTTTCTCTTATGACAGATGGTTTTAACACAGAGGGAATAAAAACAGGATTCTTGTTTATCAAGGGATCATCTGTTTCTGGTGTGTAGTCCTCACCTGTAAAGCACAATCCAATGTTGCAGCATCACAGCTTGTTGTTGTAAAAATATGAGTTCTGATGTGGTCTCCTGACACCATGTACAACTACACTTTGTGCTGCACTGGGTCATATTTTTAGTTACTATGTCAAGACTCACTTATGTGTGCCCTACTGATCCGTCTCACCAGGTGGGTGGCCAACAGTGTTAACAGTAGATACCAGAAAGCAAAGCTCACTCCTAAAATACCCAACAAGTATTTTTTCAAAATTATTTAACTTATGTGTTTATCATTTGCCAAAACCAGTCAATTGCCTTCCCTCTGTTTGAGTCAAAGCCAAAGGAACATATTCAAAGATTCCCCCACAAGAGCAATGATAACATAATGATCAAGCCCAAAGTTAGTAAGGAAAATCAAGACTGGGCATTGGTGGCTCACGCCTGTAATCCCAGCACTTTGGGAGGCTGTGGTGAGTGGGTCATCTGAGGTCAGGATTTTGAGACCAGTCTGGCCACCATGGTGAAACCCCGTCTCTACTAAAAATACAAAAATTAGCTGGATGTGGTGGCGGGTGCCTGTAGTCCCAACTACTCGGGAAGCTGAGGCACAAGAATTGCTTGAATCTGGGAGGCAGAGGTTGCAGTGAGCTGAGATTGTGCCACTGCACTCCAGCCTGGGTGACAGAGTGAGATAAGTGATTTTTGTAGTTTTTTAATAAAATTTTAATTTTGGAATGTTTTAGATTTTCAGAAAAGTTGCAAAGATAGCACAGAGGGGTTTTGTGTAACCTGTATCCAGTTTCCCCATTGTTAACATCCTTCATTAATGTGGCACATTTGTCACAACTAATAAACTAGTATTACTAAATTGCTATTAAGTCTGTATTTTATTCAGATTTCTTTTGTTTTATCCTAATGCCCTTTTTCTTTTTTAAGATCCTATCTGGGATATCTCACTAACATTAAGTTGTTGTGTCTCCTTAAACTTTTTTTTTTTTTTTTTTTTTTTGAGATGGAATTTAATTGCCCAGGCTGGAGTGCAATGGCATGAAATTGGCTCACTGCAACCTCCGTCTCCTGGGTTTAAGCTCTTCTCCTGCCTCAGCCTCCCAAGTAGCTGGGATTATAGGCAACCACCACCACACCCAGCTTTTTTTTTTTTTTTTTGGATTTTTAGTAGAGACAGGGTTTCAGTAGAGACCAGGCTGTTCTCGAACTCCTGACCTCAGGGGATCTCCTCATCTTGGCCCCTCAAAATGCTGGGATTACAGGCATGAGCCACTGAGCTCGGCCGTTAAACTCCTCTTGACTGTGACATTTTCTCGAACTTTCCTTGTTTTTGATGGCCTTGACAGTTTTGAGGAGTACTGGTCAGGTATTTTGGAGACTGTTCCTCCATTTGGTTTTGTCTTAAGTTTTTCTCATGATTAAACATGGTTTATGGGTTTGAGGGGGGAAGACCATAGAGTTACAGTGCCACTTTTATCACATCATCCCGTCATCATGACTTGTCACTGTAGATGTTAACCTTGATTCACTGGTTGAGGTAGTGTTTTACAGATTTCTCCACTGTAAAGCTACTTTTTTCCCTCCTTTACACAATTGGCTCTGGAAGGAAGTTATCATGTGCAGGCCATACTTAAGGAGGGAAGAGTTATGCTCTACCTCTTTGAGAAAGGGATATCAATAAGTTATTTGGCATTCTTTTGCACAGATTTTTTTGTTTTCCTCATATTTATTCTATATTCAATTATTTATTCATATGATTATCGACTCATGGATATTTATAGTATGCTTTGGGTTATAATCTAATACAATGGTATCCATTTTGTTGTCAAATTATTCCAGCTGGGCCTTTAGAAGCTCTTCCTGTTGGCTCCTGTGTCCTTTTGACATGTAATCCTTGTTTTGTTTTTTGAGCAATTCCTTAATTTCTGGTGCTACAAGATGCTCCAGGTTCATATTTTATACTTCTTGTCCCAGCCCTAGAATCAACCATTTATCCAAGGGAGCGCTGGTTCCTTTTAGGGAGAATTATAACGGAATGTTTTATATTTTAAATCAGGCCTAAACCTTGATTTTTTCTCACTAACTTTGGGCAGAGAAATTCCATTTGATTTACATGGCTTATTAAGACTCACAAAACTTTGGGTCAAATGCCAAAGGTTTAGACCTAGCTAAAACCATGAAGTAAGGTCAAGTGTGTGTTCAGCCCCCAAGCTTCATTCCTCTTCTCCCAATATGGTACCTCAGTCCTCCCCACACCTTGTCTTTAAAGTCCTTTTCCTAAGAAATCCCTAATTCCACTTCCATAATCAAGACTGTCTTCCAAGCATAACATTCTGCCCCCTTTCTCATTCTTACCTACACAAAAGTCCTGAGACTCCGTCTACCTTCCCAACTGCTGTCCCTCAGAGCATTGGAAGCCTTTATGCGTATGCCCAAGAAACACATTGCACATCTAAGTTTAGACAGTGAGGCTGATAAGGAGAAAAAATGATTTGAGAGTCAAGGAATCTTAAAACATAACGTACAGTAGGCCAGGCGTGGTAGCTCACGCCTGTAATCCCAGCACTTTGGGAGGCCGAGGCGGGCGGATCATGAGGTCAGGAGATCGAGACCATCCTGGCTAACATGGTGAAACCCTGTCTCCACTAAAAATACAAAAAATTAGCCAGGCGTTGTGGCAGGCGCCTGTAGTCCCAGCTACTCGGGAGGCTGAGGCAGGAGAATGGTGTGAACCCAGGAGGTGGAGCTTGCAGTCAGCTGAGATCGTGCCACTGCACTCCAGCCTGAGTGACAGAGCAAGACTCTGTCTCAAAAAAAAAAAGAAACCCCAAAAAACCATAACGTACAGCAGTCAATTTCTATCCACTGGGCCAGTCCTGGCTTCTGGTGAGAGGGTAGCCCTCAGTGCCCCATCACCTTGAGAATTCAGAACTAGTTTTCAGGGAAATAAGGTATTCCCAGATTTCACATACAGTTCTGGAATTTATACCATTCTGATTATGTGTTTGTACCATTAACAGTGTCAGCAACCATTTATTTATTTACTAAGTACCAGCCACTGAATTGGGTGTCATACTGGAACAAATTACGAAGTTCCCCAAATTCTCTTTGCCCAGCTTTCTTCCTGGGTATTTGGTTGCTCACTCAAAAGAGGGTCCAGCCTCATCTCTTGACACAGCCAGGTATCAATCTCCCCCGAGGTAGGGCTGAGTTCTGATAAGGGTGTGGCAGCCCCAGTGGCAAGACCCAACCTCATCAGATCCATGGAGGTGCTGGTTTCTCACACCACTTTCAGGTTCAGAAGGTTCATGACAGGATATGGGATCTGCCTTCCCCAGTAACAGCCTAGAAGGACCTGGTGACACAACTAAAAGTGCACAGGAGTTAATGCGGATTGAAGGTTTACTAATGAGAGGCAGAAAACCACAGAGAGCCAGTAGACAAATCCCTCTTCCTTCCTTCCCTTGATGGACAATTCTGCCCACCTGCAGGTGCTCTGTACAACCAGCTGTTTTCTCCTGAAGCTATGGCCACATTGATTACACACCATCTATATTTTCCTTCCCTCCTTCTTTTCCCCATTTATCCTTTTTCTTTACTTTCTCTGTCCTGGGATTGTATCCTCCAATAAATTGTTAGTATATAAGCTTGTCTCAGGCTCTAATTCATAGGGAATCTGGGCTAAGTACCCTACATATTATTCTTTCTCATCGTCATGTCCACCCTGGAAATATAATATTATTATCTTCATTCTACAGTGAGGAAACAGCCTCAGAGAGGTGTGCTTGCCCAAATTCACACAACTCGCAAGCAAAGAGCTGGAATGTGAATCTAGGTCTTTTTGACTCTAAAAACTCTACTCCTAACCACCACGGTATATACTGTCTCTTGCCATGTGTTTTTGAAACAGGTTTTTAGCCTAGTAAAGTGTTCACAGAAGGCTGGTACCCAAGGAGTTAAAAGGCCTTATAATAGATAAAATTTCTAAGCACTTACAATATATCAGGAATTCTTTAAAAACCTGTGTATTAACTCATTGAATCTTCACATTAATCTTATGAAGGAACTATTATTATACCTGCTTTATATATGAGGCACAGAGAAGTTTTATAACTTGCCAAGGGTCTTTCAGCTACTGTGTGGCGTGACGGTGGCTGGGCTTAGTCAGTCAGTCTGCGGAGGTCATGCTCTCACATGCTTCTCCAGAAAGAGTGAAGGGAATCATAATGGTGAAAGAACAGCAACCCACCAGCAGCACCCTCGTTTGTATCTCTGGGCATTCCAGGGAGTAGGACAAATAGCACTGACACAGTGCCCTGTAGATCAGTCCTTGGGTGGATTACTACAAGCTGTACCTGGAAGTAAGTGTTTCTGGTGTGTCTGCCATAGATAAAAGAAGGTTTGGGGTAAAAAAGGAATTTCAGAAGAAGAGGCATATTTTTTTAAAGGGTGGAGGTAAATTCATGGTACACATAAGCTTGGCTTGTGTAAATCATTTGAAGACAGTAAACTGTGCTAAAAGGAACTATGGAATAACAGGATAAACATGTAAGAGCAGCACTAAGGGTGAACTTGTGGAGAGTTATCCTAACTGTAGGGGATTCTGAACTTCAACTTGATTTTTAAAAATAATTACACGGAAACGCTTCTATAAGGGAAGTTAGGGAATCCAAAAGATTCTTCAACATGAGAAAGTCTGCAGTTACACAGGGTCATAGACTGTAGAGCTGGAAGAGACCATGGAACTGTCTTACAGAAGGCTGTATAGACAGTAAGTAGTTAAGGGTTCATGCTTTGGAATGGAGTCAGAGAGCCTGCTTTGATTCATGATCCCACAATTTCAGCTCTATGAACCTGCCCAAACAATTCATCTCCCTCAGTCTTTTATTCTTTTTCTATATAAATGATTTAATTATAGGTATTACATAGGTATAGGGTGACATGAGAGTTAAGTTAATGTACATAATGTGCTTAATAATGTCTACCATAAAGTAGTCCATAAATGTTAACTATTATTATCTAGCCATCAATGAAGTATATGAGGCCTGTAGAGGTCATGTGATTTCTCCAAGCAACTGGTTAAAATTCAGGACCTTGACTCTGGGTTTCTGTTTCTAGACTGTGGGATATACAAAGATTTGTTAAAACAAAGTCCCTAAAC
Organism: Homo sapiens; assembly: GCF_000001405.40. Lineage (NCBI taxonomy): Eukaryota > Metazoa > Chordata > Mammalia > Primates > Hominidae > Homo > Homo sapiens. Next base: position 63,052,546 of record NC_000012.12, read on the forward strand.
TTAAGGAGCTAGAGAATGAGTATGGTATACAAGAAAGGGTAAAGACTTTTGTGATTAAACACTAGGATAAAACTCTGGACTTGTTCCCTGTCGCTATCTTATCTGGGCCAGGTATTTGGACTTTTTGTAGTTTCAGCTTCTTCCTTGATAAAATCCATTTATGATGTTACTGTATATCTCATGTACCTATTTAACAATAAATTCCAGGGGCTTTATGTAGTAAGGCCTAAAGCATAGGATGAAAGAGAAAGGGGAAGCAATAAATTATCAGTATGTTGCAGGTATCAATGAGACATTCATTGTTCCATCATTAGTCTTGCATTTATCTATGCTGGCAGGGCCTTCCTAAAGAATGCAGATGGCCTGGTTTAACTCATCCAGTGTGGGCCAGTCATGCCCAAGGTCATTGCAGTTGGAAAGAAACTAAATTGCTGGTGTCTTCTAAGACCTTTGGGATATTATTAAAGACAGAAATTCTAAAATTAAAGTTTTTTTTAATTATGAAAAACTTTACACATATGCCAAAATAGAGAGCCTTGAATTCATCATTCAGATGCAACAATCATAAATTTTTGTTTCACCTGTACTCCCACTATACTAGATTAAATCCTGGATCATATATAACAACATTGAATTTTAGTGGTGTTCAGAAAACAGGGTTGATATGGTTTGGCTGTGTTTCCACCCAAATCTCACCTTGAATTGTAATAATCCCCACATGTCAAGGATGGGGCCAGGTGGAAGATAATTGAATTATGGGGTGGTTTCCCCCATACTGTTCTCACGGTAGTGACTAAGTCTCTCAAGATCTGATGGTTTTATAAATGGGAGTTCCCCTGTTCAAGCTTTCTTGCCTGCCACCATGTAAGATGTGACTTTGCTCCTCCTTTGCCTTCCACCATGATTGTGAGGCCTCCCTAGCCATGTGGAACTGTGAGTAAATTAAACCTCTTTCCTTTATAAATTTCCCAGTCTCAGGTATGTCTTTATTAGCAGCATGAGAATAGACTAACACAAGGGTTCAGGGGCAGCATTCCATACCTCCCTCCTGGTACCAGGCCAGGGAGTTTCCCCAGTTGTACAACCCAAGGGATGGTGATGGTTACATTGTTGATCACCTCTGAGAAGCTCCTTCTTCTCTGGTCCCTTCAGAACCAAAGTCTACCTCTCCTTCAGTGCTATAATTGAGGTTTTCATGACACTCTGAGGCACAGTAATTTTTCTGAAACTGGCTAGGATCCACGTCTACTTCCTTATGTACCCAAAGCATTCACTCTCTCCAACTCAAACCTGGGAACTGGGATAAAGTGTTCCTCTCTTGGATAGCCATCTAGGTCACTGGTCTCCCTGCTTCTCTTCTGGCCTTCCTTCTTCCCCCTTTCCCTTTTAAAGAGTGGGTGAGTGGAAAGGTGGGGTTGCTAATGAAGAGAAGACCTGCTCTATTACATGAAGCCTGTCCCAAATATCCTATCAATCCTGGAGTTCACAGAATGTCCACTCTATCAGAAGAGTCTCCTCAGCTATGTTCTACCTTTGAATCTATCATATCTTTCCTCAGTGGCAAGGAGTTCAGGACCTAGTATCTCTGCAAATGGAGTGGGAAATATGAGGAGAAGGGGAAAAATTAATATTTCAAAAATGTTGTCCTGCCAAAGATGGGTTTAAAATTCTGTGACAGAAAGAAAGCCAGCATAGCAATGTTCAGAGCCCTGCAAGATACAGGTGGTAATACAGGGACATGTAGTCCGAAGCAGACAGACCGAGATTGTAATGTTGTTTTACAATTCAAGGCATTTTGTGTCACTCCCTTAGTTTCCTCGTCTGTATAATGGGGATGCTAACACCTACTTAAATGTGTGATTTTTTTTTTTTTACTTTGAAAATGGTTTTATTTTACCTGCAAATAATGAACAGATGTTCTACTCATAAATTCTACTTTCCAAAAAACAATTAGAAGCTTTCTAAAAGAAAACCACACAATACATTTTAAAAGGCACTGGGATTCCTCTGCTTCTCAGTCATTGCTAGGCCAGAAAAATGAAGTCTGTTCTACCAGGAATCACAAGTTAGAACTGAGTATTCTCCAAAGTGGAAATGATAGGGTATAGCGCCATTTCGGGCAGAGACTATTCAGCTCTCATTTACAACATCCACAATTACCTATCAGAATGGCTAAACCAGGTAACCAGGTCAAAACAGTCCAGTATAATTAGGCCCCATCAAACAATGCCATTATGCTGTTCTAAGATGCTAATAAACCAAAACAGGAAATACTGAAGTCAAAATAAAAGATATTCAACTCTGTCATACAAATTGTTTGTTCCTTGTATCCCCCTGATTCTATAACATTAATAAATGAAATATTTTACTGCAAATAATATTTTATTTTATATCTCGCTAGCCATGCATTTTTGTCATTAGTCACTGTATAAATGCTGCCTTGTGACATTATCCAAATGGCATGACCATTTTACGCCCACAATTCACTTTTATAGTTATAAATGGAATTTTCATGATTTACATAACTACATCTATCAGTGAAGATTTAACATTGAGATGCAATCTAACATTTATAATAACTGATGTTTTATAGACAGTAACGTAGGAAATATACATTTTAATCACTTTTCATTTAAGTGACCTTATGTAAAAAAACCAATAATTTAGCAGTTCCAAATCTCTGAAGGACATTTTCAAGTGTACATATAGAAATAGTTACAGTGAGATTTTTAAGAAGCATCTTCCATGTCCACATCCTGTTGTCATTGCTGTACCATTTTCTCTTCCATCTGCTTTCTTTGCCTGCCAGACGGGCTCCGATAAGATGGATGTTTTGCTTGACTTCTTCGATATATCCTGAACTTTCTGTAGCTCTATTTTTCTTCAATCTGTTCATTGTAAAGTTAGCTTGGCGTTTCTGTTTGATCTCTTCAACTCTCTTCATTGCATCAATAGTTTTATTCCGTAGCTCTCACTGGTATTTGATAGGTTCATTTCTACATTTTTCATATTTAAATGAATTATCCACTGTAAGCTTTTCACCAGCTGCTTTCTGGAATGCTGTAGCCCACATGACCTTGTGAGAATTGCGCTTCTTTTTAAAGTTTTAATGACATTTAAATTTACAAAATCTGAACACCCTGCAATAGTTGTGGACGAACATCATGCCGTGGCCAGGGTGGATGGGCCCCAGATAGAAATAACACTTCTCCATACACATGTTGAACCCGTATGGATCCCCACTGACCAAACACCAAGCTTGAGAGGTGGGAAATGTGTGATTTTTTAGGAGACAAAATGATGTGCTAATCTTAGTGCTTGTTACACCTAAATAACATTAGGTATTATTATTATTGCTATCACTCATTTTCTTATTGAAAATGAGAATGAATTCTCACTAATGTCATAAGGGAATATTTCTTAGGGAAGGCGAGCTCAAATTGGGTTTTGAAGGGTGTGTACATCTTCTGTAGGTAAGTATGGGGGTATATTGCAGTGAGAGCATTCTGGGTAAAACAAATATGTTCCACAGGGACAATAACCAAATATCTTTCTTTTATCACACAAAGCTATCAGCTACTAAAAATATCAACTAAAGAAAGAATGAGTTTTTTTTCATATAACTAGATCCCCCACTTCTTACAAACAAAATGCATGGTTTCCAGAAAATATTTAGAAAACTTAGACAAACTAAATGAAGAAAATTAAAACTACTCAAAATGTCATCTTCAAGATATAATTGTTATTAAAATTTTAAATTTTTAATTGTGGCAAAACATACATAACATAAAATAAAATTTACCACCTTAACCATTTTAAGGGTGCAGTTTAGCAGCATTAAGTACGTTTGTATTGTTCTGCACATAATCTCTAAAAACTCTTTTCATCTTGCAAAATTGAAACTCTGTACCCATTGAACAACAAGTCTCCACTCCGCAGTCCCTCCAGCCCCTGGCAATCACCATTCTACTTCCTGTATCTGTGATTTTGATGATTCTAGGTACTTCGTATAAGTGGCCTCATATGGTGCTTGTGTTTTTGTGACTGGCATATTTCACTTATAATTGATTTCTTACTAGTTTTGTTACCTGTTTTTGTATGGAAATGTTTAGATCTGCCATTGTTTATTTAATCATTTCCCCACAGTAGGACAGTTAGGGGCTTACATTAAAAAACATTATAAATAACCTTGCAACTATTATCCTTATTGTAAATCTTTAGGCCCCTTCATTGTCAGCTCTTTAGGATAAGTTTTTAGACATCCATTTGCTGGGTTATAGGGTATGCTCACTTAGTCTCTTGATAAATACTGCCACCTTTTCCCTAAGAAATGTAGCAGCAATTTTGATTCCTACCAGTGTTGTGAGTGCTGATTTCCATGTCTCTTTTACTTTTCATTTTTTAACCACTTAAATTGGAACTATTTTTGATCCTTCATCAGTCATTGCTTAAAGCCCAGTGAAGTGCAGACTTCACAAGGGATATACCATACACCCACTGTAGCCCAAAGGGCTAAGAAATCAAACTGAGAACTTCATGCTTCAAGAAGTTCAGGGCAGTTAACTTAATCCTGCTTAACCACCAAATCCTAGGTTCCTGGCTTAGGATTCTCTCAGTCTTTGAACGTACAGAAAATCCTGTTATTTAGTGGCCTAAGGATATAGCTTGCATTGACTGAATCTACTCTGTCATCGTTCCTCAAATTAATTCCTAACAATACTGTTGTTAGAAAAACTCAGCAAAGAATTTAATTCAAGTGAAAATGCCAACATGAGAGAAAATCATGTCTAACCCAACATATCATACCAACCAAAAAGAACCAGTCTACAAATAACTTTCTCAAAGTTTGATCTGGGAAGGTACTTCATTAGGAAAAGCAGTATATGTGCACAATAATAACCTATGGTTAGATTTTTTTTTACTGTGTCATGATATAATAATATTTCCAAACACACATACAGACACTGAATTTTCTTGGTCAAATGTCAAGTGCAAATTTATCACATAAGGAGGGTTTGCTCATTATGGTATTTCCTAAATAATCAGTTTTAGAGATTTAGCAAGTAATAAGAAATTAGTAAGCTTGAAGAGCAACAAAAACATTGCATCTGGAGATTAGATTGAATGGAGCACATTGTTGAGCAAGCTTAACAATGTAGAAGATACTGGAAGTGTCCAAAAACATTTGTTAGAGGGAAATATCAACTAATATCTAACTTACACTTGTTTTATAATGCACGCACATGGGCACATGCACATTAAAAAGTAAAGACATGAGGAAAACATTGGAACAGTATTGGTTAAGATACCATTTCCTTTCCAATCTGTACCATGAGTTTCTCTAAGGGCAGGCATGAATTAAGTTTTGGGGTTTGATAGTTCTGAGCAGTGATTCCATCTTCTGTCATAACTGGTGATTTCATTCCCTTTGGCTTGTGTCTGTCTGTAAAACCTTATTTATGAAATTCCACTTGACTTTTCTCCTATCTTCTTCTTTTTATTGTTTGTCACGTGAAGACAGATCCACTGGTGTCAGCACCCCTGACTTATGGTGAAAGCTGAGTGTAGGCAAATCCTGGCTTGGGGCATGATGGTGAGAGCAGGGGTGATTGGGGACTGGAGAAGAAACTTTGAGCATGTATTCTCAACTAGGGCAATCTTGCCCCCAGTGGGGCGAAACTTGGTTGATGAAACTAGGAGGCAAAAATACCTCATTCTTTATGCATAGGCACAGATATACAGTATATCTATTGTATTAAAATATTATGAGAGTGATGATTAGTAAAAAATGTCTAAAAGGCTGGTGGGAGGTGGAGGCCGTAATGAAGAAAGGTTAAGAGGTAGTGACTGAGAGGAAAAGTAGTTCTTCACAAGGCACTCAGCTGCCTAGAAATGACCCAATTTAAGAACCTCTGTTCTTAAAAAGGGAAATATTCATTTTTAAAGGATATTTCCAATGATAGTCCTTTGGAGTGGAGGTTATAGAATAAGTTTCTCTCATTTTCTTTTCTACATCTACCTTTCTAGGATTTCCAGCACAGAGTACAGCACAGGATAAAGGTCTGAATCAGAAATGACAGCCTGCTTATATTTGTGAAAAGTTAAATTAGGCTTTGAAATGATGACCAGCATCATTGTTGATGAGACGACAATGTAGATTCATTGGCATCTATTACATGTTAGGTACTTTGTCTATGGTTACCACCTTAGTTAACATAACCACCCTGCAGAATAGGTATATTATCCCCAGCTAAGCAGCAATTATGTGCCGAACCAGAATGTGAACCCAGGTCTGTGTGACTCTCAAGGAGATACACTTTCCACTGGACCACACCATTCCTCATGAAGCAAACAGTTCAGATGAAGGGTCCCTGGAAAGCCCTCTTGTTCCTTACAGAAGGTTTTTGCTTCTCTGGAGTTTTGACCTTGGATGCTCCTTTAGGTGCTGTATCACTCATATAACTCACACTCTTCTTGCCCTTCAGGTTGTAATCTTAGCCTGTCTTAAAATGGCTCAAATGCAAATGTCTTCACTTTTTTCATTATCACTTATCTTTAATGAGATGCACTTAAGTTCCTAAATGAGGGTCCTTCCATTCTACTTGAATGAACTGTATCACAGAATAACCAGCATTACCACCCAAGCCAAAAGCCTGCTTTCCCAGAAGCCTGTCACTGTAGATGGGCAGCCCTTATGGTTGATAATCTGTATCTTTCCTTTTAAGCCCTCAGATGCTGTTTGGAAATATGCAGTTATGTTCTCCTCTATCATGTTGGTTTTCCAAGGATCCTTCTTCCTATTTCCTTCTCGCTCATAAAAACATTTGGGCCAGGCGCGGTGGCTCACGCCTGTAATCCCAGCACTTTGGGAGGCTGAGGTGGGCAGATCATGAGATCAGAAGTTCGAGACCAGCCTGGCCAACATGGTGAAAACCCGTCTCTACTAAAGATACAAAAAAATTAGCCAGGCGTGGTGGTGCGCACCTGTAATCCCAGCTACTTGGGAGGCTGAGGCAGGAGAATCACTTGAACTCGGGAGGTGGAGGTTGCAGTGAGCCGAGATCACGCCACTGCACTCCAGCCTGGTGACAGAGCAAGACTCCATCTCAAAATAAATAAATAAATAAATAAAAATAGTATATTTTTTGGTTATACGTCCGATTATATTGATTAACCACAAACCAAACATAAATATTCTCATTCAACAAGAAAGGTTTTTGGCTTTCAGCTTGATGTAATGACTGTGCAGGGGAATTTAACACATTCTTTATGCCACGAGGCCCTTTAAAACTTATTATTTTAAGAACTGTTCCTTTAAAATGATGCTGTATTTGGCTCTTTTATTCTGTTACTTTCTGCCCAATAAATACTCCACAGTTTTCGTTTTTCTCCATGTCATTACTACTCTGTTAGCTGAGCCTTGCACTTGTGGCATAAATTTTATTTTTCCAAAATGAAATGTCAGAAGGTTAAGAGATCAAGCAATCAGCTGCTACATCCCTTTTATAACATGTTTTCTTCTATTTAAGAGGCAATATTCTAGCCATCCTAAGATGCAAGAAGACTACATTTTCCATCTTCTTCAACCCTTGTTTCCATTATTTTTTAGATAGGGTAGCCTCATAGCTATCAAGGTTTAAGTGGTAGCTCTGACAGTGGAGGTAGCTAGAGGCTGTTCTGTGAGAATATTTATGTACAATAGAAGACTCTTACTCTCCTCCCATCCTTTTTTATATGATGAGAAGATAGTTTTCCTGGATATCACAACATTTTGTTATTTTAGAGAGAAATGGGAATTTCATAAATATAAATAGATTTTCTTTAAAGCACAGTGCTTTGATTCACAAACTGTATAATAAAATAATTATGAACTGTGTAAAAGTATGCCACTTAAAATTTACTTTCCCATAGCTATAGAAGGAAAAGGTGGTTTAATTAAATGACAATACCAGAAATTTTTTTTCAAAATGTATTGAAAAACAAGGGATATCATGGATCATATGAGATTAAAAAATAGGCTGGATCTGATTCCAGAATTCAAGTTTATCTTCTTCCAGAACAAGTGTTCTTTGACACAAAATGACAACAAAAACAACCCTCCCACCATCCACCAAACAAAAACAAAAGCGATAACAACCAATGTGGGCGGTAGTTTCCTTATAGATACGGTGCATATTTTTCAGTTCTATATTACAAATTTCATCTTATTTCACCTTGACCTTATGCATTTACAGATGACCCTGCAATAGATTATATTCAGTGAGTTTGTGCTTTTTCTTAGCATAGAAGAAAATGGTAAGAAAAATGCTGTAATTTACAAACTACTGATATGGTTATCCTGTTTCCTTTTGTCTAACGGATGCTGTGTCTTCTTCTTTCTTACACACAGACTTGTAGAGTTTTGAAGCTGAATTGGATCTATTTTTGTAGACGAGCAAATCAAGGCTCAGTGAATTAAAGTTACACACTTAGTCTAGCAAAAGAACTGGTAGATGGGGAGCCTGAGCCAGAAAAGTGTGGAGGTCAGCGGAAGAAGACATTTTTCTGTGCTGAGAGAGAAACATCCAAGCAAGAATTCAGGATGTTTAAGATGTGTTTAGAAGATGATTGAAACTCAACATGCATGATTTGGTTTCCGTTTTCTGAGAGAAATGAATATTTATGTCCAATATTATTGTACAAAACCGGTATCTGCCCAGGAGTCCGACCCAGATTAAAATCCTAGCTCTGTCTCTTCTTGTGTACCTGCAAGCAAATGGATACATCTAATTTTCAGTTTTCTCATCAGTAAAATGAGGATAAGTTATATTCCATAGGATTACAGTGAGAATGCAATATAATGTGTGAAGTACTTTGCATTACAAATGGCCCATAGTACATGCTTAACGAGTGACTTTTCATTATCCTTACTTCTCTGGTCTTGGCTGTACATAGGAAGACTGTATGGAATTATGCCCAACCCTATAGCATTATCATGGGAAAAATAAGTGACCCACATGTGTAATCTGAAGAGTTAGGTCAGAGAATAAAAGAATAAAGAGGGAGCGTCTTGAACCTAGAGAAAGTGAAGTGCTCTGCAATGTTCCCGTGGTTAGACTTTGATGTAATTTAATTTGTTTAAATAGGGTAGATTTCTAATAAAGGACAGAAGTATTAGATAAACAAACAGGAAAAGAAGAAATCTTTCTGATCATCATGGTGTTATATATTTAAAGAAGTTAAAGCAACATTATTTTAATTGGAAAGGGGTATGTTAATAGGAACAGAAGGGAGAGCATTCATTAAAAAAAAATTTTGACAACCTCAATTCAATAACTTGTAATAGCATAGTGGTGGTTAAGATTAAGGACTTGGAATCAGACAGATGTGGGTTCACACCCCAGCTCCCCACATGCTGTGCAACCTGGGCAGGCAAGTAACCTCTAAAACTTGGTATCTGTATAATGGTAATATGTATGAGGTTGAATCACATGAAATTACCACTTTCGTAAGTCAAAACCAGTCAAATACTGGATAATTCATATGATTCAACCTAGCTGTGAGAATAAAAAGATAATGTAACTAAAGTTATTACCACAATCACAGGCACTAAATGCTCCATACGTGGCAGTTATTGTTATGTTAATGTGTCCAACACCTGGAGAAAAAAATTACATCACAATTCCTCCATACAATGAAGTAAGATAAAAACAGTTAAAATCATGACTGTGAAGAATAATTAAGGGTATAAAACTATAATCATAATAAAAATGCTAAATTAAAAAAATGAAGATCTAATACTATATATACAATTTCATCCAACTTGTAAAACATATATGCAAGTCTATTTGTTTCTATAGAAAGCTGTCTGGAAGAAAATATATTAAAATGTTAAACACAACCCTTGATAAATGATATTAATAAAAATTATATAAGAATTATATTATTTTCTTTCCCTAGTTTCTTCTCTTTTTCTATAAACTCAGACTACCTTCATAATCAGTAAAAGTATGTACTTTTTCATTCTACCCCTCAAAGTACAAAAAGCTAACAAGAGTTCTTGCCATGTATAGGAATAACACCCTATTTGATAAATGCCATTTTGTTACCACTTTAAAATTTAAAAATAAACATCTTAGGTATTGATTTCTTTTGAGTTCTAATTTCCTTCTGCATAGTGTTTTTGTGTATGTTGTGTATGGCCCAGGGTTAAAGAAAAAACTAAAACATGAGATGTCAAGGCAGAGTTACAGAAACAAAAATTTAGGCTGTTAAGACTAGGGGAAAAGGTGTAGAATTTAAGAATGTGTCGTAGTCCAGCCAGACTGCTATAACAAATTACCGTAGACTGGGTGGCTTTTAAACAAACAAACAAAATTCATTTCTCACAGTACTGGAGGCTGGGAAGTATAAGATCAAGTTGCTGGCTGGTAAGGACCTGTTTTCTGGCTCACAAATGTCCGTCTCCCACTGTGTCCTCACAGAGCAGAAGTGGTAAGATAGCTCTCTTGGGTCTCATTTCTAAGGGCACTAATCCCATTCATGAGGGCTCTACCCTCATGATCTAATCACCTCCCAAAGGCCTCACCTACTGACACCGTCACCTTGGGGTGAGGATTTCAACATATGAATTTTGGTGGGGACAAACATTCAGTCCACTGCAGAATGGTAATTATTTAGGTATGGAACTATCAGGCATCAAGAAAGACTTTTTGACTATTTGTATATTCTTCAAGAATTTTCCTTTCCCAGTTTTGCGTAGCCTCTCTGCAATTCTGCCTTTGGGGAAACTTTAAAGATGAGACCTAGCATAGCTCCTGAAGGAGACAATTTTAGGAAACTCCTTTGGATGTAGCTTCCAATGGATGTGTCTTAAACCAAAATCTACCCTCTCATAAGTACATCATGAAAAAGCATAGAGGATGCTTTATAAAATACTTTGTGTTTATAAAATACTTTGTTTATAAAATACTTGTGTTTATAAAATACTTTGACAAATCTCACCTCACTATGATCTTGTGAGATGAACAGGGCATGAATTATCTTATCCATCTTGCAGAATAGAAAAGAAGATGGGAGGGTAAGTGAACTAATTGTCTTGTCTCCCACAACTAGAACACAGTAAGGATTAGAATGAAGACTTCTGCTTCCCAAACCTAGGCTTATGTGCCTCTGCTGTGCAGGGCTTTTTAAAGATATGTTTTAGGGTATGTATCTTATAATACAAATAAGAAATCTTGTAATATAAAATAAGAACACAGGCCGGGCGTGGTGGCTTATGCCTGTAATCCCAGCACTTTGGGAGGCCCAGGTGGGCAGATCACCTGAGATCGGGATTTCGAGACCAGCCTGACCAACATGGAGAAATCCCATCTCTACTAAAAATACAAAATTAGCTGGGTGTAGTGGCACATGCCTGTAATCCCAGCTACTTGGGAGGCTGAGGCAGGAGAGTCGTTTGAACCCGGGAGGCAGAAGTTGCGATGAGCCAAGATCGCGCCATTGCACTCCAGCCTGGGCAACAACAGCGAAACTCCATCTCAAAACAAAACAAAACAAACAAAACACAGAGAAAAGGGAAAGTAAAAAATGAAAAAAAAAAAAGAACAAAGAATAAATGAAAATTGTAATGCCTGATTACTTTTTATGTCACTTCCTGTCTCTGAGAACATAGTAGTTTGAGGCTGTAAAATTAATACAAATACCCAGATCCTGATCAGTGGCTGATGTATAAGCATGGAATGTTTGGTTCTTAAAACCGCTTGAGGAAAGAGCTTATTGTGTAATTATAGCTGTGCTTCCTGTCTAATACTGTTATAGGCACAGATGTGGAAGCTTTTTCCTTCAGACACTAAGTACAGAATTGAGTTTTAGGAAAGAACATGCACCCATATTGTGAAAACACCTTACTCTCAGAGTGAGTATTCTCAGCACTAACCCTTTCCAAGCAATTTCAGCCCTTCTGGAGAAATTGTTAAATATTAGAGATAGCACGGGACAGCTGGTCAGGAAACCTAAGTTCTTGCCAACTAGAATCCATGAGACAAATAAAGAGACAAGTGATGGCAACTCACGTGGCCCGTTTCCTTTTCTGTAAAGTAAGGGGTTTGAATTAGGCTAGTAGTTCTTGACTGAGGTGCATGACATATAGCATAGCATTTTACGAATGCTGGTGTCTGATCCAACCTCCAGAGATCCTGACTTTATTGGTCTAAGTAAATTTCTCCAAGTGATGGCGATGCCAGACAGGTTTAAGAACCACTGGGTTAGGTGACCTCTGAAATGCCTCTAGCTCTCAGATTCTGTGTTATTTTGGTTCTATTTTTCCTTCCAAGAGCAAACCAGGGAGGGGATACAATATTCCACCTCCCGCTTTCCTCCTCTCTTAGTATAACTTGCTGACTTGTAATCGGGGTAGTGATTTTCAAATTTTAGTGGTGAATAGTAAATAGCTAGTTAAAATGCAGATTACTAGGCTCCACTCCATGAAATTCTGATGTGGTAGACCTGGGGCATTGCCCAGATATCTATATTTTTCACAAGAATCCACATGATTCTGAGGCATTGATTGAGAACCAAATTTTGAAAAACACTGTCAAAGGCATGATTTGTAACCTCATGGATATAATTTTGCCTGGGGAATCTTTGGGATCCTGATTTACTCTAGAATACAACTTTGGCTAAATTGAGAAGTAGGTGCAGTGACTCGAAGACCCAAACCTCATAGCTCAGAGCCCCGCTCTTCATTTACGTTTCAACCAGGTAGCTAGGGTGCTGGCTTCCATCAAAACTTGCTCTGAATAAGTAACAATAAGAAGATTAGAATCCAGAGTAGAAAATAGTTTCTATAAACAAATAGAAACATAAAAAATGATAATGAAAAACTGGGCAAAAGACATGAACATGCAACTCAGAAGAACGAACCCAGTGATGAATATGCATTCACCATATAGGGGAAATAAAAATCAATAAAAAACCAAGGTATCATTTTTCACCAATCAAATTGGCATGCATTTCAAAAGTTTGGTAGTGTCAAGTGATTACTAGGGAAACTAGTGCTTATACAGTCATGGTGTAATACAAACTGGATGAGCCAGTTTAGAAGGTAATTGGGTAGTGCTCTTAATTAAATATGCTCTTATTCTTTGATGCTAAAAATATAATTTTACTTCTCAGTATTAACCTGAGAAATACTGGAACATAAACAAAAATAAATATGGTCAAGAATGATTTTAAAACAGAAAAATGATAACCATGTATACGTCCATAAAGGAGAAAGTGTCCAAATAAATTGTGGAAAAATCTTAGTAAATATTACACAAGAATGAGAAGAAATGAGGTAGATCTGTATGGACTAGCTTGGCAGATCACCGAGACTTATTGCTGAGTGTGAAACCTAGTTACAGAATGGTATTCATTGTGATAACTTGTCTCCAGAGTGGCACCATTAATCCTTTCCCTTGTCATTTCCCCCATCAAGAGGTTACATCTATTTCTATCCTTCCCTTGAATCTGGGCTTGTTTCAATGAATTCCTGGACCAGAAAAGTGTGGCAGAAGTCATTCTGGGTCTTAAGAAGCTTTGCAGGTTCCACCTGGGTCTCTTGGAACACATTATTGCAACTCTTGCTCTAGGGGGAAGTCATCTGCTCTGTAAGAAGTTCTGTTGTCCTGAGAATGTCATGTGGAGAGGAGATGACAGCCAACCTTGGCTGTTCCAGCCATTTATGTCACCCCAGCCCAGGCAACAGGCATGTGAGTGAGGCTGCATCCTGGACATTATGGTCCCAGCAGATGCCATGTAGAGGATAGCCAAGGTCCTGGACATATGGCCCCAGTCAATCAATCGCAGCCATCCTTATCCTTTTGAACCACCCAGCTGAAGTTCCAGACATTGTGGAGCAGCCACACTGTTCCTACTGTGCCTTGCCCTAATTTTTGACTCACAGAATTGTGAGCATAAGAAATGTCAGGCTTTTTACAGCAGTAAGTTTTTGTGTGGTTTGTTATGCACCAATAGATAAACAGAACACTCACAGTAATACCATTGTGTTTTAGAAAAAATACTAAAAAATATAAGATACCATCTGTATTTGTGTCTATTTATGTATATATACAATCTAAAAGGACAGACACTAAAATGATGACAATATTTACATCTGGGTCAGAGAGGAAGTCAAGCAGGAATGAACATGGTGGTCCTTAAAAGGGACTTTAACCTTACATAGAGTCATGATTCTGTCAGGAAGAGAGACACTACTGGGTTGATTCAAGCAGGAGGGGTTTGATTTCAGGTAGGTGTTTACAAAAGGGACAGGAGTAGCGAAGGTCAGAGAAAGCTGACACTAGTGTTTAATTGTGCCACTGATTCAGCAAGTTGCAGGAAAAAACCTGACACTAGTGTTTAGGTGTGCCACTGATTCAGCGAGTTGCAGGAAACCCCCCCAGCCTGCTTGGATGGGGAACGTCTGGAGGCTGCTGCAGAGCCTCCCAGCTGCGGGAACCTGGACACCTGCCCTCACTGCTGAGGAGCAAGGATCTGAGTTCCTTCTCCCTTCTGCTTTCAAGCCTGGGCTGACTGCCTCCTATTGATGAAATTTAACCCACTAATTGTGGAGGTTTAGGGTTTTTTTTTTTAGAGCCCAGTGGAAGCCCATAGGGAGGCGGGCTCACAGTAGCTGCCTTACTCCTTTCTTCCTTCATTTGTAGTGTGTCGAGACACATGACAGATGACATGTTCCCAGTACAGTGGATGTATGCATTATTTTATCTACTTTAACAAAAACAATCTTTTTCAATGGACCAGTGGCTTAAAAGGATTCCTACAAAGCAACTATAATACTAATAGTGCAAGCATAGCTGATCTGTGAGAAAATGGTAGCGCTGACACTTTTTTACTCGAACTTTTTTACTAGAACTTTTTCCTCCAAATTATGAAATTCAAAACAATGACAATCTAATCTTATATTAAAAAATTTAAAATTATTAAACACACTATTTGAAATATAGGGGAATGCACAGATTATAACATATTTCTCTGGAGTTACTTTTTCTAACTATTATACCCATTAAAACCAAGAGTCCGAGCATCCAAGTAAATTCAACAAAGATTTAGACCTTTAAATTACAGTAAGCCAAGAAAAAATAATAGGAAAACAAGAAAGGTGTTTTTGAGGCATTAAAAGAAGATACACAATTATATAAAATATTTTTATCACATCTTTAGCTCTTTTAAAATTCTATTCTTGTATGTTTCAAAATGTTCCTACTTATTTATAAGTAAATTATGAACATGGACATAAATGTTCAATCATACTGAAATCACAAAATATTATAATGCAGCAATCAAAAATATTTCTGTGCCATTATAAAGGAAATAAAATATATAATTATTTAAATACATTTAAATTTCATCTTCGTTTCATAATATCCATTTTCTATTTTCAGTCAATATTAACACATATACATATTTGTAATTTATAAAAAGTATCTGTATATTAGGGATGAGTGCTTGTGTGTTTCTGTTGCTGGAGTACAAAATCAACTTGTTTGAAGATCTATTCTAGTCCATGAAAATGCCTGGCTGTGGCCTAGAATATAATAGGTGGGTTTCTTTGATGTTGTTTAGGCTTCATTTAAATGCAAGTAGGCCTTTCTCCAGGTTGCAGTGGATGCCCACCATTGTGCTCGTGTGTGTGTGTGTGTGTGTGTGTGTGTGTGTGTGTGTGTGTGTGTGTGTGTGTTCTACAGAGTGTACAGGAAGGCTAAAAAAACCAGACAAATTCAATTTAGTTATTTGGTTAGCAAATTCAATTTTCTGATTAACTGTACTCAAGTCATGGTGAAGGGATAGAGAAGACACTGGATTGCTGCCTCAAAGGAGGTTACAATGTCACTGTCATTGGGCCAAAAGACATAAATAAGCACATGTGTGGTATAATAAAGATATAAAGTATCTTTATTATAAGTATGTGTTTAGTCTAGAGAAGGTAAATATATTGAAAGCTATGGGTCAGAAACTAGACTCAGGCTAGTTACACAGTGTTGTGTGTTGCTTTCCTAGTCTATGAAGATAATAACACCTCCCTATACACCTCACAGATCACTGCGAAATTAAAATAACTAAAAGTTGAGAACCTAATGTAACATATACAAATAACAGGAATTATATTTTAGCTTAGAAATCTACATTCTTTTAAAAGCTTTAGTTTGTTTTTTTTCTTTTTTCCTGCAAATGGAAATGATGATGGTTGGCTCCCTGTTTCAAATCTAGGCTTACTCTATTGGAGCTTTTGGAGACCTTAAATTTTAAGCTATTTCTATGTAAGATGGGGGGCAGTGAGGGATGTCTTCTACTCATGAGCTGAGCACATTAGGTTTCTTTTGAGAATTGTTATTCTTTTACTTCTTTAAAGATTGAGGGAAAACTCTCCTAATAATGCATGTTAATTAATTTATAACTCTTCTTGTTTTAGAAAAAGTTTTCAAAAGGAAAATACTGAATAAGCTGGGGTTTACTGACCTCTGATGGCCGGACTTAAAATTGCTACTTTTATCAGGCTTCTTAAGATGACAATGTAAAGCTCTTTCTGGAAACTGCCCAAGTCTAGGTTGTAAGGCAGTCAAGAATCACCAGACAAGAAGAGGGAGACCACAGGATGTCAACTAGTCAAACTTTCTTTTCTCAAGCAGGATTTATTTAGTTAATTTTAGGCTGAGGCTTTGTTAAATCGATGGTAATTTATTGAAAACACTTCAGTGTGTAAGTCAGAGTATTTCTGACCAGAAATCCCAACTCCATAAGTGGTTAATTAGCATTTAAAAGACTATCCAGAAATCCACACTAGAGAAATGGCTGACTACAGCATTTCAAATATTGCTATCTAAATCTGCAATAGAGTTTGTTAATTAGCATAGTGATATTTAACAGTATTTCTTTGGCGATCTGAAAGCTTCTGAGACATGTAGTTGGCTGGAAATATTGTACAGGCATCTTAGCTCTTACGTGAATAGGGTGTAAGAATCTGACAATAAATGTTTGTACATGGAGCAGAATTAAGTCTAAGCCTTGCTTTCATTATAGTGTACCTGGTAGCAAAGATATAAGGGAGGAGATAATAGCTCTCACCTACTTCTAATATTTGGAGGCGTCCAGAGTCACCAAAGAGAAACTGACTATGGTGAAGTGGTTAGATTGGCTTAGGTCAATTGTAACAAGCCATCCATCATGTTCCTAAAACTTTACAGAAGAAATGATTACAGAAGCTGATTTGTAGCATTTCCCTATGTTTTATACCTTATTTCATCAGCATATTCCTCCTAATTTTTACCCCAAATCACATGTGTTATAATTTAAGCATAGTTCCATTGAATACAGATAAGGAGAGAAATGAACTATCCCCAGCCAATATTATATTTTTCTGGTAGAATTAGCTTAAAAAATACATCCATGGCCAAAGACACTTGAATAGTAGTTAAGAAGATGACATTGCTTTTGCATGGCTAAATATAGCTGGGAAGTTGTTCAGATGTCCTAGGGGACACTACTGTTAGCCTAAACTGCAGTCGTCATTTTGGTACACAAGAAGCTTGTACTATGTCTGTCACTGTTCTGTCAATTTACTAGAAGGGAAATAGCAATAATAAACTTGACATTATTTTATAAAAAAATTTGTTTCATATAAATAAGTACATACTTAAAACTGGATTTATATCATATTTTCAAAAAAAATAGACTCATACTGCTTTGAAACCAGGGTCCAGTACTAACAAGTTGATCTTGAAGGCCTTTTAAGATTAGATCTCAAGGGATCTCATGACCTCACCTCCACGCCTTTCCCCTAATTTTGTCTTCTCTGCCTTAGCCTCCCTAATTTAACTTAGCAAAGTCACATGAGGTTCTTACAATGTCTTCAAGCGAGGCAGGAGTAACCACAGCAAAGAGAGGAGAGACCACTTCTGTTGCCATGCCAAGCTGCTTTTGAGGAAGCCCCCAGTAATCCCCACCTCCTGGTATTTACACCCTCTCCTTGTGTGTGGGCTGGGCCTAGTGACTCACTTATAATAAATAAAATATGGAAAAAGTGATGGAATGTCATTTCTGAGATTAGGTTAAAAAGAGATTGTGACTTCTGTCTTGGACATCCTCTCTGGCTCTTTCGCTCCCTTGTTCTAGGGGAAGCCAGCTGCCATGTTGTGAGTTTCCTTTGGGAGAGATCCATGTAGCAAGAAACTGATTATATCTGATTAACAGACGGTGAAGACCCAAGGCCTGCCAATAGCCTTGTGAGTTGGGAAGTGAATCCTTCACCAGCTGAAACTTGAGATGACTATAGCCCCAGCTACAGCTTGATGGCCACCTTGCAAGAGACCCTGAGTCAGAAGCACCCAGCTATGCTGGGCCCAGATTCCCAACCCTCAGAAACCACGAGATAATGAGTGCTTGTTGTTTCAAGCCACAGAGTTTTGGGGTAATTTGTTGTGCATCAGTAAATAACTAATGCAACTGCTAAAGGAGACTTAGGAAGTTTGGGGAGTTCCAAGTGCTCAGAGTCATCTAAATCCAGCCAGCGATCCTATTCCAGTTCTTCAGCTTTAGTTTTCCCAATCAATCTCTTTATATTTCACGGAAAGAGCCTAATGAGCCTCCAAGTTAAACTGAAATTCTAATTCTGTACCCTTCAGGATCATATGCTGATTGATTTTTGGGTACACAGCCCTATGGTTATAAAAGATTTGTTGAGACCAGTCAAAGGAGGAGATCTCTGGTTTTCTGACCATGTTTTAAAATGAAAATGAAAAACCTTAGCTTGTTGTCTTCTTTCTAAGCTCTTTAGGATGGTTGTTGTATTCCCCATTTCCACTTTAATTGCTAGATAATCTGGTAAAGCCATGCTGGCAATAGGCACTTCATCCTAAGGAACCACAGGTGATATAATTTAAGCAACCATCTTGCAAACTTATGGACTACAGATGTCTCATTTTTCATGGTATCCAGACAATCCCTGTCTTCCAATCCAATGAGATCTGACAACTAATTCCACATTTCTATCCTTGAGAGTCTAGTCCTTGCAACTGCTTCTGGTAAACCCTGTGTTTAGTGCAGGCAACAGTAATCAGCCTAGGTATTTACAGCAGGTAAATACCTGCTGTAACAGTAATCAGCTTAGGTATTTACAGAAAGAGATTAAGACAGGATATAAGGTACTTAAAAATTATTGGAAAGTCTGAGGAAATGGAAGCCAGGAGGCACTGCTGGAACTATTGAGTTCAAGAACAGACTGGGCTATGCATTGCTTGACTTAGTCATTCATATATGCAACACATGTTGATTGAATATCTGTTAAGAGCCAGGTACCCAGGTATTCTAGGCCCTAGGTGAATACAACTGAAAAGTCCTGTAATCTCATGGAGTTTATATTATAAATACAGCTATAGCTGCTTTATAGGTTGATGTGAAATTAAAGAGCAGAGGTTTGGAGGGGTTCCTTAAGATTGGGTATTCATGGAGGTCGCTTTTGAGAGGGTGATATTTGATAAAATTTCTGATCAACGAGAAAGAGCCAGCCATGTGAAGATTTACTGGAAGGGCATTCCAGGCAAACAGAGCACTTGGTGCAAAACTATAAAGTAGGAATGAGCTTGCCATATTCCAGAACAGAAAGGATACTGTCTCAGTAGGCAAGGGGCAGGGAGGAAAGTCAAGGGTTTGACAAGGAATACAACATGTTGAGCTTTGAAGTTCATCCTAAAGTGTTTGAGTTTTGTTCTAAGTGTAGAGGGACATGTTGGAGGGCTTTAACAAGGGGAATGACATGATCTGATTAACGCTTAGAGACAATTCTGGCTCACCTGAGCTCTTATGTCATTTTTAAAGTACCCGCATTTGTACTTGTTCTCATTGCTTAAAGAGTGTTACTTTAGCTACTGTAGTTTAAATAGTGATGTATTAGTACGTTATTTTCTTCTATGAGAACAACTCTGATAAGCTTCCTGTTTTTAGACTCATATGTGTTCTGTTTGGTCAATTTTGCTTATAACATTTCCAAAACTGTGTTGTTTCTACTGTTTGCTTTGTGCAAGTATTTTATAATGGCTCTTGGCAAAAAGCAATGTCTTTTGCTGATACATGGTGTTTGAATTTAGGACTGGAGACTGTAGTAGTTAGTTGTCTAAGATCTCTAGCAAATGCTTAATACAAATTTCAATGAAACTGCAACGAGGTGGGGTTTCTATTTAGCATCTGCTATTAAAATCCAGAGTCCACTAAGAAAACCTTTGAAGTGACTTTACAATAAACTTTACTAAATGATTTCAGAATTTGATAATTCATCATCAATAACCATCAATAGTTAATTGATTATATTTGAAAATCAGTTTCTTAATTATTACCTTCCCTTCCAATTACACGTGTACATACAATTTTGACAATTTTAATTGATTTAACTCACTACTTCAATATCAATTCTTTAGTTATTTCAAATGTCTTATCATAATGGAATTTGGGTACTTGACACACATTTTTGAGTACGTACTGCTGTATTCCAGGCATTTTGCTAAAAACAAGACAAAGTCTCTCATGAAACTTACACTCTAATGGAAAGAATAGTTACTCAAGAATATTAGGTTGGTGCAAAAGTAATTGCAGTTTTTGCCATTTTTTTTTTTTTTTAAAGTAATGGCAATTACTTTTTTTTTTTTTTAACCAACCTAACAATTAACTCTAATGGTTGAGCATCATATTGGGGAACCTGACGTGGTCCCAGGGCTCCTCTGAGGAAGAGATATTTACCCTGAGACCTGAACAAGACTCACTGGCCTCATGAAGAGGAGTGTGGAGAGTGTCCATGCAGTGGAGACCCAATGGTGAGAAGTCAGAAGCCCAAAAGCATGAAGCTCTTGAAGGACTGAAAGAAGACTGGGTAGTGGTGCAAGGCAGTGTGATTTATTTGATGTCCTTTAGGAACAGAAAAACTTTTTTTGGCATTTATTTTAAAATTGGTATGCAGCTGGGTGTGGTGGCTCATGTCTGTAATCCCAGCACTTTGGGAGGCCGAAGCAGGTGGATCACTTGAGGTCAGGAGTTCGAGACCAGCCTGCCCAACATAGCAAAACCCAGTCTCTACTAAAAATACAAAAATTAGCCAGGCGTGGTAGTGGGCACCTGTAATCCCAGCTATTCGGAGGCTGAGGCAGGAGAATTGCTTGAACCCAGGAGGCAGAGGTTGCAGTGAGCCAAGATCGTACCACTGCATTCCAGCCTGGGCAGCAGAGCGAGATGCCATCTCAAAAAAAAAAAAAAAAAATTGTACGCAGTTTGCTAAATTTAGCATTTGAAAATTCAGTTTTTCTATTAATGTTATGATCAACTTAAAAATCTTATTATTCAACATATAAGTCTGATGAATTTAAACTACTACTTTAGAGAGGCTTTTAAATACTTTAAATAAACACCACCAATTTATATTTATTTTTTAAGTTCAGGGGTAAAAGTGCAGGTTTGTTACATAGGTGAATTTGTGTCATGGGGATTTGTTGTACGGATTATTTCATCACCTAGGTATTAATGCTAGTATCCATTAGTTATTTTTCCTGATCCTCTCCCTCCTCCCACCCTCCACCCTCCAAAAGGCCCCAGTGTGTGTTGTCCCCCTCTATGTGTCCGTGAATTCTTATCATTCAGCTCCCACTTATAAGTAAGAACATGTGGTATTTGGTATTCTGTTCCTGTGTTAGTTTGCTAAGGATAATGGCCTCTAGTTCCATCTGTGTTCCTGCAAAAAACATGATCTCGTTTTTTATGGCTGCATAGTATTCCACGGTATATATCCTGTCTATCATGGATGGGTATTTAGGTTAATTCCATGTCTTTGCTATTGTGAATAGTGCTGCAATGAGGAATACATGTGCATGTGTCTTTATAGTACAATGATTTATATTCCTTTGGGTATATACTCAGTAATGGAATTGAGAGAGTAGAATGGTACTTAAACAAATTTACAAGAAAAAAAAACAAACGGCTCCATTAAGAAGTGGGCAAAGGACATGAACAGAAACTTTTCAAAAGAAGACATACATGCAGCTAAGAATCATATGAAGAAAAACTCAACATCACTGATCGTTAGAGAAATGCAAATCAAAACCACAATGTGATACCATCTCACACCAGTCAGAATGGCTATTACTAAAAAGTTAGAAAATAACAGATGCTGGCAAGGTTGTGGAGAAAAAGGAATGCTTATACACTGTTGGTGAGAGTATAAATTAGTTCAGCCATTGTGGAAGACAGTGTGGCAATTCCTCAAAGGCCTAAAGACTGAAATACCCTAAATTATTGAACTGCAGTTATAAATTTCATTTATTCCATGTTGCCCTGTAAGTAACATAACCGCATATCTCAACAATGGAAACCTGCTTAGGAATTTAACTATTTCTTGACAAAGTAAGCTCACAGATAAAGGTGAATCTCAAATTCACCTTAAATTTCCAAAACTGTCTAAAACTTAGCCTAATGGTCATTGTTCAACTAAAATTATAAATCTAAAATTAATGATTCAACCATAGATTTTATATAGAAATTCCAGGTTGTGGTTGGTCAATAGTTGGCCCATTTTCTTCCTTGCTCTGTGCCTGAGGAAGCTGCCTGGCATGGTCTACATCATTAGGCGGCCACGTCCTCTGGCTTCTGGTTAGGTTTGACTAATGGAGTGTACCTGTTGGAGAGCAGCTCTAGAGAGAAGAATAAGGTCTGAGTACATATTTCCCCAGATAGAGCTCTCTCTACAGAGTGACTTCTAGCTGACTTCCTCAACTGAAGGTCCCTCAACTTAGGATCTCAGATCATCACATCAGAGGAACTCTCCACAAAGCCTTCTCTGTCCCTTGGCTGCTTTTGCAGGCTCAAAGATTACAGGACTCCTCTATTATTAGCCTTACAGTATTATACAAATCCTTTTGAGTTCCATACACCACAGCCACACCATTATCAATAGTCTATTTATTAAGCTGTCCTCAAATTATTCTATTCTGCCCTTTGTTTCCTGCCAGAACCTTGACTAATACAGCAATTGCTACAAAGAGTGACCCTCAGGAAATAGACCTTCAAATACGATTGTGGGGTTAGGTTGCTCATATATTTAAGGATCTCCTTATTGGAGTGAAATGAAACAGAACATGTGATGGCACATGCTTATTTAAATGAACACGAGTGAGATGAAATGTAGGCGGAAGCTGATGTGCTGAAAGATCAAGTGGCTGTTACATTAGGTCACTATGAGGCATCTGTTGGCTTCTTCTGGTAACCCAGCAAGTGAACCTAGTTGTAAAAGGAGAAATGGAAAACTGTGACTATCTAGTTGAGAGCATGCATGGAAAATCAGAAAGCCTCATGGACCTTTGAAGAAGTCCCTTATCTCCTGTAATTGCAGGGTAGATAGGGCTGAGGACTAAGAACCAGACCCAGTTATAAAGGTTGCAGAATTGAAATGCCAACACATGCTCAGATCTGACAGGCCTCTTACATCAAGGGAAGTGAAGGGAAGGGAAGAAAAGAGATTTAAATTTACGTAGATGAAACTGAGAACTTCATACCATTGGATCTCCCCAAATCTCCCTTACTAGCAGAGGCAGCCTCCCCAACTCCCATCTGAGGGAAATAGCCTTCCCCTGTATAATTATAGTCTACAAATAATTGCCTAGCAAGATGATGCTGATTCACCTCCATCACTCCGTAGGCCCATGATGAGAGTTAGATTTCACTATATCCCAAATGGTGAAACATAGGCCTATTCTGGGAGGAAGGAGATTATATACTAAAAAATTACAAGTACTTATGAGTCTGTATCAGCAAGAGTCTGGGGAGCATATTTGGGAGTGGATTTCAAGGGCATTAGACCAAAGAGAATAAAACTTAAAGCTTGATGAGACAGAATATATTAACATGGGAACTCTCACCTGGGATTTGGGATTTAATGTGAAAATTAAGCAGCCAGGAATGGTGATAATTGTCTCCTAAGTTGACTAATTGAAGCCTGCACTCAAATGGGCCTGGAGATAATGGACAAAGATGCTGCAATGGAATTGGGTTTCCTGAGCTCAGTGGGAACAATGGGACCCCAGAATGGTGGAGACCAGGTAGTGCCACTTAAACTTCGAGGAAAAGATGAGCACAACCACCCTAAAAGCTACAAGAACAGAGTGATAAAGTATTCTTACCTGAAAGGATCACTGGAAAATAAATAACAATTAATCATGGGATTTCTAGAAGCAAAATGGGCAGCTAGTCAGATGCTCTTTAACATAACAGATTTAAAAAATTTTATCTGGTGGACAGAAATCTAACTCAAGTTGCAATAATGGTGATCCATGGAACATTTTTGCCAGTTTCTAGTTCTAAAGTAGTTAAGATACAAAGCCTCCGGGCTGAGGGGAAGGTCAGTCTCCTCAGAGGCAAAACCCTGCACTGTGGCCATAGGTGCATACCTGAATCTTCCTTTAGATGTTACCAGAGGCATCTGCAGCCATTGACTATGGGGACTGTGCCCTGGAGAAAAGGAGACACCTAGAATTCTAGGGGTTGTTTTATACTGGCTTCAAATTGATGATAATCCTTGGAGGCCCCAAAAGCCTCTGAGAGTCTTCTTATTGGTGCAGGTTCTTGTGGAAGTCTGGCAATAAATGGAGTTGTGACTGGAGTCTCTTTCACAGTGGTGCCAGTGGGACTATGAATTTGTCTTGTAGTTTTTAAACTAGGCTTGGGATCTATAGAGGAATAGCTATGGTTAGCATCTGGCAGAATCCCAACAGTGGTCCTCCGACCAATGAAGTCACAGTTACAGTTAGAAGGGCCAAGTAGTGGTCCCGGAACTGCCCCATCCCCACTAGAACAGGAATTCAAAACCATATCACATCCTTGGGGGAATCAGAGAGATCAGTGCCACCATCAAAAAACTGAAAGACACAGGGATGATGATTCTTACCATGTCCCCATTTAACTCACCTGTTTGGCTAGTGCAAAAGCCAAGCAGATTATGGAGAATGGCAGCAGACTATCTCACACATACTCAGAGGATGAAGCCTATCAAAGCTGTGTTTTGGATGGGATAGCTTCATCCCAAATCAATACAGTCTTTGGCATATGAACCTAGAAAATGCTTTTCATTCTCCAAATGTATCAGTCAAAACAATCAGAAGCAATTTGCTTTGATGTGGTAGTGACAACAGTCTAACTATATGGTTTTACTTAGGAATGTGTCAACTCTCTCGTCCCTATTAAGTGATCTAGAGGAACACCGATTGTCCTAAGAGCCCATACCCTATTATTTTGGCCCATTACTTGATGACATGTTAATTGGACCTTGTGAACAAGCAGTAGCAAGCACCCTTTATAAGACATGTTTGTACTATAGGGTGGAAGATAAACCTTGCAAAAGTTCAGGGGTCACCACATCAGTGAATTTTCTAGGGGTCTGGTACACATTGGGATATCCCCTCTAAAATGAAGTAAGTCTGCACTATTCATTGCCCATCACAAATAAGAGTCATAATGCTTATTGAACATCTTTGGATTTCAGAGGCTGATTTACTGCACTTTGAACATGGTCTGATGCATTTGCCTATTAAGTCTGATATTTTGATTGGACTCAGAGGAAAGAAAAGGCTCTATTGCAGGCCCAGGCTGCATTAGAACTTGCTTTTCTATTAAGGCCTGATTATGAGTCAACCCAGTGGTATTAGAAATGTATTCTTCATCAGAGATGCTGTATGGAGCCTCTGGCAAGTCCCAATAGAATAATCCCATGAGGGAACCCTAGGACTTTTAAGCAAAGCCTGTTCTTTGCTACAGACAACTGCTCTCCATGGGAAAGGCAGCTCCTAACTTTCTATGGACTTGGATGGAAACTGAATATCTGACTAAGGCCACGAAATCTTATGAACTTGAGCTGCTCCTCAGAAACTACTTGTCATCTATCCAACAAAATGAAAAGGTAAATTGTGCTGTATCATTTCATTATTAAATGGAAATAGAGGCCGGGCATGGTGACTCATGCTGGTAATCCCAGCACTTTGGGAGACTGAGGCAGGTGGATCACTTGAGATCAAGAGTTTGAGACCAGCCTGGCCAACATGGTGAGACCTCATCTCTACTAAAAATACAAAAATTAGCTGGGCATGGTGGTGCATGCCTGTAATCGAAGCTACTTAGGAGGCTGAGGCAGGAGAATCGCTTAGGAGGCTGAGGCAGGAGAACCTGGGAGGTGGAGGTTGCAGTGAGCCAACATTGCACCACTGCATTTTAGCCTGGGCAACAGGGTGAGACTCTGTCTCAATAAATAAATAACAAATAAAATTAAATAAATGAAAATAGCAGCTATGTGATGCTGAGTCTGAAAATACAAGATATTCAGATTTTTATGGTATCTCCTACTGTTTTATCATGTTTTTTAAAATGCAGACTGTGATAGTTAATTTTATACACCAATCTGACTGGATCAAGGAATGTCCAGATGTCTGGTTAAACATTATTTCTGAGTGTGTCTGTGAGGATGTTTCTGGAGGAGATTAGCATTTGAATCTGTGGACTCAGTAGACTGCCCTCCCTAATGTGGGTACGCATCATTTAATCTGTTGAGGGCCTGAACAGAACAAGAGGCAGAGGAAGGGGGAATTCCCGCCCCCCACCCTGCCCCTTTTTCTGGTTAAATGCTTGAGCTGGGACATTTAATCTCATTTTCTCCTGCCCTTATACCAGGATTTTATACCATTGGCTCCTCTGGGCCATACATACATACATGTGTGTATGTGTGTGTCTGTATATATATATATGTGTGTGTGTATATATATATATCCATATCCTATTAATTCTGTTTCTCTGGAAAACCCAGACTAATACATTTACCTGTTATCTCAAGGGGAGTTCCCAGTGGCTCATTCACAGCCAAAGAAAAGTGTGTTGCCATTCATATGTGTTAGCACCAGCCAGAAATGGATGACCACTGCTTCTCAGTGCTCCTGACAGACAGAGGTGAGGGCAAGACTTCTTGTGTGGAATTTTGAGCAGAATGTCTAGTTGTCCAATTTTTGGAAAGAAAAATGACCTGGTTCTATATTGATCCATGAGCAGTGGCTAGTGGATTGGCTAGCTGTTCAGACTTGGAAAGAAGGGGCCATTTACCTCCTTGTATCCAATTACCAGAAGGGCACCATGTTACTGTTTTATCATGGGGAGAAAGAGTGCTAGGGAATGCATAGTATTGGACTACCTCGTAGGCCTCCTTTGCCTGATAGTTGTGGTCAATGAAAATACGGTGCCAACCCAATCGAAAGACCACCAAAGATGCAAATCCCTCAGGCAAGTGACTCTGTTTAGGGAAGGTGCTAGCAAAGAGTAGGGTAAACATGAAATGGGTCACAGAAGGCAGCTGTGATCACCACCTTGGGTCTGTGAGCAGCTGCATAAGCAGGGACTGTACTAGCTACTGTTTATGTTCATTTATTCTCCCCTCCCCTTTCTCTCCCTGCTGACTAATGTGAAGCATATTGATAGTGGCAAATGTTTTAGATTCCATGTGGGGGCACACATGAGTTAACAACACCATATGCTGATATTTCACATGTTTTCTATTTGGAGGTACAAGCTTTTTACAAGATGGAGGACAAGAGCCAATCCTGAGGTGCAAAATAGGTTGGCTGCTTTCTGTTTGCCTGTTCACATTCCCTTTCTACCCCTTTCCACCATACACTTTGTCTTGATATGCATAAATTACACCAGGAAGAACTCTTTGTCCTCTGGTGTCAGGTTCCTGTTCAGTCAATGAGAACAGGCAAAACATGTGAGAGAGTGAGGTCTGGGTCTTTATTTCCTGGCTTCCCTCTTCAGGATCACTTCTTGCTGAGTGCAACCTTTAAAAGTTGCAGTTTTGCTCAGGGGGCCTCCAGACAGTCCTCTCTGCTTCTGGGTTTCAGCAATGACCCCTTCTTCATACTCTTCAAGCCTGAAGAGGCACTTGCTACTGTTACTAGCTTCAGAGTACTGTTAACCCTTTACCATGACCCCTTCACTAACCTTCCTCAGACTTTTCCAGTGTGAGTCAGCTAGGTGCTTCCTACTGATTTACAAGTCTAATTTTTTAGTTATTCTAATATGCCAAATTCTCTTCAATATTACAAATGCTTTAAATAGTAACTATATCAAGATTAAACCGTTGAAAATAAATATTTATTCTTGATCTTAACACAAAAGTGTTAATATTCTTCCTGGAGAAAAAGGTACTTATTCATGAAGTCGGCTATATATGGCTGCATAGGTGGTTTCCTAAACAACTCTGGAGACAACATTCATATTAACTAGTATGAAAGAGGCACATCTTGTAGTTGGGTGCTGCACAGCTCCCCCACAATTGCATGTTGTGGCCCTGGGTCTATCACGGACATGTTTTGGTTATTCCAAGAATTACAAGGTTAGTCTTTCTTGCAAATTGAGGTAACTATCCCAGCACACTGAGGGTGCTCATTGGCCACATAATTTTGGATTGGTCTTAGGTATGATTCTGTCCTCGTCACTGACCTATATGAGCCATTTATTTTTTATTCTGTGACTTTCAAATGGTGTGATCTTCCAATACACATGTCCCGGATTCACATTGAGCATTATCTAATTTTTCTGTCTGATTTGAGTCTGCAAGTCTCAACCCAGGTGACTTCACCACTTGATTGAATTAAACGAATCTCTTTATTGTCTGCATCATCTCAGCTCTTCCTTCCTGGCCAGGCCGCAAGCCTTAAGGCTATCTAAATGTCCTTAGTTTGAATCCTGAATATCTGTCTGTCTTTGTGAATGTAGCACAATAGTGGTCATGGATGAAGGTACAGTGACATAAAAAGAGGTTGAACAGGGTCCTGGCACTGAGAAAGGTGGGTTAGGTTTTGAAAGGCTTGAAACAGGAGGCCA
The DNA here is from genome assembly GCF_000001405.40 of Homo sapiens. Classification (NCBI taxonomy): domain Eukaryota; kingdom Metazoa; phylum Chordata; class Mammalia; order Primates; family Hominidae; genus Homo; species Homo sapiens. The sequence goes on from NC_000012.12 coordinate 63,081,472, forward strand.
ACTTGATCTAGTGTGAGTTCTAAAAAGATCTTCCTGGCTGAGGTACAAAGAATGAATTGGAGTGGGGCAGGTGGGAATGCAGGGAGATGAGTAAAAAGCCTATTGCCAGGTCCAGATAGAGAAAGAGTGGCTTGGATTAGTGACAATGGAAACAGAGAAAAGTGGATGGATTTGAGAAAGATTTTGGAAATAAAATTCATGGAACTTGGTGGTGACTGGATCTAGGGAGTAAGGAAGGGGAGATGTAAGGAAAGATGGCTGAATAGCTGGTGGATTGTGGTGATGATGGCTGTGCACATTGGTAGTAGCAATGATGAGGCAGCGGAGGGAGAGAATAGGAGCAAGGAAGGACCACGAATTCAATTTGAGGTGCCTGTAAGAAAGAATCCAAGTGATGAGACTGAATAAGCATTAGATGTTTGGTTGGAGAAATGCTAATTGTAATTAGAGCAAACATAGGGTACTTAATTTTTTTAATGCAGTCCTCAATAAGTGAGGGTGGAGTGGAAGAAAACAAGGTAAAATAAAGGCAAAAAATCATTTGTTCATCTCTCTATGCCTAGGTTCATTCAAATAGATTCATTCAATTATCCAGAATCTTGCCTATGCAGATATTATTGTAGATTCTGAGTAAAGTGGTGAACTAGAGAAAGTTCCTACCCTCAAATTTCCTATTCTCAGTGGAAGTAAATTCACAATGTTGAGATTAAATAGTTAATGCCATCTTTAGGAAAAAATATACAGATCACATTTGGTTTTATTTTATTTTACTTTACTGTTTTAGACATGTCACATTTATTTTGCTTTTCCTGTTATTTTGTAGGACTTTGTCTAAGTGCTCTATTGGCTAATAGTTCATAAGTTCATAATTTTGCTAGTTTCTATAAGACGTTTATAGTTGTGTACCTAGAAATGTTGATTGGTATGTTATTTCTCTTATATATTCTTGTTTGTTTTTGAGATGGAGTTTTGCTCTGTTGCCCAGGCTGGAGTGCAGTGGTGCGATCTCAGCTCACTACAACCTCCGCCTCCCAGGTTCAAGAGATTACCCTGCCTCAGCCTCCGGAGTAGCTGGGATTACAGGCACCCACCATCATGCCCAGCTAATTTTTGTATTTTTGTAGAGACAAGGTTTTATCATGTTGGCCAGGCTGTTCTTGAACTCCTGACCTCAGGTGATCCGCCCGCCTCGGCCTCCCAAAGTGCTGGGACTACAGGTGTGAGCCACCACGCCTGGCCTATATTCTTTCTTGAACTTTAATAGCAGCAAAAATCCTCCTAGATGTTATATACTAGATGAAGAAATATGCCACCAGGATAGGCTTTGTGTGTGTAAAATAAATTTAGTACCCAAAATATGCCACTGAAATTTTTCATATAGCAGTCTCATAAATGTAATTTTAAAATAGTCAATAAAACTTTAAGATGGGAGTACTAGATTTTAGTATATAAAACTAAATTCTATAAAAAAGTATGCCTCCCTGATACATCTACTTAGCTTGAAATCACGACATATCATGTTTAAAACAAAAATAATCTTGACAGTAGAAAGAGGATGTTCTTCTTGTTCCAAATTACATTCATATACATTTTGGTAAACAAGTTGTAACTGAATACATCTAAGTTTTAAAATTCTCTTGTTTAGAAATGTGCACACTTGCACATAGGAAGAGGAAGTTGAATTGCTTTACACCGAACAAGATAAACACATTTATGACCCAGCCTGAAAGTCTTTGTGAGACAGGTGGACTTTGAGACTTTTAGTGTGATAATGATACATTGTTGACTACTGTTGATAATATTAACTATTGACTATTAAGTTGTTAATAGTAACTGGACAGGGAGGGATTCATCCTGCCCAGGCAAATCCAAATGCTAAATAAACATTTACTGAGCACTCGGGTGTGTCAGGCATTAGGACAAGAACTTGGTCTACAAGAAAATGCAAAAGTTCATAATTCAGACAGAATTTCTTTCCTCAGTATCTGTCCACTAAACGTATAGGAATGAACCCTATCATATGATTTATAGTGCACATGGCTGGAAGCACTCGCTAATATCCACTCACTCCTACTTGGTTTAGGGACATCACTTACTTTTCATGTCTATATGACCCTTTTGCTTAACATTGCTCAAAAGTGAGTGTCTCATATTAACAAATTTCCTAATTGTTTAGGTAACTGATGTTTAGTCTTGTATTGGTCAGTGTTCATTCAGGCAAATGGAAGTTGTTCTTTGTATTTCAATACAGGAGATTCAAGGTTTCATCCCTGTCAAATGGGCTAGGGAAAGGGCAGGTCAAGAAGCCCACTACCTACAATCTCAGCCAGCAACACTGAAGTAGGTTGTCCTCAAGACCTTGCCAGACACAGACACTGCTGTGTGCCTCGTATCCACCATCTGGTCAGCATCTGCCTGCAACTGCCACTCAAGAATAATGGGCTGTCCTCCCCTTTAGAATCTCCCCAAGTGCCCTGTTCCAATTTTCATGTCCCCATTCTTTTCCAGGCAACACTTTAACTTTTACGAAAGAGGCCTGACAAGGCTCACTGTGATTTCAGCTTTCATTGTTACCCAGTCACCCATAGGATCCAATTTTAGATTTGGCTCTCAGAAATCTTAGCTCTGCAGCTACAAGAAATAAAACGTTCTTTCAGAACATAGAAGCTTTTTTGGTTCCTTGCTTGAGAATTTATAGATCATCCTTCCGTAAGTTTCAGTCTTAGATATCCAGCCAGCTCCATCGTTGTTGTTGTCAAACTTTCTGCTCAAAGATTCTCTTGAAGAAGTCATATGGTCTTTCAACACTTAGCTTTCTTATAGGCTCATAATTCCAGGAAACTAAAAGTGGAAATTAAAAAATTATTTAGCCTCCGTACATTGTATACCAACAAAGTTTTTTTTTTTTTTTTTTGCTAGCAGTGAGGCCATTACATTCTTTAACTCTATTCAGATCAGAGAACTCATCCCGGATTCTCTTCTTTGAGGTTCTGTTTTCCTGAAATTGCTGCCAGTAGCAAAAATTCTAAGAGCCAGACTTCAGTCATTAAATCAGAAGTCACTCTGTATGGCTGTAACTCATGTGGCTGACCTTATTTACTCAGTTTCCAGCTCCTTCAGAGGTCAAACTGATATTGCATAGCCCAAGGTTTCCACCATAACTAGGACCATTAGCATAAACTATCTGGATGACCCAAGGTCCAAGGTAGACAAAAAAGAGTCTTATCAGGCAGGATATTTCCAGGTTCTTAGAGGTTATCATCCAGGAGTCAGTCAAGGGGCAAACTTTTCTTTGGAACACGCAGGGTTTGTGCAACTCAGGTCTACTGAGTTAATCCTTTATTGCATACACAGATTCACTGAAATTTGTATCTTAAGGAACCTCAGAGATTATCTGGTTAAACCTCTTTTTTTGTAGGTAATAAAAACAGATGGATGTGGATTTAAATTCCAATGTTACTACTTATAAACTGTGAGGCATTGGAGAAATTACTTAACCTCTCTGAGCCCAATTTTTTGCACAGATTCTTAGTTAACAGAGTTATAGTCAAGATGAAGTGAGAACTTATCCAAACGCTCACGCTAAATCAGTGGTTAAAATATAGTAGGCCTAAAAACAATAATTTTTTTCTTATTCAATAAGCTTATCAAGAATATATTATTATACTGATGCAGGTAGGAGAAAAAGTTGCTGCTCTATTAAAAATAAGCATTTTGATAACTAGCACTGTAGAAACATTTATATAAGAAGAGATGTCGCTTTGTTTTGGAAAATGCCTTGAAGGCCCCTTTTGAGAGTCAAGAGTGAGGCTCTCTAGGACTTAGTATGCAAAGAAAGAAACGAACTGCTTTGCAAAATGCCTTGAAGGCCCCTGTGAGAGTCAAGAGTGAGGCTCTCTAGGACTTAGTCTGCAAAGAAAGAAATGAACTGCTTTGCAAAATAATTGGATGAAAAGACAGCAAGGCAGGAGAGAAAAAGTAGTGAAAGACTGGAGCGAAGGGTAAAAACGAGGAGTTGAAAATATTTTTTGCAGAAGTTGGTCAGTGCCAGGTTGTTAAAAGCCTTCAAATCTACATAAATTAGTTTCCCAAAGTCTCAGAGCTGGTTAATGAAAGAGCTGAGATGAAAAGGTCTTTTTAGAAAACCACATTGCCTCTTTAAGAACCAAAGTTGTTTTTTTTTTTTTAAACCACTTTCAATATTTAATGATACTTTGGGGTATTAAACAGAGTATACAACCCTTTTGCTAATATCTGAGATTCTCAGAAGCTGCCCACCAAATATCTGGGTTAATACTGTATTTCACATAGTTAATTAAATATTTACTCACCAAAAAGGAAATAGTTTTCAGCTAAGTTTCAGAGAAGGCTTATGGGAAAATAGTCAGGAACCACCGTTTCATTACAAACATTTCAAGAGAAAACAAAAGAGTGCCTCATGCCTGAATACTTTTGGTGACTTATAATAAAAAAATAAAGTTTCCTGAGCTTATTGTTATTACTTTGCATTGATAAATGCCCATGGTTTTGTTCAGCTGACATTTTTATGTAGTAACAGGGAAATGTGCAACTCTCTTAGTTTTTGGAAACCAACAAAGCCTGAATTTGCAAGTGTGGAGCCGTAACATGCTACACTTCAGTTGAGTCTCACTTTAGTCACATGTTTAGAGAGATCCAAGCCAAAGGACATAAACACTGAAGAAATGGAGAAGTTTGAAAAAAATTTTTTTCTTCTAATTTTCTGTTTGGGACAATGAGCGTTTTCAGCCCCTGCTTGCTGTGTCTGAAATTGCCACAAGGGCCAGGCTTTTGAGGCTTATATCTTAGAAGGAAATCCTTGTTTTGGACCTCCAGAGTAAAATGCAGGGCCAGCCCAGTATGAACAGTTGTTTTCCTTCTAACTGGCTTCCCTTGGGAATTCTCATTCCGTCTTTTTCAGCACTTCACTCCAATCCCTTGCTGCTATAGACCTTCCTCTGCTTCTTTGTTTGTCTGAGGTATGGTGGGTATGTAGCTTAAACTACTGGTCATAATTCTTTACATCTGTTAGTATCATACATCGCTTGCTGTGCTTCATGATGGATTGCCTCTACTTCCCTGCTTGAAGTTGGATTTGGCTATCAGACTTTGTTTTCGCCAATGGGATATCAGCACATGTGACATGAGCAGAGGTTGCAATATGCTTATGTGGTTAGGCTTGTTTTCTGCCACTCTTGCCAATGCCACGTAAAGATCACATGCCCCTGGTCTTCTGGTGTGGGGTGACCTGGGCCATCCTGAGCTTGGAGCGAAGCCCAGCCAAACCTAGCTTGGGTCAGCCAAGCCCAGCTGACCTGCACATGTGTGCAGAAGAATACCTGATTGTTGGTTTAAGCTACTGAGCTGTGGGGTGTGTTTTTTTGTTTTTTTTTTTTGGTTTTTTTTTTGTTTTTTTTTGACGGTTATGGTAGACAATATCAGAAAATGTAGGAGGAAGGGAAACAAGAAAGAGCAAACTGTCCTCAGCATCTACTCTGTTCTTTTCATTGGCATGTTGGTTTTATTTTCTAGTCAGCCAGCGGCCACTGGTAACTGACAGACAACACAGCATTTGACTTGTGATTCAACTATTTATTGGCTTTAGACTAGAATTTTGTATCTGAAAAGTGAAGATAATAGAAGTACCTGCTAGGAACTCATATGAGCATACAAATAATATAAAGCATCTGGGTTCAATAAATGGGAATATTATTACTAGCAGCAGCAGCATCACCACCACTAGTAGTTGTAGTAGCAGCAGCAGAAGTAATAGTAACCCTGAATTCATCTTCTACATCATCGCACACTTACCCCTGCCAGAGAATTGTGTGGCATTTTCTTACAGGGTTCTTGTAACATCTATGAAGACACACTGTGATAAAGGAAGATATCCATGGAGTGGTTGTGTGAAAATTTCTTTGAAGTACATGACAAGTTTTCCCTTATCTCAGTCCTATCCTATATTTCTATTTACCCTGAATCTAGGCAGAGAAAAGATAGAAGCAGTGTTCGAGGGGACCCTCTTTATCCAACAGAGAGAGACTCAGGACCATGTATCCCAGAATAATGAAGGTCCGGGGGAGGTAAACAGTCAGAAAATTAATAAAAACAAGGTTGTGTAACGGGAGAAAGATCCGGACTTGTGTTCACGACTCTCCTGGAATGCCTATGGCAAGTTGTACTGTGAATCTTTAATAAGATACTAAACCTTTACCATTTTCCTTGTTTTCTCCAATATTAGTAATAGTGAAAACTCACGGAAGGGTGGTTATGATGGCTCACTCCTGTAATCCCAACACTGAGAGGCCAAAGCGGGAGGATCACTTGAGCCCAGGAGTTTGAGACCAGCTTGAACAACATAGAGAGACCCCTGTCTCTATGAAAAATTAAAAAAAAAATTACCCGGGTGTGAACTGTAGTCCCAACTATCTGGGAGGCTGAGATAGGAAGATTACTTGGGGCTGGGAGGTTGAGGCTGCAGGAGCTGAGAGCATGCCACTGTACTCCAGCTTGTGTGACAGAGTGAGACCCTGTCTCTAGAAAAACAAAAACCAAAAATCCTTATGGGAAACCTGAAAGGAAGCTCTACTTTTTTTAAAGGCAGAGGAGGGGAGATACTGAGAGAGTGTGTGGATTCTCAGTGAGTTGGGGGAAGTGGGCTGAGTCAGAGCTATGGTGATAACAACGGAAGGGAAGCAAGACACCCAGGGCTGGGGTTTTTTCTGGAATAAATACCTACTGGATAGGAAGCCTGACCTCTTACTCTTCTCTTACTCTTCCTTCTCTTGCTCTTCTGTTTCCCTTTCCCACTAAAAATCCAACCTCAGACCATAAAAGCATTCACCATGGACTTAGAATATGAGAAACTGTAATCTCCTCTCTCAGCACCATTGCTAGAAAAACAAGTTTGATTTCCAAAATGCCAACTGATAAGTATTCTTTTCTTCTTTACTGTAATTCTTTGAAAATCAAGATCTGCAAAATACTTTAGATGGCATTTGGCCTGGAATGACCAAGGAAGGAGCTCCAGGCTGTCCTTGTATCAAGGGGTAGCATCCCCTCTTTAGGGAAGCTTGTTCACCAGCAGTTGGGTTCTGACTTGTAAAGAATGTCCAGAAAATTAGGCCCCAGATGCCCACTTTGTTGAGTGACTCAAGAATCTCCTGGGAATGAGTGTACCTCTTGGTACCTCTAGCATGACCTAGAAAGGCAGAAGGGAGGGGTAATTCTGGGCACTTTGTGTTGCTGGTTCCCCAGCTGTCAGCCCAGAGCAAACAAACTGTACCTAAAGAGTATTTAACCTTAGTTTCTCCAGCTCTCACAAATATGAGAGTATACATGAAGGAATGACTGAAAGAGAGGGATCTGGAATCAGATTGCTCGAGTTGTAATCCTGGATCCTACACTTTCTGTCAAGTGACCTTGAATGATTTAGTTCAATTACATCTGCCTCAAAAGTCTATGGACTAAGTAGGATCCATTGCATGGAACTGTGATGGCAGTGTATCACCAGTGAAACCTAAAAGACTATTTTATGAGAAATTCTGTAAGACGTTAAGAGCCAGGATCAAGATCTTGATATTTCCTTCCACACTTCCCCAAGCAATGGGTGGCAATGGCTGGGAGCTACCGTAGCAGCACTGATGTCTTTTGGGAGACTGTGGTGTCTGGAGAACACTGTGAAGTGAATGAGTAAGTTGTCAAGGAACTGGAACAGAAGGAAGAAGCCAGGGCTACTTCAGAGCAGCTCCACGGCCAATTCACTTCACTTGTTTGTGGCAGGTAGTGGAATTCTTTAGGGAGCTGGAGTCCCACATAGGAAGACAGGAAAAAAAAATGTAAAAAAAAGTAATATTTTTGAGAGCAAAGTCCTTCATTTAATCCATACAATAACCTTATGGATTACATATTGATATGGTTTGGCTGTGTCCCCGCCCAAATCTCATCTTGAATTGTAACTCTCGCAATTCCCAAGTGTTGTGGGAGGAATCTGGTGGGAGATGATTGAATTATGGGGGTGGGTCTATCCTGCGCTGTTCTCATGATAGTGAATGAGTCTCATGAGATCTGATGGTTTTAAAAAGGGGAGTTTCCCTGCACAAGCTCTCTTGTCTGCTGCCATGTGAGATGTGCCTTTCACCTTCCACCATGATTGTGAGGCTTCCTCAGCCATGTGGAACTATAAGTCCAATAAACCTCTTTTTTTTTTTAATAAATTGCCCAGTCTTGGGTATGTCTTTATCAGCAGGGTGAAAACAGACTAATGCACATACTAATCTTATCCTCATTTTCCAGAAAAGACTTTTGAGGCAGATGCAATTGAATTAGTTCAAGGTCACTTGACAGCAAGTGTAGGATCCAGGATTACAACTTGAACAATCTGATTCCAGAGCCCTCTTTCAGTCATTCCTTCATGTATACCCTCTTATTTGTGAGAGCTGGAGAAACTAAGTTAAATACTCTTTAGGTACAGTTTTCTCTAATAAAGTTCACAGAGTTGGAAATATCTAGTTTCACAGTAGATCTCTGCAACAGAATTAACCATATCCCCAGAAAAGTGCATACACATGTTAAGAGTAATTACTACCCAGGGTATTATAATATCTTGTGGCCAGCTGATCGTTTTTAAAGACATGCTCTTTGGGGAAGAAGCATTACACCAAGGGATGCATTAACATGAAAACAAAAACATGCTTAGCAGCTGCATTTTTTTTTAATATGAAAGTCTTAGAAAAATAAGCACAACTTTCCCATCCTCAAATTTTTCCATATGGTATGATATCTGTGGATTAGGGGATAGATAGAGAATTGAATGACCTCTTAATACGATGAGATGTAGCAGAAAAATAAATGAGGGGACTGTCCTTTTTTTGTGAGGTGGTGCTTCCAACCTAGAAGGCCGAATCAAAAATAAGTCCCAATAAAACTTAATTTATGTATTGTCTTTCTCCTGAATAATTAAAAATGGCTTCATAATTAGGTTATGCATCACGTAGTCCTTTAAATCTATTCATTAGCTTCTTCAGGCAGTGAATATTTTTGAGCACATATTGTGTATGGTTAGAATCACTATGTTAGGTGTTGTCAACATAAAAATGAAAAGACACTATCACTGTCTACTGGCTTATAGAACTCCCATCTAGTGGAAGAAAGAGGTGAAAAGGCAGCTAAATATGCTAGAACAATGTTATTTATTTGCACAGGGTATTATTGAGTTATTTAACCTCATCCTGAGGGCTGGGGACAGGAATATTGGAGGAGTAAGAAAAAAGTTTCCGTCAGCTTGAGGATGGAACTCCTTTTCTGAGTGCTACAGCATGCATGAAGTCAGTCAAGCATGTGGTGGGAGGCAGCAGTCCCTTCATGTGCAATTCATGGAGACAGTTGGAGCCAAGGGGGAGGTGAGAAACATGTCAGTATCTCAGTGTGTGGGTGAACTCGGAGCCACCTAGAGTCTCTGGAGCTCAGGCTGGGAGGGATCCGGCTAGAATGGCAGCAGCCAGGAGCCCACTCGTGGGAGGTCTTGTGTACTATGCTAGACTCTGCAGACTGAAGCCAGTGGGAGGCAACATTTTCACTGCTTTGCGGATGTGTAGAGTATTTTTTCGCAAAGTTAAATTTATTCAATGGAAAAAACTGGCCATTTTTTTCCCTGAGATTACAGTACTGTACGTTGTGTGTATGTATGGTTTAAAATGATCTTTTCTGAAAGGATTGTGATAGAAGATGACATTTTAAAAAGTAGTCCTTCCTTAGCAAAATGTAAATGTGGCATCTTCCTGTAAGTTTTTAATATTAAAAAAAATTATCCTGGTCTGTAAATTGAAGAGACAGAGCTACTGCTGCAGGGAAAGCAGTAAGTGGAGAGATTTAGCAATAGGATAGCATAGCTGGATTTACACTTTAAATAGTTTTTTCAGCTGTGTGGAGAGGAATTTGAGGGAAACCAGACCAAAGGTAGGGAGATAATTGATGAGGTTAATGATCTAACCTAGGAAAGAGACGATGAAGGTCTAATCTAGCACTGAAGCAGTAGGAAAGATGGGGATTGGGGGACAAATTAAAAAATATATTTATAGGATAAAAGCAGGACTTGGTGGCTGGATACAGGAGGAAGGGAGAGGAATGAATATCACCATTCCCTTTCGCACCATATCAAGTGGTGAGATTTTTCATGTTCATGGAGTGGCTGAGGCTACTTGGGGGCAAACAGATATTTGCTCCCATTTCTCTGTCCAATACAATTGACAGAAAGATGGAGGAAGGCAGCAAAGTGACCTTCATGCAAGACCAGCTACCTTCAGGGTCAAACCACTTTGGAAAAAAGTCTCCATAGATACCAGCTTTAAGTTTGGTGGAAACAGAAGCTTTTGATTGTGAGAGGGACCTGGTATAAAACAAAGTGGCATGATGGGGGAGCTGAAGGGATAGCCACATAGGAAAGACATTGTAAAAGCCCAGCAGTGGACCAGGACAGATGTGAGTCACGTGTATGATGCTTGCCTTGCTTCTTTACATAATCAATGCAAGTGCTAATGCCTTATCACCTCTTCTCACTTCTTCTAATTCCTACAAGGAATTGAAAGTAGCAGTCAGCTCCGGCAAACGGTCATAGCTCAGATGAATCTTGGTTGTAAGGGCAGCCATAAACCTTTTGCCATCTTAGAGAAAACAGATTTAACTGTGTATTTGATTTCCATTCTATCACAAACTGTGTATTTGATTCACAGCTTGTGAAACTACACTGCTTTCACTACTGAGGCAGAAACCACACCCTAAAAGGTAGTTAAGTGCTCTCTGGAAAAAGAAATTTCCTGTATTTACGGATGGTGAATTAGTTAATAAACTAGAATTCAAATTGCAGGTCTTCTGACCACGGATTGTGATCAACAGAACGTAATATTACAAGTTAAAATGCTGAAGCCTCCTGATAAGGAGCTGGTAAAATATACAACACAGTCTTCAGAAGACTGCTGGGAAAAGACTTGTTGAATGATAATAAAAACTCAGGAGACAAGGCCTTGTCTCCTGAGTTTTGATTCTACTTGACTCTGGGAAGAAAGTATGTTTGAAATGTGGAAAACAGTCAGGACTTGAATTTCAGAAGGCTGCATCATAGCATATTACAGCAGAAAATTAACTCTGAAGGAATTACAATGTGGAAATAAAATTAAGAGAGAGGCACTGAAGATGAGGATGCTGAAATGATCTTGACTTCAGGGAATGGCATGCCTTTGAATTCAACAACCAGTAGTCACACTGAAATATTAACAATCATTCTTCACAGTGTGCACTTATGGGGCAGGATGTAGAACTGCATTATTCTCTCTGAAATGACTCCACCCCATTCTCTTAAAGTAGTAATACTGTTATGGAGTAATGGGAGCTAGGTGACTTTCAGTTACATTTACTTTCAGAAAGTAAATGGTGGACTTATAGGAAATTAGCTGATAAAAGTTCATGAAACAACACACTCATCAGGGACATGCTGAGTGCTGATACTCTGTGGGCAATCCCCAACTGTGGGTGAAGTTGACCTGTTACCTATGCAACATCAATTTTTTTTTCCTTCCACCTTCTAACAGTACCCAAACTTCTCTTTGGGACATCACTGTTCTCCCTACTGTGTAGTAGCCCTATAATTCTGCTGCATTGACCCACCTCCAGCTGCTTACCCCAGAAGGATACTCTCATCTTCCACGACACAAAAATTGGTTGAGGGAACCCAGGTCTGAGTCAATCAGTGCATGATATGACAATGACCACATGGGTGGCTCAATCTATGTGAAGCTCTAGGGCTTCGTGGATATGAAAAAGGAAGCAGGCAGTTCTGGTTGCTGTTGGCAGCCATCTTTTGATCATGAGAGCAGCTAGTTTGCAGACTAAGCCCATATAAGAAGGAGAGAGAGCCAAGAGAGCTGCAGACAAGTGGAGCCAGAGTCCTGATCAAACCAGATTCACTGCCTGCCTTTCCCAGGGAATTTCCAACTCCATGGTACAGCAGATCCCTTTTATAGTTTGCTAGTAGGTTTGTTTGTTAGGTCATTGGTTGGTTGCTTGTTTGCTTCGCTGAGGTAGGGGGATGAACAGAAGTGTAAAGCTTGGTTCTATGTCTTTACATTTACACAAGTATTAACTTTAGTTCTCTATCCTTAATTGTGGACTGACTGGGTTTTTTCCCTTACCGTTTTCTAGCAGGCAATACTATCAAGATAATTTTTTTTTCCTTTTTAATTTGTAGATATTTCATGCTGAAAAATCTGACATTCTTTTTCAGGGTCTATTGAGGGGAAAACAAGATGGCCCTTAATGCCTGAGAGAGCAGGGAGAAAGACTTTCAGACTGTAGGGAGGCCAGAGCTTCCTCTGATTCATTCCCCAACCACAATCCTGTTCCAAGGCTTCCCTAGACGTCAAGACATCATTTTATGTACATTATTAAGAGGTTGGTCCTTGAGCTTAAGACTTCTCCATCAGTGTGATTCAGACCAGTATAAAGATACCCGAGTAAGTGATGAAGTGGGTCTGTCATGAGCTTACATGCACAGAGGGCTGAGAGTCTTCTAGGGGAGATCTAATTCTCTGGGAAGTCCAGGAAACAAGCTTGATATAGTGAAGAAACCCATAATTTTTAGAGCAGAGACATGATTCAGAGCACAGCTCCATGTGGACTCACATGTAGTTCCTGAGATGGGAAAGAAAGGGCTGTGGGTAAGAAATGAAGGAAGCTAAAAAGGAAGAAAGGGGGAGGGGTGGGGATGGAAGGAAAGGAGAAAGAATGTGGCTGGGTGTGAGTGATCTTCAGGGGCTGAGATTCTGCTGCTTTTCCTGATGTAGCTGTGTCTCTAGCCTGGTCAGGGTAATGGTGAACCCAGAAGTGCTGACAATTAGTTAAAACAAACAAAAAAAGCAAACACCCCCAAACTCCATGATGATAAAATAAAAAGGAATCAGATAACAGCAGAAAATATTGCTAGAGACTACAGCAGAAATTGTAGCTAGAAATATCACCTAGAAGAAAGGCTGCAATTTCATATAAAATTACTGGTTCTTCAAACATTTACCAGGTATCAAAACTGCTCTCACTGGAAAAAATGTGGGAAAAAACTTTGTTCCCTTCTAGTGCAAAATGCTTGCAATGTAATGTTTTTGTAGAAGAATACCAGCTGTAGGTGATTTTTTTTCTTTTCTTTCTCTGTTTTTGTTTTTTTGAGATGGATCTCATTCTGTTGCACAGGCTGGAGTGCAGTGGCACAATCTCAGCTCGCTGCAACCTCCGCCTCCCAGGTTCAAGCGATTCTCCTACCTCAGCCTCCCAAGTAGCTGGGATTACAGGAGCCCACCACCGCGCCTGCCTAATTTTTGTATTTTTAGTAGAGATGGGGTTTCACCATGTTGGCCAGGCTGGTTTTGAATTCCTGGCCTCAGGTGATCTGTCCACCTTGGCCTTCCAAAGTGCTGGGATTATAGGCATGAGCCTCCACGCCCAGCAGGTGATTTTTCTTCAAAAGCAATTCTGGTGTCAAGGAAAAATAGATCCCAGAGGAAATTACCTTGGTGTGATGGTAGCCTCCAACTTTACTCCAGTCAAGCTATCCTAGATGTCACAGGACAGAAAGTCTCAAGGACTAAATTTAGATGCTCAAATCGCATGGCAGATTGGATCTATCTAGAACATTTATCAAGGTGTAAAGGAAAAGAGATATGAGGTGAGTGATGACAGGGTAGGGTGGGAGGACCATGGGAGGACTAATACTAAATCCTGTATTATACAATTGCTCATATATCCCCTTTTTTTTCTTTCCCTTCAACTCTACCTTTTCTTCTCCTCTCCCTCTAACTCCACTTCACATCAGTTTTTTTTTTTTGCTAATGGAGCTGTGGTTACAAGGACCAGAACTTCAACAAGGGATGTAGAAAGCTGAAAATGTCTGGAGTCAATGCATGTTTGTTCCATTGGAGAGGCAGGGGAGCAAGAACACCTGGCTACAGCTGTACTTCGCCAATTAGTTTGCTGGAGAGCTGTGAACTTTGTCTTTTTTTTTTTTTTTTGGAGACAGATCCCACTCTGTCACCCAGGCTGGAGCGCAATGATGCAATCTCCCAGGTTCAAAGGTTCAAGTGATTCTCCTGCCTCAGATTCCTGAGTAGTTGGGATTACAGGCACCCACCACCATGCCTGGCTAAATTTTGTATTTTTAGTAGGGATGGTTTCACCATGTTGCTCAGGCTGGTCCTGAATTCCTCACCTCAAGTGATCCACCCACCTTGGCCTCCCAAAGTGCCGGGATTGCAGGCGTGAGCCACCGCACCCAGCCTGAACTTTGTCTTTTCGGCAGAGCACATGCTAGCCCAGAATGGGGCCCCAGTGGCTGGCCAGTTTAGAGATGACAAAACCGTCAGTCTGCAAGTGGCTTGATTTATGCCTTAGGATTTAGTCCTTCCACCTTTTCTCTTTATAATACTCTTGAGTGTTCCATCTTTTGAAAAATCACATAATCCATTCTACTTTAACATGTCTTAATGGTTGTTGGCTATCTATAGTGGACAAATCTTGTGAATTCTGCTCATGTCTCACATACCTGCTCACTCACTGTGTTTGTTCAGCACATGGTCTAAGTTTTATCCATCCTACTTGCTTTTGTTTGCAAAAACAGAACTGGATATTTTCAATTAATAGTGAGAACACATTACAGAATAAGCTTTGCCTGCCTCACACAGAGAGCCAATTCCCACTTTCACCATCACCTACAGTTCAGTGAAAGAATGGAGTGAAATGAACTAAAAACATGACATCTATCCTGTAGCATCTTAGGAATCAAGAATGACCATGACAACTGCTGCTATCATGTTTCACTGAGTGCTTACTCTTGGAAAAAATGTTTGACATGCATTATTTCACCCCATCCTCATAATGAACCACTAGGTAGGTATTACAATATTGAGCGTTCAGGTAACACAACAGAGGCTCAGAAGAAAGATGACTTGTCAGAGTCAAGTGGCATGTGGAGAGCAGAGCAAGAAAAGGAGCCCCAAACTCTCTTACCCCAAAATCCCTCTTCTGGTCACTGGGCTAGGGTCTTCCATTCCCAGAGCCCCATCAGGGATTCCAGGTATTCTTCTCCACCATGCCCTGCTGTGATCTCCTCGTCTTTACTTCTGAGTGATGTACATCTCTGAGCTCCTACAGGAACCTCCAGGATGGCTTATTCCTTGTGTGCTCATTTAAATAATGATGTGACATTAAAATCCAGGTCACATATGAAGCAAATTAACAAGGATTACTTATTTAAAATGAAGTCAAAGATCCACACAGTATATTTGATCAGATAGTGGATGTAAATGTCTTGTGAACACTATATGAGAAGGAATGACCACATTGTTTAGTCAGACAAAAAAATACAGCTAGAGAGAGGCAGCATGACATTCACAGAGGACAGTGCTCATGAGATAAGAGAAACACACATGAATGTTATGAGACAGATGCTGTACATGTATTATTTAAAATCCTCACAACCACTTTGAACGATGGATATTACAGAGAGGAAAATGAGACACAGCCTGGTTAATAACATGCTCCAAGTAACTCAGCTAAGAAGCAGTGGGACTGGGTTTTGATACCAGTTTGTGGCTGTTCTTTCTGCCATACCAACATGTACCATATGGCAATAAGGAAGAGAGAATGTGGAGGCTAGAAGGGAAACTAGAGGCCTGTAGAATACTTTTCTTATAGAGAAGGAAATGGAAGTCTTTGAAAATGGAAAATATAAAATCAGAATTATAAGTCTCCGACTAAAAAGGAAATTACATTTGGATAAATGAAAATAAAGCAACCTCGGTTTATCAAGTTTAGCCAAGTTCAGTACAGTATGTTTTTCCATGTCCTGAAACGTTAAAAAAAGCCTCGGGTCATTAGAAAGATCATTAGCTGGATTTATTAAGCTAAAAACGAAGGTCTCAAGTCAGATTGCTATTTACTGAATGTTCTGTGCTCTCCCACCCATGGTCTAAAAAGAACTCTCAAGTTTATTTGGCACATACTCATGTGTTTACAAGTACAAATCTTAATTTCTTTGCATCCATGGACATCAAGTTTTGTAAAACAAAGCTTAAGTAATTGTAAAATGCCATAGAACATGACTAGGTTAGAAAACAGTAATATTTTATCAGTTGTATCTACTATAAATAATTTCTCATCTCTTAACTGCCAAAGTTGAATTTTCTACTGGGATTCTTATTTTTTCCTTCCCTGCCTTGTATTACTTTCCCTGCCCCCCTGCTGACTATAATATTGTAGTTTAACTTCTGATGGTTGCAGTAGTTGTCGTAAGTGGTATCTCCAGACTGCAGCTGTTTTTGACAAGCTTACATGAAAGAAAAACCTATCCGACAGCTTCTAAATCTGAACGCATTATGAAGTTGCATTCATCTACAGGTTACAAAGTGAGTTAGTGGCAGAATGGGATTGAAACTGAGGCAGGGGATGTGTAGGAGAGCGGTCATAAATTTGTCTCCACAGACAACTGGTTTTGCATCTAATTTCTGACAAAGAGAATGACCTAATACAGCACTCTAAAGCAAAAATAATCATTTTTTGTTAGCAGCCTTTAATTGGCTTATGTAATTGGTCAGTATATTCAGTCACCTGGGAGTACATTTTTTTTCAGTTAAATTATGTTAAAAAGCTCATCAGAAAGTTTCATTGTTTAAAATTTGACATTTCAAGCATTTATGAAGTTTTAATGGTTGTGGTGGGAAATTGTTAACTGGTACTTTTGGAAATTTCAGGCTAAAGGAATATCTTGAGCTTTCATTGTGTAATTGTGAGTGGGACCAGTACCAGAACCGTTTTCTGAGGAAAGCTGGACCCAGACCAGGGGACTCCCTCAGCCTATTTCTGTGCAAAGGTAAGGTAGATCTCCATAAAGAACATGAGCCCTGGCTTGGCATCTTGATTTTTGCAAGATAACATGCTTGTGCTATCTTCTCCTCAGCTGCTCAATGAATCTTTTTTTTTTTTTTTAGAAGAGGGTCTCACTGTGTTGCCCAGGCTGGAGCGCAGCCACGATTCACAAGGATGAGCATAGCACACTGCAGCCTCGAACTCCTGGGTTCAAGTGATCCTCCCACTTCAGCCTCCCAAGCAGCTGGTACTACAGGCATGCACCACCATGCCTCGCTTTGCTAAATCTTATTGAATTATTTTTGCCAGGAAGCATAAATCCAAATTCCTGGTGACCAACTCTCAAAGGAGTGCCTTGAGGACAGGAGCCACTGATTTCTCCTTGTGTTTCAAATTCTATCCCAGAAACAAGCCAAATCATGAGGACCAGCATAGTATGGGTCTTCATGACGCACACTTTCTGAATTGATCTCAGATGCTCTGGCTCTTGCATCTTGTTGGGCTAACTAAATAGCTGGGTGATGATCACTGTTGAATTTATACCCACTGGCAAGTCTCCTCCTTTGTGTCTTGTATAAAGCCTATTTTGCCTGCTGTTTGGTGGGTAACAGTTGCAGTGGCAGAAACCAGGGGAGTTTGCCTTATGTTCTCTGGTCTTGGTGGCCACCTGCTGGTTGGTTATTCCCTCTGATTGGTCATTTGCCATTAAGTGGGTTGGTGACAATGGATATTTGTGGAACAGTTGTCCACCATTTTCTGAATACCTACTCAAAGATCTGTTACTGAACGCCAGGGGTTTGGTCTAGGTCCCATTGTTTGCCCCACAAAAAGAAACAACGTGTGTTGCCAGGGAACAAGGCTTTATTATTTTATGGGTGATGTCAACCAGGGAGATGGGAGCCAAGTCTCAAATCCATCCCTCCCTCTCAACTAAGGTCAGGGGTTTACATAGCTGGGAAGGAAAACAGAAGGGGCAAGGAAGAGGAGTTGGTCAACAGGCAGCAGGTGGTTGAATGAAGGGTCCAGCGTCTTATTGTAACCACGTATAAGAAAATAGGAATTAGGGAGGGGTAAGAAGGGGAATTGATCAACAGGCAACAGATGCATCTCATTGTCTGGGTGCAGTGATCTAGAAAGCCTCAGCTCCCCGATGGCATCTGAGAGGCCTGGCGATCGGTTTCCTGAGAAAAGATGGAAGTGTAAAATTGGGCTGGCTTCGGATCTTTTCTTCTGATTGTTGCCTTGTTTCCTAAATATCTCCTCCCACGGTCCTCCTTGTGGTTCCCTTCCACAGTCCTCATTGCTCAGTACTGCCTCTTTTCTTTTTTCTTTTCTTTTCTTTGAGACACACTCTCGCTGTGTCACCCAGGCTGGAGTGCAGTGGGACGATCTCAGCTCACTGAAACCTCTGCCTCCCAGGTTCAAGTGATTCTCCTGCTTCAGCCTCATGAGCAGCTGGGACTACAGGCACACGCCACCATGCCCGGGTAATTTTTGTATTTTTAATAGAGATGAGGTTTCACCATGTTGGCCAGGCTGGCCTTGAACTCCTGACCTCGAGTGATCTGCCTGCCTCGGCCTCCCAAAGTGCTGGGATTACAGGCATGAGCTACCGCATCCAGCCCAGCATGGCCCATTTCTTCCACAGAACAACATCATTCATGAGGGATAAAAGCATTCTGGTCCCAGGCCCTTCTGCTTTCTCAGGCTTCTCTCTCCTGGCTCTCACCAGTCTCTGTATCCACTCCAACTTCTACTGACTTCTCAGGAGGGAAAGCTGAACACTAGTCTCAGTTTAGGCAAGGAGGAGGCAGTGGTGGAGCTTTAGCTCTATTTGAGGTATCTAAAGCCAAGCATGTTTCCCTATTAGGCTCAACTACCCATTATGTACAAATGGGACTTCAACACACATGTCAAGTACAGTGGAACCAAACCTAGTTTAATCTAGGCTTAATTCCAGTTGGAAGTGAGGATTTCTACTTTCACATGCTTCTTCCTGTCTCAAATCTCAGCTCTAGATCTCCTAAAACCAGTTGTTCAAATGGCTTGGGGCATTTTTTTCAAGATGATTTCCACGGGAAAAATTATACAATTTTGATAAGAGATTTAAAAAGAGAACCTGAATTAATGGAGAGACATATCATGTTTATGGAAAGGAAAAAAAATATAATAAAGACACCAATTGTTCCCAACTTGAATTATAGATTCAATGCAATTGAAATCAAAACCGTAAAACTTTCTATGCTTATTTCACCACTTATATGGAAGGGTAAAGGGTCAAAAGTAGCCAGAATGCTTCTGAAGTAGCAGGTATCAGAACTTACTATGAAGCTGTTGAAGGAAACTAAAATATTTCACTCCCAAATATATTTTCTTGATTTATTTTGAAATGGCTGCTGCAGGGCCAGCAGATTGAGTTGGGAGGGTATTGCATCTGTAGAGAATCCTCATTAATGTAGCCAGACCTTCCCTTTCTAGGCATTTCCCAGCCCTAGGTGAGGTTAACTGAGTCTGGCACCTTTAAAGGTCTGAAGAGAGACATTTACCATCTATTCTCTGAGGACTGCTATCTATGAGGCTTCAGCCACATAACAAGGCCACCTTTGCTAGCCAGGCCACCTCCTTTTAAACCTCTCATTAAACCTGATTTACCAACATAACCTGTTCTTGGCCATGTTCTGAGCCCTCACTCTCTCTATAACCTCAAGATGGTATATAAGCTTCTGTACCTTATTGTCAGGTTGGGTCTTCCTTCTGAAGACTCCTGTGTATTGTGCCTTTGCAAGTTGATTTTTCAGTGAAACTTCAGAGGGCCAAGATTCCCCCTTGGCTCCCACACTGTAGTGATTAAGATAGTGAGATAACAGCAGGGGGATAGATATGGGGTAGATATATACATCATATCAAAGTACTCCCCAAGTTCTTATTGATTAGATATTAAGTAATAAGTTCAAAATTATTATATAACTTTATAGTAGAGAAGTTTGGCATACATCAAATTAACCAGGTATTAAAAGTTCACTGCGCCAGTAATGGGACAAATCAACGTCATGTGCCTCCTCATGTGCTGCACCGAGAAGGACACAGTATCACTTCAGCAGTGTTCTGG
Source organism: Homo sapiens (assembly GCF_000001405.40). Classification (NCBI taxonomy): domain Eukaryota; kingdom Metazoa; phylum Chordata; class Mammalia; order Primates; family Hominidae; genus Homo; species Homo sapiens. The sequence continues at coordinate 63,101,501 of NC_000012.12, forward strand.
GGCCAAAAATGTAAAACCTCAAGTTGCTTATGAGTAAACCCCAGCCAAACTCAAAACAATGGACATTCTACAAAGCAACTGGCCTGTACTTTTCACAGGCATTGAGGTCATGAAAGACAAGACAGAAGAGCTGCTCCAGAGTGAAGAAGACCGAGGAGAGCAAAGACCACCACGAGGCCATCAAGCAGACAATCCAGAGACAAAACTCCTTTTCTGAGGAATTCAAGAGTAATTAGACTTCTCTATTATCTAAAGCTGACATCTGGTAGCAGGCTTCTTTCACCCCAAATGTATAAGTAATTAGAACTTCTATACATCTCTGGAATGCATGCATGTTGAAACTGACTGTGTGACCCTTGATGACATCAAGGCACCCAAATGTCTACAAATGTAATCACTTATCATGACTATGTGGCTAATATGGTTTAAATTACCCTTAACTCCCACTTTAAGGTCCATAAATACCCCTAAGGAAAAAATCCACCATGGTGCACTCAGTCCTCTCTTGCTGAGATGCCCGGCTGTACTCTTCTGTAGCATTCCATCTATCAAAACTTTCCTTTTCAAAACCATGCTGTTGTGGATAAATTATTCTTACTCCCTGTGAGTCAGTCACTTTCCATTGCTGAGGCTCTGACACCTCGCCTGACAGAGATGTGGAACTCTTTGCAGTATTCAATCCTGGACTACACCCTGGACCATGAGGGAGACAATTGGCAAAATCTAAATGGAGCATGTGGATTTGATAGTATTATATCAATGTTATTTTCCTGATTTTGATGGTTGTATTTGCCTGTGTAGAAGACCATCTCTATTTTTAGGAAATATATACTAAAGTATTGATGAATAATATTGCCTCATATTTGAAACTTACTCTGAAATGGTTCAGAGAAAAAAAATCACGCATACATAGGAAGAGAAAAGGGTGAGAGAGAGAAAGGGGGGTAAGAGAAAGAATAAAAATTATAAGGTAAATGTGATAAGATGTTAACGGCTATGGAATTTGGGTAAAGGATAGAGACAGAAATGCTTTGTATTTTTCTCTCAACTTTTCTGAAAGTTTGTTATTTTAAAATAAAAGGTTAAAAGAATATATCGAGAACTCTTACAAATAATAAGAAAAACATGAATGATACAACATAAAAATGGAGGTGAAACATGAACAAACATTCTGCACAAGAGGATATACGTGTGGCAAATAAAGCCACAATGACATTTTTGACATCATTGGCAATCCCAGTTAAGACCATAGTGAGGTACCATGTACCGTTTTGCATTTAACTGCCAAATGTTTTAAAATCTGAAAATACCAAGTGTTTGAAAGGCTTTGGTTTCAAATGATTTGTTATACATTTCTGAAAGGAGTGTAATTTGTTGCTGTCATTCTAAATGACATTTTGTCACTCTCTCAGAGTTGAACATTTGCATACTGGGTGTGACCTAGCAATTCCACCCCTAAGTACATACCTAGGAAAATCTCTCATATACACCTATACCTGGAGATATGCACAGCATACTCACAGCAGTGACACTTATAATAGGGAAAACCTAAATGCCCATTGGTGGAAGAGTGGCAAAAGAACTGTGGTACATTCACACCACAGAACATTGTAGAGCAGCTAAAACAAAGGAACTCTAAGATGGAAGAATTTTAACAATATAATAGAAAATGAAAAAGGAAGCCATTCCCCAATTACATACAGTATGACACCAGTTTTGAAAAGTGAAAACTAAAATACAAAAAAATTATGCATATATAGAGATTCATAAAACTGTACACAAAGAATGAAAGCTGAGAGTGGTCACATGGAATGTGTGGTTTTATTGCCACAGAGAACATTATGCCCTAAAGGTGAATTGATATTTCTAACTTTAGAAACTGAACATTTTTGATAATGTAATTAACAAGCTTTTTCCCCAGCTTTTATTCATCAAGTTTCTAATGTCTTAGAGTTCATTCTTATCCAGGATACCTCTTACACAGATTTGGCCTGTAGTTTTTTATAGTGAGCAAAATATGAAATTTTATACTTATACACTAAAATATATACTCCATGAAGACAGATATTTTGTGTTTCATGTTTACTATTGTATCTCCAAAATCTAGCACAGTACCTGGTATATAGAAGACAATCAATACATCATATCTACTAATCGATAATAATAATGAATGCAAATCTGTATTTGTCAATGTTAAAGGGCAACATTGCAGTAACATAACATTTCCAGTGGGTGGAGCCCACGTTGCATTTTGTAAAGTGAAAATTTTTGATGCATGCTTTCTTGTCCTTGGGAGAATTTTAGTTGGTTCTGTGGTACCTCTGTAATAAGTTTGGATTTTCTTTGAAGTGCACTAATTGTCACAGAACTGCAACCTTTTTCGTGTGGCATATTCGTGTTTAATGAACAACTTTCTAATATTTAAACCATTTGGTTCTTGAGTTAATATCAAGTAAACTGTTTTTCCTCTCCACACAATTCAATTAGGTTGCTAAGTTTATTGTACTTATTTCTAGGTAAAAAACTAAACATGTTAAAGAATGAGAAAAATCTGTTTAAAATAGAATGAGTCGTAAAAAGATGGTAAACAATGTAACATGAATGCCAACTATGATGATAATGTCTAAGGAAAAAAGAATCAAAGCAATTTTCCGTATTATTTCTATACCCAAAGGCCTGACATTGCTGTAAGCTCAGGGCATTTGTCTTACCTTATTTAATTTAGCTTCCTTTCTTGAGTCACTTGCAGAAAATCATCAGTTACATAGGGGATCATCCCCACATGGCTCTGTGCATCTGCTACCCTGGCCCATCTCTCATTCCTCCCTATTTTGGAAAATTTCCACCATGCTATCCGGAATTCAAAATCCACCATCTGCAAAATTCCCAGATCCTTTATTTCTTCTCTGAACACTGTTTGCTTTTTTGCTCAATGGAAACCTGGCTCTAGTGTGAGGAGCGTGCTGTCTTGCATGTAGCTTTTCTTCCCATACCCCTCTGACTACCAGGCCTTGGGGGCCAGTAGATGCCGGCCAGCCCCTCATCGCTGTCTCCAACAATTCTCCTCTCCACCTCTCTAACCCCCAGCTTTGAAGTCTTTGTCATCCAACGATTGCACAACCCCCCTTCCTACTGCAGTCATCTACTTCTAGTCTCTCCTCTTCATTTCTATAATGTTTTTAGATCCTGGCTCACTGTCAATTTCCCCCTAAAACTCCTGTGACAAGTTTTGGTTATTTCAGTATCCAGACAGATGATCATTTTGAAACATGGGCTCCAGGTTTCTTAACCTCCTCTCCTTTAGGGATCTTCCCCCCACCTTACCTCAGTCACTCATTCCCATGGTCACAACCCTTGCCTTTGTGTTTACCAACAACTACATCCCTACCTTAATCTCGGTTTCTAGCATATACATCCTTACCATTGCATTCTATCAAAATACTCTCAGATGCCCTGTCTTCACTTTCCCAACTCCACTGGACCTTCAGTCCATTGCTTTGGTCACCTTTTCTCCTTCTCTTGCTCTTCCTCATCACCTCACTTTACAGCCTTATATGGAAGGGATTCCATGCTTTCACATTGTTATAACTTTCTTGCATATTTATGTATGGCCTTGCTTTGTCCTTTATTACAGTGCCTGGGAAACCCCAACCCAGTTACATCTAACTCTCTGCCTATTCCATGCCTGCCTCCTTGCACCTGGATATGACTGGATAAAAACCTACAGCCATGACTACCAGGCCCATGTTAAATTTATGTTATCACTAACTCAAGTGGAATCTTTGGGCTACCTGGTAGTTCTGCTTCATCATACTGTCCGTTCATTCTCCCATTCTCTAGAAAAGTGTTTTTCAAATTGTGCATTTAAAAACTTAAATAGATTAAAGCTGAATAGAATTTAATAGGGTACACAGCATAAAATAAGGATAAACACTATTTCATGAAATGCTTGTTTCTTTTATATTTGTATGTACATTTATATACACACATCTGTGCCAGTTTGGGATATAAAACATGCTGTGAATTTAAAAAAAAGTTCTAGGCAATTTTTTCACATTTTCTTCCTTCTCCTTGAACTTCCATCCCTTTTTCATCTCTTCATTCTCATCTGATGATTCTGCTTCCTATTTTACTAAGAAAACAGGACTCAGAAGAGAGCTTCTGCACCTATCAGCCTATGCATGCCCATATTCTTCCCTCCTTGCTGTTACTCTCTGCATCTCTAAGCCCAGCCCTTCCACATGTCTCCTAGATCCACCCCATCATTTCTCAACTTCTAACTGAATCATCTAGTTACTAGTAATTATGAACCTCATGCAAGTTCTTTCTAATGCATCATTGATTTCACCCTCTCTTACTGTACCATTCTTCTTAATATCAGGCATTCTGCAGTAGCTCCCATGTTAAATACCAAATCCAAACAAAGCCTTTGGTGATTCCCCTCTAGCTACTGTGCCATTTCTATTTCTCTTTACAGGAATAGTCCTCTAAAGAGTTGTCTACACTTTCTGTTTCTGAGGATTCTCCTCTCATTTTCCTTTGCCCTTACTTCAATGGGCTTTTATCCCCACTATTCTACCAAAACATTTTAATCAAAGTTATCAGTGACATCCATTGTTCTTTAATTTCCTAAATTCAATGGGCTTTCCTCAAAGAGATCACTCTCTCCTCCTTGCAATACTTCCCCCACTTGACTTTCAGGCCACCAGGCTCTGCTTACCTTTTTTTTTTTTTTTTTTTGTTTGTTTGTTTGTTTCCTACTTTCCTACTTTCCTACTTCATAGGTCACTTCTTGTAAATGTTGGAGTGCTCATGTCAGACTTGGAGTGTCCAAGGTCTCACTCTTGAAGCTCTTGTCTTATTTATACTTATCCCTTGGTGCTTTCATTTAGTCTTATTGTGTTAAGTTCCATTTACATGACAATGATTCCCAAATTTATATAGCCCAGGCCTTTCTCCTGAAACCTTTTTGGCATCACGGACCAGTTTCTATGGAAGGCAGTTTTTCCACAGACTGGGGGTGGAGGGATGGTTTCAGGATTAAACTGTTCCACCTCAGATCATCAGGCATTAGATTCTCATAAGGAGCATGCAACCTAGATGCCCCGCATGCACAGTTCAAAACAGGGTTCACACTCCTATGAGAATCTAATGCTGCCACGGATCTGACAGTTGGTGGAGCTCAGGCAGTGATGCTCGCTCACCTAACCACCTCTCACCTCCTACCGTGCGGCCTGGTTCCTAACAGGACATAGACCAGTACTGGGTGTTGGGGACCCCTGTTGTAAGGGATAAAAAGAGTCAAGGTTTATGTTCTTAGGGGGCTTAAATATCTTTTAAGCAGTAGTATGACAGTAAAATAGACCAGAAGGCCAGACAAAATATATTTTACCTTCCTGAAAATGTTCATTTTTAAGAAGCATTGAAACAGTAAATAAAACCCTAATGCATAATAATTAGCAGATTCGTAAATACTCACATTCGCCAGATCAAAAAATTAATTTATCAATGTGAGAGAGCCCTGGCAAGGAAATCCATTTTTCCCTCCTACCCGACCTTTCCAGAAGTGTCTTTTTGCTTGCTGAAGGTCGGTCTGTCACCCTAGTCCCTTGATCACTTTCTGCAGTTTCCTCCGTGGTGTTGCTTCATCATTTATTCACTCATGTATCCATTTAGCAGACATTTATTGGATACCTACGTGTCGGGTAAGTCATTAAGACTGAGGAGAAGACAAGAAAAAGATACATTCCAAGGCAGCAAGGAGGTCATGGGTGAGATTTCCTTTATCTTGCATCTTTTTGTTGTGAGTGGCTTCTCTGCAGGTTCCAACCTGCTCACAGATCCTCCGTCTTGATTTTTCCTCTGGCCGTGGAACTACCAGTTCTCCTCCTTGCCCACCTCCAGCATTGTCCTACTTTTCTTCCCTTCTCATTCAGGCCCCTTTGAGGGTCCTCTTACTCTCACTGTGTCCCCCTTCTCACCTGCTTTCACTTATCAACTCTCGATTTGGCTTCAGTCCTATCATTCCACTAAATCCTCTGCCAATGTCAGCATCAAAAGCATTCATCTTGCCAAACCCGTTGCTTATTTTCCTGCCTTTATCTTTTTGGACTGTTCTGCTGCATTTTCTTTCTTCTTCACACTCTGTGCCTTTGGCATTTATGAACCTCTCCTCTCAGTCCCCTTCCCGGCTGTTGTTGGGTAACTTCTTCCTGCTTCTTTGGTCGTCTTCCTGAGCTGTTACTCCCTTGCGTCTCCTCTGTCGTTCTGAGCTTCTTCCTCAGTACATGCTCTCCTTAACAAATACCATTTGCTCTTATAGTCTTAGATTCCCATCCTGATTAATGGAGCCTGCTATTAATCAGGTTGTACGTAAAACTTCCTGCTGTGTATATCTGCTTCTATATCAACCTGTCTACTGGTTATATTGACTTGACGTATCCCAGGTATCTAAACTCCAAGTGTTGAAACTAGAACTCATTGTCTTCCCCATCCTATTAGAAACCTGCTCCTTCTCTATGATTTCATTACCTTCCTCTTTCTCCTTCTTCCGCACATTTCGTCAATCACCAAGCCACAATGATCCTCTGTATATTTATTTCTTGAATTGAGCCCTCCACCTTCATTGCTAGTACCATTGCTGTGGTTCAGGCCACTGTCATCCCTTGCTTACATCACTTAGAGCTTTTCAGTCTATGCTATACTATGTCACGCCTCCACGCCTTTAGCTGTATTCTTTGCCTGAAGTGCCCTTTCTTAAACTGGTAGGTTTCTTCATCCTTCAAGACTTTCTAGGAAGTCTTTCCTGAACTGTACAAGCTTTTCTTTTACTACATCGATTTAAAAAATAAAAAAAATATATTTATGTATCTTAAAAAACTCCCAGAAGATAGTAAATTCTGTGAGAATAGGGACCATGCTTTATTGGTTTTTGTTCTCCTGGTCCTTAACTCAGTGCCTGGCTATAGTAGGCTTTGAACCTAAATGCAATTAAGATTTTCCCATTTGGTTGCAATCTACAAGCTTTAGTACAGCACAAGATGCTTAGCCTTTTTCACTTATAAACAAACTGAGAGCTTCCTGCACATGGGCACTGTTCAAGAATGAGCCTACTGTATGCTGGGAACTGTGAGTGAATTACTATGGCCATAGTGTGGTGTGGGAGGAAAAAACTGGAGAAGTAATCCAGGCCAGATCATGAAGGGCTGTGAACACAACAGCATCGTCAGAAGGAATATTTGGTAGCAGAGTGAAAAAGGATGATGGGGGCAAGATTGGAAGCACAGAAGTCTTTTTGTAAAAATAAATTTGTTATGGAGATCACATTTCATTCTGATGTGTCCATTTGGGTTGTACTAACTTTTCAATAGTTTTTAATTGTTGCTTTAAAGTATTTACTGAATTGTATTGATTCATGTATTCATTCCGCAATCCTTAGTGACCATTACTGCCACGTATTATATATACAATATTTTGGGGGTCTCAGAATAATACATACTGTCCTTGGCCTCAAGAACTCATTGCCTAGTAGTAGCACTGGACACAGCAATAGAAAAATGTGATTCAGTATCAGTTCTACGGGAAGGGTGAGCACAGATTATGGAACATTAAATGGGAATGGCCTCTTAGATGGGAGCCTGGTGAGCCAGAGGAGGCCATCCAGAGCAGTGGTTCTGCGCTAAAATTTTGAAAGATAAGCAAGAATGAACCTCTTGAATAAGCTGGAGATCTGCCAGACTACTCCGGGCATGGGGAGCAGCTTGTGCAAAGACCCAGATGAGACAACTGAGTTTCTAGTGGCTGCAATTTATTGTGCTCGTGGAAGTAGGACCAGGGATGAGGTAAAGAGGTAAACAGGCATCTTATGTTAAAGCTTAATTTTTTTTTTTTTGAGACAGGGTCTTACTCTGTTGCTTAGGTTGGAGTGCAGTGGTGCAAACATGCACAGCTCACTCCAGCTTTGACCTCATGAATTCAAGTGATTTTTCTGCCTCAGCCTCCCTAGTAGCTGGGACTACAGGTATACACCACCACACTCGGCTAATTTTTGTATTTTTTGTAGAGATGGGGTTTTGCCATGTTGCCCAGGCTGGTCTCAAACTCCTGGGCTCAATTGATCCACCCACCTTGACCCCACAAAGTGCTGGAATTACAGGCATGAGTCACCGTGCCTAGGCAAAGCTTAAATTTTATCTTGCAGAGGATGTCATAGAAGAAAAATTCTGACCCACTTTCATTAATGGATTAGACAGAACAAGGTAATAGCTGTGCTACATAATTAAGAGACTGAAATGTAAACAATAAAACAAGACAATGACAAAATCACCACAGCTTTTTGGTAGAAATATTCTTAGAGAAGAAAAGTTAGTTGATATTTTTCTGGTCACCAATCCATATTTCTTAGTTTGGATCTGTTTCTGGCTCATACTCAAAAATGGAATCCAACAAATCCTGCCATTCCCTAGAGGACCAATAGTTCCTGTAATAACTATTCTCATGACATTTCCTGGATATGATACACTCTCTAGTCCCATATTTACAGATTTATAAGCCAATGTCTTTCTTCAGTGATTTTCTTGCATCCTCATGACATCATGCAATATGCCTCACAGCAAGGTAACAACTAGCCTGGTGGAAAAAGCAAAGGAGTCTCTAACGGGAACATTTCCTAACTGACACAGTATCTCCATCCATTACAACAGATTTGGTCAAAGCTTATTTTTTGTTCCAGAACAACTTGAGTTTCTCAGAATCCTGTATAATGTACCTCTAAACAAAATAATTACTCACCTAGCGAAAGTGGCCAGGATGTCTCTACTGGTTACATTCTTCCATGGGGCTGAGAGACGTAGCCCTATCAGAGAAGGAAGAGGAAAGAATATATTTTAGAATTTAACATCCTCAGTGTGATTTTATTTTCTGTACTAAGATTGTTATGAATTAGATCACGCTCTTTTCAGATGGAAAGAACATCTCTTCCTGAGTCATTGGTGGGTGTTTCCTGTAATTGACCTTTGGGACCGTGGAAGAAGCCAAACACCTTCCTTTGCCATAGGATAGAACATTGTATGTTTAGATTCTCTGAGTGGATTTTGTATATATTTCTGTCTGGATGACTTTTTAAAAACATACATTAATCTATCTTTATTGAGTACTATTACCTTGCAGTCACAAGCAGCCCAAAATGTAGAATATATGCTATTTAAAAGAACTTTTTAAAAAATTATACTTTAAGTTTTGGGATACATGTGCAGAACGTGCAGCTTTGTTACATAGGTACACACGTGCCATGGTGTTTTGCTGCACCCATCAACTCGTCATCTACATTAGGTATTTCTCCTAAGGCTATCCCTCCCCTAGACCCTCACCCCGTGACAGGCCCCTGTGTGATGCACCCTTCCCTGTGTCCATGTGTTCTCATTGTTCAGCTCCTAGTCATGAGTGAGAACATGCAGTGTTTGGTTTTCTGTTCCTGTGTTAGTTTGCTGAGAATGATGATTTCCAGCTTCATCCATGTCCCTGCAAAGGACATGAACTCATCCTTTTTTATGGTTGCATAGTATTGCATGGTGTATACGTGCCACATTTTCTTTATCCAGTCTATCATTGATGGGCATTTGGGTTGGTTCCAAGTCTTTGCTATTGTGAACAGTGCTGCAATAAACATATGTGTGCATGTGTCTTTATAGTAAAATGATTCATAATCCTTTGGGTATATACCCCATAATGGGATTGCTGGGTCAAATGGTGTTTCTGGTTCTAGATCCTTGAGGAATCGCCACACTGTCTTCCGCAATGGTGTAACTAATTTACACTCGCACCAACAGTGTAAAAGCAGGAAGATAATTCTTTTTTATTCAATTTTTAAAAATATTATTATGCCTACACATAAGCTGTCACATTTTCCTTAGTATGTTCATTATACTTTGGCCCATGGAAACCAATCAGTAAATGAATAATAGATAATTGAAAGCATTTTTAAAAGTCATCTTTATCTCTCAGAACAGCTTTAGATTTACAGAAAAAAATTGTGATGATAGTATAGAGTCCCCACATTTTCCCCTCATTCAGTTTTCTCTATTATTAACATCTTAGTATGGTACATTTGTTACAATTAATCAATGCTGTCACATTATTATTAATTAAAGTCCATAGTTTATTCAGATTTCCTTAGTTTTTACCGAACAACCATGTTAGTTATTTATTTTTACATTGACATGTAACAGATGTACATAGTTCTCAGGGCATATGTGACAATTTACGATGTTCATAAAATGTGTAAACATTAAATCAATGTACTTTAAATAAATATCATCTTAAATATTTTTCTTTTCTTTAGAACCATTTGAATTATTCTAACTACTTTGAAACAATACCTAGATTATTGTAAGCCATAGGCACCTTACGGATCTGATACTAGGTCTTATTTCTTCTATCAAACCATATATTTGTACCGATTCATCAACTTTTCTTCATACCACTCTTTCCACTACCCTTCTCAGGGTAATGTCCATTTTCTATTCTAGGATCCCTTCCTAGATACCTCATTACATTTAGTTTTCATGTCTCCTTAGGCTCCTGGTGGTGACAGTTTCTCAGTCCTGTCTTATTTTGGATGACTTTAATGTTTTGAGGTGTCTCAGTCAAGCATTTTGTAGGATGCTCCTCTATTGGAATTTGTCTGATGTTTCTCTCATGGTTAGAATGGGGTTAAGGGTTTTGAAAAAAAAACCACAGAGGTAAAGTACATTCTCATCATATCATATTCGAGGGTACATACTATCAAGATGCTTTATCACTGTTGCTGTTCTCCTTAATCCCCTGGCTCAGGTAGTGTTTGCTAGCTTTCTCCACTGTAAAGTTACGTTTTCTCCCCTCTCCACTAGCACTCTTTGGAAGTGAGTCACTCCGCACAGCCCACGCTGAAGAGGTGGGGATTTACGCTCCTTATCCTTAGGGAAGATTTGTTTCTTCTCCCCCATCTAGTTATTTATTAAGTAGTTTATTTATTTTTGTATTGACTTATGGAAATTTAATTTCTAGTTGGGCTTAATTTGTTGCTAAAGTTGTTTCAACATTGGCCATAGTGAACTCTCTCAGTTGGCTCCTGTGTCCATTTGATTCCTAAACTTGTATGTTCCTGTCTATGCAGGGTTGTTTTTTTTCTTTCTGTTGAGTACTTCCTAAGTTTCTAGCCCCATAAGAGGCTCCAAGCTCATTTTATGTAATTCCCACCTGAGTTCTAGAATGAGACATTTCTTCAAGGCACCCTGATTTCTTTACCTGGAGAACAGTACTAGAAAACAAGACCTTCATGTTCATTGTGCTTGTTGTTACCTTGGTATTATTGCTTTTAGACCTTCTCAACTGAAAGAGCAAGGAGATACATGTTTGTATACTAACCCATGTACATACAGGTATCCATACACATTTCCATATGTAAACATTTATATTAAGTTAAACATGAGCTCATACAGATGTGTCTAACTGTTCAATTACCTCATAGATCACTGTAGCCTTCTGGCCATGCTTATCTGTAAATTCCCACTCCAACAGTGAGAAATCGTCACCTACCCTCCATCACCTAATTGTTCGGTTTTAGTATGCACGTATAGGGGTGTCTGAATTGTTAGCCCATACCTTATGGGAAATACTTTTATCAACTATTGTACAGTGCACATGTGCAGTTCTAAAAAGAATGGCTTCCATCTCATTCAGCACCCTTTCTGGCTACCTTCTTCATGGAGGATGTTTCATACATTTCTGATATAGTCAGATTCTCTTGTTACAGTCTGTATTCCTTCCTGAATCTTCCAACTTGCTAAATGATTATTTTTAATTTGCATGCATTAAAGTTCAGTCTTTCTTCTGTAAAGTTCTATAGGGTTTGACAAATGAATAATGTCATATACTCACCATGAAAAACCCCATGCTTTACCTATTTAAATGTTCTATTGAACATTCCATCCCCAAACTGCAGAATATACACTTTTCTTATCTGCATATGGAAAATTCTCCAAAATCAACCATATGCTTGTTCATGGCAAGTCTCAATAAATTCAAAAAAATCAAAATCATATCAAGTATTTGCTTGCACCACAGTGGAATAAAATTAGGAACTCTCAAAACCACACATGCACATGGGAAGTAAACAAATTGCTCTTGAATGACTTTTGGGTAAACAACAAAGTTAACGCAGAAATGAAAAAGTCTTTTTTAAATGAATGAAAATAGAGACACAATATACAAAAACCTCAGGAATACAGCAAAAGTGATGCTAAGAAGAAAGTTTATAGAGTTAAATGCCTACATCAGAAAACTAGAAAGATCTCAAATTAACAATCTGACATGGCACCTCAAGGAACTAGAAAAACAAGAGCAAACTAAACCCAAAGCTAGTAGAGGAAAAGAAATATCAAATATCAGAGCAGAACTAAATGAAATTGAGGCAAAAAATATTGTACAAAGAACGAACAAAATGAAAAGTTTATTTCTTGAAATGACAAAATTGATAGAAGTCTACCTAGAATACTCAAGAAAAAAGAAACAAAAGATTCAAATTATTACAATAAAAATAATAAAGATGACATTACAATTGATGCCACAGAAATGCAAAGATCATCAGAGATGACTATAACCATCTCCATGCACACAAACTAGAAAACTAGAGGAAAGGGATAAATTACTGAAAACACAACTGTGAAAGATTGAACCAAGAAGAAATTCCGAACAGACCAATAATAAGAAATGAAATCAAATCAGTAATAAAAAATCTACGAAGAAAAAAACAGCCCAAGACCAGACAGATTCACAGCCAAATTTTATCAGATGTACCGAGAAGAACTGTTATCAATCTTACTAAAATTATTCCAAAAACTTGAGGAGGAGGGATTCCTCCCTAACTCATTCCACAAAATCACTATCATCCTCATACCAGAAACTGGCAAGGACACAACAACAACAAAAAAGGGAAATTAGAGGGTGATATCTCAGATGAACTTAGATACAAAAATCTTCAACAAAATATTAGCAAACTGAATTCGACAGCACATCAAAAAGATAATACCTTTGGGAGTCCAAGGCGGGTGGATCACCTGAGGTTGGGAGTTCAAGACCAGCCTGACCAACATGGAGAAACCCTGTCTCTACTAAAAATACAAAATTAGCAGGGCATGGTGGCGCATGCCTATAATCCCAGCTACTAGGGAGGCTGAGGCAGGAGAATCACTTGAACCTGGGAGGCAGACGTTGCAGTGAGCTGAGATTGTGCCATTGCACTCCAGCCTGGGAAACAAGAGTGAAACCCTGTCTCAAAAAAAAAAAAAAAAAAAAAAAAAAAAAAAGATAATTTATCATGATCAAGTCAGTTTTATTCTGGGGATGCAAAGATGATTCAACATATGCAATAAATGAAAATCACCATATAAACAATAACAAAAACATAATCATCTCAATAGATGCAGAAAAAGCACTTGATAAAGTTGAACATCCCTTCATGATAAAAAAAAATGTCAAACATCAAAGGAACACACTTCAAAATAGTAAGAGTCATGTATGACAAATCCATAGCCAACATCATACTGAATTGGGAAAAGTTGAAAGTATTCCTCCTAAGAACTGGAAGAAGACCAGGATATCCACTCTCACCCCTTCTATTCAACATGCTACTGGAAGTCCTAGCCAGAGCAATCAGGCAAGAAAAAGAAATAAAAAGCATCCAAATTGTAAAATAGGAAGCCAAATTATCTCTGCTGATGACATGATCTTGTACTTGGAAAACCCTAAAGATTACTCCAGAAGGCTACTAGACTTGATAAATGACTTAAGTTTTAGAATACAAAATTAATGTACAAAAATTGGTTGCATTTCTATACATCAACAACATTCTAGATGAAAACCAAATCAAAAACTTAATCTCATTTACAATAGCCACAAATAAAAATAAAGGAATACATATAACTTAGGAATACATTTAACCAAGGAGGCGAAAGACCTCTACAAGGAGAATTACATAACACTGATGAAAAAAGTCAGAGATGACACAAAGAAATGGAAAAATATCCCATGCATATAGATTGGAAGAATCAATATCATTAAAATGGCCATACTGCCCAAAGCAATCTATAGATTCAATGCAATTCCTATCAAATTACCAATGTAATTTTTCACAGAATTAGAAAAACCCTAAAATTAATAGGCAACCAATAAAAAACATGAATAACCAAAAACAATTCTAAGCAAACAGAACAAAGCCAGAGGCATCACATTACCTGCCTTTAAAGTATACTACAAAGCTATAGTAACCAAAACAGCATGGTACTGATACAAAAATAGACACATAGTTCAATGGAATAGAATAGAGAACCCAGAAACAAAGTCATGTGCCTGCAACCAACTGATCTTCAACAAAGTTGAGAAAAATAAACAATGGAGAAAGTACCACATATTCAATAAATGGTGCTGGAAAAATTGGATAGCCACATGAATAATGAAAGTGGACCCCTGTGTAGGGTAAAACTCTCTCAAACCATGTTTTTTTCTCTGCTCTCATGCCAGAACAATCAACACAGAAGATTTCTGTGACCAAATGTGTGTGGGTTTTCACACACACCCAAGCAGTGGACACCAGCTGGTTGTCCTCTAATTCGATTCCAACACTATCTACCTGGAGATAGTGTCAGATCCCAAAGGTTGAGGGCTCAGTCCTCAAAACTGTCTTCCCAACCTCCAGACACAAGGCACAAGTCTGGGCCTCTGGAACTTCTGACTGACTGGCTTCAAGCTGGGGTTTCTATGACCCCCTCCTTGGGCTTGGTTAATTTTCTGGAATGGCTCACAGAACTCAGGGAAACACTTAACATTTGTCGATTTGTTATAAAGGATATTGCAAGGGGTACATATGAAGAGATGTGGATGTGTATGGCAAGCTATGGAAGGAGAATGGAGCTTCCATGCTCTCCTTGGGCTCCACCCTCCAGGATCCTCCATGTGTTCAGCTACCTGGAAGCTCTCTGAACCCAGTTCTCTTAGGTTTTTTTGGAAGCTTTATGACACCTGCATGTCTTCCCCTCAGAGTACAGGGCGGGATCCTCTCTGGGGAGGGTCTTGAGACCCACAATCACAGCGGTAGGGGAAGAGCAAAGTCCTGCCTTGGGGCAAGTGAAAGGAGGGCAGGAGAAGGTCAGAGGCCTGCCCCAAGGTGTTGCAGTCTAACGCACCCAGCATTATAACAAAAGACTGTAATACGGGCTATGGGAGCTATGAGTCAGGAACCATGGCTAAAACCTATGTTTCGCCATATACAAAAATTAACTTGAGATGGATTAAAGACTTAAACATAAGACCTCAAACTATAAAAATTCTAGAAAAAAAACTCAGGATAAACTCTTTTGAACATTGGCCTAGGCAAATGATTTATGATTAAGACCTCAAAAGCAAATGCAACAAACCAAAACTAGACAAATGGGACCTAAACTAAAGAGCTTCTGCACAGCAAAAGAAACAATCAACCGAGTAAACAGATAACCTACAGAATGAGAGAAATATTTGCAAACTATGAATCTGACAAAGGACTAATATCCAGAATCTATAAGAAACTCAAACAAGTCAACAAGAAAAAAAAAAAACATTAAAATGTGAGCAAATGACATGAATAGACATTTCTCAAAAGAAGACATACAAGTGGCCAATAAACATGAAAAAAATGCTCTCTGAAATGCTATATGAAAACATCACTAATTGTCAGAGAAATGCAAATCAAAACTACAATGAGATATCATCTCACACCAGTCAGAAGGGCTATTATTAAAAAGTCAAAAAATAACAGATATTGGTGAAGATGTGGAGAAAAGGGAACACTGATACTCTTGGTAAGAATGCAAATTAGTACAACCCCTCTAGAAAACAGTATGGAGATTTCTCAAAGAACTAAAAATAGAACTACCATTCCACCCTGCAATTCCACGTGGTTATCTACCCAAAGAAAAAGAAATTATTCTATCAAAAAGACACCTGCACTTGTACATTTGCACAGCACTATTCACAATAGTAAAGTCATGAAATCAACCTAAGTGCTCATCAGTGGTGGATTGTATAAAGAAAATGTGGTATATATACACCATGGAAAACTATGCAGCCATAGAAAATGAAATCACATCTTTTGCAGCAACATGATGGAGCTTGAGGCCATTATCCTGAGTGAAATAACTCAAAAACAAAATCAAATGCTGCATGTTCTCACTTACAAGTGAGAGCTAAACAAAGGCTACACATGCACATAAAGATGGAGAAACTAGACTCTGGGGACTTTAAAAGGGGGAAATTGAGAGAGAGATGAGGGTTAAAAAATTACCTACTGGATACAATGTTTACTATTCAGGTGATGGGCATACTAGATGCCCAAACCTCACCACTACACAACATATCCAAGTAACAAACCTGTACATGTCCCCCTCGGACTTATAAAAATTAATAAATAAAAGCACAAAGTGGTTGCACCATTTTGTAGTCTCATTAGCAATGAATGTGAGTCCCTGTTGCTATGCACTTTTGCTGGCATTTATTATCAGTTTTATTTTATTATTATTTACTTTTAGAAACAGGATCTTGCTGTGTCACCCAGGCTGGGTGCAGCGGCGTTAGCACAGCTCACTGCAACATTCAATTCCTGGACTCAAGTGATCCTCCCACCTCAGCCTCCCAAGTAGCTATTGTAGTCATTTAAATAGGTGTAGCCATATATCATTGTTAATTTGAAATTCTCTAAATTTCAAGACAAAATGACAAGTGGCCATCTTGACGAATGATGTTGACCATCTTTTTAGAGGCATATTTGCCATTTGTATGTCTTTTTTGGTGAGGAGTCTGTTCAAATCTTTTGCTCCCCCCCTCCCTTTAATTGTTGAGTTTTAAGGGTTCTTTGTACAGTTTGGATATAACTAGATCCAAACCTTTGTCAGATAGGTATTTTGCAAATATTTTCTCTCAGGCTGTGGTTTGTGTTTCCATCTTAAGTGTCTCACACAGCAGACATTTTCAGTTTTAATAAAGTCCAACTTATCAATTTTGTCTTTCATGGATTGTGCTTATAGTGTTGTATCCAAGAGCTCATCATTAAACTCATGATCACCTCTCTGGACTGACTCAGGTATTCTAAGTCAGCCTATCTGTAGGCCATTTTGCCTATCTGTAGGCCAGTATCTTCTTAGACCCTCAGTTCTGAAATCAGCAGAGATATATGAGGAAAAAATCTGGAAACTTGGATGCAAATGTGGCTGCATTTGCCAAGAATTGAGTCTTGAGACTGCCTATTTTGGGAGAAGGGTAGCAATGACCATATCTACCACCATCTCCTGAACTGTGCATGAGGAATCCCCACATTTTCTGCCCCTTTTTCTACTCCTGCCTGGCACCATACCTTCAGGTGTACCTACCAGCTCAATAGCGCCTGCTCAAGTCCTCCATCTAACCTTTGTGTCTTCACCTCTTGAGAGAAAATCTCACTAGAGAGATCTTGCTTCTGCAGAACTTTAAAACTTTTTGCCAATTTGATCTCTGGCTAGGAGGATTAGGTAGTACAGTCTGCAGTAATAAGCATTTTGGGGCCAGTTTTTCACTGAGTGTTAAAGAAACACAGATTAGTAAGACTGTCCTTACCCTAAAATGGGTTGGGAAGAGAGAAGACGGGGAGAATTTTTTTTTTATTATTATTATACTTTAAGTTTTAGGGTACATGTGCACAACGTGCGTGTTTGTTACATACGTATACATGGAGGTGGAGAATGTTTTTTTTAATTATACTTTAAGTTTTAGGGTACGTGTGCACAACATGCAGTTTTGTTACATATGTATACATGGAGGGGGAGAATGTTAATGAGAGTGACAACTACGATTTTCTGTTGCTATCATTTGAGTGCTAGCTTCTTTATGACAGGCTTGTTTTTTGTTATCCTGGTATCACTGGAGCTTAGAAAATATCAGCACATAATCAAGCAACAAATAATAAGTACTCGTTGAATTAAAAAGTGATTTATAAAATTAAAGCCATTTTAAAACAAACCAAAAAAGCATTAAGAATTTAAAAATCTAGGAATAAAAATTTTGCATTGTCTTTCTTATTTTCTAATTGACATGAACCAGAGAAAATGTTTTCAGAAACCACTGAAATTACTTGGAATCCTGAAGACAGTTAAATTATATGCATGAAATTAAATAGACTTTTTCTTTAACAAGAGACAGTATATTTTCCTTTATATCAAATCTTTATATGAATTATCTGTATTATGTTAATATGTATTTAATTCTTATTATTGTATGTTTAAATGATTTAAACAATATTTATTTTATTCTCACTAAATCAAAGAGGGAATTAGTAATCAGGATATTACAAAGGAAGAGCATGACCTTACATCTACTAAAAATTGCAACTAACAATAACCACAACAACATCCCAAAACAAACACACTTCAATGCAAAAATAAAAGTTGCATCTGTCAGAAAAGCTCATCAGAATAAATAGATTTAAATTTCCAAAGGCTATTTCATAAAGGGCTGAACATGCTGTTGAAAAAATGTAGATATAAAAGTTCATAAGAAATATTGATTCAATTTTTATGACTATGTAATTCTCATTTTTTTCAGGTGCCATGTCAAAATATATTTGTTCCTCTTCTAGTTTTAGGATAATGAGACTGCTATGTGATATAACTACTTGGATGAATATTATCAGAAATCTAGATTTAACAGAGTCTATTGAGATATAAAATTTAACCAAATAATCTAGCTCTCAAATGTTTCACATTTTAAAATGTGAAATATAACCTATCTCTTCCATTCGTATTAGGCTGGTGCAAAAGTAATTGTGGTTTTTGCCATAAAAGGAATGACCAAACTGCAATTGCTTTTGCACCAACCTATAGAACCTTAGATTTAATAAAAATGTCAGGTCAATTAGTTCATGCTAAGTATCTCCAAGTATCTGCTACTTTGTTAATCGCAAATTTAGCATGTTCCAAGAGAAACCAATTGAACTTTTTTCTTAGTTTCTCCCTCTTCTTTGACAAAGGCATTATTAACATTTTTCCAACCTGCCAAGGAAGGGCATACAATAATTAGAGATGCGTATGGCCTTTCTGATGAGCAGAACTGGGTTGGATTGCTAGCTTTAAGACCCTTGCAAGTTGCTTAACTTCAAGTCTCAGTTTCCTTACCTTTGAAGATGGAACAATAATTCCAACCTTACAACATCATCATGAAGATTAAAGAAGCTCTCAGATGTAAAACAAACAATTAAGAGTAGTAAATATCACTAGGCACAGTGGCTCATGCCTGTAATCCCAACACTTTGGGAGGTCGAGGTGGGCAGATCAGGAATTGTGGAGTTCAAGACCAACCTGGCCAGCATGGTGAAGCCCAATCTCTACTAAAAATACAAAAATTAGCCGGGTGTGGTGGTGCGCACCTGTAGTCCCCGCTACTTGGGAGGCTGAGGCAGGAGAGTTGCTTGAACCTGGGAGGCGGAGGTTGCAGTGAGCCAAGATCACGTCACTGCGCTCCAGCCTGGGTGACAAGGCAAGACTCCATCTCAAAAAAAAAAAAAAAAAGGTAGTAAATATCATGAGACATTCTGGTATAATCTTCTACTCTCCCTTCTTTTTCTTCCCAATATCTAGTCTTTGACAAAGTCCGGTAATTTTTTTTGTAAATATCTCAGATATCTTCCTCTATATTCGTATTCTATTAGCTTATTATATTATACTTGGATTACTGCAAATATCTCTGGGCTGGTATCTGTCTCTTCCCTTATACAAATCATTTTTCCCCCTTAATATTGAAAGGTAATTCTGAGATTCTAGAACACTAATTTCCATATGCCATTTCCTTGCTTTAGATATTTGACCTAATTTTTTCAGACCTGTTTAATCACCAGTTTAGCTTTCAGGACCCTCTCTAGAGGTGGTCATGTGTTATTGTGGAAAGTACAGATTTTGGATTCAAACAAATGCAGATTCAAACCTTGGGTATACCATCTATAAGATGTTGAAAAGTAACCTGACCTTGCAGTCTCAGTTTCCTCAACTATAAAATAGTGTCTACTTGTGTGGTAAAGGGTTAATCCAGCAGGTCTGCACAGTCTAAATCCTGCACATTCCAAAGAAAGGTTTAGTCCTTACTCTACTCCTGGGAGATAACCTCTAAGCTTCTAGAATATACTGCCTGTTAAGAATGTTTTTGTTTATCTAAGCCCTTGGGCTACACCAAATAGTTTAAGCTAAGAAAGTGGGAAATGTGTGATTAAATCTGAGAGTTGTCTTGGTGACTTCAAAACTACTTCTAGAATTTTTATAAGAATTAAATGAGATAGTTTATAAAAAGCATTTGGACAGTGCGTAGGGTGTTTCTCTCCTTTACAGGCTTTGTAAGCACTCCCCCATCTATCCAGGCTTATACTGCACCTGTCTGTTTTCCTGCTTTTATCTTCTGTGTCATTGAGGCTGCATTTCACACTCAATACTAATGAGTTCTTGCCTATGCTGTCCTGATTGCCTGGACCACCCTGCTTTTTTCTTCTGTCGAAACAAAGCCTGTGTGTTGAAGTCCTCTCTTTTCTATGGATCCTCCACTGATTATTGCAGTCTTTGCTAATTTCTTTCTTTCCCTATTTTTAATTGTACTTTTAGCTGGTAATAGGAGCTGGGTGATACATTATGCATCTATATATAGGGTCTTAACTTGGAGGGAATGGAGTATGTTTTATTTTTCTTGGCCTCCCCATTGGTAGATGCTCAGTAGTTGACTTACAGATTTACTCTAAGCTTCTGACTTTGACCTCAAACACCATCTGGAGTATGTAACTTAGGTTGATGATAGTTGCCCTTGTTCTCAATTACCTAGGTACTTTCAACGTCCTAGTCCTTTTGCTGCTGTGTGCTCTTTGACCCTTCTGCTATGGGCCACGCAGGTGTTGACAGCAACAAAGATCACCTTCTCTCCTCTTCTTCACTCATTGGGTCTAGAAGGCCCTGAGGTTGCACATGCCTCACCTGTGCGGGAGTGTGCATATTGTGTGAGTCCAGCTGGGCCACTGTGACCAAGTTCATGTTGCCAATTTATTGAAACATCTCACTCCTTAGGGCACAACCACAAAATGCCTTTTGTTCCCCAATAACTGCTTTCTAACTGGGCCATGTTGAACCCACTTTCCAGTGGGGAGCAGTTCCTTTAATTACAAGTTGGCCAGATTTTGTAAGTTGCAGTGATGTTTAAAAAAGTAATTTTAACCCTATGCAGTTTAAAATTTCAATCTCAACTTAACTCAGAGCTCTCCTTCCTTTCCACTAATAAAGACCAAACCTGCCACTGGCTTTAATTGGTGGTGAGGGGGTTGTCTCATTACAAACTTATCCCTCCTCCCTTTTTGAGGGCTAGCTCTTCCAGTTCTTGGGTCAGGGAGAAGAGCAAAAAGAGGAAATATCTCTTACTCCTCTGGACAGGGTTGCAGTCTTCTCCCCGAATGGCAGACAGTTTTCCTGGTTACTACTGATTTGCTATTGATCACATTTCTGAAACGCCTGTCCAAATGTTGACTCTATCATGGCAGGCATCTCGGAGTACTGTGAAGGGTCCCAAAAGGCTTCCGCCTGTGAAGTTCCCTGACATGAGAAAGGGCTGGCTTCATTGGTATGGGAACTGTGGGAACCTAGGGACACAGGGCCTCAAGTTCAGAATTCTTCCCATCCCTCTTGAAGTTTAATGGTCTGCAGTTGCCATCCTAAAATTCTTAATTTTACCTTTAAGTTCATGTTTTGTAAGTGAAGTCCAGCAGGACAACAGAGCATGGGTGGGTAGCTTGGAGCCTCAGCTCATGTGTGGCCCTGTATTTGTAACTTCCCTGCCTCCCTGGGCAAAGTCACCTTGTTCCCCATTCCCTGTTTCCTGGGGCTCTGCCTTGCCTCCCTCTCTTGGCACCTGCCTGGCTACTGCTCCAAACATTTGCCCAAGGCCATGAGGGAATGGCATGGTGGTGGTGAGGGGGAAGACTAAAGCTCTACCATCTCCTGACCTCAGACACAGGGAGCGTCTGGGTGGAGTAAAGCAAAGAGGTGCCTTGTGCCTTCGGTGGGTGATTCAGCAGGGGCCTCTTGGCTCCCAATACCTGCTCCCATCCAGGCACCCAGTGCATCTCTGTGCAGAGCTTGCAATCCTTTGGTGGTTGTTCCTCAGGTTTGGGTTGGAGCCAAGAAAGCACATGGGAAGGGGACATTGACATTTCCCACCCCTGCATTTTCTTTTTGTGCCAGGCTGCAAGTCACGTAGCTGGCCCTGTGGGAGATCTGGCTCCATCTCTGCTGCTCCTACAGCCTTACTTCAGCCTCTACTGAAGGAGATTGCTTCCCGACTGCCTGGGAGGCTAATAAGGGAACTTAGAAGGCATATCAAATCCATCAACTTTTTTTTGGGTGTCTACTCAATCCCAGGAAAACTCAAGTATGTTTCTTATGCTAATTGAGAGAAGTACAGAACTTCCCAGAAGGCTACCACCCATACCTCTCCTCTTTTTATATGGCTGTGTTGGTGATGAGGGGTAGCTGGTGATAGGGCACCATTCAGTGATCCCTGAGGGAAGGTGATTGGCCGTCTCCAAGATTTGGTGACTACCGGAATCTCTCTGAACCTCGATTATAGTGTACCACCTTGGGCCTTAGTTGCAATTTTGGGCAAAAGGAAAAATCCCTCTTGTCACCCTGTTTACAAAGAATGGAAGATAGACACTGGATATTACTAACTTTATTATAAAGGTATCTTATGAAATTCATCAGGGAACTCACAAATGTAAATAATCTTTGAAGGGCAAATCCCACATAAACTAGTGTTAACATTAATAGCTTCCATTTATTGCATGCTTACTGCATGTAAAATTATACACTCCGCTTTTCTCTCTCTCACACACACGCACACACAAATGTTCACACACTTATAAGAATGTGAGGCTTAAGCACTTTGCTCTAAGTCTCATGGGTAAGTGATCCAGCCGGGAATCATGTCCCAGACCCTCTAATTCTAAAACTCCACCCTAAGCACTACATAATGCTACCAAAGACAGAGCTTGAACACTTACAATTAGAAACATTTGCTCATATAGAGAAAGACAA
Organism: Homo sapiens; assembly: GCF_000001405.40. Classification (NCBI taxonomy): domain Eukaryota; kingdom Metazoa; phylum Chordata; class Mammalia; order Primates; family Hominidae; genus Homo; species Homo sapiens. The sequence continues at coordinate 63,124,651 of NC_000012.12, forward strand.
TGGTAGCCAATTAAGGATGTACTTTTTTGAAGGCAGGACTAAAAATATCACTCACATAAACCACCAAACTAGTTAAATTCAATGCATATAGGCTTTATAGACTATTTTTCTTCTTAACCACAGGATTTTGTCCATAAAAACCAAGAAATTTCAGAGAAAGCTTTAGATTTTTCTTCTTTGAAAGAAATACACTCAGGAATTGCCTGAAGAAAACATGAACATGAAATTAGCACAGTAATAGTTTCTCTAGGAAAACAAAAATCTGGAGTTTCCCTGTAGCAAGAGTGCTTCATGCTTTAGAGCAGATACTTTGCTGGGGATAGAGCCAAAGTGGGTGAGCAATGTATTACAAAATCTAAATGGTCAAATGAGTATCTGGTAAACCATGTCTATTTACTAAGGGCTACATTAACAATAGCTTTTTGGCATATTTCTAAAGTTGATTCTTGAGTTCTGCAAGCATTAATTATTCACAACATTTGTTTTCTCAACAAGGGAATACAAGTGACTGTTTTAAATTAGCCTATGTAGATCGAGATTATCCTCTATTGTTTCTATTAATATGAACAATTGACTACTCTCTCCTTGAGACTGTTTTTCTTAAGAATTCTGATTTGTACAGGAGGTGTTCATCACAGTTTGGCCACTGGTTCCTATGTATGCCCTTTGGGAAGCAGTATAGCATGGTGGCTTTGGCATCAAATAGACCCAGCATCAAGTACTGGCTCCTTTACTGTTATGAGAAAAACCTGAGATTGTAATGTCCCCCCAAACTGGGAAGGAGCTGATAGTGCAAAGAATGACTCAGACAAGTCCAGCTTGAAGAGTGGATGAGCTCACTCACTTACAGAGAATTCCTGGGCAGCAGCAAGACAGCTCCAGCCATCTTCCCCACCTCCCATCTCTAAGTTGCTTTGAAGCTAATTTTCTGGCTCTTTGATTACTGCATATGTGCAATGAGAATGTTTTCCTAGGAATGTTCCAAGCTGTGCTCCAGGATGTTGAGTTTCTCAGGGACACCTGCTCCTCTGCTGGGCACCATGGCCTTGGCTCACCGCCTGGCCTTCAGGGTTCAAGCAGTGGACATACACCCTTAAGTAACATGGTGGGGGATCCATCATTGACTTGATAGCTTTGTGACCTTGGGCAGGTTGCTTCTGCATTCTCAGCCTCATTTTTTGCCTCTATCAAATGGGGTTATTAATAGCTCTTACATAGGATTGCTAGAACTAAATGAAACGAAGACTATAAAGCACTAGCACTGTACTTAGCACAGAGTAAAAACAATATAGTTCTCACATTCTTATTTCACTAAGGAAAAAAGTGTGTTTGGCGTGTTTTGCCCTGTATTGACTTATTTGCCCTGATTCACTTTACTCTACTAGTGCTGAACTTTATGAGGTTAATGCTGGTATCAGACTGGTGAAGCCCTCAGAATGGGTTTTCATGGAGAAAATGTGCTAAGTAGGTTCAATTTGAAGAATATCGATGCACTACACAAAACGAAGTTGCGGAGTTTGGTATTTTTTCTCATGGTGTATGCAACAGAAAGGTCCTTCACTTTTTATCCAAGTTAAAAGATATGGGCATTTTTTCTTGCATTCTTTAAAAGAAATCACCTTTAGTTCCAAGAACATGACACTCCCCTATGAAGACAACAATGGGAAATGTTAACTATATAAATTTTTTTTTTTAACAAAACCAATAAAGCCATGTACACTAAATGGCAGTGGGAGAGAGGAAATGTACCACCCAATTTGAGTGAACCAGAAGCTTCATGATGTGGAGTGGCTGGGTCAGTCTCCACTTTGTGGAGCTGCCCATCCAGAGCCTGCTGTAATGTGGTTTTCCACAGTGCCGTAGTCCTGTCCACTTTAATTGGCTTCTTTATCAGACACATCGTGCCCCTCAGTATTCTTGTTTATATCTCTTTCTCCACCTGTCCAATATCTACATGGTAGCCAAGGCACAATTAAAGTACTACTTTTGGCATAATGCCATTGATTACTGCAGCTCATATTTGTCTGAATTTGTGGAATTGGCTGTTTATAAAGGGTTATCAAACAACGGAGAGGTCCATTACCTGGGGAACTTCCAAATCAGTCACAGTTGTAACTACAGTTGACCACTGAACAATATAGGTTTGAATTGTGTAGTTCCACTTGCACAATTTTTTTCTTTTGAAAGAGGATCTCACTCTGTCACCCAGGTTGGAGTGCAGTGGTACAATCATGGCTCACTGCAGCCTTGACTTCCTGGGCTTAAGCAATCCTCACTCCTCAACCTCCCAAGTAGCTGGGACTATAGGCACACACCACCATGCCCAGCTAATTTTTTGTATTTTTTTTTTCTTTTTAGAGTAGAGATAGGGGTCTCCCTATGTTGCCCAGGCTGGATTATACATGAATTTTTAAAAATGAAAGTTACACTGAATGTGCCTGCCTGTCCTGCCTCCCCTTTCACCTCCTCCACCCCTTCCACCCGAGACAGCAAGATCAACCCCTCTTCTGCCTCTTCCTCCTCAGTCTACTCAACCTGAAGATGAGGGTGAAGACCTTTATGATGATCCACTTGCACTTAATGAATAGGAAGCACTTTCTATTATTTTTAAATAACGTTTTCTTTTCTCTAGCTTACTTTATTGTAAGAATACAGTATATCATATATAATATGCAAAATATGTGTTAATTGACTGTTCACATTATTGGTAAGGCTTCCTGTCAACAGTGGGCTATTAGTAATTAAGTTTGGGGGAGCCAAAATTTATACACAGATTTTTGAGTTTGTGGGGGTCAGTACCCCTAACCTTTGTGTGGTTCAAAGGTCAACTGTATATCATCCTCTATGGCCTTCCCATTTCAACTTCTGTAGTTTGCTCGGGTGTCCAGCAGCACAATGATAGGGTGATAATGAGCATTTGAGCACCTACTGTATGCTAGGCACCATGCCAGGCTTTTTCTATATATTATCTTATTTAATCTTTTTAATAGTCATATGAGGTGGTTGTTAGTATATTATCTCATTTTACAGATGAGAAAACCAATGCTTAGAGATGTTCAGTGATCCCACACTTGCCCAAGTTCACCTAGATAGTAAATTTGAAAACAAGTCAGCCTTGTAGGTCACCAGGACCAGGCTTTATCATTCTTGGCTTCTCTTGAGATTTTGGGAAAGTAAAAATCTTCTATGTGAAAAGTAATTGGGGTTTCCTGGCTTGAACCAGTCTTTTATTTATCCCCATGCTGCCTTAGATAATTGTTTAACTTTTCAAGACATATTTTCAATTTATGACAAAATTCTTTGGGAAAGACCCACGTTAGTACCTCATTCTCTACAATGACTAGTAAAGTAGTCATTGACTATTTTCAATAACTTGAAAATAACTGAAAAAGCATTTACTACTTTCTGCCTTATATTGATTTATTTAATCAAACCAATTTTGAAGATAGCTGTTTACCCACCTGAGGTTTTGGGCTGACCCTAGTGTGAGTTTAGTGAAGTCCTCTGTATGACTCAGTGCTTGAAAAGTTATCCCTGACTATTGCTATGGAAGTTCTAGATGGTACAGTACCAATTAATAGATATATCTAAACAACATTTGTTATTGTTTAATGGACTAAGATATTTTCTAGAAATCCTTTTTGTGTGAGAATTGAAAAAAATTCCAAGAATTAGGCACACTTCTGATGCTTGCTATGAGAAGTGATTTTTTTAACAATCACCATAGGATTCAGATCACACACTTTATGATACCATGAGTGTTTGCAGTTTTTAAAGAGAAAGTTATGGTGCAGAATGCAAAAATGCTTTCTATAAAATATCTAGCTTCACAGTGTATAGTCAGTTGGGTGATTCTCTTCTACTTCCGACCACCAAATTTAGAAAGCCAGTGATAAAGATGAAGCCAGCTCTATATAGAGATGATATGCCTGATGCACTATCGAGATGGTAAGTACAAGAATAACAAAAAGGTTTCCTCTGATAGTAATTGAGAAGAATTCTGAGGCTGTGCCTAGGCTCAGAAAAGGAAAGCCACAATTGATTATTGATTCCTCACATACATGGAGAAGGGAGAGTGGCAGCTTTTATGCTAAATCATTGTCATACCTAGACCAGTGTTTTGTATTTCTTAGTAGTTGAAATAGCTTTTCCCTGATTCATGGTCTTTCCTAGTTTTCTTCTTTTGGTAAACGGGATATGCCTACAAGATGGCTCAACGAGTATGGTTATCAAAGGAAGCAAAGGTAACAGTTATAACCAGGGGACCAACTCCTGACCTTAGTTTCCTTGTGACTGAACTTTAATCACCTAAATTCAACAGTCAAAGATGAGCAAAGGCAAAATTATTCAAGAAGTAGAAGACAGGAGTTTGATCACGAAATAGCACCTTAAAACAACATTCAATTACACTCCATGTGTCCTGCAAGTTAGCTTTAATGCTAATAAAAACATATTTTGATGGTGAAAACCACTGCACAATCAGTGTGTTGCGATAAAAACTGGGGCGAGAATAATCTGTGCATTATTCTTTATTGTGTGTTTTGATTCAAAAGAAATTGTCGTCCAAATCCAATTTCAGAATCATTATTTTTGTTGAAAGAATACTAAATATGAAAGGGAGGGGTCACAGCTTGAGTTTCTGATATAGTGCCGCACTTCTCTGGCAGAGTGAAGAACTGAAATTCGGAAATGTTCTTGTTTACCTGTCCATCTAGAAAACATTAGAAATCACTGCCATCCAAGAAACCCTAGAAATCATCACCGAAGGGAGCTCATAGTCCTCATTTTTTGGTGTAATATTTATGGTCACAATAAGGATTCATTCCTAAGATTCCAAAGTAAGTAGAGTTCTATAGGACTAGAAAATATTAATTTATCTACTTACAATTTTATCTAAAAAATATTTTTTCCATGTCATTCTTAACATCTCTTTAATCTTTACATTTCTGACTTTATGGTAATTCCAGACAATTACTATCAGTGAAAGCATTTTACAGACTAATTTTATATATTTTTTGTGCATTCAAACTCTACTTTTGAAATGTATAATGACGATACCGCATTGGTTCTCTAAAGAGAGAATATACTTCTGATATTCCTTAAATATTTTTATTTATTTTTATGTGCTCCTGATCTTTTCTAACCCTCCCTATCCTATCCTATTTCAATTAAGTCTTATTTACTGTTAACTTACTGATAACACATTTCTTCCACTTGGAGTTATTTTCTGGTATCTTATTGTTCCAGGTATGTATTGCTGCTCAACAAACTTCTCTAAAAGCTAGGGGCCATAATTTCTCTTAGTTCTATAGATGAACTGGGTTGAGTGAAATAGTTTCTTCTTGGGATCTTTCATGCAGTTGCAGTCAGATAGCTGAGGCTGCAGTCATCTGAAGACTCTTCTGGGCTGGTGGCCTAAGATGGCTCACTCAGAGTTGTGTTGATGCTGGCTATTATCTGGGAACCCAGCTGGGGTTGTGGGCCAGAGTTTCTATACAGTCTCTCCGTGGTATCTTGGGTTTCTATCTGCATGGCAGCTGGGATCCGAGAGGGAGTGTCTCAAGCACAAGGGTTCCTCAGATAACTGGTAGCATCTATATTTATCCTTCTGTGTCTGGCTTAATATTTCATGTGAGTTTGAGAAAATGTGTCTTGTGCTTGTTGTTAAGTATTTTATAAATGTCAATTAAATCCAGTAATTTTAAAAAAAGAAAACAAGTATTCAACGAGGCCCAGGCAGAAGCTGCGACTTTTTATGAATTGGACTTGCAAGTCCAAGAACGTTATTTCCACCATAGTCTACTGGTCAAACAAATCACCAAATCTAGCCCAGATTCAAGGGGGTGGGGGGCAGTAATTATAATACATCTTTTGATGGGGGAGAGACGAGTTCACATCATAGAAAAATAAGTGGGGTAGGAGGTATTTTGGAAAATATAGTCTGCCAAATTAATACTCATTATTTTATTATTTTTTTGAGATGGAGTCTGTCTCTGTCACCCATGCCAGAGTGCAGTGGTGCAATCTTGGCTCACTGCAACCTCTGCCTCCCAGGTTCAAAAGGTTCTCCTGCCTCAGTCTCCTGATTAGCTGGGACTACAGGTAAGCACCACGATGCCCACCTAATTTTTGTACTTTTAGTAGAGATGGGGTTTCACCATGTCGGCCAGGCTGGTTTCAAGTGGTCCGCCTGCCTCGGCCTTCTAAAGTGCTGGGATTACAACTGTGAGCCACCACACCTGGCCAATATTCATTCTTTAAAAGGGCATGAGTCATATCTTTTACCCTAAAATGTCTTGGTCAGAGTACTTAGGTCTTTGGAGGATAAAAATCAAATTTCTTATAGACCTTTAACATTGGGGGGGAAATGAAATCCATTTGAAGGCAGATGCTAAGCTATGTTTCACACAGAGGATGAAGAAATTATGTAGATGAATGAGAGCATTGGTTAGGAATTAGGATTTGGGAGTTCTACTCCTGACACTCTTGAGGACTTTCTTATAAACTGAAGTCAATAAACCACTGAACCTCTAAATCTCATACTCCTTGTATTAGTCTGTTCTCATGCTGCTAATAAAGAAATACCTGAGACTGGGTAATTTATAAAGGAAAGAGGTTTAATTTACTTACAGTTCCACATGGCTGGGGAGGCCTCACAATCATGGCTGAAGGTAAACGAGGAGCAAAGTCATGCGGTGGCAGGCAAGAGAGCACTTGTGTAGGGAGGAACTCTTTATAAAACCATCAGATCTCGTGATACTTATTCACTATCACGAGAACAGCATGGGAAAGACCCACCCCCATGATTCAATCGCCTCCCACCAGGTTCCTCCCATGACACGTGGGAATTATGGGAGCTACAATTCAAGATGAGATTTGGGTGGGGACACAGCCAAAGCATATCACTCCTCCTCTATAAAAAGAGGATGCCATTTGACAAGTGCTTTTCTATGCTCGCTGCCCACTAGAATCACGTGAGAAACATTGCAAAATATATCCCTAGTGACCACCCCAGACAAATTGGCGCTGAGGAGGGTGAGGCTGGGGTATCTTTCATCTCCCTCTAATCAGTCAAACTTGAGAAACATTGGCTTAGACCCGTGATATTTTATCAACCATACTCACATTTCCTCACAACCCCAGTTATGACACATTAGAATCACCTGCCAATGTATTGGTTCAAACTCTGATTTCGTTTGCCTGAGGTTGGGTGCAGGTATTGGTGTTTGCAAAAAGCTCCCCAGATTATTTCAATATGAAGTTAGGGTTGATAACTCATGACTCAGAAAACATGGTTTTTAAATTTTAGTGTGCACCAATAACTTGAAGGGCTTGTTAAAACACAGATTGCTGGGCCCACCCCCAACATTTTTGATTCAGTATGTCTGAAATAGGCCTGGAAATATGAATTTCTAATGAGTTCCTAGGTGATGTTGATGTTGCTGGTTTGGAGACCACAGTTTGGGAACCACTGTTTTAGAGAATTGCTATAGTGTTGAGCTATATTAGTATGAGTTGGTTGAGGAAACCTCTCAGGGGTGTCCCACCCCTGAGAAGGGAAAACTCACTAGAACAGTGCACTTCTAACTTGAATGTGCATTACCTGTGGATCTTGTTAAAATGTAGATTTTGCATTTCTAACGGGTGTCTAAGTGGTGCCCATGCTGCCCACAGAGAGAATGCTGCATAGCAATGCACTTGCATAAGTATCTGTAAAGATCATTACAAGCCTAAAATGGACCATCATGGGGATTGTGGTAAAAAGGAGACCAGTTAGAAAGCCACTTGTGAGTTAGGAATGCAAACAAGGTTGAGAAATGGCAGGAGGTACTGGAATAAACTGAAGTCCAGATATAGAAGCTGTATGATAAAGATCTTGTTATTTTCCACACCAGTTGAGTCTTTAATGGGCTTTTTTTTTCAAGCATCTTGCTTTTTAATGTATTATGTTTCTTGTTATGAAATCTATTGCATATAATGTGTGTGACAGACATAGAAAGTATACAGAAGAAAACAACAAATGTGGCCTGATTTAAAAAATTACTTTCACCTAGAATTTAAAAGGTCTTAAAAACAGGTGAAAATGTCATCATTTTTTAGTAGTTAAGAAGCTTCACTAGCAGAAAACTATTCCTAACACACTCAAAACTTGCTCTGATGCCCAGGATGCCATTAAAGATCCATTTCTTTGGGTTGAGAAATGTTAACATCAAGATCCTCTGGAAAGGTCATTGCTATTACTTGATTTGTGCTCTGAAGCAGAGGGCAGGCCAGAAGGAGATTTTTGGAAAATATACGTGTCTTGGCCCTATCCTTAGAGATTCAGATATAATCGATTTGATAGGCCTTTAATTTATATTTTAAAATCTCCCAGTGATTCTCACGTATCCCCTCAGTTGAGATCCATTGCCTTGTGGGACTTAGGTGGTCAGATTCTTTCTGCTGAGAATAGCATGAAACAGAATGAGGCCAGCTGGAGCAGGAGGCAGAGGAAAGCATGACATGCAGTATTAAAAGGTTTTGGATTGAGCATTGGTTTTGCTCCTAATGTACGATCTAGGGTTGTCTCTATTTCTATAAAATGGGTATTATAAATAAATGCCTTATAATGTTATTCTCAGGGCTGAGCTATCATGTGAAAACAACTTGTAAATTTCTAAAGCATTACACAATTATCATTATTGTATAATTGAACTGTACAAAAATTAGGTACTAATGAGGGAGAGAGGACAGGTATGCTGTTAGTTTTTTTTTTCTATGAGCTATTCAAACATATATTTAAGAACAGATTTAAGGAAAATAGGTATTAGCCTCTAGAAATAGGGTTTCTTAACCTCAGCACTACTGACATTTTGTGCTGGCTAATTCTTTCTTATGGGAGAGAGGAGGTACTGGCTGGTGCATTGTAGGATATTTTGCAGCATTCTTGGCCACTACTCACTAGATGCCAGAAGAACCCTCTCCCACTCCCTGGTTATGATAACCAAAAATCTTTCCGGAATTACTAAAAGTCTCTTGGGAGGGGCAAAACTGCACTCCCCATTGAAAATCACTGCTGTAAAGCCAGTTAACAGTCTTCAATTATGTGATTGAAAAAACAAATTATTTACATCACGAATACCTGTTTTTCAACCCTACTCCCTGAAACAATAGAAAACGCTATTCAGGATATTAGGAAGGAGATAACAGCCACATATTGAACACTTGGGATAGTTTATCAAATGTAGCCCTTTGAACAATGTGTCCTGGTTTGCCAGGATGTTAGCATTGAAAGTTTTACAAGCTGAGAAACCCCTTCCTACTCTTTATTCTCATTCTCTATGGAACTCAGAGGAGGGGGATCATTCCACATTTGTTGGCAATGAAGGCAACTAACATCGGTCGGGGGCCTGTTATATATCAGATGTCTTACCTGTTTGCATCACTTCATCCTCACAGTAGCCATCTAGATAGGTGGTTCCATATTACAAATGAAGAAGCTGAAACCCTAATGCAGAACCTTGCCCCGTACACATAGCTGGCAAGAGGTAGAGCAAGGTTCAGCTCCAAGTGTTTCTCAATCTCAAGTCTGTGTTCATTCTGCCACATCACTCCGCTAGTAGGCTTGAAAATTTCTGAAACCTTAAGTCACTATTTGATTTTCTAGGGTCTTTGAAAATTGTTTTTAAAAAAGAGACATGGGAAAGTAACTTCTAGTCCAACATTCTTTTGCATTTGAGCTCTGGTTAGTGAGTGTCCAAGATTAGAGTCATTTGGAGTAAACTCTCTTTACCCTCTTGCTTGTCTCCCTGTACGGGATGAGAACCTGCCAAACACTAGAGCATCTTATCCTGTAACTAGAATCAAACTCAGTGCTACCATGAGAATCTATGTTCACTGGGGACCCAAGGACTACAGCTGGAATGCCATTAGATTCCATTAAATTCAAATAACCTCCTGCAATTCCATCTAACTCTCCAGGTAAGAGAGTAATATTTATGCTTTTCAATGTGTCTTGGTTAATTATATTGCACAGTGGTCCATCTGTTGTAAAAGATACATTGATGAACAGCCAAATTATATTAGGCATGTCTCATTAGGTTAGGAATGCTATTATCTGTCTCAGTTCACTGTAATAGAACAGAACACAGTAGCTTAACATTGTTCTTCAGTCATAGGAGAACCTCAGGGGAGAGAAGTTCAGAAGAATAACATAAATGGGGAAGTAAATCACTGAATGTAGCTATAGGGTCTGGAATGCTACTAAAAATAGGCTGAATGTTTCCAAAGACTGGGTCCAAAATCAAGGCAATCACAGGGTTATATAATGCTTTTTCAGAAATAGCACTTGTACATATAAATGCCAATGAGAAAATGAAAGGTATACTAAATTTGCTGGTTGTCACTTATTACTTGGACAAACAAATTTTCTTAATAAACAAACTTGTTAAAGTAGCACATTTGCTTTAAAAAATTTAGTTATTGGCTGGGCATGGTGGCTCACACCTGTAATCCCAGCACTTTGGGAGGCTGAGGCAGGTGGATCACCTGAGGTTGGGAGTTCGAGACCAGCCTGACCAACATGGAGAAACCCCATCTCTACTAAAAATACAAAAATCAGCCGGACATGGTGGCACATGCCTGTAATCCCAGCTACTCGGGAGGCTGAGGCAGGAGAATCGCTTGAACCCGCGAGGCGGAGTGGGTGGTGAGCCGAGATGGTGCCATTACACTCCAGGCTAAGCAACAAGAGTGAAGCTCCATCTCAAAAAAATAAATACATAAATAAAATAAAAATTTAGTTACTTGAGAATAACTTTATATCTCTCCAAAGTTTAGAGAGACCTATCCAGTATAAAAATAATAAAAGTGAGATTAATAGAACTTAATAATGTGTGGCCTACTCTTCATGTAATGAGAATACTTTTCACCATGTGGAACTCATTTCATTTATTGGTCATTTAAAGAAGAATAATTCTCAATGTTGCCATATGTGTTCCAATGACAAAGTAGCATGTTGGCAGATTCCTGCTGCACTAACCTTTTGTTCCTAGTCTCATAGCTAGGTTTTTAAAAACAAACAAGCGATTTGTGGATTATTAATCTTCAGTAGAGGCCATCGATGTTCTAAGGAACTCAAAAACCACATCGTGGGAAGGAGAGTTACAAGACACTCTTTAGTGGATTTGGTCTAAAGGGATGATTCTCATGTTCCCTGAGAATGTCAAGGAATGGCAATTGAGGGAACATGAGAATCATCTTCAAACACTTGAAGAAGTTGCAGGTGGAAGACGGATTGGATTTTTATAAGTAGCAAAGAAGTACATAACAGATCTTGGGTGGAAATTACAGGAAGACACATTTCAACTTCTATAAGGCACAATATTTTGTTAGACTGTTCCAAAATGTAATGGGCTGCATGGTGCGATAGTAAGTTTTCAGGCACAGCAAGTTTATATGTGTTCATTCATTCATCGTTCATTCACTCAATAAATAATTACTAGTGCCTACTGTATGCCAGGCATTGTTCTAAATTCTGGGAAGATAGCTATAGATAAGAAAGACAAGGTCCCTGATCTTATATCACTTATATTCTAGAGTAGGAGTTGATAAACTTTATCTGTAAAGGACCAGATAGCAAATATTTCAGGCTTTGCAAGCCATGTGGCCTCTGTTGTGACTACTAAACTCTGCCATTGCAGTACAAAAGCAGCCATGACCAAGGGCTGGCAAACTATGGCCTGCAGGCCAAACCCTGCTTACTATCTTCTTTTCTAAATAAAACTCTGTTGGAACACACTCACAATCAATTGGTTCCCTATTGCCTGTGGCTAACTTTGTGCTTTACAAGCAGAGTTGAATAGTTGTGACAGAGATGGTATGCCCTGTAAAGCCTAAACTATTTACTTTCTTACTCTTTACAGAAAAAAAGTTTGCTGATCCTTCCCATAGTAAGTACATGAACAAAGAATTGTGACTGTTTTCCAATACAACTTTAATTATAGATACTGAAATCTGAATTTTATACAATGTTCATGTGTCAGAAATATTCATTTTGATTTTTCTCAATTATTTAAAAATGTAAAAACTATTCTTAGCTCATAGGACAAACTAAAACATGGATGAGCTAGATTTGGCTTGTGCATCATAGTTTGCCAATTCCTGTTCTAAAGTATGTTAACAAATCCACATATCTTAAATATTACTATTTTTCATAATAGGTGAGAGCCTATTTTTAACTCCCGTTATGCTGATAAATAAGCTACTGATTTCACCATTATGTTAATTAACAAAATATCTATTGTCAATCAGAAGAAAAGGTCACCAATATTCTTATAGTAGTCATCTCTGGTGGGTGGGGCTTTTCTGATAAAATTCTAGCTGCTTCCCCATTCCCTTCTACCACTCTGGGTGAAGTCCTAATTAGAACATTGAAATGCACCAGGCTTGTATTTTAGCCTAACTTATACATAATATCACACTATCTATGTGGACATATTATGGATTACAGACATCATAACACTTTAATATGCGGAGACATTCAACTCTTCTTTGCTCAGCAATCCCTTCTTACCCTTTGAGGCATACTTTACATAATTAAAAGGGCCTATGAATTTCCCAAACAAAAACACCATCCATCTGGGATACTATATTTAGAGGCTGGCTGTAATTCCCGACCCCACATAGCAATTTTTCTATCATAGTGCACATCAAAACAAACTACTCATGGTCAAATAGAAAAAAAAGTAAAAGTATTCAACTAGGTGTTTGACTGAAGTGATTAAGAAGTTTAATTTTAAATAATTAATCTAATAACTACTTCTAGGTACCATCTGAATTTTTTTGTGAAATAATTTCTTAGCATAAATTTTTGTTTTAGGCAGATGTGCTACCTCTATATGAAATTTTATCAGTTAAAGTTTATTTGTATAGTTACACACATAAAGATGACACACAAGTTCAGAGCTCAATGCTAACACTAATGATTCTTCTTCTCCACTTCCTACCAAAAGGGGTATGTAATTTTGAAACTAGAAGGTTGAATTCTGTTTAGAGGGTATAGACATAAATCTGACATTGGTTGATTCTGGGGCATGGACAAATGCAAGGTCAGTGATGTCATAATTTGTAAATAATGATTATAATTATTACATTCATTATAATCTGTTATGTACAGCCTCAATTCCTTTGACCCACTATTGCAAGGCTATATATTTGGGCAATATCCAAACCCCTGTTAAATCCAACTCTCTTCTAACTCTGCCTGCCCTCAAGCAGTGGACTGTGGGTAGGAAAAAGCACATAACCATGAGAATTGGTGTTACTTTTCTTTCACTGCACTAGCTTCAAGTCAGCCCTTAGTACTGTCAGGCAGTCCTCCCTCCCTCCCTCTCTCCCTCCCTCCCTCCCTCCCTCCCTCCCTCCCTCCCTCCTTCCTTCCTTCCTTCCTTCCTTCCTTCCTTCCTTCCTTCCTTCCTTTCTCTCTTCCTTCCTTCTTTTCTTTTCTTTCTTTTTTTTCTGGCACTACAAGATGCTCAAGAATCAACTTCTATATTTTTGTGCCCCAGTCTTTGGAATCAGACATTTCTCCAAGGAGCCTTAGTTAATTTTGTTTTGTGTTTTGGAGAATGGTCTGGATGCCAGGTGTGCTTGTTGCCTCTGAGGTGTCATTGCTTCTAGGCCCTCTCAACTGACAGACCAAGAAAATATTGTACATATATGTATACCAGCACATGTATACCCACATATCTAGAAAAATTTCCATATGTAAATACCTCTATCTATATTATACTGAACATGAGTTCATACTGATGTCTCCAACTCTAATCCATTGCCACACAGATCATCCTAACCACCTTTACTTGCTTTTCTGTAAATTCCAACTCCAATAGTGAAATACTTGGCTCCCACCATCCATTTACTTAGCCGTTCAATCTCAGAATACATGTATAGCAGTATCAGAATTGTTAAACCTTACTCCTATGGTAAACAGCTTTATCAACTAAAGCACACTGCTTCTGTGTACTTTCTTTTGCTTTCAGTATTACAGACTTCATTAATCTCTAAAGTTACTTAGGTCGGCACCTTTTTCCCCAACCCCCTCAGGGAAGTTGTTTCATACATTTATAATATGATTAGATTGCTTTGTCACATTCTGCATTCCATACTGGGATTCCCAGATGGAATCCTGCGAAATAATTTTTTAAGTTGAAAACTAAGGTTCGATTTTTATGTTATTATTCTACAGGTTTTGACAAATGTATAATTTCACACATCCAATGTTATAATATTATACAGAATAGTTTACTCCCCTAAAAAAAAAAATCCCATGTGCTTCACCTATCAATCCTTCTCCTTTCCCCTAAATCCCTGGCAACTCCTGATCTTTTTACCATTGCTACAGTTTCGCCTTTTCTAGAATGTCATATAATTTGAATTATATAGTATGTCCTCTTTTCCAATTGACTTTTTTCATGTCGCAATGTGCATTTCAGATTTATCCATACCTTTCTGATACTTGTGGGTTTGTTAATTAGTGTTGAAAGATTGTAAATAATTTTCCATTGATGAAATGAGTGCTCTACAAGATATGTGGCTGTCTAGAAAACTTGTATGCATTCCCCCCTCACCCTTTACCTATGAGCCTGCATAAGGAGAGGACTGGGAAAAGGAGAGGAGAATATAATAACTTTTTAGCCTTATAGAAAGAATACTTCGTTAGGATTTTATCAGTTGTGTTCATTATTATATTCACAGTGTTTAGAACGATGCCTACCATATATTCGAACTCAATATTTGTTTGTTGAATGAGTATTAAAACCCCACTGACTTGAGATGTTAGAAGAATAAATAAATGTAATGTTATTTTTATTGGTTCCTGTTTCTTTTCATTCCAATCAAATGCTGGACTGAGAGAGTGAATTTGCAGGATATTCACCAATTGGATAGACTTGATAAATATTCTTTATAATATTGAGCTTTCTGTGGCCATGCACAGCTTTAAACATTTTTTCTCTGATATTGTCTTCCCCCTCATTACTTAACCATGTCAACATTCTCTGAAAAAGTTAGGTTTCTCAATCATATAAATTTGAGAATTGCTATGTAGCTGGATAATGTTTGGAAGTGCATATTAATTTATGTTGTTGTCCTTCCTATCTTTCTCCCTTCCCTTGTTTCTTCCACAAACTAAAACAATATTTTGAGATGTGTCCCATCAATACCTAATTTATTGAGAGGTTTTAGCATGAAGGATTGTTGAATTTTGTCAGGAGGCCTTTTCTGCATCTATTGAGATAATCATGTTGTTTTTGTCGTTGGTTCTGTTTATATGCTGGATTACATTTATTGATTTGTGTATATTGAACCAGCCTTGCATCCCAGGGATGAAGCCCACTTGATCATGGTGGATAGGCATGGGCAAGGACTTCATGTCTAAAACACCAAAAGCAATGGCAACAGAATTCAAAATTGACAAATGGGACCTAATTAAACAAAAGAGCTTCTGCACAGCAAAAGAAACTACCATCACAGTGAACAGGCAACCTACAGAATGGGAGAAAATTTTTGCAATCTACTCATCTGGCAAAGGGCTAATATCGAGAATCTACAATGAACTCAAACAAATTTACAAGAAAAAAACAAACAACCCCATCAAAAAGTGGGCAAAGGACATGAACAGACACTTCTCAAAGAAGACATTTACGCAGCCAAAAAACACATGAAAAAATGCTCATCATCACTGGCCATCAGAGAAATGCAAATGAAAACCACAATGAGATACCATCTCACATCAGTTAGAATGGCGATCATTAAAAAGTCAGGAAACAACAGGTGCTGGAGAGGATGTGGAGTAATAGGAACACTTTTACACTGTTGGTGGGACTGTAAACTAGTTCAACCATTGTGGAAGTCAGTGTGGCGATTCCTCAGGGATGTAGAACTGGAAATACCATTTGACCCAGCCATCCCATTACTGAGTATATACCCAAAGGATTATAAAACATGCTGCTATAAAGACACATGCACACGTATGTTTATTGCGGCACTATTCACAATAGCAAAGACTTGGAACCAACCCAAATGTCCAACAATGATAGACTGGATTAAGAAAATGTGGCACATATACACCATGGAATACTATGCAGCCATAAAAAATGATGAGATCATGTCTTTTGTAGGGACATGGATGAAATTGGAAACCATCATTCTCAGCAAACTATCGCAAGGACAAAAAACCAAACACTGCATGTTCTCACTCATAGGTGGGAATTGAACAATGAGAACACATGGACACAGGATGGGGAACATCACACACTGGGGCCTGTTGTGGGGTGGGGGGAGGGGGGAGGGATAGCATTGGGAGATATACCTAATGTTAAATGATGAGTTAATGGGTGCAGCACACCAACATGGCACATGTATACATATGTAACAAACCTGCACGTTGTGCACATGTACCGTAAAACTTAAAGTATAATAAAAAAAAAATCTAAGGATAGGCACAGGATTTGCACACTGAATGAGATAAGGCTAAAACTACTTTACTTGAAAATTAAAGGAAAGAGTGAGCACAGAGAGGTACAGTTTAGGGACATTCTTCCAGGCTGTAGCTACTTATGTGACACAAGCTTATGGGATGGGGATGCTGTAAAAACATGGATACTTTGGTGAACCATAAATCTGGATTTTTTGGCAGGGGTTGGGGGGTTATAGACATATACTTTAAGTTCTGTTGAAGTCCCACTGTGTTGTGCCTAAGGACTAGCGTCCATTACTCCGGTGGTGACAAAGCCTTTCTATTAGAATTATTTTAAGTTTGGGCTTGAATCTCTAAATCCTTTTTTTTTTTCAACCAAGATGATTTTTTTTTTTTTTTTTTTCTGAGATGGAGTCTTGCCCTGTCACCCAGGCTGGAGTGCAGTGGTGCGATCTCGGCTCACTGCAACCTCTGCCTCCTGGGTTCAAGCAATTCTCCTGCCTCAGCCTCCCAAGTAGCTGAGACTACAGGCACCGGCCACCACATCTGGCTAATTCTTGTATTTTTAGTAGAGACGGTGTTTCACCATGTTAGCCAGGCTGGTCTCGAACTCCTGACCTCATGGTCTGCCTGCCTCGGCCTACCAAAGTGCCCAGATGCATTAAAGTGAACTTCCTACTATCATTTGCCTATAGATGGTAGAAATACCACAGCTCCTGATTCTCTCCTGTAGTACTTTTGTCACCGTACATTACTGCTTCTTGTAATTAAAGCTTTTTATTGTAAACATTCACAATATTTTATAATACCACATATGGATTACTATATACATATGTGTGTGTATATATATATGGATTTAGAATATCTATATTAATTCCATTAATTGAACATTTTTTATATGACTGGCACTAAAAATGTTCCTTTATAAATTTCTTTATGAGTCTCTTCTGGTGTACAATGAAACTATTATTTTAGTTTTATCTGATCCATAGGACTTTGTGAAAATGTCTTTGGTACAAATATTGTTTATTTTTAGGCACTTATAAATCTTTTGAAATAACAGTGGTATTTTAAAATAGATACTTCAAATTCTCTTTCTTCCATTCTGGGCATTCCCTGCATCTATGGTTTAAGCCAAACCCAAAATAAATATTTTAATTTGTTCTATTAAGATTCAACTTGTAAAAGAAAAAAAAGTTAGACAATATAAATTCTACAGTTAATATAATTTAAACTTATTAGTCTACTGGGAAAAAATTCTAATTTTGAAGACTATTAAATGGGAACATTTTTAATCTTTAGGCCCCAGAAGTCAGTCTTACCAACATTAAGAAATAAATGCACATAGATGATGTTTTTTAGGGCTGAATGACAAACATGACGTCAGCTAACCTCGATCATTTTGGTTGTCTAAATACAGACTATAACAAAATTGATTTGATTCCTTAATTATAACTTATTGAAAGGGCAGTTACAAATTTCACTTATTCTTGCTATGGTCACTAAAGCACAAACATTTTTGTGCTCAAATATCAACCTATCAATAGCTACCAACTGTAAAACCAGTCTTTAGTTTTTCAAAGTCAAAATAATTAACTTGAAATATATTTCATTGTCAAATAAGTTGTAAAAGAATTATTTCAAACAAATCCAAAACTTATTTTTGTTTATAGAAACAAGACAACACACAGTAAAATTGAGGAAATACAATAGTTTTTTCAATATAGTACCACAAGCCATTTTTTCTGTAAAGGACCAAATATTAGATACTATCACAAAACATTTTATCACTCATTCAAAACAAGAATCATTCAGTTGCCCCAGGAAAAAACACACTGAAATTATTTTAGATAGCATAATAAGCTAGAGGATATAGAACATTTGAAAAACAGTTCCAAAAAATGGAATACTAAAGATGCAACATTAATTCTTAGTACATTTGTTATGGTAATGAATTAAAGCATTATAGAATATATTCAAGTCAGAAATCCTGTAGTATGAAGACATACCTTCATATGTGAAAATATTATTTTATATTAATAATAATTATTCTGGTATTTATATCAGATTTATCATCAGATTTTCTTTCCTGAATTTATTAATAATTTGACCATGGAACACAAAAATATTTCATTCATTTTATAATACTTTGTTTTAATTATTATTTAGAACATAAATCAATGTAAAAATGTGGGTATATACATACAAAAATACATAAAACTAAAAAGCAAAAAAATGGCATTTAACATTTAGCCATAATAATATATAACATACTACAGGTCACATGTACATTTTCATTCATGATAACTTAGTATGCCTAATAATTATGTTAAAACAATATTCTTAAAATGCTTATGTATACAATGGAATCTTAAAATGTGTGTGATTCGAACCATTTACACTGTCTTAAGCACTCAAAAGAAAGAAACTGTCTTCTGAATAGTTCCTAAATTTTGGCTCAAATCGGCTGAGGTCCAATTCTAACGGAGAATCATTCTCTAATACTTACTGTCCTATGTTACTTATGATTCCAAATGTTGTCAACAATACTGAGTAGTACCAAAAGGGCTGGATGGAGGGGGTGGGCAGGGATACAGTGGCTGCTTCTGCATTTCCAGAACTAGCATCCCAGACGGCCCTGTCCTGGGCTTCCTCTAAATAAAGCTATTGCCTCCAATATGAATAACCATAAGGCTCCAATTAACATGGGTTTGTCTAACCTCTGATATTTGGGGTGAAGGATTAGGTTTAATTTCTCCCTGGTTGGCATCTAACTAAATTTTAGGTAGAGCCAAACTCTGAAGCCATAATTTAACACTCTGAAAGTCCAATTAAGTTACAAAAACATAGGCTTTAGAGTCTGAAAACATCAAACTTTAACCTAATCGGGTTTCTTGTGTAATAACAGATGAAAGTTGTTTCTTAATCATTAGTAGTTGTCCATTCTAGAAACTGTAATAAGCTTGGCAGGGTCCTGTGTATCATTAAGACTGCTTAGTATTTTTTTCTCTAAAACCATACCCTTCCCGAAATCATGGCATAAGACTTGTTTGATGATGATAGAAATTCTATATGTAAAACAAGTATATAATTAACCCAAGAATTTCACTGATTTCCTTCACAATTGTGTTCCAAATGAAATTTCAAAATAAAAGCCAAGTAGTTTTACACTTTAGAATACATGCTCCAAAATTAACCCATTAAGCACTTAATAATGCACTCTAAATTGTTTATTTACCATCATCAGTTAATATTCATCAAATGCCCAACTGATTAGTTTCTCCCTACTGGACATTTTTTATATATCACATTCCTAATACCCATATAGAGGCATTAAAATTGTGTACTTGCAGGATCTTCCCACTGTTAACTGTGAAAAATAAAATAAGGTGCTGCAACACATTTTTTTCTTGACTGTAAGCTGTTATTTGGCATAATATCTCAGGTCTTCTCTTTAGTCAAGAAAAGGAAAACTTCCCTTCCCGGAATACTTTTTCAGTTTCTCTTCTTCTGAAACAGACAGGCAGGTAGATTCCTTCCAATCTGAAATATTGTTTTGAGATATGTGGCGTCCATTTCTGGGTACATAACATTGAGAAAATTTAGCAACCAGACAGATGAAACTTCTCAGCCTAAACCGCAGAGAATAAGACCATGTATTTGCCTAGTGCAGAACTAGCACCCAGATCTCATGTTTCCCCAGCCCATTTTCTACTGTCTCATCTCCCAATACATTTAAAAGGAGAAAATACAACTGGGTAGGGTGATATGCACTTTTTTTTGTGAGCTGTTCTCAGAAATAACATTCAAATTGAATTGTTTTGCTTGGGGGTACATATCAACATTTTGAAGCAAGATCTATAGGTTCTGAGGTTCTTACTTTGGAAATGGATTTAGAAAAAAATGGGTTCATCTTAGTTCCAAACCAAAAAGCTTTAGTTTTTGAACTATCAAAGAGTTGTTAAAAGGACTGACAGTCTTCGAGTGCTGGGTTACTGAGATGCTACTCTAACTCAAATAATGAATTAATTAATTTAGTTATGGCTTATATTGGACAGTACCCTTTAAGAGACATATTTGTTATTTTTAGAAAGAAGAATTTGAAAACCTAGGGAGTCCCTAGGTTTATAATCTCTATAAAGCATTTGGAAACATGTTTTTAGGCCTATCAATACAAGGAGCCTAAGGGCTGAGAATTTCAAAAGGCAGAAGAATGAAGAGGAGTGAAGTTATCGCTTCCGGGTTCTCACAGTGCTATCCAGTTCTCATTTTCTTATCTACAAAGGTAAAAAAAGAAACTCAATAATACTATTAAAACCATGCTGGCCAACATGGTGAAACCCCATCTCTACTAAAAATATAAAAATTAGCTGGGTGTGGTGGCACATGCATATAGTCCCAGCTACTCGGGAGGCTGAGGCAGGAGAATCGCTTGAACCCAGGAAGCGGAGGTTGCAGTGAGCCGAGATCACGCCACTGCACTCCAGCCTGGCAAAAGAGCAAGACTCTGTTTCAAAAAAAAAAAAAGCAACTATTACTTCCTCTTAAGGATGCAAAATATTTATGATGTATCCTCAAATCATTGCATGATCTCTAAGAAGAAGAAGCAGCCAGACAAAATAGCTAGGAAAAAAATCACTGAGTTCCATTAATGAAAAATGTAATAACAGCAAAGTAGTGTAATTGGTCTCCGTTTAAAAATGGAAAAAATTGATGCTTGTGGGTGGCTTTGATCTACCTGCATTCAAAGAAAAGCAAGTTCTGTCTTTAAATTGGAAAACTTTAGTCAGGCAGGAGAAGTCAAGCTGAGCAGTCACTGGAAATGTTGTCCAATGAATCAGCGATCTATATTTAAATTTTAGGATTTTATATCCCAGCCATGAAATGAACCAATTCTAGTTAATGAAAAATAAACTGGAAAACATCTGTGCAATTTTGGAGATCCCAAGGCTATAATAAAAGCAACTGCTAGCATGTGTATAGTACTTTACTATTTCTGAAGCTCTTTTAACATATTTGATTTCATTTAGTCCTTACAACAACCCTGTGAGGTAAGTGTTATCAACCCCACGGTAAGTCAAGGAAACAGAGGCTTTATATGTGTTTAAGAAACTTGCCTAAAGTTGTGGATTTAATAATGAAGGAAGCCAGTCTGGGCACAGAGCAGTTCTCTTTCCATCTGTCACCCATGTCCCAACCCTGTCTCATCTCTGCTTTGCAATTGTTAGATGAGTGAGAGATTGGAAAGACAAAGCTATTTTTAATTAAACATGTTGGGACACTTTATATCCTGAGTCACTCTTTAGGATACTCATATTATGAATCTGAATTCCCCAAACATGAAGATAATGATCTTGTTAATGTCCAGCATAGCACAGGATACCCTTGTAACACTGATCAAAATACGTTTACAATGTCCAAGAGAAAGTCCAGAGTACCTTAAGCAATCCTTTTCTACTCTTTTAATAAAATTTGGCTTTCCTTATACAAATCTGACTTTAAAACAACCTCGCAGTGGGGGAAAAAAGATATTTTTGGCCAGTCAACATTTCCTCTCACCTTCAGCATCTCAGTTTTCATGCTTTTCTTGACCAATAATATGTGAGGAACCAAAAGGAGGCCACTGCCAGTTGTAAAGTTACCATTTTGAAATGCAAGGTGATTGATAGCTTCTAATAGAACTCTAAACTGGCCACAATGAGCAGGAGCTCATTACACCCCAGGCACTTGTACTCCTAGGAGGTACCATCCCATCTCCTGGACACTGTTTAAGGCTGCATTTTCTGATGCACAAATTAATTTTAATGGATGAAAACATAATTTCTCTGAAGTTTTCTCTGAATATTAAGACTGATGATGAGCTCTCTTTGTTCAGAAATAGTGCCGCATTTTATGTGACTTTTAAACCAATCAAGTCTTACTTATGTTAGAAATGAAAATAAAAGAAACTAACAACAAAATATAAAGCTAGGGTGGTTATGATTTTTCCTTTAAAAATATAACTTCTGTTGTATTTCTGGGAATCAGACCTGCATATTTTAGTACAGCATGTTTCCATTAATATTCCATACAAAATAATGTCTAGTTTTTGGTAGCAATATGAAAATGCAACTAGAAACACAGTCTCATACACAATGAATTGATTTATGGTTATATTAATAAAGTGTATTTGTTCTTGTGATTTCTAGCTCAATTCAGCTAATGAGCCAAAAAGTCAATCACAAGAATCAAGTTGCATGAATGCAAGGCTCAAGTTGAAACAGGAATGAATTTGATGGACTTGGAAGATTTAGGCGAGTCCTTCCACATACCCGTACTGTTTGTTGGGCTTCGATTGTTAGAATAAAAAGTCTGTCTTCTGCTCATACTGTCAGTATCTTCTTTGTTGAATTTTTCCTTCATGTTTTGGCAGCATGGGAAGCTTTGAACACAGTCTTGAAGGAGATGGCCACTAAAAAACATGTATATCCAGGGATTACAGCAGCTATTCAAGGAACCCAGTAATGCAGTGATGGTGATGGTAGGGTTTTCCGATTCTGCATGAAAAATATAAAGGGAAATCATGTAATGTAAGTGAACCATGGATAAACTCATTTTTCTATTAACTAATTAAGAAGGCATAAACTTCTGGATTATCATAGAAAATGAACTATTTTGTTTATCAATCAGGGAAATGGGGAGTGTTTGAAAATTGCTTGACTATAAAATATTTTTGTAAGCAAGATGCCTTAAAATTAATTCAAGTATTTTTAAAACACTATCAAAATATTTAAATAGAATTGAGTGGGAATTTTACGAGGTTAAGACTATTAAGTAATTGATTTAAAAAATCTCTATCTTCTATACTCGAACTAGCATGTGCTAATGACACAGCAGTTACAGAATGGCTACAATTGTAATGAAATTTTAAGATAATTTTAAATAACCATGTATACCAAATTGTATTTATCCTAATAACTCAGGAAAAAATATTGCATTAGGGATCAAGTTTAGTAGTTTTAAATATTCTTATAATATGAAAACCATACAGAAGAAGTCCCTGGATGATATAAGCTTTAGTTGTTTTTCTTTGGTTAGAAATTTGGAAAACCATCTGTGGTTGTGGTTCAAACAAATTATATTAAGAAGAACAGTAGAATTAGGAAATTCCAACAGGATTCTAAAATATTTTATGATAATTAGCACTGGTAAACTGCATAAATATTATAACCTTTCACAGTGGAGCTACAGTGCTGATAATATACCTTTTCTAAAAATAAGAATAATCAATAAACACTGACTTTTCCTTGATTATTAAATATAAACTTGGATCTTCTCACTCTTGTTATGCCAGAAAACAATTACAGGTTATTATTTAATCATACTTAGTGCTAAGATGCTGCTATCAAAGGTGATCAGGAGCCATGGGTAAGATGGTATTCACAAAGAATGAAAATTACCAACATATCTATGCACAATTGAAGTTTTTATTACTTGAGTGTAAATTCTGCTAAAGCAATAATTAGACTGAATTTCTTTATTTGATGGACAATATGAAGAGGCTTCTAAGATCAAGCAAGATAAGAAATAGCAAACCAAAAATAAAGTGTTTATATTGTATTTTTCATTATCGCTAGTATTATAGTCAGTAAGAATATTTAAGTTAAATTCATACTGAAATGTTTTATTTGCAAATATAACTTCCAAAGCATATTACATACCTCCCCTACTCCAATTCCAAAAAGCAAAAGGAGAACAGCTACTCCCAGATACCTATTTCCTGTTACCAGAAACATTCTGGTAACAACTGTACCATTGAATTTATTTGGTTTGAGTTCCGACAAGCACTGGAATTTATTTAGTTTGAGTTTTTGTCTTTACTAGAAGAAAATATTTTCAAGATGCAAAATTAAATAATTTTTTTTGCAAGTCACTGTGAAGTTAGTTTTTCTAGTTTGGGAAGGAATTAAAATCAAACACAATAGTAGGTGCAGAGAACATTTCCAGTAAACTACTGTAAGAGTTGGGTGGAGAGATGTAGAGCCGTGTGGTCAAATGAGTGGTGAAAGACTAATGAATTAGTCTAATGAATTTAGTTTATCAATAATTCTGCTTTGAAATACCAAGAAAAAACTATTAATCATTGTTAGAAAAAAATAGATTATAACGAGAAAGGAACATTATTAGCTAAATGCCAAATTGGAATTACTCACCTTCTAAAGAATTTTTCTCCAGCTTTCTTTAGAAATATATATCTGTTTCTATCCTTGCCCCTGAGGCATTTCTACACATTTTTAAAATTAATTGTAATACTTTTCACAATCCAACAAAAAGCAGTTGTGACAGTAAAAATATTTCCCTGAATCCAATAGACCTGAAATGGTGTTAATACAGTAGCTAGTGATTTAGCAAAAGTCATTCTTCGGCTTTGTAGTTGCTTGGCTGACTCTAGGACACAGTTTCTGGAATTGTGGTCTTAGGATCATTGCACACTACAAATGCAGAGTCCTGAGCCCCATTCCAGACATTCTTAATTAGAATGTCTGCATGGGGAATCCAGGAATATGCTTTTTTTTTTTTTAAACAGTGTTCCTCCAAGGTGCGACTCTTATGTACACATAGAAGTTTAAAAACTACTGCCCTAGAAGATACTATGAAGAAAATTGCTAGATTCTCATTTTTTTCTCTCTCTCTCTCTCTCTCTCTCTCTCACACACACACACACACACACACACACACTCCTATCCCTGCACTTTCCTCTATTTTCCCGGCACGTACCGGTCCAGACGGACATGGGATCCCAGACAGACCACATCTGGATGATGAAGAAAGGCGCCCAGCAGACGATGTAAGCCGTCACGATCACAAAAGTCATCTTCACCGTGCGGATCTTGGCCCGGGAAATGGACTTCACGCTGCTGACACAGGGTGCGAGCAGGAACCCCTTTTGGAAGGCCACACCCGCTTGCTCTGCACCCTTGCTCTGGCGCGACGCCGTCTTCCCGCGGACGTTGCACCAGATGTTGTAGCAGATGAAGCCGTAGCAGGTACCCAAGATGACCACGGGCGCCACAAAGATGCCGCCCGTCATCCAGGTCACGTAGGCACGAGAACCCCAGGGCTGGATGAAGGTGGCCCAGCAGTCGCGGGCCTTGGTGACATTGTTCACCTCGATCATGGAGAAGACGAAGTACTGCGGCGTGCTCAGCACGAAGCTCAGCACCCAGGCGGCCGCGATCATGAGGCGCGAGCGGCGCGCGGGCTGTTGCAGAGTCTTGAGCGGGTGGCACACCGCGATGTAGCGGTCGGCTGTCATGACTACCAGCATGTAGGCCGACGCAAACATGCCGAACACCTGCAGGTGCTTCACCACGCGGCACAGCCAGTCGGGGCCGCGGAAGCGGTAGGTGATGTCCCAGCACATTTGCGGCAGCACCTGGAAGAATGCCACGGCCAGGTCGGCCAGGCTGAGGTGTCGGATGAAGAGGTGCATGCGGGACGTCTTGCGCGGCGTCCGGTGCAGAGCCAGCAGTACGCTGCTGTTGCCCAGCACGGCCACCGCGAAAGTCACCGCCAGCACGGCGATCTCCAGTTTGGCCAGCTCCTCGTTGCGCACGTCCCTCGGTGGGCCGTTGCCCTCCCCGAGGGCTTCGGCCTCCCGGCTTGTGTTGCCAGCGCCGGTGGCCAGAGGCCACCATGGGCTGGAGTTGCCCGAGGGCCCCGCGTCGGGACCGGCGGAGAGACGCATGCTGTCCATGCAGCTCCTACTCGGCCCTCTTCGGAGCTCCAGCCCTCGCGGGCCGCTCCCTCCCCGTCTCGGAGGACTTGGGCTCCTCGTCCGAAGCGCAGGGTCTTTGGCGCGCTCGCAGCTTGCCGGGCTCTGCGATCCCTCCAGTGGGCGTCTCCCGGAGCAGCGTCCCGCCTGCCCACTGAGCAGCTCTCAGCAGGGTGAGCTGGCCCCTCTCCCTGCTCTGCCTTTTTTCAACTTCGGCGAGGTCGGGAAGGTGAGCTCCGAGCTTCCGGAAGCACTGGGTTCCCAACTCAAGTATTTATGCGGTGCTTGTTTCCTTGGGACGCGCTCCCTCCCGCCCTATTGCCGGAAGACTGCTGGTTGCCTACTCCCCGCTCCCTGGAGTTTTATTTTTTCCTCTCCCTACGTCGGTGTTTGTCCTCTGCATCACTGTGGAGGGGGTGGAGCTGGGAGACTCGCAGATTCCTCCTCACAGTAGGTGGGATCGTGGCGCTTTCCCGCTTTTCCCTTCCAAAAACTTGGACAACTGGACGAGTCATGCCTTTTCTGGGCTCGTAGCCGTTTCCACAAGCTTCCCTCACTAGCCTTCCTCGCTAGCCTCCTTAACCATGCATTTGACTTCAACAGGCACGCTAAGCGCGGTACCTGGAAACCTCCAGTCCACGCACCGGCGTCCACGCATCTAGCTCCTGCACCTGAACCTGGCTCTCGACCTCACCTCCTCCAGTCCGGGTTTCTTCCTTCTCACCGAGCTCACCCGTGCAGCAGTCTGGCAAATTTTATTCCCCAGGCAAATTTTCCCGGGGCAAACATTTCTCCCCGCTCGTGACTTAAAGAGCTATCTCTTCCTAGTAACGTCTTTGATGCATGCTATTTATTACCCTATGTTTGCGACGGGAAGAACGCACTCATCACTTTGCAGCCCCAGTGGCTGCTGTGCCTGTATTCACAGCGGGGTTTGGGGGGAGTGTCTCCTGGTTTTCTCTATGGAGACTAGGGACTTAAGGAGTTTTCTCTAGATTCCTGGGGTTTTCTGCGGGAAAAGCCTGATTCCCACAGCGGGGATGGCGGAAATTTGGCCGCAGTGGTCCGTGGGGACCGTCTGGTTACTACTGAGTCGTGGGGACATCTTTTTGGGTGGACAAAGAGCAGCTGCCGGACAGCGGCCATCCAGGCAGTGCTGTCCAGGGCAAGGGACAGAAAACCCGCCCGGCTCCTGTGCTCAGGAGTAAGAAAGAGGCAATCTCAAAGAGAGGAAAGAGGCCCTGGGAAGGAGGGGAAACAACCACCTACCTAGTAATCCGTTACTCTGAACAGCTGGAGCCCCTCTGCAGGGCGGGAGGGAGGCAGAAATGCGATCTCCCTCAGCTCTGTTTTAACGTTGGTGAAGATATGCCTCGACGGACAGCAAGGGGGAGCTGTTTTCAGGCAATTTTACAAGGAAGAAAGGAAGCCGTTTCTGCAGTTATCTGCTGTGTAGATGCAGGAGCATGACTTTGTTGGTCAGAACGTTTCAGTATTGTGGCCGTGGTATAAATTTAATTGCCTCAGAAAAATATCACCCTCTGTGAAACGTAGGCAAAAAATGCAAAAGATTTTATTCATTGCAGTTCTCAGTAATAATTCCACTTTACTATCCAGTCCGTTCATGCAGAGTTACCAAGGTTGTCACGTTGAGATGCTGGACTTGAAATCTGGAGTCCTGCTTCCTGTGGCTAGATAATCCTGGGTCTGTGCGTCTTATAAATGGAAATGAAAGGACCTGCCTTTCCTGTTGTTGAGGTCATCGGGAAGATCAAGTAAGACAATGTTCTGTATGGGGGAAATGCTCTAAAAACTGAAAGCTGTGTTGTGTTGGTTCATTTTCTCCAAGATATCCAGGAGGCAGAAGATTGAAATGGTTCAGGGATGGAAGGTAATAGGTAAAAGGTTTCCAGACCACCTGTCTGGAAAAAATCCTTCAAGCAATTAGGTAATAGTCACTGACTCAGAGAATTCACTTTCTTTTAAGTCACAAATTACACTATTAGTGCTCCTGATGAGAAAGAATGTTGACTGAACCTAGTGTCTGGGTATTGCAAAAGTGGTTTGTTGGCCACAGCCTAGTAATTTTGTGGCTCTTGGCCCTACACACTTGAGCTTTTAGGTTTTTTTCAGGAGAGGAAATCTGCAATACAGGCTCACCAATATCTCTGTGGAGGTTCTTATTCCAGGAGATAGGGTGGTGGCCTCTCAGGAAATCATCTGTGTCAGACAATCTGATCCAATTATAAAACTATATCCAATTATCCAAATTATAAAAATAACCTCTCAAGTTATGTTGGTGGATACAGTTGGAAGATATTATTGTTCAGTGACAACAGTACCAATTATCCATATATATCAAATGTATATATGCTTGATACATAGATGTATGTTTATATGTATGCATCTGGCCATTCTATGTATCATGTGTCAATCAATCATCTATCTATCTGTCTATCTATCTATCTATCTATCTATCTATCTATCTATCATCCATCTATCTGTCTCTCGCTGGTTGTGCTGGATGCCATGGGGCCTGGAAAGCAGGAAAAAAAAATGTTCATTGCAGATTGTAGAACCAGTCCCTTTGTTTAATCCATATAGTTTTAAACATGTTTTTGACTTAATTTAACTGGTTTTATATACAAAGGAAAGCAGGACTATTACATATGAGGCACTACTCATATGCCTCACTGGACCTGCTATTAAATTACCCCATAGAGAGTAAAATAATTGTGGTCTTAAAATATGAAAAAGAAAACACAACAGACAATATTTTATGTGGCACCTTGTGCTTTTTCTTAGAGCAATTTACATTTTCTCTGTACTTTTTGTATTATTAAGACTTACCTTTTCCCTCTTACTCTTTGTAGACTTCAGTTAACAAATTTTAGGGGTGAAATAATGAAAAAAATAAGGAAGTTGTGCATACATATCCTGGAATAATCATTCTCTTTCATTTACCAATCTTCTTTCCTTTCACTTCATAATTCCAGATATTTGAGAAGTACTTCAGTTCATGGAAGCAGCTATCTCCTTCACTTACTAGCAGTAAGACTTTGTTTTCATCTTCGAGTTTCAAATTCTTCACTGTAAAATCTTGGTGATTAAACACAATGCAGTTGCTGCAAAGATTATATAAATGGTTGTTTAAATTTCTGGCATTTTATCGGTGTTCAAAACATTTTCTTTTTTTCATACATGTAAATCCTCCAAATTACCAGCTATTTTACCATTAACATTTTCCCTTCCAATTAAAGCAAAATATTCCCAATTTACATATGTGCAATGAGAAGAGTTTTATGGTTAAATATGTTGGAGAAGTGCTGTGTATGCATCCCACCCTCTCCTGGTGATTTATACATAAAAAGGACCTGAGAAACTTCAGAAAAGAAACTTACTTAACCTTGTTCATCAATGTTTTCCAAGGTTATTTTACCATGGAAACTCCCCATTTTTTTACTTTCCCCATGGAATGGTGATGAACATGTCACAAGACAAGGTGACAGAGCAGGAGCATCACCATCCTGCCATTTTAAAGTTCACCTTGATCAAAAACCACCTAAATCCAAAGGGCATCAGCCTAATGGCTAAGGCCAGAATGACCATGAGCCACAAATAACATCTCTTACCAGAAACATTCCAAACCCCTCCCTGACCAGAGACATATCAGCCCCAAGATAACCTCCCCTCCAACCAGATACATTCCAACCCTGCAACTGACTTCTCCGTTATACAGAAACATTCCACGCCGGTGATAAGTTCTCTCACCCTTAAACCAATTAATACTCTTAGTCTGTAACAGAGAATGCTCCTGACTGAAATTGGCCAGAAGCCCCTCTCAGGTTTATTCTCCAAAATAAACCTGTCTTTGAATGTTGAGCCACTTTTTGTGTTTCTTTGCATATTTGATTGCTTCTTCTGCCCTATTGTTTAAGTAAAAATGCAGATTCACTGAGCCAGACTAAGGCATAAGTGACTATTCCTCTACCCTCTTCACATGTAAGTTATCTATTCAGTGAAAGACTAAAGACTCAAAAGAACACAACCATTTGTCTCTTATCTACCTATGACCTGAAACCTCCCGCTTCGAGTTGTCCCACATTTCCAGATTGAACCAATGTACATCTTACTTATATTAATTGATGTCTTATGTCTCCCTAAAATGTATAAAACCAAGCTGTACCCTGACCACCTTGGGGACATGTCATCAGGACTTTGTTCGGTTGTGTCATGGGAGTGTCCTTAACCTTGGCAAAAATAAACTTTCTAAATTGATTGAGACCTGTCTCAGATACTTTGGGTTCACAAAGACTAGGAAATCCTGTAGGATCTGCACTGGTTATTACATATTTTTGGTT
Source organism: Homo sapiens (assembly GCF_000001405.40). Taxonomy (NCBI): domain Eukaryota; kingdom Metazoa; phylum Chordata; class Mammalia; order Primates; family Hominidae; genus Homo; species Homo sapiens. Next base: position 63,155,225 of record NC_000012.12, read on the forward strand.
TCCTCTTTGGTAAACCAAGTACAGGGCAATCATAGTAGGAGTAGTAATAACAATGACACTAGTGACAATAATAATAGATAATATGAACATTTACTGACATTTGTTACCTATACAATAGGTAAAGTCAATGGCATAGCGCATGATAGTCCAATGATCACAACACCAAGAAGGATTTAGCAAGATTTTATGCAACAAGTAAGGAGGACACCAGGGAGAGTTCCCAAAGCAGTGTCTCCCCTAACAATGCTGAAAACAGGGCTTTTATTGGGCTAGTTAGCTCAGTCACTGTATGTAGAGGTGGAATAAAGGCAGCACAGATGCAGATCATGCTTCCAAATACTGGCATGTTTAGAAAATGACAAATAAGCTCCTCCTCGGGTGGAGTTTTTAGTATGATAATGAGGAGAGTTTGCCAAAGTTCATCTCCAGTCAGGCATCTCTGCATATGACCAGTTTTTTGTTTTGCTGGGGCTGAGCTTCTTCCTGGAACTTTTTGAGACAACACGAACTCAAGTTGTTGTTATGAATGGGTACTTTTTCACAATGCATACCCAAAAACCCAGGAGCCCTGGGTTACACATTGACTAAGTTCTTACTTCATGAGCAAAGTGTTTTATATTCATTATTTCATATAATCTTTAAAATAATATTTACTATAAACTGTATAAGGACACAGTTATTATCCCATTTACAGATGAATAAAACAAGGATTACAGAGGTTAATCAACTTAACCACAAGGCTGAGCCGGGATTCACACACAGCTCCATTTGGTGACAAGGCCTGGGCTCTCCCCTCCATACCCTGATGCCTCCCATATACATGGAAAGCACCTAACACATCTTTGTGGAATGAGTTAACAAATGTTGTAATAGAAACTTATTTTTGAGTACTGAATGAATATAAAGTTCAGAAAATGCTTAGTGACTGGATAAATTAGAGAACAGTTCTTGAAGAGCTGCCTTTGAGCAGCACTTAAATCTCTACAGTATCCCCCTGAGAAAAGGGGGGTCAGTGTTTATATTTGGAAGAGACTTAGATGGTTCTAGTCTTTCTTCTGTCTTGGGAATCTGGTCAGGTAAGTGTAATATGTGGCTTTAAAAGTTATCCAGGGAATGAGATTCTTTAACTACACACACACACACACACACACACACACACACACACACACAGAGAGAGAGAGAGAGAAAGAGAGAGAAAGTGAGAGTGTACTGGATTCTAAAAAGTGCTGCAAGTCAAGCACGAAAAAACATCAAGTCTTCATTATACTATTTACTCTATAGGGTAAAATTAAAAGTGAGAACAGTGTGCCTTTGAGCAGCACTTACATCTCTACAGGATCCCTCTGAAAAAGCGGGTCAGCATTTATATGTGGAAGGGACTTAAATGGTTTTAGTCTTTCTTCTGCCTTGGGAATCCTGGTCAGGTAACTGCATATGTGGCTTTAAAAGTTATCCAGGGAATGAACTTCCTTAACTACACACACACACACACACACACACACACACACACACACACACACACACACAAAGAGGAGAGTGAGAGTGAGAGTGTATTGGATTCTAAAAAGTGCTGCAAGTCAAGCATGAAAAAACACCAGGTCTTCATTATACTATTTACTCTATAGGGTAAAATTAAAAAGCGAGAACAGCGTTTTGTCTGACATGGAGTTTTATTTTCTTATCTGCTAATACGGGCTTACATGTATGAGTGCAGAGCTAGGACATTAAAGAGAGGCTACCATGCTCAACAAAATCTTAAAGTATTCCGATCTTTGTTGATGAAATATTAGAATCTCATCACTTCTTAAAACAAACAAACTCATTCCTAAGTCAGCCATTACAGTATTAGTAGAAAAATCACTGCAGAGAAAACCATTTCTAAAATCAGTATTATTTATATGTTCAGAAAATCAGTTTGCTTTTAAAATTACATGGTTGATTTAATTTAAATGGCTTTTTAAAATTTAAAATCATTTAAATGGTTGAGTTTAAGACTTTTGCTCCTAATGAATTCATATTCATTTGGGTGTTCTGCATCTTCATGGTCAGCAGTTTTGCTATCCTGTCTAAATTTGATCATCAAGACTCATTCTTCCAGCATGCTGGCAACATTGAGACTACCTCTGTGTATTCATTAATTTGTTTTTCATGAGTGAAAAGGTTTGCATTGTTTGAAGGGTGCTGAACAAAGTTGTGATACTATAATTTTTTGTTTATCTGCTGTGAATACTATTTATTAGAATTTTTAAATACTTATTTGCCTCTATTTTTCTTTAGGTTTGACAGGGGTTAGTTTTTAAAAAATATATTCTTTTTTAGGCATATTTAATTTAATTTCAGTAATCAATTGATTTTTGACACAAGGTCTCACTCTGTCACCCATGCTGGAGTGCAGTGGCGTGATCACAGCACCGCAGTCTCAACCTCTCCAGGCTCAGGTGATCCTCCCACTTCAGCCTCCCAAGTAGCTTGGACTACAGGCACATGACACTGTGCCTGGCTAATTTTTGTATTTTTTGTAGAGACAGGGTTTCACCATGTTGCCCAGGCTGGTGTCAAACTCCTGGGCTAAAGTGATCCATCCACCTTGGCCTCTCAAAGTACTGGGATTACAGGTATGAGCCACTGTGCCTGGCTAGGCATATTTTAATGATGTGTAAACTCGCATTAAGAACACTATCACATAATCAGATTATGCATTTGTTAACATAAACTTTATCAGGAAAATGCAAAATATAAGAGTAAAACCACAAACTGCCAAGTTTGAAGCAACATATTCTGTTTCTATTCTTTACTCCACTCCTATGCCACACCATCTGTCACCTTACATACTTGCAAGGTGCTTCAAAGTTTTTCAAAAGCCTTTTTACCTATCTCCAGTAATATGGAATATGTTGCATTTTATTTTCTGTTAGGATTCTATGGTGATGATTATATATTTATAACTAACTTATACTTAAAAAAGCAGACGTGTTACCTGAGAAGAGGTTTGATCCATTGGATTGCAACCTCAATGTACATGAGAAAGTTTCTAAGATTAAATTTCTCTGAATATATTTAAAGTATGGACACGAAATGGAATAGGCTTGAAATATTTAGGGCTTTACCTCAGTGTTCCTGAACAGACTTTTACGTGGAAATGTTCTTTGATTACCTGGTAAGTCAACAGGAAGAAATAACAAGAGAGACGTCATCATTGCAGTTTCCTAAGTACTTGCAATCAGATGGATGGCCGGTGCTCCTTATTCATGTCTACATTGAAGACGCTATTAAAAGGGAAGAATTAATATGTAACTGATGTTCAGAGAAGGCTTCTACACTTTCCAGAATCTCTGTTTAACCTTGTATTTGAATAGCTAGCCCATCTGCTCAACAATTTAACTATTCCTTCAATGATGATCTCTCACTGCCAGGCAAGCATTTTAGAAAAATGCTTTACACAATTAAATTCTGTATGGATTTATTTTATCATAATGGAATGACAACTTCACGTACTCAGCCGTAGAAGATTTGGCAGAAAAATCTAGAATACGTTTCAACATTACTTTTACTACAGTTATGCATAAGGCAAGGAAAAAAATGAATCTATATGCATTCATTTATGATAAAAATAACTATATATTTTACTACTTAGAACAATATTATTTTAATTTTAAAATGTTTCATTCTAAGGCCAGGCACAGTGGCTCATGCCTGTTATCCCAGCACTTTGGGAGGCCGAGGTGGGCAGATCACCTCAGATTAGGAGTTCAAGGCCAGCCTGGCCAACATGGTGAAACCCCATCTCTAGGAAAAATACAAAAATTATCCGGGTGTGGTTGTGGGCACCTGTAATCCCAGCTACGCGGGAGGCTGAGGTGCAAGAATTGCTTGAACCCGGGAGGTGGAGGTTGCAGTGAACCGAGATTGTGCCACTGCACTCTAGCCAGGGTGACAGAGCAAGACTCCGTCTCCAAATAAATAAATGAAATATTTCATTCTAGTCCTAGTATCCACAGGTAATCACATTTATGATGTGCTTAAGTTTATAATCCTTTTTCACTGTGTGTATGTATGTGTATCTTTTATAAAACTAAAATTAGACCATATTTTTTATTTTTCAATTTAGTAACATCATGTAAACATCTCTCCATGTCTTTAAATATTCTTTTACATCATTACTTTCATGGATTCATAGTTCTTTATCCTATTAATGTGCCTACTTTATTTTCTATTTTCTCCCCACCCCTTATTTTTGGAAAAATGTTGGCCTCCCAGCTTTTCCCCTTGTTTTTATACACATGCTGCCTATAGATACCTCTTTATTCATATTCATGTTTATTTCCTAAGGTTAAATTTCTGGAAGTGGAACTACTAGGTCAAAGATTATGTAAAATTTTGATTTGGTTATCAAATCACTTATACACACACACACACATTTTTAAAAATAGAGTCAGAGGCTTACTCTCTTGCTCAGGCTGGAGTGCACTGCCATGATCATGGCTCACTGCAACCTTAAACTCCTAGACTCAGGTGGTCCTCCCACCTTGGCCTCCCGAGTAGCTGAGACTACAGGTGTGTGACATAATTCATGGCTGTTATTTTAAAAATGTTTTTAGAGAAAGCGTCTTGCTATGTTGCCAGGATGATCTTGAACTCCTGGCCTCAAGCGATCCATCTTCCTGGGCCTCCCAAAGTGCTGGGATTACAGGTTTGAGCCACCGTGCCCAGCCTATATATCCACACTAACGCCTAATTAGCAATAAATGAGATTGCTCATTTTCCACAGCTTTGTGAACACAGAATAGTCCCATTGAAAAGAAAATCTTTCCGAATTTGATAAATGAATAAGTATCTGATTGTTTTAATGTATTTCGTTAGAAATATTTCATCGTTTTTGTCTCATTACTTACTTAATAATGAGTTAAACATTTTCATAAATGTCTTATAACTTACAAACAGAATCTGGGAGTGCTGAATTATGATAAAGGAACTGCTCAAGTTAGAAATATTACTTTTACTTTTCTTTGAACTGTTATAAATTATACAGAAAAAATAATACATGGTATATATGGACCATAAGTAGCAGGAGCTGTAATCCAGGTTTTGCATACATTATCTTATTTAATCCTCACGAATCTAATGAGATGGATTAACCACTATTTTACACATAAGGATGCGGGCCTCCGAGAGGTTAAATAAATTGCCCGAGAACACACAGCCAGTAGTGACTCTGCTCAGATGGCATATTTGGGTTTTCTTACTTCCAAGACTGTGCTCTTCCCTTCTACTAACTTGTTTCTGATAGAGTAACTCTTTCCACATTTGCTGTCTAGCTTGGTCTAGATAGAAAACATATTTTTCTACTGCCATAATTCTTGCCATGGCTGTTACAGAGTTCATTTGTCCGCATAATTGGACAGGGCTAAGGGGGCAAGAGGCTTTTGAATTTCAATGGTAACTCTTGACCATCTGAGGATCTCTTGAGATTCTGTTTCCTGGGTTTAAAAGAGCTTCCCTTTTCATCTCTTAACAATGTTGACAAATTAAAACCTGTTTTATCTGCTTCATGTGGACCAATTCAAGCTTCACCTTGCCTCCTGAGTTGACTGAGACTTTCAGTGGGAGAAACAACATTAGCCAGCTTGGTGTGGCAACTCTACCCCGACAAAATCTTATGAAATTGAAATCTTATTGTAAGCCTCATATTGCCTTCACAAAACTCCAGAATAAGGCCTCACTGGAGGATATCCTGGGTTTAGCAATTAGTTTTGGCAATAGAGTATACTCTAGGGCACAGTAATCCCATAGAAAATAAAACTAGGAGTTTTTGGCTTTTTAAATGTTTTGTTGTATGACTTTGTTTTAATCAAACAAATATTTTATATCAGTTAAAATGTAATTTGCAAGATCAATGATGTGGCTTAGAAAAAAATAGAACTTCAGGTAACAGAGGCATCTTAATTATTGAAAGGAATCTGACCAAAACTACAATTAGACAGTTAAAAATAACAAATATTTTGAAATATAATTGTTTACAAACAAGTAAAAGAACAAACGGGATATATTTAACCCCAAAATGGCTTGAGATATCATAATTTACCTTTCAGATTTGGTAATTGAATCAATACACATATATAAGAATAATTATGTTTTCATCACGTAAATGTAAAAAATGTTTTTATTAATTATGATTTTGTGAGTTAGCTTGAAGTGCTATACTTATCAGTAGTAGCTTAAAATTAATTAATTGTAATATCATTTGAAAATATACCAATTTTTTGTAACCTCTTAACACTTTTTACCTTCTATAATAAAACATTTAAAATACATTATTTGATGTGAGTCTCAGAACAGTGTATATTGCAATATAAGTGGCAGAATGCCATTTGCATCTTATATTGCAATGAATTTTCTCTCATGATGCTTCTGCCATTTTTTTTTGTGCTAAGTGTTTCATTTCTTTATTCTAAATTTTTAATTGACACATAATTATTTTAAGCCCAGTTTTATATTATGTGCATTTTTTTTCTGGAAAAGGTTTTGATAGTAAAATATCAAAACTAAGTCATTAAAAGAAAGGTAACTTATAGAAAACTTAAAAAAGCAATAACAAAGTTAGCCTTCTTTTATTACTCTTTTTATTATATAATTTATTATACAATTATACAATTTATTATACAAAATAGTATAATTGTTTTTGTATAATTTTATTATACAAAATAGTATAATTGTTTTTGCATAATTTTATTATACAAAATAGTATAATTGTTTTTGTATAATTTTATTATACAAAATAGTATAATTGTTTTTGTATAATTTTATTATACAAAATAGTATAATTGTTTTTGTATAATTTTGTTATACAAAATAGTATAATTGTATTTGTATAATTTTATTATACAAAATAGTATAATTGTATTTATACAATTTATTATACAATTATACAATTTATTATCATTATACAATTATACAATTTATTACACAAAAACTTTTTATTATACAATTTTTATTATATATTTGATTTCTAAGTCATCTTGTAGAAGATGAAAATATGAAGATGGGGTCTATCTCTTAGTCATCTTTGTTTTCCTGAGTTCTGACTAAGTTCTATCAAAAAAATTTTATGATTTCTTTTTTTTTTTTTCATGCCAAAGAAACTGAAGGAGGAGGGACTTCCTAAAAAGATGGTAATTGTAATTATCAAGTGCCAGAGAAAACAAAAATTAAAAAAATATTTTAGGGGCTTTGACATTGAGGATAATAGATAATTTTGTTTTTTTATTTTCTGTGAGTCTTCTGTCTTTCAGTTATCTACTAAATACTGGAATTCTTATATCAAAATCTTTTCCTTTGAGTTTCTCAGTCCCAAATTGACTATATAAAAATGTAATTGTTGATGTTTGAGGAGGCCAATAAATAATACTTCTCTGTCTTCCTTGTCTTCAGAAATAACTGAGAAATAAGTACAAGAGTCAGATCTATGGAAAACACAGTATTAGTTTAATAATTGGTAAGTCTTATAGATTAGAGGATGTGGCACAGAGGTACAGCCCCAGTGGGGACTGTCTTATATTTTACTCTTGAATGAGACCTACTTATCCAGCCACCATTCTCTGCCTCATGGGCAGACAGCTTTCTGCATGGCACAGAGCAGTATGACACTACCTTGTCTGAGGGGAATGATGAGCTTCGGGGCACACTACCCCCAAAATACGGCACTGTGGGATATTGAATATTTTAAGCTAAAGAAATTTGAGAGACAGTATGTGCCGGAAGGATTTTCTGCCCTTACCCTGAAGCAGGTCATGATACCCTCATGTCAGAGATGACCTCCCTATGTCTAGAGGAAAGGAGCCCCATTGTTTCTGAAGACACAGGGAGCCAGCAAATAGCAGGCCTTATTAGATCTCCCTCAGTTTATTACCATGAGATCACACCCTTTTGCTCTATCACATTTCTCCAGACTATTCACTCTTCATCAAACCTACTTTAAAAAACACTCCGATTTTACCATTTCTCTAGGTCTTTATTTCCTCATAGAGGCTCCCATAAAACTTAGGTTAAATACATTTGTATGCTTTTCTCTTGTTAATCCATCTTTTGTTATAGGAGCCTTAGTCATGAACCTAAGATAGGATATTTTTCCTCCCCTACAGAAGGTATATGCAAAACAAACAGATCCCAGAAGGGGAGAGCTCACCAGTTTATAACTCTCCTCTCTTCAGAAAGGATGTGAATCCAAGGTGTGGGGAATAGCCAAGGGAACCGTCACCACACGGAAACACAAAACCAGAGGTATGTGATAGTCTTTATCCTAATATAACTGGATGTTATGCAGCTCTAAAAAATCATGTATCTGCTGAAAGTGAGAAACTTAATCTGACAAATCCCAAGTGACACAGTCAATTCTAGTGCAAAATGTAGTTTCTTAGCCCAATGCCTCTCCATCCCTACTCATGCTCCACTTCTTTTCCCTACTTCTGCTTGGGGTCATTTAACATCTGTGGAGGCTTGTGTACTTTTGTGGTTTCAGTGGAATGCCATCTGCTAGGAGTTCCTGCTGGCTCCAACTGAGGAGTGGCAAAAACTGTCAGAAAAAATTGTCCAAGACTTGCAAGTAGGTAAAAGAGATTCCTGGGTGTTCTTTCCGCAGAGTAGGTGCATTGTCATTGTCATGATGTGTAACTGTTTGACTTTTTACTGGGTAGTCTATTTTACAACTCTGAAAAGGTAACTTGCAGGAAACTGAAAGTAATGCAACTGATTGCTGTCCATAACAACATAAATGAATTTTTTCCAATAGAAATGTAATTGATTTCTGCCCCGTAGGAAAGAAAACTCCAAGCATTATGTTTTATGAACCAATAGAAAAATAATAATCAATCTTACATCTTTTAGCAAAATCATTTCAGAATTCTTGACTGCCTGTGTGTTACTCTTCTTCAGATTCTCCCCTGAACAGGTCTTAACATCTCGTTGGTTCCATCCTTAATTAATAAGCTGAATAAAACTGTAGCATGTGTTCATTTTACATTTGCAGGAGAGTCATGACTTTATCTTTATAAAATTTATACATAGCAGCCCTGCGTGGTCTCAGGGGTCTGCCTCTATCTTTGCCACATCCCATGCTGAGGTCCATAGCTATTCTAGCTGGTCCTCACTAGTCCTCTGTTCTATCACAGGTGAGGCATGGTACTAGCTCTGGGGTTGCGGTGAGGGAGGAACACTCAGTATTTTCCCTTGCTTTTGTTCCTCTCCTCTCTTACTGGCATTTTTCATCCACTTAGACCTATTCACATCCACTGTCTGCCCCCAGCTTGACTGTCCTAAGTCTTTGCTTTGGGTTCTTTCTCCTTCGTCTTGAAGACTGATGGCCTGGCCTCCTTCTATAAATACATAGCTACTTGTTTGCCCCATGAGTATACAAGAACTTCTAAAATCTAATCTACATTCACAGGGATTACAGGGAGTCAAGCTGTCACAGGCATGGCTATTTCAGGTCCTCTCTGCCTAAATATACTCCAATAACATTGTCTGAGTCTATTTTGTGTTATTACAAAAGAATACCTGAGAGTGGGTAATTTACAAAGAAAAGAGGTTTGTTTAGCTCACAGTTTTGCAGGCTGAGAAGTTCAGGGACATAGTCCTGGCTTCTGTGCTGCCTCACAACACGGTGGAGAAGGTCAAAGGAGAGGCAGACATGGGTGAAGAGGGGAAAACCTGAGGAGCATCCTGGCTTTATAACAACTCACTCTTGCGAGAACTAATCCACTCCTGCAAGAAGCAGTTTCATCTCACTAGAGCAAGAACTGACTTACTACATGAAAACAGCAGCAAGACATTCATGAGAGATCTGCTTCCATAACTCAAACACCTCCCACTAAGCTCCACCTGCCAACAGTACCACATCGGGGATCAAATTTCAACATGAGTTTGGGTGGGACAAACCAACCATATCCAAACCATAGCAACCATATATATGCTATTGCTTCCACCCTGGGTATGCCTAGGAACACTCTGTAAAGCCTTTTCTTTGCAGAATTCTAAGCTGGAAGTGGGACACAATCCTCTTCTACTTTTAGATTTTAAAATCTATCTAGGAGTTTCTAGCACCTCCTCCCTGTGCTTTCAAACTTAAAACAAGGTGGGCAGAAAGAAGGGACTCATGCTTAAATTTAAACCTTAATTTTTTATCCTAAACCTCTCCAGATCTTCCCCCACTGTGTAGGAAGGATCTTTATTAGGTGGGAAAACCCTTCTTCAGTCTTATAGTACAGAATCCTTTTCACTTTGTTATGTAGCCAGTAGTCATTCAAGAGCAGGTTGTTCAGTTTCCATGTAGTTGAGTGGTTTTCAGTGAGTTTCTTAATCCTGAGTTCTAGTTTGATTGCCCTGTGGTCTGAGAGACAGTTTGTTATAATTTCTGTTCTTTTGCATTTGCTGAGGAGAGCTTTACTTCCAACTATGTGGTCAATTTTGGAATAGGTGTGGTGTGGTGCTGAAAAAAATGTATATTCTGTTGATTTGGGGTGGAGAGTTCTGTAGATGTCTATTAGGTCCTCTTGGTGCAGAGCTGAGTTCAGTTCCTGGATATCCTTGTTAACTTTCTGTCACGTTGATCTTTCTAATGTTGACGGTGGGGTGTTAAAGTCTCCCATTATTATTGTGTGGGAGTCTAAGTCTCTTTGTAGGTCTCTAAGGACTTGCTTTATGAATCTGGGTGCTCCTGTATTGGGTGCATATATATTTAGGATAGTTAGCTCTTCTTGTTGAATTGATCCCTTTACCATTATGTAATAGCCTTCTTTGTCTCCTTTGATCTTTGTTGATTTAAAGTCTGTTTTATCAGAGACTAGGATTGCAACCCCTGCCTTTTTTTGTTTTCCATTTGCTTGGTAGATCTTCCTCCATCCCTTGATTTTGAGCCTATGTGTGTCTCTGCATGTGAGATGGGTTTCCTGAATACAGCACACTGATGGGTCGTGACTCTTTATCCAACTTGCCAGTCTGTGTCTTTTAATTGGAGCATTTAGCCCATTTACATTTAAGGTTAATATTGTTAAGTGTGAATTTGATCCTGTCATTATGATGTTAGCTGGTTATTTTGCTCGTTAGTTGATGCATTTTCTTCCTAGCCTCGATGGTCTTTACAACTTGGCATGTTTTTGCAGTGGCTGGTACCAGTTGTTCCTTTCCATGTTTAGTGCTTCCTTCAGGAGCTGTTTTAGGGCAGGCCTGGTGGTGACAAAATCTCTCAGCATTTGCTTGTCTGTAAAGGATTTTATTTCTCCTTCACTTATGAAGCTTAGTTTGGCTGGATATGAAATTCTGGGTTGAAAATTCTTTTCTTTAAGAATGTTGAATATTGGCCCCCACTCTCTTCTGGCTTGTAGACTTTCTGCCGAGAGATCTGCTGTTAGTCTGATGGGCTTCCCTTTGTGGGTAACCCGACCTTTCTCTCTGGCTGCCCTTAACATTTTTTCCTTCATTTCAACTTTGGTGAATCTGACAATTATGTGTCTTGGAGTTGCTCTTCTCGAGGAGTATCTTTGTGGCGTTCTCTGTATTTCCTGAATTTGAATGTTGGCCCGCCTTGCTAGGTTGGGGGAAGTTCTCCTGAATAATATCCTGAAGAGTGTTTTCCAACTTGGTTCCATTCTCCCCATCACTTTCAGGTACACCAATCAGATGTAGATTTGGTCTTTCCACATAGTCCCATATTTCTTGGAGGCCTTGTTCATTTCTTTTTACTCATTTTTCTCTAAACTTCTCTTCTTGCTTCATTTCATTCATTTGATCTTCCATCACTGATACCCTTTCTTCCAGTTGATCGAATCGGCTACTGAAGTTTGTGCATTCGTCACATAGTTCTCGTGCCATGGTTTTCAGCTCCATCAGGTCATTTCAGATCTTCTCTAATCTGTTTATTCTGGTTAGCCTTTTGTCTAATCTTTTTTCAAGGTTTTTAGCTTCTTTGCGATGGGTTCAAACATCCTCCTTTCGCTCGGAGAAGTTTGTTATTACCAATTGTCTGAAGCCTTCTTTTCTCAACTCGTCAAAGTCATTCTCCATCCAGCTTTGTTCCATTGCTGGCGAGGAGCTGCATTCCTTTGGAGAAGAGGCGCTCTGATTTTTAGAATTTTCACCTTTTCTGCTCTGGTTTCTCCCATCTTTGTGGTTTTATCTACCTTTGGTCTTTGATGATGGTGATGTACAGATGGGGTTTTGGTATGGATGTCCTTTCTGTTCATTAGTTTTCCTTCTAACAGTCAGGACTCTCAGCTGCAGGTCTGTTGGAGTTTGCTGGAGGTCCACTCTAGACCCTGTTTGCCTGGGTATCACCAGCAGAGGCTGCAGAACAGCAATATTGCAGAACGACAAATGTTGATGTCTGATCATTCCTCTGGAAGCTTTGTCTCAGAGGGGCACCCACCCGTATGAGATGTCATTTGGCCCCTTCTGGGAGATGCCTCCCAGTTAGGCTACTCGGGGGTCAGGGACCCACTTGAGGAGGCAGTCTGTCCGTTCTCAGATCTCAAACTCCATGCTGGGAGAACCACTACTCTCTTCAAAGCTGTCAGACAGGGACATTTAAGTCTGCAGAAGTTTCTGCTGCCTTTTGTTCAGCTATGCCCTGCCCCCAGAGGTGGAGTCTACAGAGGCAGGCAGTCCTCCTTGATCTGCGGTGGGCTCCACCCTCTTCGAGCTTCCTGGCTGCTTTGTTTACCTACTCAAGCCTCAGCAATGGAGGGTGCTCCTCCCTCAGCCTCTCTTCTACCCTGCAGTTCGATCTCAGACCTCATTGCTGTGCTAGCAATGAGGGAGGTTCCGTGGGCATGGGACCCTCTGAGCCAGGTACGGGATGTAATCTCCTGGTGTGCTGTTTGCTAAGACCATTAGAAAAGTGCAGTATTAGGGTGGGAGTGACCCGATTTTCCAGGTGCCATCTGTCACGGCTTCCCTTGGCTAGGAAAGAGAATTCCCCGACCCCTTGCTCTTCCCAGGTGAGGTGATGCCTTGCTCTGCTTCAACTCATGCTCCGTGGGCTGCACCCACTGTCCTGCACCCACTGTCTGATAAGCCCCAATGAGATGAACCTGGTACCTCAGTTGGAAATGCAGAAATCACCCATCTTCTGTGTCAGTCATGCTGGGTGCTGTAGACTGGAGCTGTTCCTAGTCGGCCATCTTGGAACCTAACTCCAGAATCCTTTTCACTGTGTGATTGGAGGCATGATAAGCTCTGTTCTCTACATCAGCCAGGATTTGCTTATAATGCAAACACAGGAATACCTAAAAACCTCTTCTTTTTCAAGATCCTGGCTTTTGCCAACCAAACATTCTTTGGATTTTATTTATTTCTTTGCTGTGGACTTAGCTCTCTTTTAAAGCTGAACAATGGTGTTTCTTTCAGGATAAATTTGCACCTACTTTCTCTACTCCTCCCCTCCTTATTATCTTTCCCATACACTCACAGAGCAACAAATGATGCTTTTTACAACCGGAGGAGAGTGACTGTGTGACTTGAAAGTTTTAGAAATTACTGACAATAAAAAAAAAAAATCAATTGCTATTTTCAAGTTCTGCTACCTACGCCATTACTTTTCAAAAGAGAAGATAGTATCAGTGCACTTTCTTCTGGATGTTGCCTTAAATGAATCTCAAAAAACATCCTTTTGAACTTTATGTGAAGAGTTGTACAAAAGCTGTGTTAATATTGTGTCAGATTTAAAAAATGGACTACTAATCCTCTATCATTCTTTTTATTTTGATCTAGATGTCTGAGAGTATGAATGTTCTTAGTGCAAATAATAAATTGAATGCTCTCGAGGATAAAATTTGAAAATAATTCTATCTTAAGATGTCTAACAAAATGAATAAAAATTATAAACTCTTATGAATGAGGTTGTACTCTCCAAGTGTTTCTTGTTAAGAACCATAGAAGGACTTCCCTTTTAGAAATGCTTTGGATATTCTAATACATTTAATGCCAGGGCATAAGCTAGTGGTTGTTAAGCTTTTCTCTCCCTCCCACAGCACCAAGAGACCTAACATTCACCCATTTGTAGCAGTTGTTTTAGAACAGTGATTGCCAAGGAGGGGAAAAATGAGGAAGCATAGCAGAATTTCTGGGGAACTGTAGAAAGAGAGAGCATATTGGGAAGGTCTTGTGATATTTGAAAATTACTCTGAAATGTTTCTGAAACTCCTTCCACTGATTCTCATGGAAGAAGTCTAACCTCTTAGGATGTGCAAGTTCAATGGAATAAATTTAACACTTCATCTTGTGCATGAAGTGCTATATTCAGAAGCAAAATATTAAAAGCTACAGGTTTTTAAAAAATTAAATTTTTATTAAAAGCAACTCAACATTTTAAAGATATTCTACATTCTCCCTTTCCCCCGATATTTGAAATTCCCAATGATGTCTTTCCTGAGACATTTAAATAGACATTCAACATTATGAGAGTTCCTTCTTTTGTGGGGTTTTATAAGTACGAAGCACAGAACGCATCAAAGTAAAGACATACTTGTTCATCTATTGCTATTCATTTTTCTTTCCCTTTTTCCTCTTCCTCTTCCTCTATTCCAGCCCACCCTGTCCCACCCACCCCGTAGCGAGTGTCTTAGGAGGTCTCATTCTGACTTAAGACTCTGTCTTAATGTCTTGTTAATTTTTTCCTAAAACAGGGAAATATCTTCAGGGGCCAGATAGGTAATACACATGTGAGTTATAGAACAGGAGGAAGTGGGAGAAATGGAATTTAGCTAAGTAAGTTCACATCTTCCTCAAGACCATTCAAATTAAAATTTAAAAGCCACACTGTTCTGATGAGATGAAACAAGTGTACAAGAGCATCAATTTCATCCCCATTTTAGCATGCACTCATAAAAGAAAATCCTAATGCTTTTGCATTTTGCCATTGCCAGAACAGCTCTTCTTTCTTTTATATCCCTCTCTCCTAGTGGTTCCAGGGCAATTTCTTAAAATTCAGTGGTGTGCTTATTCAGTGTTGTAATGATCCCCTGAGCTTTGTACTGTGAATATTTCATTTAATTTCTTGCACCTGTGGAATAGAGGACTAATCTGTACAACTAAACTTTCTTATATCATGTCTCTATGTAGTCCATCTGGTTATTTACAAACACTGGCAGGTCTCATTTCCTACTGTACTATTGTTTTTAATTTTTTTCCTCCCTTCTCTGTTACTCAAATGTTTAGCCAGCTTTGTCTTTTAATGTCAGTCCTCATTGCATAGTAGCATTTAGTGAACTTTCAGTTCATCTGTAATGATTGGTCTGTAAGTGAATTGATCTGCTGCTGCAGGATTTCAACAAAAGATCAACATGACTGAATGTCCCTGTCAACTGCTCCTCATTCTTGCCTCCTTGTTTTCAAGCCTGCTGGTCTTGTTAGAGTGCTGCCTTAACCTGGAAAAGAATTTCAAGTGGCTTTTATGAAGGAAGAAGAAGACTAGAAGACTATTTTAAATTACCTATTGAAACTCTGCTTTTTTTTTTTTTTACATTTTCCATTTGGAAAATTTCCTTTGCTGTGTTGCTTTCTGATTGGCTTCAATTCTAGATGTCTCCTTGCATCAATGGATAAATTTCCTTCTTAAGAAATTGAATTTTAGCTCAATCTGAATAGCCTTCCCTTCTAGAACTATCAGATATCCTACAAATTTGAACTTTTTTATAACTCCTTTCTTGGCATGACCAATGATTTAGCTAATTAGCACTGGCTTTTTATTCAGAGAAATCTTGTTTGAATTATGTTTCTGGTTAAATGATTTTTAATAAGACGTTAATCTCTTTGTACAATAAGAGTGCTTATACCCTTTTCATAATAATTGTGTAAAGACTTATGATTACACTAGGCACAGGAAGGTGTTTTCAATAAAACAAAGTGTCCTTCCAGTTCCCTGCTTTGAAGTAGGGTCTTCAATCTTCCCATCTCCATTGTTCAGTGCATATGTTTCACTTAGGATAAGCTAAGTTATGCTAAAGTAACAAGCAAACAACAAATCTCAGTGGCTTAGAGCAATCAAGATCTATTTCTTATTCATGCTACTATTCATCATGCATAGCTGGGGCTTTACTCCATGTGCTTCTCATTCAGGAACCTAGGTGAGGGGGCTTGATCATCTGGAATGTCACCAGTCACTGTAGCAGGGAGAAGGGAAGAGAGAGAATCATGCACCAGATCTTTAATAATTCTGCCCAAAAGTGACACATATCACTTTCACTGATGTTTTATTAACTGTAGCCAGTTAGCCACACCTAATCCAAGAAGGCAGATTTCTGTGTGCCCAGAGAAGGGAAGAGGACTACATGTATTGATGAAAGGCATGAATATCGATCATTAAATATTTCCTGGTTGTCCTTTCTGAGCCCAAATAAGATCTCTTTTTACTGGCACTCATGTACCCTTGATATTATAGTTTTTTTGAATTGTAAATGACACAAAATGGAGCCAGAGTGGCTGACTCTGCTTTTTATATTCTTTCTTGAGACTACCTGAAAGGATACAAGGTGGATACTTAGCCCTTGTCCAAACAGCCTTCTAGATATTTGGGTTGCTTACTCACAGCACTCTCTTCTTTCAGAGGGAAAGACGGGTTGGAGAGTAAGAAAATTAAAATAGCCAATGTTGTCCTATTAAGTGCTATTTTAAATACCTATTTTTTTCCTTAATCACATAAGTAATACATTGAAGACACATATGCAAATACCTCAGTATGTGTAAGCTGGCACCTTACATGCTACTTTTAATGTATAGGATTATTTTCAAGGAAGCTCATCAATCTATCAGTCAAAATTTATTAGATAGAAATTCTAATTTTGCCTTTATAACTCAATGAACAATTAAAGGGTCTAACTCAAACTTTTTGAGAATATTTTCTTTTTTTCCAAATTATTACATACTCAGATATACTCTTGAATCTCTCATTCAACAAGTCCCCAAACTTTGTCCATGAAACCTTTCTTCTCTTTCTTTTCTCTATACCCCATCATTCTAATTTACATCACGTTAATCTTTTTGGATTATATTTACATATTTAATTTCTCTTCCACTTTGCTCCAACTCAAATTCTTTATAACAACCACAAGAACACGAAACTCCTGTAACTAGCCAATGTAGTAATTAGGGTAGGATAGGCTATGTCCTGTAGTAACAGAGCAATTCTGACACCTCAGTGGCTTAACAAAAAAATTATTTCTCACTCATGCAAAGTCTAATGCAAGTTGAGCAGCTTTCCCCCAAGCAGTGACTCTGAGGTCCATGTTTCTTCCATCAAGGAGTTCCTTGGAATCTTACACTTCCAAATTCATCCTTAGATGGGTGGACATTGTGAAGGCAGGAAAGAGAGCCAAGGCGTTCAAGAGAAATTTTAGGGGCCTGATCCACAGCAGCATACATAAATTATTTCCACATTCTAGTGGCCAGAATGATCTCATGGTTCCAACCTAATTGCAAAAGAGGCTGGGAACTGTGGTCTCCTGTGTGCCAAGAAAGGGAGAGATAAGTAAGGATCTATCCAGTGTAGCTCACAGCAAGCAGGTAAAAGTCTTCCTTTCCTTTTCCCCAAAATAGTTACTGACAATTAATATGGTTTCTAAGTTTCTAATTTTTCACATTTCATGATTCTAAGACATTATATATGTTTTTTCTTGGAGTCTTATTACAAGACAAATTATCAGTAAGGTTTTGTGTTTTGGTTAAGTGTAAAGAGGGTTTATACTAAGTCTAAAGCTCATTAGACAAATTCCAATTCAACTATAGATTATTTTGGAGGTCCCATTGCATTAATAAGTACGTTTTTGTCCATGGGCAGAAACTCAACACTAACTTTGCTTTAGCAAAAAAAGAAAAGTGCAGAGGCACAAAGGTTTAGGCAAGGCTGGATCCTGGGGCATATATAAGATCATTAAGCACCTATCTCTATATTCATTTCTTACAGTGTCTCCATGGTTTGGTCCCTAGTGGCCCAAGATTTAGATTCTACCATCTTGGCAACCACAGTGACAACAGAGTATATTTCTTATTAGACATAACAGAAAATTCCTGGGGAGAATTCTCTTCAGGTTGGATCATAGGTTCATCCTTGAGCCAACCACAATAGACAACAAGATGGAATTCTGTGATTGGCTTGGCCTGGTTTACATGTCCATCCCTGTGGGCAGGAAAAGAGTGAAAACAGCCTTATGTGGATCGCATGAAATGGATTCCTCACAGGAAAGAATGCTCCTGTTGCTAGAAAAGGAGGGTATGCTAAGCTGGCAAAAATAACAGATATTTACTTCACATATGAAAACCAACCTGTTGATCTCAGACTTGCAATGGATGGCTGAATTTCATTCTAGCCTTTCTTTGCATAAGTGACCGGGGAAGAAGTACTGACTTTACTTTTATCATTTACAGTGATTTTTTTTCTGTATATGCTAGTTAATTAAACTGAATAAAAGGAATTCCTATATTATGATAATTTAGTCTCAGTAATAGCCAATAAATATTTCTGGAAAGAAGTACCCAGCCCCTGTGTGGGTGCTATTATTGAATGTTTTTTATTTATTTATTTATTATACTTTAAGTTCTAGGGTACATGTGCACAATGTGCAGGTTTGTTACATATGTATACACGTGCCATGTTGGTGTGCTGCACCCATTAACTCGTCATTTACATTAGGTATATCCCCTAATGCTATCCCTCCCCACCTCCCACCCCACAACAGGTCCCGGTGTGTGATGTTCCTCACCCTGTGTCCAAGTGTTCTCATTGTTCAATTCCCACCTATGAGTGAGAACATGCAGTGTTTGGTTTTCTGTCTTTGCAATAGTTTGCTCAGAATGATGGTTTCCAGCTTCATCCATGTCCCTAAAAAGGACATGAACTCATCCTTTTTTATGGCTGCATAGTATTCCATGGTGTATATGTGCCACATTTTCTTAATCCAGTCTATCATTGATGGACATTTGGGTTGGTTCCAAGTCTTTGCTATTGTGAATAGTGCCGCAATAAACATACGTGTGCATGTGTCTTTATAGCAGCATCATTTATAATCCTTTGGGTATATACCCAGTAATGGGATGGCTTGGTCAAATGGTATTTCTAGTTCTAGATCCTTGAGGAATCACCACACTGTCTTCCACAATGGTTGAACTACTTTACAGTCCTACCAATAATGTAAAAGCATTCCTATTTCTCCACATCCTCTCCAGAATCTGTTGTTTAATGACTTTTTAATGATCGCCATTCTAACTGGTGTGAGATGGTATCTCATTGTGGTTTGGATTTGCATTTCTCTGATGACCAGTGATGATGAGCATTTTTTCATGTGTCTGTTGGCTGCATAAATGTCTTCTTTTGAGAAGTGTCTGTTCATATCCTTCACCCACTTTTTGATGGGGTTGTTTGATTTTTTCTTGTAAATTTGTTTAAGTTCTTTGTAGATTCTGGATATTAGCCCTTTGTCAGATGGGTAGATTGCAAAAATTTTCTCCCATTCTGTAGTTTGCCTGTTCACTGTGATGGTAGTTTCTTTTGCTGTGCAGAAGCTCTTCAGTTTAATTAGATCCCATTTGTCAATTTTGGCTTTTGTTGCCATTTCTTTTGGTGTTTTAGTCATGAAGTCCTTGCCCATGCCTATGTCCTGAAATGTTTTGTTTAAAGTTTTGGCAATCTGAGGGTAAGAATGTCACAAGTGGCCATTAGTAAGCCATATTCTATTCATATTCTGCACCAGTAACACTCAGCTTCACTATAACCATAGAGAGCTGGCCTTACTAGTGAAATATAACACAACCTGTCTTCTTCAATTGAAAATGAATACATTTCAAAACAAAATGTTAATGACATGGTTTGCCTGTGTTCCCACACAAATTTTATCTTGAACTGTAGTTCCTATAATCCACACGTGTTGTGGGAGGGACGCGGTGGCAGGTAATTGAACCCTGGGGGCAGTTACCTCCATACTGTTATCTTGGTAGTGAGTGAATTCTCATGAGATCTGGTGGTTTTATAAAGGGCTTTCCTCCCCACTTTGCTCTTCTCTTTTCCTTGCTGCTGCCATGTGAAGAAGGATGTGTTTGCTTCCCCTTCCACCATGATTGTAAGTTTCTTGAGGCCTCCCCTGCCATGGTGAACTGTGAGTCAATTAAACCTCTTTACTTTATAAATTACCCAGTCTTGGGTATTTTTTTATTAGCAGTGTAAGAATGGAATAATATGGTAAATTGGTACTGCAGAGATTGGGATGCTGCTATAGAGATACCAAAAAAATGTAGAAGCTGCTTTGGAACTGGGTAACAGGCAGAGGTTGGAACCATTTGGAGGTTTCAGAAGAAGACAGAAAAATGTGGAAAAGTTTGGAATTTCCTAGAGGCTTGGAGGCTCAGAAGACAGGAAGATGTGGGAAGGTTCGGAACTTCCTAGAGACTTGTCGAATGGCTTTGACCAAAGTGCTGATAGTGGTATGGACAATGAAGGCCAGGCTGAGGTGGTCTCAGATGGAGATGAGGAACTTGTTGGGAACTGGAGCAAAGGTGACTCTTGCTATGCTTTAGCAAAGAGACAGGTCGCATTTTGCACCTGCCCTAGAGATCTGTGGAACTTTGAACTTGAGAGAGATGATTTAGGGTATTTGGCAGAAGAAATTTTTAAGTGGCAAAGTGTTCAAGGGGAAGCAGATCATAAAAGTTTGGAAAATTTGCAGCCTGATGATGCAATAGAAAAGAAAATCTTGGCCAGGTGTGGTGGCTTACACCTGTAATCCCAGCACTTTGGGAGGCTGAGGCAGGTGGATCACCTGAGTTCAGGAGTTCCAGACCACCTTGACCAACATGGTGAAACCCTGTCTCTACTAAAAATACAAAAAATTAGCTGGGCATGGTGGTGGGCACCTGTAATCACAGCTACTCAGGGGGCTGAGGCAGGAGAATCGCTTGAAACCTGGAGGCAGAGGTTGCAGTGAGCCGAGATCATGCCATTGCGCTCCAGCCTGGGTGACAGAGAGAGACTACATCTTAAAAAAAAAAAAAGAAAGAAAAAAAAAGAAAAGAACATCTCACTTTCTGGGGAGATATTCAAGCCTGCTGCAGAAATTTGCATGAGTAACAAGGAGTAGAATGTTAATCTCCAAGACAATGGGAAAATGTCTCTGGAGCATGTCAGAGACCTTTTTGGCAGGCCCTCCCATCACAGGCCAGGAGGCTTAGGAGGAAAAAATGGTGTTGTGGGCTGGGCCCAGGTCCCCCCTACTGCTCCAGCCATGGCTAAAAGGCCTGAAGCTCAGGCCAAGGCTTCAGAAGATGCAAGCCCCAATGCTTGGCAGCTTCTATGTGGTGTTGAGGCCACAGGTGCACAGAAGTCAAGAATTGAGGTTTGAGAACCTCCACCTAGATTTCAGAGGATGTATGGAAATGCCTGGATGTCCAGGCCAAAGTTGGATGCAGGGGTGGAGCCCTCATGGAGAACCTCTGCTAGGGCAGTGAGGAAGGGAAATGTGGGGTTGGAGCCCTCACACAGTGTCCCCACTGGGGCACTGCCTAGTGCAGCTGTGAGAAGAGGGCCATCATCCTCCAGACTCCAGAATGGTAGATCCACCAACAGCTTGCACTGTTCACCTGGAAAAGCCATAGATACTCAATGCCAGCTCATGAAAGCAGCCAGAAAGGGGGGCTGTGCCCTGCAAAGCCACAGGGACTGAGCTGTCTAAGGCCATGGGAACCCACCTCTTGCATTAGTGCTCCCTGGATGTGGGCCAATTTCTCCCATTCAGAACAGGTGTATTTACCCAATACCTGTACCCTGCCCCCTCCCCATTGTATCTAGGAAGTAACTAACTTGCTTTCAATTTTATGGGCTCATAGGCAGAAGAAACTTGTCTTGTCTCAGATGAGATTTTGGACTTGGACTTTTGAGTTAATGCTGGAATGAGTTAACTATTTAGGGGACTGTTGGAAGGGCATGATTGCATTTCAAATTGTGAGGACATGAGATTCAGGAGGGGCCAGGGACAGAATGATATGGTTTGGCTGTGTCCCCATGCAAATATCAATTTGAACTGTAGCTCCTATAATCCATATGTATCATGGAAGGGAACCCCTGGGAGATAATTGAATCATGGGGGCAGTTACCTCCATACTTTTCTCATGGTAATGAGTTCTCATGAGATCTGATGGTTTTATAAGGGGCTTTTCCCCTGTTTCACTCTGCATTTCTCCTTGCTGCCACCATGTGAAGAACAATGTGTTTGCTTCCCCTTCCACCATGATTGTAAGTTTCCTGAGGCCTCCCCAGCCATTGTGAACTGTGAGTCAATTAAACCTATTTCCTTTATACATTACCAAGTCTTGGGTGTATCTTTATTAGCACCATGAGAACAGACTAATACAGTTAAGGAGGGGAAAATGAGCATAGATCCCTCTTGTAGAGTTACTTTTAACTCTTTTAGGGAAATAAAAATTGTTCCAAAGAGTTGATGAAACTAATAGGACTTTTCTTTGAAAAACGCATATACACAGAGGTTAGTTACAACTTTGAAGGATTCTAGACCCCTAATGTCATTCCTGAACCCAGGAAATTTAAGTTTAATATGAGTGTTTATTTGGGCAGAAGCTCCAAAGACCATGTGTGAACCAAGGTGACACTTTCTACACAGAAGCTTCATTTAATAGAAAGATAGCAAACCCATATGACAGATTTTAATAGAGTATAACTCCTTGGATTTCCTTCTACTGAGAGGAGAGGTCTATGTCCTTTTGAATCTAGACAGACTCCATGACTGTTTTGACTGAAGGCTACAGCAAAAATGATGTTGTTCAAATTTCAGGCCCGGGCCTGAAGAGATTGATGGTTTCTACTTCCTTTTTCTTGGAACACTCTTGGAAGCCAGCTGCTCTGTAAGATATCTTACTACCTTAAGACTACCATGCTATGAGAAGCCCAAGGCATCTGGGGAACCCCTATAGGATTAGATGCCATGTGGAGAGGGAGAGGCTGAAAAGCACCAACACACCAAATATGTGAGTGAAGAAGCCATCTTCTATATTGGGATCCTCCTGCTGCTCCAGTTGACAACATGGGGATATGAGACAAGCTACCCCACTGAACAGTTTCATTATTCCTGACCCACAAGATTATGAGCAAAATAAAATTGCTGTGTAAGGCTACTATGTTTCATGCAATAATAGTGATATAGTTTGGCTGTGTCCCCACCCGAATCTCATCTTGAATTGTAGCTCCTATAATTCCCATGTGTTGTGGGAGGAACCTGGTGGTAGATAATTGAATCATGGGGGTGATTTCTCCCATACTGTTCCTGTGGTAGTAAGTCTCATGAGATCTGATGGTTTTATAAGAGTTTTCCCCTTTTGCTCTCATGAGATCTGATGGTTTTGTAAGAGGTTTCCTCTTTTGCTTGGATCTCATCATTCTCTCTCTTTCCTGCCACCACGTAAGACATATCTTTTGCCTTCTGCCATGATTGTGAGGCCTTCCCAGCCACATGGAATTGTGAGTCCATTAAACTTCTTTTTCTTTATAAATTACCCAGTCTCAGGTATGTCTTTATCAGCAGTGAAAATGGACTAATACAGTCAATTGGTACTGAGAGTGGGGTGCTGCTGTAAGGATACCCAAAAATGTGGAAGCGACTTTGGAACGAGGTAGCAGGCAGAGGTTGGAACAGTTTGGCGGGCTCAGAAGAAGACAAGAATATGTGGGAAAGTTTAGAACTTCCTAGAGACTTGTTGAATGGCTTTGACCAAATGCTTCTCATCTCAGATGGAGATGAGAAACTTGATGGGAACTAGAGTAAAGATGACTCTTGCTATGTTTTAGCAAAGGGACTGGTGGCATTTTGCCTTTTTCCTAGAGATTTGTGGAACTTTGAAAATGAGGGAGATGACAAACGGTATCTGGCAGAAGAAATTTCTAAGTAGCAAAGCATTCAAGATGTGACTTTGGTACTGTTAAAAACATTCAGTTTTAAAAGGGAAATAAAGCATAAAAGTTCAGAAAATTTGCAACCTGATGATGCAATAGAAAAGAAAAACCCATTTTCTAAGGGGAAATTCAAGCCAGCTGCAGAAATTTGCATAAGTAACGAGGAGCCAAATGTTAATCAAGACAATGGGGAAATTGTCTCTGGGGCATGTCAGAGACCTTCATGGCAGCCCTTCCCATCACAGGCCAGAAGGCTTAGGAGGAAAAAATGGTCTTGTGGGCTGGGCCCAGGGTCCCCCTGCTATGTGCAGCCAGGGGACTTGGTGCCCTGCATCCCAGCTGCTCTAGCCATGACTAAATGAGGTCAAGGTACAGCTTGGGCTGTGGCTTCAGAGGATGCAAGCCCCAAACCTTGGCAGCTTCCACATGGTGTTGAGCCTCGGGGTGCACAGAAGTCAATAATTGAGGTTTGGGAACCTCTGCCTAGATTTCAGTGGATGTTTGGAAATGCCTGGATGTCCAGGCAGAAATTTGCTTCAGGGACAGAGCCTTCATGCAGAACCTCTGCTAGGGCAGTGCATAAGGGAAATGTGAGGTTGAAGCCCCCACACAGAATCCCCACTGGGGCACTGCCTAGTGGAGCTATGAGAAGAGAGCCACTGTTCCTCCACACCCCAGAATGGTAGATCCACTGACAGCTTGCACTGTGCACCTGGAAAAGCCACAGACACTCAACACCAGCCCATGAAAGCAGCTAGGAGGGAAGGCTATACCCTGCAAAGCCACAGGGGCAGAGCTGCCTAAGGCTGTGGGAGCCCACCTCTTGCATCAATGTGCCCTGGATGTGAGACATGGAGTCAAAGGAGATCATTTTGGAATTTTAATATTTGACTGCCCTGCTGGAATTTGGACTTGCATGGTGCCTTTAGCCCCTTCATTTTGGCCAATTTCTCCCATTTGGAATGGGTGCATTTATCCAATGCCTGTACTCCCATTGTATCGAGGAAGTAACTAACTTCCTTTTGATTTTACAGGCTCATAGGCAGAAGGGACTTGCCTTACCTCAGATGAGACTTTGGACTGTGCACTTTTGAGTTAATGCTGAAATTAGTTAAGACTTTAGGGGACTTTTGGGAAAGCATGATTGGTTTTGAAATGTGAGGACATGAAATTTGGGAGGGGACCAGGGTGGAATTATATGGTTTGGCTGTGTCCCCAGCAAAATCTCATCTTGAATTGTAGCTCTCATAATTCCCATGTGTTGTGTGAGGGACCTGGTGGGAGATAATTGAATCATGGGGTTGGTTTCCCCCATACTGTTCTTGTGGTAGTGAATAAATCTCACAAGATCTGATGGTTTTGTAAGAGGTTTCCTCTTTCACTTGGCTCTCATCATTCTCTCTCTTGCCTGCCTCCATGTAAGATGTGCTTTTCACCTTTCACCATGATTGTGAGGTCTCCCCAGCCACATGGAACTGTGAGTCCATTAAACCTCTTTTTTTTTTTTTTTTTTAATAAATTACCCAGTCTCAGATATGTCTTTATCGGCAACATGAAAATGGACTACTACAAATAAATAACTAAAACAACTCAAATCACAATGGTATGCCTATAAATAAATTTATGCATATTCATATTTTATTCTAGTATAAATGTAAAGAAGAAACTTTGGAACTGTTTTGGTCACTAAACATTTTGGTTTTGCATAATAAAAGAACAAAGTCATTGTTTCTTGGAAACATATTAATCTAAGCATCTAAACTCTGGTCATGCCAGTGAGTGGCCATTAGTCTCAACACTTCCCTCTCTAAAATGATTCCAGCTGTGTCATCCCCACATAAAGAGCATGGCACTCCCTGCTATGTTGTCATTTGTTCAATTGGATTCATCAATCTTTATTTAGAGCCCACTGTGTTTGACATTGTGATGAATATAACACCCAGTGAACTGTTTTGTTTTCAAAGGATTTCTCTAATATAGTTAAAACAAAACATATAAACCTAACACAATTAAAGAGTGATACCTCACAAAACAAACAACTTTTAAAATGTGTAAGATGAATAATAAGCACTTTGTGTCCAGAAAAGGGAGACAATGGGTAGCATAGCAATAATAAAATTAATGATTATTATATTTTATATAAAGTATATACTATACTTTATACATGAATTATATAATTTAAGTGGGGAACAGATGTGAGATGAGATTTGAAGAAAGTTAGGATTGAAGCAGGCATGGTGAGCTTTCCAGTTAGAACACTATGCAAGAATATTGACTTTGGCAGACATTTTCATACTTATTTAGAGATAAAGTTGATTATCTTTTTAAAGTTATATTTCTTCTAAAACAGTTTCTATTTGGCATGAAAAGTGTAGCTAATTTACCTTAAGGGTCAACAAAAGTGGGGGAAAAAGTCCTTTAAATTTCATGTTAAAATGATTAGCAACAGTAATTCCCCTCCTGAAATATCTAATAACTTGTCTATTTTATTTCCATCAGACTTAGCATATTCTACTTAGGCTTACCTGACTTATAGAAACTTCAGAATATTCTGCAAATTAATGTTTTGTTTTCAGCTGTCAACTATCACCTCCTTTTATCATTCCTTAACTCAACAAGTGTTTAATGAGCATGTATTCAGTACTGGCTGGTTATATGCACCTCTTTTGCTGTGCTTGTTTATATCAACTCTAAGTTAAATTACTTTTAAATGAATATTTATGGATTAAGCATACTCATTAAATACAGCATCTCTAAAGTTTTTTCTAAATACAATGTTGCCTTTTCTTAGTAGGTTGTCTACTGGCCCAGGGCAATCTCAGGCAAACCATAAGCCTCGAAACCTCTCTGGGCATTGGTTCCTTCATTTGACAATGGAGAACATGGATAAGTCCTAAGATTGCTTCTTGATTAAGCACGCAATGATTTGTTTTCAAAGAATATAATGTAAATTGAATTTGGGGAAATCAAATAATAATTTAAATCAAGTACATAAATTATTCTAGGAGAACTCTGTTGTAAATCTTATTGTGAAGTAAATATTCTATATAGTAAAAAATAGTTCTTAATTTTTATCTTTTTCTTTTTGGTAAGGGCAGAAAATTGTGATGGTGAATCTAACTGGTGAAGTAGGAAAGTTGTTGACAGAAACTAAGTCACAGGCAGAATAGTCATCAGAATACGGCCACAAAGTTCTAACTAGATAATAGCCAAGGTGACTTTGTTAATAATTTATCCAAAAGTGTTTTACCCATACTTACCATGTTCAAAACATTGAATAAAGAGCCGAAGAAAATAGGAGCTCAGGAAGATTATATTCCAGAAAGAAACAAAGATATTAAGGAGGGGGGATGTGGCAATTTTTGAGGAATGAATAAGGATTATCTTGTAGGAACAAAAAGAACGTGTGATTGGAGCACTGTAGCAGGATGAAACTGAAAGCGTAAGCAGGAGCAAATTATGCAGTCTTGTAGGACACGTTAAAGATATTGGGCTTGATCTACAAGAAAGGGAAAATGTTGAAGGAATTTTAACAAGGGAAGGGCATAATCATTTTTGTATCTTTTAAAAGAGAATACTTTGGCTTTATGTGCAAATGAATGGAGGAGGGTGAGAACAGATAGAGACTCAGTTAAGAGACCATAGCAGAGGACCCGAAAAGCTAGAGTATGGTAGGGAAGAAGACATGCAGAGTCATGGTCTTGAGGATGAGTTTGGGAGTATTGGAATAATGAAGTTTACATCTCTATTGCCGAAATGAGGATTAGTCGTGACCACTCAAGGCAGGAGCCAGCCCCACTTATGAGGGAGAGAAGGCAGCAGAGTCTGGGGACAGGCTCCTAGACACCTTCTGGATCAGATACTTCCTCTAGAAATGAGGGAGTTCAAGTCTAGGCAGGATGTGACTTTTCCAAGTCTCACAAATGATAAGAGGTAAAATTAGGTCCAAAACCTGAATCCAAAAAAACTGTTCTGGCCACCATAGGCTATTAGTGCTTTTGGAACACTTCCCACCTTACCAGATCCTCCTCCTACATAAAATTGAGATTATAGTATATATCCTGGATACACATGGCCAACCCAACTTATTCCTCCTTCTGTTATATAACTTTTAAGTCAATAACTTTTCAGATCTACAGCTAATTTAGGAGAATTACCCCAGCAAATAATTCTATTAAGCCATGTTTGGAGTCAGCAGGTTGCTATGTAAAGCCAAAACAAATTGTTTTTCTACGTGAGAAGATGACATTTCTCCCCACTCTAATAAGGTAATTTTATTGCATTATTAGGCCATACATTGCTGTGAGTAGGCAGACTCACAGTATAAAGAAAAAATGATTTCTATTGATTGTTCAGAAATAAAGCAATAACTCTCCCTATTTTAACTGAAGCAAAGAACAGAACATAATGAAACAAAGAATATGCTGGGAGATAATGTAAAATGAAAAGGGAGACTTTTCCCCCCAAGTTTTATTTTAAGTAAAAAGGATCCATGTGCATATTTGTTACACGTGTGTTGCTGGGGCTTGGTGTACAAATTATTTCATCACACAGGTAATGGTGATGAAACGGTGATCAGGTACCAACTTTTTTGGTACCCAATAGGTAGTGTTTCAATCCTCACCCTTCTCTCAACCTCCACCCTAAAGTAGGTGTCTATTGTTCCCTTCTTTGTGTCCATGTGTACTCAATGTTTAGCTTCCACTTATAAGTGAGAATGTGGGGTATTTGGTTTTATGTTCCTGCGTTAATTCACTTAGGATAATGTCATCCAGCTGCATCCATGTTGCTGCAAAGGACATGATCTCATTTTTAATGGCTGCATAATATTTCATGTTGTATAGGTATCATACTTTCTTTTTCCAATCCACTGTTAATGGGCATCAGGTCATCGAGGTTGATTCCATGTCTTTGCTACTGTGAATAGTGCTGCAACGAACATACACATGCATGTGTCCTTACGGTAGAATGATTTATATTCTTTTCAGTATGTACCCAGTAATGGGATTTCTGGGTTGATTGGTAGTTCTGTTTTAAGTTCTTTGAGAAATCTCCAAACTGCTTTCCACAGTGGCTGAACTATTTACATTCCCACTAGCAGTGCATAAGTGTTCCCTTTTCTCTACAACCTCACCAGCATCTGTTATTTTTGGACGTTTTTGATAACAGCCATTCTGACTGGTGGGAGTTGGATCTCATTGTGGTTTTGATTTGCATTTCTCTAATTACTAGTGATGTTGAACATTTTTTCGCATGCTTGTTGGTCATGTGCATGTCTTCTTTTGAAAAGCATCTGTTCATGTCCTTTGCCCACTTTTTAATGGGGTTGTTTGCTTTTTGCTTCTAAATGTGTTTAAGTTCCTTATAAATTCTTGATGTTAGACCTCTGCTGGATACATAGTATGCAAATATTTTCTCCCATTCTATAGGTTGTCTGCTTACTTTGTTGATAGTTTCTTTTGCTATGCAAAGCTCTTTAGTTTAATTAGGTCTCACTTGTCAATTTTGGTTTTTGTTGCAATTTTTTTTGGAGTTTTTGTCATGAAATCTTTGCCAGAGCCTGTGTCCAGAGTTGTATTTCCTCTGTTTTCTTCTAGGATTTTTTTTTTTAGAGTTTTAGGCTTTACATTTAAGACTTTAATCCATCTTGAGTTGATTTTTGCACATGGTGAAAGGAAGGGGTCCAGTTTCAATCTGCTGCATAAGCCTAGCCAGTTATCCCAGCACCATTTATTGAATAGAGAGTCCTTTCCCCATTGCTTGTTATTGTCAGTTTTGTCAAAGATCAGATGGTTTATAGGTGTGTGGCTTTATTTCTGGGTTCTCTGTTTTGTTCTATTGATCTATGTGTCTGCTTTTGTACCAGTATCATGCTGTTTGGGTTATTATAGCCTTGTAGTACATTTAGAAGTAAGGTAGTGTGATGCCTCCAGCTTTGTTCCTTTTGTTTAGGATTGCCTTGACTACTCGGCCTCTTTATTGGTTCTATGTGAATTTTACAATAGTTTTTTCTAATTCTGTGAAAAGCGTCATTGGTAATTTGATATGAATAGCATTGAATCTATAAATTTCTTCAGAGAGTATAGCCATTTTAACAATATTGACCTTCCTCTCCATTATCATAGAATATTTTACCCTTTGTGTCATCTCTGATTTCTGAAAAGGAAGATTTAACTCTGGTATAATTTCTTGCCAAAAGAGGTACATTAAATTACACACAATACAGCTCTAAAATAAATAGGAGAATTTTAAAAAAATATAGAAGTCATTACGGAAGAGCTCATTTATTCCTTTTAAAGTTAATTATCATAGGTGGTATTTATATACAGGGGATAGTTAGATGTTTACACTAGTGCAATTTTGTGCCTTCTCATTGTCAGATAATCACTCCAGGCATCATATGCCTCTTTTTTATTTCAGAATTCCTAAATACATTGAGTGCATTGGTTGAGATAATATATCATAACTAAAATGATTCTATTGACCAACTTAGGCCATTTGCCCTTAGAATTGAATTCCAAGTAAAGATATACAAAGTATTTATTTCACTAATTAACTAAGGATACTGTTCCAATGTCCTGGAAATTTTATTTAAAGATTTGCTTCTGTTTATTTTACATGACAATTATAGTAATGCAATATAAATATGTAAAGACATCCAGGTGAGATGGAAGCATTGGGCAATGGATGTGGATTGGATGAGGAGCCAAGAGCTAGGCTCTATTTCTATCTCTGACTTATGAGCTGTGAGACCTTGGCAAATTTCCTTAATCAGGCTGAATTTCAGTTCCCTCTTTTAAAAATCTTAAAATCTATTTAAAAAGAACTCTTTTAAAAACTCAAAAAAATGTTTCTTGCCTGGCCAATTCACAGTGTGGTGAGGGGCACTCAAGAGGAAATACTATTAAAATAATAAATGGTATAGAAACATAGATATTAATGTTAAGGGTAAAGGTAACATAGGTTTTTTTGAGGGTCAAAATATTTTATTTGTAAAGCGCTTTGAAATGATCAGAGATGCTATAAACACAAACTATAGTTGTGGATCTGGTAAATATAAATGCTGAGCTAAAAAGTCCCCAAATGGTTTGAAATCCATGTGTGGCACTGGAAAGGAGATGGAGGATGGAGGCAATTAGGAAAACAGTGGTGAAATATGTAGAGACATCCTGCCTATGGAGGACTTCCGGGAGCAAAACAAGAAAAGATTGCCCCAAATGGTCCAGTACCACTGCTGATCTAATGCTGTTCAGTTATCAGTTACTAAGTGGCAGTTACCCTAATATTATGACATGTAATTTTTTAAGAGACAAATAATAATTGTATATATTTAAGAGGTATAATGTGATGTTTTGATATATGTATATATTGTGGAATGATTAACTCAAGCTAATTAATATATCCATCACCTCATATACTCACATATACTCTTTTTTTTGTGGTGAGAGCATTTAAAATACACTCTTTTAACAATTTTGAAATATATAATACATTATTATTAACTGTAGTCATCATGCTATTCAATAGACCAGTAAAACTTATTCTTCTTATCTAACTGAAATTTTATAGCCTTTGAACAACATCTTCCCTTTTCCCCACAGCCAAGCCCTGGCAAACACCATTCTACTCTCTGCATCTATAGATTTGGCTTTTGTTTTTTTGTTTTTTTTTTTGGATTCTAGACGAGTGATATTATGCAGCAATTGTGTGGCTGTACCTAGCTTACTTCACTTAGCATAATGTCCTTCAGGTTCATCCACATTGCTGCTAATGACAGGATTTCCTTATTCATTAAGGTTAAATAATATATATAAACACACACTACATTTTCCTATTTCATTCATCCATTGATAGTCACTTAGAGTTATTTCATATCTTGGCTATTGGGATAATCCTTCAGTGAATATTCGGGTGGAGATACCTCTGACATACTGATTTCAGTTCCTTTGGATATACAACCAGAAATGGGATTGCTGGATCATATGGTAGATCTATTTTTACTTTATTAAGGAAACTCCATACTGTTTTCTATAATGTCTATACTAATTTTTCATTTCCACCAACAATGTGAAAGGATTCCCTTTTGTTCATGTCCTTGCTAACACTTGTTATATCTTGTCTTTTTGTAATAGCTATTCTAACAGGAGTGAGGTAATATCTCACTACAGTTTTGATTTGCATTTCCTTGATAATTAATGACGTTGACCATTTTTTCATATACCTGTTGGCCATTTGTATATCTTCTTTTGAGAAATATCTATTCTGGTACTTTGCCCATTTTTTAATCAGGTTATTTTTTTTCTTGCTATTGAGTTGCTTGAGTTTAATATATATTTCTGCCCAGTTCGATATATATAACTGCCCCGATCAATGTCATGGAGCTTTTTGCCTATGTTTTCTTGTAGCATGTGTGGGTTTGCTTCTGGGTGCTCTATTTGGTTCCATTGGTTGATATTTCTGTTTTTAAGGCCAATATCATGAGATTTTGATTACTATAGCTTTATAATATATGTTGAGATGAGGTAATGCCATGCCTTCCCTTGTTCTTTTGGCTCAAATTTGTTGCAGCTATTTGGGGTCTTTTATGGTTTTACATGAGTTTTGGGGTTTTAAAAAATTTCTGTGAAAAATGGCATTGGAATTTGGATAGGGATTGCATTGAATATGTAGATAGCTTTGGGTAGTATGGATATTTTAACAATATTAATTTTTCCAACCCACAAACATGGGATATCTTCTCATTTATTTATGTCATCTTAGATTTCTTTCATCAATATTTTAGACTTTTCAGTGTACAAATCTTTGACTGTCTTAGTTAAATTTACTCCTAAGTATTTTCCATGTAATTTTTGTATGTTGATTTTGTATCTTGAAACTTTACTAAATTTATTTATTAGTTCTAACAGTTTTTGGTGGAATCTTTAGGGTTTTCTATGTATAAGATTATTTGGTCAGCAAATAGAGACAATTTCACTTCTTCCTTTCTGATTGGATGCCTTTTATTTTTTTCTTTTTCTTTTTCCTTTTCTTTTTCTTTCTTTCTCTCTTTTGCCCAATTGCTCTGGCAATTAGAACTTCCAGTACTATATTGAATAGAAGTGTGAGAGTGGACATCCTTGTCTTGGTCCCTGTCTTAGAAGAAAAGTTTTCAACTTTTTACCATTAAGTATGATGTTAGCTATAGGCTAGTGATCTATGGCCTTTATTGTGTTGAGGTACATTCCTTCTATACCTAATTTGTTGAGAATTTTTATCATGAAAGTGTGTTGAATTTTGTCAACTTCTTTTTCTGCATCTATCAAGATGATCGATCATATGGCTTTTACTTTTCATTCTGATAATATGGTGAATCATTTTATTGGTTTCTGTATGTGGAACCATCCTAGGCAAGTCAGATTTTGGATTTCCTCCTTTATGTTCCATTCTGTAACATGTTAATGGGAACCGGAATTCAGATCAGAATAACAGCTTAGGAACCAAAGCAGGTATATATATATGTGTGTGTGTGTGTGCGTGTGTGTGTATATTCTAATATATATATTAGAAAAGTTTTGTTGCTGATTTTAATAAACATCTGTTGAATCCAAAGAAGTATCCTGGGTGTGGGAAAGATAAACTTTTAGGCATATCAACAGCAAAATTGCTTTAAATTTTTATTAGATTTAGTGGAAAGTTTTCATTACATTTTATTTAATTTAAAAATTCATAAAATTTTATAAGATTTTTCTTAAAACGTGAAAGGGAAGAGAGAACTTCCTCACCCTCATTTACTGAAAGTTTTCCTAAAATATATTTCATAGAACAATAGTTCTTAAAAAAAAACTTCTGCAAAATAAAATATCCATGGTGAAATAAGTTTAAAATATTCAGAGACTCTGATGGCATTTTAAATGCTCTGAGAAATGCTGTAATATATTATTATAAGTGTATCTGGTATCAGGATGATGCTGGCCTCATAAAATGAGTTAGGGAGGATTCCCTCTTTTTCTATTGATAGGAATAGTTTCAGAAGGAATGGTACCAGTTCCTCCTTGTACCTCTGGTAGAATTCAGCTGTGAATCCACCTGGTCCTGGACTCTTTTTGGTTGGTAAGCTATTGATTATTGCCACAACTTCAGATCCTGTTATTTGAAGGGCTTTTTGTGTCTCTATTTCCTTCAGTTCTGCTCTGATTTTAGTTATTTCTTGCCTTCTGCTAGCTTTTGAATGTGTTTGCTCTTGCTTTTCTAGTTCTTTTAATTGTGATGTTAGGGTGTCAATTTTGGATCTTTCCTGCTTTCTCTTGTGGGCATTTAGTGCTATAAATTTCCCTCTACACACTGCTTTGAATGTGTCCCAGAGATTCTGGTATGTTGTGTCTTTGTTCTCATTGGTTTCAAAGAACATCTTTATTTCTGCCTTCATTTCGTTATGTACCCAGTAGTCATTCAGGAGCAGGTTGTTCAGTTTCCATGTAGTTGAGCAGTTTACCAAAGCCAGGCAGAGACACAACCAAAAAAGAGAATTTTAGACCAATATCCTTGATGAACACTGATGCAAAAATCCTCAATAAAATACTGGCAAACCGAATCCAGCAGCACATCAAAAAGCTTATCCACCATGAGCAAGTGGGCTTCATTCCTGGGATGCAAGGCTGGTTCAATATACGCAAATCAATAAATGTAATCCAGCATATAAACAGAACCAAAGACAAAAACCACATGATTATCTCAATAAGATGCAGAAAAGGCCTTTGACAAAATTCAACACCCCTTCATGCTAAAAACTCTCAATAAATTAGGTATTCATGGGACATATCTCAAAATAATAAGAGCTATCTATGACAAACCCACAGCCAATATCATACTGAATGGGCAAAAACTGGAAGCATTCTCTTTGAAAACTGGGACAAGACAGGGATGCCCTCTCTCACCACTCCTACTCAACATAGTGTTGGAAGTTCTGGCCAGGGCAATTAGGCAGGAGAAGGAAATAAAGGGTATTCAATTAGGAAAAGAGGAAGTCAAATTGTCCCTGTTTGCAGATGACATGATTGTATATCTAGAAAACCCCATCTTCTCAGCCCAAAATCTCCTTAAGCTGATAGGCAACTTCAGCAAAGTCTCGGGATACAAAATCAATGTACAAAAATCACAAGCATTCTTATACACCAATAACAGACAAACAGAGAGCCAAATCATGAGTGAACTCCCATTCACAATTGCTTCAAAGAGAATAAAATACCTAGGAATCCAACTTACAAGGGAAGTGAAGGACCTCTGCAAGGAGAACTACAAACCACTGCTCAATGAAATAAAAGAGGATACAAACAAATGGAAGAACATTCCATGCTCATGGGTAGGAAGAATCAATATCATGAAAATGGCCATACTTCCCAAAGTAATTTATAGATTCAATTCCATCCCTATCAAGCTACCAATGACTTTCTTCACAGAATTGGAAAAAACTACTTTAAAGTTCATATGGAACCAAAAAAGAGTCCGCATCGCCAAGTCAATCCTAAGCATAAAGAACAAAGCTGGAGGCATCACACTACCTGACTTCAAACTATACTACAAGGCTACAGTAACCAAAACAGCATGGTACTGGTACCAAAACAGAGATATAGATCAATGGAACAGAACAGAGCCCTCAGAAATAACGCCACATATCTACAACTATCTGATCCTTGACAAACCTAGGAAAAACAAGCAATGGGGAAAGGATTTCCTATTTAATAAATGGTGCTGGGAAAACTGGCTAGCCATATGTAGAAAGCTGAAACTGGATCCCTTCCTTACACCTTATACAAAAAATAATTCAAGATGGATTAAAGACTTAAACGTTAGACTTAAAACCATAAAAACCCTAGAAGAAAACCTAGGCATTACCATTCAGGAAATAAGGATGAGCAAGGACTTCATGTCTAAAACACCAAAAGCAATGGCAACAAAAGCCAAAATTGACAAATGGGATCTAATTAAACTACACAGCTTCTGCACAGCAAAAGAAACTACCATCAGAGTGAACAGGCAACCTACAAAATGGGAGAAAATTTTCGCAACCTACTCATCTGACAAAGGGCTAATATCCAGAATCTACAATGAACTCAAACAAATTTACAAGAAAAAAACAAACAACCCCATCAAAAAGTGGGTAAAGGATATGAACAGACTCTTCTCAAAAGAAGACATTTATGCAGCCAACAGACTTATGAAAAAATGCTCACCATCACTGGCCATCAGAGAAATGCAAATCAAAACCACAATGAGATACCATTTCACATCAGTTAGAATGGCAATCATTAAAAAGTCAGAAAACAACAGGTGCTGGAGAGGATGTGGAGAAATAGAAACACTTTTACACTGTTGGTGGGACTGTAAACTAGTTCAACCATTGTGGAAGTCAGTGTGGCGATTCCTCAGGGATCTAGAACTAGAAATACCATTTGACCCAGCCATCCCATTACTGGGGATATACCCAAAGGATTATAAATCATGCTGCTATAAAGACACATGCACACGTATGTTTATTGCGGCATTATTCACAATAGCAAAGACTTAGAACCAACCCAAATGTCCAACAATGATAGACTGGATTAAGAAAATGTGGCACATATACACCATGGAATACTATGCAGCCATAAAAAATGATGAGTTCATGTCCTTTGTAGGGACATGGATGAAACTGGAAATCATCATTCTCAGTAAACTATCGCAAGGACAAAAAACCAAACACCACATGTTCTCACTCACAGATGGGAATTGAACAATGAGAACACATGGACACAGGAAGGGGAACATCACACTCTGGGGACTGTTGTGGGTGGGAGGAGGTGGGAGGGATAGCATTAGGAGATATACCTAATGCTAAATGACGAGTTAATGGGTGCAGCACACCAGCATGGCACATGTATACATATGTAACTAACCAGCACGTTGTGCACATGTACCCTAAAACTTAAAGTATTAAAAAAAAAAAGTGTATCTGTATTTTTGTGTTCATGAAGGGGGTATTCATATCTACATATTCATGTAGATATGTGAAGATACAATTTTCTGACTGTGATTTTATCACATCCCTCGATTTTTCCACTGTTCCATCCTTCTGTCACTCATCTGTTTCTCAGTCTTCAACTGCAGAACAAGAAGCTGAGGCAGAGACATAATGAACACTTATTAAACTGCTTGTATGGTATAAAAACAAAAAAGACGGTCAACAAAAAGCTGGTTAGGAAAATATAAAAATCGGTCTTTATACAAACTGGCTTTTAGTAAATTGGTGTGCTGCCAGAAATAGGACGGAAAAATGCTCCTGTGTAGCATGAGCAGGAGCCAGCAGCTCCAGTATGCTCCAGTGACTGACAGTTCAGGTTACTCCATGGCAGAGTCTAGGGACATGGGCAGCCTAAGCCAGGGGACAGATGGAGGACAAGCTTGAGACTTGAACCATCTTAGCATCAATGAAAGCTATGATGGAAGCAAAGCAAGTCAGGAAGGAGGCTGGAATTCCCTGCCATGCAGTGAGGACACACCCCAAATTCCACCAGCTGCAGAACTTTAGCAGGAGAATCATCAAGGCTTCACATAGAGAAGCCAGGAAATACAAGTTAAACCTCAACCAGAGGCCAATGGGAACCAGTAGAGGCAAGGGTCCCCTTTCCCAAAGTCTCATGGTGTGCGGTGCAGAGGCATCCCTTTGAACTAGGCCTCATGATGGGAAGGAGGAGGGGGAGTGTGACTCTTTGAAAGGATAGAAGCATCCTTGATAGGAAATTTGAATTTTGAATTATCAGACTATTTCCCCAAAAGACTGAGTTAATCCAATAAAATCAATAGTTCTGACAGCACACTTATAATGATATTTTAGGAAATAATAAGGAGTTTAAGCTGCTTGACGCCTGACCTGTAGTCCCCAGCACAGAGCCTCATACGACACAAGCCTAAAATAAATATTTGCCGAAACTCTGATAACATAGTTCAAAATGAATATCTAGAAATAGAGAAAGCCAATTTTGTTCGGCTCAATTCTTTCTCAGCCACAGAGATGTATTTTGAGAAACTTTAGTGTTGCTTTCACACATCACATTCTTTTAGGTCACGTCAAGTGATCAACTTCACATTAGGTAAAGAGTATTTCCTCGTAGCAAGACCCTCACATTACAGACCAAACTGCCACATGAGTTATCTGTAGGGCCCAGACATCCCTCATGTACGAATACTTTAAACACCTCATAAAATGAATAGGGTAATTTTATAAGTATGAAAATTATGGAACCAAAGAGATTCACATTTTTGTTCTTGACTAAAAAAGATGCATTTATTGCAATCTTGTGTTTTTACTTGACATAAAGAGTAAATACTTTGCCTTCCAATTTGGCTTTCTAGTGGCGTTCCACATCCCAATGGCAGTTTTTAAGTGCTACTCGACTGATATCAAGGATGTTGTCTTATATCAGAGCAGCTTGGATTTTCTACATTCTTATAAACTTTCCTACTATAAACTTGTTACCATGTTGTGTGATTCCAGAAATGATTTTGGGAAATATCTGTCTCTTGATGTTTGTATTAGTGATTCCTTACCTGTGTGTCTTGCCTTATCTGATTTCTCCCACACTTTCAAATCTGCAAAGTTGAAGCCAGTTTGGAATATCTAGTGTTCCTTTCTGTCCAGAACAGCAAAGGTTAAGGTAGGGTACACCTGGTTGCTGTATGTCAGGTGATTCTCAGTCCTGACTGCACATTAGAATCACCTAGAAAGCTTTTGAAATTACAGATGATTATAATGTGTAGCTGAGGTTGAGAACCATATTCAAAATGAAGTTCCTCTAAGTAGAAATCCACAAAATAGAAGTCACTGAGCTGCAGAGGAACACAACCCATTTATCTTTGCTCTTTTATGTATATCTTCTTCATTCTACTCCTTCCCACTGCCCCACCAGGTTTTTGGATGAAGAGCACTATCCTCTTTTTTTTTTTTTTTTGGTGGGGGGACAGAGTCTCGCTTAGTCGCTCAAGCTGGAGTAGTGCATTGGCATGATCAGATCGCAGCTCACTGCAACCTCCTCCTCCTGGGTTAAAGCTATTCTCCTGCCTCAGCCTCTACAGTAGCTGGGATTACAGGCACCTGCCATTACGCCTGGCTAAGTTTTGCATTTTTAGTAGAGACGGGGTTTCACCATGTTGGTGGTGGGCCAGGATGGTCTCAAACTCCTGACCTCAAGCGATTCACCCACCTTGGTTTCCCAAAGTGCTGGGATTACAGGCGTGAGCCACCGTGCCTGGTCGGATGAAGAGCACTATCCTAATGTGTGCCTCTGTATGTTTTCTTTGAAGGCAGAGGAGGGGAGCAATGGGAGAAGAATGAGGATGGAAAGAGTGCTAGGGATGAGTAGACACAATGTTACAATGGCCAACTAGCACAAGCTGAAGGTTCCATCTTCCTACCCAATACTGAGGGATGATTTCAAAGTGAGAGGAAAGTGTGTAAATCTGAAGGACCAAGGATAAAGTAGGAGACAGAAGGTAGTTGTGTCCTAGGGAGGAAAGGCAGCCTAGAGGAGATCATAAGGGCATTAATGTTTTGGAAAAGAGCAATGAGTGGGTAAAAAATAGGAAGGTTCTCTGAGGGGAAAACCATCTCCCCTCCCTGGCCACTTAAAGTCACAGGAGTGAATAAGCTGGGGCCTGTGCTTTTCCACCCCTACCCCATTGCTAGCCTAAGCAACCCATACCCCCAGGGATAAATGAGTTCTCAGGAATAATAACCAAACATACGAGGAATATAACCACTTTCTAAAGGACATAGCAGATGAATAATTTGTTCTAGATGAGGCAGAATTGTTGAACCAGACCAAACAAAACTTCAAAATAAACATAATACATTTCTCCCAAGAGATAAAAAAGAAACAGGAATATTCAGTTATAAAGAAGAGCCAATTGAGGGCCAGGTGTGGTGGCTCATGCCTGCAATTCCGGCACTTTGGGAGGCTGAGGTGGGTGGATTGCCTGAGGTCAGGAGTTCCAGGCCAGCCTGGCCAACATGGTGAAACCCCATCTCTACTAAAAATACAAAACTTAGCCAGGCATGGTGGTGCATGCCTGTAGTCCCAGCTCTCGGGAGGCTGAGGCAGGATAATTCGTTGAACTTGGGAGGTGGAGGTTGCAGTGAGCCAAGATTGTGCCACTACACTCCAGCATGCATGATACAGTGAGACTGAGTCTCAAAAAAATAAAATAAAATAAAGAAAAATGAAGAGCCAATTGGAAACCATGAATATAAAAAACATTACAGTAGAGGTAAAATATTAGAAAGCTGGGCTAAATATTGGAAAGAATATAGTTCAAATATGCTAATGAGCTGGTCAAAGAATTCTCCCAAATGGTGTCAGAAGGAGGAATTTCCTTAAAGTAAGGTTAACGAACATGGTGGTGAAAGAGAAACTCTGAAGATCTGTGTGTTACAATATAGGAAATATGGAAAAAATTAAGAGCCAAACTATCTCAATATCAAAACAGGTAGAAAAAGAAGTACCTCGTGCAAACATAATATCATGAAATTTGAAAACATCAAAGAGAACATTTTTTAAGTTTCCAGAGAGAAAGAGAAAAACACATTAAGAAAACAGAATAAGATTGCTATAAAACTTTAGAACAGAGACACAGGAAAGAGAAAGATAATGTAGCAATATTTTCTAGGTGATGAAAAACAAAAACTTTGAACTCCGAATTTTTTATCCAGTTAAGCAGTAATTTAAATGTGAATTGCTATAAAGATGTTCTCAGACAAAGAATGACCCTCAGAAGTTCTTGCAAGTAAAAACAAAAGCAGTTTTGCTGGAAGTCTAACAGCAGAGAGATTCCAGGAGGAATTTGTACATTACATGGGAAGGAAAGGTTGTGTAAATAATTTAGTGAAGATTAGCAGAAGCCACAAACAAAGTATATTCATGACATTCCAGAACTATTGATAAGACAGACATTCTTGAATGTGGAGGCTGGGGAGGGAGAGAATAAGCAAGCTAAAGTACATGTCTTCCTTGAGGGGAAGATGAAGGCATTAAGTTTAAGAAATTGATCTTCGGCGCCCGACTGGCAAGGTGGCCAAATAGGAACAGCTCAGGTCTGCAGCTCCCAGCGAGATCAATGCAGAAGGTGCTGCATTTCCAACTGAGGTACCCAGCTTATCTCATTGGGATTGGTTAGACAGTGGGTGCAGCCCACAAAGAGTGAACCGAAGCAGGGTGGGGCATCAACTCACCCGGAACCCGGGAAGCACAAAGGTCAGGGAACTCCCTCCCCTAGCCAAGGGAAGTCATGAAGGACTGTGCCTTGAGGAAGTGTACACTCCAGCCCAGATGCTATGCTTTTCCCACAGTCTTCACAACCTGTAGACCAGGAGATTACCTTGGGTGCCTATGCCACCAGGGCCCTGGGTTTCAAGCACAAAAGTTGGCAGCTGTTTGGGCAGACACCAAGCTAGCTGCAGGAGTTTCTTTTCATACCCCAGTGGCACCTGGAACACCAGTGAGAGAGAACTGTTCACTCCCCTGGAAAGGGGGCTGAAGCCAGGGAGCCAAGTGGTCTAGCTCAGCAGGTCCCACCCCCACAAAGCCCAGCAAGCTGAGATCCACTAGCTTGAAACTCTCACTGCCAGCACAGCAGTCTGAAGTTGACTTGGGATGCTTGAGCTTGGTGGGAAGAGGGGCGTCCACCATTACTGAGGCTTGAGTAGGTGGCTTTCCCCTCACAGTGTAAACAAAGCTGCCAGGGAGTTTGAACTGGGTGGAGCCCACCATAGCTCAGCAAAGCTTCTGTAGCCAGATTGCCTCTCTAGATTCCTCCTCTCTGGGCAGGGCATCTCTGAAAGAGAGGCAGCAGCTTCCAGACAAAGAAACAGACAGAAATCTTTGCTGTTCTGCAGCCTCCACTGGTGATAACCAGGCAAACAGGGTTTGGAGTAGACCTCTAGTAAACTCCAGCAGACCTGCAGCAGAGGGGCCTGACTGTTAGAAGGAAAACTAACAAACAGAAAGGAATAGCATCAACATCAGCAAAAAGGATGTCCACACAGAAACCCCCACCAAAAGGTCACCAACATCAAAGACCGAAGATAGATAAATATACAAAGATAAGGAAAAACCACCTAAAAAAGGCTAAAAATTCCAAAAATCAGAATGCCTCTTCTCCTCCAAAGGATCACAACTCCTTGTCAGCAAGGGAACAAAACTGGATGGAGAAAGAGTTTGCTGAATAGACAAAAGTAGGCTTCAGAAGGTGGGTAATAACAAACTCCTTTGAGCTAAAGGAGCATGCAAGGAAGCTAAGAACCTTGAAAAAAGGTTGGATGAATAGCTAACTAGAATAACCAGTTTAGAGAAGAACATAAATGACCTGATGGAGCTGAAAAACACAGCATGAGAACTTCATGAAGCATACACAAGTATCGATAGTCAAATCGATCAAGTGGGAGAAAGGATATCAGAGATTGAAGATCACCTTAATGAAATAAGGTATGAAGACAAGATTAGAGAAAAAAGAATGAAAAGAAATGAACAAAGTCTCCAAGAAATATGGGACTATGTTAAAAGACCAAACCTATGTTTGACTGGCATACCTGAAAGTGACAGGGAAAATACAACCCAAGCTGGAAAACACTCTTCAGGATATTATCCAGGAGAACTTCCCCGACCTAGCAAGGCAGGCCAACATTCAAATTCTGGAAATACAGAGAACATCACAAAGATACTCCTCAAGAAGAGCAACCCCAAGACGTATAATCATCAGATTCACCAAGGTTGAAATGAAGGAAAAAATGTTAAGGGCAGCCAGAGAGAAAGGTCAGGTTACCCACAAAGGGAAGCCAATCAGACTAACAGCAGATCTCTCTGCAGAAACCCTGCAAGCCAGAAGAGAGTGAGAACCAATATTCAACATACTTAAAGAAAAGAATTTTCAACCCAGAATTTCATATCCAGCCAAACTAAGCTTCATAAGTGAAGGAGAAGTAAAATCCTTTACAGACAAGCAAATGCTAAGAGATTTTGTCACCACCAGGCCTGCCTTACAAGAGCTCCTGAGGGAAGCACTAACCATGGAAAGGAAGAACTGGTACCAGCCACTGCAAAAACATACCAAATTGTAAAGACCATTGACACTACAAAGAAATTGCATCAACTAATGGGCAAAATAACCAGCTAGCATCATAATGACAGGATCAAATTCACACATAATAATATCAACCTTAAATATAAATGGGCTAAATGCCCCAATTAAAAGACACAGACTGGCAAATTGGATAAAGAGTCAAGACCCATCAGTTTGCTGTATTCAGGAGACTCATCTCACATGCAAAGACAAATATAGGTTCAAAATAAAGAGATGGAGGAATATTTATGAAGCAAATGGACAGCAAAAAAAAGCAGGAGTTGTAATCCTAGTCTCTATTAAAACAGACTTTAAATCAACAAAGATCAAAAAAGACAAAGAGGGGCATTACATAATGGTAAAGGGATCAATGCAAAAAGAAGAGCTAACTATCCTAAATATATATGCACCTAATACAGAAGCATTCAGATTCATAAAGCAAGTTCTTAGAGACCTACAAAGAGATGTAGACTCCCACACAATAACCATGGGAGACTTTAACACCCCATTGTCAGTATTCGACAGATCAACAAGACAGAAAATTAACAAGGATATTCAGGACTGGAACTCAGCTCTGGACCAAGTGAACCTAACAGACATCTACAGAACTCTCCACCACAAATCAACAGAATATACTTTCTTCTCAGCACCACATTGCACTTATTCTAAAATTAACCATATAATTGGAAGTAAAACATTCCTCAGCAAATGCAAAAGAACAGAAATCATAACAAACAGTCTCTCAGACCACAGTGTAATCAAATTAGAACTCAGGATTAAGAAACTCACTCAAAACCACACAACTACCTGGAAACTGAACAACATGCTCCTGAGTGACTACTGGGTAAATAACGAAATTAAAACAGAAATAAATAAGTTATTTGAAACCAATGAGAACAAAGACACAACGTACCAGAATCTCTGGGACACAGCTAAAGCAGTGTTTAAGGGGAAATTTACAGCAATAAATGCCCACAGGAGAAAAGTGGAAGAATCTAAATTTGGCACACTAACATCACAATTAAAAGAATAAGAGAAGCAAGAGAAAACAAATTCAAAAGCTAGAAGAAGACAAGAAATAACTAAGATCAGAACAGAACTGAAGGAGATAGAGACACAAAAAACCCTTCAAAAAATCAATGAATCCAGGAGCTGGTTTTTTAAAAAGATCAACAAAACAGATAGACTGCTAGCTAGACTAATAAAGAAGAAAAGAGAAAAGAATCAAACAGACAACATAAAAATTGATAAAGAGGATATCACCACTGATTGCACAGAAATACAAACTACCATCAGAGAATACTATAAACACCTCTATGCAAATAAACTAGAAAATCTAGAAGAAATGGATACATTCCTAGACACATAGACACCCTCAGGAAGAAGTTG
The DNA here is from genome assembly GCF_000001405.40 of Homo sapiens. Taxonomy (NCBI): domain Eukaryota; kingdom Metazoa; phylum Chordata; class Mammalia; order Primates; family Hominidae; genus Homo; species Homo sapiens. The sequence continues at coordinate 63,199,671 of NC_000012.12, forward strand.
AATCCCTGAATAGACCAATAACAAGTTCTGAAATTGAGGAAGTATTTAATAGCCTACCAACCAGAAAAAGTCCAGGACCAGATGATTCACAGCCGAATTCTACCAGAGGTACAAAGAGGAGCTGGTACCATTCCTTCCGAAACTATTCCAAACATTAGAAAAATGGGACTCCTCCTTATCTCATTTCATGAGGCCAGCATCATCCTGATACTAAAACCTGGCAGCAACACAATAAAAAAAAAAATTTTAGGCCAAAATCCTTGATGAACATCAATGCGAAAATCCTCAATAAAATACTGGCAAACCGAATTCAGCAGCACATCAAAAAGTTTATCCACCACGATCAAGTCGACTTCATCCCTGGGATGCAAGGCTGGTTCAAAATATACACAAATCAATAAATGTAATCCAGCATATAAACAGAACCAAAGACAAAAACCACATGATTATCTCAATAGATGTAGAAAGGGCCTTTGATAAAATTCAACACCCCTTCATGCTAAAAACTCTCAATAAACTAGACATTGATGGAATGTATCTCAAAATAATAAGAGCTATTTATGACAAACCCACATCCAATATCATACTGAATGGGCAAAAACTGGAAACATTCCTTTTGAAAACTGCAACAAGACAAGGATGCCCTCACTCACCACTCCTATTCAACATAGTATTGGAAGTTCTGGCCAGGGCAATCAGGCAAGAGAAAGAAAGAAAGATATTTAAATAGGAAGATAGGAAGTCAAATTGTCTCTGATTGCAGATGACATGACTGTATATTTAGAAAACCCCATCGTCTCCGCCGAAAATCTCCTTAAGCTGATAAGCAACTTAATCAAAGTCTCAGGATGCAAAATCAATGTGCAAAAATTACAAGTATTCCTATACACCAATCATAGGCAGAGAGCCAAATCATGAGTGAACTCCCATTCACAGTTGCTAAAAAGAGAATAAAATACCTAGGAATGCAACTTACAAGGGATGTGAAGGACCTCTTCAAGGAGAACTACAAACCACTGCTCGAGGAAATAAGAGAGGACACAAACAAATGTAAAAAGATTCCATGCTCATTTATAGGAAGAATCAATATCATGAAAATGCCCATATGACCAAAGTCATTTATAGATTCAATGCTACTCCCATCAAGCTGCCATTGACTTTCTTCATAGAATTAAAAAAAAACTACTTTAAATTTTATACGGAACCAAAAAAGAGCCCGTATAGCCAAGACAATTCTAAGCAAAAAGAACAAAGCTGGAGGCATCATGCTACCTAACTTTAAACTATACTACAAGGCTACAGTAACAAAAACAACATGAGACTGGTACAGAAACAGAGATATAGACCAATAGAACAGAACAGAGGCCTCAGAAATAGCACCACACATCTACAACCATCTGATCTTTGACAAACCTGACAAAAACAAGAAACAGGGAATGGATTCTCTATGTAATAAATGCTGCTGGGAAAACTGGCTAGCCATATGTAGAAAGCTGAAACTGGATCCCTTCCTTACACCTTGTACAAAAATTAACTCAAGATGGATTAAAGATTTAAATGTTAGACCTAAAACCATAAAAACTCTAGAAGAAAACCTAGGCAATACCATTCAGCTCATAGGCATGGGCAAGGACTTCATGTCTAAAACACCAAAAGAAATGGCAACAAAAGCCAAAATTGACAAATGGGATCTAATTAAACTAAAGAGCTTCTGCACAGCAAAAGAAACTACCATCAGAGTGAACAGGCAACCTACAGAATAGGAGAAAATTTTTGCAATCTACCCATCTGACAAAGGGCTAATATCCAGAATCTACAAAGAACTTAAACAAATTTACAAGAAAAAATCAAACAACCCCATCAAAAAGTGGGCAAAGGATATGAACAGACACTTTTCAAAAGAAGACATTTATGCAGCCAACAGACACATGAAAAAATGCTCATCATCACTGGTCATCAGAGAAATGCAAATCAAAACCACAAGAAGATGCCATCTCACACCAGTTAGAATGGCGATCATTAAAAAGTCATGAAACAACAGATGCTGGAGAGGATGTGGAGAAACAGGAATGCTTTTATACTGTTGGTGGGACTGTAAACTAGTTCAACCATTGTGGAAGACAGTGTGGCGATTCCTCAAGGATGTAGAACTAGAAATAACATTTGACCCAGTAATCCCATTACTGGGTATATACCCAAAAGTTTATAAATCATGCTACTATAAAGTCACATGCACACATATGTTTATTGCGGCACTATTCACAGTAGCAAAGACTTGGAACCAACCTAAATGTCCATCAGTGATAGACTGGATTAAGAAAATGTGGCACATATACACCACAGAATACTATGCAGCCATAAAAATGATGAGTTCATGTCCTTTGCAGGGACATGAATGAAGTTGGAAACCATCATTCTCAGCATACTATCACAAGGATAGAACAACAAATACCGCATATTCTCACTCATAGGTGGGAACTGAACAATGAGAACACTTGAACACAAGGTGGGGAACATCACACACCGGGGCCTGTCATGGGGTGGGGGCAGGGGGAGGCATAGCATTAGGAGAAATACCTAATGTAAATGACGAGTTAATGGGTGCAGTAAACCAACTTGGCACATGTATACCTATGTAACAAACCTGCACATTGTGCACACGTACCCTAGAATTTAAGGTATATATATATATATATATAAAAGAAAATGTGGCACATATACACCATGGAATACTATGCAGCCATAAAAAAGGATGAGGTCATGTCCTTTGCAGTGTCATGCATAAAGGTGGAAACAATCATTCTCAGTAAACTAACACAGGAACAGAAAACCAAACACTACATGTTCTCACTCATAAGTGGGAGTTGAACAATGAGAACACATGGACACAGGGAGGGGAACATCACACACCAGGGCCTGTCAGGAGGTGGGGGCTAGGGGAGGGATGGCATTAGGAGAAATACCTAATGTAGATGACGAGTTGATGGGTGTAGCAAATCACCATGGCACATGTATGCCTATGTAACAAACCAGCATGTTCTCTACATATATCCCAGAACTTAAAGTATAATTAAAAAAAAAAAAGAAGAAGTTGATCTTCAAGTAAGTAGAAGAAAATGTTATCTCTCCAAAGGAAGGTAAGAAAGGAGAAAACATCATAAATAGAAAATAAAAATCATATGGTAGACATAAGTTCTAGTATGGTGGCAATAATACTAATCACAAATAATGGTTTCAAACAGAGGGTTTCAGATCAGGAAAAAAAAAAAAAGACCAGCAGTAGAATGTATAATTAAAATAATGGTCACAGAATATTGAAGTAAATGGATTGAAAAAGACAAACATGACTAGCAATTTTGTGTCAAAGTAATATTCAAGGCTTAAAAAATTATAAAAAACAAAGAGTCATTAATAGTTAAAAAGGATAAGAATATATAAAATCAACATATCCTTAAAATACATAATTAATAACTACTGGAAGAAAGCGATAAACCAATAATTATAGTTGAGATTTCAATGAATTCTTCTTGTAAATTGCAGTCAAATAATATATGAAAAAAGACATAAAACATTGAGTTTGAAGTAATAGATATATGTAGGGGATTATATATTTTTTGTTTATTTTTGTTCACACATGGAAGTGTCACAAAGAATGTATCACATGCAAATCCATAGGGACTTATTAATAATATCCAAAGAATTAAAATTATACAGATTATATTCTCTATTATTTAAAAAAATTAGAATTTAATAGCAAAAGCATGGTTAATAAAATTTCACCAGTCTGAAAACTAAACAGGAAACAAGCAAAATACTGTGGAATTTGAGTTAAAGAGGAATAACTAGAGAAATAATAAAATATTTAAATCAAATGACAATGAAAGCAGTCAACCTGTGTGGGACACAGCCAGAGTAATGATTAGAAGGAAAATTATATAACTTTAAATAAATATTCTTTAAAAAGATTAATAAGATGAATAAATCTCTTGCAAGACAAATCTATTAAAAAAAGAAAATACAAATGAAATAGAGTGAAAAAAGGAAATAACTAGGCAAAACAAATATCTAAAATTTAATTTGAAAATGCAGATATCTATTTGAAAATTAATATTACAGCAGAATTAAATAGATAAATTTGTAGATAAATGGAAAATTCTACATTTTTCAATAACAGATATACAATTATTTATACTGAATTACAGTAAATTTCTACTATATTTTTGAGGAATTCAACAAACCCATTTTAAAAGCTATATGGGAGAATAAAGGCTTATGAAATGTTAATTTTGAAAATAAAGACTCAAGTGGGAAGGTTTACCCATTAAGAGACAGAACAAAATCATAGAAGTAAAAACAGTGTGAAAATAGTTGAGGAATAGACCAGTAAACTAGTGGAACAAAAATTTATTTTTATGTTTATTTACTTTTTTTGAGACAGAGTCTCGCTCTGTCACCCGGACTGGAGAGTGCAGTGGTGCGATCTTGGCTCTCTGCAACCTCCGCCTCCCGGGTTCAAACAATTCTCCTGTCTCAGCCTCCTGCGTAGCTGAGATTACAGGCATGTGCAACCATGCCTGGCTAATTTTTGTATTTTTTTTTTTTTGAGACGAAGTCTCGCTCTGTCACCCAGGCTGGAGTGCAGTGGCACGATCTCAGCTCACTACAAGCTCCGCTTCCCAGGTTCACACCATTCTCCTGCCTCAGCCTTCCAAGTAGCTAGGATTACAGGCGCCCACCACCACGCCCGGCTAATTCTTCATATTTTTAGTAGAGACGGGGTTTCACCGTGTTAGCCAGGATGGTCTCAAACTCCTGACCTAAAGTGATCAGCCAGTCTCGTCCTCCCAAAGTGCTGGGATTACAGGCATGAGCCACCACACCCAGCAAAGTGGAACAGAATAGACAGCCGTAATGGTTCCATGTATATTTGGGTGCTTACTATACAATAAAGAGGTCTCCACTAAAACAAGGGAGAAGGATGGCATAAAGGAGTTGGGAAATGCAGAAAATTATGCTAGATTCATCTTCTTATATCACATCTTAGTAGTAGACTCCAAATAAATTAATGAAGTAAATGTGGAAGGTAAATTACAAACCTGATAGAAGGAAAATGTTATTAGAGAACCTATATGACCTGGAGATTGGAGCAGACTTCTTAAACAATACCCCCAAAGCACACACTATATGATAACATAATAGATTAATTAGACTACATAAAAATTATTTCAGATCAATGTGGACTACTGTAGACAGATGTTAACAGATGGCAGACTAAAAAAACTTTTTCTGGTATGTAAAAAAAATAAGGAACTAATATCTAGAATAAAGAGATCTCCTCCAAATCAAAAGGCAAATGACAGAAAAGCAGATTAAAACATGGACCAAAGTTATGAAGAGTTAGTCTATGAGAAGGAGCTAACAAGTACATCAACAGATGCTCAAACTCAATAGTAATTATAAAAATGCAGATTCAAATATCTATAAAATACTGTTTTATTCCTGTTTGAAAGACAAAAATTAGAACACAAATGACACAAAATGTTGCCCAAGATGTGGATAGATAGGAACTCTTATGCCCTGTTGGTGGAAGTGTAAATGCTTATGACTAGTCTGGAAAGAATATTAGAGAAATAAAATATGTGTATTCCTCATAGCCTACTTATGACCCTCTTGAGTATGTATCCCAGAGAAATTCTTGCACAGTTCAATAGAGGGATAGGATTGAGGATTTTTGTCCTTATGATGTTTGCTTTAGTTGGTGTGGGTGCCAGCCTAGTTATCAGTCACCATGGCAATATGGATCATAGTAGATTCATACCATAGGATATTACACAGTCATTAAAAGAGAAGCGCCAGATGTACAAACAGCTGAATTGATCTTATACAGAATATTCAGTGACCACAGAAAGAAACAGAAAAAACTTAAAGCTAAATACTCTCTATGTACATTGAAGTACTTCCCCAACAATCACACTAACACTGCATAATCCACTAGCAGACATAAACATGTAAGAACATACATCAAGCATCTTACAGTGGGTGCCTATGTGGGGAAAGTAATGAAAGTGATGTTTGAGAACCAAGGTGATATTTAGATGAAAATAGGAGAAAGGTCTTGTTGGGACTGATAATGATATTGTGCTATGGATATAGGTGTATGAACAAGTAACTCAACTTTTAAAATCATCAACAAAATCTTGAGAAATAGGGTTTTACTGATTTATTAACTGTGTGTCTTATCTTGGCTTCTTGGTAGCAAGCAACAGAAATGAACTCTGGCTAATTTAACCAGAAAAATAATTTGCTGGAAGTATATGAAGGAGGCTGGAGAACCAGGTTCTGAAAATGAGCAAGTGCTACTGGAGGTTGGGTGGCAGGAACCATAAAACCTGATTGGATACTGTCTTGGGCACCACTACCAGGTGCCATGGCTGAGAGAAATCGCTGCCCTCAGTAATTTCTGGTTGCCACTGCTCTGAACGGAATGCTTTGCCTTACAACATTTGCTTGCAATTTAAGCTCCACTGGGAGCATCAGATCAGCTGAGCCCTAGCTTCTGGGAATAGGAGAGCAAGTATTATGCTACTTTAATTTTTGAAGCACAAATTGACTAATACCAAGACTCAAGCAACAAGAACATTCTTTCAAATAGAAAGGGAAGTTTGGAAGTTGATCAGCCACTGTACTGGCAAAAATCTACTGCACCAGTTATAGAAGGGTTAACTCATTAGTCAAAGACACTAAGTAGTAGGTGATAAAACTGTCTTTCAAGTCTGTTCTCTTCTAGTGTATTGTGTTGCCTCATATATAAACGGATGATGATATAAGTCAAGCAAAAATATTGAAAAGCCTCTAAAAATCAAAATGTTAGCACAAAAGCCAAACACAAATAGGCAACTGATGACCTCAAAGTTAGTTTTTAGTCCTCCCTTCCACTCCCTGTCACCCTAATTGCTTTCTCCAATGAGATCTCATAACACTCATCTTACCTCTATAATGGCACATTCCACGTGATATTCTAGTGCTTATTTACACTTCTCTTATTTGTATTAGACTGCCAAATCTCAAGAACAGTTATCAACTATTATCTACTTGTGTGTAATAGAACTGGACACATGTTATGCACTCAGTGAAATTGTAGTGAATGCACTAGTTAATAAATGAATGAAATGAAAAATGTCTTATAGAAAACTGCCTGATTTATTAGGTCATCAAGCCATTAGGCTTTGAAGAGAGGGTTTAAAACGAGTTCATATATGACCCAGATGAGATCTCAAACCAAAAATAAAGAAAATCTTAGTGCTTTTTCTTCAGTTTAACCAAGAAAACAATTTGCCCTTTGCTCTCTGTCCGGGTAAATAAATAGAAAGGCTAACAAGGACAGCTGCAAGGCATTTCAAGAGATACTGGAAGAGATCCTATCACTCGAGTTGTTGTGAAAATATGACTAGATGACCAGACAAGGCCTGGGTTGAGTGGGCTGGAAGCCAAAAGTCATAAAACAGGCAAATGATTTCTCAATAGTTGATTCACACAGACTCTCTGTACAAAGTAATTTTTTTTTTATCAAGGGCATCATACAGCCTTCAGTTATTTGAAAACCTGCCATAACTCTAAAATTTAGATATGTTCAAACAATCTGCCATGCATTAAGTAACTAGGTCAATGATACTTGGATGGAAACTTACATACTTAAAGAAATGTCAGACTTTTCTCCCCTGTAAATTTTCTTCCTACCTGAGGTGAAAAGAAATTTTGATTTAGAAGTAGAAAGAAAATTTTCAACCAAGCCCAGTCAGATAATTATTTTTTGGGATTAGAATTACTACTTTAAACAAAAAATGTGTTCTTATAAGCATCACATAAAATATACAGGGGACAGTTTCCTTATTTGTCAAGAACACTTCTAATAGAATTACACTCAATGAAAATACTGGCAAAATACTAAAATAAGACAAGCATAAACCAGAGCAGGGCTGTCCATTACCAAGCATTGTAAAGTGCCAAAAAATTATTTCTAACCCTAGACTTAATTTTACAATATAATGAGGAAAAAATATCGAAAGGGAAGATATTAATGGCAAAGTTTCCTTTCCTCCTGTCTACTTTCATTCAAGTCAGAATTTAACAAACACTATGTCTTTACTTTTAGAAATATGATTAATTAGTATTTTAAGATCTACTTTGACTCATAAAAGCAGAGTAATGAAAGAGTGTAGGCAATTTACTATGTTGGGCTCAGAACACTCTTGTTTCATTATTCTTATGTACCCTTTCATTTCTGAATTTGAAAAAAAGTTGTACATACTGTCTATGGCACTTAGCCAATTTAGGTCCTGTTTTACTTGTGGAAGGTTCACAGAAAGCATTTGGTCATAAAAGATGGAGAAGGGTTAGTTATTAGTGAAGTGATGCTGCTCTGCTTTATAAAGTGGTCTATAATGAGAGGATTCTTATGCTATGCTTTTTGATTAAATAAAACTGGTATTCTCCCAGCTCAAATTTCTTCCATCTATCCATCTACTCATAAATTTATTCCCCCTTTATCTTTCTGTCCAACAGATATTTATTGGACTTTGATTATGTGCAAGAGATTACACACAGTGAGGGGCACAAAAGAGGATTGTGCCGGGGAGGCAGCACACTGTGGGACCACAGGCATGAGCTCGGGAGCAAAGTGCCTGCATTCACATCCTCAGTAGCCATGCAACCTTCAGCAATTTAGTTTCTCTGTGCTTCAGTTATTCATCCACAAAATAATAAATCATAGGTTACAAAAATGAAATAGGTTCATGTACTTCAATGCTCTTATAAGAGTACCAAGCATATGGGAAGCCCCCCATATGCACTCGTCATCATTACCTGAAGACCCTATATAGTTTGCCAGAGTTTCTCCCTTTAGGAACAGAAGGATAATTTTCCAACTCTAGCAAAGAGGTTCATTTCAAGGGTAGATTAATGTCAAGGAGTCAACATAATGAACTAGAGCCTTTACCACACTTCTTACAGTCTAGGAGGAGCCTTCCAACTTGGAGTCTCAGTCTTCTGATTTCTGATTCGGTTCTGACCAATGCATCAAAAAGAGAGATCTCGAAGCAGTCTACCCAATCTCTGCCTGGTGCATGTCACAGAAAGGTATCCACCTGCAAGTTGGCACAGTAAACATGGCTGGACTTCTGCCTTGGTTTTCTGGTGAGCAGTCTTTCTCACAGGAATAGCGGCTCTAGTCTGAACCTCAATTAGGCTGATTCTTCATTCAAATTTTGCTAGCTCTCTGCCCTGGGAAGGTTGAATTCTATTACTTATGCCTTCAGCCTCAGACCAGGTTCTGCTGTAAATACAGCCCTGAAATTACTGGCTTCAGCTATTCCTGCTGAGAAATTTCTCCCATTTTCATGGTCCACACACTGGATTAGAGCCAAGTCAATGCCCCTTTGGAGACTGTGAACTAAACTTCCAGCAACATTCTTCAAGAAGCATTCCTGCAAGCTGAGTTAGTTTCCTCAGCCTTGGTCTCAGGACTATTGAGCTATGATAATCTCCTGCACATGTACACCCAAACCACATTACAATGGACTTTTAAAAACAGAAAAAAGTCATGTTGGGTTGAAATTCTTTGATACTTCAGAAATTAAATGGATAAGTTATTTAATATGCCACATGACAGAGTATAGATTTGGAAAGTTCTCCATGACTAGCTCAATGGATTAAATCTAACAAATAGAATTTAATAAGGGTTTTGAATATCTGGTCTTGCACTTGAGTACTAAAAATTCAAGTACAGGATTAAAGAGGTGCCTTTTAACAACATGTATAAGCAATTTAATTTTTTTCTGCTAATAAGTTTAATTCTAGTCTGGAGTGTGACTACATGGTAGACTGAATAATAGCCCCCAAAAATATCCAGGTGTTAATCCTAGAACCTATGAATATGATCTTATATGGTTAATTAATAAGGACTTTAAAGGCTTATGATTAAATTAAGGATCTTGAGATGGGAGATAATCGTTGCTTATTCTGGTGGGCCTTAAATTTAATTATTATGAGAAGAATCCTTATAAGAAAGAGGCAGAGAGCGACTTGAAGAGGAAAAATGTGAAGTGATAAGAAGAGCAGGGGGAAAAAAGGCAATGTGATGTGAGGAAGGGGTCATCCAGAAGGAATGCAGGTGGCATCCAGAAGCTAAAAAAGACAAGGAAACAGGTTCCCCCTAGAGCCTCAGAAGGAACTAACCCTGCCAACACCTTGATGAGTTAGACTCATTTTTAATTTCCAGAGATGCAAGAGAATACATTTGTATTGTTTTAAGCATTATGTTTGTGGTCATTTGTTACAGTAGCCACAGAACACTAAGATAGACTCAAACTCCATTCCAGTTAGACTACATCTGAATTTACAAATTCTATTCGGTTGTTGCATATCAAGAAGAATGTGAGTATTTTGGAGGTCCATCCTAGTTATAAGGAAACTTCAAACCGTATCATGAGAGAAATGTTGAAAATAACTGTTTCTACTGAAGAAACAGTAAAGGCTCTAGATTTCAAATATTTTGAGAGTCATTATGTGTAACAGGAATTAGACTTGTTCTGAATGTTCCTAAAGAATGGAATGAGTGTTAAAGTTTGTAAATTTACATTTATTTGCACGATTACTTGTTTTATATGTTTCCCCTCCGCTGGTGTCTAAGCTTCCTGATGGCAAAAGTTAGATTTGGTCACCAATTTATCCCCAGTGCCTAACATGCATAAGAGCCACTTATATAATGGTTAACAGACTGAGAGAAATTTTTTTTATTCTCTAGTGTAGGAGTTAGGGTACAAAATAAGTTGTTATAACAAAGGGAATCAAATAACAGTGGCTTTAATAGGATAGAGATTTATTTCCTTTTCCCAAATGTTCAAAGCGGAGATGAGATTCCCAGGCTAGAAGGGCCTCTGATGTACACCCAGGAACCCAGATTTCTTCTGCGTTGCTGCTCTGCCATGTCGTAGGGCATTGTTCTTGCATATGTGGTTGATGCCAGCTCACTCCATGTCAACATTCTAGTCAGTAGGAAGGATAAAGTGGTAGGCAACTATCTTATCAAGAAGATAGCCTAGAAATTGCACACAACACTTCCATTTGCATGTCACGGGCACAAATGTAGTTACATTTTCACACCCAGCTACAAGGAGTGCTCTGAAATATATTCTGTAAGATTGTTGGGCATGGGCCCAGTTAAAATACAGGGGAGTCTATTGTTAAAAGGAAAAAGGGAAGACTGAATATTAAGGAACAGTCAGCAGTCTTTTCTTCAACCTGGAAGCAGTACATTAAAATTAAAAAATAAGATTTCTATCCTTTTCTTCATTTATTCTAGGTTCTCCTTCCCTTTCCCTAAATGTTTTTCTCCTTTCCTTTTCAAACAGTTCCTAGGCAGATAATATGTAGGTGATTTATAGGCTAATTTTATTTGCAAATTCTTATTGTTCTTAAATAAAACCAGACCTGATATTTATCATTTCTATTACAGTAATTAAAAATATATATGCTAAACTGATTGCCACCATTAAATGTATTTAAACCATGTAAATTACTATAATGAATTTATATTATTTTTAATATTTTACATTGCTAATCTAGGTTCATTGGCACATTTTTACAATAGCAATTCTATTCCGTTGCATGCAAAGTTGTTGTTCAGAGGTGCAAAGTTCTATTAAACCATTTAACTTATCACTTTATTAATGAACAGACTTGGTGATGAACTATCAGACACTCTAATAGGCAACAATTATCATTGAAAACTTTTATAATTTATCTACTGTAGTAGTTCATTCTCATGCTGCTATGAAGAAAAACCCAAGACTGGGTAATTTATACAGAAAAGAGGTTTAATTGACTCACAGTTCTGCATGGCTGGGGAGGCCTCAGGAAACTTACAATCATGGTGGAAAGCACCTCTTCTCAGGGTGGCAGGAGAGAGAGCGAGGGCCAAGTGAAGGGTAAAGCCCCTTATAAAACCATAAGTTTTTATAGATAGTGAGAACTTACTATCACCAGAACAGCATGGGAGAAATGGCCCCTGTGATTTAATTATCTCCACCTGGTCCCACCCTTGACAAATGGAGATTATTACAATTCAAGGTGAGATTTGGGTGGGGATACAGAGCCAAACCATATAATCTACTAATAATTTATGAAAAATAAGGTGGAGATGATGAGCAGAGGTATAGTGGATAAATGTGAGTGATCTGCTTTTTGAAGAATTCTGTATTTTGAACTTTTAGAGAAATTGTTTTATACATTTACATTGCAGTAGCAAATTCAGAATCTCCCTACAGTTAAATTTTTCAGTTCTACCTTCAAAATATACCCAATATATCCTTTGACTATGTCCACTATGATAGGACTTCCATATCCTAGTCCATGTCACAATCGTCTTTGTCCTGGGCTGTTAGAGACCTTCTATCTGGTCTCCCTGCTTCCATCCCCTTCTCCTTACTGTCTGTTATCCACACAGTAGCCAAAGTGATTATTTAAAAATCTAAGTTAGACAAAGTCCCTCCAAAATCTTCCCATTCTTGCTTAAAATAAAATCTAAAGTCCTTACTATGGTCTGCAAAGCCCCATTGTATTAGTTATGGATTGCTACATAAGAAATTATCCCCCATACTTACTGCCTTTAAATAATAATAACCATTTATTATCTCACACAGTTTCTGTGTGTCAGGAATTTTGGAGAAACTTAGCTGGGTGGGTCTCACTCAGAGTCTCTCATGGGTTGCAGTTAAGACGTTAGCTGGGGCTGCGGTCACTTGAAGCTCACTCACACTGCTGGCAAGTTAGTGCCAGGAGGTTGTGTGCCAGCTCACTCATGTGGCTGGCAAGTTAAAGTGGGCTGTTGGCAAGAGGCCTCAGTCCCTTGCTACATGGACCTCTCCTTAAGACTGACTGTCCTTACAACATGACAGTGGACTTACCGCAGAGCAAGTGATTCAACAATGAGCAAGGTGGAAGTCTCAATGTCTTATATTGGAAGTCATACATCATGATTTCCATGATATCCTATTGGTTACATAGGTCACTCTACTCAGTGTGGGAAGGGTAGTACCAGGGTGTGGTTATAAGAGGTGGGTATTAGTGGGGACCATCCTGGAGGCTACCTTCTGCTTTCATCTCTCATCTTTCTCCTCCTTTCTCTACTTCCAACACTACCTCTTTGCTCTTTCTCAAACATGTTATGTGCATTTTTGCCTCAGGTCTTGCAGTAAACTGTTTAAGCCACTGTGATAACTCCACAGATGTCTACATGGCTCCCTCCTTCACTTTATCTAGGCCAAGCTTGTCCAACCCATGGCCTGCAGGCTGCATATGACCCAGGACAGCTTTAAATAACAGCCCAACACAAATTCTTACACTTTCTTAAAACATTATGAGTTTTTTTGTGATTGTTTTTTTTAGCTCATCAGCTATCACTAGTGTTAGTGTATTTGTGTGGTCCAAGACAATTCTTCTTCTTCCAATGTGGCCCAGGAAAGCTAAAAGATTGAACACCCCTGATTCTAGACTTTTGCTCACATATTAACCTTATTACAGGAAACTTTTCTGATCATTCCTCCATTTAAATAGTGTCACAAGCCATTCCTAACTTGCTTTATTTTTCTTGATAAAACTTTACCACCCAACATGAAGCAAAGAACAGAACATAATGAAACAAAGAATATGCTGGGAGATAATGTAAAATGAAAAGGGAGACTTTTCCCCCCAACTTTTATTTTAAGTAAAGAGGATCCATGTGCAGATTTGTTACATGTGTGTGCTTGGTATACAAATTATTTCATCACACAGGTAATGGTGATGAAACGGTGATCAGGTACCAACTTTTCTGGTACCCAATAGGTAGTGTTTCAATCCTCATCCTCCCCTCAACCTCCACCCTAAAGTAGGTGTCTATTGTTCCCTTCTTTGTGTCTTTCCCTCTAAAAAGAGGGACTTGGGACACTGCTGTATCCCAGTGCCTACAACAGTTCTTGCATATAATAATTGCTCACTAGGTATTTTTGAATGAATAAATGATGAATTAATTCTATATAGTATCCAAATTAATTTCAAATGATATAAAATCAGAAAGGGCATTCTCTAAATTCGTTCTTGACCCAGGCATGGTGAGTATTGCCTAGTTTAATAATATAGATTAAAAACTTCTATCAAATCACTAAATAAATCTAAAAAAGTCACAACCTAGGATAAGGAAAATTAAATACAAGTCTATGCAGGAAATATAGTAGAACAAGAAGAATCATATATGTTTGATTTGTGTCCATATCATTTCTTTTTTATGTAAGATTAGGATTGCTACTTTTATTGAATTATTTAAATAGATTTGGGGAATTATTCACAATGAAACAGTGAAAAAAATAGAAAATTTCGGATTATGTGCAATATCTTATAGAGCATAGAAGATGCTTAATTCTCCCATAATTTCACAATTATATTGAAAATGATTTGTATAATTATGATAAAGAAAATATCTGGACAGAATCTAAGGGCTTCTATGCATGGGGCAAGAGAACTGAGCACACATCACCTGCATCATTAATGGAGCTTGGTTGTTTAAGGAAGTTACAAAATTTGCCCTTCTGATTAAACCTTTAGTTCAGTCTCTCAAGTTTTACATAAGAAAGTTTGTGCATGATCTAAGTGAGTTTACATTGGTTCAAAAGGAAAATGTCCCTGAAGAAATACTGAAACTACATATGCATGTTTTCTTTCTCTATATAAATTAAAACTATTGAGAAGATTGAAGTAATTACATTTGTTTCCCCTGATCTTCTAAACCTAATTTTAGTCTGAAGAACACTTGAAATGATCTTGAACATTATACTATCCTTGGGAGAGAACTAATTGAGGTGTTTGGAAACCTGCTTAGTTTATAAAACATTAGGTTCCACAGTCATGTGTCTCATTTTCACAACCCTTGATTTCACCTGTTCATAACAGACTTCTTGGGGCCTATTTAAGGCAAAATGAATATAAAAAATTACTTTCTATGACATAATTAACTTGAAATAACTATCTTATGTTCCCTTCTAAAAAAATGTTGTGCCACTAGCTAATGTATCTTTAGATATCATAGCAATTTCATCCTGAAGAGGCTGTCTACTTAGCATGGAGGTGGTCGAAATGATATTTATCTACACCAGGCACAGAAGTTGTATTTTCTCCTCAGAAAAGTTAAAAGAAAAAAAGAAAAAGAAAAAGAAGAACAATAGGGAAGAAGAATGAATGAGAATTCTAGTTAATAAGAAAAAGTCCATAGGAATTATATAAGTCTAGTCCATCTTAGATAGACTTAATTTTAAAGTCATTTACTTATGAATTTTAAAAGAACCTCACTGAAAAGGCAGTCACTTCCATAAGGTGAAACTTTGCCAAAAAACTCCAAGGACTTGGTTAGAATCAAACTACAAAATGTATCATCGTGCTCTTAGTTCCTGTTTTTATGTCTTTTTTTAGAAATATTTCTCCCTTATATTCCCTATTTAAGGCCTTATGGAAAGTACTATCACAAATAGTAGCAGAAATAATAAGGGAGTTACAAACACCCTCTTTATTCAAGGTATTTTGTAGGCAAAATAATGTATTATCATTAATATTATTATTGAATTTTGTGTATTATTATGCTATGGTCTGAATGTTTGTGCTCCCCCTCCATTCATATGTTAAAACCTAATTACTGATGTGATTTGGAGATGGAGCCTTTGGAAGATGATTAGGTCATGAGGGCAGAACCCTCATGAACGGGATGGGTGCCCTTATAAAAGCAGCCTTGGAGAGTAGCCTTGGAGAGCTTCCTTGCCTCCTCTATCATGTGAGGACACAGCAAGAACACGGCCATCTATGAACCAGGAAACAGCCCCTCACCAGATCCTGATTCTGCTCATACCTTGATCTTGGATTTCCCAGCCTTCAGAACTTTGAGAAATAAATATCTGTTGTTTATAAACTATCCTGTTTATGGCATTTTATTATAGCAGGCCAAGTGGACTAAGATACATTGTTTTTGGTAGTGCATGTAAAATAACTGAGAAATAGCAAGTGTCTCTCCAGATCTCTAGTATAGGTGATAATTCAGCAAAATTAAATAGAAATTATCTTTTAATAATTGTATAGGTTATTTTATAAGGTCTTTATAAACTTAAAAACAAAAGGTCTTTAAAACAGAAGCACAAATCTTTGTAATAATTATATTAATAGTACTAAGTTTAAAAATAATCTAGAAGATGCAATAACTGTTATTAGTGGCAATAATTGCTATCATCATTATCTATGATGAATATTTATAGAATGTTCACTGAACGTAGAGAATTTTGCTTATTAAAGATTAACTTATCATTGAGTCATTTGCTAAGATAAGCTAGGCCATATATATGAATCCCCTTGGTGGGATTTTAAAAACACATATATTTTCCCTTCAGGATTTGATATACCTCCTAGTTCCCCTTGTCTCTCATGAGATCTCTCTTCTGGTGACCCACTAATAACAGTGAGAAGCGTCATATCCCTACTTGTGTTGGGGTGGAAAGAAAGATTAAGAGTAGTTTCTGCAACTAAAGGAACCACTCTTCTTATTCCATTTGTTCCAGTATAGTAGTTTTGTGAATTAGTTTGTAAAAGAGTAGCTCTACGTCCAGTTCAGCCCTGAGGGAATATGATTTGGTATACAGAACACAGATATTTGGAATTCTAAGACACAGGTCAATGGTAATCTACAACATAAATACCCAGCTGACCTTCTCCTTCTGTCTTAAATACAGCTGACTGCTTTTCCTCACCATTGGTTCCTCTGGTCCAAAAAACAGAAATTGATTTTAGACTGGTCCTTAGGAAACCTGAATCAGGAAATAAAATGTCATGCCAAAAGATCCATATGGTGCATTCCAGACCAAACAAAATTATAGAGAATTAGTCACTATTTCATATTCAATGTCAGTACTATCCTTCTTAAGCAAAACTAATTTAAGGTTAATCTTTTTTTTTCGCAAACTATGTCTTTATACTCGTCTAGGTCATTTCAAAACACGTTCTCTATTCTCTAATTTTATTACCTATTGCAATGTACATGATTTTCAAGATTAAGTTTGATTTTGTTGTAAACCAATCAATAATCTTTTACTAGAAGTAAACCTACTCAAGATCAACCGCTTTCCAAATTACTGCAGCAAAACCCACAGAAACTCAAAAATGAACAACATTAAACTGTACTATTTCATCTCTTAGCATATCTAGCATAGACGATAGCTTGTGTTCTCCTTGGGATAGAATTGATGGCTCAGAATCTACTCTAAACATTTATTCTCAAACAAGCTTTCCAAAAAAGCATTGCATATTGATTTTGCCTTTCATGTTTTGTATTCTACCTACATATTATTGAAAATTAATTAAGGAAATTTGGAATAAGAAATACCAGAAATTAAAAATCACTAAATTGACAAAATTAACTTATTTTTCATCAGATGATAAATTTTGAAATATTTTCAAAGCAGGAACTTGTAATACTTATATAATTACACCGTGTTTCAATTATTATTTACATATATCCCAGATTAAAGGATTGTGTACATTATTTATTCACTTGTGTATTTAAAATGCATTGCAGTATAAATTTAGCTTGGTATACTTTTAAAGTTGACATGAAAGTTTAGGGTTGCCATGCAGTTACAACTTTGGGTCAATTATTATCATCACCAGTGGGAATCAGTAGAATGGGTACCTAGATTCAAACCCAAATCTACAACTTATTAGCTATGGTCAAATTACTTGGTCAAAGTGCCTCCATTTCCTGTTTTATAAAAGGAAGCTACATAGCAATAACCACTTCTCTGGATCGTGAAAGCAATCTATTTAACTTCTCAACCACTGGTTTTATAACATCGTGTATGTTATAGCATAACAAGTTGTGTGTTAATTAGAAACCTTATTTTACTGAATGAATATCTGAGAACAATTTTATATTACAAATGCAAACATAGACTTTACATTAAGACCATTTCTCCCACCACTGGAATAAAAGCATCAAGAATCAAAGGAGTGAAGGATTGTCTTCTCTCTCTAAAATAAACCAAACAACGTCCTTGATTTTAGCTCTGGTAAAAGTGACCCTCCCTTTGTCCCCCACAACTTTTTAGGGGTAACCCGAGTACTGAGATAGTAAGAAATCATAAAGTTAGGTTTTTGGGAAGAGTACAGATTTAGGAATCAATAGATGTGAGTTTTGAGGTGCTCCCTCTTAATAGTTGTATGATTTTGGGGCAAGTTTATTAAATCCTAACTATGGTAATGAGTTTGGTGTATGGCATTCTGGCCAGTTGTAGGCACTCAGGATATGGTAATTGCTATGGAGCCATAAATTCTATCCCAAGGAGAACACAGGCTATGACTTATGCTAGATATGCTAAGACATGAAATAGTGCAGTTTAATGTTGTTCATTTTTGAGTTTCTGTGGGTTTTGCTGCAGTAATTTGGAAAGCAGTTGATCTTAAGTAGGTTTGCAACCAGTAAAAGATTATTGATTGGTTCACAACAAAATCAAACTTAATCTTGAAAACCATGCCATTTGTCTGGAAATTTCTCAAAGGCATCATAACATATGACTGAATATGCCATCTTTGGATTCCAGTTCTTTCTTTTTTTTTTTTTTTTGAGATGGACTCTCGCTCTGTCGCCCAGGCTGGAGTGCAGTGGTGCGATCTCGGCTCACCGCAAGCTCTGCTTCCCAGGTTCACGCCATTCTCCTGCCTCAGCCTCCCGAGTAGCTGGGACTACAGGCACCCGCCACCACACCCGGCTAATTTTTTGTATTTTTAGTAGAGATGGGGTTTCACCGTGTTAGCCAGGATGGTCTTGATCTCCTGACCCTGTGATCCACCCACCTCGGCCTCCCAAAGTGCTGGGATTACAGGCGTGAGCCACCGCGCCCAGCTGGATTCCAGTTCTTTTTAAGAGAACTCAGTTTGGCATATGTAGCAGCCCACAGTATGGTCTGTGAAACTGTATCTCTTGTGAATGAAATCTTAGGAGCCATTTCTTGGATACATGTTTTAAAAGAAAGGAAATCATAATCCTATTTGATTAATTATCTCTTAGTTCACACATACCAACCAGCCTTTGCTCCAGAGAGAAGGAGTTGTATCAACAGTCCATTTATATATTCAAGGATTACCTAAGAGGAACGCCACTTTGAGAAACTATAGCATTTGTAAGCCATTAGAATGACGTCTAAGTGATTGAGAGTCACTGTTATGCATTAATTATATGGAAAAGTTTCAAAACTGCAATGTTTGCTACACTATTCTTGAATTAAAACCCAATATGTGCATGTATGATATCTGGTTATGAAGCATCTGGTTATGATGCTTCCAAATATTTTCTTGCCAAAAATATTTTCCAAAGTTGTAAGGCCCAGCAGTTACCATGATTACACAGCTAGAAGCTTGGTTGTAAAATGTACACTTGAAGTTTCCATGCTTCATTGCATGAAAGTTGTAGTAAAGTCTTTAAGGAAGCAACTAATTTCTGTCACTAGTAATTGATGCCCTTCAGTTCCATTGAGTCAGTTCCTATTATCTGAAGTAAAAAAGTACACAAAGGAATCTGGTATTACTTTTAGGAATAAATGTTTAAAATATCAACTGCATAATAAAACATTTAAAAAACCTGTTTTCCTAGTTGATAAAGCAAGATTCACTCAAAGAAAAATTAGTGGTTCTATCGTTCATGTTGTAGGAACAACAGAAATGTGAATTTTACTCCTTTCTAACACGTGACCACATTATAATCTTTGCATCCCTCACATGTATTTGTAGAGTGAAAGACAGAATAAACACAGTCTCCTTACCTTTTACAAACACTAGGCAAAGCCGTGGTTCATATCTCTATACCTGATTCTGCTTTGGAGAAGCCTACAGACAGCAACTCGTCATGAAACCACTAGATTATTGAAACATTTTTACCGATATAAAAAATAGTATACCATCATTAGAGAAAAATTGAGAAAGACTGAGAAGTGTAAAAGAAATAGAAATAGAAATCATCATCTAGAGATATCCAATATAGTGTTTTGATATATATATTTTCTTTCCAGTCCTTTTTATGAATATACATTTTATTTTTTACAAAATTGAGATCATGCTATGTGTCATTTTTTAACCTTGCGTAACATCAGAAGCATTTTTATTGTCATTAAATATTCTTTGATACCATGATTTATTCTAGCCATAGAATATTTCTTTGTATACATGACTAAAATTTTTCATATTTAATTTTCTCTATTACAAGTAGTGCTGCAATGAATAGCACCAAACACAAATCTTTGTAACTCTGATGATTTCTTTAAATGACATTCCTAAAAGCTCCTAAAGTTGAAATTATTAGATCAAAAGATATGAATATGTTATTCTTTCAAATGACAAATTAACTTAGAACTCATATATGAGAAATTGTTCCTTTGTATCACTCTGTTTCTGAAGGGTTTCTATTTTGGATAATTCACTACACAAAGAAAATGTATTGCTAAAGTATCCAAGGGAAAACAAAACAATCCTTTATGGGGCCAGGTGTGGTGGCTCACATCTGTAATCCCAGCATTTTGAGAGGCCTAGGCGGGGTGGATCACTTGAGGTCAGGAGTTCCAGGCCAGACTGGCCAACGTGGTGAAACACCGTCTCTACTAAAAATACAAAAATTAGCTGGGCATGTTGGCACATGCCTGTAGTCCCAGATACTCGAGAGGCTGAGATGGGAGAACAACTGGAACCCAGGAGGTGGAGGTTGCAGTGAGCCGAGATCATGCCATTGCCCTCCAGCCTGGGCAACAGAGGAAGACTCTGTCACAGAAAAAAAAAATCCTTTATGATCTTGGGTTCCTCTTGCAGTTACCTCCTTATATGGAAGCTGTCTCTCCTGGCTGTATTCTAAATTATGTGATGCCTACCTTAAATATGAGTCTGGCTTATTCAACTTGATAATAACATAGCAGTTTAAGTTTATTCTCCACTGCTATATTTTAAATGTCAGGTGTGAATGATATTGTAGAGTGTAGAATATTTTACAAAGGTTGGTAGGTACTTGTGCCTGGTCAGCCTGATTCCTGAATACCTAACCAATCTTACAAAGAATCAAGACGATACCCAATTAACCCCTTTAAAATTGGGCTCGTTTTCTTTCTGGGGCACCCTGATTCCGATTCCATAAAAAGAGAAGCACATGCATATACCACGTTCTACAACTGCTGCCACTAGTTTCTGGTCAGATGTTCAGATGGGCCAGGATCCACTCTTCACAGGGACTTACTAGATGACTCAACACATCCCTCCTCTTTGCTACTAGTGGCATGGCCAGCCCTGCCTGGAGGGAAGATGTCAGGGCAAATGTTTCTTTCCTTTCTCAATGGGGTTGGCAATTATAGTGTTGGCATCAGAGAACTGTGTTTTTTGTACCAATCCCAACTGTGTTGCCTCCAGGAGGCAGGGTTATATACTCTGGCTGAGAGTGTTCTCTGGTGCTGGGCCACATGGGCTCATAATCTTAATTTCACTGCATGTGAATGTTACAACTGTGAGCAAACTGCTTAACCTAACAGCCAAATCTGCCTCAATTTCCTTATTCTCACAAGAGGGATCTTGATAATGGTATGTACCTAATAAGATTGCTCTGAGGAACAAACAAGATAAAACATGTAAAGAATATAGAACAGTGCCTGTTGTGTAACAAGTATAAGTATTAAGATAAAAATCAATGTTACATTAATTTTAGAAGAAAAAGAACCCATTCCTAGTTGTACCTTCAAAAACATAAATGATCTAAAATCAAGCTTCTGTGTCTTAGTTCCGCATTCATGCATGCAGTAATTTATTCAGCAAACATTGTACTCTACTTCGCACTGGGATAAGAGAAGTTAAGACACAATAAAACAGTGAGATTATACATGTAAAGAATTTAATATGGTGCTTATGGTCAGTAAATGACATTATTATAAAGATATAAATAATGTATAAGTATGTTACAAATAAACAGTCACGATTAGAGACACTGTGAATTAAAAATTAAAAATTGTTCATCTAAGGCAAAACTGATTTCAGAATAAACTTGGACCTGGAGGTGTAGATTCAGCAGAACTAAGAAACTTTCCATCTTAGTGGGTATTGTCGAGCTCAACTATTAAGGAACAATGTACATTTTAATTAAGTTGTGGAATTTCAGACCCTGAGGAAAATCTGTATGTTTGAGAAAGAAATATGGTGTTTCATTAAAAACATATATTTATTTGTTGTTATTGGCAATGCTTGGTTTGTAAGTCATTTTTGCAAGTAAACCTTGGGGTTGAAGGGAGGAAGGGAGAGGAAGCAAGTCCTCTGAGGGGAATATTCCACAGATGATTGACGTACTTTCTAAAATGAATGTTAATGGAAAGTAAAAAGTCAGAACAGCATCACAGAAGACAGCAGGCATGGTAAAGAGTACCCAATAAATTACTATCTGGTATTCTCTAAGAGAATGGAAATTTACATGGCAGAAGAAGAAAAATTTATCTGAATTCATCCTCTGTATGAATTCAACTAAAAGCTACAAATTTTATTTTTCCTTAAGACAATAAAAGAAAAATGATTATCTAATCAAACAGGAAGCTACAGAATTGCTTTGGCATTGAAATTTAAGGATGAGTTTAGATTAGTCAAAGCAAATCAAATAGAAATTTCCAAAATGTGATATATATAGAAGGCTAAATTTCTGGAAGAATAGCTTAGACAGATACCAGCATATTTGATCATAGATGCAAAATTCTATTGGATGCTCTCATTCCATCACACAATCCATCAAAGTTATTGCCACATTTTATATTTGGTTCTTGTGTTTATTGTACATGGTAGCATTAACCAGGAACCAGATTCCCAGCGGAACCAAAATAAAGAAGGACAGCAAAGTTGGTTATCTTCATATTGATGTGGAAGTTGTCTCTAACATTGTCTCTAAAGTCGCTCAAGCTAATAGGGCTTCTAAAGTCCTGTGCTTCTGATCTTTCAACATATCCTATCCATTGTTTTGATTGATGTTTCGATTGTTTTTGTTGAAGAGAACAGAGTCTTCTGCCAAATTAAGCAACACCCTCCATTCCTCCATCATTGCTGCACAGGCATCTGTAATGAGTCTCATGATAATTCCCAGAATCCTTTTAATTAGAAACATTTTGATTCAAAAATTCAGATTTCTACTTTATTATCCTTTATCCACTTTTCCAAGTGTGCATCATATAGGTAAAATTTACAAATGTTTAATTATCTTTCTTCATAATTAATTTAATATTTTATACTGATATCATCTTTCCCTATAGCTATAATTATTAAAACAGAGCACCTTCCAAACATAATTATTTATGTATTTATAATTTATTATCAAATTATCTATATTTCATTATTATTACTTATAAGTATACACTTCATGCTTAAATATTTACATACATAAAGACTCATTGTATCATCATAACAGTTCCTGAAAGTTATTTAGCAGGAGACAGAGATGAGACTCAAATATATTTCCCAGAAACTCTAATGCCAGTGTATTTCACAACATTATGGTCA
Source organism: Homo sapiens (assembly GCF_000001405.40). Lineage (NCBI taxonomy): Eukaryota > Metazoa > Chordata > Mammalia > Primates > Hominidae > Homo > Homo sapiens. The sequence goes on from NC_000012.12 coordinate 63,223,290, forward strand.
TTGCAATCAACTTCTTTTTGTTCCAACTAAGGGAAAGGTATTTGCCAAACCTAAATCTGTCAGAGTTTATCAACAGTTGATTGCTGGTGATGCTACTTCTGGAGCCAAATAGTTATCAATCACTAAATGACACTCCAGGTCAAGTGATTTCAGTTTCACATTTTCATTGCATTAAACATTTTTCAATTTTTCATTGAAACAATATTTTAGGATCCTGATGATGGACAAACCAGAGAAAGAACTTATAGGAAGACTTCATAAAACATTACACTGTTTCACTAGACACAGTGAATAAAGAAAACTGAAATTTAACTCTTGCTTTCATTTTCTTTGGCTAATACATACGCTGTAAAATACATGTAGTTTCTAACTTCTTTATTCATTTACTTATTTATTTAATACGTATATCTTGATTTCCTACTCTTGTTTGGCACTGATAAGCCTGAGACACCATGATGAGCAAGATGCTCAGAGTTTATGTAAAAGGACTTCCCAAGACTTGAGTTTCAAATACAGGACTCCTAAGATCTATCTTCACAAATTTAGATTCAGAAATGGTGCAGAGGAACCTAAGCATCTTTATTTTCAATAAGCCCCTGGGGTTATTGTAATGCAGATTGATTGTAACTATCCTCTGAGCAGCAATGATCTAACAGGAAATACAGACAAATAAGCAGTTACAATGAAATGTAAGTTCCAAGGTAGGGTTAAGCATAGAGTACTATTGCATATGCAAGAGCATCTTCTAACATACATTTGAGTTGAGAAGGCAAAAAAATCAAGAGTTTTAAGTCTTACTACAGTGTCTCAATTTTCATCAAAGTTTTCTACCACAACCACTGCTCATATTTCTTATATATGTGTGTACACACACACACACACACACACACACACACACAAAGAATATGAACATACTAAAGAAAGGGAAAAACAATATATCAAGGGAAGGGAATGGTAGATGAACAATTCAGTCTGGAGAAAAACATACTCCAAGAAACAAAAGGAAATTCCCACCAGTGCTTTATGAGTAAGAACAAAAGTCAGTAAAATGAGCATTCAAATAATAGATACAGGATAACAGAATGAGACAGAAAAAAGCATTGTAGATGTTTTAGATGTAAGAAACAAATTAAGAATCAAACCAACAGCATTATACAAGCAACACTCAAATTAGAAACAGTGAAGCAAAATATATAGCTAAAAATACAATGATTGATGCAGAAGAAACCCTTTAGTGAATGAAAATGCAAAAGACCATAAGATTAAAGAAACGGAAGAAGAAGTAATAAATGTGCAGGTCAGATAAAGAAGAACCAAAACAATGACACATAATGTCTGGGATGTGGAGAAACCCACAAATACAAGATAAAACATTCAAAAATACAACACAGAAAAATATCTCTGAGATGAGAAAAAAATTTACTTTAAATAAAACATATTGTGTTCCAGAAGAGGGGAAAATCAAGTTTTTAAACTTCACAGATACAGAAAGAATACCACAGCAAACACATACCAGGAAACTGCAAACAAAAATAAAGCAGAGGACATGATAAGAATATCAGAAAAGTTTGAGTTCAAGGCAAAAATGAGTAAAGAAGATGAAGGGCATTTTGCAGTGATAAAAGGTATAATCTACAATGAAGATTAACTCAAGAATATTTATGGAATGACATCAAAACTAAGTCAAAAACTGCTGGAAATAGGATGACTAGATATGCAAATAAAGTAGACAAAATATAAGAAAAGACATAAAGGATCCATATAACATAGTAAGAGAAATGGTGTATATATGTATATCGACATGGATATGTACGACTATCCAATGAATAAATATTTAAGACAATAAAAGAAATTTCTTATCTCATCTAAAAGAAAATTTTAAGACAATAAAAGCAATTCTTTTTTGAGAATTTTTTATTTTATTTTTATCTTTATTCTAACTATTCTGCAATTTCAATTTTCATTTTAGTTTTTATGGAGATGTTAGTAAATAATGTGGTAATATCAATTAACCAAAATAGGGTGGTAATAGGGTAATATCAATTAGCAAAAATAAAACACTTGATAATATAAATTACCAGCAAGAATGTGGAAAATCAGGCCTATTCATATGCTGTTCACAGGATCTCTTTGGAGAGCAATTTGGCCCACCTATCAAAAATGCTCTGCTCTTTGGTCCAGTAATTCAGGTTCCAGAAACCAATACTCTTGCAGGCATATAAAGATATTGTACAAGGGTGTTAACTATAAAATATCAGAAATATCTAAATGCCCATCAAAATAAAGCTGGTTAAAAATTAGGATAGATCCTTACAAAGGAATTAAAAAAAATAATTAGGTGGAAAAAGCATTTATACATTATACTAACATTTCTTTATTATTGAAATGTCGGCATCTAGAGATCTTTACTCTTTTAATAGCTTTAGAATATTGCTCTGTATGAATAAGCTTTTATCTAATACCTGTCCATCTATCTATCATCTATTTATCTACCATCTATCTGTAGATACATGAATATATGTTGATCTATGCTTATTAAATGTAAAATTTCAGGGCTGGGCGCTGTGGCTCATGCCTGTAATCCCAGCACTTTGGGAGGCCGAGGCGGGCGGATCACAAGGTCAGGAGATCGAGACTGAGACCATCCTGGCTAACACGGTGAAACCCCGTCTCTACTAAAAACACAAAAAAATTAGCCGGGCGTGGTGGCGGGCGCCTGTAGTCCCAGCTACTTGGGAGGCTGAGGCAGGAGAATGGCGTGAACCCAGGAGGTGGAGCTTGCAGTGAGCCAAGATCGCGCCACTGCACTCCAGCCTGGGCGACAGAGTGAGACTCCGTCTCAAAAAAAAAAAAAAAAAAAAAAAAAAAAAAGTAAAATTTCAGAATAGGTAAAGGGAAACTCATTTTTCATTATAGGCTGTTTTAAAAAGTTTACACGAGCTGTTCAAATTTTTTAACTATATGAGTATTTTAGTTGCATAATAATAAGAAATAATGTACTGCCTTGTATGCAATATGTTATAATGAAATTAAATAAATCTTCTTGGCTACAAATGCCATAGAAGCATTAAGGGCTTAATACTTAAGTGCACTGAAGAATGGTGTTATCCACATGCATAGGGAAAGAAAGCACTACTTGTAAATGTGGAAGTCAACCAAGTCCACAGTGACCTTTTTCTAGGAGCCCCTTGAGGACTCCTCACCCTTCCTTAATTATCAGGTGGATGGACAAAGAGTTCTTGATAAAATTTATGTCTAAAACCCTGGACAAACATTATTCAAAATCAATGGCCCTTGGCCACTGTCACTGCAGACCGCACATTACACTGCGGCAGCTCAGCTAGAAAGTTTGATGGTAGACGTTTCCTCAATCTACTTCATCAAACTGAAAAATTTATATTATTAACTGCATAAAATTTCTGATGCATCAACCTGGGATGTACAGGGGAGTATCACAGAGAAGCAAAAACAAACTGGGAGATAGGTTTGTTCCTGTTTTGTGCTCACCCTGCCCCATTACTCCATGACCAATAGGAATATGGAGAGCCTCTTGAGAAGGGAACAAATTTTTATGCCTTCTTTTCCATAACCCTTATATGAGAAGGAACAAAACCTGCTCTTTACAACCACCAGATCAGCATTATGGGATCTGAATAAATAAAGCTTTCCAAATTGGAATTTCAAAATCAGAGCCATGTAGAGCACAAGTAAATAGATTCTAAGTACAAATTTCAGCAAGGGCAGTGGGTACACAGAAAAACAGATCAATTATTTTAAAGATATCCACACACATGGAAGCATGATACAGATTAAGACTGGGAAAAAAATCTTTGTGTCCTATTCTGAAATCATGTTTGATGCTTACTGTAAAGGTCACATGGTGTTAAATTAGCACTTTGATATACAGAAAGTATAAATGGCAATGGAATAATTAAAGCACTCTCAACAAGAAGCATACTTTTGAATGAATTAGGTCATTGAAGGTTATTAAAGCTTGCACCATGTAAGTTTGGAGTGGTGTCATGGTAACCATTTATCACGTTTGTTTCCCAAACATATTTTGGAGCCCACATCAAACATCAAACAACATGAGTATGTCAAAAGACCAGCTAAGACCAGAAATAGGTAAAGTTAATGATTATGCAAATTTGAACCTTTGCTTTCCGAAGGTAAAAAATCTATATAAAAATCAGTACTTGTTTCTCTCTATCCTATTTTAGTCTCAACTGTTGGGTAAGAATTCTTAACTATATTTTCATTTTTAAATCCAGTAGTCATATATCTAAAACTCATAATTAATTTTACTTTATGTTAGGTTTTAACTTTTTTTTAAGAAAAGGAAGTATACAATTTGGTATTTCATAACAAAGTAAATATTTACAAAGTATCTTAGGAGATAATTTAAAAGTTTTTTGCCATCTGAATTATCTTTTCCCCTCAGACTTATTGAGGTATAACTGACAGATAAAAATTGTATATATTTAAGGGATACAAAATGATTTTTAATGAGTAGTAAAATGATTACCACAGTCAAGCTAATTGACATATTCATCACCTCACATAGTTACCCTTTTTGTGTGTGGTGAGAATATTTAAGAGCTACTCTCTTAGCACTCCACTTATTTTAAATATAACTCAATGGTCTATAACAGAAAAATGGTCAAAATGGTCTATAACCTAGTCTAGTCTGACACTAGACTAGGTTCCAGGTTAGTTTTGTTTTTGTTTGAAAAACATCTAATTTCATATATCTTTTACAAAGCATTGTTAAGCAATATCACAAATTAGTCATAGATTATTTTTAATGTTGGGTGCAGATGCAAAATACACAGAGGAGTCTCAAATACATATGTACACTCTAGGGAAGATGAAAATGTCCTATATCTGTGCTGTCTAATAAATCCACTAACCACATCTTGCTGTTGAACATTCGAAATGTGACTAGTACAACTGAGAAAAAATTACTAAACGTTTAGGGATAAATTTTTCAAAAGACAAGGAGCCATGTACACTGAAAACTATGAAACATTACTGAGAGAAATGAAAAGACAAATCATAGACTAAGACAAAAATTTGCAAAGCACGTATCTGATAAAGAACTTGTATCCATCTGGGCACGGTGGCTCACACCTGTAATCCCAGCACTTTGGGAGGCCAAGGTGGGCAGATCATCTGACGTCAGGTGTTCAAGACCAGCCTGGCCAACATGGTGAAACTCCATATCTACTAAAAAAAAACAAAAAATTAGCTGGGCATGGTGGTGTGCACCTGTAATCCCAGTTATTCAGGAGGCTGAAGCAGGAGAATCACTTGAACCCAGGAGGCGGAGGTTACAGTGAGCCATGATTATGCCACTGCACTCCAGCCTGGGCAACAGAGTGAGACTGTCTCAAACAAAACAAAACAAACAAACAAAAAAAACAAACCACTTGTATTCTGAATACGTAAGGACCTTTCAAACTCAGTAATAATATGATTTCCTCATAAAATGGGCAAAATATTTGAACAAGCACCTCACCAGAGAAGATGCATGTAGGGAAAATAAGCACATGAAAAGATGCACAACATCATTAGTCATTAAGAAAATGCAAATGACAGCCATAATGAAACATCCCTACACACAGATGGTTAGAATTAAAAAGACTGATCACATCCAAGTTTTGGTGAGGATGTAGAAAAACTGGAACTTTCATATACAGCTGACGGGAATATAAAATGGTGCAACCACTTTGGAAAGCAATTTGGCAGTTTCATGACAAGTTAAACATGCACCTACCACGTGATCCAGCTATTCCACTTCTAGCTATTTACCCAAGAATGATGAAAGCAAAACGTCCATACAACAACTTGTACTTGAATGCTCACAGCAGCTTTAAAAACAATATCTCAAAACTGAGAACAACCCAAATGTTCATGAACAGATGAATGGATAAACAAATTGTGATATATCCACATGATAAAATACTATCCCCAAATTTTACAAATTATGTCTTGATACATACACCTAATGGATGAATCTCAAAATAATTATGCTGATATTTCTTCTGTGGATTTCAAGATCTCTCAAGAGGCTCTCACTAGACACATTCTCAATACTGTCATTAGTATTCCTAATATTGCTGTGAGACAGGCAGGTGGCAAGGATTATTATCCCTTATCACTCGCCAGCAGCCTAATGTGTCTATATGCATGGAGAGGTTTGGGGAGCAGGAATGAGGGCAGTTTATCATTAGCACAAAACAGCATTTTCAACCTTGTACACCCTTCTACAACATATCGTAGAATTACTTCCAAGTTAGTTTTGCTGGAGTTAGGAATCTGAAAATTCCTTGTTTGGGAATTTTCCAATCTTGGTGTTTATAAGCCATCGGCATGCAGTTTTAAATTTAAATAACATCGTTTTTCCTTTGATTCATTGCTTCCATAAACAGTGTTAAGTATAGAATTATAAGTATGAATCAGTTATGTAAGCTTCAGGGCTTCCCCTTCAATAACTACACTGCTATTTGATTGTCTTGCACGCAGGCACATATTAACCATATATTAGCTATTTATGATTGAGTTAGAATGAATTCCCCTTCCCTGTATTGTTACCGACATTAATTTTCTATAAAGAGATATTGACAGACTCAACTTCACTACATTTAATGTTAAAAATTAATAACAAATGATCCATCCACAGAGTTATTTTTATCTTGGAAAATCCAAATTGGAATGTTTCTTATCTCAGGTTTTTTATAATGTATTTTGTTAAACTTTGCTGGAAATCAAAAATTCTTCTTTCGTTACATATTTTAAAGGCCTACTAATAAAATGTAGCCTATTTTTAATGTGGCAGTTCTGGAGAAAAATGTGGAAGTTTGCATCAAGAAGCTTGTGGGTACATTTCACGGAATAACCAAAGTTATGTAAATACTGTGCAGGCAGAAAAAAAAGTTTATCCCATTGAAGGTAGAACATTTGGTAAATTAGTTTAAGAGTAATTTTTCTCCAGGTTGTGCCCCTGAAAAACTTACAATTAAGTTTGTGCTCTGAGAGTCAAATTATAAATTGTTATAAAATTATTTATAAAACATAAAATTGTCAAGCTATTTTCTGGCTTTTGTACTCATCATCATCTTCGTCATCTTCTGCCTCTATTTAGCCAACGGCAGTAAGTTGTTTCAAGTCTTCTATGGTTAGATCATCAGAGTAAGAGTCTTGTAGCTCTTCCACATCTTCATTTTCTACCTCCTCAAATCCAACCTGCTTTGCTAGGTCAACACAGCTTGCCTTAATTTTTAATAAAATTGCTTGGAAACTTCAAATCCTTCAAATTCATGAATTAAGTTATGGAGAGTTTTCTACCACAATAATGCAAGTATTCTTTTATTACATCATTCCAGGTTTCTACAATGTCCATTTTGACAGTAATCCCTTCCAAAATTCTGCAACACTTTCTGCATTCTCACCGTCAGTAGCAGCAATTAACATCTCTTAAATGTTCACTTTAAATGTTAACAGATACCATCTCACACCAGTCAGATGGCTGTTATTAAAAAATCAAAAAATAAATAGATGCTGCCGAGGTTGTGGAGAAGAGGGAATGCTTATACACCGCTGATAAGACTGTAAATTAGTTCAGCCATTGTGGGAAGCAGTCTGGCGATTTCTCAAAGAACTTAAAACAGAATTACCATTCAACCCAGCAATCCTACTATTGGGTATATACCCAGAAGAATATAAATCATTCTACTACAAAGACACATGCACATATGTTCATTGCAACACTATTCACAATAGCAAAGACATGGAATCAACCTAAATGCCCATCAATAGGAGACTGCATAAAGAAAATATGGTACATAAACATCATGGAATACTATGCAGCCATAGAGAAGAACAAGATCATGTTCATTGCAGCAACATGGATGCAGCTGGAGGACATTATCCTAAGTGAACTAACGCAGGAACGGAAAACCAAATACTCTATGTTCTCAAATTACAAGTGAGAACTAAACAGAGAATACATATAGACACAAAGAAGGAAACAACAGACACCAGGGCTTACTTGATGGTGGAGGATGGGAGGAGGGTGAGGACAGAAAAACTAACTATTGATTACTTTGCTTATTACCTGGGTGATGAAATCATCTGTACGCCAAACCCCAGCAACCCACAATTTACGTGTGTAACAAACCTTCACACGTACCCCTGACCTAAAATAAAAGTAAAAAAAAAAAAAAGTCTTAAATTCTGCTATCACACAGAATGTCACAATTAAGCTTTCGCAGCCTTAAATTATGGGGAATGGTGTTCTGTCTTGGAGATGGAGGTTCTTAAAGAAATTAGTTTATAATAGATACCTGTTTCATCAAAATTGAAAATTTGATTCAATGTATAGCCTTCTTTTTCAATTAACTTTCCCTATGAGTACTGGAAGCTATTTTGCAGCATTCTCTTCTGCACTTGTGGCTTTGCCCAACTGATGAAGGCCTTGGAAATTGCAGTGATGTTGGAAACCACCAAACCAGCTATATGCTAATACGACCAGTAAACAGAGCCAGTTTTGCAGGATTTGGCAATTTCTATGTAAAGTGTTCTTATATAGAGAGTTTTCACTTACATTGCAAGAAAAGTTATTCCCAATTCTTTTTTGCTGTTGTTCTTTAATCTATATGTCCAACAATCTTTCCACTTAAGAAAACGTTTTTTATTGCTCTAGGCTTTGTACTTATTTGACATCATAGCACTTGAAGTTGTTGCAAGCATAAAACTTTCTTTTATTTTTACAGCACAGACCTTTGTTTTATTTTTGTAGCATTGTCTCTGATGGTCCACAGTATAATGCCTTTATTTCTGTTGCTCAGGAGATATCACATATCCTCTCTTTTTTTTTCAAAATGCTGTATTATTTCAATTTGCTCCTGAAAATGTAAAGCTTTCAATTGCACACACTGCTTCGCTATTTTATTTATTTTATTTTTATTTTATTTTATTTTATTTTATTTTATTTTATTTTATTTTATTGAGACAGGGTCTCATTCTGTCTCCCAGGATGGAGTGCAGAGGCACAATCATGGCTCACTGCAGCCTCGACCTCCTGGGCTCAGGTGATCCTCTCTCCTCAGCTTCCCTGGTAGCTGGGACTACAGGTGCGTGCCATCACGCCCGGCTAATTATTTTATTATTTTATTTTTGTAGAAACAGGACTTCACCATGTTGCCCAGGCTAGTCTCGAACCCCTGGGCTCAAGTGATCTGCCCGCCTCGCCTTTCCAAAGTGCTGGGATTACAGGCGTGTGCCACTAGGCCAGGCCCTGCTTGGCATTTTTAAACCAGTAAGATTTGACAGTTTGGGAAGTCGGATGAGTGGTTTTTCAAGATAATTCACAAATGCAAAAGAATAGCAAAACCCGAGGAAAATACACGAGGTGAGTGGAGGTGGCAGTTTCTGGTGTGTGCAAGTGAGCATTTTGTGCATTCCCCTGGTTCAAATCAGTGGGGTTCAGGTTTCTTCACTCATGCATAAGCACATGATATTCATGTTATACTCAAATTGTTCCCTAATATGACAAATGCTTTGGAACAAATTCTCATTTTGAAATAAGTGCTTATCACTACTGATTTATTACACTACCTAACTCAGATATCCCATGGGACATTCAAGTCAACATGTTGAAAAGTTAGCTCATTACTTTTTTCTTTTTCTTTCTTTTATTTTCTTTCTGCTTTGTTTGTTCTAACCAACTTGTTCCTGCCCTATGTTTCTACTTCAGTGAGTGATAACATCAAGATCTGCATTGATTAAGCCATAAACCTGGGTTTTATCTTTACCTTCCTTGTCTCCTCGTCTATATCCTGTCTATTCCGCACCCTAAGCACTTTGAGAATCTTTTGAATTCTTCACATCACCACTACCACTCCCTTAATTAACAATACCACTCCTTTCTCAACTGGATTATTAATTCAGCCTCGCAAATTCTAAAGCTAGTCTTCTCTCATCCATTTTTATCTCTGCAACCAATTACATTTCTAAATTATAAATTTGATCTTATCTCTCCCCTGTTTAGAACCTGGCCCTAGCTCCCCATTGACAATGAGATAAAGTTTAATTATTCTTTTCTTTTCTTTTTTTTCTTTTGAGAAAAAGTCTCACTCTGTCACCCAGGCTGGAGTGCAGTGGCACCATCTCAGCTCACTGCAACCTCCACCTCCTGGGTTGAAGCGATTCTCGTGCCTCAGCCTCCCGAATAGCTATGATTACAGGCACCTGCCACCACACCTGGCTAATTTTTGTGTTTTTAGTGGAGACGGAGTTTCACCACATTGGCCAGGCTGGTTTCAAACTACTGACCTCAGGTGATCCACCTGCCTCAGCCTCCCAAAGTGCTGGGATTACAGGCGTGAGCCACCGCACCTGGCCATAAAGTTTAATTTTTAAAATATGGCTTAGGAGGCATTTTCTTCAACCCCCAGTGAACCCTGAAAATCTGAGACAGGTCTCAGTTAATTTAGAAAGTTTATTTTGCCAAGGTTGAGGACATGCACCCACAACACAGCCTCTGGAGATCCTGACGACATGTGCCCCAGGTGGTTGGGGCACAGCTTGGTTTTATACATTTTAGGCAGACATGAGACATCAATCAATATACATAAGCCGTATGTTGGTTTTGTCCAGAAAGGTGGGACAACTCGAAGCAGGGAGGGGGCTTCCAGGTCATAGGCAGATGAGAGACAAATGGTTTCATTCTTTTGAGTTTCTGATTAGCCTTTCCAAAGGAGGCAATCAGATATGCATCTATCTCGTGAGCAGAGGGATGACTTTGAATAAAATGGAAGGCAAGTTTGCCTAAGCAGTTACCAGCTTGACTTTTCCCTTTAGCTTGGTGATTTTGGGACCCCAAGATTTATTTTCCTTTCACACCCCTGACTCTTCCAGCCTCATCTCTTATAACTCCTGCCCTCACACTTAGTTTCAGATCTCAATACATTCTGTCCTTTCTGTTTCTCCCTATCCCAATAATTTGACTCTCAGGTCTTGTTCAGATAATCTTCCCTTTTTGAACTTTTCCCTTATCCCATTGGTCTAAGCAAGATACACCTACCTGGTGCTTCCATAGCACTTTTCTCTGTCAAGGTATTTGTTGCATAATTGTACTTTGCTGATTACTCATCACTTATCACCTCAAACAGGTGCTGTGCTCTTGTTCATTGTTGAATCCCTGGAACCTAACATGTGACTTAACATACAATAGCAGCTCAATGAAAGTTTGTTAGCAGAGTTGAATGAGGGTGGTCTAACGGTATATTTCAACCTCAGGCAATCAAAACCTTACCATACTGTTTAGCCCAGGCAAGTTTAACTTGGGCTACCCTAAGCATGGTCAGAGGTTTATCTGGTGTCCTACACAAAATATGAAGCTTTTGTACATATTTTAGAGGTATCTTAACATGGAAGGAGTGACTGTGTTCTGCTCCTAAAACTCTGTTCAAACATCCGGAGTTTCTTAGTTCCTATCCATATGATAGCCTTATTCCGGAAGAAGTTTCAATTTACATTATGTTCCTAGAGAAATGTGTGTTATACAGACTTAAAGAAACTTGAAAAATCATGTGTTTCAATCACCTTACTTTAAAGAAACTGAGACAGAGTTTTAGTTATTTGGTTTTTTTCAGCTTTATTGAAGTATAATTGACAAATAATATTAGGTACTTGCTAAATAACATACAGCTTTTGGTGGCAGAGCTGGGATTAAAACTCGAGTCTTCAGATTTCCACTTTAGAATTTTGGGGGTCACTACTCTTTTTCAAGCCATACTCATATAAATCTTAAAACCATACTCATTTTAAAATCTTAAAAGAAATTTAAGATTTTAGAGCTCTATCTTGCAGTTAGTTTCAAAATTTTTATGCTGTGAAGATCATTTACCACACAGCTTCTTGTTATATTTGTAAAACCAATTTAATTTAAAATAGTGAACACCATACTAAATTTTAATTATAATTTTAGCATGAATGCACTTTACTATTTCTTGGGATATCAGCACAGAAAATGATTAACGATTCTTTTTGACTTTTAAATCAATATTTATTGGCATTATTTATTGACTTATCAACAACAAATACTGTAAATATTTAATTTTGAGTATAAACCAAGAACTTTCTGGAAGCAAAGATTAGAACCCTTCCTCAGTGGAAACACTAATGAGTTTCATCTGAAAGCACTCATGACAGCAAGAGCAACAGAAATCTCACACAGGTAGAGAGCTATCTACGCCAGCCTCATCATAGGGACTAATTTATGTACTTTAGGAATCAGAAAAAATCCAAATATCCTCTTGCAGCAAGTTTATCTTGTTTTTCCCTTAGCAGACATTAACAACACTATTTTTAAAATTTTTCTTTTTTAGAGATGGGGTCTTACTATGTTGCCCAGGCTGGTCCCAATCTCCTGGGCTCAAGAGATCCACTTCCTAGGCCTCCCAAAGTGTTAGGACTACAGGCATGAGCCACTGCACCTGACCAACAAAACTCACTATTATGATGACTCAATAACTACCTGCCTTGGGTTGTGATCAGCCTACCACCTCTCTCTTCACTCTGGAGTTTGTTTCACTTTATTACGGGACTTCCACTTTCCACCCTTCTCATGTGTAACTTCTTCAGGCTCACAGACCCTTATCTCAGCCTAAAGGGTCATTTTGTTAGTAGCTAGCTGAAGATTTTTAAAAAAGCATCCTAAGAAAGGGACATTGGTTATAATAGGCACTGTAATGGATTCATTCATGAATATGTGAATATATATCTATAAATTAATAAACTATATAATATATATGAGAGAATATAAGAACATAATATGATAAAATTGCAATGGATATATTTTTTTCTATTACTGCCTCTCTCTCTTTCTCTCCATATCTGCATGAGAAGTATGACAGGTCCCATATTTTTCTGATAACTTTTAGATGATTAAAAAAATGTCCTTTTATCACTTTTAGACTTTCTTCTATTTGGCAAACCCTCTCCTCTTCGTGTGTTGGAATGTCCCAGTGCTCAGTCCTCAGGCCTCTTCTCTCTGTTTATGTTCACCCTCTCAATCTCTTCTAGCCCTTGCGGCTTTAATATCTTCCACATCTTAATGACTTTCAAATGTCTGTTTGCAGACCCAGACACTTCCCTTAAATTCCAGACCCTCATATCCAACTGCTCACTTGACATCTTCACTTGATGTCCAAATGAACCCTTGACTTCTTCCCTAAATGGCTTTTTCCTCAGTCCCTCCCATTTCAATCAATTGCAAATGTATTTTTTTAGCTGCTTATACTTAAAACATCAATGTCCATTTTACTCTTTTTTTTCCCTCTCATACCTCCACAGCCAATCCATCAACAATTCCTGTTACCTCTTGTTTGTGAAATAGATTCAAAACTGAACCACTTCTTACAGCCTCTCCACTATCGACCTTGTCCAAGTCACTGTCATCTCTCACATGGATTATTTTAACTGCTTCAAAATTTGTCTTTCTGATGGTGCCCTTGCTCCCTACAACGTATTCGTGGCATAGCAGTCAAAGTAAACATGGAGACATTGTTTATAAAGTAAACACACAATGTAGATCATGTAATTTTTCTGCTCAAAACTCTGATAGTTCCTCATCTCATTCACAGTAAGACTCAGACTCTTCACCACCATCTAACTTCCCTATTCTCATTTTCTACCACTCACTGCATTATTTAATTCCATTTCAGCCTACCTGGCCTCCTGAAATCCACTTTATCAGACCAAGCATACACCTGGCTCAGGGCCTTTGCACTCACTCTTTCTTATGCCCAATACTTTCACACCAATTCAATGTTAAATAGCGCCTTCCTCTCCATTCCTTCCACCCCATGTCAGACTTTATTGCCTTTCTCTGCATTATGTTTTCTCAGACCACTTATCTGACATCACTTATTTATCTGTTTGTTGTCTAACTCCTCCTCTATAATTCAAGTATCATGAGATCAGAGATCTGGTGTATTTTTTACCACTGAAACTTTCACACCTCAAATAATGTAGACCTATAAGTGCTTAATAAACATATGTCAAATGAATGAAACAGTAAATACAGATATGTTATATAATATTATGCTACATGGTTAATTTCAGGGCCACTGGGAGTGAATTTAAAGACTACTCAGATTATTTTATATGTAATGACACTTTCGTTTGAAGTAGTTTATCTTGATATATGTAATTTTAGTAATTCAGCTTATATTTATTTCTTAGTATTTAATGTTTATAAAGTGTTCATAATTTGCTGTAAATGCTATAAAATAAGCAAAGAATTCATTCTCCACTAAGTGATAATAACATATGTATTTATAATAAAATTGATTTAACTAGGTTGTCATTTTCATTTTTCCAAATAGGAGTATGACTATTATGTGAAAAACTTATCATAACTTGGTAATATTGATGCTGCTGCTGATAATGATGATGATGAGGAGGAGGAAGGTTGAGAAGGGACCCACACCTTGAGCAAGCTTTGCTTTTCACAATCCTCTTTAATTCTATTAATAGGACCCAAGGAGAAGCTCCCACTCAGTCAGAGTAGGCCTACCCCTTCCCCAACATGATCAGTAAGTTCTGAACCATAGTTCCTCAACGTCTTCTGCTCAATTTTCAGAATTCGGAAAGGAGCCACATACATCTACCCTTTCCACTAAAACTCACTGACTTGAGTCCATCCACCAAGACTCACCTCATGATTTTTATTCCTGTTGCATCAACACCATAAGCATCTCTTAATTCCAGGTCTTTCTTCATTTCCCACTCTCTAATCCCCATAAGGCTCTGCCATTTCTTGATCCTATCTTTTTTTCCACACTTTTGTAACTTTTGAAATTCACCACGATTCTCTTCATCTTTTTCCTTCACTGAAAACCTGGCTCTCCTCTGAGGACACGGTTTCCCTTGCAGTCTTTCAAGCAGTGGCTGTATTTTCTCCCATAGCTCTAGAAATACTGGGATCTTAGGTTGGAATTTTAGTCTATTTACATTTAATATAATCACTGATAAAGTTGGATTTATGGGGTTTTTTTGTATATTGTATGTCTTACGTCTTTTTTTGTGTCTCTATTCTTCAAATACTGTTTCTTTTTGTATTAAGTAGCTATTTTCTGTGTTCCATTTTCATTTTCTTATTGTTTCTTTTACTTTACTTTTTAACTATTTTCTTAGTAGTTGCCCTGAGGCTTACAATTGATATCTTATTTTGAAACAACCTAGTTTGGATTAATATCAACTTAATTTCAGTAGTATACATAAACTTTGTCCTAGTGTAGTTCCAGTCCCTTTCTCCCTCCTTTGTGCTATTATAGTCATAGCACAAAGTCACAAATTACATTTTTACAGTTCTATCTACACAGTTTTGTAACTGGTGCTTTATGCAGTTGTCTTTTAAATCAGATATAAAAAGTCTTACAAACAAAAGTATATTTACATTGTCTTATATATTTACCTACATAGGTACCCTTATCAGGACTCTTCATGTTTTATGTGGATTCAAGTTACTACCTAATGCCTTTTTATTTCAGCCTGAAGGATTTCCTTTAGAATTTATTGTAGGATAGGTCTACTAACAATAAATTCTTGCAGCTTTTTAAAATCTGAGAATGTCTTAATTTCTCCTTCATTTTTAAAGAATAGTTTTGCTGAATGAAGAATTCTGTGCTGATAGTATTTGTCTTTCAGCAGTTTGAATATGTCAACTCATTTCCTGCTGGATTCTGCACTTTCTGATGACAAGTTAGCTATTAATCTTTTTTCAGTATGCCTTTTATGTGATGAGTCACTTTTCTCTTGCTGCTTTCAAGATTCTCTCTGTCTTGTTTGTCTTTTTGATGATTTGACTACAATGTGCCTAGATGTACATTTATTTTAGTTTATACTAGTTGGATTTTTTTGAGATTTTTGGATCAGCAAGTTAGTATTTTTCATCAAACTTCAGATGTTTTCAGTTGTTATTTCTTTAAATATTATCTCCCTCTTTTGGGGGGATACCCATTATATTGCTATACTTAATGGTATCCCACAGGTCTCTAAGGCTCTGTTCCTTTGTCTTTATTCTTGTTTTTTGTTTGTTTGTTTGTTTGTTTGTTTTGTTTTCTTCTCCTCAGATTCAGTAAGTTTCAATTGACTACTTTCTAGTTTGGTGATTCTCTCTTCTGACTCCTCAAATCTGCTGTTGAGTCCCTCCAGTGAATTTTTTATTTCAGTTATCGTACTTTTTAACTCCAGAAATTCTGTGAACTATGAAGCCAAGGTTGTGGTTAATTAGCTGTGTCTTTAATTTGTGTTTTCTATTTTGAGTATTATTCAGAAAGACAGATTAAATGGAAAATCCAGAGTGGTGTTCAGGTAAGACATTATCTTGCTGAATGGAGCAAAGACACTGCTTCTTTCTAAGATAAAGAGAGATACAAGGAAGAAAGATGAAGCTAGCTGAGCAAGAGTTTCCTTTGGAAACCTGGAAATATGACTGCCTAAGGAAGTCATATTTCTGTGTTCATATACTATTTTAATTCAAATATATAATTTAAGAATGGTAGAGAAACATATACTCAAATGGAAATAGAAAAAGTATTCAAAACCTGATGTATAATAGACTAGCATATCCACACAATGGAATACTGTTCAGCAAGAAAAGAAATAAAGTACTAATACATGCAGCAACATAGATGAATCTCAACTGTATAAAGCTAAGTGAAAGAGCCAGATTCAGAAGCCTACGTATTCTATGATTCCATTATGTGACAATCCAGAACAGACAAAATTATAGGAACAGGCAACAGATCAGTGGTTAATAGGCAATGGAGGAGGAGAGAAGAGATTGACTAAAAAGGAAAATGAGAAGATTGTTTTGAAGAACTGTTCTATGTTTGATTATAGTGATGGATTTGCAACTATATGCATTTGACAAAATATAGAACTGAGCAGTGTAATGGATGAATTATAGTTTATGTAAGTTATACTCAGTAAACATGACTTTAAAAAAAGCTAAATGGAAATTATTTTTAGTATCTATTACATATAATTAAAATAGAATCCAAAGATTCAATTAGAACTTTTCACATGTAGGGCCTTTCACTTATATTTGAAAATATATAGAATAGGAACAGCTCCAGTATACAGCTCCCAGCATGAGTGACGCAGAAGACGGGTGATTTCTGCATTTCCAACTAAGTTACCGGGTTCATCTCACTGGGAATTGTCGGACAGTGGGTGCAGTGCACCGAGTGTGAGCCGAAGCAGGGCGAGGCATCACCTCACCCAGGAAGCACAAGGGGTCGGGGAATTCCCTTTCCTAGTCAAAGAAAGTGGTGACAGATGGCACCTGGAAAATCAGGTTACTTCCACCCTAATACTGTGCTTTTCCAACAGTCTTAGCAAACAGCACACCAGGAGATTATATCCCGCGCATGGCTCGGAGGGTCCTATGCCCATGGAGCCTCATTCATTGCTAGCACAGCAGTCTGAGATCAAACTGCAAGGCAGCAGCGAGGCTGGGGAAGGGGTGACCGCCATTGCCGAGGCTTGAGTAGGTAAACAAAGCGGCCAGGAAGCTCAAACTGGGTGGAGCCCACCACAGCTCAAGGAGGCCTGCCTGCCTCTGTAGATTCCACCCCTGGGGGCAGGGCATAGCCAAACAAAACACAGCAGAAACCTCTGCAGACTTAAATGTCCCTCTCTGACAGCTTTGAAGAGAGTAGTGGTTCTCCCAGCATGCAGCTGGAGATCTGAGAACAGACAGACTGCCTCCTCAAGTGGGTCCCTGACCCCCGAGTAGCCTATCTGTGAGGCACCACCTAGTAGGGGCAGACTGACACCTCACACAGCCGGGTACTCCTCTGAGACAAAACTTCCAGAGGAATGATCAGGCAGCAACATTTGCTGTTCACCAATATCTGCTGTTCTGCAGCCTCTGCTGCTGATACCCAGGCAAACAAGGTCTGGAGTGGACCTCCAGCAACCTCCAACAAACCTGCAGCTGAGGGTCCTGACTGTTAAAAGGAAAACTAACAAACAGAAAGGACGTCCACACCAAAAACCCATCTGTACGTCATCATCATCATAGACCAAAGGTAGATAAAACCACAAAGATGGGGAACAAGCAGAGCAGAAAAACTGGAAACTCTAAAAATCAGAGCGCCTCTCATCCTCCAAAGCAATGCAGCTCCTCACCAGCAACGGACCAAAGCTGGATGGAGAATGACTTTGACGAGTTGAGAGAAGAAGGCTTCAGACGACCAAACTACTCCAAGCTAAAGGAGGAAGTTTGAACCCATGGCAAAGAAGTTAAAAACCTTGAAAAAAAATTAGACGAATGGCTAACTAGAATAACCAATGCAGAGAACTCCTTAAAGGACCTGATGGAGCTGAAAACCATGGCACGAGAACTACATGACGAATGCATAAGCTTCAGTAACCAATTCAATCAACTGGAAGAAAGGGTATCAGTGATGGAAGATCAAATGCATGAAATGAAGCAAGAAGAGAAGTTTAGAGAAAAAAGAATAAAAAGAAATGAACAAAGCCTCCAAGAAATATGGGACTATGTGAAAAGACCAAATCTACGTCTGATTGGTGTACCTGAAAGTGATGGGGAGAATGGAACGAAGTTGGAAAACACTCTGCAGGATATTATGCAGGAGAACTTCCCCAATCTAGCAAGGCAGGCCAACATTCAAATTCAGGAAATACAGAGAATGCCACAAAGATACTCCTTGAGAAGACCAACTCCAAGACACATAAATGTCAGATTCACCAAAGTTGAAATGAAGGAAAAAATGTTAAGGGCAGCCAGAGAGAAAGGTCGGGTTACCCACAAAGGGAAGCCCATCAGACTAACAGCTGATCTCTCGGCAGAAACTCTACAAACCAGAAGACAGTGCGGGCCAATTTTCAACATACTTAAAGAAAAGAATTTTCAACCCCGAATTTCATATCCAGCCAAACAGCTTCATAAGTGAAGGAGAAATAAAATCCCTCACAGAGAAGCAAATGCTGAGAGATATTGTCACCACCACGCCTGCCCTATGAGAGCTCCTGAAGGAAGCACTAAACATGGAAAGGAACAACTGGTACCAGCCACTGCAAAAACATGCCAAGTTGTAAAGACCATCGAGGCTAGGAAGAAAATGCATCAACTAACGAGCAAAATAACCAGCTAACATCATAATGACAGGATCAAATTCACACATAACAATATTAACCTTAAATGTAAATGGGCTAAATGCTCCAATTAAAAGACACAGACTGGCAAATTGGATAAAGTGTCAAGACCCATCAGTGTGCTGTATTCAGGAAACCCATCTCACGTGCAGAGACACACATAGGCTCAAAATAAAGGGATGGAGGAAGATCTACCAAGTAAATGGAAAACAAAAAAAGGCAGGGGTTGCAATCCTAGTCTCAGATAAAACAGACTTCAAACCAACAAAGACCAAAAGAGACAAAGAAGGCCATTACATAATGGTAAAGGGATCAATTCAACAAGAAGAACTAACTATCCTAAATATATATGCACCCAATACAGGAGCACCCAGATTCATAAAGCGAGTTCTTAGAGACCTATAAAGAGACTTAGACTCCCACACAATAATAGTGGGAGACTTTAACACCCCACCGTCAACATTAGACAGATCAATGAGACAGAAAGTTAACAAGGATATCCAGGAACTGAACTCAGCTCTGCACCAAGAGGACCTAATAGACATCTACAGAACTCTCCACCCTAAATCAATAGAATATACATTCTTTTCAGCACCACACCACACCTATTCCAAAATTGACCACATAGTTGGAAGTAAAGCAAAACTCAGCAAATGCAAAAGAACAGAAATTATAACAAACTGTCTCTCAGACCACAGGGCAATCAAACTAGAACTCAGGATTAAGAAACTCACTGAAAACCACTCAGCTACATGGAAATTGAACAACTTGCTCCTGATTGACTACTGGGTACATAAAGAAATGAAGACAGAAATAAAGATGTTCTTTGAAACCAACGAGAACAAAGACACAACATACCAGAATCTCTGGGACACATTCAAAGCAGTGTGTAGAGGGAAATTTATAGCACTAAATACCCACAAGAGAAAGCAGGAAAGATCTAAAATTGACACCCTAACATCACAATTAAAAGAACTAGAGAAGCAAGAGCAAACACATTCAAAAGCTAGCAGAAGGCAAGAAATAACTAAGATCAGAGCAGAACAGAAGGAAATAGAGACACAAAAAACCATTCAAAAAATCAATGAATCCAGGAGCTGGTTTTTTGAAAAGATCAACAAAATTGATAGACTGCTAGCAAGCCTAATAAAGAAGAAAAGAGAGAGGAATCAAATAGGTGCAATAAAAAATAATAAAGGGGATATTACCACCAATCCCACAGAAATAGAAACTACCATCAGAGAATACTATAAACACCTCTACGCAAATAAACTAGAAAATCTAGAAGAAATGGATAAATTCCTCGACACATACACCCTCCCAAGACTAAACCAGGAAGAAGTTGAATCTCTGAATAGACCAATAACAGGCTCTGAAATTGTGGCAATAATTAATAGCTTACCAACTAAAAAAAAGTCCAGAACCAGATGGATTCACAGCCGAATTCTACCAAAGGTACAAGGAGGAGCTGGTACCATTACTTCTGAAACTATTCCAATCAATAGAAAAAGAGGGAATCCTCCCTAACTCATTTTATGAGGCCAGTATCATCCTGATATCAAAGCTGGGCAGAGATACAACAAAAAAAGGGAATTTTAGAGCAATATCCCTGATGAACATCGATGCAAAAATCCTCAGTAAAATACTGGCAAACCAAATCCAGCAGCACATCAAAAAGCTTATCCACCATGATCAAGTGGGCTTCATCCCTGGGATGCAAGGTTGGTTCAACATACGAAAATCAATAAACGTAATCCAGCATATAAACAGAACCAACAACAAAAACCACATGATTATCTCAATAGATGCAGAAAAGGCCTTTGACAAAATTCAACAACCCTTCATGCTAAAAACTCTCAATAAATTAGGTATTGATGGGACGTATGTCAAAATAATAAGAGCTATCTATGACAAACCCACAGCCAATATCATACTGAATGGGCAAAAACTGGAAGCATTCCCTTTGAAAACTGGCACAAGACAGGGATGCCCTCTCTCACCACTCCTATTCAACATAGTGTTGGAAGTTCTGGCCAGGGCAATCAGGCAGGAGAAGGAAATAAAGGGGATTCAATTAGGAAAAGAGGAAGTCAAATTGTCCCTGTTTGCAGATGACATGATTGTATATCTAGAAAACCTGATCATCTCAGCCCAAAATCTCCTTAAGCTGATAGGCAACTTCAGCAAAGTCTCAGGATACAAAATCAATGTGCAAAAATCACAAGCATTCTTATACACCAATAACAGACAAACAGAGAGCCAAATCACGAGTGAACTCCCATTCACAATTGCTTCAAAGAGAATAAAATACCTAGGAATCCAACTTACAAGGGACGTGAAGGACCTCTTCAAGGAGAACTACAAATCACTGCTAAATAAAATAAAAGAGG
The DNA here is from genome assembly GCF_000001405.40 of Homo sapiens. Taxonomy (NCBI): domain Eukaryota; kingdom Metazoa; phylum Chordata; class Mammalia; order Primates; family Hominidae; genus Homo; species Homo sapiens. The sequence goes on from NC_000012.12 coordinate 63,244,877, forward strand.
ATACAAACAAATGGAAGAACATTCCATGCTCATGGGTAGGAAGAATCAATATCGTGAAAATGGCCATACTGCCCAAGGTAATTTATAGATTCAATGCCATCCCCATCAAGCTACCAATGACTTTCTTCACAGAATTGGAAAAAACTACTTTAAAGTTCATATGGAACCAAAAAAGAGCCTGCATTGCCAAGTCAATCCTAAGCCAAAAGAACAAAGCTGGAGGCATCACACTACCTGACTTCAAACTATACTACAAGGCTACAGTAACCAAAACAGCATGGTACTCGTGCCAAAACAGAGATATAGACCAATGGAACAGAACAGAGCCCTCAGAAATAATGCCACATATCTACAACTATCTGATCTTTGACAAACCTGACAAAAACAAGAAATGGGGAAAGGATTCCCTATTTAATAAATGGTGCTGGGAAAACTGGCTAGCCATATGTAGAGAGCTGAAACTGGATCCCTTCTTTATACCTTATACAAAAATTAATTCAAGATGGATTAGCGACTTAAATGTTAGACCTAAAACCATAAAAACCCTAGAAGAAAACCTAGGCAATACCATTCAGGACATAGGCTTGGGCAAGGACTTCATGTCTGAAACACAAAAAGCAATGGCAACAAAAGCCAAAATTGACAAATGGGATCTAACTAAACTAAAGAGCTTCTGCAAAGCAAAAGAAAGTACCATCAGAGTGAACAGGCAACCTACAGAATGGGAGAAAACTTTTGCAATCTACTCATCTGACAGAGGGCTAATATCCAGAATCTACAATGAACTCAAACAAATTTACAAGAAAAAATCAAACAACCCCATTAAAAGTGGGTGAAGGATATGAACAGACACTTCTTAAAAAAAGACATTTATGCAGCCAAAAGACACATGAAAAAATGCTCATCATCACTGGCCATCAGAGAAATGCAAATCAAAACCACAATGAGATACCATCTCACATCAGTTAGAATGGCGATCATTAAAAAGTCAGGAAACAACAGGTGCTGGAGAGGATGTGGAGAAATAGGAACACTTTTACACTGTTGGTGGGATTGTAAACTAGTTCAACCATTGTGGAAGTCAGTGTGGCGATTCCTCAGGGATCAAGAACTGGAAATACCATTTGACCCAGCCATCCCATTACTGGGTATATACTCAAAGGATTATAAAACATGCTGCTATAAAGACACATGCACATGTATGTTTACTGTGGCATTATTCACAATAGCAAAGACTTGGAACCAACCCAAATGTCCATCAATGATAGACTGGATTAAGAAAATGTGGCACATATACACCATGGAATACTATGCAGCCATAAAAAATGATGAGTTCATGTCCTTTGTAGGGACATGGATGAAGCTTGAAACCATCATTCTCAGCAAACTATCACAAGGACAAAAAACCAAACACCTCATGTTCTCACTCATAGGTGGGAATTGAACAATGAGAACTCATGGACACAGGAAGGGGAATGTCACACACTGGGGCCTGTTGTGGAGTGGGGAGAGGGGGGAGGGATAGCATTAGGAGATATAAATAATGTTAAATGACGAGTTAATAGGTGCAGCACACCAACATGGCACATGTATACATATGTAACTAACCTGCACATTGTGCACATGTACCCTAGAACTTAAAGTATAATAATAAAAAAAGAAAATATATAGAATAGGAAGTATTTAATGATCCAAAATCTACTGAGGCTTATAAAACTTAAAGATTATTCCCAAGCAATACCAATTCATGGAAAAAGTTTCTTTTTACAGCTTTCAGTGGGATCCTTCATTGCCCTGTAACAGTAAAGGAGGCTGTTCATGCACTTTTCATCAGGACATTCAGTAGTATGGTGGATTTGCTTTGATTAACTGTTAATAATTTGAATATGTAATCACCATCCCTTTTCTTTTGCAGTGATTTAAAACTTCTTAGTATGACTAATATGTCAGAATTTTAAGATCAATAGTCTTCCAATCATTAAACTTGAAATGGAACAAAAGGATATTTTCATGAAGTCAGAAAAATTTAAATTACAAGAGGTGAAAAATTATTTGATTTTTTCTTTTCTTTTCTCATTTTTATAGGCTCCCCTATCTTCCTGGTACAATGCCCTCAGTGGTGTCATGCAAGGAGGAGAGCTTTTGCTGTGGGCACAGCCCTCAGAGGCAAGTTTTCTTAATTTATTTTTGCTTCAATATTGAGTTACTGCTCCTCAAGTCACCTGGCTCTCCAGAACATGAAATTTATAGATATGTGACATCATGAGACTCTTCCAATCTAAAACCTAGGCTTATTTAGATACACAAATATATTTCCCCTCTTGCTTCTATTAACTTTGTATAACTTGGTCCATTAATCTATCTCTAATACAATATCAGGTTTAATGTTCTCATTTGGTAATTATTTATTATCTTACATAAAATTGTCTAATTTATCAATCTCTACCTCTTTTATCTAAAGTTGAGATACTTCTGTTACTCCCATTTGTATAGAAAAGCTAGAATTATCAAATACCCAATTGTTTCGTGACAATTAAACATTTTAAAGTTATATTTAGACTGCATGTGCAGAGCATATGTTAGCTTACAAAGGAAATTAACCTCTTTATTCAAATGAACATCACTAAGTTAATTTTGAGTGGATAGCTAATGAGATTACATGGATAAGATTTTTTTTTAAAGGGCATCACCCTGGGTCAAACCAATATATATTTTCCCATAACAATTATCTTCTTAATGGGTATTGCTTTGTAGCAAATTACTTGCCTGGGACTCGTGACACAGGCCAGTAGTAGCAATATAAATGTTAGAACAGTTGCTTTGAGTAAGGTAATGAAAGATATGTTTCATTTTGTATATGCTGTTTTGTGGTACAAAGAGCTTAATCTACAACTTTATATTCATACAACTGAACCAAGACACTTTGCATTTTTCCTTAACAGTTTCTTAACTCTGATTCCATAAAGCTATTTACCTTAGAGACAGTGGCTTTTTCTATGTTAAGAGTGGGACAGATTTCCTACAGAGAGTATGTGACTTACCTGTGAAGCTTTACAATAAAAGTTATATAATAATAAAAATCATGATGATAGCTAACCTTTTTTGATCACTTACATTTCTTGGAATAATATTCAGTTAAGAATTTGTAGGGAAAACTTTAGTATATCATAATATTCATCTTTAAAAATTCCAGAATATATTTTTACAAAGATGCTAAGATGAAATCATCTGATACTTGGAGTCAAACAAAGTTACATTACAAAACCGTTAAAAACTTGGTTTAGTGTGTGACACCTGGTAATTTGCTGAACTTCTATGAGATTGACCCAACACAGAGATTAGTCTATGCCATTTGTATATATTTACTTATATTCACTTATTGAGTAGAGATGAGGTAGCTACTTTTATTAACCTCATTTTAAAGATGAGGAAACCGAGTTTTAAAAGGCTCTAATAACTTGCCTAAGGTCCCAGAGGTAGGACTAGAACACATGCAGTTCGGCTCCATGGCAAGTTCTAACCAAGACTTGGATCACTTCAAATGACCCAGCCTACAGAGTATTCAGTTTAAAACTCTGGTGTTCGTCCATTTGATTCTGTGTTGAAGTAGCATGAGTAAATTCCACCATAAAATAATGGTTCTCACCCATAAGAGGTGTTTTGGGTGGTGATCCCTAGGGTCTGAAAAGTGTCTCTCTCCGTGGCCAGGTATGTAGGCAGCATGATAACTCAGAAAATAGAGCTCACTAAATGGCCTCTGATGGTGAAAATGGCAAGGAAACTCCTTGGAGTAACATTTAGTTAAAAACGTGTAAGGAAAATTAAATATCTCAGAATTTTCTATCTAAATTCCAGAATACTTTTTTCTTTTGCAAAAAATGCTATAATGAAATTATCATGATAACTTGGAGTCAAACAATGAAAGTTCAATGGTGAAACTGTGATAAACTTGAGTTAGTGTGTGATATGGAGTGATTTGCTAATCTTCTATGAGACTTTAATAATCTCTCGTGTGTGTGTGTGTGTGTGTGTGTGTGTGTGTGTGAGAGAGAGAGAGAGACAAGGTCTCACTCTTGTCACCCAGGCTGAAGTGCAGTGGTGCAATCTTGGCTCACTGCAGCCTTGACTTCCAGAGCTCAGGTGATCCTCCCATTTTAGCCTATCGAGTAGCCTGAACTACAGGTGTGTGCCACCACACTCAGCTAATTTTCTGTATTCTTAGTAGAGACAGGTTTTGCCATGTTGCCCAGGCTGGTTTTGAACCCCTGGGCTCAAGCAATCTGCCTGCCTTGGCCTCCCAAAGTTCTGGGATTACAGGTATGAGCCACCACACCTGGCTCCTCATCTCTTATTTAGGAGATTGAAATAGATAAAAAGGTCCTTTCAGTGTTAAAAATTTGTTATATTATTTAAATTTTTCTCAACAACTGGAAAATGCCATTCTAATTAAAACACATTTTAAAATCCTATGACTTATAAAATTATACTTGAAACCAAAATACCATAAGTCAAATTTAGTTTTGTTTTAAAGCATGCAATGCTTTACACTTGAAATTTTTACTAAAATTTCATCAGGACTAATTCAAAATCTAGGGAGAAGTTTGAAATGAAGAGAAATGCAGTTTAAAATATATTTTCATTTTACCTGAAAAATAATAAACTATTTTAAAAAATAAAATGATCAAATTGGAATGTAATAATGTTCTCATCATTCCTTGGACAGGCATATTGTTTAGAGAATGTCTGTCTGTTTGGAACTCCATTGCACATTTGAGTCAGATACAACTCCTCAAACAATATGAACATTTTTAGATATTTCATGAATGAGTATTTAGGTTTCTATGGCAAGCCAAAGAAAGATCAGTCCAAATGTGCATCTGAAAAATACAGCAAGGCACAATTCACCTTATTTCTCTTTGAGTAAACTGTCACTTAAAATAAACGCTGTGTCTTGATACTGTCAAATAATTTTATTCATTTTTGAACCAATGTATCTTCACTGAGAAATGTTAAGTGTTCCATCACTGTCCAAGGATTAGTAACTGCTAGTAAAAAAATTAAGAGAAATATTTAAATTACAAGGCATGATAGTAACTTTGTTCTGATGTTTTCCCTAAATATACTGTACTAATCTTCACTTTTTAAAACCCTTTAAAAAGGAGCACTTTATATTTTTATGCTTCCATAAAATTAAGGATTGAGTATGTGGATTTTTAATGGGGGCTTACCAGTATATATTTTATTCTTTTGCTATATCTGCACTAATACATTTTAGAGTCTGTTTAAGAAATAAACAAAACAAAAAAAGTTATTTTTCTCTCTCACATTCAGCAGAAAATATTAAAATAAGAAAATCCTAAGGATACTTATTGGATAATCTAACACCACTTCTTGGAAGAAATTACTTTATGCATCCTTAAGGATTCTATTTATCATTATTAAGTAGATTAGGACTGGAAGGAGAAATGATCTAGAATCAACTACTAAATTCAAAAGTATTTTTGAGGGTCTCTGAATGCATTTCACACTATGCATCATTCTGGCAGGGTTTATAGGAAACTGCCTTTGATATTCCATTTTACCGAGGGTGGTGGGGAAGTCCATTTGAAAAGACATGAATATAAAGTCACTGAACAGTGCCTTTGTAACTGGCTTTCCATGCAACCTGAGGAAAATGTTTTAATCTCTACTTTCCAACAAGAAATTAATTATTAATTCAAGTATCCATCCACATGCGTTAAGCATTTATTAATAATTGTGGTCTACTTCTGTCACGGAATGCTCTGTGGGTTAATCACTAGCCTGGGGGTTATGAAGGTGTGGATGGGAGTTATATGTGGAAGAAAGCCCACTCAGGAGAAGATGAAGATGAATCACGAGGAGTGCTTGCTGGCAGCCTATAAGGCCTCACTGGGTGGGGTTAACCTAGTGATGGCATCGGGTCCAGCATCTGGTCCTCAGCATTACATGCTTTAAAACAAAACTTTTTATCAGCAGTCGGTTCCCAGTCTCTGGCTGATGGATTAATGTTAACCAAACCTCACTGCAGACTTCTTTGTAAACCAGAATACAATGAATTCTTTCATAGAAAAGTGGGCAGTCTTTTTTCAGTGACCAAAATGATCAACGACACTACTCAAAGCATCCCAAAAGAGTAATCAGAACATGGCTGTCCTGACAAGGAATAAGGCAAAAGGGGGCAAGTATTCCTGAGAAGGATCTGACTAACAAATGTGCTGACCTTACAGCAAAGAACATGCTCTACAATTCTTCTGTTCCCAAAGTTGAGACACTGCTTCATTTTCTTTGCTTGTCCTCAACTTCTGGGTTGATACTTTCTTCTTCTCCTTTTTTTTTTTTTTTTTTTTTTGAGACAGCCTTGTTCTGTCACCCAGGCTGGAGTGCAGTGGCACTATCTCAGCTCACTGCAGCCTTTGCCTCCCAGGCACAAGCGATTCTCATGCCTCAGCCTCCTGAGTAGCTGAGATTTCAGGCATGCACCAGCTGATTTTTGTATTTTTTTAGTAGAGGCAGGGTTTCACCATGTTGGCCAGGCTGGTCTGGAACTCCTAACCTCAAGTGATCCGTCTGCCTCGGCCTCCCATTACAGGCATGAGCCACTGTGCCTGGCCCTGATACTTTCTTACTTAGATACAAATATTGATTGAGCCAAGTTACTTGTCCTTAGTCAACTAACTTGTTCCGAGGCTCAGAGACATTCTGTCTCCTCCCATCATGTGCTGATTTAAGTAGTTTATTTCTCAGAGGACAACGTTGTCACTCCTACCTCTAAATTCTCCGGGGCATCTCACTCTGCCTTCACATACTGTCTATAAAAGTTCTCAGCATGTCATGGGAGAAAGTTTAAAGTATGATTTTTCTAGAATATTTGAAGAATACCAAAATATACAAAACTATAATTCAGAGCATAAAATTTTGTCAAAATAACCAATGAATATAAATAAAAGTTGCTCTAAATTTGCTAAAACACTTAAATCATAAGTTAAGATAGTAATACAAAATATTTGCATTTAGGTTGAGTAATAGTTTTTGAACATTTCAGTGATGGGCTTCAGAAGCACAGGTATACTAGTGCTATTATTACCTGTGACTTTTTCTCTTAGCTGAATTACAAAGTAAAATCTTAGTCAAATAAACCAAATGGTTCTGCACATTTGACTGGCGCAGGACTCATGATTATTGTCTTAGATTCCTTTCTGTCAAGAAAAGTCCTAAGATCCTCTAACCCAGAAACAGCAAGGGTCATGTAAGAAAAGGAAGGAAAAAATGAATAGATCTCATTTGGGATTTCTCTGACTCCTGACTTTTCTGGCCACCTTCTGCCTGCCCTTGAAACTCCCCCAGCTTGATCTACAGATCATACTGGACTTGCCTTTGCATTTCTGCTGAGGTTTGTCATATCCTTCGACTCTTTAATCTTAGCTCGAATTCACAGTACTGTGGGTTCTGTTGCATCTCCATCACAGCGTCTCCTTAGGTTTAACCTCTGAGCCATCTCACTGGATTCAACTCAGGGCCAGCTGACCAAGGTTCCCCATATTCATGCTCCAGCCCTTCCCCTTCTTACTGGACTGGAGATCTGGCTTGGATGCCTCCTTTCCTGCTTGGATTTAACTCTATCTGATCCAGAGGGTTATGATCTATAGGTTCCAAAATGTATTCAACTGTGGTCCAACATAATCTTCAAGGAGTTGGGTCTCCAGCGACTTTGCATTGAGTACTACATGATGCATTTAGAGGCAAGGCAGCTTCTTCCTATATACATTCCTGTAAGTTCCCAAGTGAGTTATTGCTTTAAGAGGAGAAAATAAATTACAAAATGTGTAACATTCCTGCTGTACATGCCTCTTGTGCAGGCCACTCATGTGATGGCTGTTTTCTTTTCCATACCCCTCACATGATTAGGCCAGGAAGACAGGTAGGTGTCTATCTTTCTTTTTAGTATTGCCTCCAGACCATTATCTTTCCCCTCTTTATAAAAACATACAACTTTAAATTTCATGTCATAAGAGTATACTACCTATGACCTCTCCCTGTTGCAGTCAAGAATGTACCATCCCCTAGGTCACTTCCCCTCATCCCTTGAATATTTAACTTCAAGATCATCATCTCATCTTCAGCACTGCTTCTCCTGTCTTAACTATTGATGATTTAAAAATTTTTTAAAAATTGTTAAACATTTTTTGAGACAGGGTTTTGCTCTGTTGCGCCAGGCTAGTGTGCAGTGGCATGATCTTGGCTCACTGCAGCCTCTGCCTCCCAGGTTCAAGCGATTCTCATGTCTTCACCTCCCAAGTAGCAGGGATTACAGCTTGTGCCACCATGCCTGGCTAAGTTTTGTATTTTTTAGTAGAGATGGGGTTTCGCCATGGTTGGCCAGGGTGGTCTCCAACTCCTGGCCTCAAGTGATCCGCCCGCCTCGGCCTCCTAAAGTGCTGGGATTACAGGTGTGAGACACCACACCTGGTCCTCTTGGTGATTTTAATATATGCAAAGATGATTCTTCTATCACTTTGACTGGATAGGCCCTAGACTACCTGCCCTCCAATGATCTTTTGTTCCTCTCTCTCTCAGTCTGTCACTGATGGTCATCACAGATCCTGGCATTACCAATAACTACAACACCTCCATAATCTCAATTTAAAACACCGCACTTTCTTTTTTTTCTTTTTTCTTTTCTTTTCTTTCTTTTTTTTTTTTTTTTTTTTTGAGACGGAGTCTCACTAGGTTGCCTAGGCTGGAGTGCAGTGGCGCAATCTCGGTTCACTGCCAGCTCCGCCTCCCGGATTCACGCCATTCTCCTGCCTCAGCCTCCCGAGTAGCTGGGACTACAGGCGCCCGCTACCATGCCCATCTAATTTTTCGTATTTTTAGTAGAGATGGGGTTTCACCGTGTTAGCCAGGATGGTCTTGATCTCCTGACCTCGTGATCTGCCCGCTTCGGCCTTTCTATCAACTACAATCTTTCCAGCATATACCTGCTAGCACTTCAATTACAAAATCGTTTGACTTACCTTGAGAGCCTCATTTATCCTATCCTACTTGGATAGCACAGGATCTTTAGTTTATCTCCTTTTTTAGAATGAACTCCGTGGTCAAGGATTGTAATTATTCATCATGCACACTCTTAACACCATTGTCTCCTTTTTATTTTATTATAATGATACTCATTTTGCTAAAATATAACCCTAGGTAGTTCCAACTCTCCATTACTCTTCGTCTGCATTTTAGCAGCTGAATATGGCTAGAAAAGCTACAACCATGCCTATTGATCTAATTTTAAATTTATGATCCCAAATCTCATGTATACTGTTGGGCAATCAATCCATATTCCTCAGCTTTATTCACTCCCTTACTCTACTAGATAACTATTTCACATTAGTTCTTTTCTCAAACCTCCAATATATCTAGCTCACTCCCAAATTATGACTTTGCTGAAAGTTCACTAAGAAATATGAAGCAACAGATTCCAAATTTCCTCTATCACATCTAATCCCTTACCTGCAACTGGTTTATATCCTCTGCCTTCTCTTCTACTACGGATGAACTATTTACTCTCTCTGTTTCTCTCTCTCTCAGTCTTTCTCTGTCTTATCTCTACTGCATAATTCTCATTAGCATGCAACAATTTAATTTCCTCATCTTAAAAAAAAGTTATCTTTCCCTTGACTCCACTTTCTCTTCCATCTACTACCCCATCTTCTCTCTTCTGTTTACAGTAAAACTTTTAAAAAATAGTTGGCTATAACTATTTTTTATATATAACTATTGCTGCCTCCAATTTCCTTCCTCTTTTTTTTTTTTTTTTTTTTTTTTTTGAGACAGTCTCACTGTATTGCCCAGGCTGGAGTGCAGTGACGCCATCTCAGCTCACTGCAATCTCCGCCTCCTGGGTTCAAGAGATTCTTCTGCCTCCGCCTCATGAGTAGCTGAGACTAGAGGCGCCTGCCACCATGCCCAGCTAATTTTTGTATTTTCAATAGAGACGGGATTTCACCATGTTGGCCAGGCTGGCCACAAACTCCTGGCCTCAGGTGATCCCAAAGTGCTGCCTCGGCCTCCCAAAGTGCTGGGATTACAGGTGTGAGCCACTCCCATTATTGTTAATTCTACTCCTTTCAGATTTTTGCGCTCACCATTCCATCATAATCTTCTCTTATCTTTGACAAATGGTGTTGGGAAAACTGTGTATCCAGAAACAAAAGAATGAAGTTGGATCCTTACTCTATACCACATACCAAAAATGGATTAACTCAAAATGGTTTAAAGGCTGAAATGCAAGACATAGAATTATAAAACTTTTTTAAAAAATAGGGAAATATGTATGACATTAGATTTGGTGGTGATTTCTTGGCTATGACACCAAAAGCACAGACAGCTAAAAAATAAATAAATTGGACTACATCAAAATTAGAAAATTCTGTGCATCAAAAACAATCAACAGAGTGAAAAGCAACCTGTAGAATGGGAGAAAATATTTGAAATCATATATCTGATAAGGGATTAATATCTAGAATATATAAAGAACTCTTACAGGCCAACAACAACAAAAACAAATAACCTAATAAATAACTCTCAGATATTTAAAAATGGCTAAAGGGCTTGAATTGAGCTTTCTCCAAAGAATATATACAAATGGAGAAGAAGCATGTGAAAAAATACTCAACATCACCAATGATTAGGAAAATGCAAATTAAAACCAAATTAAAATTAGACATCATCTTACAACCATTAGGACAGCTACCACAAAAACAAAGAAACAAACAAACAGAAAATAACAAGTGTTGGCAAAGATGTGGATAAATTGGAACCCTTGTTCACTGTTGATGGGAATATAAAATGGCACAGCCACTATGGAAAACAGTACAGCAATTTTTCAAAAAATTAAAAATAGAATTATCATATGACTGAGAAAACTCACTTGTGGGTATATGTTCAAAAGAATTAAAAGCAGATTCTCAAAGAGATATTTGCACACTTACGTTCATAGAAGCATTATTTACAATAGACAGAAGGCAAAGGCAACCTAGTGTACATTGATGAATGAACGGATAAAAAAAATGTGGTACATGTATACAATGGAATACTATTCAACCCAAAGAAAGAAGAAAATTCTGGCCGGGTGCAGTGGCTCACGCCTGTAATCCCAGCACGTTGAGAGGTTGAGATGAGTGGATCATTTGAGGTGTGGAGTTTGAAACCAGCCTGGCCAACATGGTGAAACCCCAACTCTACTAAAAAATACAAAATTAGCTAGGCATGATGGTTCATGCCTGTAATCCCAGCTACTCGGGAGGCTGAGGCAGGAGAATAGATTGAACCCAGGAGGCAGATGTTGCAGAGAGCCGAGGTTGTGTCACTGCATTCCAGCCTGGGCAATGAGAGTGAAACTCCATCTCAAAGAAAAAAAAAAGAAAGAAAGAGGAAGGAGGGAAGGAAGGAAGGAAGGAAAGAAAATTCTGACACATAGTACAACATGGATAAACCTGAAGGATATTATGTTTAAAAAAAATCCAGTCACAGAAAGACAAATTCTACATGATTCCACTTATATGAGGTATCCAGAATAGTTAAATTCATGGAAATAGAAAGTATATTGGTAGTTCCCAGGGACTGGGAGAAGGAAAAAATGAGAAACTGTTGTTTCATGGGCAAAGAGTTTCAGTTTTACAAACTGAAAAATTTCTGAAGGTTGGTTGTACAACAGTGTGAATATACTTAACACTTCTGAACTGTACACTTAAAATGGTTAAGATTGTAAATTTTATGTTATGTGCATTTTACTATAATTAAAAATAAAAACTAAAAAGAATATTCTCTATCAAGGTCACTAATGACTTACATATTGTTAAATGCAATGATTAATTTTAAGTCCTCATCTTACTGAAGTATTAGCAGCATTTGATACAGTTGATTGCTCTCTTCTTTATTTGCTTTTCTCATTTGGCTTCTAACTGCGAGCCTGGTTTCCCCTTATTTCTCTTCTTAGTCTTTATTCTCTTTTCCTTACCGCTAAATGCTGGAGTTCCTCAAAACTCTGTCTTTGATCTTTTCCATTCTTGGCTCTCTCTTTCATTGATTACATACAATCTCAAGACTTAACATACCATCTCTGTGCTAAGGATTCTAAATTTTTATCACTATCTCCTCTTTCACCTCTGACCAGCAATTGTATTTTCAATATCTCCATTTGTATGCCTAGTTGATACATCAACCTTAACATATCTAAAATGAAAAAAAACTTGAACTTATCTTTTATTTTCTTTCACACCATGTATCTTACCTGTAAGCAAGTTTTGTTGGCTTTACCACAAAAAAAAAAAAAAAAACCCAGAATCCAGTGACTTATGATTTCCATTGTGGTCAATCTGGTCCAAATCACTCTATTTTCTTGTGTAGATTGTTTCAATCATCTCTTGGATAATTTACTCTAACATGGTAGCCAGAATGATGCTGTTGAAGAATCCTGACTTGTTCACTCTTGCACTCGCTAGATGACTATTTCATACCTTCATCTTTTTCTTCATACATCCAATACCCCCTCCCACATCATAACCCTCTACTGATGACCTTGCATTAATAATGCCACCCTATCTTCCAAAAACTCTTTAATGGCTTTCCATCTCACTCAGAGTAAAAGTCAAAGTCCTTACAAAGACCTACAAAGCCCATTACCTGTCTGACTTCATCTTCTATAGGGTTTGACTTTACCCCCTTGTTTAATATACTCCAGCCACCCTGCATACTTTTTAATTTCTTGAACATTCTGGACAAGCTCTATCTCAGGCTGTTTGCACTGGTTGTTCCTTCTATCTTAAATGCTTACCCCCAGATATCTGCATGGGCTCATACCCTCTCTTCTTTCAAGTCTGCTTGAAATATCTCTTTCTGAATGAGGCTTTCCTTGATTACCCTATTTAAAATTCCAACCTTCCCCCAAAACTTCCTTTCACTTTTTCTTCTTTATTGTTCTTCATAGCACTTGTCACCATCTGACACACAATGTATTTTTCTTATTTATCTTTTTCAATGTCTCTTTCCTACTAGAATGGAAGATCAAGAAAGACAGGTATTTTTGTCTTTTGTTCACTACTCTGGACCCAGTGCCTAAACAGTCACTGAACACAGTAATTCTCAACAAGTATTTGTTGAATGACTTCATAAACATTTGCCATTCAGTAACCAGTGTAAGGCAGCATAATGTTTTATATTATTTTACCTTAGAAATGTCACCCTGGAAGGATCACTGGAAGCATACCATGTTTACTGTTTATTCTGCATAAAAAATCAGCATTTATGTTGACTTAAACTCTCTAATACCATTAAATAATTTTTTGAGGGCAAAGTCTATGTCTCTTACCTCTCCATTAATAAGGTTGTACCTGCACTGAGAGACCCCATTTTTCCCCTGTGCTGAGGACATAGAGCATACTGAAATACTTTTCTATTCTTTGAAAAAGGATTCTCCACAATCTCTTAGTTTTGAGTCCCCTATGTTTTTTTTTAAAGCATCTTCTTAATAAGCTCTTTCTAAATCAAGCCCAACCATTCTTTCAACAAATGTTTATAGAGTTAGATTACCTTAGGCACTGTCACGTAAACACAGAAGTGGATTCTGCCCTCAAGTAGCTTATAGTCCAGTAGAGGAAATGGGATATCTACATATTAGAGAAAAACACAATATCATAATAGAACTCAGCCAGCACATAGTAAGTATTTTGAGGTATGTAGAGGGCCCTATCACTGGCTGCAAAGCAGAGCATCTTCCCTTAAAGTAGCCAATAATAAGAAAGGAATAGAGAGTTTGAAAATAGGGTGAGAATTTGGGGCAACTATTAAAATAATAACAGGTGTGGCTGTTGAGAGCCCTGATGAAAAACCAGATTAAATTGAAATGGGCAACGCGTGGTTAGTTAATAAATCAGATTTAGAATATGCTGGTTCAAAGCAAATGTTAGCATTAGATAAATGTAGATCACAGGAAAGAAAAAAAAGAAGTATAATAAATCTAATATGTCCCACTTACTTTGTAGAGGTATATTTTGTAGGTGGAGTTCAATTTTGAAGCTTAGTGACTTAGCACTCTAATTTGTAAAATGCATATTTCTCTGAATTGGTAGCCATACTTGATGAAAGTAGGGCCATTTAAGATTTATTTGGATGCAGCCTTTAGATAACAACATTGTATTTTCTTTCACACCACTCCCAGCAGGCATGTGCTGTGACTGTTGTTGACTGAGGACCACAATTCTAGCCACAGGAGATTATCTTCATCATTTCATTTCTGAGGGGTTGGCAAACTGTTCCTGAAGACAAAAATCCAGCCAGCTGCCTGATTTTATAAATAAAGTTTTATTGGAAGACTGCCATGCCCCCCATTCATTTACATAATATCAATGCTGCTTCTGCATTACAACAGCAGAGTTGAATAGTTGCAACGGAGACTGGAGACCATATCGCTCACAAAGCCTACTATATTTATCATCTGATTCATTACAAAAAAGACCTATCAATCTCTGGTCTATTATCTCCATTATCCCATTGACTCTTCACTGGGGACTCAACTGAAGATTAGAGAAACTCAAAAAGTGTAGGGAACAATAATCAGTGGAATCTCAGTTATTTTGAGTTTTTTAACCATTTGACTTATTTAAAACATCCTGAATTTTACCTGTACTAATTTTAAACAAATTAATATTGCCCTTTTTAGCCACATGGAAAGACAGCTATGGTGCAGTGAAAATAGCACTTGAAATAAATGTTGAAGATCTGGATTCAGGTTCTCCACTGTCAATTACTAGCTCTGTAACCTTGGACTTAAAAATCAAAGTCTGTGAAGCCAGAGATTAAAATAAGGGGACAGATATTTTGTACAACTAGCTGTAAAGATCAAAAGAGATAATAAAAGTAAAGGAGCTTTAGAAATTAAATAGTTATATCATTATCAGACATTGTTGATAATTCTAAGAATGTGTACAGCACATTTGTTAGGAAAGGTTTTGTTGTTAGATTGATTTGAATAATACATTGTTATAAAAATTAATTGAGATAATTTTTGTAAAGCAGATAGCAAAATGCCTGGCAACATCAGCTTTTCTGTATTTTATTACCACCATTATTATGAAATAACTAGCATTTGTCTTTCATAGATATTAATTTTTTTAATGCTCTCAGCTGTTAGCCAATCTTTGAATGTTCTAATACTGGTTAATGAAAGAGGAAGACCATTCAGTATCCAGGGCAAACAATCACATTCCAGAGTTTGTGTACATGTGCTTCAACTGACTACCATTCCCGATACCAAAGGTTATCATTTAAGTCTCTTAAATCTTAATTTAATCTTCTTTCCACTGTTATCGTGTTTCATCCATTTTTACTGGTGTTTATTTTTATGTGCATAATACATTTCTGTTTATTATTTCCTATCTCCCACTGCTTTCCAGTAATATATGGGAAAATGAGTAAGTAGATTTTTTCCCCTCAGAACCACATGCTACCACAATTCCTAAGTTAGCCTGATATGAATATTATTCACTTTTAGCAAAACTAAGATGATAAAGGCCACAAAAATCTTAGTCCATTAATTTAGAGAGAAAAAATATAAATATTAGCGTTCTAATAACAGCCAAAGACAACATTTGAACACTTCTCTAGGAAAAGTTGCAAAATATAACATTAATTTAAAAATAGCTTTGGAATTTGTAATAAAGTGAAGACTAGAGTCATTAAGAAATTGTTTTGATCTTATCATAAAAGTTAAGAAATACAGGTATTCTAATTGATAGCCAGGGCAGGACAAGGACTCTCTTCTCCCATTTCTGAAAAATAACCTCCACTTCTTGCCACTAGTGACTCTCTATATCATGTTGCACTTTAAGGAGCCAGTGGATCTCCACTGCCTTCACCAGGAGAACTTGAAAAGTAATAGAGGCACTCCAGCCTGGAAGATAGAGCAAGATCCTGTCTCAGAAAATAAATGAATGAATGAATGAATGAATGAATGAATGAATGGAGGGAATCTGGCCAACTTTCGCAACTGACCTGATCTGACAAACACTAGCAATAACTCTATAAACGGACAAAAAGCTTTGTAGTTTTA
This sequence comes from Homo sapiens, assembly GCF_000001405.40. Classification (NCBI taxonomy): domain Eukaryota; kingdom Metazoa; phylum Chordata; class Mammalia; order Primates; family Hominidae; genus Homo; species Homo sapiens. The sequence continues at coordinate 63,260,997 of NC_000012.12, forward strand.
TTTTATTTTATTGAAGAACCAGGAAGATCTTAGAAGTTTTACATGAGAGAGGAACAAATACTGAAATTCTAGCAAAATAAACAAACAAACAAAAAAACTCTTTCCAGGCTTAAAATTTTGAAGGAATGTATCATTTAACAAATGCTCCCTTCTCTACTGATCTGTCTGTTTCTTCTGGTGTCTTTGTTTTTTTTTTTTTTTTTTAGTATTTATTGATCATTCTTGGTTCTGTATTAAGAAAAATTCTTCTGCCTTGGGATGCTGTTAATCTTCTGGTGTCTTTTACCTGAGTTAGACAACTGAGCAATTAAAGGGAACAGCACAGTCCCCACAATAGGCCTCCCTCACTTCTAATACCAACTGCAAGTTCAGAGGATTCCTAGAATGACCCTCGAGTTAGACAACTTGCTAGAAAGACTCACAGAATTTACTGAATGCAATTTTCCTTACGGTTATGGCTTATGATTAGGAAAGATACAGATTAAAATCAGTTAAAGGAAGAAGCATTAGGGCAGATTCTGAGGCAGTACCAAATGTGGAGTTTGCATTGTCTTTGCTCTGTAGAGTCAGGACACATTCCTTTCCTGAAAATATGAAATTGAAAAGTGGCAATATGCATAGAGTATTGACAACCAGGGAAGTTTGCCTGAGCCTCTGTGCCCAGACCTCTCACTGGGGCTCCATCACATAGACATGATTGATTGATTGTCCATATGATTAATTTCTGTCTCCAGGTCAGCTCGTACCATGTGACCCAAAGCCCCCACCTTAAGTCACATTTTTACTGTCTGGCTTAGCCAAAGGTCTCCATCCTAAATCACATTTTTATTATCTGGTGTTACCAGCCTCACGCTGAGATATAGACTGTGAGATCCAAGGCCCCCACGCAAACAAAGACACTTCTATCAGGCATGACAGTCTGAAAATTTAGAGATTACCTTACAAAAACAAAGGACAAAGGCCAGATGTCTCTTTGAACAAGGGTAAATACTTTCCTACACACCTATGACCTGCATGTAATCCCCTCCTCAAGTGTCTCTACTTTCTTTCAGAAACTACATCAAGCTTGCCTAACCCGTGGCCCAGGACAGCTTTGGATGCGACCCAACACAAATTCGTAAGCTTTCTTAAAACATTATGAGTTTTTTTTTTTTTAAAGCTCATCACCTATTGTTAGTGTTTGTGAATTTATGTATGGCCCAAGACAATTCTTCCAGTGTGGCCCAGGGAAGCCCAAAGATTGGATACCTCTGCTCTATACCTACCTACAAGGTAAAATATTATCACCTGATTCCTTTTCTTATGATTTAAACTAGAGGAAAGCCTTAGTTTTAGATTTCTTCTGCCCAATCCTGACAGACTAGGGTGGTAGTCAAGGTGAGAAATGACTCTAATACCCAATATAGACAGGTATATATTTCTTTAATTCTATATAGCTGAAGCCATTTTTTTCATAATTTCTTCTTTCTGCTCAGTAATAGAACAAAACGCACAAAAAATATTAACAATGACTGCAACAACAAAATTGCTTTATTTTTTCTCCTTTAGGTTACTCAGTTTATGGTTTAAAAGTTTCATTTGCATAATTATTCAGTCAATTTAAGACATAAATTTACTTAACTCAAACTTAAAATGTCCTTTCAGGGCTGCCCTCTTTTTTTAATGGTTGTCCCTGCCCCATCTTCCTCCCTGGATGATGTTTGGGTATTGTGGGAAACCTGGTGAAAGAAGTAGAAAGACATCTGGTTTACCTGCTCTTTACTAAACCACACTGACTCTCATCAAGATAACCCATTCCAATTTGTTTTAGGGTAAGTCCCTTTATCCTCACTGTACTCATTGATGATATAAGTTCAGCACAGGTAGTTTAAGATGATCAGGAAAACTAAAGACTTTGAATAAAGTGGGCATGAGAAAGTCAAGAAATTCCTCCCAATGAGAGCAATTATAAAAATCAAACAAGGTTATTTAAAACAACAAGTTGAAAGGCCTGGAAAATAACCTAAATTGTGTTAAAAAATATTTGTTTAATACAAAAAAGGCAGGAAAGAAGAAACAAAGTGAAAAATGAGATAAGACAAGTAGAAAACAATTTTTTAAATGGCAGACCAAATCCAATCATTTCAATAATTACCTTAAATGTGAATGGACTGTGCACTTCAAAATCAGAGAGTACCAGACTGGATAAAAAACAAAAGTTACATTTTAAATATACATAACCAGATTTAAAGTAAGTAAAAGAAGGCCAAGCGCAGTGACTCATGCCTGTAATCCCAGCACTTTGGGAGGCTGACGGGAGCAGATCACTGGAGGTCAGGAGTTTGAGACCAGACTGGCCAACATGGTGAAATCCCATCTCTACTAAAAATATAAAAATTAGCCAGGCATTTTGGTGCATGCCTGTAGTCCCAGCTACTTGGGAGGCTGTGGCAGGAGACTTGCTTTAACCTGGGATGTGGAGGTTACAGTTAGCCAAGATCACTCCACTGCACTTCAGGCTGGGTGACAGAATGATACTTCATCTCAAAAAAAAAAAAAATAGAAAAGTAAGTAAAAGAATAGAAAAATATATACCATGTAGATAATAATTATAAGAAAACTAGAATGGTTAAATTAACATTATATATATAAATTATATTATATATATTATATATAAATTAACATTATATATAAAATTTGTATAAGAATATTCTGGAGACAAAGAGATGTATTGCATAAGAATGTATTCATCAGGAAGACATAAAACTTATATATTCACATTTTCCTAGTGACAGAGTGCCAAAATGCCCTGAGAGAACCAAAAGAACAAATAGACAAATCCACAACTATAGTTTGAGATTTCAATACTCCTTTCTCAAAAATTTATGGAACTAGATAGAAGACAGTAAGGATATAGACTTGAACAATACTAGCAACCAACTAGATTTAATTGATCTTTATAGGACACTTCATCTAACATCTGATGAATATACATTATTTTCAAGTGTACATGTAGCATTCACCAAAATACATCATATTCTAGGACATAAAATAAGCGTCAATAAACTTAAAGGGATTGAAATCATATAGTATACATTCTCTGACTATATGAAATTAGAAACCAATAACACAACTATGTGAAAAATCCCTAAATATTTGGAAATTAAAGACTATAATTCTAAATAGCCCATAGGTAAAAGAAATCACAAGAAAAATTAAAGATATTTTTAACTGAAAGAAAATAAAAATACAACAAGTCAAAATTTATAGGATACATCTAAGGAGGTGCTTAGAGAAAAAATTTATAGCTTTAAATGCACATATTAGAAAAATCAGAAAGCTAGCATCAACGACCAAAGCTTCCACTTTACGAAGGTACAAAAAAGGAGTAAAAAATAACAAAAATGGAAGGAAAACATAATAAATGAATAAAAGAGTAGATATTAATGAAATATAAAATGACCAAGAAAAAAATCAATGAAACAAAAATCTAGTGCTCTGAAAAGATAAATAAAATGTGTAAATCTTTAACTATACTGATCAATAAATAAAGAGAAGTTACAAATTTTCAACATTAGGAATAAAAGACATGGCATCACTATAGACTTTACAGCTATCAAAAGGATAATAAGATGATATTGTAACACTTTTATGCAAATTAACTTGACGACATAGATAAAAATGACTAGAACTTTTAGTAATATGTAGAATAGAAGTGGCAAGAAGGGACATCTGTACCTTGTTCCTGATTTTAGAGCAGGGGTCCCCAAACCCGAGGCCATTGACTGGCATAGGTCTGTGGCCTGTTAGGAACCAGGCTGCATAGCCGGAGGTGAGTGTATTTACCACCACTCTCTATTGTTCACATTACCACCTGAGCTCCGCCTCCTGTCAGATCAGTGGCAGTAATAGATTCTCATAGGATCACAAACCCTATTGTGAACTGTGCACGTGAGGGATCTAGGTTGCATACTCCTTATGAGACTCTAAAGTCTGATGATCTGTCACTGTCTACTATCACCCCCAGATGGGACCATCTGGTTGCACGAAAACAAGCTCAGGGGTCCTACTGATTCTACATTATGGTGAGTTGTATAATTATTTCATTATATATTACAATGTAATAATAATAGAAATAAAGTGCACTATCAGTGTAATGCACTTGAATATCCTGAAACCATCCCTCTCGCCCTGATCCAAGCAAAAATTGTCTTCCACGAAACCAGTCCCTGGTGCCAAAAAGGTTGCAGACCACTGTTTTAAAGGATCAAGAACTATTAAGTTCACCATTGAGTATGATATTAGCTGTGGCCTTTTATATATGGCCTTTAATATGTTGAAGTGTGTTTCTGTACCTAATTTTTTGAGAGTTTTTCTCATAAAAGGAAGTCGAATTTTGTCAAACACTTTTTCTGTGTCTATTGAAATTATCATGTGATTTTATGCTTTACTCTGTTTATATGCTTTATCACAATAGTTGATTTTTATATGTTGAGCCATCCTGCATCCCAGCTATATATCCCACCTGATCATGATGTATTATCCTTTCAATGTGCTATTGACTTCAGTTAGCTACTATTTTATTGGGAATTTTTCATCTATGTTCATCAGGAATATTGGCCTGTAGTTTTCATTTCTTCTGGTATCTTTGTTTAGCTTTGGTATCAGAGTAATGCTGGCCTCATAAAATGAGTCTGGAAGTGTTCCTTCCCTCTTAAATTTTCTGAAAGTGTTTGAGAAGACTTGGCATTAATTCTTCTTTAAATGTTTGCGAGAATCCACATGTAAATGCATCTTTTCCTGAGCTTTTCTGTGTTGAGAAGTTTTTGATTACTGATTCAATGTCCATTCTAGTACAGATCTGTTCAGACTTTGTATTTCTTCATGATTTAGTCTTAGTAGGTTGTTTGTTTCTTCTAGGTTATCCAGTTTATTGGTGTGTAATTGTTCATAGTAGTCTCTTATGATCCTTTTTTTACGTAGTCTCAGTTGAAATGTCTCCTCTTTCATTTCTGACTTGAGCCTTTTCTCTTTTTTTCTTAATTAGTCTAAAAATTTGTCAAATTGTTTTTTCAAAAAACCAACTCTTCACTTTGCTAATTTTTTCTGTTTTTCTTTTTTCTATTTTATTCATGCCCTAATCATTATTTCCTTTCTTCTGTTAACTTTGCACTTAGTTTGTTCTTCTTTTTCTAGCTCTTTGAGGTGGAAAAGTTTTTAATTAAGAGCTTTCTTTTTCTTTTAATTTAGATATTCATCACTATAAATTTCCCTCTTAGAATTTCTTTTGCTAGATCTCAGAAGATTTGTTACATTATGTTTTTGTTTTCACTCGTGTCAAGGTATTTTCTAATTTCTTTTATTTCTTTTTTGACCTAATGGTTGGTTAAGAATGTGTTGTTTAATTTCCACGTTTTCCTTCTGCTATTGAATTTTAGCTTCATTCCATTGTAGTTAGTAAAGATACTTGATATGATTTCAATCTTCTTATATTTATTAAGACTTATTTTGTGACCTAACGTGCTAGATCTATCCTAGAGAAAGTTTCATATGTATTTGGAAAAATTGTGTACTCTGCTGTTTTGGGATGAACTGTTCTGCATACGACTGTTAGGGTTATTTGGTTAATAATGTTCAAATCCTCTGTTTTTTTATTGGTCTTCTGTCTGGATATTCTATCCATTATTAAAGTGTGATATTGAGGTCTCTTACTATTATTGTATTGTTGTTTATTTCTCCCTTCAGTTACTTTAATGTTCACTTTTTTATATAGTCTGATATTGAGTGCATATATATTTATAATTGCTATTTTTTTCCTGGTGGGTGGACTCTTTTATTATTACATAATGTTCTTCTTTGTATCTTGTGACAGTTTTCACTTAAAGTCTATTTTTTCTGATATAAGTGCAGCCACGTATTGCCTCTTTTGCTTACCATTTGCATGGAATACAGTATTCTGTGTTTGTGTGTATATTTATTTTTACAAACCAATTTCATATTTTCTTATCTTATTATGTTGCTATTTAACATTTTTTATTTCATCTTGGAGAGTTCCCTTTAACATTTCTTATAATATCGGACTAGTCATGATAAACTTCCTCAGCTTTTGTTTGAAAGATAGTTTTGGCACATATAGTATTCTTGGTTGGCAGTTGTCTTTCAGAAATTTGTATTTATCATCCCCCTTCTAGTCTGCAAGGATTTTGCTGTAAAATTTTCTAATAGTCTTATAGATATTCTCTTGTATGTAAGAAGTAATTTTCTTTTTGCTGCTTTCAAAATTCTCTCTTTATCTTTGACTTTTGACAATTTGATTATAATGTGGCTTGGTGTACATTTCTTTGGGTTTACATTATTTGGTGTTTTTTGAACTTCTTAGATATGATGTCTATTTCCTTCCCCATATTTTGGAAGAAATCAGTCCAGCCAGAGATTTTGGAGGCTTCTAACAATTCTTTCCCTTCCCAAAGAGAAGCAGGAACTATGGGTTTTTGTCTGTTTACTCTGTGCAGAGCTGAGGGGTGGGGACCTATGGTGTCTACTAGTCCATGCTACTGTCTTCATTCTCTCCCGGGTGGCTACACTATGCTGGACCTGCGAAAGCTCCAAGACTGGTAAATCTGATGATATTTCTTTGGGAAGCCCAGAGAAGCTGGGGCATTGGATGTGCAGATTAAATCTTTTCCTCTTCAGGGGGATGGTGGGAGCTGGGATATTTTCTATCCACTCACTTTTTGCTGATTAAGGGAGAAGATCTATGGTATCTACCAGCCCAGTGTGTCACCATTTCCATTCTTCCTCAAGCAGATAGACTGGGCTGGTCCTGTCAGAGCTCCACTAATGGAAAGACAGAAGCCAGTCCTTGGGGACCCTCCTCAGAAAAGTTGAAGCTCTGTGCATATAAACTAGTCACTTTCACCCCTAGGAGAAGTTGAGAGCTAGAGATTCTCCTCTTGATTGTATGGTGCCATTGCTGGGGTTTTGGGTTCTGGCAAGAAGATGTTCTGAATCTCCCTTTTAGTATTGGTGAGTCTGGTTTCCCACTCACCTCATGTACAGAAGCCTGTCAGTTATTTTCTGGCTTTCTCACAAAATAATTTATTCATGAATTTTTGCTGAATCAGTGTGTTTATGAGGAGGGGGACCCAGGACTTCTTCTTCTGCCATCTTTCTTTAGTTCTTAATCCAAGGCTATATCTGACCTTTACCTTTTTCCTTCTCCAGAAACGAGAAATGCCACTGATTTACTAGATGAAATGAGAGTGGCAAAGCAACTAAAATGTTGTCAGTAAATAAATTAAGTTAGCTATAACTTCCCAGGCATTAAATTATTTTGCTCTCTATTCTCATGTTACAGTTTTGGATTTTTCTTTAGGATTATATGCACCTACCACTACAACCATCATCATTATTTTGCTGAGAATAATTTGACTTCCATTTCCTGCCTGAGGCCTGGATGTATTAAAATAGGAACTATATTTGCTGTTAAAGTTTGTTCTGGTATTTTGGTGAAATCAGAAATTCTGCCATTTCCAATGCACCAACTCTGATTACATTCTTTTAAGTCTGGTGTGCTTTTAACAGAAGGAGAGAAAGAGGATGTTTTTTTCAATTTACCTTGTCACAGTTATATTGACTGTTTTCCATTTCCTCTAGGAAGCCATGAAATTAGTGCAAGTAATCTATGAATTCATATACTAGTCAGAGCATTTATTATAGGCTAAGCAGAATGTCTCATGTATATGTAAGCCTCTGTCTTTCAGTTGCATGTAGATTTTACTACAATTGGCAAAATACCAATAATTGAAAGTACTACTGAATTCATAGAAGCTATTTGTCATACATTTTCCAAACTAATGAATAATAGAACTATAATTACTGTAATATGAGATTTCATTATTTTGTTGTTGCTATTATTAATAAAGTCATTCTTATAAATGAAAGTTTGGGTACCCTAATCTATTCTCATTGCTTTATCTACCTTAAGAAGCAATTTTAGATTGGAACGTCTCCTTTATTAAAGAATCTTTTCAGTTCTGCATGTTATTCCAGTCTAAATCTTTTTTTCATTTTTTTAGAGGTGACCATTTTTTTTAATATACTTTAAGTTCTAGGGTACATGTACACAACGTGCAGGTTTGTTACACATGTATACACATGCCGTGTTGGTGTGCTGCACCCATTAACTCGTCATTTACATTACGTATATCTCCTAATGCTTTCCCTACCCCCTCCTCCCACCCCACGACAGGCCCCAGGGTGTGATGTTCCCCTTCCTGCGTCCAAGTGTTCTCATTGCTCAATTCCTACCTATGAGTGAGAACATGCAGTGTTTTGTTTTTTGTTCTTGCGATAGTTTGCTCAGAATGATGGTTTCCAGCTTCATGCATGGCCCTACAAAGGACATGAACTCATCCTTTTTTGTGGCTGCATAGTATTCCATGGTGCATATGTGCCACATTTTCTTAATCCAGTCTATCACTGATGGACATTTGGGTTGGTTCCAAGTCTTTGCTATTGTGAATAGTGCCGCGATAAATATACATGTACATGTGTCTTTATAGCAGCATGATTTATAATCCTTTGGGTATATACCCAGTAATGGGATGGCTGGGTCAAATGGTATTTCTAGTTCTAGATCCTTGAGGAATCACCACACTGTCTTCCACAATGGTTGAACTAGTTTATAGTCCCACCAACAGTGTAAAAGCATTCCTATTTCTCCACATCCTCTCCAGCACCTGTTGTTTCCTGACTTTTTAATGATTGCCATTCTAACTGGTGTGAGATGGTATCTCATTGTGGTTTTGATTTGCATTTCTCTGATGGCCAGTGATGATGAGCATTTTTTCATGTGTCTTTTAGCTGCATAAATGTCTTCTTTTGAGAAGTGTCTGTTCATATCCTTTGCCCAGTTTTTGATGGGGTTGTTTTTTTCTTGTAAATTTGTTTGAGTTCACTGTAGATTCTGGATATTAGCCCTTTGTCAGATGAGTAGATTGCAAAAATTGTCTCCTATTCTGTAGGTTGCCTGTTCACTCTGATGGTACTTTCTTTTGCTGGGCAGAAGCTCTTTAGTTTAACTAAATCCCATTTGTCAATTTTGGCTTTTGTTTCCATTACTTTTGGTGTTTTAGACATGAAGTCCTTGCCCATGGAAGTTCTGGCCAGGGCAATCAGGCAGGAGAAAGAAATAAAGGGTATTCAATTAGGAAAAGAGGAATCTGTTTGCAGATGACACGATTGTATATTTAGAAAACCCCATCGTCTCAGCCCAAAATCTTCTTAAGCTGATAAGCAACTTCAGCAAAGTCTCAGGATACAAAATCAATGTGCAAAAATCACAACCATTCTTACATACCAATAACAGACAAACAGAGAGCTAAATCATGAGTGAGCTCCCATTCACAATTGCTTCAAAGAGAATAAAATACCTAGGAATCCAACTTACAAGGGACGTGAAGGACCTCTTTAGGAGAACTACAAACCACTGCTCAACAAAATAAAAGAGGATACAAACAAATGGAAGAACATTCCATTCTCATGGATAGGAAGAATCAATATCATGAAAATGATCATACTGCCAAGGTAATTTATAGATTCAATGCCATCCCCATCAAGCTACCAATGACTTTCTTCACAGAATTGGAAAAAACTACTTTAAAGTTCATATGGAACGAAAAAAGAGCCTGCATTGCCAAGACAATGTTAAGCCAAAAGAACAAAGCTGGAGGCATCATGCTACCTGATTTCAAACTATACTATAAGGCTACAGTAACCAAAACAGCATGGTACTGGTACCAAAACAGAGATATAGACCAATGGAACAGAACAGAGCCCTCAGAAATAATACCACACATCTACAACCATCTGACCTTTGAGAAACCTGACAAAAACAAGAAATGGGGAAAGGATTCCCTATTTAATAAATGGTGCTGGGAAAACTGGCTAGCCATATGTAGAAAGCTGAAACTGGATCCCTTCCTTACACCTTATACAAAAATTAATTGAAGATGGATTAAAGACTTAAATGTTAGACCTAAAACCATAAAAACCCTAGAAGAAAACCTAGGCAATACCATTCAGGACATTCCAGTCTAAATCTTAATTCCAGCAGCATGACCCCCTAGTCTGCTCTGGCAATCAGAGCATTGCAATCTTGGAAGTTTTATTGCCTGTAAGGAATTCGAGGAGAGGCATACAATTTTTTACCACATTCCCAGCCAGGAATAGTTATTTTACTCAAACAACTTATTGTAATGGGAGTGTACTTTTCGTATCTGCCCATTTTGACCACCAGAACCTTTTTGTAGAGTACCATTTTTTAATTATAAAAATGACACATTAGGGCTTTCTGCCTGTGGATGCCACTGAAGAACGATCACTAACGTCTCTCTTCCCACTGCCATCGTGTCTAAGTCAGAGTCTCCTAAAGAGCCCAAACAGCTGTGGAAACTCCTCATCAGAGGGTTGAAATTTGAAAGAATTAATGAGAGACTGAGGAGCTAATCTGAGCAATGGAAAATTCTCACAGACTGTGTGGTAATGAGAGATCCAAATGCCAAGCACTCCAGGGTCTTTGGGGTTGTCACATGTGCCACTGTGGAAGGGGTGCATGCAGCCATGAATACAAGGCCACACAAGGGGGATGGAAGAGTTGTGGAACCAAAGAGAGCTGTCTCAAGAGACCAGATGCCCACTTAACTGTGAAAAAGATATTTGTTGGTGGCATTAAAGAAGATACCAAAGGGCATGAGTTAAGAGACTATTTTGAACAGCATGGGAAAATGTAAGTGATTTAAATCATGACTGATGGAGGCAGTGGCAAGAAAAGGGGCTTTGCTTTTTTGCTTTTGTAACCTTTGATAGCCATGACTCCGTGGATAAGATTATCATTCAGAATTACTGTACTATGAATGGCCACAACCTTGAAGTAAGGAAAGCCCTATCAAAGCTAATGCTTCATCCAGCCAAAGAGTTCAAAGTGGTTCTAGAAACTTTGGTGGTGGTCATGGAGGTGGTTTTGGTGGGAATGACAACTTTGGTCATGGAGGAAACTTCAGTAGTCATGGTGGGTTTGGTGGCAGCTGTGGTGGTTGTGGTGGATATGGTGGCAGTGGAGATGGCTATAATGGATTTGGTAATGATGGAAACAATTTTGGAGGTGGTGGAAGCTACAGTGATTTTGGCAGTTACAACTGTCAATCTTCAAATTTTGGACCCATGATGGAAGGAAACTTCAGAAGCAGAAGTTCTGGTCCCTATGGTGATGGAGGCCAATACTTTGCCAAACCATGAAACCAAGATGGTTATTGTGGTTCTAGTAGCAGCGGTAGCTATGGCAGTGGCAGAAAATTTTAATTACTGCCAGGAAACAAAGCTTAGCAGTAGAGTAGAGCCAGAGACATGACAAGGAAATTACAGATTACAACAGGTCTGTGAACTCAGCCAAGCACAGTGGTGGCAGGGCCTAGTTGCTACAAAGAAGACATGTTTTAGATGATAGTCAGGTGTATGGGTAAAAAAACTCTAGGACTGTAGTGGTGACTAATTGTATAATAGGTTATTTTAGTTTCTGCTCTGTGGAAAGTGTAAATCATTCCAACAAAAGGTTTCAATGTAGAATATTTTTTACTTTTTGCACCTATGCTGTTGATTGCTAAATGTAATAGTGTGATCATGACATTGAACAAGTGTGTCTTTAAAGACAATACATTAGGTACATTTTCACACCTTACTATGGAAAACATAATTTTACTGCCTGCACAACACCTTTTTTGCTGTATGACTAGATTTAATAAATTTTACTGCTTATAAAAATACATATCCTGGTATATGATTTTTTTAATATAACATTGTGCTAAATTTACTCAAAGAGTATAATAAACATGTTTATGGCTCTTAATACATATTCCTAATTTGCTTTCCAGAATATGTTGCTTATTTAAACTCCCACTAGGAGCTAAACTTCTACTGTGAATTTCACCTCCTCTTTACCAAAACTGATGATTTTTATTTTAAAAAATTGTTGATAGTTTGGTAAAATTTATTATTAGAAAGGTGGAACTTTTTATATTTTATTATCTATTTGCATTTCTTCTTCTGAGAATTGTCATTTCTTATTCCTTTTAGCATTAGAACTTGGTTTTCTTTAGAGCCTTTTATTTTTATAGTGTTCCTTGTTTTGCTCAATTTGCAGCTAATCTTCTGTGTCCTTGCACTAAAACTATCAATTTTATCTCAATTGCAGAGGTTCTCTAACCCTTCGACTATAACTTTTCAGAGTTAACATATTAGAGGATTTTCTTTCTCACCCACATTTATACAGCTCTTTTTTCATATCATAGTGCAGAATTGGGCAAATGCAAGGACTGTTCTCCAAAATCTTTGCTGCCCATTTTGCTCTGGAGTTGGCTTTTCTATCTAGACTTTATCTTTACTTCAGATATGTTCAATTTTTTTTTTTTTTTTTTTTTTTTGAGACAGAGTCTTGCTCTTGTTGCCCAGGCGGGAGTGCAATGGTGCGATCTCGGCTCACTGCAACCTCCGCCTCCTGAGTTCAAGCTATTCTTCTGCCTCAGCCTCCTGAGTAGCTGGGATTACAGGCACCAGCCATCACATCTGGCTAATTTTTGTATTTTTAGTAGAGATGGGGTTCCTCCATGTTAGCCAGGCTGGTCTCGAACTCCCAACCTCAGGTGATCTGCTGGCCTTGGCCTCCCAGACTGCTGGGATTACAGGCGTGGGCCACTGCCCCCGGCCGATATGTTCAAATTTATACCATCTCTTGTGAGATGCACAGTGGTAGGACGTGAAGGTTGTTAAGCCATCCTAGGTTTAGGTCAGAAGGCGGACTTCCTTCTACAGATAAGCCATCAATTCTTTGATACCATCCCACGCTATTAAACACATCCTCTAAGACAGCCACTTGAGGTTGTACTGTATTGTTTCATCATACACTTCCAATGGTAGTCTGTAAAACTGACCACCAAATGTCTAGTCACTGCCATACCAACTTCTACATTACAGAAAGAAACAATTTGGCAATGAAAACGACTTAAAGGGCACATCATCTCTACTTCTGAATCATCTGACTTCTTTCCACAGGCAATAAAATTAAATACTCAAACTAGGAAATGTATTTTTTAAACTAGTAAAAAGATATCACAGAAAGAATGAGGGCAATGGGCTGGTGTCCTGGCCAGGGTTGGTTCTCAGCCCTGTGCTGCTGGAAGAGGCTCTGGCCACCTGCAACCCTGAATTGGAATAATTGAGTAAATAATTATCTTATTTATGTTTATTAATCTCTCTTAAATGTATATATATCTCAAATTTATTTTAATGTTTAATATTAGATGTGTTTTAGTTTTTATTTAGAAACTTGGTGATGTTTTTGTGACCAGAAATATGCTGTAGGAACTTAGCTCTTTTTATATCAATTAGCCTGTAGTAAAATTGGTTTCATTAATGATCATTTTTGCTTAAAGTAGCAGTTTCCAAGAACTCATCCACAATGTTAAGTGAGGACCTAGTGTACTTCAGCCAAACAGAATAAGTCAGGACCTCAATGCCCTTTTCAATTGCCTGCAATTGGCCAGATGTAGGCATGAAAGCGTTGATCCAAGTAGAAAAAAATCGGGAAGATCTGAGGATCAGGATGGATACAACCACCCATGAGCTAAAGAGACAAAGTAATTTGTCATGCTGCTCTCAGCCAGGACACTGCCTTCAGCCAGGTTTGACCCTTTAAAGCAGCAGTTCCTACCCACACTGTGTCCATCAGAATTACCTGAAAGATTTGGTAATATGCAAGTTCTCAGGAGCTACTTTGAGAGTTTTTAATTCAGTGGGTGATTCAAATGGAGCTCAGAATCTTCATTTCAACATGTAACTGATTTTTTTAATGAGATGGTTTGAGAAACACTCTTTAAGAAACACCACTTTTAAAAGTAACTGTTCTTGGGAATTCCAGTTGTACCAAAATCTGCCAAGTGTCTCAACAACATGTACTCAAAAGTTCATCCTTACCTCACTGATCTGAGCTTCCATCTTTATTATATACCAAATTTCTACATGTATTTGGGTCTATCCATGGATTTTCTAGTCTCTTATCTAGACCATTCTATTTACATGCCACACTGTGGTAATCACGGAAGCTTTAAAATATGTTTTAGTATCTGATAACGTCATTACTCTTCTTTCCAAGATATTTCTTGGCTAATTTTTCTTTTGTCCTTTTTTTCATAGTAACTTTAGAATCTACATGTTCTTTCATGCTTCATTCCTTCCCTTCTTCTCTCTCTTCTTCCCTTCTTTCTCTTTTCATCCATCACTAGCAATGTGCTAATCTTCTTGGCCTCATGCTAATATTAGCCAAGTTATAATTCAATAAATGGAGAGAAGATAAATTTGAGAGGTCAACTATCCTATTTGTCAAGACAAATTTGATTTGCTTAAGATCAGAAGAAAGGCAAATTAAAGGAATAAAACTATTAATATTTTAATAAAAGCACATTAATTGTATCAATTACTTTAGGAAGAATTGAAATCTTTACAATTTTGAATATTTCTATCCAAGAAGTTAATGTCCTAAAAATCTTGTGTTTTTGTGCATGTGTATGTGTGTTCTTCAGGAATGTTTTAATGTACTTCTCATAAAATTGTATTCATTTATTGTTAAATGTGTTCCTAAGTGTTTTATCATCTTGTTGCCATTGTAGGTGGTATATTCTTTTTTTGGATTTTTCAGTTATTTATCGCTTGGGTTTCTGAAGGACATTACTTTATGCATATTAATTTTACACCACAATTTGTTATTGAAGACTCATCACTTGTAGTACTTTTTTGTTGAATCTCAAGATTGTCAGTTTTGTAATCCAAATATCTAGAAATAGTAATAACTTTATCATTTCAAATTTCGTGACTAATTAATTCTATTGTCTAAATAGCATTGAATAATACTCCCTGTATAAAATATTAATATGTTAAGAAATTGTCCGTTTTATTAAGTGTTCTCATCAAGAATGAATATTGGACTTTGTTTAAAGGCATTTTTTAATCTATAAA
The DNA here is from genome assembly GCF_000001405.40 of Homo sapiens. Taxonomy (NCBI): domain Eukaryota; kingdom Metazoa; phylum Chordata; class Mammalia; order Primates; family Hominidae; genus Homo; species Homo sapiens. The sequence goes on from NC_000012.12 coordinate 63,276,042, forward strand.
AAGAATGCATATTTTTTCTTCTTGTATATCATATTTCTGCTTGTGATAAATATATTTCTTAATATTGAACTACATTTATATATTTCTGAAATAAGTCACATTAAAAAAATGATGTACTATCATTTTTTAAAAGGTAATGTTGAATTCTATTTGGTAATATTTTATTTAAGATTTTGTCTTACATTTATAAATAAATTGCAATTTAATGTTTTAAAGTCCAGCCAAGTTTTAGAGTAATTTGACCCAGACCACACTTGGTTTCCTGCCCCTTCTGCTGAGTCTTATATCTTGGTTTACCAATCACTGAACCTAGCTCTTCTTTTTTTTTTGGTCAAAACATGAACTTGAATAAAGTAACTGCAAGAAAGTAGAGAGTCAGAAAAACATGATTCTTAAAAAATGACAAAGATAAAATCTTCCATTGAGACTTATCAACATTTTCACTCTGTAGAGGTATTATACTTTGTAGCATTTAAAATATTTGTAACATTTCCAAGTTTTCAATTAAAAAATAAGGTAGGAAAAAAATGAGAAAATTAAAAATAAATAAATAAAATTAATTCACTGTTTAATTGAAAAAAAAATCATGAACGACTGGCCTAGACTTTGCCTCTTGACCATCTGAATTCTAGCTCTTACACATGTGTTTGGGGACCTTCATGCCTCTCCTTGCAGGGACTTCCTGGGTTTTGCCCCATTTGAATCATCATGTGACTGGTTTCTGTTTCAGGTTCCTGATCCCATTCAGACTAAATTCCAAACAATTTCCATTTGTTTCCTTCCCACTTTCTATGTTTAACTTACTCCTAGGACCATCTGATAAATCCTCAAGGACCAAATATTAATTACTTCTGCCGATAAACTCTAAACAACTGGTTCTTTACTGCCCCCTTGAGGGCCTTGGCCTCCACACATGCTGTGGCCTATTCTAGAGGTGCTTAGTCCTTGCCACCTGGCTTATTCTCTCCAGAACAAGGACTAAGGTACAAAGAATACAGTATGCTGAGAGCAGCGGAGAAGACAAAGATGACACCATTCCTGTCTTCAAAGGACGTAAAAACTAGATGAACAGAGGAGAAGTGAGGCTTGTGTGTGTTTAGGGTACAGGGGTTAGAAGGAGGGTGTTGTAAATCAGGCACAAGCATTAGTCAAAAATTAGCTATGAGTCTCAGGAGGCAAAGGGGTGGTTCAAATGACTCCTATAATAGTTGAGAAAGGGAAAACAGATGTCACTATGACAATGAGGGAAGACTTCATGGAGGACATGCTTCAGAGCTGCTCTGCAAAAGGTAACATCACATACATGGACCATGAGGAGGGAATCCCCTATGGGAAAACATGGCATGAGTGAAAGGATCAGCAGAAATAGGTGAAGATAGGAAGGGGATATTTTGGCTAGAATGAAGGATTTACATGGGGCAGCAGAATGAGAGAAAAGGCTAGAAAGATAGTTTTAATCCAGATTGTGGAGGAAATTACATTTATCTCATCACTAATAGAAGGCTTTCCCTGAAAGCAGATTCTGTTAGTAGGCAAATAGAAAAGAGAATTACAGAGGGGAGTGCAAGAGAGAATCAGATATAGAGGGAATACAGGTCTCAGAATACAAATACTGAGTGGTAGGAAGATGAATAAAAGAGAGAAAAAATGTCAGCCCTACGGCTTTTTCTATAGTCTCATCATTCACATCCTACAGAGCACACAGGTTACATGCTACATGAAATAAGGCATTGTGATCAATACCTTTGGAGATATGTCCTGTGAAGTACAACAAGGACTCAAACCACACAAAGCCTCCAGAAGAACTGCTTTATGACTCTCTCTGTGTGTGTGTGTGTGTGTGTGTGTGTGTGTGTGTGTGTGTGTTAAACTAGCAGTCCACAGGTGGGAGTTTTGTTATAAACAGTACAGATGTTGACTGTAGTTATCGCTTGAGCCTGTCATCAGTATATCACAGACATATCCCTGCCACCCAGAGATAGGTGACTCTTGCCAGTGTTTGGCCATTGTGCATAGCAGCAAGAGTTTCTAAGCTGAGTTCAGTCCCTATATGGATCTTGTTATTCTACTAGATGTCCTGATGAGATCACCAGTTTGTTGTTCAAAACAACAAAAAAAGCATAATAAAATTGTCAGTTAAATGAAAAAGCAGCATAATTAACTTGTGTAGTAATTATTTTTTTTTGCTACAATAACGAAGTACTCCAGAATGTAGTGGCTTACAGCAGCAATAAACATATATTATCTCATACGGTTTCTGTGGGCCAGGAATTCAGGAAAATATTTGCTTGGTGGTTCTAGCTAGGAGTCTCTCTTAAGGGTATAGTGAGGATGTTGGGCAGGGACATAAACATCTGAAGGCTTGGCTGAGCTGGAGGATCTACTTATTTACATGGCAGGTAAACAGGTGCTGGCTTGACAGGAGACTTTTCCACTGGGTTGCTTAACTTCCCTTATGACATTATGACTGGCTTAACCCAGAGTGAATGATCCACATCAAGAAAGAAGCCCCAATGTTTTGTTATGACCTAGCCTTGAAATCCTCACATTATAATTCCCATATTATCCTACTGGTTGCAAAGGTCAGCCTCATTTGGAGACAGTGAAAGGGGCCTATACAAGGACTTCCATGCAATGAGACAAGGCTCTTCAGGAAGTGTTTTGGAATCTGGTTACTATGATAATTCTAACATAAAATGCTATTCTATAAAAAAAAGTATTTTGTGCCTTAGCTAAATTGCTATAGTGAAAAAAAGTCACATCTCACTGTGACACATTAGTGTATTTAAGATAATTATTGAGTTGGTATTTAAAAAGAAAAATAATTTTATAAGTAAACACAAATCCAGATAATGAAGTTACAGTTATAGAAGGGTATACCTTTTGGAGTTTGCTATTTATTTTAAATAATTTAAAAGTGTGTTTATTTGTTGCATGTTGACTTGCAATAGGAATCCCTTTACAAATTTGCATCAATAAGATTTAAATTTCATTTTTTCAGCAATATGATAAACTCGGTTGTGAGAGAAACCCTTTCCAGTGCAATTTATACTAAAATGATGCATAATAGAGGAAGACAATTTGCCACTCTCTTCATTGGTTCTGAGCAGAAAGCAGACAGTATCTCCTCTTCAAATCCCTAACCACCTCTCTCAACTGGCTTGGGGCCTAAAACTACACTGCTTATGTGGCTTCCCAAACTGCAGGCCATAACTTTGAGTTACAGTTGCCCTAAGTTGATAATGTTCTCAAGTGCCTGGCGGAAGCAAACATGAACTGTCACTGAGAGAATTTGCTTTAAACACAACCTTCAAATAAGTTCCACTCATGAAATTCTAAGGAACAAAGGCTCAAAATAAGAACTTACTAAACACTTGAGGAGGCCAACTTTCCTGAGCAAAGTTCAGCTGAGACAATAAACTGCAGATTAAGGACTTCCAAGAATGCAGAGTTTAGAATTATCAGATAAAGATTATAAAATATTTAATATGTTCAAATAAGTATAAGAGTAAGTGGAAAGTAATGCTAAGAAAAAGAGACTATCAAAACTGACTAGAAAGATTTTTAAAATTAAAAACAAATAGAATTTTTGAAAATAAAAAATCATAATTGAAATTAGAAATTAAGTGTATGAATTCAATAGGAGAAATGATCAGCTAAAGAGAGTACTAGTGGACTGGAAGATAGAAGTGAAGAAATCATAAATTGTAGGACAGAGAGAGAATGAGATGGAAAACAGCAGAGACTAGCAAAAAGAGCAGTCAGAGTGATAAGGTTCAACTTAAATCTTGCAAGAGTTCCAAAATAAGAAAATAAAGAAAATAGGAAAGAGGCAGTATTAAAATAGATAATGGCTAAGAAATATCCTTAGTTAATGAAAGAAATCAATTTTCAGGTTAAAGAAGTGTAATAAATCTCAAGTACAATGAATAAAAGAGAAAAAACAAAAATCCCCAATCCAAAAGTCTAAAGTCAAATAAAAAAAACAATGAAAATGGAAAAATCAAGAGAAATAGAAAATCCAAAGTGGAAAATAAAAAGATAGAGATAAATCCAAATATGTCCATTATTATAGACAGTACAAACTAGTTAAGAGGCAAAGATTGTCAAACTGAGAAAGTCCAGTTATACATTATTTAAAAGAGACACATCTAAAACATTAAGACGTGAGAAAGTTGAAAGTAAAATGATGGGCCAGGCATGGTGGTGGCTCACACCTATAATCCTAGCACTTTGGGAGGCTGAGGTGGGAGGATTGCTTGAGGTCAGGAGTTTGAGAACAGCTTGGGCAACATAACAAAACCCGATCTCTACAAGAAATTACATAAATAACATTTTTAAAAGTAAAAATAAGAAAAGGAAAAGAAAATGATGAAAAAAGATTTACCAGACAACGGTGGAAGAGAACAGGAAAAGGGGAGGGCAAAGGAAGGAAGAGAGATTGTGGGAAAAAGAAGACGGGAAAGAGAAAAAGAAGAGGATGAAAAGGAGGAGGAGAGGGAGAGAGGGAACGGATAAGGAAGTGAAAGGGAAAGATAAAGAGAAGGAGGAGGCAGGGAAGTGTGGGGAAGAGAAAGAAGAAAGTAAATATCGCTTTTAGCTAGACATAAAGAAGGCCACTACGTGCTGATAAAAGGTTTAATTCTCCAGAGGATGGATAGAGTCACCAGCAAATAAAAATACAGAACATCCAGTTAAATTTTAATTTTAGAAAAATAACATATTTTCTTGGGTATAAGTTTGTCCCAAATATTGCATGACATACTCATATTAAAAAATTATTCATTGCTTACCTTAAATTGAAATAGCCTTATATTATTTGCATCCCTGGAAGATGAATGTAACTCCTAACAGCCTCAAAACATACGGAGTAAATATTAATAGAACTACAAAGAAGAATTGATAAATTTGCCATAATTGTGGGTGATTTTTAACACATCCTTAGGTATTTGGCAAGTATTCAAGCTTATTCTAATGAACATCCATATAATGTTATACACAAAAAGGTATAATACACATTTTTTAATGTCCAAATGGAACATTTACAAAATTTGATCACCTACAAGATCACATAACAAGTCTCCGTAAATTTCAATCAATTTCTATTTAAATTCTATTACAGAATATATTCTTTGATTTTAATGTAAAGAAGTTTCAAACCATTAATAATAAAAGAAAAACTGTGTACATTTGGAAATCAAAATAAGGCCTATCATTTAGGAAAAGACAATTATAAGAGAAATTAGAAAATACTTGAAATTGAATGATTTTTAGAAACCCACATACTAAAACTTGAGAAATATGGCTAAAATAGCATTTTGAAGGAGATCTATGGCCTAAAATGTTTATGTTAGAGAAGAAAAAAGGCCAAAAACGGTGAGATAAGTATTCAACTTAAGTAGTTAGAGAAATGACAACAGAATGCATGCAAAGAAAGCAAAAGGAAAGAAAAAATAAAGATGAGTGAAGTGAAATAAAATGCAAATCAAAGATCTAATAGATCAACAAAGCCAAAAACTGGCTCCTAGGAAAAACTCATACAATTGATACAACTTTAACAAAATCAATAAAAAGGAGTGAAAGCACTAACAAAATGTATTAAGAGATGAAACAGTGATTATAACTTCCAATAAATCAAAGGTTTAAAGGATAGTTAAGTAGTATATGACAACAAATATGAAAACTTTAGAGAAAAAATTTTCTAGAAAAACATAACTTTCTAATACTAACAACAAAAGAAAATACTTGAATTATTTTGCATTATATGGAATTATTTTATATGAAAATTGATTAATAGTGAAAGTCTTCTCCATTAAGAAGAAAATAGGTCTAGGAGGTATACTGAAACAAAATTCCAATATTATTTATACTCCCTTAGAATATACTTAGAATACTCCATAACTTTTAAGTATTAATATACTTAGAACACTCCCTAACTTTGATACTGAAATCAAAGACAATGTAAGAGAATAAATTACAGGTCAAGTTCATTCATGACATAATTGCAAATATTAGCAACCCAAACATAGTAAAAAGTAAAAATGATAATATATAACGAACAAGTTGGATTTAACCCAGAAATGCAAAGTTAGTTCAACATTAGAAAGAATATTAATATAACTCATGGCATAAACACAGTAAATAGAAAATAAAGATATAATCATCACAATACTCAAAAATTGCATATGTGAAAACTTAAAAATTACAAAAAAACTGACTGAAAAACTTATACCTAAAAATGATACAGTAAAAGCATTTCCATTATTTAAGAGAACAATAAGAATTTCCGTCAACATTGTACTGGATTTCTTAGAAAAAGAATAAAATATGTAAAGATTAAAGAGACAGAAACCCTACTGCCTTTATTCACGGAGGTATATACATAACATTTGCAGAGAATGATTTTGATTATATTTACCATTAGAATTAATAGAAGTTTAGCCTAATTGCTGAATTTATGATCAGTTTATCAAAGTTAAATAATACCCATATAATTTCACTAAATAGTTGGAAATATATGTTTTAAAATCATTTATGACAACAACTAAAAATATATGTCTGTATCTAACAAATATACATGAAATCATAAGAGTTATTGAAATAAAGACCTTTATTTATAGTATATGTGGGGAGTATATTTCATTGACTGTAAGAGTGAATCCTATAAAGATGTCAGTTCTCCCCAAGCTGATCTCTAGATTTAATGCAACTTCATTTAAAATCTTGACTCCTTCTCTAACTTGAAAAGCTACATATGACATTATATATTAAAAAATAGCAAGGAAATCTAAGACACTCCTTTAAAAAGTTGGGCAAAATGACTTGCCTTACCAGATATCAAGAGCTATCACAAAGCTATGATTTAAGCAATACATTATGGGTGTAAGAATAGATTAATAGGTGACAAGAATTGAATATAAATCGAAGAAACAGATTCACAGATAAATGAAAAATTGAAATGTTAATAGAGATGGCATTGCAGATCAGCAAAGAAAATAATATATTCCAGAAATGGTTCTGGGGCAACTGGTTATGAATATGAGACACATGAAATTAGATCTCTACACCATATACAAAATTCAATTCCAATGTATCAAAAACTCAAATGTGAAAGGCAAAACTTTAAAACTTTTGAACCCGGGAGGTGGAGGTGTGAGTGAGCCAAGATCGCACCACTGCACTCCAGCCTGGGCAACACACACAGTGAGACTTAGTCTCAAAAAAAAAAACCGTTTAGAAGAAAATGTGTGAGAGTATCTTCATCAATTTTTGATAAGCTTAAGTCATTTGGAAAAAATAAAAAAGAATATATTTATCACTTCCTACTAGGAAAACTTTCTCAAACAGCATAAAATGTGCCAACAGCATAAAATGTACAAACCACCAAGGAGTAATTAATACTTATTAAAATGAGTTAATATACTACATTAAAATAAACTTTTATTATTCAAAGACATTGAAAACAGTCAAAAGATAAACACAAAGCTGGTAGAAAATATTTGCAATGCAAATAATGGCCAAAGGAATGGTATCTAGAATATACAAAGTCCTGAGACAATTTTTTAAAAATGCCAATCCAGTAGAAATATATCAGCGAAATATGTGGCTAAGTACTTAACAGAAGAGGTCAATAATGATAGGAAGAGCTGATTAAAGCTAATGTAAAAGTGTGTAATACAAAGAGTTGCTCATTAGTAATCAGGGAAATGCCTATTAAAACCAAAAAGTGATACCGTTGCACACATACCACCAGAAGGGTAAAAGCTTAAAAGTCTCAAAATATCAAATATTGGCAGGTAGGCTGGGTAATAGGTACTTTCAAACATTCTTATATCCTATATCCCAACAATCCCATTTCTGGTCATATACTCCAAAGAAACCCTGGCATATGTGCCCAAAGAGACATGTTTCAGAACATTCATTAAACTCTTTGCTTTCATAGTAAGAGAGAAAAACAATTCTGTTACCTAAATTATATAGTACTAAAAATAGATAGGCACAGACAATAATGATTTAAACAATAATGTATTATTTTAATTACAGCCGGATATTTTATAAGTTATTTTTAATTTGCTCTGCTGATAGAAAATAAAAGTGTGGAGGTTCAAGATGTAGCAACTTGCCTCAAATGGTTAAGTAAATTAGCAATTCAACTTATCACCAAGCTATGGTTTCATCTTTCTGTGCTCTTTTCTTCAGATCTCACAGTCTTCCAACCAAGTCACTAATTTAGTAATTTTCAGTTCTCTTAATAGGATATTTTTAAGTGTCCATGCATGTTTCAAGATATTGCTGACTCCATCAACAGTTTTTTATTTCATTACTCAGGGTGAAGATGGCATATGTTTGGTTGTATTAACATATTCTTAATTATTTTCCTTAAAAACTGAAATAAAACCCACAGGGAAAAACAGATGCTTAAATAGACCAGGTAGTAACCCAATCTGGCAGACAGTGAAATTTTAGAAGTACTATTCTCCCACTTGCCATGCCTGATTAGGAATGGGAGGAAAGAAAATTAACATTCATTGATCATCTACTATGTTCCAGATGCTTTGCTTTCAATACTTCGTTTAACCCTGAGAAACCCGAAAGGTGGGCATTATTTCATCTGGTTTGCTGAAGAAGAAGCAGAGATATAGTGACAGAGAGAGTGAGAGCAGGAGAGAGAGAGAGAGAGATTTCTTTCTTTCATTCCCAAGGATCCATCTACTAGGTGGTAAAGCTGGGAACCCAGGTCACTCTGGTCCAATCCTCATGCTTTTTTCTTCATGTTGTGCCATCAAACACAAGGATCTCTATTTGAAGGTCTCATTCAAGCCATTTGGTGTTCAGCTTTAGGATCGATCTATGCTTAAGGTCAAGGCCTAAGTGAGAAGAGGATGCAGGATGTCTTAGTGACCTCAGCCTCAAAATGTCTCCAAAGCCCCTAAAAAGAGGTGGAAAAGCTAGCTAAGAAGAGAGTGCCTGCCTGGGAGTAACTGAGGCAAGAGAGGCCTTCCTTTTGCAGAAGCTATGAATAGACAGCCTTGAAACAAAATTCTGCTGGAGGATGAAACTGCATTTCTGGGGACCCCATCACTCTGGAGAGAATAATTCTGCACTATCTGTGCCATGAGAACAGATGTCAGGCTACCTAGACAGGAATGAGTAGACATAAAGGCAAAAGACCAAGAAGGTTACCATGTCTCAGGGAAGGCCAATAAAGACTCAGAGGACACAAGTGAACTCACTGTCTTCACTGCCATGAGCTCTTTCTTGCCCAAAGAGAAGAGAAGGAGCCCTAAGGGAAAATATGGTGTTTGAAATGAACAAATTGAATTCCTAAATTGATTGAATAATCACTTAAAAAGACTGTCTTAAACCAAAGGCTACATCTTTTGAAACGATGGTTCATTCTAGGTGTCAACTTGGCTGGACTAAGAAATACCTGAAGAACTGGTAAAACATTGTTTTGGGGTGCATCTGTGCAGGTGTTACCAGAATGATTGGTGTGTGAGCCTGAGTGGACTAAGTGGGGAAGGTCTGCCCTTGATGTGGGTGGGTATTGTCTAATCACTGGGGGCCTGGATAGAACAAAAACAGAAGAAAGGCAAATTGATCTTTTTCTCCCCTGGAACTGGGATACACTCTTTTTCCCCTGACCTTGAATGTCAGGACTCCAGGCTCTCAAGCCAGACTTTAGACTCCAGGAATTACACCAGCACCCCTCTCCACTCACCTCCACCTTGTTCTCAGGCCTTCAGACTTAGACTGAGCAACACCACCACTACTGGCATCCCAGGGTCTCTAGCTTGCAGACAGCCAGTGTGGAACTTCTCAGACCCCATAATTTTCATGAGCCAATTCTCCTAATAAATCTCCTTTCATCTCTCTCTCTCCCTCTCTCTCCTTCTGTCTCTCTGGAGAACTCTGATTAATACACTTGACTACAGGTTTTCTGCTACCAAACACAAATGTAGGCTCATGAACAAGGTGAATTTATTTCCAAAGAAATAGTTGCATGTCTAGCAAATGATTTGTGCCTATACATTTAAAACCCATGATGTAAGCATTATTAATCCCATTTTGTAGATATGAAAATCAGCACTCAGAGAAGTTAGAGGCATTTTCTATAGCCATAGAGCAAGTAAATGGCAAAGTAGAGGGTTTATTCGATATTCATTTGTTCCAAAGCTCATTCTCTTTCCACCTCAGTAAGACCTGATTTTTAAGGGGAAAATGCTGAAGCAGTCTCCCTGCCTCTAGGCCTCCATATTCTAAGGTGTGGGTCTTGTTCTTGTTTATGTCTCCTGATGACTGCTGCAGGGCACCCACACGAGGTACATAATGCATATGATCACAGCAGGAAGTCCAGCGTTACTGAAATTTCATTCGAGAACAACACATTCCCTATAATTGTCATATTTGATGACTACTTAGTGAACAAGAACATCTCATTGAAAACAAATGTCAGTCCCATTAAGATATAATTATTCTCTTCTTCTAGTCTGCTCAAGAAAGAACAGAAACTCTAGACAAATGTGCCTAATTTTGTAAGTTATACACTAACACAAAGCATCCTGCTGTGGGTGCCCTTATTTCCATAAAGCCGCATCTCAGCACATAAAAATACAAGCTCCTACAGTGCACACTTTCTTCCATCTCTGGGGGTAAAGGCAGACTCCCCAGTGGGGTGCCTAACTCAAGAATACAGTGCTATTCCAATCCTAATTAATTTCCAGGGTGTGTCCAGCTCTTCTGATTTTTGCTTTCTATGAGGATGGGGTGCCAGGGAGCCCAGGAAAGGACTGAAGTGGCTTTTTGGATTCTGGATCTGCTACTATCCATGTCCCCAGTGCCACTGCTCTTATCTACCATGCTCCTACCCCAATACAATCAGCCTGCTGAGCAGTCTTTCTCTGGCAGAAGGAGGGGTGTGGTCATAAAGAACAATAAAAGTTTTATTAAAAGGGTAACCATACTGTATTTTCTGGAAGAATCCATAGTCCATGTTTCTGTTCTGAGTTATACTCATAGTTACATTTGTACTAATCAATATCTGCATCCTGCTTATTGGTTTCCCAATCATAGTATTTTGGAAGAATCAGTTGGAGGAGTCGCTGATGAAACTAAAAACAAATTGCATATTGTTTCTAACAAACTCATAAATGGGTTGAGACATGAGGAGTGCCCCAGGGAGGTCTAATATCTTAGTGCCCCTCCACTGAAATCCCTAAATATGTATTTAGCATTAATGCAGATGTCAGAATGAGTGCAGTTTAGGAGGAAAGACAGAGAGACAGGACTGCTGGTGGTTTCGGGATTAGCAGCACGTGGTTTCCTGAGCAATTCAGCTCTGGTTCCAAATTTACAAGCATAATCAATGCTATTAACAGAAAAAAAAGTTCCTAAAAGATAGGCAAGACTGAACTGCTACCACAAAATTTACTAACATCCCTCTTTTTTGAGTGATTTCTATTTCCCTTCTAATGGCAACCCCAGCTCCAATTTAATCTTACTGTCTTTGGGCCAAAATTGTTAAGATAGCCGGTCATCAAATTGTCTGTATTTCTTGACAGCATCCCATCCAAAACTGGTCCTTGATTCCTCAAACTCCTTTCAGAACCAACCGTCAACAGCCCAAATATAGAATAAGCTTCTCCTGAGTGTTCCTTAGTATCTTAACACTCCTGAAGTTTCTCTGGGTATGGTCTTTCTTGCCTCACTAAATTAATCAACCTAACAAATAAATTTGTGAATACAGGGATGTTCCTGATGACCTTTGGTTAGTGAGTTTGACTCCGCCTATCTGTCTTAACAGAAAACTTAGCAATCTCTCTAGGACTTTACCTTCTAAGGGTCTGTAACTGGATCAAACCCAGCTGCTCACCAGTCAGAGGACGAAAACACAAGAAGCGAGGTATGGTGAAAGGAAAGCCATTTTATTAATCAAATGCTAGCAATTGGGAACTGACCAGCCTCATGCCTTTAAAAGATCTATCCAACTTTTGGGGCTGAGTGAAGGGGTTTAAGAAGAAAAACTTGTATAGGAGATGTGGAGGAGTGTTGTAGGGGGGTGCGGGTCTGTATGTTTTGTTCTGATAGCTATCTTGAGTAATCGCCTGTCTAGAGATCCCCGTGGTGTCGTCTTGGCTTTGGCCCGGTGGGTGGAGGACTAATTGTTCATAACTCCCCTTAAGTGGGAAAATTCTGCAGCTGGGCCTATACCTGGTTTGTTTCAAAATTAGCCCCTGGAATTTCTAAGCAAGCACATAATTAGATAAGCATGTACTATGCACGCAAGTACCTGGTGGACAAAAGAGAAACCAAGAATTTTAACATACAAGGCTACATTTTGAGATTAAGAAAGAAAGGAAAAAAAATTTCAAAATGCATTTTGAAGTTAAGCTTCTCAGTTTATAGATCCTCTTACCTACCTAAGCATTTTGTACAAGATCGTGCACACTTTGTGAGAAGAGCTCTAATAAACATAATTATCTCCACTTCCTCATATTTCTAGAAATATGCTTATGATCCCTATAGACAATAACCTTGGACAATTTCACAGTTACCCTACCCTCAATCTTCTCTCAGATTTCCCCCTTTCCCTATCCCACAGCCATTGTACATGTACAACAACCCATAGTAATGGATTTAGGATAAGTGGTCTGGTGGATCACATACTCATTCCAAAAGATATCAGTAACAGGGTAGGCTCTGCAGTTTCACAGCTATGTGATTGTGCTAGATTTTCTGTTGACAATCCTATGTTCTGCCTTGAATTACAAGTATTGAAAACATAGAAACTACGTTTCTCGGATTTCCTCAACAACAGCATTCCTAGTTAGAGTTTTGCTAATAGAAGGCACTCATATTAAATTTAGAAGCAACAGAGAGCCAGAAGCAATATCATTTCTTTCTGGCATTAGCAGACATACTCAAGAGCTTTGGAAGACAGTTGATATGAGGTTTTCAACTGTCCTCAGATATTCTTCTGTAAGTCTCTGGCTTTAATGCTGCCAATAGCATTACATCATTGGTGGTAGTTTTCTACAATTTCTGCAACGTTCTGATTCTCTGGAAGTTAGTGCAAGTTTTTCCCAATCTTTACTCCCTTAGCACTTGTAAATGATTTTGTAAGCAACTAATATCCTATATTAAACCTCATCTTGATTGAAATACCTAGAGTAGTTCTGTTTTCCTGACCCAAACTTCCTGACTGAAAGAACAAATAAGGTCCAGTACCCAATAGTTAATCAACACTTTTTCTTCCTCCCTCCCTCCTTTCAGTAGTTCCCAGTTTCTACTGTTGCCATTTTTATGTCCATACATATCCAATATTTAGCTCACTTACAAGTGAGAACATGTGGTATTTAGCTTTCTGTTCTGGTGTTAATTTGCTTAGGATAATGGCCACCAGCTTCATCCTTATTGCTGCAAAGGACAAGATTTCATTCTTTTTTATGGCTGCATAGTGTTCTATGGTGTATTTGTACCACATTTTCTTTACCCTATCTACCATTGATGGGCATCTAGGTTGATTCCATGCTTTTGCTAGTGTGAATAGTGCTGCAACGAACATACAAGTGCATGTGGCTTTTTGGTAGAATGATGTACTTTCTTTTGGATATATACACAGCTGGGTCAAATGGTAGTTCTAAATTCTTTGAGAAATCTCCAAACTGTTTTTCACAGTGGCTGGACTAATTTACCTTCCCAAGAACAGCGTAAAGTGTTCCCTTTTCTCTGCAGCCTTGCCAACATCTGTTGTTTTTTGACTTTTTAATAACAGTCATTCTGACTGGTATGAGATAGTATCTCATTGTGGTTTTGATTTGTATTTCTCTGATTAGTGACATTGAGCATTTTTTCATCTGTTTGTTGGCTGCTTGTATGTCTTCTTTTGAGAAGTGTCTGTTCATATTTTAAAAGGACTTTCAAACACAAAACATAGTAAATTAAATTCTTTGGTGGAATTTAAGTGGCAACATCTGTTTAATGAGAAATATAAAATTTCTGACTGTTATTGCAGAAGTGATTCATGTATTCATAAAACGAATTGTAGTGGATATCAACTAGCTTAGTTGTTTAGATTTAACTGACTGTATTTAAGAGTGATGTAACAATTTTATTTTAAAATGTCCATATTTTCAATGCATAATTATATCCATTGCAATTATTGAAACATAGGGGAAAAATCTTTAGCTATCAACTTAAAATTATGAGCAGTTGCACAGTTTTACAAATTATTTTAGGAAGTACACAAACCAAAGCTATTCATGGGTATCTTTGACTCTTACCCATACCTGCCCATAATAGAAGAGAAAGGCTACTACGAATGGATTCAGAAGGCAAAAATTTCCTTTCCAAAAATCAACAGTCGATTATGGATTCATGTAGATTAATATATCTTTGTTGAGTTCCAATGCTCCCTTCTCTTTTTCTCATGTTTATCGCTAGCCCAAGCCTTATGCTTGAATTGACTTCTTCCTGTGTCATCTGCTCTGCTTGCAACTTTAGACACTGACTCTAGTTCTTACACCATTACCCTTCTACTACTAACTAATGTTAGTTAATTGATCTAACTAATGCAGGCTAGTCGATCTAACCTGCATTTCCTTCTCAGCTTACATCTCTAAATTTTCCCCACAGGACAATTAGTCAAATCTCAAACATTCTTGCATCTTCCAGGTAGATCTGGTACATTGCTCTTTGACTTAGTCTTGCCTTTAGGACTCTTGATAACTTTACACCTGGCCTACGTAAACTCGTGCATTCTCTGATCTGTGTCCTGCATAAATCGTTCTGCCCAACAGTCTGGCTTCATTCCCAATCCTGATCCATTTTATTTGCCTGCTTTATCACTGCCAAAAATGTGGCATAATAATTAACAGTTATTGATAACAGCTGTAGGTTGATGAGAAAAAATAATGCATTATTACTTAGACTTTGTTTGCTTTATATTTCATGTCATAGAAAAGACCTTTAAACTAGCATTTCATATAAAGTTCATCTGCTTGGTAGAGTTCTGCTCTGCTTCTTTTTTTTCATTTTTCCTTTTTTACGTATTATTATTATTTAGAGACAGGGTCTCACTATGTTACCAAGGCTGGCTGGCCTTGAACTCCTGGGCTCAAATGATCCTCCCACCTCAGCCTCCTAAGTAGCTGGGACTATAGGCACATGGCACATGCCACCACACCCTGCTTGATATGGTTTGGCTGTGTCCCCACCCAAATCTCATCTTGAATTGTAGTTCCCATAATCCCTATGTGTCATGGGAGGGAGCTGGTGGGAGGTAATTTAATCATGAGGGCAGTTATCCCCATGCTGCTTTTCTCATTATCATAAGTGAGCTCTCACGAGATCTGATGGTTGTTTTAAGGGGCCATTATGTGAAGAAGAAGGTGTTTGCTTCCCCTTCCACTGATTGTAAGTTAAGTTCTCTGCCATGTGAAACTGTGAGTCAATTAAACCTCTATCCTTTATACATTACCCAGTCTTGGGCAGTCTTTTCTAACAGCATGAGAACTGACTAATACACTTCTTGTTTTCTTTTAAAAGGAGGACTTGCAAGACTAACATGGATGTCCAGGCTTCTCTGGCCAGTTAGCATAGCTGAGATCATAATTATATCAACTACCTAATAGTCAGGCCTGCACACCCCCACCTGCCAGAGTAGCAGCATCCTAGGCCTTCTTGGGTTTTCCTCTCTCTGAACGCCTCTTAAGGAGTGCTCAAGACCAAGGGTAACAGAGATTTGCTTTTGTCCCACAGTCACACTGTGTTTTCCTTTTCCTCTTGAGCCACTCTATCCTCTATCGTACTTTCTCTTACCTCTTTCTGTGGCTCTAGAACTTCAGCACTCTCTTGCCTGATGGCACAAGCTGGGGGGTAAAGGTGGGAGGCAGTAGATGGATATAAAAGACCAGTGCTGCTCTCCCCCAAGTCCCCTCCTTTACCATTGCTTTCCTATGAATATTTTAAAGCAAAAGTAAAATAAGAATACCTAGGGCTTAATTTTTAAAGAGGGCACCTCATTTTATCCAAACCTCAGTAGGTACAGACCTGCTGCTTGGACAATATCACCTCAGCAGAGGCAACACTTCTGATGGCCACACTCCTAAATTTTAGTAAAAATACCTAAGAGGAAGCAATGAACTTCTTGACTACTGAACTTACCAACATAAAGCATGAATGTTTGAGTCAGAAGGAACTGACATCAAGATTTTGCCCTGCCTCTGTTTTTTTCTTAGCGAAGTGATCTTGGAAAAGTCATTTAACAACTCTCTACCTCAGTGTCCTTGTCTGTAAAATGAGGTTAATAAAATTATTTGTCCCATAGGTTTATGGTGAGAGTTTACAAAGATGATGAAGGGTTTAGCCCAGTGCCTAGCAAATGGTAACACTCTACCAGTTGGTTACTAAAACTATTAGTATTTGTGGTGCCAATGTGAATGCCACAAATGGCCAAAACCATATTATTAAATGAGAGGCTTCCTAGGATAGGAGAAACAATAAACCTGGAAGAGAAAGGTCTAGAAATTGCACTCTACATTCCCTATTCTGCAGGTCATCAGAATGGCTCTCCACACATACATGGTTGTGTTTGTTTTTATATTTCTGTTTCACAGGATTGAACACAACAGAAGAGGTTGCTATGGAAACATGTGCACCTTACAATTCTTATTTATGGGAAATAGTTTCCATAAAACTAGTTTCCATACGTTGTTGTTAGATGTCAGTTGTCATTTCTCATCTCTGTTAGCATGCCATCCACTTCTGTACAGTTTCTGTCTGCAGTGTAGCCAATGCTTTGAGTGTAGGGAGCCCACACTGGGCAAACCATGCTTCCTTTCGTATTAGTCAAGCAATTCTTCCATGATTGGTGATTAGCATTTGTTGACAGCAATCTGGCAAGGTAGGCAGAAGAATGTAAGCAGAATATCATGAAAAGGAACTTTAAATTCTGATAGTACATTCCTGCTTTCTCCTTTCTATGGCAACCACAAGTACCATCAGATCACAAAAAGAAATATTCTGAAGCTTCTAGGATTTGAGTGGGTGTTTACATATGCATTGTCTCTGTGAACTGTGGAAGCAATTAAAATGCATGATGTGCCAATATGTAATTGTAATGAAATTTCCATTACTCAGTGCCTGGAAAATATCTGTAGTTTCCACTGACCATTTACTTTAGAGATTTGGGTCTAATAAAAAATGCAGAAAACATTAAGAAGATGTGGGTTAAAACCAGAAAGGTATATTTTCAAAAAGTTGTGGCCAGAGTTCAAAGGTTAGGAATAAACAAGATTTAAGAATTAATGAACTCGCTTTTGAGATTTATCCTTGTGATTTTCTATGTGCGTCTTCTACATTCCTGTAATTACATACTGATTATACAATGTAAGCCATCATGTTCTTTCTTTCTTTTCTTTTTTTTTTTGAGATGGAGTTTTGCTCTGTTGCCCAGGCTGGAGTGCAATGGTGCAATCTTGGCTCACTGCAACCTCCGCCTCCCAGGTTCAAGCAATTCTCCTGCCTCACCCTCCCAGGTAGCTGGGATTACAGGCATGTGCCACCAGGCCCGGCTAATTTTTTTTGTATTTTGGAGAGACGGGGTTTCACCATGTTGGTCAGGCTGGTCTCGAATTCCTGACTTCAGGCGATCCACCCACCTCCGCCTCTCAAAGTGCTGGGTGTTCTTATAAGAGTATGTGTTTACTTCTGAGTCGTGTGGTTTTGGGAAGTGGGAGAAGATAAGCTTATGGGAAGGATGCTGGAATGTTGAGCCAACAAATAACAACATACATAAATAATGAAATGGAAGAGCCACAGCAACTTGGGATACTTAAGGCCACTGAGAGAGGGGACAAATTGTTGTTGCTATTGTTGTTTTATTTTGTTTTGGCTTGGGGAATTTAGACCTCCATATCATAATGTGATAAGCAGTGGGACCTCTTAGTATTGTTGAACGTAAAAATAGATTTGGTTTGTTTATGCTTAACTCCAAACCAAGTGGCAGGTTTGGATGGAATGTCCCTCGCAAGTCCAGTGAAATAATTATAACAAGATGTTATACGGCCTGGCACGCTATGAGAGTACAGATTTAAGACTAAAGGATTATAAATAAACTTATAGGGAAGTTTTAGTACTGACACATTCCAAGAGAAAATTTAGAGTATAAAACCTTATACTTTTGAACACATTAGACACTGAGGACTAATGAATTTTAGATAATAATGTTAAGATGAGTTCCACTGAATTCACTGAGGAATCAGTCAGCTCAAGGGTAGGAACAATTAAATTTTCATGTTTCCACAAACAGCAGTCCCGTATGTCACTTATTAACCATCATAGTTACTGGTAAGTTTGTTTTCAAGGTTTCATGTTATTTAAGAAAACAAAGCAGCAGTCAGGCATGACTCAGCCAACAGGCACTCACTGAGTGTCCACAGGAAGCATATTCTAAGGAACACACCACAAAACCTTTCATTCCTAGAAATAAAAGGTGGATTTTCCTTGCCTACCAGACCACATAGTTGTGATATATTTAGCATAAAGAAAATATTACCTTACAGACAGTATATAAAATAGGATCCATTTTGTGGAGATTAAAAGAGTATAAATTATATAGATCAAACTACAGACCTTGTCCAGGCACTGAGTAATGGAAATTTCATTAAAATTACAAACAACAAAAATATATACAAACCAAGTGTATCTCTGGGTGGTGAACACTTTGGAGATTATTCTTCTTGTTTCTTTAGGTCTCTTGATCATTCAACATTCAAAAACATGTTGTGTTCATGTAATTTTAAAGAGGGTTTTTTAGAGAAAGAATAACCAAGTTGTTCTACAAATCTACAAGTAGCTGATAATCTTGGCCTACAATAGGAAAATGCTAGTATAATTGATGGGCTAGGAGGCTGCAAGCAGTAAGTTTAAATTTGGAGCCAACACATCTGTATTTAAATATCTGACAATCTCATTGTTTGTCATTCCTGTCTACAAAATGGCAAAAATGTTCTGTTTCCTTTCTCATTTCACTTAAAACTGAAAATAGTACTCACACAATAGACATTTTGATTAAAACATTGTCACTAGATGGAGCAAAACAGTAGATTAAAGAAATCTGGCTTTTGTCAATGATGAGCTAAGAATTTAAATAGAACAAATCTTGATAAATATCTCAAGTGTAGGTCGCCAAATATGAGAAAACAGCTTTAGGATTTTCAGTAAGGAAAACACTATGAGGATTTCATTCATTAATTCAGCAAATATTTATTAGGTAACAAGGTAGCCTACTCTAAGTGCTGGGACGGAGCAGAAAACAAGACAGGAGTTGTTCCAGTCTCATGTAACATTCATTCATTCTAGTCACAGAGATGAACAGTAACCAAAACAGGGACAAATACTTACATAATCATAGATGGAAGTTTTACAAAAGGTGAAGGGCAGGATGCTACTGAAATTTATCAGGGGTACCATTCTACTCTGAATTATCAGTGAAGACATCATTGGGAGACATTTAATCTGGTCCCTAGTTACAAGTAGAACTTGATCAGGACAACGATGGGGTGGGAGTATAGGGAAAGGGCTTTGGGGAAGAGAGAATCCTAAGTGCAAGATATCTCAGGCATTAAAGAAGGTTAACAAACTGAAAGAACGAAAAATGAAGCTGGAATATGGTGTGGTGGGATAGAAGGGATGAATGGCTTATTAGATTGTGTTAAGAAGCTTAGATATGATCCTAAAAGCAATGAAAAGCTCTTTGGTTAGCACATGAAGCCAACTCAATTCTTGTTTAAATAGTAACTACATATATTGCATATATAAAAATTATTTTATCTCTTGAATTAATCAGTATTGAAATGTAGATTTTCAGAAGTTTTAGAAAACATGTTTTGTAATAGGAGAAAAATCAACATAGGATTTACAGAATTAAAATCTATTCATGATGTGAATCTCATTTAACCAGTATAACTGTTTTACTAAGTCTACATTTACAAAATAGAGACTCATCTCTTTTTTATGCCAATTTACTTTGGAGCCACCACTGTTTCTTGTTAGATGAAATTTCAGGATATCATTCTGGAGGTTTTTCCTACTCCTCAATTTATTCAAGAACACCAGGAACCTAACTCAATCCCAAGTCTATCAGTCCAGCTTCCAAAACTCCAACTGGGTAGGAGCTGGACCCTGGCTAGTGCATCTGTGCCACATGATTGTTCAACGTGGTTCAGCACTGTTGAAGAGCAGCCCTGCATAGATGAGCAGACTGTGATTGTTCACTACTGCTAAAGCACACTCATGATGATCAGGTCCTAGCCCAGGCTTTGGGTGTGCCCATGCTGTGGGGATGCCCATGCTTTCGGGTGTGCCCATGCTGTATGGGGATGATTATTTCTTGTTCTACTTATCATGGACTAATTCAAACATATACCAGAATATAGTATACCCATCATCCAGTTCAGTAATTTTCAGTGTATGGATAATCTTGTTCATCTATATTCTTCCCTACCTATCCTCCTCACACCCAACATTTTAAAGGAAATGCCAGAATCATATCACTTTATTTGTAGTATTATTTGCAGCACTAAAGATAAGGATTATTAAAAAGAAAACCTAAACCCATTTTAAATGTGATGCCATTATCACACTTAAAATATAAATATGTGCATTTTATCATCAACTATCCAACCAGCATTCAAATTCCCCCAGTTGTCTCACAAATGTTTTAATAATTTATTTTTTATAATTTGTTTGTAGAAATCAGAATCCAAATAAAGTTCATAATTGCAACAGGTCTCTTAAGTCTATTTTATTCTGTACGTTCCCCCTCTACCTTTTTTCTTTTTCCATAGATAGATTAGATAGATAGATGATAGATAGATAGAAAGATAGATAGATTTTTTAAGTAAATGATAGTTTGTCCTATTATGTTTTCTATTGTCTGAATTTTGCTGATTGCATCCCATTTGTGCCACTTAACATATTCTTTGATCCTCCTATATTGATGGGAAATTATTAGAAGCTTATTAGATTCAGGTTGGATTATTGGGGTATAATGACTTCATGGGTGGTATTGTGTACTTCCATCAGGAACACTTATCTAAATGTCTTCTTTTCAAATGTTGACAGTAATGGATGACTATTGCCTAGATTCATTAATACATCAATTATGGTTTGCAAAATGTGATATTCTTTCATTTCCTCTTCAGTCCTTGATTGGATATGTCTATTAAAAAAATCTCTTCCTCAAATATTTGGTTACCCTGGGATCATCGGTAAACAACTGAAACCTAATTGAACTTACATCTGTATCACCTTTCTCCTATGCTAAAATTCCTGGTTCCCAATAACACCAACATCATTACTTATTTGCTTTATTCCACAAAACACACAAAATGGTCTCAGAATAGCAACATCACTAGCACATATGGATACCAATAAAGTTTATGAATTTTCTTTTTAATTCCTTTTTGTCTTTAGGTTATAGTCTATAGGCAATGTACATTGGAATCACTGTGCCTTAAGCTTGTCTGAAAAGTTGTGCCACCAACTTAATAAGCAATTAACTTCCATTTTCATTTGCCTTCAACTCTTAGGGGCTGTTTTTCTAAATTAAATTTTGTTCTATATTTGTGCAAAAGATTTACGTGGCCCTAAAGTCAAAACTGCAAGCAAAGTATATTTTTGAAATTTTAGTTTCTATCTTTGTCTTTGCCATACTAGTCTTCCCCTTCTACATAGTAACTTTTTTTTCTCGTAATTTTAAAGTTATCCTTTTATGGTCCTTACCTAGGTAAACAGTAGCATACTATAAACACTTTTTCTCGCTAAGCGATAAAGTAATTTCTAATTTACATTCCCACGTTCAACTGTTGTTTATCAAGTATAATCACTGGAATATAATGACTGAGACCAAATATAATCACTAGAACTACAGCCCCACTCTCATGGACATTAGGAGCCTGTCACTCTTCTGTAACACTGGCTTTTGGTCAGGACCAAATGGTTTATTCTAACAGGTCTCTCTAAACTTTGAATCTTAGAAAGTCCCTAGCCTCTTAAGCCTCCTAATACAAATAGATTCATTCTACCTACTCCCTACTCAGAGCTCAGCATATGGGAAAGACAGCTTTTGTTTAGTCTCACAAAACAAAACAAAACAAAATAAAACATCTAGCTATACATTTCTCTCAGGATACTGAGTTTCTTTCTGCTGAAAGAAGAAAGGGAACGGGCTTTTTGCAAGAGGAATAATCTTTGGTAAACAGATTGCTTCAACATGACCTTCTGTCTCCCCCAGTAAGTAAGAAAGCTGGTAACAGTTTCCCCATAAAACAAGAAAACCAATTCCATGTAAACTAATACTACCAGACATCTCCTAGGAGCTGAGAAATAGTAAGTCATAATCATGTATTTCATGAAAATACCACAACTGTTTAACAATTGAGAGAATGCTTTCATGATAACTATTCATCTAAGCTGTATGGAAAATCTGTGAAATATTTAACACTGTAATCTCTCCCTTTTTCTTTCTTTTCGAAAGTGAGGAAATAGTGACTTGCCCCAAAACATGCTGCCAAACTAGGTGGAAAAGGAAAAATAAACCCCAAGTGGTTTAATTCTAGTTTCCATGCCCTTTTCACTTTCTGTACAAGAACAATGAATCAACAACTGACCGTATAAAACTATGCTTTCACAAGAATGTCAACAGATGACCAAGTAGTTTGAGTGTTTAGAAAACATTCTCTGACTGGGAAAGGTAAATGGCAGGGAGGAGGGAGGATGAAGAGAAGTGAGTTAAAGGGTACAAACATACACTAGGATAGAAGGCATCAATTAATGTTTGATTGCAGAGTAGGATGACTATACTTTAAAAAATGTATTGTACTCAGGTGACAGACACCCCAAATACCCTGACTTGATCACTATGCATTAGACACATGTAAAAAAATCTCATGTATCCCATAAATTTGCACAAATCATAAATAAAGTAATAAAATATTTGCCGTAATGCTCTACAATTAGCAGTGAAGCAGGTTTAACCCTCTACCATAAACTATTTTAATTTTATTGCTTTTGAATTTGACTAAAAGAGGATTAGGCTGGTAACATATATGAATAAAAATAAATGTATCATTGTAAAAAAAAAAAAAAAAGAAAAGAAAACATCCTCTGGATAACTATGTTTTTATGAACAAGAAACAAGGAATCTGCTTATACAACTGGCAAACAGTTCAGAGAAATGCCTCCCCTACAGCTATGGACAAATATATATTACTAAAACTTACTATAGGAGTTGCACTTGGTGAAATGAATATGTGCCTACCAAAAAAAATTGAGTTCCTATAATTTAATAATAAATCTCTAGGGATAGTGCTATGGAGGCCAAGCTCGTAAAACAGAGAATTTGAAACCACATTCTAATTGACTTATTTTGTGGATTTGAATTTATGTACATTATGTTTTTCTCCAAAGGAAGTAGTGTTTTGTCCTATAGCCAAATAGATTTCTAAGATAATCCAAGCCATCTGAACAGCCTAATGGCAATTCAAGTTTTCTCCTGTCTCTGTTCTATGTAGCCGTCTGGAGAGAACATTTCCATCTCTGGGACTTAAGAAAGGCAATGGCTATGGTTTGGCCCCCAGTGTACCATACAGTTAACCAAACAACTGACCCTGAAGAAAACTCATTTTAAGGTTGAAACTGTAACGAATTCTTCTTCCTCACAATCTATTCAATGAAAAGAAAAGGCCAGATGGCATTTCAGAAACCCATGCTGTCTGATAAGAAATATATATTGGCTTAAAAACTCTAATGAAGAAAACTCCTTTTCGCCAAATGAAATATAAAAGAGGTTCAAAACTGAGGATTTCTTTTCAAATGAGGCCTACAAATTAATGAGATGTTTCCTAATTAAGAATATCTATCATTTTATATACTCAATAAAAGCATTTTCTTCTAATACAACATAAAAATGTTAATAATTTCAAAATGGTGGTGGTTTTCTTTCTTTTACCTTGTCCTTTGTATGACTTTTGCCTAGTTGGTCTGAAGTACCCATCTATAGGTAAAGGGAATCCAAAAAGATTAAACATTCTTACAAAAAGTAGCAAGGAGACAGAAGAGGGTAATGCCAGTTACTAATATTTAAAATTCAATTTTCCAGCAAGAAAATAGAATAGGTTTGCAAGCTATGAGCTGTTATAGAGAAAATATTTCCTAACTTACTTTAGTGATTCTTCTTGCACCCTTGTAGACAATCCACTCTTTTTTTTCTTATATAATGAGCTGTCTTTCTATTATGCAAATTGAGCATTTATGTGGGTAATAGGGGAGAGAGCTACATTAAAAACTAAGTTCAGTGACAAGCCATGGAAAGGTTTTAAAAACAGAAATGGCACAATCTAATTTACATCTTTAAAATATTAACTTTTGTTGCTATAAAAATAATGGGTTATAGAGGAAGAAGAAGAAAGCAGAGAAATCATATAGGGAGTTATTGCATTATTTCCAGAAAGATATGATGATGTCTTGGACTAGAAGAATAAGTGGTGATGATGGAAACATGGAGAGAGTTATATAATTGCTGACAGCACTTACTGATAGATCAGACTTTGTGTGTGAGAGACAGAGATTAAAGATGACTCCTAGAACTTGGGCTTGAACAAACTGGATGAATGGTGGTGAAATGCTTCCAGAGACACAGGATTGGAGATAGAAATTTAAGATTGAATGTTGGCCATGTTGTTTGAGATGCAGGGTATATATTCAAGCAGAGATATCAAGTACAAAAATAAGCAATGTACCAGCTAACCCCTACCCATCTTTGGGCCTGCATCTTCCATCACTCTCCTCATTGCTCATGATATTCAAGTCACCCTGGTGTTTTTCTTTTTTTTTCCTCAAATGGGCCCAACTTTTTCTCTTAAGGCTTTTGCACTTATTACTTCTACCTGGAACTCTTCCCTTTCAGATCTCATATGGTTGGCTATATATACTATCATTCGTCTCAAACATGATCATTGTGAGGTCTTCCCTAAAACAAATAAAATAGCACCACCCCTACCCATCATGCTTTATAAGTTTGTCCTATTCTATTTATTTCACAACTCATCACTTTCTGAAATTCTCTTTTCATTTATTTACTCTATGCCACTTTTTACTAAAATGTAAGGTCTATAAAATTTGCTTGCCTTATTTATCACTAGATCTTCAGTACCTAACACATAGTAGGTGTTCAATAAATTGTTATTGAATAAAAGAAGTAATTAAATGTATGAATACATCATTTATTGTTGTTGTTATTAGTACAATCACTTCTTGTGGTGAATGTTACTAAGTCCCCACCTGGTTCATCTGCATCACAATATTCTCCAGCTGTTTATGAATTTTTGAGGGTGTGCTCAGGAGTAACTTCCTCAGGTATTCTGACACAAGTTCTTCAGATTTGTGCCCTCTGGCTTCTTCAGAGTGAAGTCACTTGTGCAAAGCCACAGGCATTTGGTGTTAGTACTAGAGTTGGAATTCAAAGTCCATGCTCTTTGAATACATACTGTTCCCTCATAGCAAGTATTCAGATCCTATAAAAGTTCTAAGAAGAATTGGATTAATAGATAAGAAAGCTTTTTTCTACAAATGTAAATGTACTCAAGCATTGTGTGACTTTCATAAACAGCACTAAATCACTAAACTTTCCAACCCCTCTGATACACTATTTTAAGAAATGCCTCTTTACTTGGAATGTTACATTTCTAAAAACTACTTTGTAATCACCCTTCAAAAATGTTTGTTCAGGACAATAAAAACTGTTACTTTGGTATGTATTTTGATCTTAGAAAACACAACCTAGATTACATCCATTTAAGAATCAATTCAAAACTCCCTTTTTGAAAGGGATTGATAAATTTACATTGGTCCTGACAAGAAGCAAAAGAATATTTTTTATAGACAGGAAATTAGCATCAGTGTGGACCATGAGCTGAGACTCAAGAGTGGAGTCCTGATTCCAAAATGAAAAAAAAAGTTGTGAAAATGGAAGTAAACTTTGTCATGCTGTGATATGCAGGTGAAATTCCAGTGGGTTGCTAGTAGGTATTCAGGATGGCAAAGGAGATGCTCCCAAATGTATTCAACAACTCTTGAACCCCTCTCCCAATATGAGGATGCAAAAGAGTTGAGAGAGTAGAGAATAAAGGATCTTGTGAGGAGACCTTGGCAGAGAGCTGTGCTGTGAGCCTCACCCCCTCCACCAGCTTAATTATCAGTGAGGAGGAAGGAGGACCTCACACTGCTGCTCAGGGAGCCCATTACCCATGGAGTTGGGGGTAGTCGACCAGGGAATCCCTCCTGCCTAGGACACTAGAGGGTTAGAGAAGCTGGTGAACTGCTTTGAGGGAGCTGAAAGGGTCACACTTTTCACATCTGGTCACACACCAGATCACACCTCATTGTCTTCTGACTATAAAACCTACCACAACCACCACAGCTCAGGGAGACAGATTTGAGCATTTCCTCTCTGACTCACAATAAACTTTCCACACTGCAAAAACCTAGTGCTTCTGTGTTTGGTTTTCCCTTAAATGCAGGCAAAACGGACCCAGTTTGGTTCAGTAACAGACCCGCTCCACTAAGGTCATGTGGGGAAGCAGAGGGACCCCAGCAACGAGAGACTGGAGGAGGTTGCCTAGGGGCTTTCAAGTGACCATCAGAACATAGATACATTATTCTAGCGAAAGGGACCTGCAGGCGGTTGGAGCCACAAAAATTACCCACATGAGAAATAACAATCTTTGAATTCTACCAAGTACAGATCAAAAAGGTGCTTAGGGTGCCGCCAGTTCAAGTGACACCTTTCCTGCCCCATTCTCTTCCACTGCCCACAGGACAGTCTGGGAAAAGCAGAGGGAGGGGCAGACAAATCAACCTCACCACTGACCCCTTCACACTGTAGACTTCCTCCCAGGCAGCAGGGAAGAAGGACTGAAACTAAATCAAGTTCAGAGTTTTCATCTCTATCTCAAACAGAACATTCTACTTTCCAAATGAAGACAATGTTTTCACTGTATTCTCCCTGTAGGGCTCTCTGTTATCTTAGAGGGAATGAAAACATCATCAACTTGTCAAGTTTTCATCCAGAGTTAAGGAAAGATTATTTCTACTGAATAAAATTTAAAAAAAGAATGAAAGACAAAAACAATAAAAACAACACTGTATTTTGATTATGTCTTAACTCATGCTCATTGGCCTACTGGTTATGGCTATTTTCAGCCTGACCTAATCCTTATGCATATGCCAAGCCCATCTCAAGGGTGGGAGGTTTCATGTGGTTGTGATGTGCACGTCTGCAGAGCTGGACTGCCGGGTTTGACTCTGCTGCCACCACTTATTATCTGTGCAACCTTGAGAAATGTATTTTGCTTCTCTGTTCCTCATCTAAAATGAGGGTGCTAATAATAGTACCACCTTTATATTGTTGTGAGAATTAAATGACTTAATTCACGTAAAACGATGCTTCATTCATGTTGAGTGTTCTATAAATATTTGTTATCATAATCAATCACCCCACTTCACAAAAGCAATGCATACTACTTTAGGCTTTTAGTCTGGGACAAATTACTTCTGCCCTAGGGAGAGAAAAATTTTGTTTTCCCATTCTGTCCTCAGGCAGGCTTCCTAAAGGTATTTCCTACCCAAAATTAACTTCTTCTCAGGACAGTAATTATGGAACCATCAATTCCCTACAGGAGAAGCTCTACTTTGAGCTCTAGGGGTAAATTCTTCTCATGGTTCTATGCTATTTTGAGAGGTGCTATTTCCCAAAGCCTGAGTTATCTGATCATAATCCTTTTAAGTGTATTTTATTGAACCTGCACTTCATTCAAATGCCCATGCTTATGTTAAAGTACATCAATAAACCATTATATTCGAATCTCTCTGATATATTCTGAATTTTTGAACCCTTTTTTTTTCCTTTGGTTTGTTTTACTAAATACATATAGCATATGTTCACAATGATAGTAATTTGACTTCAACAAAAATATTGCAGTTTAATTACGGAGGACTTTTTGTTATATTTGAATAAAATGTATTAAAAGCCAAGCAATATGCTCAAGGGATCAAAATTGTTACAATAGGTAGAGTTTGTATTTTCAAGGAGCAAAGTAACGTGGATTATTATAATAATTATTGTTATTTGAATAACTAAAAGCTATCTATTTTTTATTTGGCCTTTTAGTTTGGTAATTGCTGTAAATGCTTATTTCTAACTCTCCCTTTGGTACATCATCCTTAGAGAATTAACAACACCTAGTTTTTATAATTTCACTAAGCTTGAGTGTCAAAATTTTCTAGTCACATAGTTTGAGAAAATTATGAAATAAGCAGTAAACTGATTAGAATAATTATAAATTTTATTTTGGAGTAGATGCATATTTTTAGGGAAAGGGGACGCTTAAGAATGTATGTAGGCTGGCCAGACACAGTGGCTCAGGCCTGTAATCCTAGGACTTTGGGAGGCTGGGGTAGGAGGATTGCTCAAAGCCAGGAGTTCAAGACCAGCCTGGGCAACATAGCAAGACCCTGTTCCAAAAAAAAATTTTGTTTTTAATTATATGGGCATAGTGGCACATACTTGTAGTCCTAACTACTCAGGAGGTTGAAGCAAGAGGATAGTTTGAGCCCAGGAGTTTGAGGCTTCAGTGAGCTATGATTGCACGGCTGCAGTCCAGCCTGAGCAACAGGGCAAGACCCTGCCTCAAACAGCAACAACAACAAAGTACGTAGGCTAAGGGGAAAAGGTTAAAAATCTTTCTCTTGTCTGAAAAGCCAAAATAAAGACAATTATTAATAGGTTATGGGAAGTAAGATGAGATTCAAAAATCCCCCATACATATGAACAAAGCCACAAACACCAATGCGTTTCTGTGTTCTCCAGTTGAGCAGGACTCCAACATGACTCAGGTAGCCTATCATAGCTCTAATTTCCCAGATGTCTCATGCACTCCAAGAGTTCCGAACACTGTGTGAAAGGGAAGTGTCAGCCACTGCTTGGGGGCATAAAACAGCCAATCTCAGTGATGAAGCAGTCTTCAGGCATGGATTTACCCCCTACGTAATTGAGAATTTGTTTGAGAAGTTATCTATTAGAAAATGTGCTATAATTACTGGGGGTTGTGTGTGTTAAGGAAATTGTCGGGGACCTTGGAATTGCTAGCTGATGACACAACTGGAGAAAGCTATCTTCTCTGTTCTGAATTTTTGTTCATTAAGCAGCCGAAACTACTGATTCATTGTGTATGATTAGGGCATGCAAATAGAGTCATGAATAAAGAGTGCTAAAGATGACCCAGACATTTTTCTTATTAGTGCAGATCTCAAAACATATTCTTTTATGTCTCTACACCATAAGCAATTAGGGTGTATATGCAACATATACCACAAACAATTGCCACTGCCACATAGGATAGACTAGAGGATTTTTACTCTGTGTTCTATTTCACGGCTCAAAATGATTAGAATATTGCTATGCCCTTGTTATGGAAAAAAATTAAATCATACTTCTGCATAAGTTTTATTAAGTAAATTTGCTAAAACCTGATTAATAAGATAGTTTGCCCTCCAAAGTTGAAGACTTAAAAATAGTTTCATTGCTCTACTTTGTGCTTTTGAGGCAAGAGCTAGAACATTAAAGTTGTTCAAAAATAATTTAACAAAAATTTCAGTTTGTTACAAAAATATACCCTTGAAATAGCTTTTAAAAGTCAAGAAGTCTTCCTATATAAATATTTTATTAATGCCACTGTCACACAAATTTTTTCTTTTCTTTTTTTCTTTTTTTTTTGAGACAGAGTCTCACTGTGTTGCCTGGGCTGGAGTGCAGTGATCTCGGCTCACCGCAACCTCTGCCTCCCAGGTTCACGCCATTCTCCTGTCTCAGCCTCCCAAGTAGCTGGGACTACAGGCGCCCGCCACCACGCCCAGCTAATTTTTTGTATTTTTAGTAGAGACGCGGTTTCACTGTGTTAGCCAGGAGGGTCTTGATCTCCTGACCTTGCGACCTCATGATCTGCCCGCCTCGGCCTCCCAAAATGCTGGGATTACAGGCATGAGCCACTGCGCCCGGCCAAATAAAAAATTTTATTATCCAATGTTCAACTTCTAGCTGCAATGACAGACATGAAGGAAGAAAAACTACTTCATCCAAATTTAGTACATATCAAACACAAATTCCCACAAAAAAGGAAAAATTGGCAGTGTATTTGAATTATTTCAAAATAGCATTTCAAAGTTTTATTAAACTTTATGAGCACAAAACATGCTGACCCAGAAAACAATATACCAGGATCCCATGGGAAGGATTTATATGTTTATTATTACATTTGTTAATCACAGTCTGGGGAAATATAATTGCCATTTTCTTAAAAAATAGAGATTAGAGTTGTAAAACAAAGTAACTTATAAATCTTTGGATAAATAAAGGTTTAATGTGACAGAAAACCAAGTGCAGTCCTTTGTTGTTGTTTCCAGCTCTACCCCTCATTCATGTCAAATTGAGCAGTCACTTATGCTGTTTTTCAATTTTCCCATCTGCAAAATGAGGAGAAAGGCTTTGCTGTCTCATGGGAATACTGTATTATGTTGCTTCCTCTCCAGTTCTTAAAACTAAGACTGAAACCAAGGCTGCTACTTCCTTGGTGTGATTCATGATTTGAGAGGTTTTGCAAGGGTACTACACCCTAAAATATTTTACTCATTATCACGGGTATCATCCCCAGGGGCTCAAAGCAAATAGGTTATCTAGAAGTCTCCCACATTGTATCACCATCACCTGTTCTTACTTTTCTTTTTTAATCAAGAAATAGTTTAATCATGAGAAAAAATCCAGGGGACAATGTCACAGCAGAAAATGGCAAAATTACACTGGCATCTGTGTTCACAATGAGAGGGAAAGTTGACAGATTCTGGAGGCACATTTTTCCCATTTAAGAATTTTGCCGAAAGCTGTTCATGCTTGAAACGTGAGCCTAGAACTCTAGAATTCTATACACCATTAGACTAAACTGAGCAAATGAAATAAACATTATGGAGCCTCTCCTATGTGCCAGGCATCATGTCAGGCTCTGAAGAATTTTTTTAAAAACTACATACAATAACACAAAGATGAATAAGATACAGTGGTTGCCCATGAGGAACTCGATATGCTATAGCAGTTCAACTTCAAAACATTCAAGGAAGACTATTCTGAAGTAGAAAGGTGGTTACCAGAGGATGGGGGTGAAGGGGTGGAATATTGACCAAAGGGTACAAACCTGTAGTTGTAAGATGATTAGTTCTGGAGACTTAATGTATAGTATGGTAAAAATTAATAGTAATGTGTTGTATATGGGTAATTTGCTAAAAGAGTAGGTCTCAAGTGTTCTTACTACCCACACACACAAACGGTAACTATACGTGGTGATGGATATGTTAATTAACTTGATGTAATTATTTTACAATGTATACATATATCAAAACATCACGTTATACACCTTTAATGTATGCAATTTTAATTTGTCAATTATACCTCAGTAAAGCTAGGGGGTAGGAAAGAAAAAATATTTCATTTGTTTACTTGAGATTGTTTATAAAGTGTTTTTGGTTAATTTACTACTAGGAAAACAAAGGTATGAAAAATCATTCCCCACCTTAGCTAAGATTTAGGAGTTTTCTTTTTGTTGGGAATCCTGGAAGCATTCTTCTCTTCCTATTTCTTCCCTTAAAAGCTAAAATTTCAAAGTACATTTTTGCTACAAGATGTAAAAATGTAGTCAATTGGTTTTATATTCAATAAACAGCACAGCATGACAATAAGCAAAATGCGCAGTTTAGCTCTGCCATACATCCTTTATCCAGAGACAAAATTGATTCCAATTCAAGTTAGACTTCCCGCTGGGGAAGCGACCCTCCTGTCATTTCTCGTGTTACTAGGGGCTGTGGAGAAGTAGCTGAAGGGACCGTTTCTGCCAGGTAAGAGCAGAAGCAAAGAGACGGTCCAATGCCCAGATCTGCTTTCTTTGCTTCTGTTGCTCCTGTTAAAACTTGGAGTTCTTATGCCTACAGACTGATTCACCCATCTTGCCGATGCAGCTATATTTTAAAGATATCACTGGCTATTGGGTGTAATACATGGGCACACAGGATATAAAAGTCTAATCCGGCTCTTGTAAAATCAGTTTTTAAATTTTGACTTCTATGTATTATGCTACTTAGAAATTTTAGTAGACTCTGTGAAAAAAATAAGTTGCTTTTGGAGAGAAACTAGAAATATAATCTGACTAGAACTAGGAGACTACTACTTCTAAAAATGTTTACTTAATTCATTTGTTGGAAATTGAGAAAAAAATAGCTCAAAAAGATGGCAGCCTCCAGTAATGTCAAAATTGTTAGAAAGAATGATTTTTTGAACAATTCACCAGCAAACACACTTGCTTTATTGTAAGCCTCCTTAAAATCTAGATTTCCAAAAATGATCTAAGGCTGATATGTCTTGCAAATTCTCTTTTATATACAGATCTTTATCTGCCCCAAAACTTTCTTAGGATGAGGTAGAAGAAAAGATAAAAATAATAAATGTGGTTGTCTCCTGAGACTTTTAGTTTCTCTTCATTCTTACTTGATCAGAAACCTCACAGGGGCTCCTTTCCCAATGTTATTTCAGTTTAAGTATTTCCATGTCCAGTTCCAGCTGGAAGCAGGCACTGTGGAGCCATGTGAAAAATCAACAAGAACACGCAAAATTAGCCCTTGATTTTTGAACCTTAAAAAGGCTCGGGTCACGGCTGAGTTTATTCAGAATTTCTTATGAGTCCCACAAGATCAACAGTGTCACTCTCCACCAGGGTGCCCTTAGCCTCAAACATCTATTTTTCACATTTAATCACAGCCTCATTTGCTCTCTTGCCTCTGACTCATTGATTCTCCAGAGGGAAGGGAATCTAAATCCTTAGGGACTTTAGATATATTTTAGTTGCAAAAGAAAAAAAAAAAGCCTAGATAAATCATTTTTTAGAAATATCTGATATTGAAGCCCTTTGATACTTTGAATAATTTCAGGGAAAGTGAGAGTAAATGAGAAGAATAAGAATAAGATCAATTTGGATTGAAAGTAAAATCAAAGCAAGCATTTACTGAAAGTTTTATAAAATTATATTCTAGGATGATTCATCATTTCAAGATACATTTGTAGCCCTCAACTTCCCAACAGGCCGGCCTCCAAAAGTTTGTTTGTAAGTTGTTTTTCTGGATCTGGAAAACCATTTCCCTTATAAACAATGTTCTAAATTAGTAGTTCTTGGGCTTTTTGTGTCACGAAGCCCTTTGAGAATCTCTTGAAAGCTATGGACACATTCCCTAGAAAAATTCTCATATGCATATATGCCCCAGGTTTTTCAAAGCCACATTTGGTGGTTTCACAGACCCAACAATGTCCTTTCTAATTAAGAAATCTGATCTCAAATGCCAGGCTAGCTTAAATACTGAAATCTATAGGCACAGAACTAATTAAATAGAATTTTTCACTCTTGTCTGGAAACAGAGCTACCATCTAGAACAGCATATTAAACAATACACTTGTATGCCTTTGGATACCATATAAATTCCACATTAACATCTCTGGCAGTTGCCACACTTAAGCTATGGGGTGGCAGTATGGTGATTTTCTTAGTTCATAAGGGTGCAAGCCATAATCTTTGTTTTCACAAAGTTAGGGAGAGAAGGTGTATATTTTACAGTTGGGGCAGACACTTGCCTCACTTCTGAAGGTCTCTTGCTGCCATTTAAGAAACAATCCTTGCATCCAGGTGCTAAGGCAAGAGAGACATTTGTTCAGCAATTTGCTTATTTATAAATAAGCAATGCCTACGCTATGGCTCAAACTGATGTAGGATATTTCCTTTACCCCTTTTTGGGTCTCGTCCTGTTTACTCAGCCCACTCCTCAACCCCTCCCAGGAAGGATCACGCAAGTGAATGAGTGCACGAACCAGCCAGCCACTTCAGCACCAGCAGGAATAAATTCTATTCACTGGGGCCCGCCGCATTTCACCCCTAGGAAGAGGGAGCGTGTAGGTGAGCAAGTGCAGGAACCAGCCAGCCACTTTGGTGCTGGCAGGAGCAAACTCCATGCAGTCTCCACATCAGCGATGAGGTGGGTGTGCCTGCAACCCCAGGGCCCCAAAAAGTGTGTTACAGTGCTCACTTAGCTCTGCCATCTGCAGACAGCAGTGTGTTATCAGCTCAGTGGGCCCTTTGCCTCTGCTAGTGAGGGCAAAGGGCCAGTGTGACAGGCTTTTTGGGTACCTGCACTTGGTGGGTCCTGAATTCTTGTCTAGTGCCCAGGAAGAATTAGGTCACATGGACAAATTGAAGGATGGTGAATGTAGAGAATTTTATTGAGTGATAGGAGTGGCTCTCAGCAGAGAGGGGAGCTGGAAAGGGGACAGAAAGGGAGGGCCACTCTGCCCTGGTATCAAGTTGCCTCTCTGCTTCTCTCCTCTGAACTCAAGTTAACTCTCCCCAACATCCAGCCACTTCTCCTCTCTACCAGCTGAGTCAGGGGTCTTTATAGGCACAGAATGGGGGGCAGGGCAGGCCGTAGGTAGTTTTTTGGAAAAGGCAACATTTAATTGGTAAAAAGACACTATTCAGAAAGAACCAATCAGGAGAGAGCAGGCAAACAGGAATAGAAGTTCTCACTTTGGGCTGCAGGTTTCAGGCTACTTTTGGCTTAAAGGTGGGGTTTCCACCAGGTACCCATCCCTGTCTGCTTAGACTGTCTCTGCCTCCTGCCTCTCTCATTTCCCCCTTTGAAGAGGCATGCATAACTGCTGTTAGAATATGGATGATGACCAATCTTAGCTGCTTCCTGCTGACAGGGGGCATTGTTTTGGGGAAAATGGCAGTCAGATTTCCCTCAGAGGTCTACCTAAGGGTTCCTGGACTCAGAAGTGGCTGGAGTCATCGTCTGAGGCTCCAGTTGCATGACTGATTGGAGTTTGATGCCCTCTGGGTGACAAGAATTGGTTAAGTACGCATGGATCAAATATGTATGTTATACAAAAAGGAGTTAAAAGAAAAGAATCTAGTGCCAAAGATTATAGAAATAAGAAGTGAAATACACTAATCCTCTTGAAAACAACATTATGCCCTGAGCTGTTTCACTGTAGTGACAGAAATTAAACTCTGTATGGGAACACTTAAACTTTAGAAGAGAGATAACTGTTTAGGGGAGTACATATTCTCACAGGCATTTAGGATTAAGGGGTCTTTGGTAAAGGTGCCCCATGGTATAATATAGAACGAAGGTAAGAACAGCAAGCATAAGCAAGACTATAAAGGGGATATCCATGGAAGATTAATTATTGACACTTATATTTTGTGATTTTTATCTTAAGGTCCCTGATCTCTTCATATTAGTACTTTGAGTGCTCTTCTGGGTCAAAGGAGGAAACTCCGTCAGCTTCCCAGGCCTTTACTCAAGTATAATGAATGCAAGAATCTATTCCAGTGACCTTTACTGCTGTAGGAGTAGAAAGAAGTATGGTGTAAGGTCCCTCCCAATCTGGGCTTACAGAGGGAGAAAGGAAAGGAAGTACCTTTACCAGTACCATGCCCCCTGGGTTGAATAGAGCTGGCCCTAGTTCATGGAATTGGGCCTCTGACAGTTGTTTCAGTTCATGTTGGAAATGGACCAAAAAGTTACATGTTTAATCAAATCAGAGATTTCTTGGTCTAGCAAGAAATCATTGGTGAGAAAATGTCATCCATGCATTATTTCAAAGGGACTTAAACACAGCTTTGAAGTGGAGATTCTAACACTTAGTAGGAATATAGGAAGAACAGACCAGGGGAGATGAGTCTCCTGAGAGTTTCCTGAGGTGCCTTTTGATAATATCATTTGTCTTTTCTACCTTTCCCAAGGATTATGGTCTCCAAGGACAATGAAGATGGTATTGTATGCCTAGTGCCTTCAAGTCCCCCTGGGTGAGAACAGCCTTGAATGAGGGGCCACTTTTGCTCTGGAGGTACCTAGAGAGTCCAAAGCAAGGAATTATTTCATTAATTTGTACTTTTATCACCTCAGAGGCTTTCTCTATCCAACATGGAAATGCTTCTACCCAGTTGGTGAAGGTATCTGTTTATATTAGGAGGTATTGCATGTCCCTTGACTTTGGCATATGGGTGAAATCCATTTGTCAGTCTTCCTCTGGGTAGCTTCCTGTTCTTTTGGTTCCAGGGGAAAGAAGCCATTGACTGAGGGGATTATTTTTAAGGCAAATCTTGCAAGCATTAATAACCTCTTTAACCATTTGTATCCAGTTTTTACTCAAGAACAATCTCTGGGCCAATTGATAGGTTTTATCCTTACCTAGGTGGAAGGCCTGGTGAAGGCTTTTAAGAACTTTCCATTGGTTGGCAGCTGGTAAATGAAGTCAGCCATCCTCCAGTTGTAGCCATTCTGAGGACTGAAAGATGTAACCCCAAGAGGTTGCCCATTCTATTTCCACAGGAGAATATTGAGGTTTTATTTCTCTTATGGAGCCCTCCCAGATCAGAGGGGCTTCAAATGGATCTGAAATCTGGGGACCCCTTGCTGCTGGTTTAGCTGCTTGGTCTGCCAACCTATTTTCCTTGGCTATTCATCCATCCCTTTTTGGTGGCCTTTACAATGTATTATTGCCACTTCGTGTGGGAGGAAAACTGAGGATAATAGTCTATTAATTTCCTGATGGTATTTAATGGGAGACCCATTAGCTATGAGGAAGTTCTTCTCTTCCAGATAGTGGCATGGACATGGAGAACTAGGAAAGCATACTTAGAATCAGTATAAATGTTAAATGCTTTCCCTTTGCTTAATTCAAGTACTCTCATGAGGGCAATTAGCTTGGCTAGTTGAGTACTTGTACCCAAGGAGAGAGACGTGCTCTCAACAATATCATTCCGGGTAACTATACCTCTTTATGGATCCCTTGTTCTACAAAAGAACTTTTACTTGTAAAGAGAATCCAGTCTGGGTTCCCTAAGGGGGTTTCCTTGAGGTCCTTTCTGGCTGCATAGGTTTGTACTACTATCTGTTTGCAGTCATGTTCAAGGTCCCCCCCCGCTCTCCGCCCCTGCTTCCTTGGGGAGGAAGGTGGCTCTATTTAGGAAGGGACAGATTCTTAAGTGGACTGCAGATACCTCTAACAGCAGAGCTTGATATCTGAGGAGGTGGTTATCCATTAGCCAGAGACTCCCCTTAGAAGACAGTAGTCCTGCCACATTAATGGTTAAGTTATTCCCCGTGGTTAACCTAGTAGCCTCTGGTACCAGCAAAGCTACCACTGCAACTGCCCAGAGGCAGGCCAGGCATCCTTTTTCTACCAAATCAAGCTCCTTACTTAGGTAGGCTACAGTCTGCTGGATTGAACCCCAGGTCTGAGTTAGAACTCCCAGGGCCATCCCTTCCTTTCTGACACATAAAGATTAAGCATCTTCCCTATGGGAAGACTAAGGGCTGGTACCTTAAGCAAGGCTCATTTTAGTTGGTCAAAGGCCTTTCTAGCCTCTGGTTTCCAAATTAGGGAGTGAGCTTTAGCTGCCTGAGTCTTCTATATTAGGTGACATAAGGGGCAAGCTATTTCACTGTACCCAGGTATCCATAGTCTGCAGAACCCTGTAATGCCCAAGAATCCCCTCAGTTGCTTGAGGGTTTTGGAGAGGGGAAAAAAGAAGATGGGCTTAATCCTTTCTTCACCCAATGCCTTGGTCCTCTCTGAAAGACCAGGTCTAGGTACTTCACTGAAGTCTGACAGAGCTGAGCTTTAGGCTTTGAAATCTTATATCCTCTGTTAGCCAGAAAATTAAGAAGACCCTTACTGCCCTCCTGAGAGATTGCCTCAGTTATGGCACAGAGGAGAATGTCATCTACGTATTGTAAAGCTTTAACCTGAGGATAAGGGAACTCAAAGAGGTCTTTTGAGAATGCCTGGCCAAATAAGCAGGGGCTGTCTTGGAATCCCTGAGGTAACACTGTCCAGGTTAGCTGGGTGGTTTGGTTAGATGGATCTTCAAATGCAAAAAAGTACTGGGAGTCAGGGTTTAATGGTATGCAGAAGGCATGCTTTAGGTCCAGGACTGTGAACTATTTAGTTCCCTCAGGTATTTGAGCTAGCACGGAATACTGATTGGGAGTCACTGGGTGAATTAAAACCACAGCCTCGTTAATGAGGTGGAGGTCCTGAACTAGTCTCCGTTCCCCATTGGGTTTTTGTACCTTAATATTGGGGTACTACAAGGGCTGTTTTTTTATTTTTATTTTTGGACACATCATCCATTTCTTTACTATTCTTCAGAGTCTAAAACTTCCTTATGATACAATGTATAGTCACCCAATCCAGGCTGTTTATTGAAACTTCTATTCTCATTTGGTGGTAAACTTTTTTTTTTACATTTGTTTTACTATCAAAGATTTAGAGTCACAATAAATACAAGTGACAGTCTCCCATCCCCCCAAGAATGCCCCCAATATCCTGCACTAGTGTAATCTTCTGGTCCCAGGGCCTGTTGAGGAGGCCCTGCAACCTTAAGTTATCATTGATGGCTTCTAGTCCTTTCCTAACTTCTGGTTTCAAGGGATACTGTCTCTGGTTAGGAAAGGGGGTGAGATTCTTAAGGTGGATCTGGACCAGTATGGCAGTTGTAACTTGGCCGATTTTGGCTTGAATTGCCTAAATGTCTGGGTTAAAGGTCTCCACCAGGGAGAGACAAAGAATTTGTCCTGGGGCCATCAGGATGGTGGTCCCCATATGGGCCAGAATATCTCTGCCTAAAAGAGGAGTTGGGCTTTCAGGCACAATTAGAAAGGCATGAGTAACAATAGGTTTCCCCAACTACAACTAAGGGGTTGACAAAAATATCAAGTTAAAGGCCTTTCTGAGATGCCCCTCACAGGTCATGCTAAGAGAGAAGAGGGAGTCTGGATTGGAGAGGAGAACTGAGAGACCCACCCCAGTGTCCAGAAGGAGATCCACTTTCCTCCCTTCAATTTCCAGAATTACCCAGGACTCCTGGATGGTAATAGTAGTCTGGACCACCAGGGTGGGGAAGAGGAGCCCTGGGACTCATCAGTCCTGTTGGACTGTTTGGGAGATTGGCTCTGAACCTGGTGACCAGCATCCCTAGGGACAGTCTGCCTTCCAGTGGTCCCAATTGCAGATTGGACAGGGTTGAGGTGGCTTTCTCATGCTGCCTGGGCAATCCTTCCTAAAATGCCCTGGCTTGCCACATTTGAAGCAGTTAACAAGTACACCTCAGGGATTTTGGGATTTGTGGTCTTGCATGGTGACCATTAAAGCCTCTGCATTTTTCCTGTGTCTTCATTCTCTCTCTCTCTCCCTCCCTCCCTCCCTCCCTCCTTCTCTCTCTCTTTCTCCCTCTCTCCTTGGCCTCCCTATCTCTATTATTATATTATTATAAAAGACCGAGGTGGCCACTTTTAGGAAGTTCTCTAAAGTACTATCTGGTCCAACAGCTTGTTTCCGTAGCTTCCTCCTGATATCAGGGGCTGCCTGAGTAATACACTTATTTTTTAGGATTAGTTGTTCCTTAACTGAATCAGGAGCTAGAGAAGTGTGCTTTACCAAGGCCTCTCTTAGCCTTTCCAGGAAGGCAGTGGGATTCTCATCAAATCCCTGATCTATCATGAATAGCTTGGTATAATTGTGAGGCTTAGTTCTAGTCCTACGTAAGCACCCCCATTATGCACACCTGAAAGCGTTTCCTCTTCCATCTCCCATCTCATCATTAGGATCCCATTTAGGGTCATCCAGTGGTACTGATTCTCTTCCAGTTGGATAAAGTTTGTCCCCTTCCCTGACACTATATGAGATACAAAGCTCATTCCCAAATCTCTCTGCCACTTGCAGAGTGGCCTGCTTCTCAGCATTAGTCAGAGTTTGATTCAAAAGTAACATAACATCTTTCCAGGAGAGTTCAAATACTTTGGTTAAATTCTGGAGAGCCTCTATATATCTGTCAAGATCATCTAAAACTTTGCCAAGATCCGCCTTAATTTGCCTTAATTCCTGTAGAGAGAAGGGGACCTGGATTTTACTGGGGCCAAATTCACCAGGCATCTGTTGGAGGGGCATAAGTGGTACTGGGCCTTGTCTAGGGTGAGGATTTCTAGGAGGAGGCAAGCTAAAGAGAGAAACTGGATAGGGAGGCCAAGGTGGATCCAGGGGAGCAGGGCTAGAGGGAGCTGGATCCCCTGCTGGAGGTTTCTCTGGGGTTTGATTTTTTAGTTCCCTGAGATTGACCCGTGCAGCCTCTCCTGAGATGGCAAACAGGAGAGCCGGATCAATCCTACATGTTGGCAAAGGTCTGTATTACCCTGCAAGGTAAAGAAAGCCTACACATATGGGGCCTCAGACCATTTGCCTTTGTGTTTACAGAAAAAGTCCAACTGAAAGATTGTATCAAAATGAATGGTTCCTTCCTGAGGCCAAGCCAGTCCTTCCTGCAGATCATAATATGTCCAAACCTTTGTGCAGAGGGCTATGAGGCATTTTTTCTCCAGGGTCTGAGGGTCAAAACAGTCCCAAAGATTCAGGATACACTCCAGAGGAGTATGGACTGAAGATGGTAAGGATAGTTGGTTGCCCACTCTGAAAGAGAGAGAAATAGGCATACCTTATTTCCCTTCCCTCTTTCAGCAAAAACCCAGGGTGTGAGGGAGAGAACAAAAAAGGGCATACCTCTTTTTCCTTTCATCTTTTCATCCCCGAGTCCTGGCAACCTTAGACAGATGCTGCCCATGAGTGCTGGTGTGACCTGCACCCATGAAACTTGGTGGGGGGGCAGGGGGCGGGGGGCCTGGAAAATAGGATTTATTTGCACTCACCTATGCCTCCACCCTCCCTACTGTAGGCAACCTTTGGGTTCCCTGGGCCTCATCTATGCCATGGAGCTTGGCCTCCTATCATGAAGCGGGGACTTAATCAGCAGGAATTAGTCCTGCCCATCTATGCTATGTCTGTTGCCTGGCTTTGAATCACTCAGATCTAGTTTTCCTTTCTAGGGCTTCAACCTAAAGCTTGGAACCAAGTTTGGAAAAAGGTATCTCAGGGGGTGCATGGATTCATTTAGATTAAGTTACAGATGGGGCTTTTCAAATTTGCAGTTATCAGCTGGTGGGGTCGCTCCTCCATTGCTTCCCTGCCATAAGCAGAGTGTAAGGTAGAAAAAAACACCCTCTTGCATAGAAAAGGAAAAAGAAAAACCAGCTTAAG
The DNA here is from genome assembly GCF_000001405.40 of Homo sapiens. Taxonomy (NCBI): domain Eukaryota; kingdom Metazoa; phylum Chordata; class Mammalia; order Primates; family Hominidae; genus Homo; species Homo sapiens. The sequence continues at coordinate 63,317,344 of NC_000012.12, forward strand.
TGTCAGAGGCACGTGGAGAACCTCTTGCTCTATGCAAATGGGTTCCTTTAATCACCGTATCCTTCCTCTGGTTTGGACTGAGCTGGAGCTCTCCGCCAGGGGAGGGAAGACTCTGTGGACACATGATGGGAGGGAATGACAAGCAGGAAATGCTGGCCAAATGGCTGCATGGGGCCCCTGGCCCCCAAGACTGCCCTGGGGCTTGGGCGGTGACTGTGGTTCTTTCCTGCCTCATGTGCCCGTTGGGCACAGCACATACATGCAGTGGACATGCCCAAGTGCCCCACCTGGGAGTGGAGGGGGCGGGGTGGGGGAGCCGCTGTGCACTGTGCACGCCTTTGGGTGTTGGGATGAGGTGGGAGTGACTCCTCTAAGAACAGATGGAAATTGCATTGTTCTGAATTGCATATCTGATGGATTGGCTAAATGCTCCTACCTAGTAACATTTCTGCAGTTTGTAGTAACACCCTTAACATTATAAAAGAAGAGAGAGGCGCCATTTCAAACCGTGAAAGAAGGAAGGACAAATAACAGAAAAATCTGGGGGTCTTGGCTGATGCCCTAATGGGCAGTTGGGGACTGAGCCAAGTCTAGGGGCCTTACGGCAACACCGGGGAGTGGCCTCAATCAGACGCCTTCAGTTTCCTCAGGACTTTATCCCAGTCCCACGCAATGGCTAGACCTCTGTGAAGGGAAACAGAGCCAACATTCCTTTCACCCAAAAGAGAGGTGGCAGGGTCACATTCTGTCATCTACAGCTGTGCCATTCATCCTTAATTGGCCACTCAGAGGTTTGGTGCGTCATTTGCCTTCAGAGGAAAGTATGAGGACAAGAAGTCTTGGGGAAAAAAAATGAAGAGACAGATCCAACAGATCCACATTTATTCACCCTTCTGACAAATCCTGGGTGAGCCTCAAGATGATGCAGGATTTTTTCTTGACCCCTTCATGGGACTTGTGACAGGGGTGTCTCATTTATTCACCCTGCCCTGCTCAACCCCTCACAGAAGGGAGCATGCAAGTGAACAAGTGTGGGAACTGGTCAGGTGCTTCGGCACTAGCAGGAGCAAACTGTTCACTTAGACCTGCTGCATTCCACCCCTCACAGAAGTGCACACATAGGCAAGTAAGTGCAGGAAGTGGCCAGTTGCTTCCGCGTCCACAGGAGCAAACTTCATGCAGGCTCTGCGGCAGCATCCAGGTGGGGGTGCTTGTCACCCCAAGGCCCCAGAGGGTGTGTTACAGTGCTGTCTTAGTTCCACTGTCTGCGGACAGCAGTATATCAGCTCACTGGGCCCTTTGCCTCATCACGTAGGGTGGCTGACCTCCACTAGCAAGGGCAAACGGCCAGTGTGATAGCTGTTTTGGGTACCCACACTTGGTGGATCCCAAATTCTTGTCCAGTGACCAGGAAGAATGAGGTCACATGGACAAATTGAAGGATGGCAAACGCAAAGAATTTTATTGAGTGATGAGAGCAGCTCTCAGTGGAGAGGGGAGCTGGAAAGGGGATGGGAAGGGCAGGTTGCTCTCCCCTGAAGTCAAGTTGTCTCTCTCTGAGGTACAGCCAGCATCTCTGAAGTCAAGTTGCTTCTCCTCTCTACTGGCTAAGTCTGGGGTCTTTATAGGCACATGATGAGGGGCAGGGCAGGCCATAGGTAGTTTTGAAAAAGGCAACATTTGATTGGTAAAAAGACACTATTCAGAAAGAAACAATCAGGAGAGAGCAGGCAAACAGGAACAGAAGTTCTTACTTTAGGCCACAGGCCAGACTACTTTTAGCTTGAAGGTGGTTTCACCGGGGACCTGTTCCTGTCTGCCTGGAGTTTCTCTGCCTCCTTCCTCTCTCAAAACTGTGTACAATGGAGCATATTAACTGTGTAACCCTCTTTCCTTAGATTTCTCCTCTCTTAGGAATCTGTGAGCCAAAATGAGTTTCTATTGTAAGAGCACTTTTCCAAGGGTTTCTGAATTTGAAAGTTTACAACATCTCTTCATAGATTATATAGACAATTACCTTCCCCACATTCATAGCATTGTTGTAATAAATAAAAATCAAATGAAAAACTCTATCCTTTTTCTAGAATACCTTAAAAAAAAAAGAGGCTGACATATCCTTTGTTGCCTTATGGTGACTCATTATAGTGTGCCTAGAGGCATCCAGATAGAAAGCCTTCTGAAACCCACACCTACTTATCCTGTCTGCACAGTGAAGCTACTATATCAGGGCTTGTGGTTCCTGTAGGCTGTCAGGGAGTGGCAGTATTATCCTTGGTGCCCTGAGTCTGAATGCTGCTCCTGTGCTCTCAGTATCTGCAGGAGCCAATTTGAAGGCTCCTGTTGTGCCTGCTAGTGACAGCAGTCAAGGTCTAGCACCTAAGTATACCACAATGTCATCCTCACTGTCCTCCCTGGATTCCTTTTGCTCCATATTATAGAGAAGTCAGAACATGTAGTGAGTTTGCCAGCTATTTAAAGAGGTCCTCCTAGTATTTTGTAACATACACCCACAAACACAATTCAGAAAACTTGGCAACATCCTCAAATTCATTTTTCTCATAATTTCACATATAATATAGTATCAGAAAGATAAATTGGGAAATTGGGTCCACAGAATAGCACTTTAGATAGACTGGATTACCATACAACTCCATGCTGCCCACTGACTATAGGCAATGTGACTTCGACCAATGGAATGCCTGTGGATATAAAATGAGCAGTAGCTTTCAATGTGCTGCATCGTTTGCCTCCTTCTTTTGCTCCTATGATTCATCATGAAGATAATATGTCCTGAAGGCAGCTAGTTTCAAGAGAAGGTGTAGAAATGTGGAGCAGATCCAAAGCCAATGCTAGTCAAGCCCAGCTGACCTGCAGCCTGAAACAGATCCACCCAGCCTACACATAGGGCTGTAAGCAAGGGAAAATGCTTGCTGCTGTAAGCTGCTGAATTTTGGAGTTGTTTGTTCTTGTTAGATTAAGTTTAGCCTGAAGCTGCCTCCTTACATATTTTAAGTTCAGCCTAAGGTTTCTCCATGCATGTGAACTGTGACCTAACTGGAGGTGTAAACGACGGTAACCTACTTTTGTGCCAATCACCAAGTTTTGGCCAAAGATAGCCAACTGTTCCAACTTGTTCAAATAAGGTAAACACTGAGCTGTAACCAGTCTGGCTATTTCTGTACCTCACTTTTGTTTTCTGTATATCACTTTCCTTTCTCTGTCCATAAATCCTCTTCCAACATGTGGCTGCACTGGAGTCTTTATGTGCCTACTCTGGCTCAGGTGGCTGTCCAATTCACGAATCGTTCTTTGCTTGGTTAAACTCTGTTAAATTTAATTAGCCTCAGGTTTTTCTTTTAACATTATGCAACACTGTTTTGACAATCACATAACTCATTTACCTATGAGATAGGTAATGTTACTATCTTCACATTGCAGAGAAGGAAATTATATACAGTTGTTCCTCAATATCCTTCAGCAATGGGTCTCAAGAACCCCTTGGTTACCAAAATTGGTGAATGCTCAAGTCCCTGATATAAAATGGCATTATATATGCATATAACCTATGTTCATCCTCCTATATACTTTAAATCATCTCTAGATTACTTATAATACCTAATACAATGTAAATAATATGTAAATAGTTGTTATACTGTATTGTTTAGGGAATAATGGAAAGAAAATAGTTTGTGTATGCTCAATACAAATTAAACCATTATTTTTTATTTCCTGAATATTTATGATCCAGGTTTGGTTGAATTCAAGGATGCAGAATCCATGAATAAGGAGAGTTAAAGCAATGTATTGACTTAGAGCAGTGTTTCCCAAAATGTGTTTCAATGGATCAGGGCTGGCTTCGTGGGTGTGTGACCTAGACCTACACAGTCACACAGAACATTGCACTCAGAAACACCCTGCACTTCATTTAATGCTCCACTGTTGCCTTTCTGAGTTCTTAATTTTATCTTTGAATTGTTTTGTATGTGAAGTCTGAGGGAACAATGTACATGCATGTGAGCAGAGGAGATATGCACAAGACACGTGTTTACCTATTGATTGCCACTTCATTTGTATATAGTATTTGTGATGGCCCATGAACACAGAATTCTAGTGAACCCACAATGCACAGGAGGTCAGCAGGATGCAAAATGAGTGCAAGATAATCATGTCTGTATCTGAGTAAGTAGGGATAGTGGCAGCCCTGAAACACCTGCTTTTCACTCAAACCAGAACTTGCTTTGAACACAGAAAGAAGGCAGTGATGTTCTGAGAAACGCAAACAATCAAGGAGCCCTCTCATGTCCTTTTTTATTCACTTTACATCCCTGAATCAGCCAACCACCTATGCTGAAAATGATGACACAGAAGAAAGGGAAAGATTAGAAAACCCATATTTTCTGTTGTTTCAGTCTTTCCATGCTCATGAATAAGCCTAAAGTAGAGACTGTTGATAAAATGGCTTGTATCAAGAAGTGTGCAGCATTTCCGCTGTTCTTGTAAGAACAAAAGACATGTTTGTAGAAGCTACAAAAGATGAATTGTGCAATTTTGAAGATTATACACACAAGGTGAAGGCTCTTATACCTGTATATTATATTGGCACTACAAAATATAAAGAGGAATGGTAAAATGCAAGCTAATAATTTACAGTTTTTTTCACTTAGAACATTAAAGAGCAAATAAAAAACTCTCATGACAAGTCAATAGAGAGACCACAGAAGAAAGGAAAACTATTTGATACTTTAACACATTTAAAAGCACTTTTTTCCTGCTTGTCAAACAAAAGGGTCCTAACATTTTCATTTTACCTTGGGCTTGAAAATTATGTAGCAGATCCTGCTTGGGATGAACATTTAACTGAGTGTTGAAAGAAGTATTGTGTAGAGAAAAATTCTAAAAGACTCTATAAATGCACTATCCAACACAAAGTGAAGAGTCACATGTGGCTATTTAAATTAAATAAAATTAAAAATTCGGTTCCTCAGTTGCAGTTCAAGTTCAGTAGTCACAAGTGGCTGATAGCTACTATGTTGGACACCACAAATATAGAACATTTCTGTCATTACAGAGAGTTCTATGGGATAGTGCTGTGTTACAGTTTAAATAATTTGAAAAATACTGGGTTATAAAACATTAAATGGATTTTTTTAAAACACAATTTTTCTGAATATTGGATATACTAATGTGAATCTCCAGGAGGGGGCTATAGCATGAAGCATCTCCAAACTTATTTAATCAAAGCTTGCTTTTTTGTAAAACAGTGAACTTCTGGTTCAGCACTTTCTTTTTTAAAAAAAGAAAGATGAACCATTTTTAAGGATTTGAGATATAAAAGATGGTATACATGCTATTCATGGATTAGAAAATAGTTTGAATAGGAGGGTAGGGACCTAATTTGATAGAACTGATGCTCTCTGGAACTAGTTCAGTAAAATCCTTTTCTGGAGAGCAATTTAGATTATCATGTCAATTTATCAATCTTTTTCTTTTATGGATTTTGCTTTTGGTACTTTACTTGTGAAATCAATGTCTAACTCAAAGCAAGCCACTAACTAATTTTTGAATATTAAAACTGTTAGGAGACAATTCTCCATAGCCTTTTCTCATCTTAGCACATTTGGGGAGCAGGGGCACTAAATGCCCCATTATTCTGGAGTATCTTTACAAGGAAGTTTATATAGCAAATAGTCTTGGAAGACTGAGCTAGTGTCTCCCACTGGAGCAAAAGTCAAGTTTGTTCACTGACAAATCTTTCTTTAGGACAAAGATTGGGCAGGTTTACTTACAGCCAATTATAAAATAATAGAATTTCTTAAGTTTGGGGTTCCTCAGACATGATGCAAACCCACTCTATTCACTTGAGCCTTTCTGAAATACTCCTGTAGGACTTGGGGAGCAAAGGTGAATGAATGAACAAACTGTGGTACCACCAAACAATGAGATTCTACTTAGCAATAAAAAGGAACAGATAGTGAATACATGTAAAAACTTGGAGGATTCTGAAAGGTGCTATGCTCAATGAAAGGAGGCAATCTGAGATTATTTACTGTATGATGCTATTAATTTGACATTCTGGGAAATAAAAAGCTATAGTAACAGACAACAGACCAGTGGGTTGCCAGGGGCAAGGGGCTAAGGAAGGTACAACAAAGGGGCAGAGAAGAAAGTTTTCAAAAACTGCTCTGTATTCTGTGATAGAAGTTACACAATCTATGCATGCGTTAAAACTCATGGAATTACAACATACCAGTAAGCAAACAAGCAGACGTAATACATACTCAAACTCTATCAAGTTCCAATTACTTAATTAGATTTTACTATAATCTATGTGTTTGATGGGTTATACCTATTTGTGATATTATAAGAAATATATATTTGGTCTTCATCCCTGGGTCCTGTTATAGAACTGCTAAAACTTCCTGAAGGTGAGGGGGAGCATCTTTTTTTACAATATTTGATCTTAGTCCCTGGTTCCTGACACAAGCGCTTCTAAGTGTCTTTTTGTATGGTAAGCTTTGAAGTTTCTTTTTGTATGCTAGTGAGATGACCAGTGGCTAGGGAGCTCTATGACTATGTAATAGACCCCCACAAAATCCCCCAAATGAAGGGGTTTGAAGAGCTTCTACGCTGGTGAACATGAGTGTAACCAGAGAGGGCATGGAAGCTCTGTGTTCCTTCCCTCATACCCTGCCCTAAGTACCTCTTTATCTGGCTGTTTATCTTTTGTATCCTCTATAACAGTGGTTCCCAAACCCTGGGCTGTAAACTGATACCAGTCTGTGGCCTATTAGAAACTGGGCTGCACAGCAGGAGGTGAGCAGCAGGCATGTGAGCACTATTGCTTGAGCAGCACCTCCTGTCTGATCAGTGGTGGCATTAGATTCTCATAGGAGCAAGAACCCTATTGTGAATTGCTCATGCAAGGGATCTAGGTTGCCCACTCCTTAAGATAATCTAATGCCTGATGATCCGAAGTGGAAAAATTTCATTCTGAAACCAATCCGCCACTCCCTGGGTCATACAATATTCTCTCTCTCTTTTTCTCTCTTTTAGAGACAGGGTCTTGCTCTGTCACCCAGCCTGGAGTGCAGTGGTATGTTCATAGCTCCCCACAGCCTCAGACTTCTGGCCTCAAGCAATCCTCCTGCTTCAGCCTCCTAAATTGTTGGGATTACAGGTGTGATTCACCACACTTAGCTTATGATAGTCTTTATAAATAAACTGGTAAATGTAAGTAAAGTGCTTTTTAGAGTTTTGTGAACTGTTCTGGGAAATTACTGAACCTGAGGAGGGGGTCGTGAGAACAGCTGATTTACAGCCAGGGAGTCACAGGTACTAATGACTCAGACTTGTGATTCGCATCTGAGGTGGGGGCAGTTTTGTGGGATGGAGCTCGTAATCTGTGGGTCTATGCTGACTAGGAGTAGCTGGTATCAAAATTGAATTTCTGTAGCATACCCAATTGTTTGGGAGAGTTGGAGAATTTGTTGGTGTGGGCAAAAGACATTTATTTGGTATCAGAAGTGCTGCTAGTAAAAAAATAAAAAAAAAAGTTTAGTATTATTGTATCCATATAGAAGAAATACTATACAATGGAGCTACTGCATGTAATGGAAGTACTGAACATGTTTTTGCAACTCCATCTTCAGGGCTAACACATTGAAAGCTTGTAATCAGCCATGGTAGGAGTATTTACACTAGAAAAATCCACAACTGCTACAACTAAGGGTTTAGGTTTTTGAGGGTTTACCAGCATAACACTGCATACCAACCTTGCCAGATTACTGGATATTCTTTTAATAGAATATTGGAGCCTCCAGGGATTATCTGAACCAATAGGATATGTACCTTGGTCTTTGAGGAGGATTTTTTCAAATCTGTAGAAATTGAAATGAACTTGTCCAGAACTGATGGCAATGCAAATGATTCTTGTTTGTGGACATGTAAATTTCCCCTGTCCAGTATAGAGACAGCCCTTCTATCTGTAAAAGTCTTGGGGTCCATTTGCAAGATCATTTCAATATTCGTGATCCATAAATATATCTATTCTTTCAATTCTCCTGTGAACCATTCGTAACATCTTTTCTGATTCTCTCATTTCATTAATAAAGTCTTTGACATGTGTTCATTTTACATTGGTAAGAAGTTTTAGCTTTTTTTGAAAATTATCTTTAACAGCAAACTTTTTTGTCTGAAACACATGACTGACTTTAAATCTTCTTGCTAAGAATGTCTGCCTTATTTCCATAAGATTATTCAAACCCCAAGTTTCTGCACTACCCAGTTTCCCTGATAGAATTAAATACTCTGTATCCAGAATATAGTCCTTTTCTTTCAGGTGGTATTATGGCATAACTCAACAGATTTTGCTGCCCTAGTTCTCTTCTAAGAAGTGAAACTTCCAAGAAACTGTAGTTTTGCAGGAGTGACATGATGGGATCCTGTGCAAGTAGCCAGGATTACAGATTGAGGGAGCACTGGGAATCTTGTCTTTGATCCCAATAAAAGACTCACAGAAGGGAAGGGAGCCCTGATTTATTTTAATTAAATTTCATGCTAACTGGAGAGACTAATCATGATCACATTACCCATAGAATCTCGTGGGAAAGGATGTGCTAACAATGGACTTACTGGCTCCTTTCCCAATGCTGCTTATTAACCATAATAGTAACTCTTTCAAATTCCTTTTCCCTGGAAAATTGGCAAAAGTCTCATTCTGATATTGCTTTTGCCTCTACTTTTAATTATTAAATTTTAGTTAATATCCTCTAGATCAGGCAATGGGATCTGATAATTACTGCACCAAGAACTATTTTCAAAAGGCCTGTTCCTTCTTGAGCTGTTTTATTTAACAATCATATGAACTTAAATGGGTGCTATATTTTATTTGGATCAATTCTGCAAACATTAAATTAAAAATATAGCAATCATACACTACTATTTTTCTTAATGTTCACTTCAACATTAGGTATATATTTTTGGTTTTTGGTTTTTTAGCAATATTAAGAAAATAGAAATTTATCTAGTAACACTTGGCAATTGACACTCAACTAAATTTGGAACTGTGAGTATGTTTTGCCTTTGACATCTGGCTCACTTAATTTCCCCTCCATGTGTTCTTTTAATTTAATATTTCAGGAGTTACTGTGCTCCCTAGAGAAGTCAGACTAAATGGTTTTTATTAATATGGTTTTATAAAGCCTAAAAATGTGTTTTATTTGCCCATAGCAGTTATAAATCAGGACCTGAAATTCATTGCAGTTTCCAAAATTGTATATATCTGGTAGTCCAGAGAGGGATAATTGTATTTGTTATATGAGAATTGCTTAGGGGAGTTCTCAGTAGGGCCACTGAAATTATTTTTCAGATAAAATATTTAATCTTTCTTGCCATTTAACCAAATGACTGATTAAACTCCCTTCTGCAACATATAATGTCATGAAACATAGACAAACCCAATGTTTCAATTACAAAGAAAACTCAACTTATTCAATATCCTAGGAGTGACAATTGACTGTTACTCTAAAATTATTAATTAAATGTTTTTGTTACTTTATTCTACCAAGGAAACTCCACTGTGATGATTAATAACGTCACTCCTTAGCTACATTTTTACAGTTTAAGGGGAGAGCACATTCTTTGTCTGTAGGAGGACCCATGTTCAAATTCTGTTCCTTAGTTTTGTGCCATTGGGCAATTTGCTTGAACTTTCTTAATTCTCTATTTCTTTATCAATTAAAATAGGAATAATATCTACATCTTCGGGTTTTTTTGTTTGTATGTTTTTGTTCAGATTTTTTTTTTGAGATCTGAGATGTCAAAAATACCACATAAGCCTATAAAACAGGGTGTGGAAGGGTTATTAACAATTATTCTTAAAATTTAATTTTCTTATGTTTTATGGGATTTGAGGCATTTATGGTTTTTCCATGTTACAAGATTGAAATCAGAGGTAATACCTTTTTAGTATATTTGTTTCTCCTGAGGGAAAACAGGTCCATAAAACTTATTTGGATTGGGAAGGGTATGGAATAATAAATAAATTTAGATAATAACTAAATTACCTTGGGATCCAGGGGAAAACTGGCCCCAGAAAGGCCCCAGGCTAGATCCAAGTTCTTGGTAAAAAAAATTAGCACCCTCAGAGTTCTTAGGGATTTTCAAAGTCCACCCTAACCTCTAAGAGGCCAATTAAACAAGCATTTGTGAGAGTTAATCCTTGTGAAAAACAGGTCTGTTTATAGGCACAAAGCAGACAGAATAGAGAATACAACACAGTCCTTTTCAAGGACTTTACCAGCCCTTCCAAGTCCGCCCTGCAGGCAGGAGAGACCTGGAGAACCATGGCTGTGGTTCTGAAAGGTTGTTGTTACCTTTAATATAGAGACAATGATGTTCTGAAATGAGCAATTATCAGATAAATTTTAGTCACCTGGTTGTATTGGGCCCCAAGATTATGGGTTCATAGAACGCATCAAAAAGCAAACTCCAACATCTGTTAGGATCCTGAGACAATTATGCCAGTTGCAACAGCCTCACTAGCTGGGTGAGGCCTGTAGTTTTACATATGGTTTTATATAGGACAATTTCTAGCTCCTGATGGGTGTTGAGATGGGTTGATACCTACAGCCACGAAAATTTGTAGACCCTCTGACTTTTTTTTTTTTTTTTTTTTTTTTTTTTTTTTTTTTTTTTCAGATTTTTCCATGACATCTTATTGTTATATGTACACCTGGAACAAGAGCTTTGGATCTTTGTTAGATTATGTTCATCTAGAAAGGGAAATCTGAACTTTCTATAACACCAATGTACATGGTTGGCTACAGCTTTCCTAACATTTCCCAGTCCATGCTTACATCCAAGACATCTTATCATTTCAATTAATTAAAAAATCAATATAAACAATAATGCATATATTAGTTCACATTTCAAAGAACATTTTACTCACTGTAAGACTGATGATGTATTTTTATCTTATATTTTAATATAAGATAGTTATTGGTTTATTTAATTACTATTTAATATAAGATAGTTATTTCAACCAATAGTTATTGGTTGAACTATAAAGACGTAGATTCTGCTGTTGAGAGTTGTTATTTAATGACTAACTTTTAAATGCAAATCCTAAGAAAGTTCCCATTTTCTCAAAAGAAAAACTAAAATAATTTATAGATAAAGAAAATTGATGTCCAGTTTTTTACATTGGAGACTAACAGGCTGGCTTCATTCATCTAATTATTGTTTCAACACAAATTTTGGCTGGGCATGGTCACTCATGCCTGTAATCCCAGCACTCTGGGAGGCTGAGGTGGGAGGATTGCTTGATGCTTGGAATTTGAAACCAGCCTGGGCAACATAAGAGACTGTCTCTATAATAAATAAATAAATAACAAATTTAACTGAGGATCCAAATATCAGACATTGTGCTTACAGGAGTTTTCAGCCCACCTTGTGCATATAAATTGATAGGGGAGGGAGGAGAAGGCTGGAATCAATACAATAATTGGGGGATTAACCTTGTCACAGAAGCTAACATCTGCACGCCAGGTGGATGGTGTATGTCTTGATCTATGTTAGACAGGTATTCACTAGGTCAAGCAGCACTTTGGCTTGTATTTGTAGCTGAGAATAGGACAGTGTCATAGGTCTGGAAGACAAGTTCTTCACCCAGGGTGATGTGGGAGCAAGCCCCAGGCTCCAAATAAAGAACTGGCAAGACAGCTGTCAATCAAAAAAAGAAGCAGGCTACTGTCAGGGAGTCAACCAAGAAGTCCAGCTGGACAGTTTCTACTCCACTATCCTGGCTGTTCCAGAGAAGTGAAGAAAGAGGAGAGAAGTCTGGGTCCTGGAGACCTCAGGAACCTGGATATCATCCTGAACACACAAGAAATAAGTTATGGCAGCAAGATGAATTCTGAACCCCACTATGTAACAGATTGGATTCTGTTATTAAGACATTGTTATGGTAAACCAGAACTCCAGCTCAAGACTGCACTTACAGAGAGGAACTTCAGTGATGGGCCTGGGGAGTCAGGGAGCTAACAATAATATCAAGTCAGAATGTATTTTTTTTTTTAATTTTCTAAGCCATTTCTGTGTCTGGAAGTTAGGCGTCTATTATATTTTACTTTCAGTCAACGGAGGTAACCTGCCTAGCAGCCTTTGAGGCAGTCCTTATTTTGTGAATTTTTCATTGTACTTCACAAGAATAAGAAGGGGGAAACCAGATAATACCAGTATCCAAAAAGGTACTTTTAGCAACCAAACTTCACATACCTTTTCCTCTTTCTTTCTCTTCTTCCTGGAAGGCAAAAGAAGAAATCTTTTTGCCTTCCAGGAAGAAGTTCTAGTTAAAAAGCCATCTAAAAGCAACCTTAAGTTATTATTTTTTAACTGCCACATTTGTTTTAAGTGTTTTGCTAAAAATCATCAGCTCTTTTGAGACAGGAATATAATTTATAAACTTTCTGAGCCTAGAAATTCTCAGAACTAGAGCCTTCTAAGCTCTGAGCCTAGAGCTTAGGAGGCATTGTATGTTTTCATTCATCTCTTTTACATTTCCACCTTTTATCTCAGCTACTGAATGATAAAGGATAAGAGCCACCAGAGTCCAAGCCATAGACTAAACTCAACCTTAGACAATCCCAACCTTAGACAATCCATTGGCTAAAACCCAGATGAACCCCAACCCACCATATATGTGAGAGTAAGAAAAACATGGTGATTTTTTGCCTCTTTAGTTGAAGTAGTTTAACAGTATTATTATGCTTATTGCTATAGTATAGCTATTGATACAATGTAACTTATTGATATCATACATACTCATGCATATAATTTTTTACTTCATTTAATAAGAAAATCATACATATTCTTGATCTGAAGAACTGAAGTTGTAAAATTTTTGGTGTTGTAGACACCATACTAATAATTGTCAATTATTGTAAAAAGGTGATTGATTATACTCAAATGAAAATTTTGGGTTGGGGGGGCAAGATGGCCTACTAGAAACAGCAGCTTTCAGAGGCTCCCATCAAAAAAAATAAGTGTGTGATCCTTCACTAGCAACCAAGGTATCCAGCTTCTCTTATCAGAACTGACTAGGAGGCTGATGTGATCCATGGAGACAAGGAAGAACAGTGCGGTGCAGCGGCCCGCTTGAGATCCACACAGAATCGGGCAGGTCCCTCCCCCAAGCCAAAGGAGGCAGTGAGTGAGCATGCTGCCCAGCCAAGGAAACCAGGCTTTTTCTACAGAACTGTGCAACCCACAGATTGGAAGATCCCACTCGTGTACCCACACTACTGGGGTTTAGCGTCCCAACCCTAGGATGCACAGACTCTTAACACCCTCTCAGCTGCAAACTGCTTAAGCCTATGGAACTCCCAGGGGAAGGGGCAACCAGGATTGCTGCTATGGCTGCCTGCTGTCTAAGCATTTTGAGCTCCTTAGGGGAGGGGCAGCAGCCAGCACTGGGACTCACAACTGCCTAACACGCTAAGCCCCCTGGGTCGGGGAAGGGCAGCACCTATCTCTATAGCTCCAGGCTGTGCTTTTCCCCTGCTGGAGCCAGGGAGGCTGAATGGCTTGGTCCCAAGACTTGTCCCCAACAGCCCAATACACTGGCTGTGGCAGTCTGTGACCAGAGTGCCTCTTCAGGCCTGATCCTGACACATCCTTTTTCATTGGTCAGGGCTTCCCAGCAGGAACTCCAGTAGCTCCAGGCAGAGGCTCAGGGATAGACCTGGAGCTCCCTGGGCCTGAACCCCTAGCGGTAGGGGTGGCTGCAGTCTCTGCAGACCAGCAGACTTAGCCTTTCCTCCTGGTAGTTCTGAAGAATCCAGGCAGCCCAGATGAGTGGGTTTTGGGCCAGTGAGGCACACTCACTCCACAAAGGGACATAGTGCTTCATTAAATGGGTCCTGTTTCCCATGCCACCCAACTGGGTGAGACCCTCCAACAGGGGTTGTCAGACACCCTATACAGAAGCAATCCTACTGGCATCAGGTTGGTGCCCCTCGAGGTCAGAAGTCCCAGAAGAAGGAGCAGGTACCCATATGTGCTGTTCTCCAGCCTCCTTGAGTGACATCTCCAGGCATGGGAGTGAATCAGATGAATAGGGCCTGAAGAGAACCCCCAGCAAACTGTATCAGCCCTACAGAAAACAGACCTGACCATTGAAAGAAAAACAAACAAGCAGAAAGCAACAACAGTATCAACAAAAACAACAAAATGTCCCACAAAAACCCCATCCAAGGGTCAGCAGCCTCAAAGACCAACACTAAACAAACTCATGAAGATGAGAAAGAATCAACAAAAAAATGCTGAAAACCCCAAAGGCCAGAGTGCCTCTTCTCCTCCTAATGATCCCAACATCTCTCCATCAAGGGCACAGGGCTGGATGGAGGATCAGATGAATGAATTGACAGAAGTAGGCTTCAGAAGATAGGTAATAAAAACTAGGGTGAGCCAAAGGAGCATGTTCCAACCCAATGCAAAGAAGCTAAGAATTTTGATAAAAGGTTAGAGGAATTGCTAACTAGAATAACCAGTTTAGAGAGGAACATAAATGACCTGATGGATCTAAAAAACACAGCACGAGAACTTCATGAAGCATACACAAGTATCACTAGCCGAATCAACCAAATGGAAGAAAGGATATCAGAGTTTGAAGGCCATCTGGCTGAAATAAGGGAGGCAGACAAGACTAGAGAAATAAGAATACAAAGGAATGAACAAAGTCTCCAAGAAATATGGGACTTCATAAAAAGACCAAACTGACCATTAACTGGAGTACCAGAAGGAGACAGGGAGAATGGAAACAAGCTAAAAAACACACTTCAGGATATTATCCAGGAGAACTTCCCCAACCTAGCAAGAAAGGCCAACATGCAAATTCAGGAAATATAGAGAATACCATTCAGACATATAATCACCAGATTCTCCAAGGTCGAAATGAAGAATAAACCATTAAGGACAGCCAGAGAGAAGGGGCAGGTCATCTACAAAGGGAAGCCCAGCAGACTAACAGCAGACCTCTCAGCAGAAACTCTATAAGCCAGAAGAGATTTGGGGCCAACAATCAACATTCTTAAAGAAAAGAAATTTCAATCCAGAATTTCATATCCAGCCAAACTAAGCTTCATAAGAGAAGGAGAAATAAAATCCTTTCCAGGCAAGCAAATACTGAGGAATTTTGTTATCACTAGGCCTGCCCTGCAAGAGCTCCTGAAAGAAGCACTAAATATAGAAAGGAAAAGCTGGTACCAGCTACTGCAAAACACCCCAAAATATAAAGACCAATGACACTATGAAGAAACTGCATCAACTAGTATACAAAATAACTAAATAGCAGCATGATGACAGGATCAAATTCACACATAACATACTAACCTTAAATGTTAATGGGCGAAATGCTCCCAATTAAAAGACACAGACTGGTAAATTGCATAAAGAGTCAAGAACCACAGGTGTGCTGTATTCAGGAGACCCATCTCACATGCAAAGACACACATAGGCTCAAAATAAAGGGATAGAGGAAATTTACCAAGCAAATGGAAAGAAAAAAAAAAGCAAGGGCTGCATTCCTAGTCTCTGGCAAAACAGACTTTAAACCAACAAAGATCAAAAAAGACAAAGAAGGGTATTACATAATGGTAAAGGGAACAATTCAACAAGAAGAGCTAACTATTCTAAATATATATGCACTCAATACAAGAGCATCCAGATCTATAAAACAAGCTCTTAGAGACTTTCAAATAGACTTAGACTCCCACACAATAATAGTGGGAGACTTTAACACCCTACTGTCAGTATTAGACAGATCTACAAGACAGAAAATTAACAAGGATGTTCTGGACTTCAATTCAGCTCTGGATCAAGTAGACCTAGTAGACGTCTACAACACTTTCTACCCCAAATCAACAGAATATACATTCTTCTCAGTGCCACATGGCATTTATTCTAAAATTGACCACATAATTGGAAGTAAAATACTCCTCAGCAAATGCAAAAGAACAGAAATCATAACAAACAGTCTCTCAGACCACAGTGCAATCAAATTAAAACTCAAGATTAAGACACTTACTGGAAACCACACAACTACATGGAAAATGAACAACCTGCTCCTGAGTGACTCCTGGGTAAATAATGAATTAAGGCAGAAATCAAGAAGTTCTTTGAAACCAATGAGAACAAAGAGAAAACATACCAGAATCTCTGGGACACAGCTAAAGGATTGTTAAGAGGGAAATTTATAGCACTAAATGCTCACATCAGAAAGGTTGAAAGGTCTCAAATTGACACCCTAACATAAAAACTGTAAGAGCTAGACAGCCAAGAACAACTAATTCAAAAGCTAGCAGAAGAAAATAAATAACTAAGATCAGAGAAGAATTGAAAGAGATAGAGACATGAAAAATCCACCTAAAAATCAATGAATCCAAGAGCTGGATTTTTGAAAAAATCAACAAAATAGACCACTAGCTAATAATAAAGCAGAAAAGAGAGAAGAATCAAATAGACACAATAAAAAATGACAAAGGGGGTATAACCACTGACCCCTCAGAAATACAAACTACCATCAGAGAATACTATAAACATGTCTATGCAAATAAACTAGAAAATCTAGAAGGAATGGATAAATTCCTGGACACATACACCCTCCTAAGAATAAACCAGGAAGAAGTCAAATCCATGAATAGACCAATAACAAGTTCTGAAATTGAGGCAGTAATTAATAGCCTACTAACCAAAAAAAAAAAGCCCAGAACCAGGTGGATTCACAGCTGAATTATACCAGAAATACAAAGAGGAGCTGGTACCATTACTTCTGAAATTATTCCAAACAATTGAAAAGAGGGACTGCTCCCTAACTCATTTTATGAAGCCAACATCACCCTGATCCCAAAACCTGGCAGAGACACAAAGAAAAAAAAACTTCAGGCCAATATCCCCGTTGAATATCAATGCAAAAAATATTGGCAAACCAAATCCAGCAGCACGTCAAAAAGCTTATCCACCACAATCAAGTTGGCTTCATCCCTGAGATGTAAGGCTGGTTCAACATATGCAAATCAATAAACATAATCCATCACATAAACAGAACCAAGGGCAAAAACCATATGATTATCTCAACAGATACAGAAAAGTCCTTTGATGAAATTCAACATCCCTTCATGTTAAAAACTCTCAATAAGCTAGGAAATGATGGAACATATCTCAAAATAATAGGGCTATTCATGACAAACCCACAGCCAATATCATACTGAATGGGCAAAAGCTAGAAGCATTCCCTTTGAAAACTGGTACAAGACAAGGATGCCCTCTCTCACCACTCCTATTCAACATAGTATTGGAAGTTCTGGTAAGGGCAGTCAGGCAAGAGAAAGAAATAAAGCATATTCAAATAGGAACAGAGGAAGTCAAATTGTCTCTGTTTGCAGATGACATAATTTTATATTTAGAAAATCCCATCATCTCAGCCCAAAAACTCCTTAAACTGATACTTAACTTTAGCAAAGCCTCAGGATACAAAATCAATGTGCAAAAATCACAAGCATTCCTGTATACCAACAATAGACAAGCAGAGTGCCAAATCATGAGTGAACTCCCATTCACAATCACTACCAAGAGAATAAAATATCTAGGAATACAGCTAAGAAGGGATGTGAAGGATCTCCCCAAGGAGAACTAAAAACCACTGGTCAAGGAAATAATAGAGACAAAAGCAAATGGAAGAACCTTCCATCCTCATGGATAGGAAGAATCAATATCATGAAAATGGCCATGCTGCCCAAAGTAATTTATAGATTCAATGCTATTCCCATCAAACTACTATTGACATTCTTCACAGAATTAGGAAAAAGTGTTTTAAATTTCATATGGAATCAAAGAAGACCCTGTATAGCCAAGACAATCCTAAGCAAAAAGAACAAAGCTGGAGGCATCATGCTACCTGACTGCAAACTATACTACAAGGCTTCCGTAACCAAAACATCATGGTACTGATACCAAAACAGACATATAGACCAAAGGAGCAGAACAGAGACCTCAGAAATAACACCATACATCTACAACCATCTTGCTGTTGAATTGTTCCCTTTACCATTATGTAATGCCCTTCTTTGTCTCTTTTGATCTTCAAAAAACCTGCCAAAAACAAGCAATTGGGAAAGGATCTCCTATTCAGTAAATAGTGCTGGAAAAACTGGATAGCCATATGCAGAATACTGAAATTCCTTATACCTTACACCCTTCCTTACACCTTATAAAAAATCAACTTAAGATAGATTAAAGACTTAAATGTCAAACTGAAAACCATAAAAACTCTAGAAGAAAACCTAGGCAATACTATTCAATACATAGGCATGGGCAAAGACCTCATGACTAAAACACCAAAGCAATTGCAACAAAAGCCAAAATTGGCAAATGGGACCTAATTAAACTAAAGAGTTTCTTCACAGCAAAAGAAACTACCATCAGATGAACAGGCAACCTACAGAATGGGAGAAAATTTTGCAATCTACCCATCTGACAAAGGTCTAATATCCAGAATTTACAAGGAACTTAAACACATTTATGAGAAAAAACAACCCCATCAAAAAGTTGGCAAAGGATACAGACATTTCTCAAAAGAAGACATTTATGCAGCCAAGAAACATATGAAAAAAAGCTCATCACTGATCATCAGAGAAATGCAAATCAAAACCACAAAGATATATCTCACACCAGTCAGAATAGCAATTATTAAAAAGTCAGGAAACAACAGATGCTGGTGAAGCTGTGAAGAAATAGGAAAGCTTTTACACACACTGTCGGTAGGAATGTAAATTAGTTCTACAATTGTGGGAGACAGTATGGCAATTCCTCAAGGATCTAGAACCAGAAATACCATTTGACCCAGCAATCCCATTACTGGGTATATGCCCCCCAAATTATAAATCATTCTACTATAATGACACATGCACGCATATGTTTATTGCAGTACTATTTACAATAGCAGACTTGGAACCAACCCAAATGCCCATCAATGATAGACTGAATGAAGAAAATATGATACATATACACCACAGAATACTATGCATCCGTAAAAAGGAATGAGATCATGTCCTTTGAAAGGGCATGGATGAAGCTGGAAGCCATTATCCTCAGCAAACTAACACAGGAAAAGAAAACCAAATACCATATGTTCTTACTCATAAGTGGGAGTTAAACGATGAGAACACATGGACACAGAGAGGGGAAGACCACATGCCAAGGCCTGTTGGGAGTTGGGGGATGAAGGAAGGGAACTTAGAGGATGGGTCAACAGGTGCAGCAAACCACCATGGCACACGGATACCTATGTAACAAGCCTGCACGTTCTGCACATGTATCCCATTTTTTTCTTGTTTGTTTGTTTGTTTTTTAGAAGAAATTAAAAAAAGAAAGAAAATTTGTTCAGAGCAATGTTTTGGGACTAATGAGTACAACAATAGGAAGAGATGAAATTCTAAGGTCAGATAAGAGGGTGATAAGGACTTATAAAAAGAGATAGAAGAGAGGGTTGCTTCCAAGATGGCCGAATAGGAACAGCTCCAGTCTGCAGCTCCCAGCGATATCAACACAGAAGACAAGTGATTTCTGCATTTCCAACTGAGGTACCTGGTTCATCTCATTGGGACTAGTTGGATAGTGGGTGCAGCCCATGGAGGGCAAGCTGAAGTAGGGTGGGGCATCGCCTCACCTGGGAAGTGCAAGGGGCTGGGGGATTTCCCTTTCCTAGCCAAGGGAAGCCATGACAGACTGTACCTGGAGAAATGGTACACTCCTGAACAAATACTGCACTTTTCCCATGGTCTTAGCAACCGGCAGACCAGGAAATACCTTCCCATGCCTGGCTCAGCAGGTCCCATGCCCACAGAGCCTTGCTCACTGCTAGCACAGCAGTCTGAGATCAACCTGTGATGCTGCAGCTTGACTGGGGGAGGGGCATCTGCCATTGCTGAGGCTTGAGTAGCTCACAGTGTAAATAAAGCAGCTGGGAACCTCGAACTGGGAGGAGCCCACCACAGCTCAGCAAGGCCTACTGCCTCTCTAGATTATACCTCTGGGGGCAGGGCATAGCAGAACAAAAGGTAGCAGACAGCTTCTGCAGACCTAAACGTCCTGTCTGACAGCTCTGAAGAGAGCTGTGGTTCTCTCTGCACAGCGTTCAAGCTCTGAGAATGGACAGACTGCCTCCTCAAGTAGATCCCTGACCCCTGTGTAGCCTGACTGGGAGACACCTCCCAATAGGGGCCAACAGACACCTCAAACAGGCAGGTTCCCCTCTGGGACAATGGCAATAGTTGCCATTCTGCAGCCTCTGCTGGTGATACCCAGGCAAACAGAGTCTGGAGTGAACCTCCAGCAAACTCCAACAGACCTGCAGCTGAGGGTCCTGACTGTTAGAAGGAAAACTAACAAACAGAAAGGAATAGCATCAACATCAACAAAAAGGACGTCCACAACAACACCCCATCTATAGGTAACCAATATCAAAGACCAAAGGTAAATAAAACCACAAAGATGGGGAGAAACCAGAGCACAAAAGCTGAAAATTCCAGAAACAGAGCTCCTCTTCTCCTCCAAAGGATTGCAGCTCCTCACCAGCAAGGGAACAAAACTAAATGGAGAATGAGTTTGACAAGTTGACAGAAGTAGGCTTCAGAAGGGCAGTAATAACAAACTTTTCTGAGCTAAAGGAGCATGTCCTAACCAATTGCAAGGATGCTAAAAATCTTGAAAAAAGGAAAGATGAATGGCTAAATAGAATAAACAGTGTAGAGAAGACCTTAAATGACCTGGTGGAGCTGAAAACCACAGCATGAGGATTTCGTGACACCTGCACAAGCTTCAATAGCCAATTCGATCAAGTGGAAGGAAGGATATCAGTGATTGAAGAACAAATTAATGAAATAAAGCAAGAAGACAAGATTAAAGAAAGAAGAATAAAAAGGAATGAACAAAGCCTCCAAGAAATATGGGACTATGTGAAAAGACCAAATATACATTTGACTGATGTACCAGAAAGTGGTGGGGAGAATGGAACCAAGTAAGAAAACACTCTTCAGTATATTATCCAGGAAAACTTCCCAAACTTAGCAAGGCAGGCCAAAATTCAAATTCAGGAAATACAGAGAACACCACAAACATACTCCTCAAGAAGAGCAACCCCAAGACACATAATTGTCAGATTCACCAAGGTTGAAACGAAGGAAAAAATGTTAAGGACAGCCAGAGAGAAAGGTCGGGTTATCCACAAAGGGAAGCCCATCAGACTAACAGCTGATCTCTTGGCAGAAACCCTACAAGCCAGAAGAGAGTGGGAGCCAATATTCAACATTCTTAAAGAAAAGAATTTTCAACCCAGAATTTCATATACAGCTGACCTAAGCTTCATAAGTGAAGGAGAAATAAAATCCTTTACAGACAAGCAAATGCTGAGAGATTTTTTCACCACCAGGCCTGCCTTACAAGAGCTCCTGAAAGAAGCACTAAACATAGAAAGGAACAACTGGTACCAGCTACTGCAAAAACATGCCAAATTGTAAAGACCACTGATGCTATGAAGAAACTGCATCAATTAATGGGCAAAATAACCAGCTAACATCAATATGATAGGATCAAATTCCAACATGCCAATATTAACCTTAAATGTAAATAGGCTAAATGTCCCAATTAAAAGACACAGACTGGCAAATTGGATAAAGAGTTAAGACCCATCAGTGTGCTGTATTCAGGAGACCCATCTCATGTGCAAAGACACACATAGACTCAAAATAAAGGGATGAAGGAAGATCTACCAAGCAAATGGAAAGAAAAAAAAAAAAAAGCAAGGGTTGCAATCCTAGTCTCTGATAAAACAGACTTTAAACCAACAAAGATCAAAAGAGACAAAGAAGGCCGCTACATAATGGTAAAGGGATCAATTCATCAAGAAGAGTTAACTATCCTAAATATATATGCGCCCAATACAGAAGCACACAGATTCATAAAGCAAGTCCTTAGAGACCTACAAAGAGACTTAGACTCCCACACAATAATAACAGGACACTTTAACAACCCACTGTCAATATTAGACAGATCAATGAGACAAAATATTAACAAGGATATCCAGGACTTGAATTCAGCTCTGGACCAAGTGGACCTAATAGACATCTACAGAACTCTCCACCCCAAATCAACAGAATATACATTCTTCTCAGCACCACATCACACTTATTCTAAAATTGACCACATAACTGGAAGTAAAGCACTCCTTAGCAAATGTAAAAGAACAGAAATTACAAAAAACTGTCTCTCATACTACAGTACAATCAAATTAGAACTCAGCCTTAAGAAACTCTCTCAAAACCACACAACTACATGGACACTGAACAACTTGTTCCTGAATGACTACTGGGTAAATAATAAAATGAAGGCAGAAATGAAGATGTTCTTTGAAACCAATGAGAACAAAGACACAACGTACCAGAATCTCTGGGACACATTTAAAGCATCATGTAGAAGGAAATTTATAGCACTAAATGCCCAAAAGAGAAAGCAGGAAAGATTTAAATCTACACCCTAACATCACAATTAAATAACTAGAGAAGCAAGAGCAAACAAATTCAAAAGCTAGCAGAAGGCAAGAAATAACTAAGATCAGAACAAAACTGAAGGAGATAGAGACACAAAAAAAACCCTTCAAAAAATCAATGAATCCAGGAGCTGGTTTTTTGAAAAGATCAACAAAATAGATAGACCACTAGCCAGACTAATAAAGAAGAAAAGAGAGAAGAATCAAATAGAGGCAATAAAAAATGATAAAGGAGAGAGCACCACTGATCCCACAGAAATACAAACTACCATCAGAGAATACTATAAACACCTCAACAAAAATAAACTAGAAAATCTAGAAAAAATGGATAAATTCCTGGACACATACACCCTCCCAAGACTAAACCAGGAAGAAGTTGAGTCTCTAAATAGACCAATAACAGGTTCTGAAATTGAGGCAATAATTAATTGTCTACCAGTCAAAAAAACTCCAGGACCAGATGGATTCACAGCTGAATTCTACCAGAGGTACACAGAGGAGGTGGTACCATTCCTTCTGATATTATTCCAATCAATAGAAAAGGAGGGAATCCTCCCTAACTCATTTTATGGGGCCAGCATCATCCTGATACCAAAGCCTGGCAGAGACACAATTAAAAAAAAGAGAATTTTAGGCCAATATCCCTGATGAACATCAATGTGAAAATCCTTAATAAAATACTGGCAAACCGAATCCAGCAGCACATCAAAAAGCTTATCCACCATGATCAAGTGGGCTTCATCCCTGGGATACAAGGCTGGTTCAACATACGCAAATCAATAAACATAATCCATCACATAAACAGAACCAATGACAAAAACCACATGATTATCTCAATTGATGCAGAAAAGGCCTTCAACAAAATTCAACAGCACTTAATGCTAAAAACTCTCAATAAACTAGGTGTTGATGGAATGTATCTCAAAATAATATGAGCTATCTATGACAAACCCACAGCCAATATCATACTGAATGGGCAAAAACTGGAAGCACTCCCTTTGAAAATCGGCACAAGACAAGGATGCCCTCTCTCACCACTCCTATTCAACACAGTGTTGGAAGTTCTGGCCAGGGCAATCAGGCAGGAGAGAGAAAGAAAGGGTATTCAAGTAGGAAAAGAGGAAGTCAAATTTCTCTGTTTGCAGATGACATGATTGTATATTTAGAAAACCCCATCGTCTTAGCCCAAAATTTCCTTAAGCTGATAAGCAACTTCAGCAAAGTCTCAGGATAAAAAATCAATGTGCCAAAATCACAAGCATTCCTATACACCAATAATAGACAAACAGAGCAAAATCATGAGTGAATTCCCATTCACAATTACTACAAAGAGAATAAAATACCTAGGAATCCCACTTACAAGAGATGTGAAAGACTTCTTCAAGGAGAACTACAAACCACTGCTCAACAAAATAAAAGAGGACACAAACAAATGGAAGAACTTTCCATGCTCATGGATAGGAAGAATCAATATCATGAAAATGGCCATACTGCCCAAGGTAATTTACAGATTTAATGCCATCCCCATCAAGCTACCACTGACTTTTTTCACAGAATTGGAAAAAACTACTTTAAAGTTCATATGGAACCAAAAAAGAGCCCACATAGCCAAAAGAATCCTAAGCAAAAAGAATAAAGCTGGAGGCATCATGCTACCTGACTTCAAACTATACTACAAGGCTACAGTAACCAAAACAGTATGGTACTTGCACCAATAGATATATAGGCCAGTGGAACAGAACAGAGGCCTCAGAAATAACACCACATATCTACAACCATCTGATCTTTGACAAACCTGACAAAAACAATAAATGGGGAAAGGATTCCCTATTTAATGGTGCTGGGAAAACTGGCTAGCCATATGTAGAAAGCTGAAACTGGATCCCTTCCTTACACTGTATACAAAAATTAACGCAAGATGGATTAAAGACTTAAATGTAAGACCTAAAACCACAAAAACCCTAGGAAAAAACCTAGGCAATACCATTCAGGACATAGGCATGGGCAAAGACTTCATGACTAAAACACCAAAAGCAACGGCATCAAAAGCCAAAATAGACAAATGGGATCTAATTAAACTAAAGAGCTTCCACACAGCAAAAGAAACTATCATCAGAGTGAACAAGCAACCTACAGAATGGGAGAAAATTTTTGCCATCTCCCCATCTGACAAAGGGCTAATATCCAGAATCTACAAAGAACTTAAACAAATTTACAAGAAAAAAACAACCACCATCAAAAAGTGGGCAAAAGATATGAACAGACACTTCTCAAAAGAAGACTTTATGCAGCCAACAGACATATGAAAAAATGCTCATCATCACTGGTCATCAAAGAAATGCAAATCAAAACCACAATGAGATACTATCTCACACCAGTTAGAATAGTGATCATGAAAAAGGAAACAACAGATGCTGGAGAGGATGTAGAGAAATAGGAATACTTTACACTGTTGGTGGGAATGTAAATTAGTTCAACCATTGTGGAAGACAGTGTGGCGATTCCTCAAGGATCTAGATCTAGAAATACCATTTGACCCAGCAATCCCATTACTGGGTATATACCCAAAGGATTATAAATCATGCTACGATAAAGACACATGCACACGTATGTTTATTGCGGCACTATTCACAATAGCAAAGACTTGGAACCAACCCAAATGTCTATCAATGATAGGCTGCATTAAGAAAATGTGGCACATATACACCATGGAATACTATGCAACCATAAAAAAGGATGAGTTCATGTCCTTTGCAGGGACATGGATGAAGCTGGAAACCATCATTCTATGCAAACTATCACAAGGACAGAAAACCAAACACCGCATGTTCTCACTCATAGGTGGGAGTTGAACAATGAGAATACATGGACACAGGGCAGGGAACATCACACACTGGGGCCTGTTGGGGGGTGGGGGACTGGGGGAGGGATAGCATTAGGAGAAATATCTAATGTAAATGACGAGTTGATGGGTGCAGCAAACTGACATGGCACTTGTATACCTATGTAACAAACCTGCACGTTGGGCACATGTACCCTAGAACTTAAAGTATATGTATATAAAAAAAGAGATAGAAAATATTTAGAGATGCCTCTGTTAGGAGATGAGTTATTGTTCTTTCCATTTAAGTATATTATAAGGTGTAATGCCTAATACATCAAAATTCAATCTTAATCCTTTTAGCCCTAAAATTTTCTACACATTCTAAAATTAAAGAATTTGAGAGCTATAAAGGACCTTGGAAATCATTTTGGTTCAGTCCCATGTTTTAGAAATAAGAAAACTAATGACAATAATAATACCATACCTAAAGAGAAAATTTTTTTAATCTTTTCTAATTTATTAATAGATCCATAAATAGATCTCCTGATTAAAACTTTAATCTTCTTTCTATTGTATCACACCATCACCTTGTTTGTCAATTTATTTGGGAGTATGCTTTTGTTGACAACTCTTTTTGTGTATTCTATTTATATGGGAATATTATTTTGTAGTTGGAGTGGTCTATTATAAGATAATTAAGACAAAGTAGCTGTAATATTAGTTTATTATTGTTTATTATAATTTTATTGGTAAACCCATGTTTACCAGTGAAATTACATATGTTATAATGCTCTGTGTACCATAACATTCAGCAGAAGCTCTTTAGTTTAATTACATCCCATTTGTCAATTTTGGCTTTTGTTGCAATTGCTCAATCTCACCACACATGACCATCACCTGGAGAGCTTCACAATACGGGTGCCTAGTCTCATATCTTGAGGTTCTGATTTAAATGTTCCAGGGTGTAGCCTAGGAACTGGGATTGTTAAAAGCTGCTGCAAAGAAGAATAAACTTTTTTTTCCTTTTTAGCCTTTATTCTTATGTAATATAAACATTTGTATTATTCTTGAACAGAAACATTTAATTAAATGCTATAAATTTTCCTTTATATCACTTTAGCTGCACCCCACAGTTATATGTGATATGTTCATTTAATTTTTTCTTTTCTTTAACAAAGCAATATTTATTAATAACAAAAGTATTTTCTTACTTTTTATTTGATTTATAACTGTCATAAATATAGGTCTGGACAAAGCAAAATTGCCTTTGAATTTCCAATGTCTCTTTTTGCTAAATAGTACATATTAAACAAAACATAATATGTATACAATATAAAAAATAGAAATGTCACTTATAAAGTTTATATAAAATAATATTTACAAAGCACTATTCTGAGAACTAAGTTTCATCAAGCTTTTATTTTGAAATTGGATTCTCAAGTGTCTTCAGTTCTTAAGATGATAATGAATGAGATTAAAATTTCTTTTGAAGACAGACCATTTTTTTTAAGTCCAAAATTTCTGGAAGTCCAACAGTTGGTTCATTTGAAATTTGAATTAGCCTTGAAGAAACTCAGATTTGTTTTTGAAAGGTGACGTTGAACAAAAATACTCCAGCCTATGGAGGAGGGTTCTTAAGTGCTTTTTAGAAGCACGGACAAGAATGAACCTCATATTGGAGTGGGAGGTAGAGAACAGACACAGTCTGAATAGAAGAAAAGGGTTCTATTTTCAGACCCCTGGAGAATGACAGAAGGGAGCCCCAGCCATGGCAGTGCTTGGAAAATCTTGCAATGTGATGGTTCCTACATCATCTTCTGGTAAATGAATCATTCTTACTATTTCAGTCATCATCCCCTCTAGTCTTAAGGGTTTAGATCTCTCCTTATTTACTTCTTTTACAGAAGAAATTACTTCCTCCTTCAGGACTGAGTTGGTCTCTTCAACTTTATGTATGCGTCCACAAGACTTTGTATCTTTTACGATTCCTTTTCTAGGCTGGTATCTTCTAAAAATTACTCAATATCTAAATATTCCTTTTGATCAGAACTAAGTATGCCAAGAAATGGATGCTTCATCAGAACTGGTGCAGCCAGTATTTGCAGAACCTGCATTTTCTTTCCCAAAAGTCAGCTTCTAGCCTAATGCATAAATCTGAACAAATATGAGAGACCCACCAAAAAGCCAATAACAGATATACACACCACTGACTTCCACTGGAGACTACTGTAGTCAATGCCTAGCCTCATGTCATCTGGAAGCAGCTCTGCTACCACTTTTTGTGACTTCCCCAGGATCAGCTGAAAGCCAGGCTCCATAGTGGTTCACAATGCCTGCATGGCACTGAAGCCCCCAACAGAATTCCAGTGGGTAACCATAGCTCCCATAGCCTACAACAAACTGCTCAGAATCCCACCGTGTTCTGCCTGGAACCCACCCACCCATGTCTGGCAAACTAAATCAATAACAAACGAGCCAGTCCAAGTGGAGGATAGGTACAAATTTTTTTTTTACTGTGCTTTTTGCCATAGTGGCCTCTCTTTTCTCTTCTTTTTAATTTTCCCTTCTTTTTAATTTTTTCAATTATGAAATGTTTTTATCAAAATCCAATAAACACACCATAAAATTCACAGATTTTTAAGTGTACAATTTGATGACTTTTGACAGGTTACACCTGTGAAACCAACAACCTAATCCAGATTAGACCATGTTTACCACTTTAGAAATTTCCCTTGTGCCTCCTTCCCCTCCCTTGTGCCTCCTTCCCCTCCCTTGTGCCTCAATTCCCCACCACCATCTTGATTGCTATCACATGTTAATTTTGACTATTCTTAAATTCCCTATAACTTGAATCACACATAAGGTAATCTTCTTGAAATACAATAAAATACAATGTTGAATTTCATCCATGTTGTAAGTGGAACACAGTTCACTCTATTTTTAATTTTCTATTGTGCATCGTATAAATATTCCATGATTTCTTTATCCATTCTCCTTGTTTTAGTTTGTTCTTGCATTTCTATAAAGAACTACCTGAGACTGGGTAATTTATAAAGAAAAGAGTTTTAACGGGCTCAGGGTTCTGCAAGGTATATAGGAAGCATGATGGCTTCAGGAAGCTTGCAATCATGGTGGAAGGCAAAGAGGAAGAAGGCATGTCTCATATGGCCAGAACAGGAGGGAGAGAGAGCAGGGGGAGGTGCTACATACTTTTAAACAACCAGATCTCATGAGAACTCATTCACTATCACAAGAACAGCAAGGGAGAAATCTGCCCCCTGATCCAATTACCTCCCACCAGGCCCCTGCTCCAATACTGGGGAATCACAATTTGACATGAGAGTTGGGTGGGGACACAAATCCAAACCATGTCACTCCTATTGAACAAATCCAAACCATATCACTCCTATTAATGGAAATGTAATTTTTCATTTGTCTTAGGTAAATAACTAGGTATGGGGATGTTTGTGTAAGAAACTGTCAAACAGTTTTTCAGGGGGATTGCACTAGTTTACCTTCCTATGCATGAGGTATAAGGGTTATATTTGTTTCGTATTCTTACCAATATTTTTTTCAGTCTCTTTTAAAATGTTAATCACTTCCAATACAAGTGAATTTGTTCTATTGTTTTAATTGGTCCTTTCATGTGCCTATTGGCCATTGTACAAATTCTTGTATAGAAGATGTCTTTGCTTTATTTTTTAAAAAACATTTGAGGTATTTGTCTTATTCTCATTGACTTATAGAACATACATCCTAGTCATAAAAGTCAGATATATGAAATGAAAATACTTGATTCCAATCTGTGACTTGCAGTTTTGTTTTCTGAATACTGTCTTTTGATATGCAGGTTTTAACATTGATAAAGTCCAATTTAATACTTTTTCTCTTTTATAGTTAGTGCTTCTTGTGTCCTTTATAAAACATTCTTGTCTAACCCCAAGGTCATGAAGCTATTCTCCTGCCTCTTCTTCCAGATGTTTTATAATTTTAACTTTTACATTTGCATCTTGACATATTTTGCAATATTTTGCAATAATTTTGTGCAATGTGATGTAGGAGCCAAGGCTTATTGACTCTCTTTGTTTTGTTTTTTTTTAGACGAAGTCTCACTCGGTCACCTAGGCTGGAGTACAGTGGTGTGATCTCAGCTTACTGCAACCTCCACCTCCCAGACTCAAGCAGTCCTCCAACTTCAGCCTCCCGAGTAACTGGGACTACAGGCATGCACCACCATGCTAGGCTAACTTTTTTGTATTTTTTAGTAAAGACAGAGTTTCACCATGTTGGCCAGGCTGGTCTCAAATTCCAGACCTCAAGTGATTCACCAGCCTAAGCCTCCCAAAGTGCTAAAATTACAGGTATGAGCCACCATTCCTGGCCTGACACTTTTTTCTGTTGGTTATGGATCACTTTTACCTACTTGCTTGCATATCCAGTAATTTTTCCTAATAAGCTGGATGTTGTGGATAATACATTATAGTGAGTCTGGATTGGCTGTCTTCCTTCAATTGGTGGTATGTGTTGTTGTGGCAGGCAGCTCATGAATCAATTCTTTTGATCAGACTTTGATTTATTTATTTATTTTTGTTAGTGTGAATGTATTTCACTTTTGTCTTTAGTCCAAGGGGATAGCCCTTACTTCTAATTTTTGGACTTTCTTAGATCTCAGTAGACTGTCAGAGGTGCTCTGCCTGCTCTCAACACACTGGCTAAGTCAGCACACCTGTGTTCCCAGCACTGGGCTCTCTCTGGTGTCTCCTTTCAGCTCTCAGATCTGCAAAGGCCACCTTCTGTTAGGCCTCATAGAGTTTAGCCCTGTGCACATCAGCCCTACTCTTGGGCAAAGACCTGCAGGAAACTTCCAGGTAGATTTTTGTCCCCTTCTCCTAGCCAACCCTGTAGATTCTCCTTTCCTGTACTCTGCCTTGCAAATTCCAGCAGCTTCAGCAGCCCATCTCTGGCTCCTCAGTTCAGGGAGACCACAGTGCTCTACTTGGCTCCACTTCCACCTTCCTAGTCCTGGAGAGTGTCCTACCTAAGAGCCAGAGCTCAGCTCATGCACTTCCACTCTCCCAAGGATCTCAGTCCTGGGCTAGGACTGAGAAGTCACATCATATGTTTGGCCTAGTTTTATGTTTTTGAATTATGGGTTGAATTAGGTGTACTCCCAAAATACATATGTTGAAGCCCTAACTCCCAGTATCTTGGAATGTGACATTATTCAGAAATT
Organism: Homo sapiens; assembly: GCF_000001405.40. Taxonomy (NCBI): domain Eukaryota; kingdom Metazoa; phylum Chordata; class Mammalia; order Primates; family Hominidae; genus Homo; species Homo sapiens. The sequence goes on from NC_000012.12 coordinate 63,348,001, forward strand.
GGGTTGTTACAGTTGTAGTTAAAATGAGGTCATACTAATGTACATTGGACCCTTTATTCAATGTGTTGAGTGTCCTTACAAAAAGGGGAAATTTGGAGACAAACACACACAGGGAGAATGCCATGTGAAGACGAAGGCAGAAAGGTGCAAAACAATGAACACTAAATATTGCTGGCAAATCAGCAGATGCTTGGCAAGAGGCCTGGAGCAGATTCTTTTCTCACAGCCTTCAGAAAAAACAATTCTGACAACAATTTTATTTAGGACTTCTGGCCTCCACATGGGAGTCAATAATTTCTGTTGTTTAAGCCACTCAGTTTGTGGTACAATAGTCCTTCTTTATCTACTGGGGGTATGTTTCAACACCCTCAGTGGATGCCTGAAGCAGCAGATAGTACCAAACCCTATATATACTATGTTATTTCCTATACATACATACCTATGATCAAGTTTAATTTATAAATTAGGCACAGAAAGAGATTAACAACAATGAGATAGAAAAATTGAAATAATATACTGCAATAAAAATTATATGACTGTGGTCTCTCTCTAAATATCTTTTTGTACTATACTCACCCTTCTCGTGATGATGTGAGATAATAAAATTCAGACTGCAGTTGACAGCAGGTGACTGAAACTGTGGAAAGCAAAACCTCAGATACAGTGGTCTACTGCACTTTGTTACACAGCCCTAAGAAACTAATAGATTGTGGTAGGAGAGTAGCTGGGCACCAGTAACCCCGCCCTCAATGTGAATTTCTTGACTCTGCTCCAGGCCTCTTCCCCTGGGGCACCCTGGGCCTGGGCGGTGTCCTGCACTCAAGACTTCAGTTTCAGCTCTGTCTTCAGGTACTAGAGCTCTTGCTACAGCTGCTGGCAGTTCTGGGAGAACCCTGGGAAGACTTTAAAATACAGCAGGACTTCATTTCCAGAGATTCTACCTTAATCTATCTGGTGTGGGCCTGAGAATCAATTGCTTGTCAGTGCTTCCCAGGTGATTCTGATGTGCAGTCAATAGTGAGGAAATCCTGCTCTGAGCCTTAGAGTACAAGTCAGCTGCCTAATTTCCTGCTGTGAAGACTGATTTTGGGTTAAGGCATCCCCAGATAGCTGGGCAAACATCACTTCTGGCTGTGTCTGTGAAGCTGTTTCCAGAAGAGATTAACATTGGAGTCAGTAGACCGGGGAAAGAAGATCTGCCCTCACCAATGTCAGTGGGCATCATCCAGTCCCTTGAGGGCCTGGATAGAACAAAAAAACAGATGAAGGGTAAATTCTTGCTTTCTGTCTTTGAGCTGGTACATCCATCTTCTCCTCTCCTAAGATATCAGAGCTCCTGGTTCTCTGACTTTGGGACTCTGGGACTTATACCAGCACCCCCACCCCCTAATCCCTTCTCAGGCCTTCAGCTTCTGACTGGGAGTTACAGCATTGGCTCCTCTGGTTCTCAGGCCTTTGGGCTCAGACTGAATTATGCCACTGGCTTTTCTGGTTCTCCAGCTTGCAGATGGCATATTGTGGGCTTTCTCAGCCTCTATAATCATGTGGTCCAATTCCCATAATAAAGATCCTCTCATATATGTCTATGAATATACACATCCTATTGGTTCTGTTTCTCTGAAGGACCTTGATTAATATGCCAACCCATGAATCATTCAAACAAGCCAATCACATCCTTTCGACAGAACTAGGGTGCACCTCATCCTCTTTCTACTATAAAACTTGCCTCTAAGCCTTTGCTTGTTCTCTCTGCTCCTTGTTCTGCTCTGCCTGGTGTGTGTTGTCTCCTGGGCTGTGAGTATATGTGACTAATAAACTGCTGTCCCTCTCATCTGCCCAGTGTCAGGTGTCATGTTCGGCCACCCCCACAACCCTAGGATGGCAATGCCTGCCTCACCAATGGGGTAAAGAGAAGGCTAACAAAACAATGGTAGCATTGGAAATGATGAGAAGTGAAGATAACGAGCAGGGATCAGATGTATTTTGGAAGTAAAGCTGACAGTAACAGATGGATTTGGATAGGACTTCTAGGTTTTTGGCCTGAAAGCTTCAATATATAGTGGAACTGCTAGCCAAAGTGGGTAAAGATAAGAACAAATTTGATGGGAAAAATTAAAAATAATTAAAAATTATTAACAATGTTTTTAATAATCAATATTTTGACATACTATGTTTGTGGTGATTAAGAGATATCCAAAGTATATTCAGCTGGAGTTATCAAATAAGCAGGTAGATATTTAATTCCGAAGCTCAGGGGCTTACAGACCTTTCTCCCCTTAACAGGTCATGTTGCAATGTGGAACTGTGGACCAGAGAGAGATTAAGTGAGCTCATCAAGATCATAGCTTAGAAATGACAGGTGTTTAGGCTATAAATCAGTGTTCAATCCAATAGAAACATGAACCCTAAAACAAAGGAAACATATTGTCTCATCTGTACCCTTTTCTACTGAGCTGCACATAAAGGTTTGAAAAGGTAACTTGGAGACTGAAGGAACTGGCAAGGATGGAGCTATATAATAGTGGCTCACTTTTCTTCTGCAAAGTGAGAAGTTGCTACAAAGAGATGGGCTAATTCACCCTAAATATAATAGACTTTAACATGCGCAAATTTAAACTTCATGGTTAGATTATTTATAAATGCCCCTAGACTCTCATGATAGCTTGTAATTTTACTAAGATTACAAATTTGCATCAAGGTGTCATGAGGCTTCAATGTGGGAGTGAGTTTCTTCCATAGTGAATAAACCTAGGTGTCAGCCAAGTATCCACATCTCAAGCCAGTTTCATTGTTTTTGCTTGTTTTCTTGTACATGGGGACTTTTAGTAAATAATAAAATAGTTTGATTCTAAAATATATTACAAAAACAATAAAAACCTCCATGAAGGAAAGAAGTTCAAATGATTCAAACATAACTTCAGTATTATTGTATTTATATATTAGAGATTTGAAGAAATTGCTTAAATTCTTTAGTGATGCTTTATTGCATCTTATGGGGGATATTATTGGCTATCATGGTATCTGGGGAATGACAACATTCTAAAAGGTATTCCTGACAAACAGCAGGAGTCCATGTTATTGTTTCACTGAATACCAGAAAATCCTTTGATTCTAAACCAAAAAGGCATTGATTTATCATGAAAATAATTTCAGACATGCATTAAAATGGGAAGAGATGAAGGTAAATAGTGACTGCATTTGGTAGTACAGCTTTGAAGCTGGTACACTTAGTTGTCACATGGCTGTCCAATATTGGCAGCGGTCTACTAAGTAGAACAGTTGTTACAGTTTCAATGGACATTCAACCAGTTTATGGGATTTACAGATCAATGTAGTTAATAATCTGGACCAAGAGAACATGTTACTACAAAGAAAATTTTAGAAAAAGAATACAAATATAGCCTTTTTAGTTTAAAAAATATAAAATCCAACTGATCAAGAAAATTTTGAATTTGGGGAGACACACGTACAATAATGAAATATTGAAAGCAGACTCTCAGCAGGTGTGCAGGGATTCTTAATAGAGTGATAAAGTATAATACAAATGGCATGCGTTGGCAGTAATTTAGTGTGACTCATAAAGACAGTTACATAAACTACTATTCATAAAAGTTGTCCTAGAATGAAGGGGGTGGGCATGTTCACCCATGCTATTCCGCATCTAGAAGATCCTCTCAGTTGAACATTTAGACCTTGAATCTATGCACACAGTCTAGAGCTGAACTTTGATTCCCCTGGCAAATTAAGGATAATGGTGAGAAAGAAACAGCCAGGTGCTAAAAAGGGAGGTTAAAGCACTTATCTTGATTTTTTTAGTTCATGTGTGTGTGTTTAAATTTTCTTTCTGATTGAAAAGTAACACTTACTTGTTGCAAAAAAAAGAAATCAAAACAATCCAGAAATGCACAAAGTAGAAAATTAATCTTTCCCCCAAGTCCCACTTCTCCAAACAAACCATTATTAACATTTGGTATACATTTTCAAAAACATCTTTCTCTGTAAAATATACGTGTGCATGTTTACATATGGATAAAAGGAGAAAGAAAAAGCTTTATATTTGCAAGAATGGGATCATACTGCACATACTATAGTGGAGCTTTTTGTTTTCACTTAATATGTCTTGAACACCATTCCATAGCCATACATGGAAATCTACTTCATTTTTAAATGCTTTGAATACACAGAATAAGCATTCCTTAGATGGAATGTGTCATCATTTATTTAAATAACTCCAGATAAATGAACATTTTGATTGTTTCCAATTTTTAGCAATCAGTATTGCAAGCAACGCTGCATAGTACACATATGATATACCAGTGCATGCTAGTGCAAGTATTTCCACAGAAGTTCTTACAGGAGGAATTGCTGGGTCAATGAGTTCTTTTACATTTTGAATGCAATGATAGACTGTGGAAAGGTGAAGGAACTCAGGCTGTGGCTGCTCTTTCTGACACCTGAGAAGAGGAATTCAGTACATACCGGCAGAGGAGGGGACCATTCATCTAATATTGTGTGAAAAGTCCCAAAAAGCCTTTCTACCCAGAACTCATCTCTTCTCTGGCCTGCATAAAAGCCTGGAATTCGAAGTATAAACTCAAGTTCTTAGTAGCTTTTAGCATTCATTTTTTAGTGGAGTGATGATGGTCTTACAAAATCTGAGAGTAATATTCTCTGTAAATGAAATATTGGCAGGAACTTACAAATCTATTTTAATCAGCACATCTTTTTATTTCAACATCGATGAAAACCTTTATAAAATTTTAGTCTAATTTTCTGTTCTTATTATTGTGGTGGGCTAAATTAATTTGCTTTTCTAAACCTGAAGCTCTTGTAATACCTAAGAATCATTCTTAACATAATACTGTATTTTGCCCAATATATCTTGATACTTTAGATAGAGTGAACTTCTTTTAGATACAGTCTCTCCCCTCCCTCCCAACTATCCAGTGAGTAAGGCAGGCCAAGGGTACTTTGGTTTAATGAATGAGAAAATTGAGATTCAGAAGTTTGAAAGGACTAAACTAGGACACATGGGCAGTATTGTCAGAATTTATCAATGATGAATGCATCATATGATAGATTTAGAAACAACTGGAAATGCGGCTAAACTTTAGCTGACCTCAGGAGATGTCCTGAAAGGTTTGAAATTGGGAATTTTCTGCTAGTTAAGTTAAACTTTGTTGCTTCCTCTTTTGTTAGTTCTTAAAATATATGATGGTGCTGGCCGTGCACAGTGGCTCACGCCTGTAATCCCCACACTTTGGGAGGCTGGGGTGGGGGGCGGGGGTGGATCACGAGGTCAGGAGTTCAAGACCAGCCTGGCCAAGATGGTGAAACTTTGTCTCTACTAAAAATACAAAAAAATTAGCTGGGCGTGGTGGCATGCGCCTGTAATCCCAGCTATTCAGGAGGCTGAAGCAGAGAATTCCTTAAACCTGGGGAGCAGAGGTTGCAGTGAGCCGAGATTGTGCCACTGCACTCCAGCCCGGGCAACAGAGGAAGACTTTGTCTCAAAAAAAAAAAAAAAAAAAAAAAAATATATATATATATATATATATATATGTATATATGATGGTGCTATATTTCCTTTTTCCTTAGCACATCGAAGTGTTGTTCATTAAAAGATTGGATTAGCCTTATAATGTTTAAATTGAGGTTTTAAGGTTTTACTTTACCATATACACTGTGACTAAAACATAGATATGTTCACCACTAGGGGATACATCAGCCAAACTAATAAGGCCATTCTGGGCCACCAGCAACAATAGTTAGCTTTTACATTATTCTATGTGTTGGGCATCCATCCAAGATTACTCATGTTAACTCATTTAATACTCACAATATCCCTGTGAGGTGGGTTTTGTTACTATTCCTATTTTGTACAAGAAGAAAATGAAATACAGAGCCATTAAGTAATTTGTCCAAGGTCACATAGCAAGAAAATAGCAGAGCTGAATTATAAACTCAACTGTTCCGACCCCAGCATTCATGCTCAAAACAACTGAACTATACTGTAGTGTCAGAATGGCAATTTCACTGTCCTGTGTCATGCTTCACTGCTTCAGAAAACAGGTGGCTTCAGGAAGCTAACATGTCAAACCATCACTTGTAGATATTACAGTATAAATATAACTGGCCAGTCCAGAAAAGTCAAAAACACATTTGTGAAATGCAGTTTCCTTAAGATTCCCACTCTCACTTGAATCTGACTTGATGTCACTCTAACTTTGACTTTTATTGACTTTCTAGTGGGCCAAGAAAAATAATGGAAGGAATTTATTGAATTTTATTAGATTAATATTCCCAAGGGGTGAGCTGTATAATAAACTACTCATCCTCTCCCAGTGGTTCAAATTTCAGCTAAATGCAGCCTTTATGACAACATTCTCCCTTTATCACTTGAAGTAATGTTCAGCTACTAGTTGTAGGAAACTTTTGTTCTTTTCCCTGTTAAGGCTTAACAGGCTTCATCTATGTCCCTACAAAGGACATGAACTCAACATTTTTTATGGCTGCAGGAATGGAACAATGAGAACACTTGGACACAGGAAGGGGAACATCACACACCAGGGCCTGTTGTGGGGTGGGGGGGAGGGGGGAAGGATAGCATTAGGAGATATACCTAATGTAAATGACGAGCTAATGGGTGCAGCGCACCAACATGGCACATGTATACATAAGTAACAAACCTGCACGTTGTGCACATGTAGCCTAGAACTTAAAGTATAATAAAAGCATATATATATATATATATATATATAAAAGAAACAAACAAACAAACAAAAACAGGCTTAACTGTGTTTTTATTAGCAATGGTCATATTTTAAAGGCATCTTTCTTATGCAGCATTGAATATTTTAACAAACTGAAACTTAACCTTGACAGTACCACTAAACTTTAACCAAAATGTCTCACATATATTGGAGTCATTGTATACAATCTCAAGCCACAATGCCTAGGTTCAAATCCCAGTTCAAATCTGCCTCTTACTGGCTGTTTGCCTTGGGCAAAATCTTTAATTATTTAGTGCCTTAACTTCCTCATCTTTAAAGTAGGGATTTTGACAAAGCCTACCTCACTCACAGGCTTGAGAAGTAATTGTTTACTTTAGACAAGTTTCTTATGCTCGGCACTGGTCAAAGTTCTTTACATGTGTTACTCATTCAATCCTTACAACAACCCTGCTATCCCCACTTTAAAGTTGCTAATATCCCCAGTTTAAACATGAGGAAACTAAAACACCAAATGGTTAAGAAACTTGTCTCAAGAAAATTGTTAAAGCTAGTAAGCAGTATGGCCTGGATATAAACTTAGCCAATCTCACTCTAAATCTACAGTTTTAGTCACTGCTACACACTGCTATTTTGATAATCAGTTTTAAATTGCAACACACTTTCAGACCCACTTTATAACAGCAAACATGTTCTTCTAATGTTTTTTTCATTCTGACTTCTGTCTGTAAGCAACCAAACCAACCCTATTTTGCCATTCAGTGATCCTGGTGTTCTAACTACATAGACCATGATTAAGATCATTCAAACATTGGTGGGATGTATTTCTATAACTTTAAATAAATCCCTTCATCTGCTTCTAGACTCCAGGTTCATACCATCTGCTATATTAGATGCTCATTAGACTCATGGCAGGATAAAACTGCTCATGAAAAATCCATGTAGTGAGCGTTTAGAATCATTACAAAAGTCTTCTGAGAAAAAGATTTATAACAGAAGCCTTTAGGTGAAAGAGTAAGAAGTAAAATTTAACAGTGAAATTTACACTGTCTCACAGATTTTAGAAAACCTAGTCATTTATCATTCATTTTATAGGAATAAACAAAATGAAAATTTACATTGCTATTTTGGAAGGGAAAATACTTTATTCTTATTACTCTCAAGACTTTAAACCAAAATAGGAAAGTAGACTCACTTCGAGGACAATACTTCAAAATCAATTCTAAAAAATTAGCATTGTAGCCACATCATACTGTTTTCTATAATAGAGCTCCATTTTTTCTTTTGCTTTTGATAAACTCAATGAATTGTTGTCAAATATAACACCCTGTATGCTACCTGAAGTGAATCAAATCTTTTGGGGAAGAAAGTTCTGATTTTGGACAAACTGTAGGAAGCCATTTTTAAAAGGGCTAAGATAGCTATACTGAATTTTTATCAATCTTTGTGATCACCTCAGAGTTTTTAAGTAATGCTGTGTTTGCATAAACATGCTTGTTGAATGAGGTTTTTTTTTTAAAAAAAAAAAGAAAAAAGACAACAACAAACAGTATTTTCCAGGCTAATTAGACTGTCTATGCTTAAAACTAACGATTAGAATTTCCTACGGAGCAATTCAACTCCTCTATCACAGGAGTGAACCTGGAGTAGGCAACTGCTGACCCATGATGGTTTGAGAATTTCTGAAACACTTATTTACCTCTGCAAGAAGCATGCAGAAGTTTAAAATCATAGGGTCTCAAGATTTGAAGGAATTCAATGGTCAAATACAACCAATCAATCAATGTTTTAACTCGCATTTTCAGTATCTTCAATAAGTCACCCATGAATAACACTAGGCCATGAATAACACCTCTGAAGGCAAAAAACTTACTTCCTAAGCTCTAAATGCTCCACAATCATTCCTCATAAAGACCAACTTTATTCCAAGACCTTTTCTAGCTGAAAATAAGTGTTTTTATTCATATGTGTATTTTCAATGCCTAGAAAAACATAGACAAACAAATGCAGAGTGAAGTTAGTTGAGTTGAATTGCAATGGACTTCCTTGTGTCATAGACTGCCTTGCATTCTAGTTAATTGAGCATGTTTTATTTCCTAAACTAACTTGTAAACTGTACAAGGGAGGGCACCTTTTTTCATATATCTCTGTATCCTTTGCATCCTCTACTATTGTACAATGCACATAGAATGCCCTATATATTTCTTGAATTTAAAATGTGAATGAATGAATGAATAAATAAATAAATCTTAGTTCTAGGCTATTCTTATGAGATACATTTTACGCTGCTATTCAAAATCAGGAACAAACATTTATGTTCTTTTTCCAAGATTTTAAAGAATGACTGAAGTTAAATTTTCCCTAACTAGAAATTTCCACACAAAGCAGCCAGTAAGTCTTTGTAGTAAGACTTAGCTCCCTGATTTTTGAAACTGATATTTCCTTCTTAGAAATATGCAGGGATTTTATTAAAAATATGTGGCTTAAGGAAATTCAAAGACTTTTCCATATATTCTTTTGTCTGTTATTTCAAATGTATAAACATACAGATTGAATGCCCATTTAAGGCAAAATTATATTTATGTCTCTAATAAGATGTTTATATTCTTTTTCTACCCAACGGAGATATTGAGTGTGAAAATTGGCTACTGAAAATGAATGGGACCAATATATATGCTGTAGAGTATAAAAGTGCAAAAACAGCCAGCACAGTGGCTCATGCCTGTAATTCTAACACTTTGGGAGGATTGCTTCAGCCTGGAAGCTCGAGACCAGCCTGGGCAACACGGCAAAACCCCGTGTCTACAAAATAAAAATAAAAAAATTAGCTGGGCATAGTGGTGCATGCCTGTGGTCTCAGCTACTTAGGAGGCTGAGGTGGGAGGATCACTTAAGCCTAGGACGTCAAGGATACAGTGAGCCATGTTGGTGCTACTGCACTCCAGCCTGGGCAACAGAATGAGACCCTGTCTCAAAAAAAAAAAAAAAAAAAGTCTATAAAAGGATGTTATCTGTTGAGTAAGATAAGCATTAATTTTCAGTTAATTACTTTTGAAAGTATCAAAGTTAACACATAATGCGTATTTTAAACTCTGTCTGTTTAGTTTGGCTTGATGAAATAGTACAGATGTAAATTATGTCCTTGTTCAAATTCTGAGTATGCTACAAACCAACTGGATAATCTTGGACAAGTTATTAAACCTTTCTGGGTCTGTTTCCTCCCTGTAAATAGGACTTTTTTTGATTATTAATACATGTAAAGTATTTAACACAGTGCAAGTGATCCATAATTACAAGCTATTACTAGTATGTTCACAGAAGAATAGAGCATGGCTGTTGAATGAAAGAATCAATTGAAAATACGATTACTCTCATTTATGCAATCAGAAATAGCACACACTTTCAAATCAGTCACTTTATAAAACTATTTAATTGTTCAGGGAATACTGTTTTTACTCAAAATAATTTTGGAACTCCTTTCTTGAAATTGCCTTAAAACTACTTTATGAGCCACTTAAAATACTACCTCACCATCACCTTTTAAAATATTCATTTTTCAAGGTTAAGATCAAAGATACCACTCTTTTAAATGATTTTTCTGATTCCCTAGTTTAAAATGCTCTCCTCCTCCACTGAACTCTTAAAATGCTTTGCCTGTAACCCCCTCCTTTACTTTCTATGTATTAGAGTTTCATCTGCTCTTGCCTTCCCTATCCTACTAACAGCAAGCCCTAGGAAACATGTTTCACTTATTCGTGGATCCCGAGGGTCTCTCTCAGTTATTTTTAATTAATATTTGTTGCTCAAAGTTTGTTTTATTGATTATTAATGAGGCTGTTTGTGTCTGAATGAAGCCACACTGGATTCCTCTGACAGCCAAGGAGCAACCCTGGGCAATGGGTTCAATTTCAGCTCACTTTAACTACTTCGCCATTTTCTGTTTTTAAAGACAGGGAGTACGTCTAGGTAAAGAGCATAAGCTTTAACATCAGACCAATGACATGCTGCATGATTCCATTTGCACAAAATTTTAGAAAAGAAAAAACTGTAGGGATGGAAATAAAATCAAAGGTTGCTTGGGGGAGAGGAAGGGATTGACTTCAAAGGGACATGAGGGAATTTTGAGGGAGATAGAATGTTCTAGATCATGATAGTTGAGATGGCAGTTATAATATTGTATGCATATGTCAAAACTCACCAAAGTTTGCAATTTTATATGCAAATTATAGTTCAAAAAAAGCAGATTTAAAAATATTGAGCCAGTTAGAAACTTCAAGGAGAAGCAAAGGTGAAAGTCTGGGCCAAAGTGGGAGAAAGGAATCAAGAAGGAAAAACTCAGTAAGTTAAGCTTCATCTTAAAAAAAAACGGTACGAGAGAGAGAAATCTATGAGAAGTTAGAAGAGCTTTTCTGAATTCCACCTGATTCTCAAAGTTCAGAAAAACAAATTCACATAAACCAAGAAACCTACTAGGTGTGAAAACTTGTTCTGGATGGTGAAAGAATAAAGGAGAAAACAAATAATATTAAATGAACAAATGCTACATTTGGTGCATATTAGTAATTCAAGCTCAACAAAACAGCATGCCCGAGCCAATGACCTAAGAGCAATTAAAATGAAAAGTAGCACAGCCAGATGGAATTATTGAAAATGATGATGTGCAAAGGAAATACTAGAATGGACTTCCTGGGGAGGTGTGTTCAGAGCCAGATTTTGGAAGAAGTAATTGATCACATCGCGGGGAGCAATACTCTGGACGAGAAAGAATGTCATGAGCAAAGACCTAGAATCAGGAAATAGTAAGCGTGAGAAAATGTTATTGATTTTCCTGTTACTGTATATTTATTAGCATAGCCTTGAAGTGACATTTGCGGTCTAACACAAGTCACAATTCTTCCCGGAAAACTTCTCTGTCAGCGCATCCCAAATGGAATGCTCCAACTTCACAGAAATCCTTCAGTCTGTGCCTCACAAATTAGTATCCTGATTTGTTTCTCAACTATTTAATGTGTTCAGTTACACTATTTCTGGTGCAGGAATCATGCATTCATCCCTCTTCTACTCCCAAAAGGTGTAGTACATTCCCGGGCAAATAGCATGAAATAAGACAAAAATTTGATTTATTAGTCAAATTTAAAACTTACCTTTGAAAGAAGTAAGAACATGTTATTCCTTCAGTAAAAACATTTCCCCTTCAAGTAGAGACATATTTAACACAAAAGTAAAACACCAGAATGCCATTGCTGTGTACTTTTCCTCTGTAAAGAATGATTCTCCTCTCCCTCTCCATCTCCTTCTCCCTCTCCCTCTCCTTTCCCTTCCCCTACCAAGGACTGAAATGTTGCTGGATACTCTGTCAAAGAACTAGAAATCACTGGAGCTTGTTTGATGGTTTAAGATATTTTCTTAGTACAAGACTGGAATATGTGAGCATCAGGACTAAGTACATCATTTGTACACATATGAGGGTGGGAGGAAAATTTGGGGTTGATTCAAAAATGAAAGATTTGGGCCTTTCTGCCCATCTTCCCTCTGCTAATCTCCCTTGAAGGGATAAAATGCATATGTGAAGTGGATTCAGTTGAACTGTAAGCCCTGTTGTGGCACCCACAGGAGGCTGCAAAATAAACACTCTTCTGTGTTTAGGGGTCACTGATCGCTATCCTGCTAAGGATTTGTAAGTTGAACTTTCTTTAACCTTGAAATCCATGGAACAAATGTGTGTCCAAGAGAGTTTAACTACTGCTAACCTCATTATTGTTGATGTTTCTGTTTGATCTGGTTTTCCTTTTATATCGTTATTTATTCCCATTTACTTGATACAAGTTTCCTAGCAGTTACTGGTTTTAAAGACCTATTGGAACAACTTAGAACAACTTTTAATGATGCTGCTCTTTGGAGTCATTTTATGATAAGAAACTACCAGTTTGTTCCTTTGAATTAGACCAGTTATACTGCAATATAATAGGCTTATTCTACTCCTGTATTTCCTTACTTCTGACTTAGTCATTTCTATTGCTGAATGGTTTACTAGGGTTTATTTGTCAGTCATCACAGGAGGAACACACAGAGATATTTTTTCTCAGTAAGGAGTGTTCTACATCTCACATTCAGTCTAGGGTAATCTGGGCTCTCTGTTGTGTTCAGAGTTTAACCATTCATTATTACAATCTATGCCCACAAATACAATTAGTAAGTGGTATTTTGAGGACTCCATAAAAACACAAATCATAGGTTTACATCTGCTCTTAAGTTAAAAGAAACATGTTTTTCTTTATTATAGCCCTCTCTTTGGGGACTTTGATACAAGATTATTGGTAATCATTTGGGGATATTTTACTCTACTCAGCATTAGTCCCCCACCCAGAACATCTGGAAAAATACAGCCAATATCCAATATCGGTATATACAAAAATAGTCCTTTGATAAATATTTATATATCTTTAATAATTTTGTATTTGCCTTCATATAATGAGAAGAGGCAGAATGACTTACTTTGCTTCAATTTGCTACTGCAGCTGCTTCCAAGCAATTCAAATGCACATTGCCTTTCTTATACTCAAATCTTTTAGGATCTCTGGAAAAATTCTAGGCATGTAAGATGGTTTTTGCACTACCCTCTTCAATTTTTTTCATCTTTCATGTTTGCATACCTGCAAGTGGTTAACCAATCAAGCAAGCAAATTAAAAAAACAAAAGAAGAAAAAAAACCCAGTTGAATTTAGTTAACTGGCCCATTATTTTGAAAATAAGTTAACAAGTGAATAAAAAAGTATATATTGGCCCTTTAAATTCAATCGTTTGTGTAAACTTTTAGAGTTATTTGTATGTAAAATAATTATGTGTATTAAATCACAAATTGAGCATGAAGAGTGTCAGAAAACTAATAAACACCTAAAAACAATGATTTCCTGAGATCCAAGAATTTAAATGTATTTAGAAAAGTAGAGAAAGAAGAAAAAGCAAGAAATTCCATTGAATCTAAAAGAAATGTACCTTTTCAGTATATCTTGAAATACTTTTTATCTTTTCTCTTTTTTTTCAACTTTTATTTTTAGATCCAGGGGCACATATGCAGGTTTGTTACATGAGTATATTGTATGATGCTGAGGTTTGGGGCATGAATGGTCCTGTCACCCAGGTACTGAGTATAGTACCCAAAAGTTAGTTTTTCAACACTTTCTTCCCTCCCTCCCTCCCTTTCCCCTCTAGCAGTCCCCAATATTTGATAGTGGGTATATTTTCCCGTATGTTCTGGGTGGGGACTAATAGTAAGTAGAGTAAAATAATCCCTAAATGATGACTAGTCTTGCATCAAAGTCACCAAAGAGAGGCCTATAATAAAGAAAAAATATCTTTCTTTTAACTTAAAAACAGATTTGAACCTGTCAGTTATATTTTTATGAAGTCTTCAAAATACCATTTACTAACTGCAGGATTAGATTGTAACAATGAATTGTTAAACTCTGAACACAACAGAGAACCCAGATTACCCTAGACTAAATGTGAGCTGTAGAACATTCTTTATTGAGAAAAATATCTCTGTATGTTCCTCCTGTGATGACTGGCAAATAAACCATGGCAAGTCACTTGGCAATAGGAATGATTAAGACAGAGTAATAAAATATAGGAGAAGAATAAGCCTATTATATTACAGCATAATTGGTCTATTGTTGCCATCTTTATGTCCATGAGTACCCAACGTTTACCTCCCAGTTATACGTGAGAATATGCAGTATTTGGTTTTCTGTTTCTGCATTAATTTGCTTAGGATAATGGCTTCCAGCTGCATCCATGTTGCTGAAAAGGACATGATTTCATTCTTGCTTATGGCTGCATAGTATTCCATGGTTTATATGTACCACATTTTCTTTATTCAATCCACTGTTGATGGGCACCTAGGTTGATCCCATGTCTTTGCTACTGTGAATACTGCTGCAATGAAAATGCAAGTGCATGTGTTTTGTTTTGTGTTTGTTGTGTGTGTCTGTGTGTGTGTGTGTGTGTGTGTGTGTTTGGAAGAATGATTTGTTTTTTTTTTTTTTTTTTGGATATATACCCAGAAATGGGATTCCTGGGTTGAATGATCACTCTGTTTTAAGATCTTTGAGAAATCTCCAAACTGCTTTACAAAGTATCTGAACTAATTTACATTCCCATCAATCATGTATAACCATTCCCTTTTCTCCACAGTCTTGCCAACATCTGTTGTTTGTTGACTTTTTAGTAATAGCCACTCTGACTGGTGTGAGATGGTATCTCATTGTGGTTTTGATTTGCATTTCTCTGATGATTAATGATGTGAAGCATTTTTTCATATGGTAGTTGGCCACTTGTATGGCTTCCTTTCAGAAGTCTGTTCATGTTTTTTGCTTATTTTTAATAGGGTTATTTGTTTTTTGCTTGTTCAATTAATTTCCTTATAGATTCTGGATCTTAGACCTTTGTCAGACGCATAGCTTGTGAATATTTTCTCTCATTCTGCAGGTTATTTGCTCACTCTGTTGATAGTTTATTTTGCTGTACAGAAACTCTTTAGTTTAATTAGGTCCCACTTGTCAATTTTTGTTTTTTTGCAATTGCTTTCGAGGACTTAGTCATAAATCATAAATTCTTTCCCAAGGCAGATGACCAGAATGATATTTCCTATGTTTTCTTCTAAGATTCTTGTATTTTGAGATGTAACATTAATCTTTAATCCATCTTGAGTTGATTTTTGCATATGGTGAAAGGTAAGAGTTCAGTTTCATTCTTCTGCATATGGCTAGCCTGCTATCTACCCCAGCACCATTTATTGAATAGGGAGTCCTTTCCCCATTGCTTATTTTTGTTGACTTTGTCAAAGATTAGATGGCTATAGGTGTGCAACTTTATTTCTGGGTTCTCTATTCTGTTCCATTGGTCTGTGTCTGTTTTTGTACAGTACATTCTGTTTTCGTTATTATAGCCTTATATAATTTGAAACTGGGTAATGTGATGGCCTTCAGCTTTATTCTTTTTGCTTAGGATAGATTTGGCTATTTGGGCTATTTTTCAGTTGTATATGAATTTTAGAATATATTCCGTGAAAAATAAGGTTGGTCGTTTGATAGGAATAGCGTTGAATCCGTAGATTGCTTTGGGCACCATGGCCATTTTAATAATATTAATTCTTCCAATCCATGAGCATGGAATATGTTTCCATTTGTTTATGTCATCTATGATTTATTTTAGCAGTGTTTTGTAGTTCTCCTTGTAGGTCTTTTGTAGATCTTTTACTTCCTTGCTTAGATGTATTTGTAGGTATTTTATTTGTTTATGTGTGGCTATTGTAAATGGGATTACATTCTTGATTTGTCTCTCAGCTTAAATGCTATTGGTGTATAGAAATGCTACTGACTTTTTGTACGTTGATTTTGTCTCCTGAAACTTTACAGAAGTAAACTTTATTAGTTCCAGGAGTCTTTTGGTATAGTCTTTAGGGTTTTCCAGATACAGAATCATATCATCCATGAAGATAGATAGTTTGATTTTTTTTTTTCTAATTTGGATGCCTTTTCTTTCTCTTAACATGATTGCTCTGGTTAGCACTTCCAGTGGTATGCTGAACAGGAGTGGTAAGAGTAGGCATCCTTGTCTCATTCCAGTTCTCAAGAGAAATGCTTTCAGTTTTTGCCCATTCAGTATGGTATCAGCTGTGGGTTTGCCATATATGGGTCTTACAATTTTAAATTATGTTCCTTTGATGACTAGTTTCTTGAGGATTTTTAAGATAAAGGGATGTTGGATTTTATGGAAAGCTTTTTCCATGGAGCTTGAGATGATCATACGGTTTTGGTTTTTAATTCTGTTTACGTGGTGGATCACATTTATTGATTTGCATATGTTAAGCCAACCTTGCATCCCAGGAATGAAGCCTTCTTGATCATGGTGAATTAACTTTCTGATGTGCTATTGAAATCCATTTGCTAGTCTTTTGTTGAGGATTTTTACCCCTATGTTCATCGGGGATATTGGCCTGTAGTTTTCTTTTTCATTGTGTCTTTGCCAGGTTTTGATGTCAGGGTGATGCTAGCTTCATAGAATGAGTTGGAAAGGAGTCCCTTCTCTTCAGTTTTTCAGAATAGTTTCAGTAGAGTTTGTACCAGCTTTTCTTTGTACATCTGGTAAAACTCAGTTGTGAATACATCTTATTGGTAGGTTTTTTATTACTGGTTAAATTTTGGAACTAGATATTGGTGTCAAGGTTTCGATTTCTTCCTGATTCAATCTTGGGAGATCATGTGTTTACAGGAATTTATCTATTTCCTCTACATTTTCTAGTTCGTGTGCACAGAGATGTTCATAGTAGTCTCTGAGGATCTTTTGTGTTTCTGTGAGATTGGTTGCTATGTCATATTTGTCATTTCTGATTGTGCCTATTTCGATCCTCTCTCTTTTTTAATCTGTTAATCTATTTAACAATCTTTCAATCTTACTTATCCTTTCTAAGAACCAACTTTTGGTTTCATTGATTCTTTGTATAGATTTTGGGGTCTCAATTTCATTCAGTTCTGCTCTAATGTTAATTATTTCTTTTCTCATGCTAGCTTTGATGTTGGTTTGTTCTTGTGATAAACAATATTTTTAATCTTTTAGACACATGATGTTACACAGGTCAGCCACCTACCAACTTAAGGTACAGCATGAAAGCCAGAAAGTCACTATGGACACACATAGAGATGACATGTCTTGTAGCTGGAAAGCAAACTGTGCTGAAAAGCAGACCCAGGATTTCACTGAGAGGAGCAGAGTTACTCCTGAGTTGCCCCATCCTGGGGCAAAATTCCTCTCCTTCTATGTACCTGTGAAGTGAGATAGCCAGTTATCCACTTCCAAAATATAATGATGGAACAGGCATGGAATAACAGTTATGGACAGTTCTATCCCAGAAGAGAGAAAATAAAAGGAAGAAAAAAGTTACTTGTCACAAGCAATTTTGAAATCCAGCAGGGCAAAATCCATTAGGCTTCAAGGTCTGGGAATAATCCTCTGTGACTGGAGGCTCCACTTGCTGTAGCTCAAGATTCTACTCTCTGGGTCTGTGGCTCTGTCCTTGAAGAGCAGCTGAATAATTCTATCAACCTGTTTCCTGCTGCCTTTCAGGGCTAAGGTATGTGTTCACCCAGATGCTGAGAGTGTTAGCAGCTGGCAGCTTTCAGCTGAATTTGTCTTGTGACCTCAACCTTAACAAG
Organism: Homo sapiens; assembly: GCF_000001405.40. NCBI lineage: Eukaryota > Metazoa > Chordata > Mammalia > Primates > Hominidae > Homo > Homo sapiens. The sequence goes on from NC_000012.12 coordinate 63,365,945, forward strand.
CTACCCAAAGCCATTCCTCTCCTCCATAGAGGAAGCCTGCATTCAATGGTTGGTCGTTGTGGACCACCTCTGAAGTGCCTTCACAGCATAGTATTTTTTGTAGAATTGACTGAGGACTTTGTTTTTTGTTTTTTGAGATGGAGTCTCGCTCTGTTGCTAGGCTGGAGTGCAGTGGCATGATCTCCACTCACTGCAACCTCTGCCTCCTGGGTTCAAGTGATTCTCCTGCCTCAGCCTCCCAAATAGCTGGGACTACAAGCATGCGCCACCATGCCTGGCCAATTTTTGGTATTTTCATGGAGACAGGGTTTCAAGATGTTGGCCAGGAGGGTCTCTATCTCCTGACCTCATGATCTGCTTGCCTCGGCCTACCAAAGTGCTGGGATTATAGGCGTGAGCCACCACACCCCGCCAGGACTTTGTTTTTTATTACTATTACTTTTTATTACTATTACTATTATTTTACTTTAAGTTCTGGGATATATGTGGAAAATGTGCAGGTTTGTTACATAGGTATACATGAGCCATGGTGGTTTGCTGCACCTATCAACACATTATCTAGGTCTTAAGCCCCGCATGCATTAGATATTTGTCCTAATGCTCTCCCTCCACTTGCTCCCCAACCCCTGAGAAGCCCCAGTGTGTGTTGTCCCCTTCCCTGTGTCCATGTGTTCTCATTGTTCAACTCCAACTTATGAGTGAGAACATATGGTGTTTGGTTTTCTGATCCTGTGTTAGTTTGCTGAGAATTATGGCTTCCAGCTTCATCCATGTCCCTGCAAAGTACATGATCTCATCCTTTTTAATGGCTGCATAGTATTCTATGGTGTATATGTGCCACATTTTCTTTATCCAGTCTATCATTGATGGGCATTTGGGTTGGTTCCAAGTCTTTGCTATTGTAAATAGTGCTGCAGTAAACAAACATGTGCATGTGTCTTTATCGTAGAATGATTTATAATCCTTTGGGTATATGCCCAGTAATGGGCTTGCTGGGTCAAATGGTATTTCTGGTTCTAGATCCTTGAGGAATAGCCACACTGTCATCCACAATGGTTGAACTAATTTACACTCACACCAACAGTGTAAAAGCATTCCTATTTCTCCACAGCCTTTCCAACATCTGTTGTTTCCTGACTTTTTAATAATCGCCATCCTAACTGGCATGAGATGGTATCTCATTGTGGTTTTGATTTGCATTTCTCTAATGATCAGTGATGATGAGCTTTGTTTCATATGTTTGTCGGCCACATAAAAGTCTTTTGTTTTTGAGAAGTGTCTGTTCATATCCTTCGCCCACTTTTTGATGGAGTTGTTTGTTTTTTTCATGAAAATTTGTTTAAGTTCCTTGTAGATTCAGGATATTACACTTTTGTCAGATGGATAGATTGCAAAAATTAACTCCCATTTTGTAGGCTTCCTGCTCACTCTGATAATAGTTTTTGTTTGTTTTCCTATGCAGAAGCTCTTTAGTTTAATTACATCCCATTTGTCAATTTTGGCTTTGGTTGCAATTGCTGTTGGTGTTTTTGTCCCAAAGTATTTGTCCATGCCTATGTTCTGAATAGTACTGCCTAGGTTTTCTTCTAGGGTTTTTATGGTTTGGGGTTTTACATTTACATCTTTAATCTGTCTTGAGTTAATTTTTGTATAACGTCTAAGGAAGCGGTCCAGTTCCAGTTTTCTGCATATAGCTAGCCAGTTTTCCCGACACCATTTATTAAATAGGGAATCCTTTCCCCATTGCTTGTGTGTGTCAGGTTTGTCTAAGATCAGATGGTTGTAGATGTGTGGTGTTATTTCTGAGGTCTCTGTTCTGTTCCATTGGTCTATATATCTTTTTTGGTACCAGTACCATGCTGTTTTGGTTACTGTAGCCTTGTAGTATAGTTTGAAGTCAGGTAGCAAGATGCCTCTAGCTTTGTTATTTTTGCTTAGCATTGCCTTGGCTATATGGGCTCTTTTTTGGTTCCATATGAAATTTAAAATAGTTTCTTCTAATTCTGCAATAAAGTCAATGATAGCTTGATGAGAATAGCATTGAATCTACAAATTACTTTGGGCAGTATGGCCATTTTCATGATATTGACTCTTTCTATCCATGAGCATGGAATGTTTTTCTATTTGTTTGTGTACTCTCTTATTTCCTTGAGCAATGATTTGTAGTTCTCCTTGAAGAGGTCCTGCACATCCGTTGTAAGTTGTATTCCCAGGTATTTTATTCTCCTTGTAGCAATTGTGAATGGGAGTTCATTCATGATTTTGCTCTCTGCTTGTCTATTGCTGGTGTATAGAAATGTTTGTGATTTTGGCACATTGATTTTGTATCCTGAGACTTTGCTGAAGTTGCTTATCAGCTTAAGGAGTTTTGGGGCTGAGATGATGGAATTTTCTAAATATACAAACATGTCACCTGCAAAGAGAGACAACTGACTTCCTCTCTTCTTGTTTGAATACACTCTATTTCTTTCTCTTGCCTGATTGCCCTGGCCAGAACTTCCAATACTATGTTGAATAGGAGTGGTGAGAGAGGGCATCCTTATCTTGTGATGGTTTTCAAAGGGAATGCTTCTAGCTTTTGCCCATTCAGTATGATATTGTCTATGGGTTTGTCATAAATAGCTCTTATTATTTTGAGATATGTTCCATCAGTGCCTAGTTTCTTGAGAGTTTTTAACATGAAAGGATGTTGAATTTTATCAAAGGCCTTTTCTGTATCTATTGAGATAATCATGTGGTTTTCATCATTGGTTCTGATTATGTGATGGATTATGTTTACTGATTTGTGTATGTTGAACCAGCCTTGCATCCCAGGGATGAAGCTGACTTGATTGTGGGGGATAAGCTTTTTAATGTGCTGCTGGATTTAGTTTGCCAGTATTTTATTCAGGATTTTTGCATTGATGTTCATCAGGGATATTGGGCTGAAGTTTTCTTTTTTTGTTCTTGTGTCTCTGCCAGGCTTTGGTATCAGGATGCTGCTGGCCTCATAAAATGAGTTAGGGAGGAGTCCATCTTTTTTTATTGTTTGGAATAGTTTCAGAAGGAATGGTACCAGCTCCTCTTCATAACTCTGGTAGAATTTGGCTGTGAATCCATTTGGTCCTGGGCTTTTTTGGTTAGTTGACTATTAATGCCTGAATGTTCTTGGCATATTCAGGGATTCAACTTCTCCCTGGTTTAGACTTGAGAGGGTGTATGTTCCCAGGAATTTATTCATTTCTTCTAGATTTTCTAGTTTATTTGTGTAGAGGTGTTTATAATATTCTCTGATGGTAGTTTGTGTTTCTGTGTGATCAGTGGTGATTTCCCCTTTATCATTTTTATTGTGTGCATTTGCTTCTTCTCTCTTTTCTTCTTCATTAGTCTAGCTAGTGGTCTATCTATTTTGTTAATTTTTGCAAAAAAACAGCTCTTGGGTTCATTGATTTTTTGAAGGGTTTCTCGTGTCTCCATCTCCTTCAGTTCTGCTCTGATCTTAGTTATTTCATGTCTTCTGCTAGCTTTTGAATTGTTTTTGCTCTTGCTTCTCATTCTTTTAATTGTGTTGTTAAGGTGTCGATTTTAGATGTTTACAGCTTTCTGATGTAGGCATTTAGTGCTATAAATTTCCCTCTAAACACTGCTTTGGCTGTGTACCAGAGATTCTGGTATGTTGTTTCTGTTCTCATTGGTTTTAAAGAACTTTGTGATTTCTGCCTTAATTTTGTTATTTACCCAGTAGTCATTCAGGAGCAGATTGTTCAGTTTCCATGTAGTTGTGTGGTTTTGAGTGAGTTTCTTAATCCTGAGTTCTAATTTGATTGTGCTGTGGTCTCAGAGACTGTTTGTTATGATTTCCATTATTCTGCATTTGCTGAGGAGTGTTTTACTTCCGATTATGTGGTCAATTTTAGAATAAGTGCCATGTGGCACTGAAAAGAATGTATATTCTGTTGATTTGTGGTTGAGAGTTCCGTAGATGTCTACTAGATCCACTTGATCTAGAACTGAGTTTGAGTTCTGAATATCCTTGTTAATTTTTTGTCTCATTGATCTGTCTAATATTGACAGTGTGTGTTAATGTCTCTCACTATTATTATGTGGGAGTCTAAGTCTCTTTGTAGGTCTCTAAGGACTTGCTGTATAATATATACTCCTGTACTGGGTGTATATATATATTTAGGATAGTTAGGTCTTCCTGTTGCATTGATCCTTTTACCTTTATGTAATGTCTTTCTTTGTCTTTTTTGATCTTTGTTGGTTTAAAGTCTGTTTTATCAGAGACTAGGATTGCAACCCCCGCTTTTTTTTGCTTTCTATTTGCTTGGTAAATATTTCTCCATCCTTTTATTCTGAGCCTATGTGTGTCTTTGCACATGAGATGCGTCTCCTGAATACAGCACACCAATGAGTCTTGACTCTTTATCCAATTTGCCAGTCTGTGTCTTTTAATTGGGGCATTTAGCCCATTTATGTTTAAGGTTAATATTTTTATGTGTGAATTTGATTCGGTCATCATGATGCTAGCTGGTTATTTTGCACATTAATCGATGCATTTTCTTCATAGTGTCATTGGTCTTTATATTTTGGTGTGCTTTTGTAGTGGCTGGTACCAGTTTTTCCTTTTCATATTTAGTGCTTCCTTTAGGAGCTCTTGTAAGGCAGGCCTGGTGGTGACAAAATCCTTCAGCATTTGCTTGTCTGGAGAGGATTTTGTTTCTCCTTCTCTTATGAAGCTTAGTTTGGCTGGATATGAAATTCTGGGTTGAAAATTCTTTTCTTTAAGAATGTTAAATATCGGCCCCTCTTTCTTATTGCTTGTAGGGTTTCTGCAGAGGGATCCACTGTTACTCTGATGGGCTTCCCTTTGTAGATGACCCAACCTTTCTCTTTGGCTGCCCTTAATATTATTTCCTTCATTTCAACCTTGGTGAATCTGACGATTATGTGTCTTTGGGTTGATCTTCTTGTGGAGTATCTTATCTTAGTGGTGTTCTCTGTATTTTCTGAATTTGAATGTTGGCCTGTCTTGCTAAGTTGGGGAAGTTCTCCTGGATAATATCCAGAAGTGTGTTTTCCAACTTGGTTCCATTCTCCTCATCACTTTCAGGTACACTAATCAAATGTAGTTTGGTCTTTTCACATAGTCCCATATTTCTCAGAGGCTTTGGTTGTTCCTTTTCATTCTGTTTTCTCTAATCTTGTCTGCATGCTCTGTTTCAGCAAGGTGGTCTTCAATCTCCGATATTCTTTCTTCTGCTTCATCAATTTGGCCATTTATACTTGTGTACGCTTCATGAAGTTCTCATGCCGTGTTTTTCAGCTCCGTCGGATCATAACACACCATATTAACTCTGCCCAATAGATGAGGTTACTTGTCATATACATGAGGTCATCTGGGGCTTAATAACAAAGGATTTTGCAATAACTTTTGAAAGTACAAAAGCTTTGAGATGGAGTTTCTTTCCAGGAGCATGAAGAAGAGATCATTTTTTTGCTTGAGTTCCAAAGCACTTTCCTGGAGATTAAACTATTAAATATAAAGCAAGAATCCCTTTAGGGGTGAATGTGGGAATGTGACCCAGAAAAGTAACTTTAAGAATATGTAATTGGTCATGATGAAGAGCTTGTATCCAACTTAGTTTCCTGCCATACACAAAGAAAAAACTGCAAAAATGTGTGAAACTATTCTATTATTTTCTGGTCATTAGTAGATCATACAGATCTACTCATAATAACCATTCTCTCACAATGATTCTCTCATGATCATTGAGAGAATGGAAGTAAACAATGTGAGCTCTATACTTACTCCAACTTTCTTTCTGGGAGAACTTTCCATATCATGATGCATAGAACTGAAGCCCAAAGAGAAAGTAGCACTCTCACAGGTCAAAGGAGACAGAAGAAAGTTTGAGGTTGCTGGAATAGTTAGAATTTTCAGGGCAGGCCACTAAAGAGAAAGGAGCCACAGAGAAGGGGTTCCACCAATGTAAAAAGCCATATTACATATGGGGGAAGATAAGTACGATAGCTGAGTTACCTCAAATACAGTGGAGGACAGAAGACAATAGAAAGAGAAGAAACTGCCAGCCCAAAATTATACATCCAGCAATACATGTTTCAAAAAAGGGGACTGAAATAAAAATATTTCAGAAAAACGAAAGTAGGAAAATTTGTTGCAGCATTTTTGAGCCCCAGGAAATTGTAAAGAATGGTCTTTAGGCTAAAGGTAAAGGATACTAGATGAAAACTCTACAGGAAGAAAGAAGAGCTTGGAAATAGAAAATAAGTCAGTATTATAAAAAGTTACTGTTATTACCTAGTATTTTCTTGAAAGATACTTATTCTTTAAAGTAAAAAATAATAATGATATAGTTTTGGAGTTATTTAGTGTATCAAAATAAAAGATAGGCAATGCTATCACAATGAATGATAGGGAGGGTAATGCAATTATACTATTGTAAGTTATCAAATTTGTGAAGTGAGAAGTGGAAATGTGAGAAGTATGAAATAGGAACTGAGAAGATTCAGATGATTAAGAGTAAGTAGGAAGTAGATCAGGTATGAAATGTGAAGTGGTAAAATATTGACTCTGAATAGACTTTGTTAAGGTAAAAATGAACACCGCTAGCCTTGTAAATGGAATACTATAATCAACAAATAAATTCAATTGGCCCAAAAAAATTCAGGAGAGGAGCAGGAGAGAAGCAAAATACTTAAGGGACATGAGAAAAAAACAAATGGGTGCTAGGATTAAATCCTACTATATCCATAAATACATTAAATATAAATAAACCAACCAAACTCTCCCATTTAAAGCAGAGACTGTCACTACACACTGTCTCAAAGAGGTGCACTTTAAATTCAAAGAAGCAAATAGATTAAAAGTAAGAGGATAGAAAAAGATATACCAAACAAATTGTAAGCATAAGAAATCTGGTGTTATAATATTAATTTCAAACAAAGTAGATTTCAGAGATAGAGACAATTCATGATGACAATAAAGGCATTTCTTCAGAAAGACGTAACAACCTTAAATGTACATTCACTAATAACAGAGCTTTAAAAATGACGAAGCAAAAACCTAACACAACTTAAAAAGGAAAAAGACAAGTTCACAAATTAGTTTGACTTTTTTAGCAGTCTTTCCTCTTCCCCACATAACTGATGAAAGAAATAGACCAAAAATAATTCAAGATACAGACAGTCTGAACAACAGTAAAAATCAGTTTGATCTTACTGACATTTATAAAACACTACATCAAAAAAAACTGCAAAATAACCATTTTTTTTGAAGCATCCTTTGGATGTTCACTAAGATAAGCCTATACTGGACCATAAAATAAGTCTCAGTACATTTTTAGGGATTGAAATCTTAAGTGTATGCTCTCACTCCATCTATATAATTTATGGATTTAAATTATAAATACAAAACAGTAAGATATCTAGAAAATCCTTCAAATATTTAGAAATTTAAAAACACATTTCTAATTAATGTATTATGATTTTAAAATAATAATTTAATAGAATAGAATAGAGACTCCAGAAATAGACCCACATACATATGGCAAATTGATTGTGTAAAGTCAACAGCTTAATTCAATGGAAAAAGGATAATCTTTAAACAAGTAGTGCTGAAACAACCGGATATCAATATGGGACAAAAGAAGCTATGCTATTTTCCTCACACCAAATATAAAAATTAATTAGAATTATAGGCTTAAATATAAAAACTGAGACTATTAAACTTCTAGAAGAATATATAAAAGAAAGTCTCCATTACCTTGTACAGCAAGGAATTTTTAGCCAGGACACTAAAAGTATTACCTGTGAAAAAAAAATTGATAGATTCAACTTTAATTAAAAATTCTACTATTCAAAAGATATTGATAAAAATCAAATAACATCAATAAAAAATTAAAACTCAAGATGCATACTGAAGAAAATGATATATATTTTTATCCAGAATATATAAAGAACATTTACAAGTTAATAACAAAATAAAACAATGAAAATAAACAAATGTTTTGGACAGATTCTTCTTCAAAACAAACAAACAAACAAACAAACAAACAAGGATTAGTGAATGACCAACAATTACATGAGCAGAGGCACAACATCATTGGTCATCAGAGAAATACAAGTTAAAACCACACGAGATACTACATACATACTAGAATGCCCAAAATTTAAAAAGTTCAATTGCATGTATTGGTAAGGATACAGAGCATCTGGAACTCCCAAAATTACTGGTGAGAGTGCAAAATGGAGCAAGCTTTTTGGAGATATATTTGGTAGTATCTCATAAATTTAAATATATGCTTACTGTATGATCCAGCAATTCAACTCCTAGGCATTTACAGAAGTAAAATGAAAATATATTTCTACAAAAAGACTCAAGTAAAATACTCATAGCAACTGTAACAGTCAAAAACTGGAAACAACCCGAATGTTAATCAAAGGAGAATGAATGACTTTGGCTTATTTACATATAGTATATATATACAGTGAAATAACACATAACAAAAAAGAATAAACTTCTGAACACATAGCAACATGAGCCAATCTTAAGAATATTATGTTGGCCAAAAGAAGGTAAACATAAAGGAATACTAATTGATTCTTATTTAGATGAAGCTCAAAAATATGCAAAACTAATATAGGATGATAAAAATCTAAGTACTGATTGCCTCTGAAGAAATGTTGGCTGATTTAAGGGGAGCCCAGGGGAATTTTCTAGATTTTTTAAAAAGTCTTCAACTTTTATTTTAAGTTCAGTAGTACCTCTGCAGGATGTGCAGGTTTGTTACACAGGTAAACATGTGTCATGGTGGTTTGCCGCACAGATCGTCCCATCACTAGGTATTAAGCCCAGCATCCATTAGCTATTCTTCCTGATGCTCTCCCTCCTTCCTTCACTGCCCCCTCCACACACAGGTCCCAGTGTGTGTTGTTCCCCCAATGTGTCCATGTGTTCTCATCATTCAGCTCCCACTTATAAGTGAGAGCATGTGGTGTTTGGTTTTCTGTTGCTGTGTTAGTTTGCTGAAGATAATGGTTTCCAGCTCCATCCCTGTCCCTGTAAAGGACAAAATTTTGCTCTTTTTTATGGCTGCTAGTGGGAATTTTCTAGATTAATGGAAATTTTCTAAATTTGGATATAGGCAATTGTTACAGAAGCATGAAATTTGCCAAACTGTGTTTGCAAAGTGGCCAGAGGACTTTTTCTTACCTTGGAGTGAGTGAATACGCTGTGATATGCTATGAGGCTAGCCCTGGTCTCATATGTCACTCTTAGCATGGAAAAATTATCCCCATCAAATACATTTTAAGAAATGATGGAAGACAAAAATAAAATTTATTTACTTCTCAAGATTCCACTTGTTCAGTGTCAATTTTTTACCTTAAATATTAATATTTTACTAATATTAATTTATCAATATTAATAGATTAATAATGTAGGTTCCGTTGAATTTGGTGCACCTCTGACAATTCTGACCTTGTGGTAACTTATTTCTCCCTATGCTTGCCTCTGAGTCAACTATCACGAGCCTTTGTTTCTCTAGCAGGTCTTAAAGTCCTTTGGCCTTTTGTTATAAATCACAAATTTAAATTATTTTGTTATCAAAAACACAAATGCAATTTTGGAGACAAATCTTATGGGAATGTTCAATTATAAAGTAGTCTTCCAAAACATTCAGAATGTGTATTTATAAGTATTTGAATGTGTGTATTAGATTAGCCTATGGTCCTCATGTCTCCAGTTTGAAAAACACTGCTAATTAGAGAGACATCTGTGTATTAGGAAGAAGAAAACATTATAATCTAGAGTCAATTCTAACTACTCACCTAACTGCTCTTTGCCTCAGTTTTTCTATCTGTACAATGGGTGAAATGATATTCATCCTACCTTATCCAGATAAGATTTTCAAAAAGAGAGGTGCCTTGAAATGAAATGACATATGAAAGTTCAAAGAAATGTTTTGTGAATTTAAATATAAATAATGTAATAATGCAGGCCATATTAACTAGTATCTGAGATTTTATCAAGAATCAGATTCTAGTTTTTCATGTTTTATCACACGAAGCAAGACCCTTATTGAAGTTGATCTAAAAATAAAGTCATTTGAAGAGAATGAAAATTTTGCCTAGATCATCATCATCTTGTTTCAAAGGCGCCTTGAATAGGCAGCAAATGTAACTTATTGATGGGGATACTCTATTCGTCTACTAAAGTTTTCATCAATGAGCACTTTTTATTTCCTTTAATTGCTTAAAAATTGCTTAGGTGCTTCATTTCCAACTGGAATTTTGGGAAAATTTTTTTAGTAGAATATGTTTTTCTGCATTTAAAATAAAAAGTCTCAGATCTAGTTATAATTTTATATAAGGGCAAAGAGATGATCTTTGCAATTGCTTCAAGTCCTATTGCCCTTTGATTCTCTTTGTCCAGCCTGTTTAGTCTCATAATATTTGGTCAGTTCCAAAATTTTAAGTTATGAAGATGTAAGGTTTTTACATTGGCTTATCTTGTCCTGTCCACAGTACGCCTTGCAAAAAATTCACCCCAAAGTATATTTCATTTCCCAAACTTCCAAAAGGGAAAGGTAGATATAAAATACATTCTCAAACAAAGGGAAAATTATCCTATCTACTTTTGATTAATGTGTTAAAATACATTTTAAACAAAGAAGAAATCAGATTTTTATTGCAGTATAACAGGAAAAAGTTATCATTTTGTTCATAACTTTTTCCTCCTGTTGAACATAGTGATATTTTAAAATATATAATGAGTAGTAGAATATGAATTAAATAAATTTGTGCTGCATAAAAAAGATAAAAACATAGTTTCTTCCAACAACCTAGAGGAACTTTCTGTGGAAATATGATTGTAATGGAAAAAAGAATGCCCAATTGTTTTATGTATTAATAAAGAATTCCATTGGGCTTCTGTGAATGAATTTGTGATTAGGTGAAATAATACAGAAGAAAAATTTGAAAGATTAATACAAATTATGAAAAGTTGTTTTTAAAAATTATTCCTTCCTTCTTTTACCCCACCTTAATTGAAGAAAACTTTTCTTTCTTCAAGCTCTCTTGTACTAGGTCATATAGCTGTAAATTCCTAAGTTATTAATTTGATAAGAATAAGCATTCTTTCCCTGAATCTCCTTTTTGAACTCTCTCACTTAATATATTAGGGTTTTAGCTCTGCTTTTATAAAATATCATAAAAAAGGTTCTTTAATTTTTTTATTAACTCTGATAACATGTACCAAAAAAGATGGGAACATAGGATTTAATCACTCCTTGCCCATAAACTAGCTGGGTGGCCTCAGACCTCAGTCTCCTCATCTCCAAGTATAAATATTAATACCTTATCATCATAACACCAGACAGCTGTACAAAATCACCCCCAACTTCCAACTTCTAACTCTAAATTATTTTCACCTCTAGTTTCTGTATTTTCTGTGATCCTGTTGAACTTTAAGCTATTATCTGACTACAATAAGTTGGATGTGCTATCAAAAGTTTGCAGGGCACATTTACTAAGCTTTTTGTGGGTTGGGAGTGGGGATAATTCATTTCTAGTGTAAAGCCTCCCAGAATCTCCTTTTGGTTAGATCTTTATATGCATGTTTACTTCAGCTGATTCTATGCTTTGGCTCTGTAGGAATTAAGCTTTCCTTGAAGGAGTGTTCTATAAAAGGCCATTGTTTTGTATCATTAAATATGAGAATACGACACATGCAATATGGTAGCTGTAATTAGTGTTTATGGTTCCAAATTAAGAGAAACAGAATATCTTCCTGAACTAATATGAAATTTTTATTAATGCTTATGGTGGGAGATAAACCAAAGAAATACAGGCACCTCAAGTTGGCCGAATAGAAACAGCACTGGTCTGCAGCTCCCAGTGAGAGGCAGGTGATTTCTGCATTTCCAACTGAGGTACCCAGTTCATCTCATTGGGACTGGTTGGACAGTGGGTGCAGCCAACAGAGGGCAAGTCAAAGCAGGGTGGGGCATTGCCTCACCTGGAAAGCACAAGGAGTCAGGGAATTTTCTCCCCTACCCAAGGGAAGCTGTGAGGGTCTGAGCCTGAGGAGCTCTGGCACAGATATTGCACTTGTCCTGCGGTCTTTGCAACCCACAAACCAGGAGATTCCTTCTGGTGTCTACCCCACCAGGACCCTGGGTTTCAAGCACAGAACTGGGCAGCCAATTGGGCAGATACCAAACCAGCTGCAGGAGCTCTTTTTTTTTTTTCCCATACCCCAGTAGCACCTGGAATGCCAGTGAGACAGAACCTTTCACTCCCCTGGAAAGGGGTGCTGAAGCCAGGGAGCTTATAGCAGACTTAAACATCCCTGCCTTATGGTTCTGAAGAGAGCAGCAGACCTCCCAGCACAGTGTTCGAGCTCTGCTAAGGGTCAGACTGCCTCCTCAAGCGGATCCCTGACCCCTGTGTATACTGACTGGGAGACATCTCCCAGTAGGGACCAACAGACACCTCATACAGGAGAATTCTGGCTGGCATCTGGCAGGTGCCCCTCTGGGTCAAAGCTTCCAGAGGAAAGACCAGGCAGCAACCTTTGCTGCTCTGTAGCCTCCACTGGTGATACCCAGACAAACAGGGTTGGGAGTGGACCTCCAGCAAACTCCAGCAGACTGGCAGCAGAGGGTCCTGTTAGAAGGAAAAGAAACAAACAGAAAGGATTAGCACATCCAGTCAAAGACCCCATTTGAAGACCAAAGGTAGATAAATCCAAAAAGATGGGGTAAAATCAGTGCAAAAAGCCTGAAAATACAAAAACAAGAATGCCTCTCCTCCTCCAAAGGATCACAACTCCTTGCCAGCAAGGGAACAAAACTGGACAGAGAATGAGTGTGATGACCTGACAGAAGTAGGCTTCAGAAGGTTGGTAATAACAAACTCCTCCGAGCCAAAGGAACACGTAGAGTGTAGAGAAGAACATAAATGACCTGATGGAGCTGAAAAACACAGCACGAGAACTTCATGACGAATACACAAGTATCAATAGCCAAACTGATCAAGTGGAAGAAAGGATATCAGTGATTGAAGACGAACTTAATGAAATAAAGAGAGAACACAAGATTAGAGAAAAAAGAATAAAAAGGAATGAACAAAGCCTCCAAGAAATATGGGACTATGTGAAAATACCAAATCTACGTTTGAATGGTGTACCTGAAAGTGACAGGGAGAATGGAACCAAGCTGGAAAACACTCTTCAGGATATTATTCAGGAGAACTTCCTCAACCTAGCAAGACAGGCCAACATTCAAATTCTGGAAATACAGAGAACACCACAAAGATACTCCTCGAGAAGAGCAAGACAGATAATCATCAGATTCACCAAGGTTGAAATGAAGGAAAAAATGTTAGGGGCAGCCAGAGAGAAAGGTCTGGGTTACCCACAAAGGGAAGCCCATCAGACTAACAGCAGATCTCTCTGCAGAAACCCTACAAGCCAGAAGAGAATGGAGGCCAATACTCAATGTTCTCAAAGTAAAGGATTTTCAACCCAGAATTTCATATCCAGCCAAACTAAGCTTCATAAGTGAAGGAGAAATAAAATCCTATACAGATAAGCAAATGCTGAGGAATTTTCTCACCACCAGATCTGCCTTAAAAGAGCTCCTGAAGGGAGCACTAAATATGGAAAGGAAAAACCAGTACCAGCCACTGCAAAACCACACCAAAATATAAAGACCAATGACACTATGAAGAAACTGCAGCAACTAATGTGCAAAATAACCAGCTAGCATCATGATGACAAGATCAAATTACACATAACAATATTAACCTAAACATGGAAAGGAACAACCAGTAAAGCCACTGTAAAAACATACCAAATTGTAAAGAACATCAACACTATGAAGAAACTGCTTTAACTAATGGGCAAAACAACCAGCTAGCATCATAATGACAGGATCAAATTCACATAGAACAATATTAAACTTAAATGTAAATGGACTAAATGCCCCAATTAAAAGACACAGACTGGCTAATTGGATGAAGAGTCAATACCCATCAGTGTGCTGTATTCGGGAGACCCATCTCACATGCAAAGACACACATAGGCTCAAAGTAAAGGGATGGAGGAATATTTACCAGAAAAAGCTAGCAGAAGACATGAAATAACTAAGATCAGAGCAGAACTGAAGGAGATAGAGACACAAAAACCCTTCAAAAAATCAAGGAATCCAGCAGCTAGTTTTTTGAAAAAAATCAACAAAATAGATAGACTGCTAGCAAGGCTAATAAAGAAGAAAAGAGAGAAGAATCAAATAGATGCAATAAAAAATGATATAGGGGATATCACCACTGATCCCACAGAAATATAAACTACCATTAGAGAATACTATAAACACCTCTATGCAAATAAACTAGAAAATCTAGAAGAAATGGATAAATTCCTGGGCACATACACCCTCTGAAGTCTAAGCCAGGAAGATATTGAGTCCCTGCATAAACCAATAACAAGCTCTGAAACTCAGGCAGTAATTAATAGCCTACCAACAAAAAAAGTCTAGGACCAGATGGAATCACAGCTGAATTCTACCAGAGGTACAAAAAGGAGCTGGTACTATTCCTTCTGAAACTATTCCAAACAATAGGAAAAAAGGGCATCCTCCCTAACTCGTTTTATGAGGCCAGCATCATCCTGATACCAAAACCTGGCAGAGATACAACAAAGACAAAAAAAAATTCAGGCCAATATCTCTGATGAACATCAATGAGAAAATCCTCAATAAAATACTGGCAAACTGAATCCAGAAGCACATCAAAAAGCTTACCCACCACGATCAAGTCAGCTTCATCCTGGGATGCAAGGCTGATTCAACATACATAAATCAATAAACATAATCCATCCCATAAACAGAACCAATAACAAAAACCACATGATTATCTCAACAGATGCAGAAAAGGCCTTCAATAAAATTCAACACCCCTTCATGCTAAAAACTCTCAAGAAACTAGGTATTGATGGAACGTATCTCAAAATAATAAGAGCTATTTATGACAAACTCATAGCCAATATCATACTGAATGGGCAAAAACTGGAAGCATTCCCTTTGAAAACCGGCACAAGACAAGGATGTCCTCTCTCACCACTCCTATTCAACATAGAATTGGAAGTTCTGGCTAGGGAAATCAGGCAAGAGAAAGAAATAAATGGTATTCAAATAGGAAGAGAGGAAGTCAAATTATCTATGTTTGCAGATGACATGACTGTATATTTAGAAGATTGTATATTCATGGATAGGAAGAATCAATATTGTGAAAATGGCCATACCGCCCAAAGTAATTTATAGATTCAATGCTATCGCCATCAAGTTACCACTGACTCTCTTCACAGAATTGGAAAAAACTACTTTGAATTTCATATGCAACCAAAAACGAGCCCGCATAGACAAGACAATCCTAAGCAAAAAGAACAAAGCTGGAGACATCATGCTACCTGACTTCAAATTAGACCACAAGGCTACAGTAATCAAAACAGCATGATACTGGTACCAAAACAGATATATAGACCAATGGAACAGAATGGAGGCCTCAGAAATAACACCACACATCTACAACCATCTGATCTTTGACAAACCTGACACACACAAGTAATGGAGAAAAGATTTCCTATTTAATAGACGGTGTTGGGAAAACTGGCTAGCCATATGCAGAAAACTGAAACTGGACCCCTTCCTTACACCTTATACAAAAAAGTTAATTCAAGATGGATCAAAGACTTAAACATAAAATCTAGGACCATAAACATCCTAGAAGAAAACCTGAGCAATACCATTCAGGACATAGGCATGGGCAAGGACTTCATGTCTAAAACACCAAAAGCAATGGCAACAAAAGCCAAAATTCACAAATGGGATCTAATTAAACTAAAGAGCTTCTACACAGCAAAAGAAACTATCATCAGAGTGAACAGGCAACCTACAGAATGGGAGAAAATTTTTGCAATCTATTCATCTGACAAAGGGCTAATATCCAGAATCTACAAGGAACTTAAACAAATTTACAAGAAAAAAACAACCCCATCAAAAAATGGACAAAGGATATGAACAGACACTTCTCAA
The DNA here is from genome assembly GCF_000001405.40 of Homo sapiens. Lineage (NCBI taxonomy): Eukaryota > Metazoa > Chordata > Mammalia > Primates > Hominidae > Homo > Homo sapiens. The sequence continues at coordinate 63,382,039 of NC_000012.12, forward strand.
AAAAAGACTTTTGTGCAGCCAAAAGACATATGAAAAAATGCTCATTATCACTTGTCATTAGAGAAATACAAATCAAAACCACAATGAGATACCATCTCATGCCAGTTAGAATGGTGGTCATTACAAAGTAAGGAAACAACAGATGCTGGAGAGGTTGTGGAAAAATAGGAATGCTTTAACACTTGGTGGGAGTGTAAATTAGTTCAACCATTGTGGAAGACAGTGTGGTGATTCCTCAAGGATCTAGAACTAGAAATACCATTTGACCCAGAAATCCCATTACTGGGCATATACAAAGGATTATAAATCTTTCTATGATAAAGACACATTCACACGTATGTTTATTGTGGCACTATTCACAATAGCAAAGACTTGGAACCAACCCAAATGTCCATCAATGATAGACTGGATAAAGAAAATGTGGCACATATACACCATGGAATACTATGCAGCCATAAAAAGATGAGTTCATGTCCTTTACAGCGACATGGATGAAGCTCGAAACCATCATTCTCAGCAAACTATCACAAGAACAGAAAACCAAACACCACATGTTCTCACTCATAAGTGGGAGTTGAACAATGAGAACACATGGACACAGGGAGGGGAACATCACACACTGGGGACTGTCAGGGAGTGGGGGGCTAGGGGAGGGATAACATTAGGAGAAATCCCTAATGTAGGTGACGGTTTGAGGGGTGCAGCAAACCACCATGGCACGTGTATACCTGTGTAACAAAACTGCACGTTCTGCACATGTAACCCAGAACTTAAAGTATAATAAATAAAAAAGAAATACAGGCACCAAATAAGAGGTGGCTGTTAATCAATTAATTCACCACAAAATGCAGTAGATTGAAACAGTTTATTCCTGTACCTCTTGATCTTTATGTGTATAGATTGTAGGAATTCACCAAGAAATTATATAAAATTTGAAAAATATTTTAGATGCACTCTGAACCACAATATTATTTTTCCTTGAAGAGGTCTCTTATCATAGAACTCATAGATGAGTCAGAAATAGAATACATCAAATAGGTCACTGTGTATTTTCTTGTTGAGCTCACAATGCCACAAAACACCCTGCTGTGCTTTTCATTCAGTCAAAAGACCATTATGTCAATTCCATTCATTTATTCATTTGCTGCATTGTTTCTAAGACTTTCATTTTGTGTAGCTACCTGAAATGTCTCTAAGCTGCTATGATTTTTTTAGTGGCCCATACTTCAGGAAACTGCTATGATTTTATCAGAGCTCTTTAGACCTATGGTGATGAGTTCATTCTCTTTCTCTTTCTCTCTCTCTCTCTCTCCCTCCCTCCCTCCCACTTTTATCACTCATGCCATCCAAAATACTACTAGCCATTAGCATTACTTTATGTCTCCTTCCTTTCTGCTACTTTGTTTTTATTTCCCAATTTCTATTCTATTCTATCTCAGAAACCTCCAACACAAACTTTTAAAGAGTACATATTTTCTGTTTTCACCTACAGTGCCTATATTGATTCCTCTTGCTGTTCTACTCCTTACCCAAGATAGCAAAAGCATTTTCAGAACCAAGAATTCTGTCTAAGGCAATCACTGTATTGCTTCCAGGGTACTCAGGCTTTAATTTAAAGAAGCTTCTGGTCTGAAACAGATAGGAAGGAAGATTAGTGTTATTTTTTTCCAGTTCTGGGTCTAGCTCTATCTCTTCCAGCATTTGTGACCCTAGAGGAATGCTAAAAGAAACCTGCTGGAGTTTCCTTGCCTAGCAGAAACCCCAGTAAGGGTCCAGATGTTCATGCTTCTCTGACTCCCCAGAGGCCCTCCTCTGGGAGATCGCCATGTCTGTCTCCCCCAGAACTTCACAGTTAAAGCTTCCCAAACTCCTTTCATTTCATTCCTCATAAAATTTGCCCTTCTTGGATCCCTGTTCCTCAGATTCATGATTATGTCTAGATTAAAGCTGATAAACATGCTTATACCTAAGACTTTAGTAACTAATAATAACTTAATTTTGCATCTTTTGCAGTTTAATATGACTTATCCTACCTTAGCCCTAAAGAGTGATCATTAATGGTGGAAATTTCAGGTGATAGATTATGCAGAAAAATTTGGGGTCAGCAGAGGCATTTAGGCACCCTAAAAGAAGAGCCACTTAATCCCCAGTGTGGCTGGAGGTGATCATAATGACACATTTCCCACACAAATGAGTTCTAACTGGAATAGGACATAGTAATCACAGGGTTGCTGCAGGCAAACTGAGAAAAGGAACTGTTGTTGCCTATAACTGTAAGACATAAACTCCAAAAAGTGGTTTCTTCTACCCTGAGAGATTCCAGCAGGGATGTAAAATGCTGAAGTGCTTTGTTTAGGGAAACAGAAAAAAAAAATTCTCTTTCTCAATGCTCCAGAGATGAACACCGAGAACTTGCTGTTCAGAGAGACGAGAAGAAGGAGTCAACAGTTTCTGAAGAGCCTGTTAGACTTAGGCCATGCTGCACCACAGCCCCTCTCCTGGGAGGTGTGGTCTCAGCACCCTGGCTTCTAGGGGTGCCCTAATGAGGTAGAGAGGATCTCTTTCCAAAAATGCATCAGGGAAGACTGCAAGCAGCATCTAGATTACATATTTCCTTTGGAATTTCTTCATGCTCTCCTGGGGTTTGCAATTTTCGGTGTGAAGATTAGTTATTTAACTTAGTATCATGGGGCATCTCATTACCCAAACTTCCTAGTTTCCATGAATTGTCACTTATTCCAAAGACTTAATTGGCTGCCCATGGTTATCTTGTCTAAAATGTTTGCCTTCTGCCCTCTGGAACCCCCACTGCTTTGTAAGCAGACTCTCCTGTATACTCAATCTCTCCACAGATTGAGGTCATGTGAAATACTATACAAGAAAAATCTGAAGGATAAATGTTTTAGTGAGGGTCCTCCCAGAGAAACTGAACCAATAGCATGTTCATGTATATACATATTATACTGAATGGGTTCACACAATTATGGAGGCTGGTGAGTCCAAAATCTGCAGTGTGGGCCAGCAGGCTGGTAACCGAGGAGAGCCAATGGTTCAGTTCCCATCTAAAGGCTAGCAGGTAGAAACTGAGTAGAGCTGATGGTGCAGATGACGTGCAAAGGCAGTCTGCTGGAGAATTCACTTTTGCTCAGGGGGGCTGTATTTTCTGTTCTCTTCAAGCTTTTAACTGATTAGATGAGGCCCACCCACATTATGGAGGGCTTCTTACTCAAAGCTCACCAATTTAAATGTCAATCCCATGCAAAACCACCTCAAAGTTAACACATAAAATTAACCTTCACAAGTCTACCCCTTGCACCTTGGCACCCATATTCATCTCCTTAAACCATACTTAGTCTTCAAATAAGACAGTAAGATGGTCATACTTCCATCTAACACAATACAACTGTCCTGCATACACTCAAGAATGCACTAACCCTTTCCCCAGAAGAGGATGCAGAGTCGTTGGATGATGTTTACATATTTCAGCCCTTGACTCATGAATCCTGGTCATGGGAGAAATAGTACCATATATTGGACACTGATTCAGAGTATATATATGGCCTCCTGAAGAACCTTGTTCCAGCCCTACAAGGCATTGCTACCTAGCTGGCACTGTAACTTAGTCTTCAAAAGACGACTCCACTGTTCTATTTAGCCAAGGGCTTCAAGATGGTGAGGAACATGGTAAGACTAGTGAATTCCATGAGCATGATACCATTACCACACTTCATTTGCTGTGAAGTGAGCTTCTTGATCAGAAGCAAAGCTGTGTAGAATACCATGATAGTAGATTAGGCATTCTGTACAACCATGGATGGTAGTTCTGGCAGAAGCATTGTATGCAGGGAAGGCAAATATATATTCAGAGTAAATGTCTGTTCTGGTAAGAACAAAATGCTGCCCTTTCCATGATAGAAGCAGTCCAATGTCATCAACTGAATTTATTAATTTTCCTTCATCTACATTCCCCAAAACATAGAAGCCCCTTTCTCTTGTCAAGTCCTAAAAGTAAAAACATCCAGTGGGAAAGGACACTTAGCCAAAGTGTGTGCAACAGATGGACACTAGAATAGAGCAAGAATGAAGTAAGCAAGAATGGAGCAAAATGTCTTAAAAATATCTGCAGATGGAGCTGGAGTAACTTTTTGTCAAATCTACTTAACAATCAATTCTCCTCATTCCCTTCAAAGTAATGGTTTTTAAACACTCATCCAATGTTGTTACTCCCTTACACAAAATACATTAGTGGCTTAGTAGATATGCCCTAAATCCTTACCATGGCATACAAAGGGCTTCACAATCAGGATTCTTTTATGTCTTCAACATTTAGTGCCTACTAATATATTCTGCTACCTATTGAATGCAGTTTTCAGACCCCTTCACTAAACTATTAAGAACTCATTCCTTTGCAGGTTATCCCCTATGCCTAGAAACTCTTCTGTTTTTATATTTCTGTTCACATAACAAATTCCTCCTTATAATTTAAAAACTGAGGTAAAGGATGCTTTCTTCGACAAGTCTTTCTTGAACCCCTCTCTCCCAAGCAGAGATGAATGCTCCCTCTAGGTGCCACTGCTTCCAGCATAGTTCCTGTCACTTTATATTTCAATTATTTGTTTGTCTATAGATTTTTCCCCTCTCTCATATTCTGAATTTCTTCAGGGCAAGATCTGTGTACAATTGAATCTTCAGCCCCTAACACAGTGAGTGAACATACGCTTGCTTATTTAAGCCTAGTTAAAGCAAGCTGACCACCCACATGGCCAATAGACTCAGACACTTCTGGACCATTTACAGGCATTGTCCTGAGCTCCCTTGCCTTCTTACTCTGGTCCAGTGTCATCTTGGCTTCCAATCTCTTTTTTTCTCTCTCTCATCCTCCACTCCGTATTTCCCCATTAGACAGGACAACAGAAGTCAGGTTTCCAGGCTGCTGAGGGCAGCAGTTCTAAACCTTTTGTGTCCCAAATGTGTTGAATCATAGGACAAAAAGAGAGAAAGGAGTGGAGTACAATGATCTTGTTAGTGTCACCTGAAGAATGATGAGGTTTGTAAATTTGAAAAGGAGACCTTTATTTCTCATAAAGCATTGCAGCCTGCAGGGTGGCCATTCTGACAGGCTGGGAAGCATAGCCTCTGGCCAGAAGCCAGAAACAGACACTTTGGGGATCAGAAGAATAATACAGAAATTTATTCTGAATGGGGTGGCCTAGTATACATACTCAATAAGCTATAGAAGGAGGCATAAACATTTATGAAAGGAGAAATGTACACAAACACAATTGAGCTTCCTGCCTCTCCATGGGACCCATGTTCAAAAACAGTGGTGTTAGCATGATTTGAGGATGGAGTTTTCAGTCCTCTGACATCAAATAGTGATGCAGAGGACACACAAACCCTCACTGTGCATTCTCCATAGACTAGCCAGAACCATTCTGTGGTCAGCGGTGTCTTCTCAGGCAAAAAGAGGAGGGATAGCTTCAGGCAGTTGGTTGATATCAAAACGGTAGTCTTTTGAAAGGGCTGGTTTCTGTTAGCCCTTAGGGAAGAAAGCCTAATGGCCATTAGGGAGGGAGCAGGTATAATGAGGCGTGTCTGACCTCACACCCCATCATGGCCAGGAACCCAGTTTTCAAGGTTTCTCTGGAGTCCCCTAGGACAAGAGGTAGGTCGGTTCAGTCAGTTGGGGAGCTTAGGATTTCATTTTTGTTTCTCACTAGACATGTAAAATTAATACCACATACCACAATATGCATATATCTCAAAACCATAGCACCAAAGCAAGCAGCCAGATGCCAAAAAAAAGTACATAATAGATTAATATATGTTGTGAAGGCCAAGCAACTCCATCTTAGATGATAATCTAACGTGTTGGTTACTGATTAACCCTAGTTCTGGGAAGGCCTCTTAAGATTTCTAGTTTATTTATTGCTTCTTGTGTAAGAGGGTGTAGTTACCACAAATCCTGCCCTTAAGCAGCTGTCCTACACATCTCTTCTGAAGCACACATACGCTTTCTCTACAGCATGTAAGCCCTGGGTCTGTGGGGTAACAGCACAGGGATCCACCATCTTGTCTTGCCACCTCTCGAGATACAAACACGACTTCTATTCATAAGTTCCAGTATTTTTCTAAGAAACTGAATTTGTCTAGCCTCTTTCTTCAGCCTCTCAATTCCTCGGACTTTGGGGCTAGGTTTGCGTAGATTTGCCCACCATGGACAGTTGTTAAATGTCAGGAGAGTGGTTTTTTTTAGGAGTAAAGTAAGTCGAAAAGAACACAGGGGAGTTACTGAGGTGCTTGTAATGCTTCGTTTCTTGATCAGTGTGCTCAGTTTGTGAAACTCTATCAAGCTGCACACTCACTATCTATACGCTTTTCTGAATTATGTAATACAGAATACACAATGTGAAGTTAAGAAAATAATATCACAATGGGAAACCATTTTATACCCAGGAGAATAGGAAAACTTTAAAAGTCTGACAATGCAAAATGTTGTCAAGAATATGGAAAAATTGAGAATTCCTTGTTTTTAGAAGTGTAATTTTATTTTTAAAAATCTTTGGAAACTAATTTAGCATTATCTTGTAAGAAAGAACATGTGCATATCCTACAACTCAGTAATACCATTCCTAAATCAGAGAAATTCTTGCACATCTACACCAGAAAGCATATAGGAGAATATTCATAGAAGCATTGTACATGGATTAAAGCAATAAAGGAAGAAAAGAAACAATTGGGGTGACCCAGCATCAGGGGAATGGATAAATGGCAGCATATTTGTATTACACAGCTGTAAAAATTAAAAAAAAAAAAACTACTCACATCAACAGAGATGATTTTAGAAATGAATGTTAAATAAAAAAAAGCAAGTCACAAAAAATTACACAGGAGTCAATGTTTATAAAGCTTCCAACATAGCAAAAGGAACACACACCTATGTGATGAAGCTATAAAAAAACAAAAAGAGTAAACACACAATCCAGGAAAGTGGTTACCTCTGGGTGAGGGAGGGAGATGCAACTGGGGAGGGGCATCGAGGAGCTTCCTTGGAATTGTCCACGGCCTAATTCTTAATTAAAGGGTGGGTTGCCACTGTGCTTTGTAATTTGCATATGTATTATCTATGTTTATTTGTATGTACAAATTAATCAACAAAAAAATTATCTGAGAATTCTGGTTCAGTATGAACACGTAGTGTTACCCGACTTCCTTTCTAAACCACTCATTAAATGAAAAATACAAATGATAACAATATTAAAGGAAAACTACACACAAAAAGTAAAAAAGAAGAACCATTAGCTAACAAAAGCTATCTATCATTTTTTGGCTTTTGGGGTTTTCCTTTAGAGACAGGGTCTCGCGCTGTCACCCAGGCTGCGGTGCAGTGATATGATCATAACTCACTGCAGCCTCGGTGTCCTGGGCTCTGGTGATCCTCCTGCCTCAGCCTCCAGAGGAGCTGGGAGTGCAAGTGTGTGCCACTGCCCTCTGAAAGAAAATGAGCGGAAGGGGTTACTGTCAAAACATGCTAGACAAAGCTGTAGCTCAAAATGTATAAAGAAGGACTTAAAGCTGAGGAGAGACAGATCAGTTGCCCCACTGAATCCAAGGAGAGACTTGGCCTAGAGAATTGTCCATTATGGTAGAAGTAAGAATAAGAAGTGGGGCTGAAAGTCAGGACATTTCTTGAACATCTCTGTGTAAGCCTGAGGCAGGAGAACAGGGCCTGGAGGCAGGGAACCTAAGGAATTCCTAGAACCAAATCAAACGGAAACACTTCAGCTATGACAGGAAATATCCTCTTCATTTACATAGGGCCTAAACCAAGTCAATGACTTTGTAACTTTACTTCATCCTCTTTCTTCATTTACGTAGGGTGTACACCAAGAAAATAACCTTGTAACTTCACTGTAGCCTCTTCATTTACATACCGTGTACACCAAGTAACCAATGGAACCCCCTAAAGGGTATTTAAACCCCAGAAATTTTTGTAACCAGCCCGTGAGCCGCTTGCTCAGGTCCACTCCCACCCTGTGAAGTGTGCTTGCATTTTCAATAAATCTGTGCTTTTGTTGCTTCATTCTTTCCTTGCTTTATTTGTGCATTTTGTCCAATCCTATATTCAAAACGCCAAGAACTTGGACACCCTCAACCAGTAACAAGAGTCTAATCCACTTCATGTGCCTCCCCCAGCCCAGGTAAAAAATTCCTGGTGGAAAAATCGCACCATCTGGGCAAGTGCAGCCTTGGTGAAGGGATCCCAGGCTGGATTTTAGCTCTGCTTCCTACACAAGCACCTGGACCTCTACTTCTGGAGATTGTGTAGCAGAAAACCATCAGCCATCAGCTTCTGTGTTTTCCCAGGAGGAAGCTACAGCTAAAGCTATTATCATTTGCCTATCTAGGGCCCAGCATTTAACATGTTGTTGCTATTTAACCCTGGTAGCCCTTGTGTCTCTGCTCTTAATTTTAAATTCCTTTATCTTGAAATGGGGGAGGGGTGGGAGCAAGGTTGCAAGGAAAACTGGCAAACTTGAGTAACTCAGTCCTATAGTTAACCAAATGTCTAACTTCTATAACAAGAAAAATAAGAAATATCATTTAATTGAGTTGGGGAGATAAAATATATAGGTGCATGTTTAGTGGGTTATCTAAAAAATGAAACAAGTGAAAATATTAGGGCATGTTTTATATAGCAAGGGTAAGTATTGTTTCCTGAAATGTATGTGTGTGGTGTGTGTGTGTGTGTGTGTGTGTGTGTGTGTGTGTGTGTATTACTGAAATATGGTTCTGATTGTGGGGTTTTGTTTTAAAGTCTGTGATGTTTTTTAAATTTGGTAAACACGCAATGAAACATTGATTAGTACCCAGAGAAAAGAATGGGCTACCAGGTACAGAGACACTGGCAGGCGTTCCTAGATCGTGGAGCTGATGCCAACTAGATCTAAATTAGCTGCTAGGTGCTGGCCAAGGAGTATCCCTGTGAGAGGGAAACTGCGTGGTCAGGGGACAAGGTTGAGGGTAGAGGGTAACTTTTTTTTTCATCGAGACGGAGTCTCACTCTGTCGCCCAGGCTGGAGCGCAGCCATGTGATCTTAGTTCACTGCAACCTCCCCGCTTCCCAGGTTCAAGTGATTCAACTTCCTTACCCTCCCGAGTAGCTGGGATTACAGGCAGGCACCACCACGCCCAGCTAATTTTTTGTATTTTTAGTAGAGATGGGGTTTCACCATGTTGGCCAAGCTGGTAGCGAACTCCTGACCTCAAATGATCTGCCTGCCTCAGCCTTCCAAAGTGCTGGGATTATAGGTGTGATCCACTGTGCCCGGCCAAGGGTAACTTTCGATAGTCTACCCTGTTGTAGAAATATCACCTATTCATAAATAAATAAATAAATAAACAATTTATGCAAGGGCAAACTTTTTTTTTTAAGTTTATGGATTTCCTACAGTGTATTAGGCACTTCTTTAGGGTTTTACTGAGGGAGTCAACAAACTGCCCAAAGAAAGAAAATACTATATCAGTAAAAGTCTAAGGTAGTGGGATAGTGAACAAACAGTATCATGTGGCAATCACAGCATGTTCTAGTGACACCTGAAACCTATTGTTTATTTACTTTTGTTGAGTTAATTTCAAATGAGAATCAAATGAGATCGTTCAGGGGAAGTATTTTGAAAATGAGAAAAACCGATTGAATTTTAATGTAAGGTTAAACCTCAGAGATCTGTGGTCCTTTAGGGTATGGGGGAAATTAGGATAGCAATGAGTTAGAGGGAGCATTTACAGGGTTACATTTATTCTTTCATATTTTGGGATGGGATTCTAAACAGTCTCAAAGGTTGAAATATTTCCCAAAGGTCGGAATGCTAAGAGGTCAGCACAGCAACCCACAGAGTTTGTTGCTAAGCCTAACAAAGTTCTCTGTTTATCAGATCATTTGTACAATATTTTGTTATTGTCCTTCTAGTTGAGTGACCTGAAACAAATGACATTCTATTGCCTTGGTTTTCTCAGTTGTAATTGCAGACATTGAACCAGGTATTCTCTAAGATCCCTTTCCATGCTAACAGTTGTATGGAACACCTCCACCAGCCTAAGTACCGGGGCCCATTTTCCTTTGAAATCATTAATCAAGTCCTATTCATGAATCCATCCAAAGATCCATTTATAACTGCAAAAGCTGCCCTGAGACATGATACTTCCCACAGCTCCCAGATCAAAAGAGAACAATTTCTACCGGGAAGTATTTCTGGCCGCTTCCAGAAAATAGTCATTGGTGTACTGTAATGCTTAAACAATGTGAGAAAAACCAGTCTAAATGCCACTGCATTTTACTTGCTGATTTTAGAAGACCTAAAATCTGTCTGCAGCAGAAGAGGGACTCTCCTCCATATGCGCTAAAACTGAGATCAATACTGCCACATACTACCAAGCACTAAGATCAGAAAGAGAATTGTGTGTGTCACTTTTCTAACAGACTGTAAGCCTAGACAAGATTGCTCTTGACCTCACTAAAAATATTTACCTCTACATGGGAAAAGATGGAATTAACAAATTTTGGAGCAAAACATTGAAATTTTAAAAAATAATCTTGGAGTAGTGAAAATCCTTCTAAGTAAGGAATAACCCTAACTTTTTAAGAGAAAAGACTCATGCATTTGACCCTATAAAAACTTCTGGACGAAAAAAGAAAGGAAAAGAAGTATGTGTTTATATATATGCAAAAATTTAAAAACCAGCAAGGGTCTTTTCATAAACTGACATTTAACATCTAGATAATACAAAAGCTTCTATAAACAAGAAAAAGTAAATAAACCAATAGAAAAATGGACAAAAGACACAAAGAAAAAAATACAAAGATAGAAAAACAGCAATATCTGAAAAAATATTCAGCTTGATAAAAATCATGTAAAAATTATGTATTATTGGCTATCAGATGTGCACACTTTAAATTAGATAGTATCTACTGTTGGCATATTCGAAAACAGGCATTCCAACATGGTGGGTGTACATTAAATTGCTACTACCTATTTGGTAGGTAATTTGTTATTTCAATTAAAATTTGCAATTGCCTTCCTAGACTCAGCAGTTCTACTTTTAAGTATCTATTCAAAATAACAATATACACACAAAGTTATACAAACATGTTTATCTCAGCCTTCTCTGAAATAATAAAAAGGTATATAACTAAAAATCATATATGTTAAATAAATGAATAAATAAATGTATAAATATAAAACCTTGTAACTATACATAAATAAAGATTTATAGTTAAATAAATTATGGTACATTTGGGGAGGCACAGTAGTAAAAAAGAATAAGAAAGATAAATACATACCGACATGTAAAGAGGTCCAAAGTATGCTGGTGCTCTTGCAAAAAGCAAGTCACATTATATACACATCATATGATTACATTTGTATTGCAATAAACACATCTAAAAGAGAAATCAAAGTGTATATGTGAAGTTCATAGATGTATTCCTACAAGTTCTGAATGCAGCCTCTCCTCTGCATGCAGTGGAGGAAACATTAACATGTTTTTGTAATGAATATTTATAAGAAAATATTGGTGTGTTATCTGTATAATTCTTAAATTTTAGAAAGAAATTAAACAATGCAGGAAAAGAAAGAAAAGATAAAGGAAGAAGAGAAGATAGGGAAAGGGAAGGGAAGGAAAAATTTTGTGTGCATCAGCTATTGAAATGTCAGGGTAAGATACATCTGGTCCTCTTAATAATGATGTATCTTAGGAAAATTACATCACCTTCTCCCAGCTTCCTTTCACTAAGAGAAGTAGAGCAGAGTAAATCATTGCCCAATCTTTAGAATCAGACTACTGGATTCAGATGCTACTCTACTTATCAATGTAAGATCTTAGTCCAGTTACTTGACCTCTCTGTAATTCAATATCCTCATTTAAAAGCGGGGGAAAGTGGCCGGGTGCTCACGCCTGTGATCCCAGCACTTCGGGATTACAGGTCAGGAGGCAGGCGGATCAAGATGTCAAGAGATCAAGACCAGCCTGGCTAACACGGTGAAACCCTGTCTCCACTAAAAATACAAAAAATTAGCCAGGCGTGGTGGCAAGTGCCTGTAGTCCCAGCTATTCAGGAGGCTGAAGCAGGAGAATCACTTGAACCCGGGAGGCGGAGGTTGCAGCGAGTGGAGATCGTGCCACTGCACTCTGGCGTGGGCGACAGAACAAGACTCCAGCTCAAAAAAAGAAAAAAAAAAGCGGGAGGAGTGAGTAATATTAATATCTATGTAAAGTTCTTGTAAAGATTACATGCCAAAAGTACTTGGAACAATATTGACATTTGGCAGACACACAGTGTTAGTTCTTCAATTAATACCAGTAGGCACCGTCTATGTGTTACGGATGATAATAACATGAAAAAACACTGCTCTCTTTTCGTTGCTTGGAATACAGAGAGGAAAGGCTAGGCCATATTGGAAGCCAGTGCACATATGAGTCCATCCAGGTAGATGGCACAGCCCTGGGTTTGTAGAGTCTACACCCAATAGATAAAATTCTAAGCCAAAGAGTAAGCAGTGCTTGAATTGCAATGAAGAGTTTGCTAGTATGTGTGTGACTTTTCAAGTGCTTTCAACATACTAGGATCTCAGTACATACGTTTTGATCAATGTAGTAACAAAATTATAGTGTAGCATATTTGGGCACAAATTCTGGTTTGCCAGCCATGTGATGCTAGACAAAAACTTCAATCTTCCATTTTCTCATCTGAGAATATGTGGACTTGAATATCTAATTTGCACTGTTGTAAGAGTTAGAAATAGAATTTATATAGTACTTAATAATACCTGGAGCAAAGTAGGTGTTGAGTAGATAATAGATGTTATTATTATGGTCTGAGAATATCTATCTAAGCTGGCTTGTTTTAAAATTTAAAAAAATAATTCAACTTCATGAGTACTACTATTTGCAAAGAAACCTTATGATTTAATGTAAGTTTAAACACAGGACTAAGAAGCAAGAGTTTCAGTTCTTTCTAATTTTAGCTCTGTTGCCAACTTCTTTAGAGCCCTTCAAAAAGTCACTTAATCAAATGAAATATTTGTTAATAATAATAGTCTGTAGCCAGAGTGTTATTACAACATCCACTTGCAGAACAATTTACTGTGATTGTGCATGAACTACGTTTAAAATTCTTAGACTTCTGTTTGGTGTTCCGTGAAGTCATAAACCTGGGAACTTTCTCAGGACATTCACCTGCGAAGTTGGAGTTTTGTCTAGTTCCTCAGCATGCTCTGTTCCTATGTGCTTGCATTCCATGGTCGGCCCACACATTTTCTTGTCTCTTTTTTTTTTTTTAACCTCCTCTCCCAAAGGTTTTTAAAAGATTAGACAGGGTGGTCCTTAATCAACATTTGCATTGGTTGACTGAAAGGAATAGGAACTACAGTGACTTTTTCCCTGATATTCCATAGTCAGTTAGCTCTTTGTCTTAGATTAACCCCGGTTGATGCACCAAACTTCCTCCTATAAGTGACTTTAGGGCACACTCACCCCATCCTTCTAACAAGAAATGTTTCTACCCAGTCTGAATTCCAAGAGCATCTTATCTCTAAACACTTGAGGTATATATAATTTTCTACCCCACATTATAATGATATCTCTTCCCTCTAAGATTATAAATTCCACAAAGAATCAACAATATCTTTACAGCTTCATAGGCTAAATGTAATACTTTATAATAAATTATGATAGAAAAATAAAGAGAAAGCCTATATTGGGATTTTTCATGTCTAGGTGTCTTCGTTCATGTTGCTGTAACAAAATACCCAAGACTGGATAATTTATAAAGAACAGAAATTTATTTCTCACAGTTCCGGAGGCTGAAAGTTCAAGATTAAGGCACCAGCAGGTTCAGCATCTGGTGAGGGCTAGTCTCTGCTTCCAACAGGTGTGCCTTGTTGCTGCATCCTCACATGGCGGAAGGCAGAAGGGCAAAAGGGACAGAAGGGGCCTAGCTGGTTCCCTTTAGCCCTTTTATAAGAACACTAAGCCTATTCTAAAGGTAGACAAGACCGATTAATCACGTCCTAAGGGCCCTGTTGCAGAACCCCAAATTCAGGCTCCTGTACCTCATGCGCAGCTGAAATCAAACCAAACTTGGAATCAAACTCCAATCAAAACTTGGAGATGCTTAGTGATAGAGAAAAATGTATTCGATTCGGCCCAAGTGAGGAGGCAAGAGGGCAAAATCTCTCAGATCCATTTGAACAAAGAGATGAAGCAGGGAGTTTTTATGTGGTTAGCAAGTAACAGAGGGGGAGTTTCAGGTAACAGAGGGGAAAATCTGTGTTTCTTCAGTCTCAGATAACAACTTGAGCAACCAGACTTCTGGGCATCATCAGCTGGTTGCAATGTCTTAAAAGCATTCATTCCTTTCTGCAAAATTTTCAATGGCCTTGAAGTTATCTCCCCATACTTGACAAAGAAACAGTAGTACATAAGCAATTTATAATTATGTTGTGGGAACAAGCAAGTAATTAACATGTGCAAGCAGGCAAGGGCCTAATCTGAATTTTCGTTATTTCAGTCACTAAAAATGCTAGGGTATGGAATTCTCAAGGATCCTACCTCTTAATACTATCACACTGGGGTTTAAGTTCCAACATATGGGGGACAGATTCAGACGACAGCACTGGGATAATTTTTAAATTCAGGACCATAGTTTTCTAGCTGTTTAAAAAATACCAATATGATTTCAAAATACCAGTGTAATTACATACTGTTGGCTTATTTTTATCCTAATATTATTATACCTCTGGTTGTAGGACTTATCATTTTATTTCAAACTGATAAGTTAATAAGACAACATTTTATTTCGATTTAATGGGCTAGAAAACATATAAAAAACTACTTATAGAGAGGTCTTGAAAATTTAATGGTAAATCTTATATAGTATATCATGAGAGTACACATATATAAATATAGGGCTAGCCCTGAGAAATATTTTAGAGTTCATTATGTTCTTTTTTTTTTTTAAGCAACTTTTTTTTATATATATACTTTATGTTCTGGGATACATATACAGAAAGTGCAGGTTTGTTACATAGGTATACACGTGCCATGGTGGTTTGCTGCACCCATCAACCCCTTGTCTACATTAGGTATTTCTCCTAATGCTATTCCTCTAGCCCCGCACCCCCTGACAGGCCCCAGTGTGTGATGTGGCCCTCCCTGTGTCCATGAGCTCTCGTTGTTCAGCTCCCACTTATAAGTGAGAACATGCAGTGTTTGGTTTTCTGTTCCTGTGTTAGTTTGCTGAGAATGATGGTTTCCAGCTTCATCCATGTCCCTGCAAAGGACATGAACTCATCCTTTTTATGGCTGCATAGCAGTCCATGGTGTATATGTGCCACATTTTGTTTTTCCAGTCTATCATTGATGGGCATTTGGGTTGATTCCAAGTCTCTGCTATTGTGAACAGTGCTGCAATAAACATACGTGTGCATGTGTCTTTACAGCAGAATGATTTATAATCCTTTGGGTATATACCCAGTAATGGGATTGCTGGGTCAAATAGTATTGCTAGTTCTAGATCCTTGTGCATATCCTACAATTCAGTAATGCCATTCCTAAACCAGAGAAATTCATGCACATCTATACCAGAAAGCACATAGGAGAATATTCATAGAAGCATTGTTCATTTAAAAAAATAGAGAAAAGAAACATTTGGGGTGACCCAGCATCAGGGGAATGGATAAATGGCACCCAGGTACTTCAGCTCAAAGACATTTGCTGTAGCCAGGCGGGGGTATAAAGCCTTTTCTGTTTGTTTAGGGACTGGCTGAGGTGTCTGGCTTGGGGGAACACTGGATGATCAGAGGCCACATGTGGAATTGGCAATCCGCTGGTCCCCCACAAATGTACAGTGGGTGCTGGTGAGGCTGCATATATAAACAGCTGTGAAGGCCAGTCAGTGAAAGTGAAACTTGTATCTTTTCACCTTGGCACTGGCTGCTTGGCTCCCTGCTTATACACTGTGTATGTATCTCCCATACCTGAATACATTCTAGGGGTGGATATTTTACACAGCTTGGCACTGTGATGTCTATCACAGACTTGACGGACCGCTTGACAGAACTGGGACAGTACCATTATGTGATGGACTTGGCTAATGCATTCTTTTCAAGAGAGCCAGGAACAGTTTGCCTTCATGGGAGGGCGACAATGGACTTTCACAGTGTTGTTGCAGGGCTATGTGCACATAGCCCCACCATACATCATGGTCTTGTTGATGACGTTATATTAACCTCTGATTCTCTTGCAGATTTAGAAGCAGCAACACCCCTCTTGCCTGGGATTGGGATGATGCAGCAAAGACCACCTTCCTGGCAGCAAGTGGGCTATTCAGCAGGCACAAGCCCTATGGGTAGTTGACCAGGGGCACCCATTTGAATTGGATGGGCATGTGACCAAGACGGTTTTGGCTGGGGCCTCTGGCAGCACACAGAGCACTTTAGAATGCAAGTAGGCTTTTGGTCCCAACTACAGAAGGGAGCTGAGCTCTAGTATATCTTGATAGAGAAAGAGCTAGCAGCTGTATATGCTGCCCTTCAGGCTCATGAGAGCGTGACAGCATGGGCTACGGCTGTCATGTGGATGACTTACCAGATAGCAGGATGGGTGTGCTCATGGATAATGATCCCCAAGACTGGGACAGTGCAGACATCCACTTTAGCAAAGTGGGGCACCTACTTAGAGCAGCAGAGTACACTCAGTCCAAGTCCCTTAGCAGCAGAGCTGCAAGAGGTCTTGGGACCTGTAGTCCTAATGCAAGATAAGGCCAAGGGGCCTGAGACACCCCTAGACCCTGAGCCATCACCATTTAAGGAAGGGTATCCTCAATTCCTAACATGGCATGGTATACAAATGGGTCTAGCTGAGGTGCTAGTGCTGCCTGGACCACTGTCGCAGTCCAACCTAGTACTGACACCATATGGTTTGAAACTGGATGTGGACAAAGTAGCCAATTGGATGAACTTAGAGCAATATGGGTGGTGATCACCAAGTGTTGGGGTGATCAGACCCAACACTAGGCCTTGGAGGCTACGAAGTCTGGCAGAGTCAAAGGAATGAGAAAAGACAAGAGTGAAAGTGGGACCAGGGGGCCAACACTAGTATGGAGGCTGCAAAGGCCCTGAGCTCTGGAAGCCTGCACTATTTATTGGTGATCAAACAAAGAAACAGGTGGTGAGGATGTGGGGGTTGAAAGGTAGCGGTGCATCAACGCGTGACTTATAGCTGTGACAGTTTAGCATTTTCTTTGAAGCATATGGAACACGTTCTGCTACTTGAGATGACAGGAAACATGTTCTTCTAGTTTAGGATACAATCGTTCTAGGAGCCTGGGAATGCTAGAAGCAAGGAGCCAGCAAGTCTAGACACATTCCAGAGGCCACAAGGGTGGGGGGGTGGGGGGTGGTTTATGCCCTGAGCCCTGGATTCCATCCAAGCCATGAGGGGTTTTATACCCTGGGCTTAGATTGTGGTGCGGCAGGGCAGCCTTCCACCCTTTGGCACAGAGCTTGGTGTTCCAAAAACCATGAGGGGTTTTAGACCCTGGACCCCGGATATGTTCCAAGACTCTTTTACATTATGTCAGACATGCAAGCCCTGCCTCAGCTCTTTCCCCAACACTCAGCTTTTCCCCAACACCAAGGAGGTGACACCTATGGTAATCTGCACCAATAGCTGGGCAGTTTATCAAGGCTTAACCTTGGGGTTAACTACCTGGAAGTTACAGAATTGGCTAGTTGGCCACCAGTCCAAGTAGGGCTGTATTTCAAGGTTGGACCTGGTGCTCCAAACCTTAAATAAGCTGCCACGGAAAGGTAGCTGGCCCTGGGGAAAGCACTGTTGCACCAGGCCACCACCCCCTTTCAGTTACAGATACACACCAAGGATAACCTTCTCCAATCAGGTATGGAGACAAATGGTAATGTTACCTGTCCCCTGGCTGACCCATAGCTTCCGTGATGGATGGGGCTGGTTAGTAGGAGAGCATGTGGTACCCCCACCACAGACACCCCAAAGTATAAAGCAACCCTGGGGTAACATCACCATGGGCTTGTTGCCTGCCATAACCTGGAGTTGTTGCTTCCTGTATTACCGCACTGGCCTCTGCGTCCAGGGTTCTGCCCTGTGAGCATGTGTCCCCACTAGAAGAACTCCCTCAGCCTAGGGGTTAGAACGTAAAGCCTATATGTCAGAACTGTGTGTCCAGGGCCTGTGTGCCAAGCCTGTGTATCAGGCCTGTGTGACCAGATTTATGTAGCAGGCTTATGTGTCAAGCTTGTGTGTTGGGCCTGTGTGCCCAGAGGCTAATGTATATGTCAAGTCTGTGTGCCTAGAGCTTATGTATAAAGCCTATGTGTCAGGCCTGTGTGTCCGAGGCCTGTGTGCTCAGAGCCTATGTATAAGGCCTATGTGTCAGACCTGTGTGTCTGGGGCCTGTGTGCCAAGCCTGTGTATCAGGTCTGCGTGCCCAGACTTATGTATCAGGCTTATGTGTCAAGCTTGTGTGTTGGGCCTGTGTGCCCAGAGGCTTATGTATGTTTCAGGCCTGTGTGCCTAGAGCCTATGTATAAAGCCTGTGTATTGGACCTGTGTGTCCAGGGCCTGTATGCCCAGAGCCTATGTCTCAGGCTTATGTGTCAAGCGTGTGTTGGGCCTGTATGCTCAAAACCTATGTATCAGGCCTATATGTCAGACCTGTGGATCCAAGGCCTATGTCTCCCTCGGCCTAGTGGGTGGAGTGTAAGGAAAATGGATGTGCTGTGGGTCAAGAACAGGCCAAAGTAAACATCCATTTAAACATGACTCAGTGAGTTTGCAGTGCAGGTGCACAACTCTGTTCATTACAAAACCTATTTATGTAAGCTCATACTTGGCTCTGAGCCACTATTGTCTGTAAATGGTATAACTGTCCTGCTGATACTGTGCATGGGGCTCACACCCAGAGAGAGTGAGTAAAGCTGCTGACCCTGTCAGGGAGAGCCGGCTGCCTTGCAGGCAGACAGGGGGGATCCAGGAACCAGCAAGTACACCAGGGAGTACAGTACAGATGTGGGAGAAGCAGGAGCCACAGAGCCAGGTGCTGAGAGGGGCTACAGCTAGAGTGGGCAGCCAAGACAAAGGTAGATGGAGAGAGAGAAAGAGCACAATAAAACCATATTTCATCTGCCTACGCCCCCCCAAGTGTTCTTTCAGCTACCCACTACCCATCCACCCTCTTCTCTCAGACCTCAGCTTGGGCTGGAACCTGACACTTGGCATGACAACATCATATTTGATGCGAGCCTGACAATAGAGGTACCCTGAAAAGAGGGCACCTCAGGGAATGTTTAAAGTGCAACCATTCCTCCTTATAGCCATCATTTCACCATGATCTATGTCATACCAAATAACATGAACTCTATCCACAGGAAATCTATCTACGGGAACCACTGGCTCCCTGAGTGTTGCAGGGAACCAGGAGAAGTTTTCAGGTTTGAAGAGAAAAGGATTGTGTAGTAAGCAAATAGAGGAGATTATGGGAATGAGGGTGAGCAGGTAAAACATTCTTCTGATTTTAACAAGGAAATTAATAACCATACCCATTAAACATTTAGGGTTTTCAGCAATATATCCTATTGCAAGGAAAGTAAGAATGAGAGTTATTTCAGGATTCCTGAGGACTGGCCTGATTCAATGTCTGGAAGAATAGCTACTTTGGTCATTGCTCTGAAGGCCAGCTGAGCCTTGGCTGTTTTTCAGGATCACAGGTGAGTGGTAAAGACCAGTTCAGAGGCTCAGCTGTGGTCAGGATATGGCCAGGCACCCATTTTAGGTGTGAGATGTGAATCCAAGAAGCAACTCCCTTTAATTTTGCAGCACAAGAGTTACTTAAAAGTACCATCCTTTCCAGTGGGGTTATAGGGAGTCTTTCAGTTGGTGTATTTTCCAGTATACAAAGTCACCTGGTTATAGTCTGTGATCTTTGGAGTCTTCTGCCTCTGGGAACTCCCTGCAGAAAGACTCTGTTACCAGCTTTGTATTGTTTTTTAAAGTTTTCAGAAGTCCCTGGCAGTAATACTTCTTCTTTGAGTAAGGCTGGCTCCCACAAGCCCTTGTCCAGCCTCGTGGGTATTTCTGTTATTATTTCATAAAGTAATAAACAATGTTTTCCAAAAAGAGTGTATATAAGATTAAGCAATGCCAGGGGGAGAACTTATGGCTGAGGGAGGTTAGAAGCCTCCATTAACTTAGCTAATTGAGTTTTTATTGTGCCATTTGTCTTTCTACCAATCTGGAGGATTGAAGATGATAGGCACAATAGAAGTGTTGTATTATGGGCCAGATTTTGCAAATGGATTGAACAACTTGTCCAATAAAATGAGTCCCACAATTACTATGTAGCTCAGAAGGGATTCCTCAAATAGGAATGATTCTAATAATATGTTGCTTATCATTAAGGCAGAAGCCTCCTCTGACAAGGAAATGCTTCTACCCAATGAGAAAACATACAAACCAAGAACAACACATATTTATAATTTTGAGACAGCAGCATCTGGATGAAATCCAATTGCCATACTTTAAATTGTCCTGCTGACAAAGGAAAATGACTGTGGAAGCCATGTAAGCGCTTGCCAGGGTGATGTTCTGAACATGTGGCACATTGAGAGTATACCTTTTAGACTATTGTAAAAGATGGTTTCCAGAAATATTGTTTTCCCCATAATATCATTTTCTCAGGGGCCCGATGAGTCATTTCATGAATAAATTAAAAGAGAGGTAATTGTGCACCTATAGGAACTATGGGGTTTTTTTGTTAGCACCTACCAACAATTCTCTATTTGGGTCAAATACACCTCCCCTTTCCTGCCAGATGTGTTTATCTCAAGGGGTTAATGCCTGTTGGTATTGTAAAAGAAAATTAGTGAGGGAGAGCATTGGCAGGGCAAAGGATACATTCTCATATAGAACAGGCCATCTTTCTAAGGTAGCATTCTTTGCTGCAGCATGAGCTGGATTATCTCCCTTTACTTCTTCAATGTTATCTTTTGAACGCCCAGGAATTTTTATGAGTGGAAACTGCTTTGGCATTTGATTTGCTTCTAAGAGCTCCAAGATTTGGTGCCTGTTTTGCATAGATTTCCACAATATGGTGAGAAATCACCTCTGTTTCCATTGCATGACAAAATCATGGGCTACTCCAAAAGCATAAAGGCTATCAGTGTATATCTTTCTCACCTTTTCTTCAGCCAACTGCAAAGCCCTTGTTAATACTATTAATTCAGCCAGGAACTGAATTAGGAAGCTGACGTTACTCCTTGGAATTGAGTGTTTTCAATTATGTCCACCAAGGAAGTGATGGTGTGTCCTCCTCAATAATACCCTTGATCATCCCTTAAATAAGAACCATCTGTGAACCAAATTAAGTTAGCATTCTTGACAGAAGTTTCCTATAAATCTTCCCTAGGGGTGAGTAAGATATCAGTAGACTGCTGTGGTGTTTTTCTTCTCACTGTTCATCTGCAAGAGGGAGCAGGTTAGCAGGGTTAAGAGTGTTACAGCCCTTAAAAGAGAAGTTAGGGGCACAAAGCAAGAGCACCTCATAAGAGGCAAGGTAGCTCACGGAATAGTGTTGAGTGTGATGAGAATTTAGGAGATATTCCACAGAATGGGGGACATAGGTGGTTAGCAGGGACCTAGGGCAAATTCTTCAACATTCATACATAAAATTGTCCTGGCCACAACGGATATGACCCTCATGAAAGGGGTTGTCCTCTTGCTACTGGATCTAATTGTTGCCTGAAATAACCACTTGGACTATGATTGTCATCTGTTTTTGAGTTAATCCTCCTAGAGTATTTCCATTTATTTTATGTACAAAAAGGAAAAGGGAAGACTGTAGCTGGGATGACCTAAAGCAACTACTTGGGAAAGAACCTGTTTTAAATCCTCTGTGTCTTGTTTCTCGCTTTCTTCCCAGAAGATTGGGTCTGGTTGTGTCTGTTTCAGTGTTTTATTTAAGAGCTGAGACATTAATTAGTAATTTGAAATTGAACTTCTGCAATAGCCTGTTAACCCTAAGAACCCTCCTAATTGTCTTTTTGTTTTGGGCATGGTAAAGGTCATGATGGCAGAGATTCTCTCAGGGTTTATTAGTAGTCCCCTCAGGGAATTCATATGTCCTAACTACTTAACTTGAAACAAACAAAATTATAATTTATCTGTGGACTTTTTGTCCTTTCAGAGCAAGCTGTTGTAACAGGTGGACAGTGTCTTCTCTGCATTTTGTCAGCGGGGATGAACACAACAAACCATCTATATACTGAATTAAGTTAGATCCATTTGGAAATTCAGTGTCATCTAAATCTGCCTTTAATATTTGAGAAAAATAGGTAGGACTCATGGAATAGCCCTTGGGGCAGACCATCTGTGTATATTGGTGATCTGCCCAAGTAAAGGCAAAAAGATACTGGCTATTCTGCTCTACAGGTGTACTGAAGAAAGTGCTGCATAAGTCAATGACAGAGAAGTGGCTGGTGGTAATAGGAATATTGGACAGAAAGATGTTGAGGGTAGGAACAACAGGATGTCTAGGGTTGTTTTATTTATAGGTCTTTGGGCCTGAATGAATCTCCAGCCTTTTCTATTTGGCTTTTTAGGTGGGAGGATTGGTGTACTGCAAGGGCTGATGCACGGAATTATGAGTCCTTTGTCTAAATAGTCCTGAATGATTGGGTTGACTCCCAGTAAAGCTTTATATTGAAGGGGATATTGCTTAATGTTTGGCAGAGGCTTATATTTATCTATGGTTATTTCTAGAGGAACTACTGACATAATTATTTTGATATCTGGCCCATGAAGAATCTGGTACTTTGGATAAGAAAGGCTCTAATTATCACTTCAAATTCTTGATTAACTTTAGCAAGTATAATATTACCTGTGGGTTTTTGTAAGTCTTCTGTGTCTCCCAAATTGAGGATCATTTCTCCCTTCTCTGAAAATGAGATGTGGATATTACAGGTCTTCAGAAAATCCCATCCCAGCAGATGTATGGGGGCACTATCTACTATAAGAAAAACATGATGCCCTATTCATTTTCCTAATTAAAATTGAAGAGGGCTTGATTTAAAAGTTATAACTGGAGACTTTGAAACCCCTACTATTTCGACTATCTTTATTCCAAAGAAGAGGGCTTTGCATTAAGGTAGGGTTAAGGACTGAAAGCGTAGCACCAGTGTCAACAAGGGCTCTGGCATTTTCCCCGTTTATGGATATTTTAACTTCCCTTAAAGTATTTGTTAGAAGTAGAGGGGAAACCCTCTATATTCCCTTAGATCATCCCTCAACTCCCTTGAGTTTTTGTGGTGCCTTCCTCTGGGGCCTTCTGCCTCCTTTGCACAAACACTCATTTAAGTTTTTTGCAATCCTTTTTAAGATGTCTTGGGTTTTTTTTTTTTGTTTGCTTTGTTTTGTTTTTGTTTATTTTGGCAATAGTACACAATTGCTTCCTCTTTGGATTGCTGGAAACTCTGAGGGGAATGAAACCCTTGTGATGTCTCAGTTTGGTACTAAGTTATCTTAGTTGTAAACTCAATCTTAGAGGCTGTCTCCTTTTCCTTCTCAATGATCATTTATGACAACTGGTCAGCAAGGGTGACAAGGTAGTCAGTGGGCACAGAAGCTCAAGCCATATTGTTTCTCTTTATCAAGGTCATTAACTCATCATCTAAGCTTTACACAAATCCAGAACTTAGCAAGATGTCACTTCTACCATGCTTAAAGTTTTCAGGAAGTATCCCTGAATGTCATTTAGATGTTTCTTCAAACCTAATGTCATAGTCAGGTATGGTTTCATTTGGGTGTATTTTACATTATTGTACCTTTGTCCAATCTGTAACTTTAGAAAATATCTGTGGTAAATTCTCAAAGAGGCAGATGCAAAGCTCCCCCTGCACTTCTCTCTCTTCATTTTTATCTATTTTGTCAAAATTTTCTAAAGGCTATTTCAACCCACAGCCCTAAGCCACTTTTTGGCTTTTTTTTGGGGACCAATCACTCAATTAGCTGATAAAGGTCAGAAAACTCTGGATCATAGGTCTTATGCATTAATTGGAATTCTTTGGTAAACCTGAAGGGATCTTGGGTCGGGTTGGGGAATCCAGATAGCTGGGATCTTAACTCTAATTTGGTCCCTTGTTTATACAATATGTTAGTGTTACAGCCTGATAGTTTCTTCTTACTCATGGCTCCAAAAATGCCAATACATGGAGAATAGCAGGCGTTGCAGCAGAGAAAGAGTTTAGGGCCATCCAAGCAAGGAGGCAGGAGATATTTCTCAAATCTACCTCCAGGGAACTGAAACAATTCATTGGCTGGGGGTAAAGTCATAGGGGTATCAGAAATGCAGGTGAATCAGTTCCAGAAGGGGGGTTGCAGGATCCACTGAATCAGTTCCTTGGTATGGGTCACATGTCCAGGTGGCATCTCTTGCTCTGCCAAAATGCTAAATCAGAAAAACATCTCAAAGACCAGTTCTTTAGGTCTCACATTAATGATATTATCTATAGAAGCAGTTGGGAAAGTTGTAAATTTTGTGACCTCCAGTTATGTGACTCAGGGGCAGTAAGCAATTATATAAAAGCAAATTTGTGTTAGGCCATTCTTGCAATGATATAAAGAAATACCTGAGACTGGGTAATTTATAAAGAAAATAGGTTTAATGTGCTTACAGTTCTGCAGGGGGTACAGGAAGCACAGCCCTGGCATCTGCTTTTGGAGAGGGCTCTGGAAGCTTACAACCATGGCAGAAGGCAAAGCAGAAGCTTACATGTCACATGGCAAAAGTAGGAGCAAGAAAGAGGTCCGGGGGTTGCCACACACTCTTAAACAACCAAATCTTGCAAGAATCCACTCACTATCACAAGGATGGCACCAAAGGAATGGTGCTAAACTACTCATGAGGAATCCACCCTCATGATCCAATCACCTCCCACCAAGCCCCACCTCCAACAATGGTGATTACATTTCAACATGATTGGGCAGGGACAAGTATCCAAACTATATCGCAAGTTAAGCAAGGAATAAATGGTTACTGTTTAACTGTGCCTATTCTTTAGTAAAGTTCAGGCCCCTACCATAATTCTTAACCTTGTAGTCTTTTATTTGTCATTATAATACAGTTCCAAACTTTGAACAGGAGGAGGTTAGTTCAAGGAATGGGCAAGAATGAGCAAAAGCAATTTAAGGGTAGAAGCAAAATGGAGTTTAGTTATGTTAGATTTCCCTTATTACAATAATTCTTGCAGAAGCAGTTTCATTAGGAGCCCTTTTCCTGGTGGGTTTTATTCTAAAAGGTGCAAATACTATTTTATTGTCTCCTCTAGTTATTTCTGGCCACTTTGTAGTTTGAAGTGAGGGAATAGGGGAAGGAGGAGAAGGAAAAATGAAATAGTCTAGACAAGTGCATCAGTCCATTCTCACACTGCTATAAAGAAATACTTGACACTGGGTAATTTATAAAGAAAAGAGGTTTAATTGGCTCACAGTTCCATAGGCTGTATGGGAACCATGGCCAAGAGTGCCTCAGGAAACTTACAATCATGATGGAAGGTAAAGGGAAAGCAGGCACATCTTACATGAAAGGAGCAGAAGGAAGGGGTTGGAGAGGTACCACATACTTTTAAACAACCAGATATCATGAGAACTCACTCACTATTATGAGTATAGCACCAAAGAGGAAATATGCCCCCATGATCTAATCGCCTCCCACCAGGACCCACCTCTAACAATGGGGATTACAATCTGACATGAGATTTGCCTGGGGACACAGAACAAACCATATCAACAAGAAATTTCAGAGAGCAAAGGATTAGGAGGAATAGAAAAAGAGACAGTTTTTGGAGCCTCTCTCATTTCAGAAGTGGCTTATGTTAGTGTCTTCAATTCTGAGATGGTCTTAAATACTTTCTTATTAACTTCCTAAGGGGAGGCAAGTTTATCATTCCCTCTTTTGGATCATTCTAGGTGCCAGCTAAAGTATGACTCTCATTTATTTTCCTTGATTCAGCAGCCTAATTGCTCTAATTTAGCATGCAAGAAAATTAATTTGGAAATATCAAAAGTTCTTCATTTTGGAACCGTTAGAACTGGTCATTCTTAATAAGATCTTCCCATTTACACAAGCACTTTCAAGTAGAAGCACCATAATTATCAAACATAAAACCAGATTGAGTCTCCAAAGGGAATAGCCCTCCTTTCGTTTCCTCTTTTATAGGGGATTTGTTTCCCATGTCTCTTTAAAAAGGAAGGACCGGACTGAGGCTTATGATTTAGTTTGGTGGATCAATGTGTGCTGACTGCGGGTAGGACTCCACTGTGTTTCACCGCTGAATTGTTTCTTCCCTCTTATGTGTCCTAGTTTCTCTCTTTGGAAGTCTATCACCTCCGAAAGGGTGCACAAACTTTCTTTCCATTTATTTTTTGGGGATTCTCTGTAGGACCACTACATGTCACAGTGAGTCACCCCCAAACACTCTTCCTGGGCCCCCAGTCATCCAGGTGCACCTTTCAGCTAGGCTGAGCAAAATGCCCCATTCTCTTCAAAGCTAAGGAACTCAGTCTCTCACTCACCTGCAAAAAGGACAGTTTGATCTTTCATGCAAGTACACAGAAAAGCCAATGGAGATTATTTGGGAAGGAAAAGGCAACTGGGAAGACCCTTTAAATGCACATCCAAATCAAAATTAGGATCCCAAACAACTTCCTAGGAAAAGAACAGACAGCTCAGAATAAGCCAAAAACTTTCAACCAAATGGGAGGTTTGAGGCTCAGAAGAATTCACCACTTCCACCTGAGGAGCTGCTCACATTTAGGAGGGCTTCAATTGGCCCATGCTTGTACCTTAGTGTCAGGTTCAGGAAACTCCTTTGGGGGGATCTTGAGTTTTTTCTGAGCCCCATATTGGGTGGCCAGGAATTGACAACAGAAAAACCAAATTCTGCCAAAATATTTTTAAAGGTTTATTCTGAGCCTATGTGAATGACCATGGCCAAGGGAAACACAGTCTCAGAAGGTCCTGAGAAAGTGTGCCTAAGGTAGTTGAGTTACAGTTTGGTTTTATACATTTCAGGAAGACAGGCATTGCAGATAAAATCATAAATCAATATATGGAAGGTATATATTGGTTCAATGTGAAAAGGTGGGACATCTCGAAACAAGGGGCTTTCAAGTCATAATGGGCTTTAGGGATTCTTTAGTTGGCAATTGCTTGAAAGAGTTAAGCTTTGTCTAAAGACTTGGAGTCAGTATAAAGGAATGCTTAAAGATAAAGAGTTCTGCTATCTGTCATGTGATGCCATACCAGAGTCAGGTTGGAGAGTAAGTCACATTATACTGGGTTAATAAAAGAAACAAAACTTGTTTAACAAAATTTTATGGTTTATAAAATATGACTCCCGAGGACCCTTAGAAAATAATTTGGGCAATAGGGAAAAAAAAAAAGGTCAAAGTTTAGTCCTCAAAAGTAACTCTAAAATGACCAATCTGCTTTTTGTTCTTTGTTTCTTCTTTCTTCAGTCCTTCTCTGTCTATTAAACCAGCCTCTTCTGCTCAGCTAATTGGGATACTTATTCTATTTTGTGGAATGAAGTGAGATTCTAGAATCTCAATAAAGCCAGTTGGGATCTTTAAATTTGTTGTAATTTTGTCTTTTGACATTGCTATTAGATTATATCTCCTTTATCTAACTATACATCTACACAACTGTCCACTCTTCATCAAATCGATGAATATATATATATTATTTTCTTTGGGTCTTCATGTTACATAAAACATATTAAATAAATGTGTATGCTTTTTCTGAAAGCTCTCATGTCACATAGAACTTACATTAAATAAATGTTTATGCTTTTCACTTATTAACGTATCTTTTATTATAGGCACCTCAACCATGAATCTAGCAATGGGTGAGAAATCTTTCCTTTCCTACATATACAAGAGGTATACAAGTTATTATAATTCTGCTTTTCTCGTGTTAATTTGTCTTTTGGTAAGAGGGGATCCCAGCTAAGAACTATGGAGGGTAGAGATAAAATTATCTTTTCTCCCCTACATAGTCAAAATCCTAATTAATTTAGAAGGAAAGGGCAATGGAGAAGCCCCACTTCATTCCTAGACCCAAATAACATCTATGAACCTACTCTGGGTATTGAAGAGTTAGGGGAAAAAACAGGAAATTGCATTTCCTTTCACAGTTGTGTGGGAGCAGAGCAAAGTATGATAGAAAGCCACAGGAAATTGGTGGGCTAGAGCACAGGAAAAAGTAGACAATAGTTCAACTTTTTTAAAGGTCCTATAGTGGAGAGAAAAGAGAAGAAACTCAGCTTGGGCTCAAACAGTGCCCTTAAGGACTTAAGTTAGTGAAAGGCCAGCGTCCTGCTAAGCCTTACCCACTTATCCTCAGCTGCTGAACTCCACCTACTCTTCCTCTTTTCCAGTGAAACCTGGCTTACATTCTTCAACATTTTAGCTGAACAAATCTATTTTTATTCCTTTTTACTTGATACCCTCAATTTCCTAAACTACTATTATTCTAATCACTGTGATATTCAGCAATATTCTGGAATTATAGCAAATTTTCCACAAATACAGAATTCGATATATTTATTATGATTTATTTCTGTTTTACATGTTTTATGTCAGCCTACAGCGTGAATAGGTTCTGTAAACAGAGGACTCGGGGGCTCAGGAGGACTTACCAGTTCCACCCCAGAAGAAGCTTAAATTCAGGAAGGCTTCAATGGGCCCAACCTGGTATCTTAGTGCCAGGTTCAGGCAACTCCTTTGGGGGGTCTTGAGTTTTCTCTGAGCCCCATATTGGGGGGCCAGAAATCAACAACAGAAAAAACAAATTCTGCCAAAATATTTAGAGGTTTGTTAATAAATAGCCTTGCTTGGCTCTCCAGTGAGTCTTTTTGTTCTGTACATTTTTTATTTAGTCACCTCCAGAATAAAAACAACAAAAACCAAACTCTATTCTGAGAACACCCAGCAAGTGATGGCCTTCAGGACATGCCATAGCTAAGGCCATGTTTAGATCTAAATCAAAGAGGAGTCTAAGATCTGGTAAGAACCAACAAGTGTGCTGTCCTTTTAGTGTTAAAACTGGGAACTCACCATTCTTTGACTGGTTGTATTACAAGAAAACAAGGTGAAATTGGCTTGTATGGTTGTCAGACTCCTTGCAACACTTGGGATATGAGTTTCTAACAGGCTATTTTGGAGAACAGAACTCTGAGATGATTTTTATATCCTTCACACTTTCTGGTCTATTTTCATCTCTGTGGCTTCTCCTTAAACAATTATAAGTGCCTGTTGGGGTAGACCCAGCTAGTAAAACGAATGTAAGATTTTGAAAGTTTTCACTTGCCAGTCAATTTCTTTTCTGGGTTCAGTGTTTACTGACACAGACACTAAAGAAATTTTTTTTTAAAGAAACTAACTGGTGTCATCTTGTCTTCACATAGACTTCTACAGCTATAGCTGAGTTTCCGTGATTTTGCTTTTTATTTTTTGCTCATTCATACATGCATAGGCAGAGTTCAGCTTTTATGCTGGTAAGAGGAATTAAACTTACATGTTTACTGAGAATTAAACTTTAAGAGAATAACAAAAGCTCTTGAAAAAAATTGAATATAACAGATGAAACAGTTTCATATTTATATTTCAACATAAGACTTTTAGTTATTGTCAGAAAGTAATGGGAATCCTTCCCATTGTTCACTTATTTAGCCTTATATAATATTCATTTAACTAAGCCCAATATCCAATATCCAGAGATTTACATTTTATTTTTAAGGGAAGACAGTATCATAGTGAGATTATTATACTGCAGAATAATAGCTTTTATACACATGCACATGCACACACACACACACAAGCTTTTTATTTATGTATAAGGTGACCATCTAATTTATAATCTTAATAGGAAAGTACTATTAAATTTTCTATTACATTTTGAATCAGTAAGTTACAGTTTTCAAGTAATTTGTCCATTTCATCTAAATTATAAATATGCTGGTGAAAAGTCATTTGTAATATTTCTTTACTCATTTTTGATATCAGACCTGCAGTGAATACCATTCTTTAATTCTTGATATTGGTAATTCATGTTCTCTCTTTTTAAAATTTTTTATTTTTAATTTTTGTGGGTACATAGTAGGTATACTTTGTCAAAAATATTTAGGGGTACATGAGATGTTTTGATACAAGCATGCAATGTGTAATAATCACATCCTGGAGAATGGAGTATCCATCCCCTCAAGCAGTTATCCTTTGTGTTACAAACCATCCAATTATACTATTTTAGTTATTTTTAAATATGTAATAAAATTATTATTGATTATAGTCACACTGCTGTGCTATCAGAGAGTAGGTCTTACTCATTTTTTCTAAATATTTTTGTACCCATTAACTATACCCATGTTCCCCTCACCTTCCCCTCCACTACCCTTTTCAGGCTCTGGTAACCATCTTTCTTCTATCTTTATGACTTCAATTGTTTTGAGTTTTAGATCCCCAAAAATAAGTGAGAACACGCAATATTTGTATTTCTGTGTGTGGCTTATTTCATTTAACATAATGAGCTCCAGTTCTACTCCAAGTTGTTGCAAATGACAGGATTTCATTCTTTTCTATGACTAAATAGCACTCCAGTATGTATATGTACCACATTTTCTTTATCCATTCACCTGTTAATGAACACTTGGGTTGGTTCCAAATCTTAGCTACTGTGAACAGGGCTGCAGCAAACATAGGAGTACAGATATCCCTTAGTTACACTGATTTCCTTTCTTTTGTGTATATACCCTGCAGTGGGATGGCTGGATCATAAAGCAGCTCTATTTTTAGATTTTTGAGGAACCTCCAAAGAGTTCTCCATAGTGGTTGTACTAATTTATATTCCCATTAGCAGTGTACCAGGGTTCCCTTTTCTCCATATCCTCGCCAGCATTTGTTATTGCCTGTCTTTTGGAGATAAGCCATTTTCACTGGGATGAAACGATATCTCATTGTAGTTTTGATTTTCATTTCTCTAATGATAAATGATGCTGAGCACCTTTTCATAGGCCTGTTTGCCTTTTATATTCTTCTTTTGAGAAATATCTATTCAAATCTTTTGCCCTTTTATTTGATCACATTATTAGATTTTTTTTCAATAGAGTTGTTTGATCTCCTTATATATTCTAGTTATTAATCCTTTGTCAGATGCAAATATTTTTTCCCATTGTGTGGGTTGTCTCTTTAGTTTGTTTATTGTTTCCTTTGCTGTGCAGAAGCCTTTTAACTTGATGTGATCTCATTAATCCATTTTTGCTTTGGTTGCTTGTGCATGTGGGGTATTACTAAAGAAATTTTTGCCCAGTCCAGTGTCCTGGAGATTTCCACCAATGTTTTCTTTTAGTAGTTTCCTAGTTTAAGGTCTTAGGTATAAGTCTTTAGTCTTATTTTGATTTCATTTCTGTACATGGTGAGAGAGGAAGGGGTCTAGTTTCATTCTTCTGCATATGGATATCCAGTTTTCCCAGCATTATTTATTGAAGAGACTATCTTTTCCCCAGTGTTTGTTCTTGGCACTTTTGTAAGAAATAAGTCCACTGTAGATGTATGGATTTGTTTCTGTGTTCTCTATTGTGTTCCATTAATCTATGTACTGGTTTTTATGCCAGTACCATGCTATTTTGGTTACTATAGCTCTGTAGTATAATTTGAAGTCAGTCAATGTGATAGCCCCAGTTTTCTTTTTACTTGAGATAGCTTTGGCTATTCTGGGTCTTTTGTGATTGCATATACATTTTAGGATTTTTTTTTTCTATTTCTGTGAAGAATGTTACTGGTATTTTGATAGGGATTGCATTGAATATGTAGATTGCTTTGGGTAGTATGGACATTTTAACAATATCGATTATGCCAACCCATGAACATGGGATATATTTCCATTTTTGGTGTCCTCTTCAATTTCTTTCATCAGTGTTTTATAGTTTTTATTGTAGATATCTGTCACTTCCTTGCTTAATTCCTAGGTATTTAATTATTTGCAGCTATTGTAAATGGGATTACTGTTTAAACTTCTTTTTCAGATTGTTCACTGCTGGCATATAGAAAGGCTACTGGTTTTTGTACGTCGATTTTGTATCTTGCAACTTTACTGAATTAATTTATCTGTTCTAATAGGGCTTTTTTGTAGAGTCTTTAGGTTTTTCCAAATATAAGATTATATCATCTGTTATTAAGGATAATTTGACTTCTTTCTTACCAACTTGGATTCTCTTTATTTCTTTGTCTTGTCTGATTGCTTTCTCTCTTTTTTTCTTGACCATTTTAGTTAGTGGTTTATCAATCTTGTTGATCATTCAAAATACCAATTTTTGAGTCCATAATTTTTTCTATGTCTTGTCAAGTTTCCATTTTATTTATTTTCACTGTTAACATTACTGTTATCTTTCTACTATCGTTGAGTTTAATTTACTCTCTTTGACCAGATTCTTAAGTAAAAGTTTGATAATTGATTTGAAAACTTTCTTCTTTTCTAGTGAACGTCTTTAAAATTACAAATTTTCTTCTAGGCATTGCTTTAATTTGGTTCATACAAATTCTGATATTATGTATTTTCTTTACCATTTCATTAAAAAGTTCTCTGATTCTTCTTGTAATTTTCCAAGTGGTTTATTTGGAAATATACTGTTTGATTTCCAAATGTTTAGCACTTTTCTGGATATTGTTATTAATTTCTAGTACAATTATATATCAAAATGTAGGAATTTAATAAATTCCTCTTCAAAGGTTTTGGCCTGTAAATTGTTAAGTACAATGAGTTCTGAGATCCTCTCCAAAGAACCAATGTATCAGTATGTTCAGCTTCCCTGTTCTTTGTTCTTCATTTTAAAGTTTAACTTCCTCATTCTCTTTGTCTCCTTGCCCCTAGTTTCAGTAAACAACCCCCTCCTAGCCTCTATCACCTGCTCCATCCTGAATCAACCCTTGTCACCTGCTCTGACCTGAGTCATCTTTAGTCACCTGTTCCTAACCATCCTTCCTGCCAAACTACTCACTCTGCCACCCTGACTGGTACCCGTGCTCTCATTAAAATAGCCAATCGGAATTAGCTTAGACAGTGCGGTCCAACCCTAGCCAATAGGGGAATGACACAGCAGTATGAGCTACCTGCGGCAGGAATAAAAACCCTTTCCCCTCTCTTGTTCAGGTGTGCTCTCGCCATTGCTCCATCCACGAGTCATACCCTTCTATAGAAGTAAAATTGCCTTGCTGAGAAAATTAAATTTATATTCAAGTGCTATTTCTTTTGCGGCACGGAAAATTTGCTTCTAACAATTTGGTGGCCTGTATGGGGAAGCCATTCTCCTCCAGGGGCAGTCTCCGGTCCTCTCTCGTGAGGAGGTGCACCCCACGGCCTCGTTGCGGTGGGCTCAGGGGTAAGGAATCAAGACCCACTTGGTGTGATGAATAAACCTGGACTCTCAGCACCATGGAAAGAAACCAGCTGGCGACCTCGGGAAAGGATCCTTACATACAGCGGCGACTAGGAAACTCTGTGCACAGACCAAGGTAAGAAACGTCACAAAAGTGGCAAAGTATTTCCCTAGTGGTTGGGACCAAGGTAGGAAAAGCCGCAGGGGCAGTGAAGTATTCCTTGGTTGGGACATACCAAGGCACGAAAAGCCACAGGGGTGGTGAAGTATTCCTTGGTCGGGGTATCTTGGGGGTTAAAAAGAGGTAAGGAATCGAGTCTTACCCAAAAGGTGAGAAATTTCCAGCAGGGGAAATTGAGCCTCACCCCAAAGGCAAGAAATTTCCAGTAGGGGAAACTGAGCCTCACCCCAAAAATGGGAAATACCCCAAGTAAGGTAAGAGATAAAAAGGATAAAGCTAGCAACAATATTCCCCCTAATAATCCCCTAGGCCTAACTTTAAAATATTAGAATGATAAAACCAAAAACAAGAAAAAGCAGCTGCTGTCCCAGGCTCTTCTCCTTTCCCTATTGTCCCCCCCTCCTTATAACCCTGCCTTTTGGGAATCGTCCCAAGAGCCCACTATCAGCCTACCCTTCCCTAAAAGGACTTCAGCGTGAGATAGAGCAATGTAAAAAGGATCTTCAGAACTTCCCTTTCTCCTCTTCTCAGGGGAAGAAAGGCATGATCCGTGGAGCTGCTATGGGAGCCTAGGAATGTGAACACCCTCCTGGCCAAAACATTCCTACAGCATATCAAAAATTTCCCACCCAAGATCCCCAGTGGGACAATAACAACACAGCCTACCAAGAAAATATGCAGGACCTTAGGGAATTGATAATAAAGGAGATTAAAGAATCAGTACCCCAAACCCAGAATCTTACCCAAATATTTGATATACAGCAAGGGAAAGATGAAGGGCCTATAGAATTTTTAGACAGATTAAAGGAACAAATGAGAAAATATACTGGTCTTGGTTTTGAGGATCCTCTTGGGCAAGGAATGTTAAAACTTCATTTTGTCACTAAAAGTTGGCCAGATATTAACAAGAAATTACAAAAGATAGAGAATTAGAAAGATAAACCTATAGAAGACCTTCTAAGAGAAGCCCCAAAAGTATATGTAAGAAGAGATGAAGAAAAACAAAAGCAGAAGGCAAAAATTCTGCTGTCTACCATATAACAAACTACCCAGGGGGCCAGAACCTATAAAGAACCTAGACCCCCACTCTCCAAGCAATATAAAGGGTAAAAAGAGTAAAGCCAGGAGACTCAAAGGTAGAGAGAAAAAAAACCTTACAGGAGAGAGAATGACAGAGGGGACAGAGGAAGTCAAAGAGAGAGAGTCAAAGAGAGAGAGAGAGAGAGAGAGAGAAAGAGAGAGCCAAAGAGAGAGAGAGAAAGAGAGAAACAGAGAGAGACAAAGAGAGAGGGAGAGGCAAAGGGAGAGAAAGAGGACAAAACAAATGTTTCCAATTAAAAATAGGTCATCTCAAAAGAGAATGTCCCAAATAGGAAAAAGAACAAAAGTCATATATAAAAGCAAATCAGCTAATATTAAATTTCTGTTAATTCTGGAAGCAGGGACAAATCTATTAGGAAGAAATTTAATGCTAGAACTAGGCTTAGGCCTCCAAATCAATCATGGAAAATTCCACCTCTCCCTATTGCTCACCACTGCAGATGAAGAACACATTCATCCCAAGATATGGCCAAAAGACAGGAATTGAGGAAAGTTACAGATTCCTCCAGTTTATGTTTACTTAAAAACCCCTGGGGGAATAGTAAAGAGAAAGCAATGTACCCTATTCCTTTAAAAGCCAGGGTAAATTTAAAACCTATAATTGATAATTGAATGTCTTCTCCGTGTGGGCTTCTTAACCCTGTATGTCTCCCTATAACACTCCAATACTGCCTGTAAAGAAGCCAGATGGGTCATACCACTTAGTGCAAGACCTTAGAGCTATTAATCAAATAGTCCAAACTACCCACCTTGTTGTTCCCAATCCTTATACTATTATCGGTAGGATCCCCAGTCACCACTGGTTTACAGTAGTAGATTTAAAAGATGCCTTCTGGACTTGGTTGTTGGCAGAGGACAGCCAGGATCTATTTGCCTTTGAGTGAGAAGATCCTCACTCTGGTCGAAAATAGCAAGACCAATAGACAGTCTTACCCCAAGGGTTTACAGAATCTCCAAATTTATTTAGTCAAATATTAGAACAAGTCATTTAATTGCAAAGACAAACAGAGAATTGAGCTTAAGAGATTGAAGGTATCATATCCTTGCCTCTGCCGGAGACAAACAAGAACTTCGAAAATTTTAGGATTGGTCGGGTACTGTTGTCTATGGATAGACTCTTATATCCTAAAAACAAAACCCTTATATAAAAAAAGCTCACGCAAGACGAGCCAAACCCCCTCATTTGGCAATTACCAGAAAGCCAATAGGTGGAAAGATTAAA
Source organism: Homo sapiens (assembly GCF_000001405.40). Lineage (NCBI taxonomy): Eukaryota > Metazoa > Chordata > Mammalia > Primates > Hominidae > Homo > Homo sapiens. The sequence continues at coordinate 63,418,061 of NC_000012.12, forward strand.
ACATCTGTTAGTAACTGCCCGTGTCCTAGCTTTACCCTCCTTAAGCAGCCATTCTATTTTTTGGTCAGTGTAAACAAGGGCATAGCCTTAGATGTACATGCCCAAAAGCACGGAGGCCACTGACAACCCATAGCCTTCCTATAAAAATCCTTCATCCAGTAACCCACAGATTTGCCCAAATGCATTCAATCTGTAGTGAATTTGCTAACAGAAGAAAGTAGAAAAATAACTTTTAGAGGAAACCTCATTGTGAGCACACCTCACCAGGTCAGAACTATCCTAAGTCAAAAAAGCAAAAAGGTAGCTTACTGACTCAAGAATCTCAAAGTATGAGGCTATTCTGTTATGAAAAGATGATATAACATTAACAACTGATAATTCACTTAACCCGGCAGGTTTCCTAATAGCAGATCTAAATCTAAAGAGAGAGCACACATGAAGATGTATGGTTATCCTTTCATGCTCCTATAAAGTAATCTAGAATGAATGGAGTCAGGAGTCATGGATTCTAATATGGACTCATAAGTAAGCTATATCCTTAAAACCTGAATCAGAAAGAAATTTTGTAAGAGATATATACTCTAGAGCATAAGGAATTTCTTTTTTCTAAAACTTATTTAGAAATGTTGGCTTTCCCTGCACTTCAAGGTGCCTGTGTAGAGCTATGAAGGCATCCAGAAAGGAACATTCAATGAGATGGATCAACAAGGTTGTGAAATGAAAAAAAAAAATAATCTCCTTAGCTCAGACTTAAGCCCTGACCAGCACAGGGGAGAAAGAAGTAAGTTTCCCTCTACTCTTCATATTTCTTAATTGGGACAGATCCTTATAACCAAAGACAAATTAACAAGAGGAAAAAAAGTTTATTATCTTATATATCTCATGTATACACGGGAGATAAAGAAATGAGAAAATCTCAAAAAGGTGGCTTTGAATTCAGCCTTAAATACCATCTTTAGCTGAAAGAAAGGTGTTTATGGTACTAGTTATGGGGAGGTGACCAGGAAAAGCAGAGTAAACCAATGTAAGTTTTGTTAGTGTTAGATATGAGTTCTAAATTTCTCTTCAAGGAATCAATATGTCAGTATGTTCAATTATTTGTCTTCTACTTTTAAACTTAACTTCCTCATAAAGCAACCTTTTTCGATGACCTGCTCCACCCTAACTCATTCCCATTACCAGTTCCACCCCGACTCATTCCAATTCCCTGCTCCACTCTGACTCATTCCGATTACCTGCTCCACTCTGACTCATTCTGATTGCCTACTCCACCCTGACTCATTCCAATTACCTGCTCATTCTCCGCCCAGACTCATTCTGATTTCCTGCTCTGCCATAACCATTTTTCCCGCCAAACAACTTACCCAGTCACTCTCTTTAAATTAGCCAGTCGGAATTAGTTTAGCCTCTGCGGTCTAACCCTAGCCAATAGAGGAACAACACAGCAGCAGGGGCCATGTGTGTCAGGGATAAGAACCCCTTCCCCTCCCTTGTCCAAGTGTGCGCTCACCATTGCTCCATCTGTAAGGGCGCACCCTTCTATAGAAGCACATTGCCTTGCTGAGAATTAAAAAGAAAATTTTATATTTGAGTGCATTTCTTTTGTGGCACTGAAACTTTATTTATTACATTGGGCAGATTTAAGTCAGTGCCTTCTTCATAGGTAAGAATGTCTAGTGATTTAGAGCCATCTTTCTCTTGCTAGTGCAAAGAGGAAACTCCCTTACAAATGGAGATTTCCCTTATAGATGTAAATTTCTCTTACAAATGGTAACTTCTGCTCTGTTTTTAAGCTTCTCCTGTGTCTATAGTTTCTCCAAAGAATTAACTCAAAATAATTCTTAAGCCAAAGAAGCATATTTTGGGGTGGCATATTCTGGTCTCCAACACTAAGACCCACTTTCTGATAATAATAAGAGATAATTTCTTATTAAACATACTTTAGGTCAATGTTTAGAGGTCTTTTGAGAGCCATGGAAAGGATACACATATTAAAGTTTCTGAGAAGGCTTAACTTTAAGTAACCTATTTTACTTTATTTTTTAAAAGCTGCTTTTGAGTATGATTAGTCTTCTTGACATCAATTCCTTAAGATAAAGGAGCTTCCCAAATGGTGTAGTTTCCCCAATAATCAGGAGTGGCTCAGATATCAATCAAGATCAAGACATTTTTTAAAAAACATTTTCATTCACGTAGGGGGTTCTAGAAATCTGCGGGCTGGGCTGATCAAGAAAAAACATGTGACCACGAGGTGGCAGTAGCACACACATCTTTACTGAGCAGCACTTCACTTTGACGGATTTACATGGTGAGGAAGTCCCTCACAGCAGGAGTCTATCTGGAGGCTACAGCTTGATAACTACTCACAAAGGGAGGAGAGCAAGGGAACTCTAGAGGAAGAGGGAAATTAAATAGGTGGTTATGTGTCTAGGCAATGTCAGCAGCACAACAGGGACTCTCCAAATACAGAGTTCCAAAGGGACTGTAGCTTACGGTCTTTATGGCTCCAGGCTTATCTTACAATTTGCTAGCAGACATTGGGCACAGTTTCACAGAATATTCGAAACAGGCAGGCTCTAAATGGCTAAAAATGTGCTATTTGGTGTTTGTTTCAAACAGTTGGATGTGTAAATATTAGAATTTGCTCTGCTGCTCAGCCTGCACTAAAGAAATATTAAATAGCCAAGTGATCAATATACAGAAGCTATCTGTCTTAGTCTATTTGTGCTGCTATAACAAAATACTACAGACTGGGTGATTTATAATGAACAGAAATGTATTTGCCTCATTATTCTGGAGGCTGGGAAGTTCACGATTGAGGGTCCACATATAGTGAGAGCCTCGTTGCTGTGTCATAACATGGTGAGAGAGAGAGAGAGAAAGAAGGAAGCCAAACTCATCCTTTTATTAGGAACACACCCCCTTGATAACCAACCAAATAACAGCATTAATCCACTCATGAGGGCAAAGCCTTCATAACCTAATCACCTCTTAAAGGTGCCACCTCTAAAAACTGTTGCACTAGGGATTAAGTTTCCAGCACATGAAATTGGAGGACACATTCAAACTATAGCATTATCTTTGGCTCATTTACATCACAAGTCATATCACACTAATAGCCATTAGAAGTAGTTCTAATCTATTTGTCCTAAACTTATTTCTCCTTCATTTTAAGGTGTCCTGCAAATATACTAGTTCAGATATAACAAGATTTGATGAATCAATCATTAAAAATGGAATGAACAGAGGCTCTGAAGTCAGATCTGGGGTGTGAGTCTAGGAAATTGCTTACCATTTCTTAGTCCCAATGTCTTCCTCTGTGAAATGACAATAATAGTGTCTTGGCTTATGAAGCTGTTGTGAATATTAAATTTGATTATATAAGCAACTAGCTTAGCATTAGTGCTTAATATATTTTCATTTCCTTTTTCTGTTATCATTATTTTGGCTTTATTTATATTTCCTAGTCTTTCTTGGTTCCTCTCAACTCTCTTCACTAAAGACCCTAATATTTGAAGTCAGTCTTCATTGAACAACCCCTTCAGGCACACTGTCTTGAATCAAAGAGATAATTGTAATTGTCACTTTTCTTGACCCTATCCAACAATATCATAAGTTTCTTGAATTGCAGAAATCAAGGTTGCCCAAGGAGTTTCTAGTAGTAGCCACTAAACCTAACCTCAACTCCTTGTACTTGCCATTATTTCATTATTTGAAAGGAGATTTGCACATGTTTATGTGTACTTTCCAGTAAAGGTTCTGATCAGGGTTACAGTTTTGTTGCCCTTCTTAGCTATAGCAGAATATTCAGCTGAGAACAGTTTCTCATGATTCAGAATCCTGCTCTGGGTAATAACTGAGGGCTTAAGACATTTCATCTTTGAATATAACCACAGTTGTTTTCCCCTAAATGTCCTTCCTTTCCTTCCCCCACTGGCACACATCTAACACTTTTCACTCTGGGATATTCCTGTCACTTGGATATTCCTTTTTCAAAAAGAGATTGGTACCCTCTGTATCCATGGAAATTACATTACATCACTCTCTGAAATAAAACTAGTGTCAAAGGAACTTGATAACGTTGCTTAAATTCATCTGGTCAGTTGATTGATCCGGTTTGTTCTCTTTAAGTCATCCTATCTACGACTAAATAAAATGGCCCCTAATCCATTCATTTATTCAAAAATATTTGGAGTGCCTGCTGTGTGCTAGCTACTGTTCTAGGCACTGGGAATATTGAAGTGAATGAGGTAGAAGTCTTGATCTCATGGACTTTAGTTTCTAGTGATGAGAGACTGACAGTAGACAAGTCAACATAAAACTAAACAAGATGGTTTCAACCAAGGATAAATGCCTGAACTGTTGTGTATCTGACAAGGAAGGAAAGAATCAGAGAGGAAACAAAAAGTTTAGAAAATTGCAGGGACTCTACGCCTTTCCCAGAGAAAGTCAAAGTGGGATGTCAGAGGTTATAGGACCCTAGACAGATCTGAAGACTTAGGAAAATAAGATCCATGTCCCTTTCCTGAATAGGGCACAGAAAAGAGGGAAGACTACAGAATTTCCCCCAGGCCCTGCATGTTTCAAGAACAAAAGAAATGTCCATTTCTGATGTCCATGTAGATGGTCTGAGACACCACAAAAATGCAGAGGTGCAGAGAGGGCATTAATATGCCATAGGTCATTGGCAGGCCAAAGAAGCCTTGAAATTGGAGCATGGAGCTTGACCTTGGGAGATGCTTTTTTATTCTACTTTGGAATCTTACTTTAAACCCCAGATGGTGTGATATAGGAAACAACTCCACCATTACAAAAAAATTTACTCCTACATTGTGCATAGTGCTAAAGTAGAATGGAAAACAGAAAAAAAATACTGAAGGATTAAAAGCAACCCTGTGGAAAATTAGAAACAACAGTTGCCCAATTAAACTTCAACTCATGTAGAAGTGCTTGTGAAGTTGACCTTCATAAAGATAGCTGCCTGTACACGTTCCATGATTTTTACAAAGGAAAAGGCGTTTTTTTCCAGTCCCCTTTAGAAGCGCACAAAGCTTTAAATGTACAAACATTTTAAACCACCCACATACACTCCTACCTAGATAATTAATTCTTAAATCCATTAGATTAACTCAACCATGGCCAAGGGTGAATAATTGCTTGTGATTTTACAGATAAACTGAGTTTCTTTGGTGCTGAAGCTAAAATACCATTATTGGAGCAAGGACCCTGGCAGAGGACTGAAAGAGGACAGTGCCTGCACACTGGGAGCTCTGAGTCACTTTCCATACTCTTCCTTTCTTTCTTCTCTCTTGATTCTCTAGTCTTGAAGTCCAGTGAAATAGTATTGCTAAAGTCAAAAATCCTCAGAAAAGCCAACAATATTTACAAGTTTGCAGAGTTAATATGTGTGAGTTTTGTTTGTTTGCAGAAGAAAAAAGATTAAAACATAATAAAAGAAAACAAAAAACCAAACAAATATCCACTCCTGAAGAAATAGGAAATGAATATGATGAGTGGGCAGAACCAAGTCATGGTATCATAAAAATAAAATTTGTTGTATCCTGTAGAAAAGAAAAAGTAAACAATTGGAGAGGACAATGACACTATTGTATGTGAGAAAATACTTAAGTATATATCTTTTTATTCACTATCCTTCATAATCAAGAAGGGCTTTTGAAACACATTTAGTTTTTTTTCTACCTTTGAGCTTATTATTTTTATGGCTAATGATGACTTTTCTAACATTTACAATTTTGTTACACATATTTTGAAGTTGAAAACTCTGGAAATAAAGAAATTAATTTTTAAATATGCTTTTTCAAAAAAGACTCCAACGCATGGTTTAACAACCTTGAAAGACAAGTATGACAGGCTTATAAATATGGAAGAACACCAGTCTTCTATTAGAGATAGCAATAGATTGTGTCATTGTAAAGATAGACACCTGCCTACAAGCTCCGACCCTGGAAGAATTCATTTTCAACCACTGAAAGCAGAGAATTCAACTAGTGAATGTTCGAATCAGCATATGAGAAACATAAATGGAATTTAGTTATGATTTCAGGCCCTTTGCCTCTAGGTGCTTGAAGTACGTACTATGTTCAGGTTTCTACCAATTCTGTGACTTGGCAAAGTCTATCCATTCTTCATAGATTTTACTAGCTCTCCAGAGACTTGACTCATGGTTTCTTCTGCCTCCTAGTCCTGGTAGACTGTGTTGCTTCAGATGCCAAATAGAACTCTTCACTCTTCTCTGGGTTAAAACCATTCCTAGCACACATATTGCAATGACAAGATGCATATATGGGAATCATTAAAAGATCAACATTATTATGGAATATTTAGCTTTCAATTTTCTCTTTCTGTCCTTTTCTCACTTTACCTCCTTCTCTCTTTCAGGAATAAAGTGAATCCCTCTCTATGCCTCATGTAGAACAACTAAACAACTATTTTTATTGCTTAAGAATCCTTTAGGGTCTCGTTCTGCACAGCAATGACTTATTAAAGTATGCCTTCCATACAAGCAATTTGTTCCCCAAAAGAGAACCTCTGGGAGTTAAATTTTCTATCTTACTATATAAATATGCTTTACACATCACTCAAGAGTTTACTAAGCTGCTAGTATCTGCCAGACACTTCCTACTATGTGCTGTTCCCTATTCTAAGCACTGGGGATGTGGCGGGAAAGAAGACAGATAAAGTTGCTGCCCTCATAAAGATGATGTCTCATGTGTATGGGGTGGGGAGGGATGATAGATGACAAACACAGACATCTGCAAACATATGCACAGATATAATGCAGTTCCACATAGCAATCATTACTATGCAGATGATAAAGCAGTGTAGTGGAATAGAGACTGACTGGAAGACAGGAGTGGGTGTGCTGTCTTTGGCGTCTGTAGATGTGGGTAATAGGAAAAACATTTTCAGAAGAGGTGAGATTTCCATTAAGACGTAAATGTGGAGAAGCAGCCAGCCATGCAAAGGCATCAGAGGGGGACACTGCAAGCAGAGAAGACTCTTGAGTACAAATATCCTAAGAAAGGAACATGTCATGGTCAAGGGACAGAGAGAAGACCCTTGTGGATGGACAATTGTGAGCCAGGGAGAGAGAGGTAAGAGATCAAGCTGGGGAGAGAATCAGGGGCCAAACATAAAGAGCCTTCTGGGTTCCAGCAAGGAGTTTGAGTTATACTCAAATTATAGTGGAAAATCACTAGAAAATTTGGAGGAGGAATATGATACAATATGAATGTTACTTTTTAAAAGATTATTTCAGCTGTTGAGGGTGAAAAGAATATGAGGGCATATGCAGAATCCAGGAGTCCATTTGAGGGGCCACTACGGGGTCACTCAGATGGGGATGGTAACTGCAGAATTAGTCAGAAGTGGTCAAGTTAGGTTATGTTTTTGAGGTGGATCCTATGAAGCTTGGTGACAGAGTGTCAGGTGATGAGTTACAAGGGAATGAACAGAATCAGGAATGACACCAGGGTCCTCCATATGTAACAGAAAAAGAAGCATGATTACTGAGGCACATCCCACTCCTTGGTATAGGAAAGTTATATATAATTTTTTTTCTTTCTCAGGCTTCTGACACGCAGAAGTTTCCACTCAATGCTATCAGAAAGCTGTGACTGGATAGGTTGAATGAAAACATACGTGATTATGAATATACAATGTACAGCATATCCTGACATAAGATTTGTTTCTTGGGGTAGGAGACTTGTTTTCCAGGGTTTTTATGAAAATAATAGATTAGGTGAGGATGATTGGACTCATACTTTAAAACAAGAAATATATACACCTTTGCTAAGTAGCTACATCATTTAACACATGGACTACTAGGAATATATACAGTGGAGTACCAGCTACAGATGAAAGATCAGCCTGTTCTGATGCCCCCTGTATTCTTTTTCTTCTTGCATAGTCCACGTCCTGCTGATTCCTCTTGTATGTGTTCATGTTGTTCCTGCATGGTGAAGATCAGAGTCCTCACTTTCTATCTCTAATTATAAACTTACTCAACTCACATTAACAAAAATCTGCTTCCATTGTGTTTCTAAGGGTGCCTATTTTCTCCCAACTCTTGGAAAAATTTCTCCTACTATATTAATCTGTTCTCACACTGCTTATAAAGACATATACGAGACTGGATAATTTATAAAGAAAAAGAGGTTGAATGGACTCACAGTTCCATATGGCTGGGATGGCCTCACAATCATGGTGGAAGGCGAAGGGGAAGGAAGGCATGTCTTACATGGCAGCAGACAAGGATGCTTGTGCAGGGGAACCCCCGTTTATAAAACCATCAGATCTCATGACACATATTCACTACCATGAAAACAGTAAGGGGTAAACTGCCCCCATGATTCAATTATGTCCACCTGGCCCTGCTTTTGACACATGGGGATTAGTATAATTCATGGTGAGAGTTGGGTGGGGACACAGCCAAACCATATCATTCCACACCTGACCCCTTCCAAATCTCATGTCTTCATATTTCAAAACAAATCATGCCTTCCCAACAGTTCCCCAAAGTTTTAACTCATTTTAGCATTAACTCAAAATTCCACAGTCCAAAGTCTCATCTGAGACAAGCCAAGTCCCTTCCACCTATGAGCCTGTAAAATCAAAAGCAAGTTAGTTACTTCCTAGACACAATGGGAGTATAGGCATTAGGTAAACACACCCATTCCAAATGGGAGAAATTGGCCAAAATAAAGGGACTATGGGCCCCATGCAAGTCCAAAATCCAGTGGGGCAGTCAAATATTAAAGCTCCAAAATGATCTCCTTTGACTCCATGTCTCACATCCTGGTCACACTGATGCAAGAGGTGGGCTTCCATGGCCTTGGGCAGCTCTGCCTCTGTGGCTTTACAGGGCACAGCCCCACTTCTGGCTGCTTTCATTGGCTGGCATTAAGTGTCTGTGGCTTTTCCAGGTGCAAGGTGGAAGCTATCAGTGGATCTACCATTCTGGGGTCTGGGGGACAGTGACCCTCTTCTCACAGCTCCACTAGGCAGTGCCCCAGTGGGGACTCTGTGTAGAGGCTCCAATCCCACATTTCCCTTCCACACTGCTCTAGCAGAGGTTCTCCATGAGGGCCCCGCCCCTGCAGCAAACTTATCCCTAGACATTTAAGTTTCCATATGATGTGGTTTGGCTGTGGCCCCATTCAAATCTCAGCTTGAATTGTATCTCACAGAATTCCCATGTGTTGTGGGAGGGGCCCAGCGGGAGGTAATTGAATCATGGGGGCTGGTCTTTCCCATGCTATTCTTGTGATAGTGAATAAGTCTCATAAGATCTGATGGATGTATCAGGGGTTTCTGCTTTTGCTTCCTTCTCATTTTTTTTCTCTTGCTGCTGCCATGTAAGAAGTACCTTTCACATCCCACCATGATTCTGAGGCCTCCCAAGCCATGTGGAACTGTAAGTCCAATTAAACCTCTTTTGCTTCCCAGTCTCGGGTATGTCTTTATCAGCAAAGTAAAAACGTACTAATACACCATACATCCTCTGAAATCTAGGCAGAGGTTCCCAAACCTCAATTCTTGACTTCTGTGTACCCATAGGCCCAACACCATGTGTAAGCTGCCAAGGCTTGGGGCTTGCACCCTCTGAAGCAATGGCCTGATCTGTACGTTGGCCCCTTTTAGCAATGGCTGGAGCTAAAGCAACTGGGAGGCTGGGCGCCATGTCCTGAGGCTGCACGCCATGTCCTGAGGCTGCATAGCGCAGGGGAGCTCTGGACCCAGCCCGGGAAACCATTCTTTCTCCTTGGTTTCCAGGCCTGCAGTGGGAGAGGCTGCCAGGAAGGCCTCCGACATGCCCTGGAGACATTTCCCCCCTTGTCTTGGTGACTAGCATTTGGCTCCTCATTACTTAAGCAAATTTCCACAGCTGGCTTGAAAAAAGAAAAATTGGTTTTTCTTTTCTACTGCATCATCAGGCTGCAAATTTTCCAAACTTTTATGCTCTGTCACCTCTTGAATGCTTTGCCACTTAGAAATTTCTTCCAACAGATACCCCAAATCATCTCTGTCAAGTTCAAAGTTCCACAGATCTCTAGGGCAGGGGCAAAATGCCACCAGTCTATTTGCATAGCAAGAGTGACCTTTACTCTGTTTCCCAACAAGTTCATCTCCATCTGAGACCACCTCAGCCTGGATTTTATTGTCATAATCACTATCAGCATTTTAGTCAAAGCCATTCAACAAATCTCTAGGAAGTTCAAAACTGTCACATCTTCCTGTCTTCTGTGTCCTCCAAGTCTCTAGGAAGTGCTAAACTTTCCCACACTTTTCTGTCTTCTTCTGAGCCCTTCAAACTATTCCCACGTCTGCCTATTATCCAGTTCCAAAATCACTTCCACAGTTTCAGTATCTTAATAGCAGTAACCCACCCTACTGGTACTATTTACTGTATTAGTCCATTTTTATACTGCTATGAAGAAATGCCCAAGGCTGGGTAATTTATAAAGAAAAAGTGGATTAATGGATTCAAAGTTCCACATGGCTGGGGAAGCCTCACAATCATGACGGAAGGTGAACGAGGAACAAAGGCACGTCTTACATGGTGTCAGGTAAGAGGACGTGTGCAGGAGAACTGCCCTTTGTAAAACTGTCAGATCTCATGAGACTTATTCACTATTGTAAGAATAGCATGAGCAAAACCTGCCACCATGATTCAATTACCTCCTTCTGGGTCCCTTCTACAACATGTGGGGATTATGGGAGCTACAATTCAAGATGAGATTTGGGTGGGGACATAGCCAAACCATATCAACTATTAAATCCTTTTCTGCTTCTTTAGTATAACTGGTCATGTGAAATATATTGACAGACATTCTTTTAGTATTTAACTAAAGATTATACACACACAAATATATCTTCACACATATAGATAGATATAGATATAAAATTCTAATTCAGAGAGCTTCTAAATAAAAAACAGAAGTATACACTGAATATGAATAAACTGTGTTTTAACTGAAAAAGCTGTGGTTATAAAGTGACATCATGCTGCTAACAATGTCTTTAAAAGTTCCAGCTGTGAACTGACACATGCTGGACATGAAAACTACAACTCTGACATGAAAATGTGATGTGGCCAACTCATTAAAAATATCACTGACATCAAAATAAGCTCTGGAATTTTTTCACTACAGCATCTGTAAAGATCTCATTACTGGCATTTTGACAACTGCATATATTTCAGAGTGTGGGTTTACTGTTCCAGGTGCAGTTTGCAAAACATTCCCTTCTTCCATTTTGCAAGTTCTTCATATTGAAATGGTATTAGGTTGAAAGTTCTTGTCTCATCTTATAGCACTATGCGCAGGAGGCACTTTACTTGGTAGTGATACATGTCTTAGGCACCTTGGGTTCTTTTATGATTTCCATGCCACACAGAGCTCAGGGTGGACACACTGCAGGGCTTCAGGATACATTTCCTATTCCCCTTCTTCCCTCCCATCATGAACCCTCTTGCACTAATCTTCTATGACCAATTTCTGTCCCATTCCTTATACCTAGATTCTGTCTCCGTGTCTAGCTTCTTCACATTAATACAATATTCAGACTGTATTTCTGGCTTTGTACTCCATATCGTCTCTTAGATCACCCTATATCTTGATTGGGCTCCCCATGACCTTAATTCAGGTCATCCACTCCAAGTTTACTCTTGTCTGAAAATGAGTTTAGAAGTCATATTATCAAAGGCCTGGGTGACGGTGGCAAACCTCCTCTTCAAACACTTTTCTCATCCATTTACTAGTACCTCATCTGTTTACTAGTACTTATAATTAAATTATGCCATAAACATAACATTATTTCATAATGCCAAGACATTTTCTTGTCATTCTAGAATCTTTAGTACTTGCTAAAGTTTGAATCATTCCAAGCCTGGCATTTTTAATAATCTGGGTACAAGTTTTTATAAGGAAACAGTGCCTTGGGACTGAGTTGGAAGGGACAAAACCAGGCATGTATGTGGGCATCCTTATATGTGCTCAACATTGGGCTGCTGTTTATGTCTCCAAGTCACAAAGTCATACTTTCTTTTACTGCAATTTTTTATTCTTAAAAATGTGCAGAATTAAATAAGTCCAAGTTTTCAGTAGAAATAACTTGTACAAAGAAGCTGAGGATGGTTTAATCTAATTGCTAATCATGCAGGCAACATGTTTTCTTAGGAAAGGAATTAGGGAATTAACATGGATTAGGCACCTAGGTGTGTCAGGAGCATCACAAACATCTCACACAACAACCATAGAAGGTAGTCATGATTGTTCCCAATTTAGTGAGAAGGAAACTAGGCAAGGCCACAGATCTATTAGTAGCACAGCCAGGATTCAAACCTAAATTATTCTTTCTCTTCATCTCACATATTTGTCACATTCTATATAAAAGAAGAGATTTACTACAGTTAAGAGCTCAGATTTTAGTCAGGTAGACCTGGGTTCAAATCTTCCCTCTGCCCCTATTAAATTTCTGAGATCCAGGATAAGACAATTTACTTAGGAGCCTTGTTTAATATTCTTTATATCCTTCTGCCAGTTTTACATATATTCCACCTTTGTTGTAACCTTCATTTCTGTTGTTTAATGTCTATTATTGTTTTCATTGCTTATTGTCCATATGTCATTAAATGTATATGTCCTCTCTTTTTATCTGTAATTTCCATCATTGTGTCAAATTCAGAATTAATTTCTGGTACCTCCTGGTGCTTCAAAATGGAAGGGCTGGGCATTTCAGTATTACTTCAACTGTCATTTCCATACATGCTAAAGAATATTTCATCAATAATTATTTTTTCAAATAAATTGTCACATTTACAGTATTTCTGTATACAATAAATGTTTGTGGAGTTCATGTATATGACCCATGTCAAAATACGGCTCCTTCTAATGATCAGGGAAAGTTTAAAATGGCTGGCTCTTGAAGTAATTGGCTCTTATTTGGACTAATAAATCATGAAAATATGCACTGCCTATAAAAATGCATATTCTTCATCTAAAGATTTTTAGTTAAATGCTTACTTCCAAAAACAGGATTGTTGATATGATATGATACAATAATGGCTAATATAGTGCTAACCACATGGCAGATACTGCTCCCAGTTTTACATACATAATTTATATATAATCAATTTTTATATATAATTTGTATATAATTATATATAATTTTACTTATATATAATTTATTACTCATAATAACACTATGAGGAAAGTACTATTATTATTATTATTCTCATTTTACAGAGACATTAAGTAACTTGCCCAAGTCACATGGCTAGAAAGTGCCCATAGGGCACAAATCAGAGATGGAATGAAAATTATTTAATATGTGATATTGGAACTGTTGGTTTTCTGCATGGAAAAAATAAAATTAGATATCTATCTTAATAAGCCTCAGCTAGATTAATATCTATGTGTAAAATAAATAATTTTAAATATTAGAAGAAAATATAGGGACTAGGCCAGGAGCAGTGGCTTACACCTGTAATCTCAGCACTTTGGGAGGCAGAGGCAGGCGAATCACCTGAGGCCAGGAGTTCGAGATCAGCCTGGCCAACATAGTGAAACCCAGTCTCTACTAAAAATACAAAATTTAGCCAGGCATAGTGACAAGTGCCTGTAGTCCCAGCTACTTGGGAGGCTGAGGCATCAGAATCACTGAACCTGGGAGGTGGAGGTTGCAGTGAGCAAAGATCACGCCACTGCACTCCAGCGTGGGTGATACAGGGAGACTCCATCTCAAAAAAAAAAAAAAATATATATATATATATATATTTTAATATAGTAGAGGAGCTTAGAAATAGAGGAGTGTATATATATAAATACATATATATATATAAAATACATATACGTACACACATATATTCCATATATATATGGAACAAATTTCTAACACTGATGATAAGGAAGCATGCATTATACAAAACAAAAGAAAAATTACACATTTGATGAATCAAAAATTGGTTATATCAAAATTGAAAGTGCATGTTCAACAAAAGACATATAACTAAAGTTGAAAGTGAAGAACAAACAAGGGAGAAGATAACCAAACTCGTATACAAAATATTTTTTAAACCTCCAGAAATCAACTTAAAAAAGAAAAATAATCCCACAGAAAATGGACAAAGGATACGAAAAGGTAATAATCAGCAGAGGAAACCCAAATGACCTGACAAAATGATCAGTTATTTGGAAAATGAAAATTCAAACAGGAAGATATCATTTCTCATCATCAAACTGTCAAAAACTTTAGTGTTGGCAAGAAAGCAGAGAAATGGGAATGCTATATGTTACCGTAGAAATATAAATGGATAGAACCATTTTGGAGATTTGTCTCATAAGTCAATGTTTGTCTCATAAAACTTTTAAAAGCAGTTCTAAATATAGGCATATATCCTAGCATGGTTTTTGCATTCATGCTCAAGAAAACTATAGAAAGTTAATCATTACAACAGTGCTTAAAAATAACAAAATAGAAGGGACAAATGAAGGTAACCTAAATGAGCATCGAAAGTAGACAATTGATGTGACTTATTCATAATATGGAATTCTATACAGCAGTTAAAAGAAATGATTTTTTTGCAGCTATAATTGCATATGTATAAATACATACCTTCAACACGAAAACTTATCTGTGAAAAAATAATTTGCATATCAGGAGTAATATTTTTCATGTACATTTTCTAAAAAGGACAAATAAAAATTTATTGACCAACATCTTCAAGTAATAATAATTGGATCATTAAGGTAATTAAGAAATTAATAATTAAATTATCATTGGATTAATTAGTACAATTAGGACATATCTGCAAAATAGTAAATATTGCTTAATTAGAATAATTAATTAGGAAAATATAGGTAAAAAATAGGATTTGAGTCATATCTATGGAAATTAAAATGAAATTAGAGTCCTTAAGTAATTAGAGTGGTTAGTGTAATTAAGAAGTAATACTAAAATTTCTGTGGCTTAACCCAATAATTGATTTATTGCACACATAATTGTCTAGTGCAGGTTTTCCTTATTATCACATACTCTTCCTCCATGATTGATTCAGGGATTCAGAGGCCAATCTTTAAACATCCAGCCAACGAAAAGAAAAACAGAATGTAGAGAGAGGACAACTGCTTGGTAAAACTTTGGCAAGAAGTGATTTGCATTGGTGAGAAATAGAAGTCCACACCTAAACAGAGGAGTTTAGAAATGTAGCCACTGGCTGAACAGCCATTTCCCAGTGACAACTCTAAACTATGAAATGCAAGCAGAAATTGTAGCAAACAGCTGGCCATCTGTAATTCACACCAAATTTAGTATTTTCTTATAAATGAAGGCAAGTCAGGGAGTGGGAGAGTGGAAGAGAGACAAAAAAGACTTGAACATAATTTATATTGCTTTGTAGAAAAAAGATGTAAATCAAATATGAGACAGTTAATAATTGTTCTGTAAGTACAAGCATAGCTCATTTTATTGCACTTTGCAGATATTGCGCTTTTTATGAATTGAAGGTTTGTGGCAACCTTGCAGGGCAATGATGCTTTACAAGCCTACTGGCACCACTTTTCCAACAGCACGCACTCACTTCGTGCCTCTGTGTCACATTTTGGTAATTATCTCAATATTTCCAACTTTTTCATTATTATTATATCTGTTATGGTGATCTGCAATTGGGTCACCATGAACCATTCCCCTATAACACAGTGAACTTAATCCATAATTGTGTGTGTTCTGACTGCTTCACCAACCTGCCATTACCCCTCATCTCTCTCCCTCTCTTCAGGCCTCTCTATTCCCTGAGATACAACAATATTGACATTTGGCCAACTAATAATCCTACAATGGCCACTAAGTGTTCAAATGAAATGGTCACACATCTCTCACTTTAAAACAAAAACTAGAAATGATTGAGCTTAGTGAGAAAGGCATGTCAAAAACTGACACAGGCCAAGCTTGGTGGCTCACACCTGTCATCTCAGTGCTTTGGGAGGGGAGGCCAAGGGTTGGGAGGCCAAGGCGGGAGAATCACTTGAGGCTAGGAGTTCAAGGCCAGTCTGGGCAACATAGCAAGACTTTGTCTCGAAGAAACTGCCAAGATGGCCAAATAGGAACAGCTCCAGTCTACAGCTCCCAGCGTGAGTGACGCAGAAGATGGGTGATTTCTGCATTTCCAACTGAGGCACCAGGTTCATCTCACTGGGGAGTGTCAGAAAGTGGGTGCAGGACAGTGGGTGCAGTGCACCAAGCGTGAGCCGAAGCAGGGCAAGGCATCGCCTCACCCAGGAAGTGCAAGGGGTCAGGGAATTCCCTTTCCTAGTCAAAGAAAGGGGTGACAGACGGCACCAGGAAAATCAGATCACTCCCACCCTAATACTGCACTTTTCCAACGGTCTTAGCAAACAGCACACCAGGAGATTATATCCCGCGCATGGCTCAGAAGGTCCTATGCCCACGGAGCCTCGCTCACTGCTAGCAGAGCAGTCTGAGATCAAACTGCAAGGCGGCAGCGAGGCTAGGGGAGCGGTGCCCGCCATTGCCGAGGCTTGAGTAGGTAAACAAAGTGACTGGGAAGCTCTAACTGGGTGGAGCCCACCACAACTCAAGGAGGCCTGCCTGCCTCTGTAGACTCCACCTCTGGGAGCAGGGCATAGCCAAACAAAAGGCAGTAGAAACCTCTGCAGACTTAAATGTCCCTCTCTGACAGCTTTGAAGAGAGTAGTGGTTCTCCCGGCACGCAGCTTGAGATCTGAGAACGGACAGACTGCCTCAAGTGGGTCCCTGACCCCCAAGTAGCCTAACTGGGAGGCACCCCCTAGGAGGGGCAGACTGACACCTCACACGGCCGGGTACTCCTCTGAGACAAAACTTCCAGAGGAATGATCAGGCAGCAACATTTGCTGCTCACCAATATCCGCTGTTCTGCAGCCTCCACTGCTGATACCCAGGCAAACAAGGTCTGGAGTGGACTTTCAGCAAACTCCAACAGACCTGCAGCTGCGAGTTCTGACTGTTAGAAGGAAAACTAACAAACAGAAAGGACGTCCACACCAAAACCCCATCTGTAAGTCACCATCATCAAAGACCAAAGGTAGATAAAACCACAAAGATGGGGAAAAAACAGAGCAGAAAAACTGGAAACTCTAAAAATCAGAGCACCTCTCGTCCTCCAAAGGAATGCAGCTCCTCACCAGCAATGGAACAAAGCTAGACAGAGAATGACTTTGACAAGTTGAGAGAAGAAGGCTTCAGACGACCAAACTATTCTGAGCTAAAGGAGGAAGTTTGAACCCATGGCAAAGAAGTTAAAAATCTTGAAAAAAGATTAGATGAATGGCTAACTAGAACAAACAATGCAGAGAATCCTTAAAGGACCTGATGGAGTTGAAAACCACGGCATGAGAACTACAAGATGAATGCAAAAGCTTCAGTAGCCGATTCGATCAACTGGAAGAAGAGGTATCACTGATGGAAGATCAAATGAATGAAATGAAGCAAGAAGAGAAGTTTAGAGAAAAAAGAATAAAAAGAAACAAACAAAGCCTCCAAGAAATATGGGACTATGTGAAAAGACCAAATCTACGTCTGATCGGTGTACCTGAAAGTGACGGGGAGAATGGAACCAAGTTGGAAAACACTCTGCAGGATATTATCCAGGAGAACTTCCCCAATCTAGCAAGGCAGGCCAACATTCTAATTCAGGAAATAAAGAGAATGCCACAAAGATACTCCTCGAGAAGAGCAACTCCAAGACACATAATTGTCAGATTCACCAAAGTTGAAATGAAGGAAAAAATGTTAAGGGAAGCCAGACAGAAAGGTCGGGTTACCCACAAAGGGAAGCCCATCAGACTAACAGCTGATCTTTCGGCAGAAACTCTCCAAGCCAGAAGAGAGTGGGGGCCAATATTCAACATTCTTAAAGAAAAGAATTTTCAACCCAGAATTTCATATCCAGCCAAATTAAGCTTCATAAGTGAAGGAGAAATAAAATCCTTTACAGACAAGCAAATGCTGAGAGACTCTGTCACCACCAGGCCTGCCCTAAAAGAGCTCCTGAAGGAAGCACTAAACATGGAAAGGAACAACCGGTACCAGCCACTGCAAAATCATGCCAAATTGTAAAGACCATCGAGGCTAGGAAGAAACTGCATCAACTAACGAGCAAAACAACCAGCTAACATCATAATGACAGGATCAAATTCACTGATAACAATATTAACCTTAAATGGAAATGGGCTAAATGCTCCAGTTAAAAGACACAGTCTGGCAAATTGGATAGAGTCAAGAACCATCAGTGTGCTGTATTCAGGAAACCCACCTCACGTGCAGAGACACACATGGCTCAAAATAAAGGGATGGAGGAAGATCTACCAAGCAAATGGAAAACAAAAAAAGGCAGGAAAAGAGGAAGTCAAATTGTCCCAGTTTGCAGATGACATGATTGTATATCTAGAAAACCCCATCATCTGAGCCCAAAATCTCCTTAAGCTGATAGGCAACTTCAGCAAAGTCTCAGGATACAAAATCAATGTGCAAAAATCACAAGCATTCTTATACACCAATAACAGACAAACAGAGAGCCAAATCATGAGTGAACTCCCATTCACAATTGCTTCAAAGAGAATAAAATACCTAGGAATCCAACTTACAGGGGATGTAAAGGACCTCTTCAAGGAGAACTACAAACCACTGCTCAATGAAATAAAAGAGGATACTAACAAATAGAAGAACATTCCATGCTCATGGGTAGGAAGAATCAATATCGTGAAAATGGCCATACTGCCCAAGGTAATTTATAGATTCAATGCCATCCCCATCAAGCTACCAATGACTTTCTTCACAGAATTGGAGAAAACTACTTTAAAGTTCATATGGAACCAAAAAAGAGCCCACATTGCCAAGTCAATCCTAAGCATAAAGAACAAAGTTGGAGGAATCATGCTACCCGACTTCAAACTATACTACAAGGCTACAGTAACCAAAACAGCATGTTACTGGTACCAAAACAGAGGTATAGACCAATGGAACAGAACAGAGGCCTCAGAAATAATGCCACATATCTACAACTATCTGATCTTTGACAAACCTGACAAAAACAAGAAATGGGGAAAGGATTTCCTATTTAATAAATGATGCTGGGAAAACTGGCTAGCCATATGTAGAAAGCTGAAACTGGATCCCTTCCTTACACCTTATACAAAAATTAATTCAAGATGGATTGAAGACTTAAAATGTTAGACCTAAAACCATAAAAACTCTAGAAGAAAACCTAGGCAATACCATTCAGGACATAGGCATGGGCAAGGACTTCATGTCTAAAACACCAAAAGCAATGGCAACAAAAGCTAAAATTGACAAATGGGATCTAATTAAACTAAAGAGCTTCTGCACAGCAAAAGAAACTACCATCAGACTGAACAGGCAACCTACAGAATGGGAGAAAATGTTTGCAACCTACTCATCTGACAAAGGGCTAATATCCAGAATCTACAATGAACTCAAACAAATTTACAAGAAAAAAACAAACAACCCCATCAACAAGTGGGTGAAGGATATGAACAGACACTTCTCAAAAGAAGACATTTATGCAGCCAACAGACACATGAAAAAATGCTCATCATCACTGGCCATCAGAGAAATGCAAATCAAAACCACAATGAGATACCATCTCACACCAGTTAGAATGGCGATCATTAAAAAGTCAGGAAACAACAGGTGCTGGAGAGGATGTGGAGAAATAGGAACACCTTTACACTGTTGGTGGGACTGTAAACTAGTTCAACCATTGTGGAAGTCAGTGTGGCGATTCCTCAGGGATCTAGAACTAGAAATACCATTTGACCCAGCCATCCCATTACTGGGTGTATACCCAAAGGATTATAAATCATGCTGCTATAAAGACACATGCACATGTGTGTTTATTGTGGCACTATTCACAATAGCAAAGACTTGGAACCAACCCAAATGTCTAACAATGATAGACTCGATTAAGAAAATGTGGCACATATACACCATGGAATACTATGCAGCCATAAAAAATGATGAGTTCATGTCCTTTGTAGGGACATGGATGAAGCTGGAAACCATCATTCTCAGCAAACTATCGCAAGGACAAATAACCAAACACCGCACGTTCTCACTCATAGGTGGGAATTGAACAATGAGAACACGTGGACACAGGAAGGGGAACAGCACACACCGGGGCCTCTTGTGTGGTGGGGGGAGGGGGGAGGGATAGCATTAGGAGATATACCTAATGTTAAATGACGAGTTAATGGGTGCAGCACACCAACATAGCACGCATATACTTACGTAAGAAACCTGCACGTTGTGCACAGGTACCCTAAAACTTAAAGTATATATATAAAAAAAAAGACCTTGTCTCTACAAAAAAACTTAAAAATTAGCCAGCCTGAGTTGGGAGGATCACTTGAGGCCAAGAATTTGAGGCTGCAGTGAACTATGATCATTCCACTACACTACAGTGGTAATAGAGCAAGACCTTGTCCCTAAAAAATATAACAAGATAAAAATTTAAAGGCCGATTTGCAAGGAAATATTGAGGTTAGAATTCTGCGTATACTTTTTAAGCAATGGTACATGAGTTAGTTAAATAGGTACTGTTTTGTAAAGCCAGTTAAAATTTTTTCTATCCATTTTAAAGTATGTTGAAACTATGGGTGACTTGAAATGTATTTCTAATATATAGGTAGGGTTTTTTTTTTTACCTAGCTGTTTAATTGTTCTGTGATTAATACGCTATTGAAAAAATGAATTGTTAATTGTTGGGATTTTTCTTACATTATGTGGCAGGTTGTAGGTACCCATTTTGCACAGCCACCTTCTATTCTTATGTGAAAAAAATTCTCTTTGTTGCAAAAAAAGTTTATTTATTTATTGCTAATAAAGAGTTTGTGTCAATATGACAAAAAAAATTTTCAGCCAAGACAGACCAACAGCTAGACATCTTGCACCAAACAGCCAAGTTGTAAATGCTGGTTTGAATTCTGACTCTGCTACTGCACCATGTACCTTAGTCACACTTTTTGACCTCCCTGAGCAAATGGGAATAATAATATGTATCTCATAAATTGTTGAAAAGACCCAATTAGATATTTTATGTAAATTGCTTGCCACATAGTAGGGATTTAAAAATATCAACCCCTTTCTTTTTGGTTTGTCTGGTAATTACCATCCAAAGAATAAGAGTAGTGGGCATAATAACACTTCCAAATTTCTTTTTATATACCACAGTGCTGCAGGCACAAGCTTACTTGCACAAACTGTTCAAATTAAATTGCTCATGTTTTGTCACTTCTGGAAATCTAACTTTCTTATTGTGTTATACAGTTTAATTTTTCTTTAGTTTCCTTCACATGGTTTGTCTTTATGCACATGATTTCCATATCATGGTACTGAGTTGTCCTCAGTTATATGCTCTGATATCTACTGTGTTATTCATGTTGATAGCTTTATAGATTTTCCCTTGACATATTTTTCTTTTATCGTTGTCTGAAACCGTCCTGTGTCTCATGGCCCAGTGTTTCTCTTTTGCGTGTCCCTTTTCTCTAGTCTGGAAAATACTTCAGTGTCTGCCCAGGACAGAAAACAAACCAAAAAAAAAAAAAAAACCCCACACACATCCCAGAGGTTTTTAGACCCTAATCACTTGAAGGGTATATGGTGCATTCAGCCCAGGTATTCTCTGGTAATTCTCTGCCTTTTACAACTGGTTTCCATGCAGTCAGCTGGAAAAATATAATAAAATCCAAGTAAGGTCAAGCCAGGAAGTCTATCCCAACTTCCTTCAAGTCACCTAAGTAATCACTTAGAAACAAAGGCTAAAGTAGTCCTGTGTAACCTGTAGTACTAGCACTGCCTGACTGCTGATAATCACAGAAGGCTCACTAAACAACCAAGCCCAGAGGATGCATAACTTTAGCACAGGAAACAGAAAGGAAAGATGAGATACTTCCCTTCCTAACTCTGATTTCTTCTCTCAACTTCAAATGCCTTTAAACATATTTTTCACTCATTCGTTTTTTCATTTATTCATTTGTTATTTATTTAAGGAAACACACAGTAAATACTAATTATAGGCCTAGGAATTTGCCAATTAGTAAATCCAAACTTCGTGTCCTAGAGAAACTCAGCGAACTGGAAAGATAAGCAAATAAATGAATAACAGTCTGACGTGCATGTAAGTTTAAAGAGGTGCGGTAGTGGGAGGTGAAGAGAGAGCAGGCAGCAGGCAGATGCTAGAACAGCTTGGCAGAGGAGATGTCACAAGCACTGAGCCTGGGGAAGGACAAAGCTGGAGGAGAGGGGGCAAGGAATGTGGGAGGGAAATGTCATCACATATTCAGGGATACTGAGGGATCTGCTGTGAGGACAGACAAGAATTGGTTCATTGGGTCAAGAAGAGAGGATTAGAGAAAAAGCAGAAAAGGTGATCCTGGGAAATTAGGTACAACCAGCTTTTTGAAATGTACAAATATGGCATGAAGGGACAGTGAAAAGATCATGGTTTTGTATGCTAGCTGGGCTACTTAGCTGTATGAACTTGGACTTAACATCTCTACACTTAATATCTCTGAACCCTAATTTATTTGCTTGTCAAGTTGAGGATAAGACTCAGGATTGAGCTAGAAATGATAGATAATGTGTTTATAACAATTGTTATAATATTAATACTATAGCTACTATGTATTGACCACTTACTATATAATGTCATGTGCTTTACATGATTATCTCATTCAATTCTCAGAGAATAATGTTATACCTTAGATATTATTATTATCCACATTTTACAGTTGAGGAAACTGAGATTAAATAATTTTCTATTAAATGGCTGCAGTATGATTAAAACATAGATGTGTCTAAACTAAAGTTCTTGTTTTTAAGTGGTATATTACATAAAGTAGTCATTGCCCAGTAGATAGTACATGCTCAATAAATGGAAGTTAGAAATCATAGTAGCAGTAGCAGTAATTGTAGTATTACGGGTAGCCAAAAGAAAACTAGCAGTGAAATTGTAGTAATGGCGGTAGTAGTGTTATCCTATAGGAAATGAGACACAAACAAAGGCTTTTTGTTGTTGTAATTTGTGTATTTATTTACAGAGAAAAAAACATGATTAGATTTGCATTCTAGAACAACTTTGGGAAAAGTATCTTAAAAAATGCATTTGAGAAAAAAGTTCCTTGGAACTTCAAATGACATTTATTTATTTAAGATGTTGTCTCATCATCTTATGTGATATTGTGAGCCCTGGACATAATAGAACACATTTTCAAATATTTTAGAAGTATAAGTACTAAGAGTTAGTAAATCATTGCATACTGGAGTGAGGTAAAGTTGATACCACCAATCCAAGAAGAGGACTACAAAAGAAGGATCACACAGCAGGTAATTTTTTTATTTGGGAATATGTTGATAGTAAGACATTCAGGTGATTCTGTCCAATAGACAGTAGACCCTGGACAAACAGCCTCCAGGTTAAGTTAATATAAGACACAGTCTTCCTGTAGGGCTAAGTAAGAGCACCCAGGAAATGTACAGTGAGGAGAGAAGAGGGCATAGGACCACACCCTGACGAAATTCATCCTTTGTGACATCTAGAAGAGGAGTTCACAGGGGAAACCAGGGGAGGAAGAGCAGAAAGGGAAACTGGAGAAGGTGAGGATAGATTTTATCCACTTCCAGTTTGAAAGGATTGACACTAGGCTCAGGGATGAGCATTAAGATTGTTTTTTTTTGCAATTGGTGTCTGCTATCACATATCCCATTGCAGGAGGTTATGATCCTACATATAACAAATAAGTAAGTATATATGCATATGTGTGTGTGTATATATATATATATATAGAGAGAGAGAGAGAGGGAGAGAGAGAGAGAGAGAGAGAGAGAGAGAGAGAGAGAGAGAGAGGGAGAGAGAGAAAATCCACAACTAGAAACTAAATTTGTGCAGTTATTTAATTTTTGATTGATGTAAATTTAAATTTAAGCAGCCCCATTTTTCTAGTGGCTACCATATTGGGGAGTTTCACCAGTTAGAGTGAACACTAAAAAAAGTAATGCAAAGAGTTGTAACTAAAAAGACAGGAAAAAATAAAATGGAATGGGAAAAAACCTGTTAATTCGAAAGAGAAAAGAATAAAAGAAAAAAGAATGAAGGGAGCAAATGTTTTAAAATAGTAAATTAGTTAAATTTGTATCAGTAATTACATAAAATATAGATAAACACTAATTTTAAAAATTGATATTGTCATGGAATTTTTAAAAAAGAGACCAATTATTTGCTATTTCGAGAGATATATTTTAAACATAAAGATACAAATAGTTAAAAGTAAAAGAAAAACTACATCGTACAGGTGCTAACCATAAGAAAACTGATGTGGAAATATTAATATCAATCAAATGAGATACGAGGACAAAAAATATTTCTAGAGGAAAAAATGGGCATTTCATATGGATAAATGGTCTAATTCACCAGAAAGACATAAAAATCCTACATGTATTACTTACAATATGAATTAAAATAAATGAAGGGAAAATGGACAGAACCAAAAGAACCAAAAGGAGAAATAGACAAGCTTATAATCATAATTTTAATATAGGTCATTCTGTAATGTGTAGAGAGAGCCAACAAAAAAAAAAATCAGAAAAAATCAGGGAAACTGGAGAAGGTGAGGGCAGATTGAACAACACTATTTACCAACTCGACCTTGACATTTACACACGATCTTACCCAACAACTGTAGGATTATTTTCAAGTGAACATGGGATAGTAACCAAAACAGACTATATGCTGGGACATACAGCCATTCTCAATAAATTTCAAAGCACTAAAATCATACAGAGTATGTTCTCTAACCACAATAATTAAACTAGAAATCAATGACAGAAGACAAACAGAAAATCCCAAAACATTTGGAAATCAAGTAACACAGTTCTAAATAACCCAAGAGTTAAATTGAAAATCACAAGGAACTGAAAGATAATGAAAATGTAACATATCAAAATTTGTGAGATACAGTTTAACCATTGATTTAGAGAAAATTTTCTCTTTAAATGCAAAATTTAAAAAGGAGAAATGTATAGATTTAATGATAAAAACTTTATTCTCAAGAAGCTAAAAAAAGGAGCAAATTAAAAAAGAAAATGACAAACATTAGAAATAAATTAAATAGAAAAATGTCCACCAAGAGGAAAAGATATAAACAAATGGTGGTACATTCATGTGATAGAATTCTACTAGCATTAAGAAGGAACCATTGATACATGCATTAGTGAGGATAAATTTCAAAAATACTATTTTTTTCAAAGAAATGGCTAATTTTAATTATTTTAATAGCCAAGTCAAAAATACAATCTCTTAGGAGATAAACCTAATGCTAAATGATGAGTTAATGGGTGCAGCACACCAGTATGGCACATGTATACATATGTAACTAACCTGCACATTGTGCACATGTACCCTAAAACTTAAAGTATAATAATAATAAAAAATAACAAAATAAAAAAACATACAATCTCTTTTTTATTGAGGAATCCTAATGACCAAAGTAGATGATGCTGTTATCAGATATTGAAGTAATTAGACTTAAGACATAAAATAATGAAGCAAGGTAAGAAAGCACTGATTTGAAATTATCTTTCTTTTAAATTTAGATGGATAATTAAAAATGTTTTTAATTCAAAGTTCCAAGCCTGAAATCCAGATATGTCATATCATGTACTTGCTTCTTGAAGATGAACTCAATAGTTGGTGGATAGAATCCGCACTCTAACAAAACAGCAAACCACAAAAACAGTTGTCTCCATGAAGAAGCCAGTAACTTTGCATTTTTTAAAATTTTACTCTAAGTTCTGGGATACATGTGCAGAACGTACAGGTTTGTTACATAGGTATGCCTGTTCCATGGTGGTTTGCTGCACCTACTGACCTGTGCTCTAAGTTTCCTACCCTCACCCCCGACCCCCCAACAGGCCCTGGTGTGTGATGTTCCCCTCCCTGGGTCCATGTGTTCTCAGTGTTCAACTCCCACTTATGAGTGAGAACATGTGGTGTTTGGTTTTCTGTTCCTGTGTTAGTTTGTTGAGGATGATGGTTTCCACCTTCATCCGTGTCCCTGCAAAGGATATGATTTCATTCCTGTTTACGGCTGCATAGTAGTCCATGGTGTACATGTGCCACATTTTGTTTATCCAGTCTATCATTGATGGGTATTTGGGTTGGTTCCATGACTTTGCTATTGTGAATAGTGCCGCAATAAACATACGTGTGCATGTGTCTTCGTATTAGAATGATTTATATTCCTTTGGGTATATACCCAGTAATGGGATTGCTGGGTCAAATGGTATTTCTGGTTCTAGATCCTTGAGGACTCGCCATACTGTCTTCCACAATGTTTAAACTAATTTATATTCCCCCCAACAGTGTAAAAACTTTGCATTTTATATTTCCATCTTCCAGTTCATTCCCACCTGTTCGGGATTTGGATTCCTAAAAGCTTCTTCAGCTAAAAACAAAGCAAAATAAAACAAAACAAAAAACTATTTTCAATGAATTATACCTGGTACACAGAGTAGACATTGTATTATTCAATTTATATAATGCTCAAGACAAGGTTAGCGCATCATGACAGAAGTCACAAAATAGTACATGTAGAAATATTGACAGGAAAAGAGGCATGAGGGCACTTTCCAGGTGGATAACAGTGTTCTGCATCTTGGACTAGAAGGTGCTTACAAATGCATATGTGAAGGTAAATATCAAACTATATAGTTAATATTTGTACATGTAACTGTTTATAAATTACAACTCAATTTAAAATAAAACCTCACTAGAGTAGCTAAGCAGCATTTAAGCAACATGTTTCACATGGGGGACATAAGGAAATATATTTGAATATGTTAATATATAAGGAAATATATGTGGATGTGTTTGAGATATCTATTAGATAAACAAGTGAGAATGTAGAACACATCAGTAATCATTTCAGTGGAGTAGTGAGAATGAAAACTAAATAGAGTTGAGAAGGAAATAGGAAGCTACTGAAGAGACAACAAATGCAGACATTTTGAGAAGTTTCATGATACGGGAGAGAAGAGATATGAGGAAAGTCATGAGAATGAGAAGAGAGAGAGAGAATTCTACGAAAAGAAAGAGAGCATTAATTTCTGGCTTGTCTTCATGTAGGTGAGACAGGATGGGACCCAAGTGGAGGACGAGAGTTGAGATAAGAGCAGGGACAATTTTCCACTGTCACAGGAGAGAGACTATGATACATAGGCACAGATGCTGATAAGTTGACATATTTGCCATTGGAAAGATGATGTAATTCTCATCTGATTGCCTCTTCTTTCTCAGTGAAGCATGAGATGAATTCATCAGCTGAGAGAGAAAGGAAAAGAACGTGGGAGATTTGAGGAGAGAGAAGAAAATGTAAAATAGTCATGTGAGAATACAAAAGTACATTTATTAGACAAATGTCAGACTTGTTGGTCCATTTGAGATCAGTGATCATAAATTTTAAATTATGCACAGTTGTGTAGTTTTTTCAACAACATTCAGCTGCCCTGGGCTGCATGTTGTTCTAGATATAAGAGTTGGGTGTTCTATCATAGGATATTTTTAACCATAATGGATTACTCAGTTAGGTGTTGAGTCACAAAATTCAGAACCAATTTTACTCTTCACCTCCATAATAAATCAGATGTATTAACTTTACTAGTTCAGTCATCTTCACTCCATTTTTAAAGTTGTTGGTTCTGTTTTTAAGGGGAAATGTAAAACAAAAGTATCCTAAAACCATTAGTTCCTCTTTTACATCCAGGGAAGCTTTAAATTTGATTTTGTATTTTGAGTAAAAAAGACTGACTAAAATGGACTTTTAGTGCTTTTTAACTATATACATAGTAACATATTTTATTTTAAACTTCGATATTTTCTTCAATGTGCTGGAAGAATGTCTGTAAACTCAATCCATGCCAGAGGTAGCAGAAGTGTGTAATATGAAAACAAAGCCATCTCAGAAGAAACTAGAAGGTGTTGTGAAATAAGGCAAATTTTTTGACCCCAGTTTCACATAAATGCTCTGAGCAAAAAATAAATGTTAATGATAATTTAAATGACTGTTAACCATACATAGAAGAAAAATATGAGATTCAATTTTCAAAAAGCAGGAGAAAATGGGCAAAGGGAGGAACTAACATTTGGCAAGCTCTTACTTTGTCCCAAGCACTGTATCAAGCATATTTAATAGGATCCTATTATCCATGGCTATTATCCATGGTTCATCTCGCCCAAGTCCAAAAAGACTAGGTTTGTTCCTGAAAACTGTTATCATTTATGTGAAAGCATAGTCTGATGTGCATTTTCTTTATTACGCAGATGTACAAATCAACGCATTCCATTACAATTTTATAAAGACCACAGATGCTTTTACCCAGAGAAGCAGGTAGAAAGTTAAAAAATTTCAAATTTATTTGAACCACTATTCCCCACATAAAAATTCAGCTTAATCTGACATACACATGCCCAACAAGCATAGAAAAAATGCTCAACATCACTAATCATTAGAGAAATGCAAATCAAAACCACACTGAGATATCATCTCACACCAGTCAGAATGGCTATGATTAAAAGGTCAAAAAACAACAGATGCTGGCGGGGTTATGGAGAAAAGGGAAAACTTATAATTGCTCCTATGCAGCTATTAAATTTTTAAATGGAAACAAAATGGAAAAATTAGGATATTATGTGGCTTGGTTGTTCTGAATAAAACACTTTGCTGCTTTTACAAGAAATCATAGTGGTAAACAAGCCCTTTATAAAGCAGCAGTGTGTGTTTATTGTGAGAAATACTTTAAGATCTTTTAAATGAAGCCAAGAGGAGTTCAGTTATTAACTCTGTGCTGGTTTCAAAGATTTATAAAACCAGTCCGTTTCAGATAGAATGTTTTTCTCAGCTGAAATTTGGTCATATGAGTGTGTATGAAAAGCATCAACCAATGGATCTGTGCTATTTTTTTAAAAAATCTCTGTATTTGACATAAAAATCCATTCAATCAATTTCACTAAGACAAATTAGATTCGATATGTAAACCCATTTGTTCTTCATCAAAGTTCTAAATTTTGCAAATGATCAACATATCTTTCAACCAATTTGTCAACATATTAGCAACAAGATAACATGATTCATGGCTTTGGCAAGGTAAAATTGGGTAACAAAGAAATTCTCAGAATGTATTTTAGGAACCAGAAATCTTTGGCCACCGTATTTTCTAAACTAAAAATCATCCCATTCTAGCGTGTGGAATTGTCTTTTAGTAAGTGTACATGCTAATACTTCTAGAGATTTAAAACTAGTTAAAGAAAATATCACATGGAGTATTATATAGTTATTAATTGTAAGAGCTAAATTTTAAGACATTCGGGGAAGCCACAATGCATGGCAGTGGTCATTTCTAGCAGTTGTTATGAATAACTTTGATGTTTAATGCAACATATTCTACATGTATTTCAGAAAATTACATGGATATTTGAATTATTAATATTTATATTAATACAATGCTTTACAGTTAACAAAGTCTTTTTTTCATAACTAACCCATTCTTCCCTCACAATCAGCCCATGGAGCAGATGTTGTCATTCCTGTTTTTCAGGTTAACAACATAATTAGAAAGTTGTGGAATTGGGACTCAAACACACATACTCCACTTTCTGACTCCTAAGCCAAGTTTTTCTCCACTGAATTATTCTTAATCTCTATTGAAATGATATGTTCTATCCATACTCATGTATGAAAATATTGACATAAGATTTGGATTCCAAAATCATTGGGAAGTCTGTACAATGAAAATAGGAAGCCACAAAGTTGCTATAACATTGTGTGATGTGGGAAACCTATCTAAATGTGGCAAGAGGCAAACTGCAACTGAAGACTATTTTTAGGGAATGAATAATGTGAGTTTTGTAAACTTAAAGATACTACCATATAAAGGCTTTTTTCCCTATATTACAGAGATGATGGCGGAGATTTTAACTAAATGAAAGGAAACGTGCCCCAGTAATAATTAGGTCCTCAAATTGTTTCTCATTTATTTAACAAATATGTATTGAATACCTTGTCTTTGCAAAACATTGTGCTTGCAATGGTACAAAGGTAACAAAAATAATAATAATTTTAAAAGCAAACTTATTTATTGGCATATCTCTGGCAGTGTTCTAAGTTTACATAAATTAATAAATTTACCTGAGATTTCAAAACTTTTTCTTTTCGTTACAATTAGTTTCCATTTATGATGACTCTCAAATAATTCTTATAAATGGAGCAAAAAGATGGACAGAAATCAAAGTGACTGACACACAATCAAATGTGGAATGAGAACAATAATACAGCTGTGACCTGTAAGGGGGTGTGGTGGTCAGGGTTCTCCAGAGAAACAAGAAAAATAGACATATTTGTACAAAGACAGAAAAAGATTTATATAAGAAATTAACTTACACAATTATGAAGACTGAGAAGTCCCATGATCTTCACCTAGTAAGCTACAGACCCACGAGAGCTGATCTAGGCACCCTGTGGCCCAGTCAAGTTGATGCATAAAATTAACCATCACAAGGAGAAAGAGCTTTGAACCTGTCCTGAATTCTAATTCAAGTTCCATCACTAAATAGCCATGTGACCTTGGGAAAGTTAGTTAACCATTCTAAACCTAGAGACCTGACATCTGTCATCTGGTGTTGGGAGAGCCTGTAAGATGGTATATATAAAGTGCCTAGCAGTGCTAGGCCCATACTGGACAGTTATGGAACCCTGGCTTCTAATTAAATGTGCCTTCTCTAGCCACTCTAAAGCTTAATTCTGTATGACTGTCTTAAGTCCTTCAGGTGTGGTGGTAGCCAAGAAGAAAGTATGAGAGGAAAACTATGGCAACCCCTTTGATGTGATCCAAATGGCAGAGTGCATTTTCAGTTCAAATGAATTCCCACGGTATCTCCTAACCTCTTTAAAAACTAAATAGCTATTCAAAGAATTTTCTCAAGAGACAAGAAAATAGGCATTTATATTTAAAAGTATTATAAGGAGTTAATAGCCCTTGGAGTTACTGATTTAATGGCCCCTTATTTAATTAAGGAGTAGAGAAACTCATTGAGAGTCATAGAGTAGAGCTTATAATTAACGGATAGCTCCAGGCAAGAATTGCCTTTTTGCCCCTTTATCTCTGCTCTACCCCTTGAAATTTATACTTAAACATTATGAAAATATATATATCTAGGAAAAAGTGAAAGATCAATATCAAAGTTCTTAGTTTAAAAAGAGAGACCAAATTCATTCAGGATCTCAGATGTGGTGTTCTTAGACCATGTGGAGACAAGAAACAGAGTAACAAAAATGTAAATAGCATAGGCCAGAAGGGTAACCTACATCTGCTGACTAGTCATTACAAACAAAACTATCATGGCCATAATGTAATTTGGTGACCTGAGTCTCTGCAATGAGGTTGTTGCCTGGAAACAATGGGGTTTCACAGCTGGGGGTGACCATAGAAGCTGAGGTCTAGTAGTCCCCCCATCTAACAAATGAATTGCAATAAGTGATCAAATTCAAAGTCACATGGAAACAACAGAAATTAGGGACAGAAAAATATCCAGATGTCTGATCCCATATGCATTTCAATATTCAGAAAAAAAAGCTTTAAAAAGTGGAAAGAGGCTGGGCGTGGTGGCTCAGGCCTGTAATCCCAGCACTGTGGGAAGCCGGGTAGGTGGATCACCTGGGCAACATGGTGAAACACAGTCTCTATTAAAAATACAGAAAAATCAGCTGGGCATGGTGGCACACGCCTGTAATCCCAGCTACTTGGAAGGCTGAGGCACGAGAATCACTTGAACCCTAGAGATGGAGGTTGCCATGAGCCAAGATCCTGCCACTACACCCCAGCCTGGGCAGCAGAGTGAGACTTTGTCTCAAAAAAACAGACAAACAAACAAAAAAAAAACGAAGTGGAAAGAAAACTAGATAGAATTGTATCAAAAGATGCACACACTGACTTTGTGACTTCAGGAAAATTACCTGATGCTCTTAGCCTCATAATCCACAATTGTAAAATAGCAATCATAAAAATTACTTTGTAGCATTTCTTATTAGGACTCATGAGACAAAATATGTAAAAATATCTTTAAACTATTTAAAATAAGGTCATAAATTGGTAGCCCCAAGGTGTTTCTTTAGCCTGGAGAGTTTTTGTAAGTTTTTGAAAATACTGTTGTTTAAATTTTGAGAATCTATGTATGTCATGTAAAATATGGGATTTGGGTATCTCTTTAAAATAAGAAATCCGGCAATACAGAATGCATTTTCCCATAGCCACAATCAGCTAGATATGAATAAAAGTCCTCATCACCATACATACTCATGCAGTCTCCATTTACAACAGTTCCCACCCAGCTCATGTCATCCATCAGTGTACATTTCTGGCCCTTGTTAGCATATAAGATACTTCACCCTTGATTAAGGCTTTATTAAAATATCAGATTTTGTTATGTTTCAGCCAAAAGGATCTTAATGACCACTACAGACTGATGCACACTTTCCATGGAACAATGGATATGTAGAATAGAATATGTATTTTTTTATCACATAGCTAGGATACAGAAGAAACATTTGTGAAATGTAAACTATTCTTGTAAAACAATAGTCCTGAACATATGACCCAACTATATTTCTTTTATATTTATTGTAAATTAATCTATTTATAAAGAGAATGAGACAGTGGCATAAACGTCTTTTCTCTTTGCAAGTTTGTCAGTTAAACTCCATTTCTTGAATAATGGGAAGAGTTTGCTCAGAAGCACCCAGAGAAGTTGGGTGCTAGAATGTCTTCAATTGTGTGGCTCCATCTCCTGGTTTCAAATAGCCAGAAGGCAAATGAGGAACTCACAGAAAGGAAATATAAAAAGTAGTAAGAAAAACCGCTGTACTCTCTGGACTGCAAGTATATTGGTTTTTCTCTTGCTTGAACTTGGAATTTGAGTAATCTCTTCCTGCAGAATGGATAACATGTACTTTTACAATGTAAAAAAATAAGTTTCTGTTAATTTTGGAATGCATGATAGTATCATTTCATTAGGCACATCACAAACTAATCTCATTTTATAGTTGGCCATGAATATAGAAAAGCAATCTTTTACTTCCTCACAATAAGTCTTTCATCTATGTGATTTTGGGGATTAGAATTCACTTTAAGAGAGATGATATAATATTATTGGACGTGTGTGGCAGATATTACTAACTTCTCAGCAATATGGAATTTCACTCTCCTTTGGTCACACGAGATTATACCTTCCTGCCACCATGGCTAACTTGTTTGGCCAATGAACTTGAACAAAGTGACATATGTCATTCTCTGTGGAAGTATTTAATTGCTGGTCTTCAATGCTCCACTTCATTTTTTCCCATGTACTAGAGGGGCAGCAGACCCCAAAAGCCTGGGGATCTGAATGACTAATGAGGAAGTCACTTCTGCTAATCCTTATTGGACATGTAGTGGGGCAAAATATGAACTTCTATGGTTTTAGGTCATTGAAATATTGGAGGATGTTTGTTACTGCTGAATAACATAATTTATTTTAACTGATTTAGATATGTAAAAAGACTCTTTAACTAGGTATTTAATTTTTGTACAATTTAAGGGAATCTGAGGATGGGAGTATATTTTCTTTCTTTGTTTCTTATGTGTTGATATTGGACAAAGATGATAAATATGCTAATAGAAGAAAGTGCCCATCTTGACACACATGTGAACAAGTGTGGAAATCTCTTAAATTTCTGAAAACAAGCCACTTATGAAAAGACAAGTGCTGGCAAGGATGTGAAGAAATTGAAACCCTGTGTACTGTTGATGGAAATGCAAAATGGTGCAGCCACTACATAAAACAGGATGAAGCTTCCTCAAAAAATTAAAAATACAACTAGTATGTGATCTTGGTATCTATCCAAAAGAATTGAAATTAGGATCTTGAAGAGATTAGCACCCTGGTGATCATTGCAGCATTATTCACAATACCTAAGATGTGGAAACATCTAAATGTCCATCAAAAGATCAATAGATAAAGAAAATGTGATATACGCGATGAAATATTATTCAGGCATAAAAAGAATATGCAATGACATGGCTGAACCTTGAAGACATTATGCCGAGCAAAATAAGGCAGTTACAGCAGGACAAACAGCACACGATTCCACTGATATGAAGTAGCTAAAAGAGTCAAACTCAGAACCAGAGAGTGGAAATGTGGCTAACAGGGGTAGGAATAGAGGGAAATGGGAAATTGTTAATCAATGGGCATAAACTTTTAATTATGCAAGATTAATACATTTTAGAGATCTGCTATACAACATTGAACCTATAGCTCGCTTATTAATAGTTAAGTATATTGCTTGTACATTTAAAATTTTGTTAAAATGGCAGACCTCATGTTATGCACTCTTACTACAATAACATTTAAAATGTTTAAAATTTTAAAAGAAAAAAATGCCTTTTGTATTTCAAAGCATATTTCAGTTATAGTATAATGAACAGCATTGAAGTTAATTAATGATTTTTGTTTAAAAGGCTGCAAATACCATACAGTACACTATGGATAATTAGGGGTAAACTGACTGAATACAGAAGGGATATCTGTGTCCTTCCCAGTGCGTATGTTCACATGGTGTACATCTTCTCTTGCCTACATCTAAATGTGATACAGCTTTCTAAATTTCTCTTCAAAGCAGCCAAAATATTCATCAAAATCTAAGAGTCAATAAGAAAAAGGTAAATCATAATATGTAAGTTGATTCAATAATATAGTATGAAAATGAATGCCACTACAACTAAAAAAAAAAAAAAAAAAAAAAAGATTTAATTTTTGCTTATGGAGCTCTTAGATACAGTGTTCCAGTCTACCTGAACATATTCCATCTAATACAATATGAGTACACTCCCTAAAGGTTATTTCAGAGAATTTTTTTCCAGGTCATAAAATGGCTACTGATACATTGTTTTAAAAAATAAGAATTCAGGCCAGGCACAGTGGCTCACACCTGTAATCCCAGCACTTTGGGAGGCCGAGGCAGGCAGATCACTTGAGATCAGGAGTTCGAGACCAGCTTGGCCAACATGGTGAAACCCTGTCTCTACTAAAAATACAAAAATTAACTTGGTGTGGTAGCCAGCACCTGTAGTCCCAGTTATTCAGGAGGCTGAGGCAAGAGAATTGCTCAA
This sequence comes from Homo sapiens, assembly GCF_000001405.40. Classification (NCBI taxonomy): domain Eukaryota; kingdom Metazoa; phylum Chordata; class Mammalia; order Primates; family Hominidae; genus Homo; species Homo sapiens. The sequence continues at coordinate 63,453,356 of NC_000012.12, forward strand.
ACCCCAGAGGCGGAGGTTGCAGTGACCCAAGATTGTACCACTGCACTCCAGCCTGGGTGACAGAGCAAGACTCCAACTAAAAAAAAATTAAAAAAAATTTAAAAAAAATTTAGAAAATTCAGCAAAGTGTAAATAAAACAAATCATCATCTACCATTCTACCGCACTTGTTGTATTTCCTTCATTTGGTGTATGTGTGTATCTGAATCAGTATCGTGTCTAGATTTCGCCACAATATTTTATCATAGGTATTTCTCAATGACAATATTCTCTAAAATTATGTATTCATCTATGTATAATAGTAATGATAACAGTAACTACCATTTATTGAGCTCTGCTATTGAGGAATTCTGGGTATTGTATAAAGCACCTTACATATATTATCAGTTATTCCTTAGAACGTCCTCATGAGGCAAGCATTTTTGAAGTTAAGCAACTTGCTTAAGGGCATAATGTTTATTAGAAACTGGGATTCAAACCAGACCTGCATCCTCCAAGGCTGATAGTCTTAAGTACAATATTCTATGGAATAAAAACTCATCTTTTAGGGAATATCTAAATTTTAACAATAAAAACCTCTATACATAAATTCTGTGCACATTTAAGTATCTTCTTAGGATTAATTGTTTGAAGTAGAATTAAGAATCTGAGGAGTTCAGCATGTATAAGATACTTGATATATATTACCAAATTGACCTTCATAAAGATGATATTAATTTATTTTCCAACCAGCAATGAAAGTGATTTTCATTTTACTTAACCCCCACCAAAAAATAGTTTTTTTGAAAAAAATCTTTATTTTTCTATTGTAACTTGTCATATTTTTAAATTATTTTATGACTACTAAGTTTATATATGTATCATCTTTTCTTTTTCCAATGTCCTATTCACTCCTTTACTCATGTTTCTATTAATGAGAACATATTTTACTTAATAATTTGTGAGAGTTTTTGTTATATTAAAGATAGGAAACTTTTGTCAGTCATATATGTTGCAAATACTTCCCCAGTTTGCCTTCTAATTTTGAAATTTTTTATGTAATAAAATGTATCAGTATTTTATTTTGTCTTTTGCTTTTAGCCTTGGAAAAATTTTTATACTTTTAAATTTTTATAGCTTCTTAATTTTACTTTGAACTCTTTAAACTCTCAGGAATTTATTTCAACAAAGGGATGAGGGAAAATCTACTTTTTTTGTCCAAATGACAATGCTATATTTTCTGTTTTATTAAATCATCTTGCCATTCACCATCAACTTAAAATGCCACCTTTAGCTTGGTATAAATTTCTATATATTTTAGAGTCTATTTCTTGCCTTTCTATTCTACATCTATGATTTATTCTTTTGTGACTACTATGGTACATTAATAACTGAAGTTTTATAATATGTTTTAATATTTGCAAGTGAAAGTTCAATTTCACACAAAATTTTTCTCTCTCAGAATGTTTTTGGACATTCTCATCTGTTCTTCCAGATGATTTTAGAAATGATTATGTCAAATCTCACAAAAAACGTCTGTGAAGATTTGTATTAAAATTACATTAAACATACAAATTATTTTGCAGAGAATTCTATTCTTAAAATAGTTGGTCTCCTTGGTATTCTTATAGTTATTAAACCCTAAGTCATCTTATTAAAATCAGGACTATTTTTATGAACTCGAGGCTTCCCAGGGAATATTTCATAGTCCTGTCTCCAGCCCTAATAAACATGGCCATTGCCATGTATGTCCCATTACAGCAAAAGGTAGTAATAATATAATAATTATAACAGTCATATCGGGCTTTTTAATCATCCAGGTTGGCTTCCATGTTCTCTAACATTAAAATACAGAAACTCCAAGCTCTTTGGTGACAAAGAATCTAATATGTAAATAATATATCAAAGCTAAAAATCTAAAGTCAATAAGCATTTCTCAGTTTGGAAAATCTTCAAAGGAATTAGCAGTCTCCTTCTAGTTTTTTCCACAGAGGAAACTGGGAAATTATTAATAGTTTTTTTAAATTTTCTCATAATCACTATAGTGCCCCGTCTCATGGCCTTATGTAGTGTACATATAATTATAAAATTTTCCCATCAAGCAACTTAAAATACATTTGCCTTATCCTGAGTCAGAGAACTCTAAAAAATTAGTAATACAGAATGGGATCTATAGCAGACACAATTTCCCTGAGGAATAACTGGTATTGCCAAATCCATAAAAAGAACTTTCCAAGAATTGGGGAACATAAAAGTCCAAGAATGAATGAGCTGTCTGCTTCCCACATAACTCAAATCCCTAAGCATCTTTGTGGGTACAGGACTTTGTGCATATGGCTAGAAGCTCATTAAATTATTGTGTATAAAATGTCTTCAAATTTTAGACCACTATTATATATGTCTCTAGCAGAAAAAGAACTGTCTTGTAGTATGGCAGGACTTACTAAAGGGCGTTCTGCTTAAAATATACATAAAAGGTGGTTCTGTAGGAATGAGTTTGAACAAGGCAGAGTTTAAGTTAAATAGGCCTCTTTACAATGGGATTTCTCAAGGTCTTTAATAGACAAATGTGAAACTTCAGGACAGGAAGAGTTTGCAGCACTTTCTGAACAATTGACACAGAATCTCTTTTTAAGGTAGTCACTAATGATCCAAGGAACCTTTTCAGGAATACTAACTACTGGGATAGAAGCCATGATCTCCACATTAGAAGGTTTTCTAGTTTTTCACCAAATAATAACAGCTGTTACTCACAATCATACATTTGCCTATAGAAAAGAGAAATGTAATTACATGCTGGATTCATTGGTGGGTTTTCATCTCTGAATTTGGATTCGAGACCCACTACTTACTGGCAACATGTGTCCTTAGTTACTCAATCTCAGATTTCTCATCTACAAAATGAAGGAAATGATAATATCTCATAGAATTTGTACAAAGATTAAAATAACAAATGTAAAAGTGACTTTTTAAACTATAAAAAAATTATGTCTGTACATACTGTATTATCATGAATAAAACCTGTTTACCTTGATAGAAGAGCAAACAGATATTTACACTGGAAAACTCCACATGATGAAATGATTCTCTTTCATAAATTGGTTAATGAAATCTACACGGAACAATGAGGGTAAATGCATTTTAAAATCTGAAAATGTTTCCATTATATTCACCCTCTACTCCAGTACTATATTGATTATTGTATTAGTTCTATTGTATTAACTACTACTATGAACTACTAAAATAAAACTCAAAATAATAGTGACTTAAGATAGAAGTTTAGTTTCCTTTTCTGTATCTGAGCATGGGCAATTCAGAAGTATTGCAGTGTCAAAGCCTGAGGCAAAGCCAGAACTTGAGGGTCATCTTCAACCACAAGGACCCAGAAGGAGAGGGGAAGAAAAAACAGTTGCATACATTACTCCTGCTTACATACTATTGGCCAAATATAGATGGCCACAACTAGCTGCAAGGAAGGTGAGTAATTATGGTCTTTATTCTGAGTGTCCATGTGTTCAGCTGAAATTTGAAAGGTCTATCATAAAAGGAAAAGGGAGAGAACATATAGTGAAAGACGATGGCCATTCTCTACTACAATTATGTTATCTATTAATAGTATTAGGAACCTGAAGATTCTGTAATTATTTGCCCTGAATTTCAATTTCAGTAAGCATTGCTCAAATAATTATTATATATACTAATCCTTGGAAATAGGAAAGTTACTGGACAGGATGTTTGCCCTCTTTTTTAAATACCTCAACCTAATTTCCTTAATATCATAAATCAGAGGTCTCCATGTCATTAACTTTCCAGTCAGTTATGTTGCTGATAACCATCTCTGTTGATTCTAAGTGAATTCTGATGTAAAGACATGCATGACCCAAATCAGTCAAAATGACCATCTCAACATATGGTAACAACTGAGCAGCTAATGATCAGATAAATAGAGAACTTCTTTCTCAAGGATCTTTGCTATCTCTATATTACATTTGCCATCAATTCTATATCAATGATAATAAAGCTATCATTTAATAAGCAAGTACTATATTTCAGGAGTTTTGTTATCATTAATTATAATAACATTTCCACAGTGAATGCATTCAATATATTCATTCAAAACTGAGTACAAGTATTTAGAAATTCATTTTCTAGGCTCATCAGAGTCCAATTGTTTTTTCCAAGATCACTTGGTAAACAGTATAGCCAAGATTTCAACAACAGGGCTGTCCTATTTCAAGCTCAGGCTTACAGCCCCACCTAAAGTAATTAATTCATCCCAGTTTGCCTGGAACTTTTCAAGTTTTAGCACTGAATGTCCACATGGGAGGAACTCCATTTGGTCCCAGGCAAACTGGAACAGTTAGTCACACTAGAACCTTCACCCCATTGGCCAACCCAGCCTGTCAGTATCCCACCATCCAAAACCTCTTCACTTTCAAGAGGCAAGAAGTAAATTTTTTATAACAAAATGGGAAGATCTTTGCTCTAGAGCATGAGGTCATACAATGTACATGATAGCAAATACATTATTAAGCTTACTAATGTATTTTTAGAAACAATTTTATAGATATGTCCTCCAGGGATTAAGGGAACAGAAAAAGTAAATAATGATGCTGTTTGTTTAAAATAAAAAAACCCTACTAATTGGATAGTCCTATAATCAGCACTGTTGAACAGACTTCTCTAAAAATGTTCTGCATCTGTGCTGTCCAATATAGCAGCCATAAACCACAAACCACATGTGGCTATTGAGTACTTGACATTGGCTAGAGTGACTAAGACACTGAATATCTAATTTTGTTTTATTTTAATTAATTAAAATAGCCACAGGTGGCTATTAGCTATTATATTGCATAGCACAGTTCTCAGTAAACAATTTTTATATAAAATGCTCAAGGCCATGTATCACGTGGAACATTTCTAGTTTGGGTAAATACTGACAGACATAGGGAACTTGAATGGAGTCCTACTGCCTCATAAAAATGACAATTCAAGCAATAACTCTGAGCAGACTTGTGTGTGAATGTGTAAGTGTTGTTTAAATCTGGGGTGTTAATATTGACTGCCCAAACAAGGAGAAACAACATTATCTCTCACACTTCCGAGAATTATAAAGTCTTAATTTAGTATCATTTGCTCAGAGAGAATGATCTGTCACTCTAGAAAATAAAACTCATTTGACAATAAATTAAAAGTAATATAATTAACATTTCATTAATTCTCAACAGAGGGAAGAAAAATAGAGACTTTCTTGCTCTTTGCTACACTGGGAGCAACCGGAGAGCTTGTGTGTTTAAGCTCTTTAAACATCTAGAAGATAACTCATTACGGATCATCACGGCGGATGGGAGGCAGGACTAGATTGCAGCTCTGGACAGAGCAGCTTCTGAAAGCTCACATTGTGAATTTTAGCTACAGATTGACTGCAAGTACAAGCCAGCAATCCCGAGAGGACCCACAGACCCTCTGAAGGAAGCAGACTGCTCCTGTGGGACCCAGGAGACACCCCAAATACTGTGAGTGCCCCAACTGCAGAAGTGGGAAAGGGAAACCCTCCTTTCCCAAACACACACCCCCACTGGAGAAGCTGAAGGTCTGTTTGCGGAAGAAGTTTCTGACTTTACCTGGAGCTGAGACAATTTAGAGAGCCCAGTGAAATACAGGGGTACAGGAAGCATCAGAAAGGCCCTGGGAGCTCACTGCATCCCCTAGCAGGCCATTCCTGCCTGGCACCACAGGGATCCATCGGAAGGGTGACCAGAGGAGCAGGGGGTAAAACTCCACAGGGAGAAGGAAATCTCTATCTGAACTTTGTAACAATTTGAATGGGGTGAGAAGCCTTCTGGCCAGAACTCTGGGAAGGGGACCAATCCGGCGTGCAGACTCCACAGGCGGGGGAAGAACCAAGCCCTTTTCTTTTGCAGCTGGGTGGTGGGTAGCCCAGGGCAAGTTTTCAAGCCCATCACACCCTTCACCTGGAAACAGACTTGGGTCTGTTGGAGTGGGGCACGGTGGGAGGGAGACCAGCCTTTCAGTTTGTGTTAGAGCTGGGTGAGGTCTGTGACTGCCAGCTTTCCCCCACTTCCCTGACAACCTGCATAACTCCACAGAGGCAACCATAATCCTCCTAGGTACACAACTCCAGTGACCTGGGAATCTCACCCCCATCCCCCACAGCAGCCACAGCAACACCCACCCAAGGAGAGTCTGAGGTCAGACACACCTAGCCCCGCCCCCACCTGATGGTTCTTCCCTACCTACCCTGGTAGTGGAAGACAAAGGGCATATAATCTTAGGAGTCCTAGGGCTGGGCCCACCACCAGTCCCTCTCTACACTACTACAGCTGATGCTTTCTGGAAATCACCAACTCCTAGCAGGAGGCCAACCAGCATAAAAATAGAGCATTAAACCACAAAAGCTAAGAACTGTCACAGAGTCCATTGTACCCCCCACCACCTCCACCAGAGCAGGCGCTGGTATCCACAGTTGAGAGACCCACAGACGGTTCACCTCACAGAACTCTGTGCAGAAACCCCCAGTACCAGCCCAGAGCCAGGTAGACTCGCTGGGTGGCTAGACCCAGAAGAGAGAAAACAATCACTGCAGTTTGGCTCACAGGAAGCCACATCCATAGGAAAAGGGGGGGAATACTACATCAAGGGAACACTCTGTGGGACAAAAGAATCTGAACAACAGTCTTCAGCCCCAGACCTTCCCTCTGACAGAGCCTACCCAAATGAGAAGGAACCAGAAAACCAACCCTGGTAATATGACAAAATAGGCTCAACACCCCCAAAAAATCACACTAGTTCACCAGCAATGGACCCAAACCAAGAAGAAATTGCTGATTTACTGAGAAAGAATTCAGGAGGTTAGTTATTAAGCTAATCATGGAGGAATGAGAGAAAGGCGAAGCCCAATACAAGGAAATCCAAAAAATGATACAAGAAGTGAAGGAAGAAATATTCAAGGAAATAGATAGCTTAAAGAAAAAACAATAAAAAAATTCAGGAAACTGGCCAGGCATGGTGGCTCACACCTGTAACCCCAGCACTTTGGGAGGCTATGGAGGGTGGATCACCTGAGGTCAGGAGTTCAAGACCAGCCTGGCCAACACAGTGAAACCCTGACTCTACTAAAAATACAGAAATTAGCCAGGCATGGTGGCAGGTGCCTATAATCCCAGCTGCTTGGGAGGCTGATGCAGGAGAATCACTTGAACCCAGGAGGTGGAGGTTGCAGTGAGCCGAGATGGTGCCGCTGCACTCCAGTCTGGGCAACAGAGCAAGACTCCATCTCAAAAAAAAAAAAAAAATTCAGGAAACTTTGGACACACTTTTAAAAATGTGGAATGCTCTGGGAAGGCTCAGCAGCAGAATGGAATAAGTAGAAGAAATAAATTCAGAACTCAAAGACAAAGTCTTCTAATTAATCCAATCCAATGAAGACAAAGAAAAAAAGAATAAGAAAATATAAACAAAGCCTCCAAGAAGTCTGAGATTATTTTAAATGACCAAACTTGGTAGTAATTGGTATTCCTGAGCAAGAAGAGAATTCTAAAAGCTTGGAAAACACATTTGGGAGAATAATTGAGGGAAACTTTCCCAGCCTTGCTAGAGACCTAGACATCCAAATACAAGAAGCACAAACAACACCTGGAAAATTCATCGCAAAAAGATCTTTGCCTAGGTGCATTGTCATCAGGTTATCCAAAGTTAAGACAAAGGAAAGAATCTTAAGAGCTGTGAGACAGAAGCACTAGGTAACCTACAAAGGAAAACCTATCAGATTAACAGCAGATTTCTCAGTAGAAACCCTACAAGCTAGAAGGGATTGGGGCCCTATCTTCAGCCTCCTCAAATAAAACAATTATCAGCTAAGAATTTTGTATCCAGTGAAACTAAGCACCATATATAAAGGAAAGATACAGTCATTTTCAGACAAACAAATGCTGAGAGAATTTGCCATTAGCAAGCCACCATTACAAGCACTGCTAAAAGGAGCTCTAAATCTTGAAACAAATCTTGGAAACATATCAAAACAGAAACTCTTTAAAACATAAATCACACAGAACCTATAAAACAAAAATACATATTAAAAAGCAAAAAACAAACAAAAAAAAACATAGGCAACAAAGAACACAATGAATGCAACAGTACCTCACATTTCAATACTAGCATTGAATGTAAATTGCCTAAATGCTCCACTTAAAAGATACAGAACTGTAGAATGGGTAAGAACTCACGAACTAACTATCTGCTGCCTTGGGAGACTCACCTAACACATAAGGACTCTCATAAACTTAAAGTACAGGGGTGGAAAAAGGCATTTCATGCAAATGGGGTAACTTACCCAAAAGCAAGCAGGGGTAACTATTCTTATATAAGACAAAACAAATTTTAAAGCAACAGCAGTTAAAAGAAACAAAGAGGGACATTATATAATGGTAAAAGGCTTCGTCCAACAGGAAAATATCACAATACTAAACTTATACGCACCTAACACTGGAGCTCCCAAATTTATAAAACAATTACTAACAGACCTAAGAAATGAGATAGACAGCAACACGATAATAGTGGGGGACTTCAATACTCCACTGACAGCACTAGGCAGGTCATCAAGACAGAAAGTCAACAAAGAAACAATGGATTTAAACTATACCTTGGAACAAATGGACTTAACAGATAAATACAGAACATTTCATCCAACAACTGCAGCATATATCCAGATGGGTAGAATTAATACTGTGAAAATGACCATACTGCCAAAAGCGATCTACAAATTCAATGCAATCCCCATCAAAATACCACCATTGTTCTTCACAGAATTAGAAAAGAAAATTCTAAAATTTATGTGGAACCGAAAAAGAGCCCACATAACCACAGCAAGACTAAGCAAAAAGAACAAATCTGGAGGCATCACACTACCTGATTTCAAACTATACTATAAGGCCATAGTCACCAAAACAGCATGGTACTGGTATAAAAATAGGCACATAGACCAATGGAACAGAATAGAGAACCCAGAAATAAACCCAAATATAGCCAACTGATCTTTAACAAAGTAAACAAAAATATAAAGTGAGGAAAGGACACCCTTTTCAACAAATGGTGCTGGGATAATTGGCTAGCCACATGTAGGAGAATGAAACTGGATCCTCATCTCTCATCTTATGCAAAAATCACCTCAAGATAGATTAAGGACTTAAACCCAAGACCTAAAACCATAAAAACTTTAGAAGATAACGTTTGAAAAACCCTTCTAGACATTGGCTTAGGCAAGGATTTCATGACCAAAAACAAATGCAAATGCAATAAAAACAAAGATAAATAGCTGAGACCTAATTAAACTAAAGAGCTTGCACACGGCAAAAGCAACAGTCAGCAGAGTAACCAGATAACCTATAGGGTAGGAGAAAATCTTCACAATCTATACATCTGACAGAGACTAATATCCAGAATCTACAACAAATTCAAATAAATCAGTAAGAAAAAAACAAACAATCCCAACAAAAGGTGGGCTAAGGACATAAATAGACAATTCTCAAAAGAAGATATACAAGTAGCTAACAAACATATGAAAAAATGCTCAACATCATTAATGATCAGGGAAATGCAAATCAAAACCACAATGTGATACCACCTTACTCCTGCAAGAATGGCCATAATAAAAAAACAGCAGATGTTGGCATGGGAACAAGGGAACAAGTGAACAGGGAACATGTGAACATGGGAACAAGTGAACAGGGAACACTTCTACACTGCTGGTGGGAATGTAAACTAGCACAGCCACTATGGAAAACAGTGTGGAGATTCCTTAAAGAACTAAAAGTAGAACTACCATTAGATCCAGCAATCCCACTACTGGGTATCTACCCAGAGGAAAAGAAGTCATTATTTGAAAAAGATGCTTGCACAATTTATAGCGGCACAATTCACAATAGCAAAATCATGGAACCAACCCAAATGCCCATCAATCAACGAGTGGATAGAGAAACTGTGGTATATATAGATGATGGAATACTACACATCCATAAAAATGAATTAACAGCATTTGCAGTAACCTGGATGAGACTGGAGACTATTATTCTAAGTGAAGTAACTCAGGAATGGAAAACCAAACATCGTATGTTCTCACTGATATGTGGGAGCTAAGCTATGAGGACACAAAGGCATAAAAATGATACAATGGACTTTGAGGACTTGGGGGAAAGGGTGGGAGGGGATAAGGAATAAAAGACTACAAATATGGTATAGTGTATACTGCTCCAGGTGATGGCTGCACCAAAATCTCACAAATCACCACTAAAGAACTTACTCATGTAACCAAATACCATCTGTACCCCAATAACTTATGGAAAAATTTTAAAAATTAAATTAAATTTAAAAAAAAGAACTCATTGCAAACTTTAAAAACCCAGCAGTTCTCTGAAAAGAAACTCTCTGTTGGGGAATTGGAACTTGCCATTAAAAAAAAAATGAGTGGGGAAGAAAAATACTTTTTAGATAAGTTTGTTGTTTTATTTATGTCACACTATTACTGCACCTCAAAGAAGACTTTATTACGGTTAGTTAAAAAAATCATTGAGAAGAAAGAAGCATCATTCACCTTTCAATTCTAAACAAGCCTTCCATTTCCTGTTTTTTTTTTTTAAATTGAGACAGGTTTTTTGATTGAGATAGGTTTTGTTTTTCTATTAGCTGTTAATTTATTCTAAAACTTAAAAAAACTGATATACTCTTTTTAATAACCCTTCTTCACATTTACTAGATTGTGCCAATAGAATTTAGGAGTAGTTCTAAAATATTACATTTATATAAAATGGACACTACAGAGAATTTTTATTTAATATTTGTTGAAATCAGCAAGTTTTTTTCTAAGATTCAAGCAGAAAAGACTTACAAAAAGAACCAGTGGAATAAGTTGAAAATACCTCACATCAATTTTAGCAGAAAAAGAACTAAAGCACAAAACCTCAGCAACCTTTAAGTATCTAAACCAAAGTTACCTAAAAAAATTTTTTTTTAACTTTATTTTAGGGTCAGGGGTACATATGCAGGTTTGTGATACAGCTAAACTTATGCTACAGGGAGTTTTTGTACAGATTATTTCATCACCCAGATACTAAGCCTAGTACCCAATATTTATTTTTTCCTGATCATCTCCCTCTTCCCACACTACATCCTCAAATAGGCACCAGCATCTGTTGTTCCCCTCTATGTGTCCATGAGTTCTCATCATTTAGTTCCCACTTATAAGTGAGAACCTGGAGTATTTTGTTTTCTGTTCCTGCATTAGTTTGCTAAGGACAATGGCCTCTAGCTCCATCCATGTTCCTGCAAAAGACATGATCTTATTCTTTTTTATGGCTGCATAGAATTTCATGGTATATACGTACCACATTTTCTTGATCCAGTCTATCATTGATGGACATTTAGGTTGATTCCATGTCTTTGCTATTGTGAGTAGTGCTGCAATAAACATTCACATGTGTGTGTCTTTATGGTAACATGATTTATATTCCTTTGGGTATATACCCAGTAATGGGATTGTTGGGTCGAATGGTATTTCTGGTTTTAGCTCTTTGAGGAATTGCCATACTGCTTTCCACAATGGTTGAGCTAATTTACACTCTACCAACAATGTATAAGCATTACCCTTTCTCCACAACCTTGCCAGCATCTGTTATTTTTTAACTTTTTAACAATAGCCATTCTGACTGGTGTGAGATGGTATCTCATTGTGGTTTTCATTTGCATTTCTCTAATTCTGTTCCATTTGCCTACATGTCTGTTTTTGTACCAGTACTATGCTGTTTTGGTTACTGTAGCCCTGTAGTATAGTTTGAGGTCAGGTAACACAATGCCTCCAGCTTTGCTCTTTTTGGTTAGGATTGCCCTGGCTACTCAGACTCTTTTTTGGTTCCATATGAAGTTTTTTCCAGTTATGTGAAGAATGCCATTGGTTGTTAAATAGGAATAAATTGCTTTGGGCAGTATGGCCGTTTTAATAATATTGATTCTTCCTAATCATGAGCATGGGATGTGTTTCCATTTGTTTGTGTCATCTCTGATTTCTTTGAGCAGTGTCTTGTATTTCTCATTGTAGAGATCTTCCACCTCCCAGATTAGCTGTATTCCTAGGTATTTTATTCTTTTTGTGGCAATTGTGAATGGGATGACACTCCTGATTTAGCTCCCAACATGGCTGTTGTTGGTGTATAGGAATGCTAGTAATTTGTGTTCAAATTACTGAAATTTTGTCGAAGTTGTTTATCAGCTGAAGGAGCTTTTGGTCCAAGATTATGTGGTTTTCTAGGGATAGAATTACGTTGTCTGCAAACAGGGATAGTTTGATTTCCTCACTTATTTAGAGGCACTTTATTTCTTTCTCTTGCCTTATTGCTCTGGCCAGGACTTCCAAAACTATGTTGAATAGGAGTAGTGAAAGAGGGCATCCTTGTCTTGTGCCAGTTTTCATGGTGAATGCATCTAGCTTTTGCCCATTCAGTATAATGTTGGCTGTTGGTTTGTCATAGATGGCTCTTATTATTTTGAAGTATGTTCCTCCAATACATAACTTATTGAGAGTTTCTAACATAAAGGGACGTTGAATTTTATTGAAAGCATTTTCTGCATTGAGATAATCATGTGGTTTTTGTCTTTAGTAATGTTTATGTGATAAATCATACTTATGATTTGCATATGTTAAACCAATCTTGCATCCCAGGAATGAAGCCTATTTGATTATGGTGGACTCAGTTTTTGATTCCGTTTGCAAGTATTTTGCTGAGGATTTTTGCATCAATGTTCATCAAGGATATTGGCCTGAAGTTTTCTTTTTTGTTGTTGTATCTCTGCCAGTTTCGGGATTAGGATGATACTGGCCTCATAGAATGAGTTAAGGAGGAGTCCCTTCTCAATTTTTTGGAATAGTTTTAGTAGAAATGGTACCAGTTCTTTTTTGTACATCTGGCAGAATTCAGCTATGAACCCATCTAGTCCTCAGCTTTTTTTTGGTTTGTAGGCTATTCATTACTGATTCAGTTTCAGAGCTCGTTATTGGTTTGTTCAGGGGAGAAATTTCTTCCTGGCTCAGTCTTGGGAGAATATGTGTGTCCAGGAATTTATCCATCTCTTCTAGGTTTTCTAGTTTGTGTGCATAGAGGCGTTCATAATAGTTTGTCATGGTTATTTTTATTTTTGTGGGATCCATGGTAACATCTATTTTGTTGATTCTAATTGTGTTTATTTGGATCTTCTCTTGTTTTTTATTAGTCTAGCTAGAGGCCTATCTCATTAATTTTTCCAAAAACCCAACTTCTTGATTTGTTGATCTTATGAATGGTTTTTCATGACTTGATTTCCTTCAGTTCAGCTCTGATTTTGATTATTTTTTGACTACTACTAGCTTTGGGGTTGGTTTGCTCTTCCTTCTCTAATTCTTTCAGTTGTGACATTAGGTTGTTAATTTGGGATCTTTCTAACTATTTGGTGTGGGCATTTAGTGCTACAAATTTTTCTCTTAATACTGCCTTAGTTGTGTCCCAGATATTCTGGTATGTTGTATCTTTTTTCTCATTAGTTTCAAAGAACTTCTTGATTTCTGCCCTCATGTCATTATTCACTCAAAAGTCATTCAGGAGCAGGTTATTTAATTTCCATGTAATTGCATTATTTTCACTGATTTTTTACTCTTGAATTCTATTTTTATTGTGCTGTGGTCCAAGAGTGTGTTTGCAGAATTAATTTATTACTTTATAATTTTTTAACCAGCAAATAGACAAATGGTATTCTGACTAAAATTTCTATCTTCCTAGAAACCAGAGAATGAATTAAGTTACATTTCAAAGTAACCTTCCAGGGTCATTAAAGCTATTCTTCACCTGCTTCCAATCAGATTAAAGTAGATCCAAAGAGCAGGACTGTGGATATTATATTCACTGCTACATCCTCAACTCACTATAGGTATTCAGTAAATACTTGTTCTTGCAAATTTACTTTGTTTCCTCTGTGATAATTCCTCTTTTGTGGAATCAACAAATCTTACTAGATTTTCTGCTTATTTTAATAAAAGAACTTTTCAGTGTCAGTGGACAACAAGAAACAGAAGACTAAACTATCAAGATGGAGAAAACATTTTTAATCCTATCTACTAATGGAAACTACATGTAGTTTATCCAGAGCAGCCCCTGTAAGTAAACCAGACCACTTCATGTAAGTAAATATTACCAAAGAAAACCTGAGCAGGTATAGAATGCCTTAAGATAATGATTTCTCAACGTGGGGAGTTGGAAGATAGGGGAGGATTCTCAGTATACTGGGTAGAAGATAATGGATATGAAATAAGAAAACCATATTATTTTATGCAAATTCAAATTCAGAAAATGAAATAAAGACAAATTATAGACAACAAATCTTGCAAATTATTGGCTGATGTTAAAAATTGGGAAAAAAGTTGGTGATGTGTGTGAGTCAATCTGTGTATATGTTTAAGAAACTTGCACATTTTTAACATATGAATATGTTGCTACCTTAAAACTGAAGTGGAACCTTAAAGAGAAATAAAGTGAGGAATAGAAATGATGAATTAATTAATATTTGTTAGTCATGTGTCAGGTGTTGGGATTTTGCCCTACTGACTTCACCAAATGTTGGGTGGTCTCCTTTACACAGCCAGATGCACCTCAACTTCTGATACTATATCTATATGCTTTCAGTTCCCAAGAGATTTAACACCAGAATGCTCCAGCTAAATGTGCTTGCTTTATTTCTGGCTAAGCCATCTCTTGAGCTGGTTTTCTACTATAATGAGCCAGATTTCACTACTCAGAAACGTGCAGAATGTCCTTGACTTTCTTCCATAAACTCGGATCCTCTGTTTTCTTTCCTAGGGGTTCCAACGCAGTCCTATTGAGCCCTCCGAGGCAAATTTCACACCCTGTTCCAACAGCCTAGCATGCTCTTCTCCTTCAGGCCAAATGCCTGACACTTGTTCTCTCATTTCATTCAGGTCTCTGCTCAAGTGTGACCTCATTAGAGATACTATCCCTGATCACCTTGCCTAAAATAACACCCCTTCACTCTCTGTGTCCAATCAGCCCTCCAATAACACCTTACTCTATTCATTCCTCTGTGTTTTTCCTTATATAGCATGTATCACCACCTGACATCCTATTGTATTATGTTATGACATGTGTGTGCATGTGTATGTGTGTATGTGTATATATGTATGTTTTTGGTCTACTAACTAGTAATTACATCCATGAAGATAGAAACTTTATTTTATTCTTATTATATCCCCAACAGTTCTAAGCACATAGCAGACACAAAATAAATATTGATTAAATGGGTGAATAAATGAATCTTATTTTACCAGTTGAATATCAAGATATAAAAGAGAAAAGGTACAGTTTTGCTACTACTTGCAAAACCACTACTAGTAGGATGATGACCTTATTATATGTCTTTGAAGCCTTATATCTAATTTTGTAGAAAACAGAACTATGTCTACCAAAATAAACATAATTTCTGAATCATTAGAAATGTTTGTCAGAGCAATCAAAACATGGAAAACTGTGCAAAAGATAGAGTCAGATGACTGATATTTTAGGTATGTTCTGTTAGCAATTTTTAGTTTATAAAAACTTTGACTCTCTTAAGAAAAATGACATCAAAGAGAAATTCCCAGATACTAACAGGCTTTTAAAATATATACATATATATATATATATATAAATGAGTATCTGCTGGTAATATAAAACTATGAAAAATTATGATTCCTGACCTGTAAAAAGAGAACACATTCATGCTAATTTCATGGGTCTGCCAAGACAAGAAATCAGCTTTCCACTTTGCTCACTACAGAAAAACATTGAAGTGCCATTTTGGTGGCAAGAATGAACAACAACAACATTCATTCTTTGATATTTTTCCTTTTTCATCATTTATAGTTGTCAGAGCAGCGATCCTGGCATTATTCCACATAGTCAAATCACACTCAACTTCGTCATTCTGTAGCTGCTTTTAGATGATAAGAAGAAATTTTAGCAGTTTTCATTATAATGTACATGCTGAATTCTGCATTGTTTACTCTCATACACAGGGATTCTAAACACAATTTATTATTGTTCAGACCAATACCCAGGTAAGAGAACTCCTCGATGTTCACAATTCATGCATCTTTATTCTTCATTTAAATAAGCACAATCAACAACTCCTCTCATGAGGAAATGCCAGGGCAGAAGCATTTCAGTTTCCTAAAAGAAGTCTCTAAAATCCTGGACATACCATATTTTAGATGTCTTACCCAAAAGTCCCACAGAAAAAAGAGTTGTGTATGAAAATAATATTATTGGCCGGGCACAGTAGCTCACATCTATAATCCCAGCACTTTGGGAGGCCAAGGTGGGTGGATCACCTGAGGTCAGGAGTTCAAGACCAGCCTGGCCAACGTGGTGAAACCCCGTCTCCACCAAAAAATAAAAAAATTAGCGAGGTGTGATGATGCGCACCTGTAATCCCAGCTACCTGGGAGGCTGAGGCAGGAGAATTGCTTGAACCCAGGAGGCCGAGGTTGCAGTGGGCCAAGATCACACCACTGTACTCCAGCCTGGGTGACAGAGCAAGAATCCATCTCAAAAAAAAAGAGAGAAAGAGAGAGAGAGAGAGAGAGAGAAAAAAAAAAAGAGAGAAAAAGAAAATGATATTATTAACAGTTCACAAGGTACTGAGCATCTTGGTAATAGAAATCTCCTGTCACCTTGGTACTGGCTGACATGTGGACTCTGACAGAAGAGTGGGTATCCATGCCATAGATGCTTCAGTGGTGTCATCACAGGCATAGTTTTAGTCTCACCTGACACAAAATATGATTATAGTTTTAAAGAATAATCATGAAGGCAAGTAATTTACATTTCAGTCTAATAAAAACACTAAGACCTTCCTTAGCCAAGCAGCTGAAATCCTGCTAATGAGATTCATCATTGGCCTGCTTAGTTACCTCATACATCTTTATCTGCTGATTTCAGCTCTCTTCACATGCAGAACTACACATCATTCTTATAAATTATGTGAATCTCTTAAGAGTGAAACATTTCCGAGCAAAACACTACAAGCTTAGGTAATGTAGCAGAATGATCTCTGAAGCACCCACCAAGAGACTCAACTATTAAGTATATTCCTGGACAAGTTATTTTAATTAATGTTCCATGAGTAAATCTATTGGAAGCACTGTGGTAGTTAACCCTGGAGAACAGAAAGATGACTCTAATGATAGTTTGGACCTCCAAGTCAAGGGTATGGGTACATCATAGTGTATGTGTATTTCTACAATCTCATAGAAAGAAAGAAGATATGGACACATAGAACTATAATATTACTGTATTCACTGCCACAGTAAGATGCATTTTTAAGAGTTAAGAATCTCTCTATCTTTTACTATAGTCTCTAAAAGTCTAAAACATCTATTCTTTGAATATTTCATATCACTGGCCCATAAAACTGATGCTTTGGTGGTGCTGACTGGAGAAAGAGCTAGATTTTTAACAATCATTATTATTTGTTTTATATTTATTTGTCTCTTTGGGTTTTGTACATCATCAATTTGCTTTTGAATTTTAACAATATATTTTATTTAACCCAATATATCTAAAATACTATCATTTTGACATGTAATCAAAATTTAAAATTTATAATGAGACATTTTACATTCTTAGTAAATAATGTCTGCTAAGCCAGTGCATGTTTTACACTTAACAGTACATCTCAATTCAGACTTGACACATTTCAAGTGCTCACTAGCCCCATGTGGCTACAGACTACCATATCAAACAGGGCAGTTCTAGATCTTACCTCCATGGACTTTTGAGACCTAATGATTCTCACACTATCTTGTTCTGTAGTGACTGTGCTGCAAATACCTTGTCTAGATTCTGACATGATTTCTCATTTCTAAGCTACTGTTCACATCGAACTTTTAACTCCTAAATCACTGATTCCAGAAATGGACACTTTGCTTGGCTCTCTCAATACCTATTCCCTGTCTGACTAACATTGTCCTGCTGCTACATATCTGGCATGACATCAAGTAATTATTTAGGCTTTTCTCATTAGAAGAGAGGTCTATTTTATAGAAAAGGTATCACTGAGTGCAAGAACATGCTGAATTCTCTGTGGATTCTTTAGATTTACCTACGGGGAGCTTAACTATTTGGAATATAAGACTATTATCTGGTTCCCAGATCCACTCATGGCTACTTACTGCTTGCTGATGTAGTACACAAAAGAAAATAGCTTTTAAACATCAGAAACTAAATATTATCTTGGTCTTTAAATTTGTACAGTGAAAAATTACTAATTTGTTCCCACAGGCCAATGAATGATTCGATGTTTCAAGTAGAATGGGGTCAATGTTACGTGCTCAGAAAGGCAGAGGGGAAAAAAGTATATAAATAATTTTCAAAATATACCTAACTCTCTCACTCCCAGTTAACTTGGAAACCTTGATAGTCTTTTAACTTTTCTATTTTACCTTTGAGGCCAAACCTCTGTGATTACAGGTGTATGCTCACAGGCGAACTTTAACCTTGAAGATGTGTTTTGTTGGCTCACACAGCGTTTAAAATTCGTCTGAACCTACATTTAGAAATTGGGAGCTCTTGGCTGGGCATGGTGGCTCACACCCGTGGTCCCAGCACTTTGGGAGGCTAAGGTGGGTGGATCCTTTGAGGTCAGGAGTTTGAGACCAGCTTGGCCAAATACAAAAATTAGCCAGGCGTGGTGGCACAGGCGTGTAATCCCAGCTACTCGGGAGGCTGAGGTAGGAGAATCACTTGAACCTGGGAGGAGGAGGCTGCAGTGAGCCGAGATCGCTCCACCGTACTCCGGCTTGGGCAACAGAGTGAGACTCCTTCTCAAAAAAAAAGAAATAAAGAAACTAGGAGCTTTCATGTAAACATTCAGCTTTCTAGCTTCCTTTAAAAAATTGAAAGATTCATTCACACTAAGCAGTCCTCCTGCATGGTACTTTTTGGCACAGTTGGACTTGAGAGGGGCTTTCTATCTTGATGTATCAATTTTTATTTTCCAAGAAGCACATCTGTTTCAACTAAAGATTGAAATTTATTGGAATAAAGCCATGTGAAAATTATTTTAATAAGCGTTTTACTATAAAATAGAACAAAATGTGTAAAACACAAATTCTCAAGTTTAATATAAAATGGGCACCTATGTCATCACAACTCAAACTATAACGTCTTGCCAGCACCAAGGATCCCTCCATTTGTCCATTCCCAATCAGAACCTCTACCTTCCCTAGGGAAATGACCACTCTTATAACCCTTGAGATTTTTTTTGTTCATTTTGCTTTTCTTTTTAGACCTATGGCTATACATGCATGCCTAAACAATAAAGTTTAGTTTCACCCAGTTATAAACAACATAAATGGAATCATGCTATATGTTCTATGCTATTTATTTCTTCTTTTATTCAAAATTATGTTCATAAAATTCATCAGTGTTGTTGCCAGTAGCTATCATATGTACAATTTCAATGCCATAGTCTACTCCTTTGAGTGAATATGCTGCAATTTATTTATCAATTATATTCTTCATGGTCATTTGGATTGGTTCTAGCTTTGGGATAAAACTGATACAAACAATGCTGTTACAAACAATGCTGAAGGGAACACTCATACATGTATCTTGACGCAGATACTCACAAGCAGCTCTAAAATATATTCCTAGGAGTGGAATTGTTGGGTCAAAGGGAGGCTCATTAGAGCCTCAGCACTCAAGGTTTTTATTGGTGGCTTGTCAATGGGCATGCTTTGCCTGGAATATGCAAAAATTCTAGGCTCCAGGAGGAGAACAGGTGTTAAGTATAAACCAAATTGTTTGCACAAAGAGTTTAGGCATAGTTAGCCACTCTTATCCATTAAAGTGGTGGAAACCCTCCCAAAAGTCAAGTTCTCAGATACCAGCCACGGTCAACCTTTCTAAACAGTCCTACCAAACGCTAGCACTCAGGCCTGCTGTGTGTGTCAACTCTTCTCTGTACATCCTGAATATCAGACTCATTCAATTATTATTGCTTTGTAATAAGCCTCTATATCTGGAGTTTAAAATCTCCAGCTTTGACTTTCTTTAAAATTGACTTGGTTTTCTTTGCCTCTGGAATTTTCACATAATTTTAGCATCAGCTAATCAATTTACATGTCCAATCATTGATGAGATTTTGACTGGGATTACATTGAATTATACATCATTTAGGGTAAACTGACATCTTTACAATATGCAGTCTTCAATTCTTGAAGATGAATTATGTCACCATTTACTTAGATCTTTAAAATCCCTCCATTTTTAAAACTGTTTTCCATGCAGCATTGTGTATCTTTTCATAGATTTATTCTGAATACTTGATCATTTTTAACACACTTGTGCCATTATTTTTTAACTATTTGTTTTTTGCTCATAGAAATAAATTCATTTTTGTATCCATCAAACTTGCTAAACGCTTATTGATTTTAAGAATGTATGTGTACACTCTTCCAGATGAAATAAGAAGCAGCATAGCATAGTTAGGAGCATAGATTCTGGAACCAAAGTACCAGCTCCACTGCTTACCAGTGTGTGACCTCAGGTAAGTCGTAATCTCTTTATCTTTCTGTTCCTTACCTGCAAAACAGAAATAACAATTGTACCTTCCTCATGGGTTGGTATGAGGATTCACTGAGATTATGTAATAGAAGCACCTAGCACAATCTCTGGGATGTACTAAACATTAAATAATGGTCATTATTACCATCATCATTATCATCACTATATATACACATGATAAATAATCATATTTAGCCCCACAGACATTACTATTTTTGTTTATAAAGTCAGTGCCCCTTTAGATTTAGTGACATATTTACCTGTTTCTTTTTCATTCTTTTCTGCATCCCAGCCCTCCCCCCTCTGGAATCTCTGTCCTTCCATCTCATGTACATCTTTAGAAATTTCTCTAGTGACAGACTATATATTTTTATTTTAAAATGTTTTTATTTCACCTTCTCTTTTACAGAATACTTCCACTGGGTACAGACATTCAGAGCTGGCAGTTATTTGCTTCTCTGTGCATTGAGGTTATCGATCTACTGCCTCCTAGCTTCCAGTTTCTATTGTGCTATCGAGAAGTTGACTGTCAGTCTAACCCTTAATCCACTAAACAGAATTATGTTTTTCTCTAAATCATATTTTTTCTGTAGCTTTATTACAATGTGTATTTCATTATATTTAACCTACTTGTGATTTGTTGTGCTTAAGCCTATTGATTGCCTGTAATCCCAGCACAATGGGAGGCCGAGGCAGGCAGATCACTTGAGGCCAGGAGTTCGAGACCAGCCTGGCCAACATGGTGAGACCCTGTCTGTGCTAAAAATACAAAAATTAGCTAGGCGTGGTGGTACATACCTGTAATCCCAGCTACTCAGGAGGCTGAGGCAGGAAAATCACTTGAACCCGGGAGCAGAGGTTGCAGTGAGCCGAGATTTCACCACTGCACTCCGGCCTGGGCAACAGAGTGAGACGCTGTCTTAAAAAAAAACAAACAAACAACAAAAAAAAACTTGTTGATTGTTGACTTTCATTATTTCTCAAAAATTTTCTCCAAATATCCTCCTACCTATTATTTCTCTCCACTCTTTCTGAAATGCTTAGTTAAGTTCATGTTAGTCCTTACGATCTTATCTAGTATTGTTTCTTCACCTATTTTCCTCTCATCTTTTTTACTTTCTGATTCATTCTGGATAGTTTTTTTTTTTTTGCCTTATCTGTCTGTACATAAATTTTCTCCAGGTTTGACTAACTTGTTCTATTTGATTCATTTTCAAATCTGCTAGATCACATTTGATAGATTTCTGTCCCCTGAATCCAGTTTCATTTTGCCTTTTATTTAAATAGTAAATAGTGTTGTTTTACAGACTGTCATAATTCTAGTATCTATAGATTTGCAGGATTTCTTTTGATTATAGTGTCTGCTGGTTCTAATCTGTAATACTTCATTTCTTTGTGTTGTCTTTGACTGTATGCTGTATATTATTATATGCTGTATGTAATACCCTAAAAAGGCTGGGCATGGTGGCTCACGCCTGTAATCCCAGCACTTTGGGAGGCCAAGGCTGGTGGATCACCTGAGGTCAGGAGTTCAAGACCAGCCTGGCCAATATGGCAAAACCTTGTCTCTACTAAAAAATATAAAAAATTAGCCAGGCATGGTAGCAGCACCTGTAATTCCAGCTACTCAGGAGGCTGAGGCAGGGAGAGTTGCTTGAACTTGGGAGGAGGAGGTTGCAGTGAGCCGAGATTGTGCCACTGCACTTCAGCCTGGGTGACAGAGTGAGACTCCATCTCAAAATAAATAAATAAATAAATAAAGTATTATTTGTAGAAATAACTTGAAGCCTGGAATGAAAATATATTTCTCCAGAGAAGATCTTAGAGTGTCCTTGGAGCATATTAGTCTGGTACCATTTTAAATTACATTTGTGGCTTGACATATTTTGGACCTCCCGGGTGACATAATTTGAGGGCTGCCCAGCTTCTTGAGTGCTAGTATACTACTAGTTCCTTTTTGCCCTGAGAGTATGGCTCCTTGGGTTCACAATTTAAAGTGAGGGCAGTCACTTATTAGACATCCTACTTTGAAAATTATCGGGCTTTGATTTCTGTTAGCTTTTCCTGGGAAGCTGTCAAAGTCGGTATTCAAATTGACAACAATGGGCAAAACTCTGAGGACAAAGTAGCATCTCTACTCCCCTTATCTCTCTGACTTCCCAAATCCTCTTCAACCTTGGCCTGATATCTTTTTACTATTTTGTCAGATTTTTAGTGCTTTTTAATAATATAGTAGGCTGGGTGCTGTGGCTTATGCCTGTAATCCCAGCACTTTAGGAGGCCAAGGCAGGAGGATTGCTTGAAGCCAGGAGTTCAAGAAGAGCCTGGGCAACATAGTGTAAGACCTCATCTCCACACAAAAAAATTCTGAAAAGTAGCCAGGCGTGGTGGTGCACACTTATAGTCCTAGCTTCTGGGGAGGTTGAGGTGAAAGAATGACTTAAACCCAGGAGTTTGAGGCTGCAGTGAGAAAAGAGAAGAGAAAAAATATAGTTTACATGTTTCATCCAGCATTTTTAATAGTTTACAGCAGGAAAGTCTGGCGAACTGACCTAAGCCACTATGGAAAAGGAAGTCCCATTATGTACTTTATATTCTCTTTCATATTTTGTCTTTTATTATTTCTCTAAGTGTGTTCCAAACAATGTCTCACTTACTGATTTTTGCAAAGAGCCAAGCAGCTTTGATTGCTTTTTCTGTTTGTTCTCTATTTTATTCTTTTTTATAATTAATGCTTTCCTAGCATGTTTTAATTACTTTTCTTGATTCTAATTAGAATGCTCAGCTATTCCATTTTTCTTGTTTTCAAGTAATTGCATATAAAGCTATAGACATTTCTCTGAATACATTTTTATTTGTCATGTTTTCTAGATGGTTTGTAATATCAATCTTTACATCCCCTTTAAACAACAATTTATTTAGAAAAGTGTTTCACTTTTTTTAACTTGAATACATTTTATCCTATCTTTTTATTATTAATCTGTTTACATTGTTATGAGTTCAGAGAATGTGGGCTTTAATTATTTTTATTGAAGTTTTCTTTATGAACCAATATATGATCAAACATATTTGTGTTCCATAGGTATTTGCAAATAATATTCATTCTCTGTTCAAGACAAAATTCTTCATTAGATATTAATTCAAATTTTTTTGTTATTTAAATCCCCTATAATTATATTTTTAATTTTCTCGATTTGACTATTTCTGAGAACAGAGTTGGGGTAGGCAGAATAATGATCCACCAAAGACATCCATATCTTAATCCCTGAAAACTGTAAATGTGTTACTTTACATGGCAAAGAAGAATTAGGTTTCAGTTGGAATTAATATTGCGAAAAAGCTGACCTTAAAATAGGGAGATTGGCCGGGCTCACACCTGTTATCCCAGCACTTTGGGAGGCTGAGGTGGGTGATCGCTTGAGCCCAGGAGTTCCAGACCAACCAGGACAACTTAACGAGACTCTGTCTCTACAAAAAATAAAAAAATTAGCCAGGTGTGGTGGTGCATACCTGTACTCCCAGCTACTCAGGTGGCTGCGATGAGAGGATTGCTTGAGCCCGGGAAGTCAAGGCTGCAGTAAGCTACGATCACTGCCACTGCACTCCAGTCTAGGCAACAGAGCAAGACTCTGTCTCAAAAAAAAAAAAAAAGGAGATTATCCTGGATTATCTGGATAGTCCCAGTGTAATCACAAAGGCTCTGAAAAGTAGATGATGGAAAAAGTGGGCCATAAGTCAAGAAATGTGGGAGGCTGCTAGAAGCTGGGAAGGGCAAGGAAACAGCACTATTGAAAATACTGTCAACAATATACCATCATTGTTACTTTCTCTCAGAGCCTCTGAAAATGAATACAGCCCTGAGGACACCTTGCTTTTAGCCCAGTGAGACCCATTTTAGACTGCTGGAGAATCAGATAGTAAATTTGTGGTGTTGTAAGCCACTAAATTTGTGATAATTTGTTACAACAATGATGAAAACATAAAAGGCTTTTTAAAATCTCTTTGTATCCCTAACATTTTTGCTCTATAATTTTTGCATAAAGATACAAGCACCTCATACTGTATTATAATTAGCATAATGGCATGATGCCATGCAATCCTTTCCACCTTGAATATTCTTTCTAATTTTAATATTACTGCAACTTTATTATCATTTTGCTGTTTTATTGTTACCTGTTTTTATTTTCAAACTTCCTGCTCATTTGTTTGTTAACTATTTGACAATTTCTGTGATTTAATCATCGTTGTTCACTGTAATGTCTAAATTGTGCCTTATTCCTGCCATTTTGTTTCATGTTCTGATTGTTTATGTTTTGCTCTCTTTTTTCTTTCATGTTGGATTAATCAGGACTTTGGGATGAGGTGGGGGCTATTCGTTGGTTCTTTGTTTTCTCTGGTTATTCATTCTATTTCTGGCAATTTCCCTTTTTTACTTTCTTTTTTTGTGTCTTTGTTTCTCTCTCTTTTCTTTATCAAAAGACATTAACGAGCATGTTTTGAGGGAAAAAAATCACGGGGTTTTGACTTTTTTCTCTTCTGAATGCTTTAATAATATTTTTATATTATTTTTATATCATAAATTCCCCTTTTTTCAATTTATTTTTACTTTTCCTGGATTTTTCTGGATTCCTGCCTCAAGGAATTCTCCCAAAGAGTATTTAGATGGTAAACTTTCTGAGACTAACAAGTCTGAAAATGTCTTTATTTTACTTTCACACTTGAATACCAATTTTCTGTATAAAGGTATTGGCTAAAACAACAGCACTGTCTCAGATTTTGAGGGTATCACTGCCTTATCTTCACGTATCTGGTGTTATTAATGAGTCGTGTGATTTAGTCTGATATTTTTATGACAGGTACTTTGCATTTTATTTCTTGTGGCTCTTGCTATTTTCTTTATCTTTGGCGTTCGGACATGTCACCATGCTGTTTATAGGCATAGATGTGCTGTCCCCACGCCCCACCACCCTGAATCCTTCTACCCACCAGTCTGAGGATCTCTTCAATCTAAAGACTAGAGTCATTATTCTATTTCCTCAATTATTTGTTCATCTTCCCCACGCTGTTCTTTCTCAATACCTCCACAAAACCATACATTTCTCTAGATCTACCTCCATGACACTTATCTTTGCTCTCATGTGTTTGCCTTGGATTTTTGCATTCAGCTCTGGATGTAGCACTCTGAACCATCACCCAGTCCAGTAATGCGGTCTTCAGTAATGTCCACTCTGCTATTTAGTTCAGTCATTTCTTTCTCTTTTTTATCAAAAAGTTTTTAACTTCCAAGAAAATTGCTTCTTTCTCATAATATACTTTTCTTTTTTATGGGCAAAGTATGCTTCAAATCTCTAGGATACTTATTTTGTTTATTCTAAAACATTCTCTTTTCCCTGTATTAACTCTGTTGCCTTGGGCCATTTCTTTTCCTGTTTCCTGAATCTGAGCCTCTCTTTCATGATATTGACTTTTCTCAAATAACTGCTAATTTTTAATTACCTAATCCTATTTATATATTTATAGGTGGACATTTAAATTGTACAATGAGGCTTAGGCACTCTTTCAGAGTATCTTTGGCATCAAAACTCCCACTTCAGAGGACTTTTACTAGTGGGCTTTGACTTGAGAGTGGGGGAATGAACACAACTGTTATTCCATTCTTTAATTAAAATGTTGACTGCCCATCGCCCTGGCTTTTATCCATACTCAACTAGAGTGGGGGTTATTCTTGGATTCTTCTGGGAAAACTCACATTTTTATTTCCTTAACTTATATTGGATTACGTATTCTTCATCTGTTTTATATCTTCCAGAAATTCCTTATTGTTGTGGCCTTTTCTCTCTTAATTCTCATAATAACCTAATGAAATAAGTACAATATTATGCCCACTTTAAAAAGAGAAAACTAGGGGACAAAAACTTCAAGGAGCTAGCCAGCCTCAGATCTCACAGTCAGTTTCAGGATCAATATTTAAAATCAGATCCAGAGACCACACTCTGACAACTTTCACCAACCATTCAGAGCAGGGATAGCATAGCAAAGCTTCCCAGTGTGTTTCATTTAGCTTTTGACTGTACAATATTAAGGAACATAATTGGGAAATTTTAAATGACCTCTAGCCCACAAGGTTCAAGGAAGCTGAACTTTGCTTATAAATCTGGAAAAAATAAACATCCCAATTGTCCAGCAGGATGTGAACTTACTCACCTAAGACAAAAAATAAATATATATGTGTAGGTTTTCTCTAAGACTTGAAATAAAACTGAAAAGACTGCATTTAAAGTTGGAAAGAAATCCAAGATTTCTTTGTAATAGTTCTTAAGTATCTATGAAGTTTCTTATTTACTTAAATGGAAGTTCTGAAATAGTCACGTATGCCATACTTGTGACTAAAGCCAAAAAAATACAGGAAATTGACAATCAGCTTTCTCATGAGAAATTTCAAGTGTATTTTTTACAGTGAGGGAACTATATTGAGTGGATTAAATACATACCAAAAGGAAACAGAAAACTTCTGTTTCTTAAACAGTTAAGAAACTTCCAATGTTTTTAGGTATTATTTTTCATATACGTATACATTTTGTGCTTTTTCTGCCAAACAGTTTCGTATTCTCTATACTCTCACTTCTCTTTTGTAAGTGAAAATAGTTACATTGGGTTTGGGGGATTATGTTATATATTTGTTTGCTTATGTTACATAATATAATAATTATATAATGTTCATATAGAAATGGTACAATTAGCTATAAACATAGTACCCAAAGATAACCGTGTTTTTTAATACATGGATGGATGATAATGCTTAGAAAAGCAAAATGGCTACTTTAAAAAACAGCAATAACATAGAATAGCTAAACATATATGTTTAGCTATACATATATATACGTATGTATGTATATATACCTATTCTATGTTGTTGAATATATATTGTGTGTGGTGTGTGTATATTTTTATATAAACAGTATATGTATGCATATATATATGTTGCAGCTGAAGAAAGAGTTTGCAGTGTGTGTATATATATATTGAGTACCTATACATATATTGTGTATATATACAATATATATACATATATTGTGCATATTTTTCCATGGCATAAATAACAACCACATTATAGTGGCTGTATACTACTCTATCTTATAGTTCTATACCACAATTTAGTTAAACTATGCCCTCCTAATAATACTTTCAGATAGTCCTGATTTTTCATAATTTTACACAATCCTACAGTTAACCTTACACATGTATCATCATTTGTTTGTCTAATATACAAAGAATAAATGCCTGGCTATAAGAGGATACTGTTCCAGTCAACTTTAATATAGAGAAGTTATGACAATTTAAACTCCCAGAAAGAAGATATAAAAGGACCCATTTTTGTTCTCA
Organism: Homo sapiens; assembly: GCF_000001405.40. Classification (NCBI taxonomy): domain Eukaryota; kingdom Metazoa; phylum Chordata; class Mammalia; order Primates; family Hominidae; genus Homo; species Homo sapiens. The sequence continues at coordinate 63,481,374 of NC_000012.12, forward strand.
ATGCACCAAAACAAATAAAATTATTCTTTTTATCCTTTCCTATATAATATTATTTCTTTTAATTGAACTTTTTCTGTTTCACTTGAGATATGTAATTCCAAAAGAAGTTAAGCGTCTCTTAATATGTTCATTGAATCTATATCTTTTTGTAGAAAATTCCTTTATTGGGCCACATCTATTTTTGTGACTGTCTGTTAGCATTTTTCTTGCTGAATACTGAGATTTGTATTTTCTTAAAGTTACCATATATATAATTTATATAGTACTCATTATATATTTAGCAAAATTTTTTAAGTTATCTGTCTTTGAATGTTATTTATGAAATTTTTATGTAATAGAAAGTTTTAATCTTTAGCTAGGCTATTTAATCAACCTTTTCCTTTATGACAACGGCTTAGAAAAATTGTCTCCTATATATGAGTCTTCTAACACTTTGAGGATATCACTATTAATATTTAACTCTCTTTACTACATATGGAATTTGTTTAAGCATAAATTATAAGAAAAAGATTAAAGTTTAATTTAACTTTGTTTTCAATCACAAGTCATTTCATTCAATTTTTTGACAAATATTTATGAAGCATCTACTATGCGCCATTCAAAATGGGATAGCATCATGAACTGGATAGGCATAGTCTTATCCCTTGTAGCACTTATAATTTAGCAAAATAAAGAAAGAAACAAGAAAACAAATAGATAAGTACAAAAATTGTGATAAATGGTACCAAGCAAAACCATAGATATCCTGATGAGGAAAACAGGGAAGGGACACATTTAGATAAGATGGCTAAAAATGGCCTTTCAGAGAGAGCTGAACACTGAAGGACAAGAAAAAGCCAGCCACACACAGAGCAGGGAGGAGAGAGCAGCCTGGGTTGTGATAGGATAATGTGCAAATGATGCGAGACAGGAAGAGTTCATGCACTGGGACATGAAAAACGACATGTGCCTTCCCTCCTTGTGAAGGGTCTGGTGAAATGTTTTGCTCATTTTCATACTTTTACTTATTAGCACCCAGGGTAATACAAATCACATTCACAATTAGATTATATTACTCTCCCAGCAGATTAGCGTAATTTTAAACTCTTACATGTGTTGCTGAAAATGTGGAGCAATAGGAATCCTGCTCTGCTTGTTGGCAAATAAATTGGTACACCCCTCCACCCCCAACTTTTTTTTTTGAGACAGGATCTCACTCAGTCGCCCAGGCTGGGGTGCAGTGGTACAATCTTGGCTCACCACAACCTCCACCTCCTTGGCTCAAGCAATCCTCCCACTTCAGCCTCCCGAGTAGCTGGGACTACAGGTGCACACCACCATGCCCAGCTAATTTTTTGTATTTAAAGTAGAGATGGGGTTCACCATGTTGCCCAGGCTGGGCTCAAACCAGTGGTGGAATGGGATTCAGTTTATGATAACAAGCGTATATAAATGTGATATGCACTTTACTATATCAGTGTTTTCATGATGGCATGTTTTCTGTGAGTTGTTTGTTTGTTCTCCTCTACTAGTATTTGTTCCCACTTCATCTATACTCCCGTTCAAATTTTATACACTGGACACCTAACAGCTATACTTTCCAGTATCCCTTGCCAGGAGAATTTATTTTAGATTCTTCCTGTGAGAAACACCCATGAGATGTGGCAGGCAAAAAAGAAGCAAAAACTATTGTTGCTCCTTTGGAGCAGCAGACACAAGTATGGGCTTCAGAAGATAGCCAACAGGAAGCTCTGCAGCAGCTAAGCTAGTAGGGGCTTTGCAAATCATTCACTTTGATGGTACTGGCCACCAAGATCATTCATGACATTTTTTCAATTATCTCTGCATCTTTCTAATTTCCCAAAAGCAAACTGCAACTCTCTTTGACTTTTATTGCCCCAGCCTTTCTCCTGGTGCTGTAACATCCTATTTCAAATCCACTCCTGCTTGAAACACCTAGACATGTTTCTGTTTTCCTGACCAACCTATGACTTACACAATGTTATTTTGTTATAGTCAAAATTTTTGAAAGTAAGCCAAAAAAAAATGGGGCTTCTCTTATATAGTTTAAGGTACCAACTACTTAAAGTGGTGACATTTGGTATTTCTACAGTCTCCATAACTTAGATTTATGCAACAAATTTACACTTTTCAAGATGCTTTCTTATTCATTATTGCATTTAATGCTATATTTCTTGTTTTTCACAATTATTTATTTCTAAAAACACAGAAGAATATTTTTGTAAAACTGCAATTTGCAAATTACAAAGTCCTTTTTATCTCAGTCAACTCTTGCTCTAAGGCAAGTTTTATTATATTCCCCATTTTTAGCTGAGAAAACTGAACTTGTTTCTATCACAATTATTTTATTTAAGTGAGCAAATAAATGATGTCTTATTGCAGTTCTACATTTTGGCAATGTATATATGTTTATGTTTTAATCTATCTTAACTTTGAGTTAGTCCTCCTGATATTTTAAATTGTCAAATAGACTTGGCATAGATATTAGGAAATTATGAATATTTTAAACAAAAGAATTTTTAAAATTTACTTTAGCCTATTTAATCTAAGATAATAGTCCCTTACCTATAAAATAGTGAGTTAGGACAAAATTATATCTAGGTTTTCTTTTCAGTTCTGTACACTATTCAGGCTTGAAGTGAAAATAACTTAAACTCAGGGAACATAAAATTCTCCAAGGCTCAAACATGTAAGAACTCTGCAACGGAAATGAAGATAAATATGAGAGAAATTTAAGAGGCATGAAGATTCAAAAAACCTATGTACTCATCTCAGTTTCTCAAGAATGGGTCCTAATTCCAGTTGAAGGGAAGAAACACTAATATTTTAGGATGCATAATAAATTCAGGACAGATTCCTACACTGGCTGATTTAATGATTTAACATTAGCTGGTTAAATAATACTATAGAATAGTTATCACCTCCATTTTCACAGATCAGAAAACCAAGGAAAAAATACTCCATTGATGTGTTAAGGCCTCTAGCTTCATATATTCCTCTGAGTACTTGCTGCTTGAGGCCTCAGTGTTCTAGTTGGAAACTAATTGGAGGGTTCAATCATTCTGAGAAGTCAAGTTGTTTTCTAAAGGTTTTGGGGGATAGTTAATGTTTCTTGCAATTCTGCATTTCTTCTGAAAAGAGGTTTTGCAGCATTTGTTCTGGACTATCTTTTTTAGGATAATTGTATAGCAAATAACCATGGAAGTTAGTGACAGTATCTCCTTCTGGAGCAGAGGATAGATTTGCTTGCTTTTCAGGATAATAAAAATAATGTCCTTCCACTATTTACAATAGCAAAGACTTGGAACCAACCAAAATGCCCATCAATGATAGACTGGAGAAAGAAACTGTGGCACATGTATACCATACCATGTAATACTATGCAGCCATTAAAAAGAATGAGTTCATGTCATTTGCAGGGACATGGACGAAGCTGGAAGCCATTATTCTCAGCAAACTAACACAGGAACAGAAAACCAAACACTGCATGTTCTCACTCATAAGTGGGAGTTGAACAATGAGAACACATGGACACAGGGAGGGGAACATCACACACCAGGGCCTGGGGGAATGGGGGACAAGGGGAAGGGAGAGCACTAGGACAAATACCTAATGCATGCGGGGCTTAAAACCTGGATGACGGGTTGATAGTGCAGCAAGCCACCACGGCACATGTATACCTATGTAACAAACCTGCATGTTCAGCACATGTATCCCAGAACTTAAAGTAAAATTTTAAAAAATAGTATATAATAATAATGTCCTCCTCTGGGGCAAAAGTTGGACAGGCTTTCTGGCAGCACCCTTAAAAAAGATTCGGGTTTCCTAAACTCAGGATCCTTCAGCTATAACACAAACTACTGTGGTGGCTGTGTCACTTTCCCTGAAACATGGGGGCAAGGGGAAACTAGGCTGACATGAAGCTCATACCATCTGCTTGCTATGAGTAAGAAAGTCCTTTGTCACTGATTCCAGAGTCTCTTGTCTTCTGCCAGTCTCCATAAAATTGTGGCAGTCTAACTTGCTAGCTTGAAAGTGGCATAAAAATCTCAAACTCTCCATGGTTTGTGGTACAAGATTGATAAGTTAATAAGTGGTGGAATTTTTATTGAACCTAGACTTCTCTAACTCAAAATCTGTACACTTAACCAATACATGACACTATCCTAAGATGACAGTAAGAAAGTAATCTTGATGTAAGTAAATTGACCAGTACCTAAATGTGAGTAGTAAACTAGTCCTGGCAAAATAATGGAGCCATTTTTTAAAAAATTTCTTCTCCTTGAGATTCAAGTTTGTGTTCTTACATGCATTTCCCTGATGCCACTGACTTCCTACATCATTCAGGAAGGATTTCCAGTAAATATTCCCTTCACTGTGCACTGAACCCCCAAATTCCCCAAATTCACTTTTTCTCTTACCTATGAGAGAATTCAAATAATCTTTCATTACGATGTCCTTGTACCAATGCTTTGTTGTTGACTTCTTTCTTGGATAGGCATTATCTCTCATTTAGACTCTAATATCTTCACAGGAAATCTTTTCTTCTATTTTACATTTTTCTTAGTGCCTAACATTGCCCCACATGGAATAGCCTACAGATAGTTACCTGTCAACTGATAAGCTTCCAACAAAGACAATTTGAACTCATTCTTTAGTTGTCTGTGAATCCTCTGCCTTCTCTGTTATTTACATTTCAGCATCTGAAAATAGTTGGACAAAGCCATACACCTGAGTAAACTATTTCACTTCGCATCAGTCATCTCAAACCTCATATGACCTATCAAATTTATCTAGCAATCCTACTCCAAGTAAGTCTGCTCTCTTACTCCCCTCACACCACTTACTTTTCCTCCCTTCTCCTTATCCTCAGCTAGCAACTTTGTCTCTAGTCTACATCATTACAAAAACTAAGGCCATAAGATGACAATCCCTTCATCTTGCAACCACCAACTCTACACATTTAACCTGCAAACTTGTTCATCTCCATGTTTCTACCAATTACATCTGGCAAGGAATAGTTCTCATCTTTTGTAGAACTCATCACTTATATCCTTTTTAAGAATATTAAAAATAAAAAACAATAAAAAAGATGTTCATTATATGCTGTTTGTTCAAAAAGCTAGTTACAAAGTTGCTTATGTCAAAATCATATCTCTGTATGCACAGAAAAAAACTTGAGATATATAGTAAAATTTTAAAAGTGATTTTTTTTATTGTGGTGATTTTATTTTCTTAATGATCTTTTATATGATCTAATTATTTTCACTACAATGTGCTACTTCTATAATAAAAGTGTTGATTTTAAAAACAATAGAAAAGTAGAACATGGTACTATGGAAAGGAAACTTTTTTGATGTTTCTATCCATTGAGCTTACTATTTTATTTTGAATGGCATCTTTTCATTAGGTAGATAAATAATTTGCAAGCATTTGCTAGAAGGTAACATTTAGAAATTATTAAATGGTAACCACTAAATTATCCTCCAACCTCCATCACCAATTCAGCTACAACCTCCCACCTACTTTATCCCATTACCATGCTTTATTTTTTAAAAATTTTCCTCTTAGCCTTCTATGTGAAGTCAGATCATTTACACACTAGCCTACTTGTCCATTTTTCTCCAACACAATGTAATCTCCGTGAGATCTCCTTGATCCAGGTCCTAGGTACTGGAACATGCTCAAAGCTATATCCCAGTACCTGGAACACTAACTGGTAGATGCTCAATAAATATGTGTTGAATTAAATATATAGTAGATGCTCAATAAAAATGTGTTGAATTAAAAAAAAAAGAGAGAAGGAGAATGTTAAACCTTGGGTCACTCTCCTGTCATGAATTATCAGTCTTTCCCTCTTGCTGGTGGACCACTCCCATTAACATACATACATGTGTTAAATCTTTAACATTTATTAATTTTTGTGAGTTGTCACTTTCCTTCTTATTCATTCTTAGAAAGTTTATATTTTATGAATATTTACCTTTACTAACAAATGTCACAAATATGTTCTCTGCTGTTTGCCTTTAAGTTTGTTTAAGTCTTTAAACATAAAAATTTTTGATAACCAAAAATTTAGGTCATCCCTTTATTTTTTCAGGGATGTGTTTATTGCTTAGTAGGATCTTTTATCAATCCAAAATTTGGTAAACTTTTTTAATTTTCTTTTTGTATTTTTTTTAGTTTTGTTATGTATGGACAATCTAAAATTCATTTATATGTATAGTATGTTAGCAATCTTGCATTTTCTTTTCAGATCTATAGCTAATGTTTTAATGCTATTAGCTAAGTAGTTAACCACTACATGCAAACTCTACCATATGCTTAGGCTTTAAATACATAGGTGTATTTCTGTTTACTCATTTTTTCTTCATTCATCTATTGCCTATAGATACTTAAACAAAATTCTAGCTTTATGGAACAATTTGACATCTAATCAGATCACTTCTTCCTTTTTCTTTTTCCCTTTTTATAATTTTTTTGACAATTCTCAGATATTTACTCTTACACATGACCTTTAGCATTAGCTTTTAAATTCCATTTTTAAATCCCATCAAGTTTTGTCTGTGGTTGCATTGACTTTTATTTTGAGAAGACTTGACATTTACAGGGGTGAATCTTCCCATGCAAAAATATAAATTCATTTTCGCTCCATGTTCAGTTATACTTTCATGTCTTAATAAAAATTTTATAGCATATAGGAAGAGAGATATAAGAGGGATATTTTATTTATTTATTTTATTATACTTTTAAGTTCTGGGATACATGTGTAGAATGCACAGGTTTGTTACATAGGTATACGTGTGCCATGGTGGTTTGCTGCACCCATCAACTCATTATCTAGGCTTTAAGCCCCACATGCATTAGGTATTTGTCCTAATGCTCTCCCTTCCCTTGCCCTCCACCCCCCAACAGACCCTGATGTGTGATATTCCCCTCCCTGTGTCCATGTGTTCTCATTGTTCAGCTCCCACTTATGAGTGAGAACATGCAGTGTTTGATTTTCTGTCCCTGTGTTAGTCTGCTGAGAATGATGGTTTCCAGCTTCATCCATGTCCCTAAAAAGGACATTAACTCATTCTTTTTTATGGCTGCATAGTATTCCAGGTTATGTGCCACATTTTCTTCATCTAGTCTATCATTGATGGGCATTTGGATGGGTTCCAAGTCTTTGCTATTGTAAATAGTGCTGCAATAAACATATGTGTGCATGTGTCTTTATAGTAGAATGATTTATAATCCTTTGGGTATATACCCAGTAATGGGATTGCTGAATCACATGGCATTTCTGGTTCTCAATCCTTGAGGAATCGCCACACTGTCTTCCACAATGGTTGAACTAATTTACACTCCCACCAACAGTGTAAAAGCGTTCCTATTTTTCCACATCCTTTCCAGCATCTGTTGTTTCCTGACATTTTAATGATCACTATTCTAACTGGTGTGAGATGGTATCTCATTGTGGTTTTGATTTGCATTTCTCTAATGAACAGTGATGATGAGCTTTTTATGTTTGTTGGCCACATAAATGTCTTCTTTTGAGAAGTGTCTATTCGTATCCTTCACCCACTTTTGATGGTGTTGTTTGTTTTTTTCTTGTATATTTGTTTAAGTTCCCTGTAGATTCTGCATATCACCCCTTTGTCAGATGAGTAGATTGCAAAAATTTTCTCCCATTCTGTAGGGTGCCTGTTCACTCTGATGATAGTTTCTTTTGCTGTGCAGAAGTTCTTTAGTTTCATTTGATCCCATTTGTCAATTTTGGCTTTTGTTGCCATTGCTTTTGCTGTTTTAGTCATGAAGTCTTTGCCTATGCCTATGTCCTCAATGGTATCGCCTAGGTTTTCTTCTAGGGTTTTTATGGTTTTAGGTCTTATGTTTAAGTCTTCAATCCATCTTGAGTTAATTTTTGTATAAGGTGTAAGGAAGGGGTCCAGGTTCAGTTTTCTGCATATGGCTAGCCAGTTTTCCCAACACATATTTATTAAATAGGGAATCCTTTCCCCATTGCTTGTTTTTGTCAGGTTTGTGAAAGATCAGATGGTTTTAGATGTGCGGTGTTATATCTGAGACCTCTGTTCTGTTCCACTGGTCCATATATCTGTTTTCATGCCAGTACCATGCTGTTTTAGTTACTGTAGTTTTGTAGTATAGCCTGAAGTCAGGTGGTGTGATGCCTCCAGCTCTGTTCTTTTTGCTTAGGATTGTCTTGTTTGTAAAGGCTCTTTTTTGGTTTCATATGAAATTTAAAGTAGTTTTTTCTAATTCTGCAAAGAAAGTCGCTGGCAGATTGATGGTAATAGCATTGAATCTACAAATTACTTTGGGCAGTATGGCCATTTTCACGATATTCATTCTTCCCATCCATGAGCATGAAATGTTTTTCCATTTGTTTGTGTCCTCTCTTATTTCCTTGAGCAGTAGTTTGTAGTTCTCTTTGAAGAGGTCCTTCACATCCCTTGTAAGTTGTATTTCTAGGTATTTTATTCTCTTTGTAGCGATTGTGAATGGGAGTTCACTCATGATTTGGCTCTCTATTATTGCTGTATAGGAATGCTTGTGACTTTTGCATATTGATTTTATATCCTAAGACTTTGCTGAGGTTGCTTATCAGCTTAAGGAGTTTTGGGGCTGAGACAATGGGGTTTTCTAAATATACAATCATGTCATCTGCAAACAGAGACAATTTGCCTTCCTGTTTTCCTATTTGAATACCCTTTATTCCTTTCTCTTGCCTGATTGCCCTGGCGAGAACTTCCAATACTATGTTGAATAGGAGTGGTGAGAGAGGGTATCCTTGTCTTTGCCAATTTTCAAAGGGAATGCTTCCAGCTTTTGCCCATTCAGTATGATATTGGCTGTGGGTTGGCCATAAATAGTTATTATTATTTTGAGATACATTCGATCAATAGCTAGTTTATTGAGTGTTTATAGCATGAAGGGGTGTTGAATTTTATCAAAGGCCTTTTCTGCATCTATTGAGATAATCATGTGGTTTTTGTTATTGGTTCTGCTTATGTGATGGATTACATTTATTGATTTGTGTATGTTGAACCAGCCTTGCGTCCCAGGGATGAAGCTGACTTGATCACGGTGGATAAGCTTTTTGATGTGCTGCTTGGATTTGGTTTGCCAGTATTTTATTGAGGATTTTCACATCAATGTTCATCAGGGATATTGGCCTGACATTTTCTTTTTTTGTTGTGTCTCTGCCAGGTTTTGGTATCAACCAGGTTTTGGTTTTATGAGGCCAGGATGATACTGGCATCATAATATTAATTAGGGAGGAGTCCTTCTTTTTCTATGGTTTGGAATAGTTTCAGAAGGAATGGTACCAGCTCCTCTTTGTACCTCTGGTAGAATTCAGCTGTGAATCCGTCTGGTCCTGGGATTTTTTTTTTTTTTTTTTTTTTTTTTTTTGGTTGGTAGGCTATTAATTACTGCCTCAATTTCAGAACTTGTTATTGGTCGATTCAGGGATTCAGCTTCTTCCTGGTTTAGTCTTGGGAAGATGTATGTGTCCAGGAATTTGTCCATTTCTTCTAGATTTTCTAGTTTACTTGCATAGAGGTGTTTATAATATTCTCTGATGGTAGTTTGTATTTCTGTGAGATCAGTGGTAATATCCCCTTTATCATTTTTTATTGTGTGTATTTGATTCTTCTCCCTTTTCTTCTTTATTAGTCTGGCTAGTAGTCTATTTTGTTAATCTTTTCAAAAAAACAGCTCCTGGATTCACTGATTTTTTAAAGAGTTTTTTGTGTCTCTATCTCCTTTAGTTCTGCTCTCATCTTAGTTATTTCTTGTCTTCTACTAGCTTTTGAAACTGTTTGCTCTTGCTTCTCTAGTTCTTTTAATAGTGATGTTAGGGTGTTGATTTTAGATTTTTCCCACTTTCTCCTGTGGGCATTTAGTGCTGTAAATTTCCTTCTAAACACTGCTTTAGCTGTGTCCCAGAGATTCTGGTACAATGTGTCTTCGTTCTCATCATTGGTTTCAAAGAATTTATTTATTTTTGCCTTAATTTTGCCATTTACCCAGTAGTCATTCAGGAGCAGGTTGTTCAGTTTCTATGTAGTTGTGTGGTTTTGAGTGAGTTTCTTAATCCTGAGTTCTAATTTGATTGCACCGTGGTCTGAGAGACTGTCTGCTATGCATTTGCTAAAGAGTGTTTTACTTCCAATTATGTGGTCAATTTTAGAATAAGTGTGATGTGGTGCTGAGAAGAATGTATATTCTGTTGATTTGGGGTTTATAGTTGTGTAGATGTCTATTAGGTCTGCTTGGTCCAGAGCTGAGTTCAGTCCTAAATATCATTAATTTTCTGTCTCGTTGATCTAATATTGAGAGGGGGAATTACAGTCTCCCACTATTATTGTGTGGGAGTCTAAGTCTCTTTGTAGGTCTCTAAGAACTTGCTTTATGAATTTGAGTGCTCCTGTATTGAGTGTATATATATTTAGGATAGTTAGCTCTTCTTGGTGCATTGATCTCTTTACCATTATATAACGCTCTTCTTTGTCTTTGTTGATCTTTGTTGGTTTAAAATCTGTTTTATTAGAGACTAAGATTGCAACTCCTGCTTTTTTTGCTTTCCATTTGCTAGGTAAATATTACTCCATTCCTTTATTTTGAGCCTATGTGTGTCTTTGCACCTTAGATGGGTCTCCTGAATACAGCAAACTGATGGGTCTTGACTCTTTATCCAATTTGCCTGTCTGTGTCTTTTAACTGGGGCATTTAGCCCATTTACATTTAAGGTTGATATTGTTATGTGTGAATCTGATCCTGTCATCATGATGCTAGCTGGTTATTTTGCACATTAGTTGATGCAGTTTCTTCATAGTGTCATTGGTCTTTATATTTTGATATGTTTTTGCAGTGGCTGGTACCAGTTTTTCCTTTCCATATTTAGTGATTCCTTAAGGAGCTCTTGTAAGGCAGGCCTGGTGGTGACAAAATCCCTCAGCATTTGCTTGTCTGTAAATTATTTTATTTCTCCTTTGCTTATGAATCTTAGTTTGGCTGGATATGAAATTTTGGGTTGAAAATTCTTTTCTTTAAGGATGTTGTATATTGGTCCCCCACTCTGCTCTAGCCTGTAGGGTTTCTGCAGAGAGATCCACTGTTAGTCTGATGGGCTTCCCTTTGTGGGTAACCTGACCTTTCTCCCTGGCTGCCCTTAACATTTTTCCTTTGTTTCAACCTTGGTGAATATGACAATTATGTGTCTTGGGGTTACTCTTCTCGAGGAGTGTCTGAGTGGGCTTCTCTATACTTCCTGAATTTGAATGTTGGCCTGTCTTGCTAGGTTCGGGAAGTTCTCCTGGATAATACCCTGAAGTGTGTTTTCCAACTTGGTTCCATTCTCCTCGTCACTTTCAAGTACACCAATCAATCATAAGTTTGGTCTTTTCACATAGTTCCATATTTTTTGGAGGCTTTGTTCATTCCTTTTCATTCTTTTTCCTCTAATCTTGTCTTCACACTTTATTTCATTAAGTTTATCTTCAATCTCTGATATCCTTTCTTCTGCTTGATTGATTTGGCTATTGATATTTGCATATGTTTCACGAAGTTTTTATGCTGTGTTTTTCTGCTCCATGAGGTCATTTATGTTCTTTTCTAAACTGGTTATTCTAGTTTCAGTTTCTGTAACCTTTTATCAAGGTTCTTAGCTTCCTTGCATTGCATTAGAACATGCTCCTTTAGCTCAGAGGAGTTTGTTATTACCCACCTTCTGAAGCCTACTTCTGTCAATTCATCAAACTCCTTCTCCATCCAGTTTTGTTCCCTTGCTGGTGAGTTGTGATCCTTTGGACGACAGGAGGCGTTCTGGTTTTTGGAATTTTCAGCCTTTTTGCATTGGTTTCTCCTCATCTTCATGGATTTATCTACCTTTGATCTTTGATGCTGATGATCTTTGGATGCAGTTTTTGCATGAGTGTTCTTTTTGCTCATGTTGATTTTATTGCTTTCTGTTTGTTAGTTTTCCTTCTAACAATCAGGCCCCTCTTCTGCAGGTCTGCTGGAGTTTGCTGGGGGTCCACTCCAGACCCTGTTTGCCTGGGTATCAGTAGCGGAGGCTGCAGAACAGCAAAGATTCCTGCCTGCTCATTCCTCTGGAAGCTTCATCCCAGAGGGGCACTGGCCAGATGCCAGCTGGAGCTCTCCTATTGAAGTGTCTGTCGACCCCTGCTGGGGGGTTTCTCCTAGTCAGGAGGCACAGGGGTCAGAGACCCACTTGAGGAGACAGTCTGTCCCTTAGCAGAGGTTGAGCACTGTGCTGGGAGATCTGCTGCTCTCTTTTCGGAGCCAGCAGGCAGGAACGTTTAAGTCTGCTGAAGCTGCACCTAGAGCTGCCCCTTCTCCCAGGTGCTCTGTTCCAGGCAGATGGGAGTTTTATCTATAAGCCCCTGACTGGGGCTGCTGCCTTTCTTTCAGAGATGAAGACGGACATTTTACAGTGCTTTTACTTCTGCTGCCATTGTCCATTAACTTAGATTACTCAAATTTAATTCAAAGTTAGGTGCAATATAATTTCAGAAGTGACACAAAGAATCACCAAGAAATTCAACCTTCGAAAGAGCCTTTCCTGAGCAGAGAATGGAATTGGGAGAAGTAACATCTTTCAGCCAGTCATCCCCTCTCAGGGCACCTAAAGTAGGTCTCACTTTGTAGAGTCAGGGATCACCAGGATCTCCTCCTTTGCATGCTTTACTGTTGCCATCAGTTCCTGGGTTTCCTTTGCACTGCTTCCAATTTTTAATTGAGAAAACATTAAATTTTGTTTATTACAAAATTAATTATTCTGGGCCAATGGCAGCATTTGAAATAGTATGATTCACCTTAATTAACACTCATTAAATCCATACCTTAGCCAATAACATTTTGATTTAGCTGAACACAAGAGTTTCCTTAACAAGTAGAGAGGCAGTTAAAATGGGTAGTTCAAGTGTCTGGCAAAGAATAAAATGCTCTGGTATCCAGTTTGATGTATTTTTGCACATGGTTTTCTGTAGCTCTATTCTGTGCTCCTATTTTTCAGGCACTTGAGAGTGAGAAACAAAGCATCACGTTCTAAGCATGGAAGTAAGATTTTCAATGCTAGCAGGTTTTAAACATTGATGATGATTAGAGTTGTGATTTATTGAACACTTACTCAATTCCAGGTGCTCTTATAAGGATTTTTAAATAATTAACTTACTACAATCACATAGAGAGGTTTTTCTATTCCCATTTGTACAAACAAGGACCTTGAAACTCAAAGAATTTAAGTGCATTATTCTAGAAAGTGGCAGAGCCAGGAAACAAACTCGGGTATGTTGGGATCCACAGCTTCCTGCTGTTTCTGTGCTACCCCACAGCCTACCCATTACCATTCAGTGGTTTACCTGCCGTATATAGTTACCTATGGTGACTGTAACAAATTATCACAAACTACATGGCTTAAAACAACAAAAATTCATCCTCCTCAAGTTCTTCAGGCCAGAAAGTTCAAAATCAATATCACTGGGTTAAAATCAAGCTGTCAATAAGGCCGCACTTCCCCCAGAGGCTCCTGGGGAGAATCCATTCCTTGCCTCCTTCCCCACTTAACTTCCAGCTTCTGGTGGCTTCTTGATTCCTTACTTTGTAGCCACATCACTCCAATCTCTGTCACTGTCTTCACACCACCTTCTCCTCTGTGTATGTGTGTGTGTTTCAAACTACCATTTTCCTCTCTTTTATGAGGATATGTGTGATTGTATTTAGGGCCCAGCTGGATAATCTAGTATAATCTCATCTCAAAATTCTTCATTTAATCACATTTTTAAATACCTTTTTTCCAAATAATGTCAAACTTACAGATTCCAGAGATTAGTACCTGACATCTTTGGGTGCCATTATTCAACCTACCACACACACTCATGTTCCAGAGGGACAAAAGCAAAGGTAAAGGCAGATTTTCCCTTAAGACATTCCCATTTGTGGTATGAAGACAGAGACTCTAATCCACCAAAATGATGAGTCAAGAGAAATATACAGATGCCAAAAACTCCCAGAGGGCAGAGAAAAGTTTTTTTTTGCATTATACCAGAAAGTCCCAGCATTTAGTTTATAATCTTGCATATAGGATATACTCAAGAAACAATTGATGAATTAAAATTTCTAAAACATTATGAAAATTTTTTGAATATTACTAGCTAATTATGCTACTTATTAATGGAAATCTTTAATTCTTTAAAGAAGAAAACAATACTAAGAAATAGGTTTAAAAGGTAATAAGAAGGACCTATAAAATCATAAGCATTGTTACAATAGCCTCAGCCAAAAAAATGTGAATTTTTATTCCAATAAACTATTTTAAAGAGTTTATTCTTTGTTCTTTCACTTAAAAAATATTTTAAAGACATTTTTGAAGAATAAACAGCAATGAAAGTTTTTCTACAGTTTAGACTGAGTAAGTAGACTCTAAGTTAAAACAGTATCCTCAAATCTTGACTGTTTTACAAAATTGTTTGCAACTGACATGTATAATAGCATAGCCATGTGCTAATATTAAAATACAAACCTAGTAAAAGGAAAATATTTGCCAAATGTCTATGTTATCAGAGTTGTTAACACTGGAAAAATATTTACTTTTACTGATTTGTCATTACTGATATCTAAGGCAATTTTAAAGCATATTAATTATGTTGACAAAAGAATCCATCTTAGAAGATTACACTTTGTACTAAAGTAAAGAAATAGCAACTCTATTTTGTCCTAAGTAAGCAGTAAGTATGAACTGTGATTCAATTATTTAACTGTTAATTATTAATCTCTATCAGTCTGGGAGCATGACAATGCATCTGCTGCAACACAACTGATTAAATCAGCTAAGCAATAGGAAATTTTAGAAATCGTTATCTCACAATATGATGTTGCTTTGAAGATGTTAACACTTTGCATCTTATCAGTATAAAATGAACAAGAAAAGGAACTCTACATAACTCTGATGAAGCTTCAGAGGAATATTAAATTAGGGTTTGGTGGGAAAAAAGCAGGGGTTGGGGAAGAAAGCCCTGCAAAAGTAGTAGCGATCACTAAGCAAGCATGATCTGCACTTTTCCCCACCACGTATTCATAGTTATAAGCAAAACTATCTATGCACAAAGTAGTAAGAGAAGGAAATGTGGGAGATTAGAATGATTCAGAACAGATTCAGGTAGTGAGTACCTATCTAATAGGGTTGTGGTGAATACTAAATTCAATTATATCAAAAATGCACTAAACTCAGGATCTCAACATCAGCAAGTGGCAGCATATGTTAATTATTGTGAAAAGATGTTCTGACTCCTTGTTTGAGGATATTTAGACCAGAGACTTGATATCCAGGAAAGAGCTCTGCTGTACCAGTAAGCTATGTATGTTTCACTAATCATTAGAGAAGTGCAAATCAAAACCACAGTGAGATACCATCTCACACAAGTCAAGATGGCTATGATTAAAAAGTCGAAAAATAACAGACGCTGGCAAGGCTCCAGAGGTAGGGAACACTTGTACACTGTTCATGGGAATGTAAATTAGTTCAGCCACTGTGGAAAGCAGTGTAGTGATTTCTCAAAGAACTTAAAACAGAATTACCATTTGACCCAACAGTCCCATCACTGGTTATATATCCAAGGAATATAAATTGTTCTACCATAAAGACACATGCATACGTATGTTCATTCCAGCACTATCCCCAGTAGCAAAGACATGGAATCTACCTAAATGCTCAACAATGGTAGACTGGATAAAGAAAATGTAGTACATATACACCACGGACTATTACACAGCCATAAGAAAAGAATGAGATAATATCCTTTGTAGCCACATGGATGGAGCTGGAGGCCATTATCCCAAGTAAACTAATCTCGGAATAGAAAACCAAATACCGCATGTTCTCATTTATAAGTGGGAGCTAAATAGTGAGTACACATGGGCACAAAAAAGGGAACAGTAGACACCAGGGCCTACTACAGGATGGAGGATGGGAGGAAGGAGAGGATTGAAAAACTGTCATCTGTTGGGTACTATGTGTATTACCTGCATGACAAAATAATGTGTACACAAAACCCTGGTAACACGCAATTTATCTATACAACAAACCCACATGTGTGCGCCTGAAATTAAAAGTTAAAAAAAAGAAAGAAAGCTATGGATATAAGTTCTTGCTGGATAGTTTTTGGCTTTGGGCAAGTCTTTCACTTTCTCATAAGAATTGCAATAATTTATCTGACAATGAAATAAACCAGATAGTTTGATGAATCCTTTCTAGCCATAATATTGCTGAATAGATGCCACCAGGAAGAACATGAATCATTACCAATAACAGTGGAAACAAGTAAGACTACACTTGGATTCCAAAGCAAATGGTATTCAGGATATCAAGAAAATGGTAACAAAACAAAAATATATATATATCACTTTTACTTAGAGTCATTTAGAAAGGTTAAGAGCAAAAGGTAGTCTTTAAATCACAGGTAGACTTTTGAGGGAAGAGAGAAAATCCTACTGGGAAGATAGTGTAAACTGAGAACAGGGACTCATTATTTTAATCAAGGCAGTTTTACATGGCCCAATTTAAAAAAATGTGTTTCAGAAAATTATCAGAAAAGATAGCAACAGCCCCCAAAAATGTATGACTAAATATTTGCCAAGTCATAGACCTCTCCAAAGAAGTACTGGTCTATGCAATAGGCAACAGCTTTGTCCTTATTTTTTTTTTAATCTCACATACTTATCCTTTTATTGTGTTGAGAACCCTTAAAATCTACTCTCCTAACAAATTTCAAACATACAATACATTCTTATTAACTAAAGTCACCATGTTTTACAATAGATCTCTTGAACGTATCCCTCCTACCTAGCTCAAATTTTGTATCCTTTGACCAACATCTCTCTCATCCCCTGACCCCCTGGCCCCTGGTAACCATTGTTCTACTTTCTGCTTCTATGACTTTGACTTTTTTAGGTTCCATAGGTAAGCAAAATGATGCAGTACTTGTCTTTCTGTGCCTGGCTTATTTCAACTAACATAATGTCCTCCAGATTTATCCATGTTGTTGTAAATGACAGGATTTCCTTCTTTTTCAAGGCTGCATAGTATTCCATTGTGTATATGTGGCACATTTTCTTTATCCATTCATTGACTGATGGACAATGAGGTTAATTTCATAGCTTGGCTATTGTGAATCATGTTGTAATGAACATTGGAATGCAGATATCTCTTCAACATACTAATCATATTTACTTCAGATATATACTCAGTAGTTGAATTGCTGGATCATGTGGTAGCTCCATTTTTAGTTTTTTGAGGAACCTCTGTTTTGTTTTCCATAATGGTTGTACTAATTCACATTCCCAACAACAGTATACAAGGGTTCCTCTTTCTCCACATCTTCTCCAACACTTGTTTTTCATCGTTTTGATAACAGTCATTCTAACAGGTATGAGGTGATATCTCATTGTGGTTTTAATTTGCATTTTCCTGAAGATTAGTGGTAATGAGCATATATTCTTGTGTCTCCTGGGCATTTGTATGTCTTCTTTTGAGAAATACCTATTTCAATCTTTTGCCCATTTGTTAACTGTAAGCTGCTGGAAGAAATCATAGGGGAAAAGCTCCATGACATTGGTCTGAGCAAAGGATTTTTTGGATTTTACCCCAAAAGCACAGGCAACAAAAGCAAAAACAGATAAATGGGATTACAGCAGACTAAAAAGCTTCTGCATAGCAAAGGAAACAATCAACAGAGTGAAGAGGCAACCTACAGAATAGGAGAAAATATTTGCAAACCATACATCTGATAATGGGTTAATATCTAAAATATGTAAGGGACTCAAGAGCAATAAAATAACCAGATTAAAAACTCAGCTTTGTCCTCATTTCTAATGAACTAAACCAGTACATCTCAAACTTGAGAATTCTTTAACCTCGAAAATATGTCCACTGAGTCTGGTGATGCGAAGAGCCTATTGCCCTATGAATACACAAACATTACTTAAGATGAGCTCCTGACCAACACAAAAGCAGACAGGAGCACTGAAATCACCACAATTGGTAAGGCAGACATGCAAATAACCCCAAATATATTGTTTTTTTTTTTTAAAGATTTTCATCCACATAAAATACAAAATTTAAAAACTCTCATAGGATTATATCTGTGGACCACAAAGGCCTCGGATTCTACTTTGAGAAACACCATACCAGGTCACATCAGCAAACACCTAATTATGTTACAGGATTCCACTGGTGCCACTTCACCAGCCAGAAATCTCTGCAGCCACCGTGACCTCTGCCCAGGGCCTCATTCAGGCCTGCTGGGCTCACTCTGCCAGCTTGAACCGGCAGGCTGCATTCAGCTCATGCCCTGGCCCTGATCTCGCACCCACCACAGCTCCACACTCAACCCGCGGCTGGAACGGGCATGCCATGAGCAGCTTCTGCATTGGGCACCAGCATCTAGATGGGAATGTGATGGCACCTGAAAACTCAGAGATGCAAGCACCTGCAAAGCCCCAAGGGCTGTTATAGCTCTTGCCTGGGGAGTCCCAAGGTCTGGACTCCCAAGAAATATTGAGGCTTTTGTAGTTCAGCGAGTGGGAAGGAATGATGCCCAACAGCTTTTTCATTTCCATTGCTTGGTGAGCAGGAGGGAGCAGCACCTGGCAGCTTTACTTCTTCACACCTGCAGCTGGGCAAATGGGGGTGTGTTACAGCTCTCTCTTCCTGCCACCCACAGCCCGGCAAACAGGGGCATATTAGAGCTCTCTCGTTCCTGCTCCCCACAGCTCAGCGAATTCTGGGTTCTTGTCCCACGACCAAGAGCAGTAAGGTGCATGGACACCAGAGAGTGAGTAAGGCAGAGAAGAATTTTATTGAGTGACTGAAGGAAAGCTCTCAACTGCAAGAAGGGGCCGGAAAGCAGGTCGCCCTCAGCTGCAAGAGGGGGCCAGAAAGGGGGTCACTCCCTGTAAGGCTAGTCCGGGATTTTTATGGGCTCAGAATGGGGGAGTGAATGATGATTGGTCCATGGGTGGTCTTTGGAAAAAGCACCATTCAATTGGTTAAAAGGCGTCATTCAGAAGGAAACAATCCAGAGAGAGAGAGTAAGACAGAGACAAAAGTTCTCACTCCAGTCATGGACTCTATCCGGAACCAGCAGCCCAGTTTTCAGGCTTTAAACTGTCTTTGGCTTGAAGGTCAGGTTTCACCAGGGACCCATCCCTGTCTACCTAGGAATTTATCTGTCTCCTGTCATTATCAATTTTGAAATATTTTATTACATCCATAAGTGATACTCTTGAAGACTAACCAAAGCCAAAATGTGAACAAAATACTTGAAATAGATTTTGTGGGAATGGTTATGAGTAACATCAGTATTTGGCAAAGTAGTGTTAACTATTAAGCACTGATTTACCATACAGATACAAAATCATCCACTATGCCTATTTGTTAATCTTTAGTATTTGAAAAAAAAAAAGAACATTTTACAAAGATATTCATACCTCAATTTGGGCTTGGCTCTGCTCATTCCAGACCACAACACATGTGAAAACTTTTGACACATACGAGTTTGCAAGCCACTAACAAATAGTACTTAATGGAGTTCTTTTAAAGCAAATTTCCCAAGGGTAGCATAATACAGAATAGAACTGGAATCCAAGTCGATGTCTTCATTTGTAAATAAGCTTAGTCTAACTGGGTATTATTCATCACCAATATTTGAACTGCATCCTATTTTTCTTGTTGAATTTTTATATGTTAGAGAAGAAAACTAAAATTGGATATCTATTTAAAGTGTAATTGCAAATAAATGTGAGATTAAGACCATTAACTTGTCCTTCAGAGCTATTTTGTATTTATTAAAAACGCATGTATATTAGAATGTGTTGAACTATTAAACTGCACATGGTTGGATTTAACTATGGAAGTCTCATCCAAGAGATTGAAGGAGAAATCGAAGGAACTGTGTCAAGACATCTGAAAATAGATTCCATCCTGATCTTACTCTTCTGCTACTGAATTAGTATATGTCAGGAGGAGATTGAAATCATGAAACGCTCATTTCAAATGAAGTAATTTCTATTAAAGATTATGTATTTCTCTTTTCCTCTGATTTTGGGGGAGGGATAGAAATGAATTATGGTACACTGACCTTGAAGATATGGAAAAACAGATTAACTAAAATTATTTACTTTTCATCTTGATTTTTGATCTAACATGCACCAAAAAAAGATCAGCGTATTTTACTAGAAGAAAATTGTAGTGTCCTTATAAGATTCTCAGATATCCCTTTACCCTCTGTCACTTACTAGTTGTGAGAGGTTAAGCTAGCAGTTTGATTACTCTAGGTCTCAGTTCTTCCAGAAACAAAATGAGAATAATAGTACCTGTCTAGAGGCATCAGACTGGGTCAAATGAAGTTTCAAGAACCTTTTCAACATAAAAGATTTTTAGTCGATAGACTTTCCTAATAATAAAGGTGCAGTTACTCTAGCCTGTATAAGCATCCTTAAGAAATTAAACCATTCCACATTAAAATTATCATTGTAAAATTTAATGCAATTTGTTTCAGAGAAATTCATATAGAATACTCAATATAAACAAAGAATAGTCCAGATCCATTAGTGTCAGGCTCTATAAAAATAGTAACAGCTGAAAGATTTCAAAGTGATAATGTGAGAGCATAAGTTAGAAAAATTACAGATATAATATGATTAGTTGTAAGATGCTCACTCTCACCTCAGAAGATTGAATACTTAATTCTGAGGATTTGGTTTTAGTTTTTTTTCATGAATATACAATAACTCAAAGTCAATGTAGAATAAATTGACTTTAAATATGTGCTACAATTCTTAAATTACATTGGGATAGTACATAAATGAATTAATTGCCAAATAATGTTTACTTCAAATTGATGTTAACAATTTTTGTTCTTAATTGGCAGGAAAAAATGTTAGTATTACCATTAATTTTTAAATTTGTCTTTTAATAAAATCCAAACAAATAAAGGGGTGCCTATAGAATGTCCAGAAATAAGTAATAAATCTAGATCTAGAAGAATGCAAGAAAGGAAGAAAAGAAACAAGAATAAAAAGGTACATAAAAGAAAACACAGAACTACATGGTAGATTTAAACCCAAATGTATCAATAATTACAAACATTTTCATTAAAACATTTCTTCTTTGGGTCTACTCCACTTACCAATGAGCCTTTGGTTTTCAGGTGAAATACAATTTCTAAACCACTCATTGTGCCTTTTTTTCTCTGCATTCTTCATATTTATTAAACGTTATTATTTACTCTCCTATTTCCTGAACTTTCATTCTAGAGATCTTCGGAAATGGTTCTTTATCCAAATAATGCTTTTTAATGAATTTCATGTCTCATATTAATTTTATCAGCAACATTTTGGTGAGTTGCTTGTAGCTTTGTTCTGTATCATTTTTCTTAGTCTCTTGAATTTCATTTTCCTCAAAATCAAAATATAATCTAATAACTTAAAGAATATAAAATGTCAGCTTTTCTACCAGTGATTTTGCTGAAACAAAATTTTTCGAGTGTTAATTATATGTCAGTAATAGGATGCTCAGAACTGAGTTTCTGTTTTAAACTTGAAAGCTAAAGACTTTTTCATTCTCATCTTATTTCTTCCATCTGTTTTAATGTTTATGATAATGGTAATTTGCTTTTTTCCCCCTTCCCTCTCATGTGTCTTTATACAATTAATAGTATGTTGATTGATATATTCAGTTTTATTTTTACTATGTCAGACTCTTTAGTCTTAGAGTTTCTTTATATTCCTCTGTCATATCTTTGAAAATAGTTTTTCATTATATATATATTAGAATAATATCAAATATATCTTTATTTTTAAAAATAGTTGCAACTGTTTTAATAGTTGCACATGGTTTTTAAAAATCAAATATTACCAAAAGATACATCCAAAAAAGCACTTCTTCTCTCAACCACATGCCACCCCCAGTTACTGCCCTCAGACAGTTAACTCTTCAACTATTTTGCTGTTTTTTATTTCCTCTGTGCTTCTAAATATGTGT
Source organism: Homo sapiens (assembly GCF_000001405.40). Classification (NCBI taxonomy): domain Eukaryota; kingdom Metazoa; phylum Chordata; class Mammalia; order Primates; family Hominidae; genus Homo; species Homo sapiens. The sequence continues at coordinate 63,503,446 of NC_000012.12, forward strand.
ATGCTGCTACTTCTGGATTTATCCGTTTTGTCATTACTTTTTGACTCCTTGATATGGCCCCCTTCACCTCATACCCTTTCCCTATCATCCCAATGGGGTCATAGTTAGTGCTTACATTATCATGAGTCATATTCCTTACTTATAGAACTTTCCTTTACTTATAGAACTTTCCCTTACTTACAGAACTTATAGAATTCTCTCCCCAATGCTCAAACATATCAAATAATACAGCAATTTCACTTTTTTTCCGTGTTGTCCTTTCTCCTGGAATAATCCATCCTTCTACTTCAGTTAGGATTTTTTTCTGACCCTCAGCATAGTTGTTATCCTGAAATTTTCATGGTTGTTTTCCTGTGCAGAATTCTCTGTTTTCTTCATCCCAAGTCTTCCTATTGCTTAGTTTACGCTCTCATTTTGCTAAAGCGTCTAATCTAGGAACTCCCTGAGAGTAGGGCGATATGAGTTAAACTTGGAGTTTTAACATATATAAATATTTCTTTATTTTCCCTCATTATACTTGATTAACAGCTCCACTAAATATAAAATTCAAGCTTGGAAAATATTTTCTTTAAAAATTTTGAAGACTTGGCCTTATTATTTTCCAATTTCCAGTATTGATATTGAGAAATCTAAAGCCATTCTAATTTATTTGTACATAGCTGGTTTATTTTATTGAAAGCTTTTATGATCTTCACCTTATTCTTGTTTCTCTGAAATTTCACATGATATAAAATTGATATAAACCTTTTAAAAATTTATTGTCTTTGGCATTTGGTATGCCCTACCAATCTTGATTTGGATGCCCTTGAGAGTTTTTTGGAAACTTTTTTGTCATTTAATTTTCTCCCCTACTTTTTTCTGTTTTTGCTTCCTATGACTACTAGTGGTAAGCTATTGGTCCTCCAAGATAAATCCTCAAATTTTCCTATCTTTTATCTGTTATGTTCCAAATTATTTGGCATTTTGTCCAGCTTTCTGAGAAAATTTCATTAACTTTTGAGTTGAACTTTTCTTCAACTTTTAAGTTCACCATTCTATTTAATCTTATATTTTGTTGTTTATTTTATTTTTTGGGAGTTTTTTTGTTCTTTGACTGGTTATCTTTTAGGGTACCTTGTTCTTGTTTCATGTTCTCCGCATTTTTATTATCTATCTGAGGACATTATTTATAAATTTATTTAGAGTTCTTCTCAATAATCTAAAGATTACATTTTTCCACTTGTTTGCCTGTTTGTTTTAATCTGCCTTTCAGTCTGGAGTTATTCTCTGGATGTCTAGTGATATGTAATTAATTTTATATTTCACAGTGAAATATTAAAACAGTGTTTTGAAGGCTCCACATTCATGGTGGATGGCATTTGTTAACCCATGAGCTTCATTATGGGTTGAATGAGAAGTCAGCCAGTCTTTTCATTGAGGCACCCCGAATATCTGGAAGCCTTTCCTCAAGAAAATAATACTCCAATCTCATGTCTGGATATCATTGGCAGGAGAGTGCATATGCCTTTTAGTTAAGTTCAAAAATCAAAGTGGTGGGTAAGAACTGAAGATTTTACCATTCAGAATTTGGTATTCTAAGTATACAGCATTTTTGATACAATAAGCATCTGTTATAATTTTTTATAAGGTAAGAAATCTGGGGCGCCAAATGTTTTATATACAAATTTTCAATAAAACAAATATATCTGTAAGATCAATAAAAGAAAAGAAAAAGGAAAATTCAATGAATTCAACTTTTTATTTTAAAATGTTTTGTTTCATTTGTTGCTTAGTTTTTAAATCCTCTCAGATTTACTTTTTTCCTTTTGATGGAACACATACTCTAATAATTCCAGTAACTGTTTCTTTGAATGATTTAGAGATATCAGAAATTTTTTAAGAGAGAAAGTGAGGCCAAGCATAGTGGCACGTGCCTGTAATCCCAGCACTTTCAGAGGCTGAGGCGGACAGATCTCTTGAGGCCAGTTCAAAACAAGCCTGGCCAACATGGTGAGACCCTGTCTCTACTAAAAATACAAAAATTAGCTGGGCATGGTGGCAGGTGCCTGTGATCCCAGCTACTCAGGAGGCTGAGGCAGGAGAATCACCTGAACCCAGGAGGCAGAGGTTGCAGTGAGCCGAGATCACACCACTGCACTCCAGCCTGGGTAACAGTGCAAGACTCCATATCAAAAAATAATAATAAAATAAATAAAAAGGCAGAAAGTGTATATAAAACTAGTAACTGACTTAGCAGAAAGGAGAAAGCTATAAATAATGACTGCCACCTACTCTGAGTTTCTTAATTCTACTCCCTAGGAAGATTGTTCCTGTCAATGCTTTCGAAGCTCACTTCTGAGGAAGTCACTGGGGAGAAATCCTCTTAACATTAGCAGCTCCTTCCTATTGTTATTAATTTGAGGTCTCTGGATAGAGGCTAATAAACCAAGCCTTTGGTTTCCAGGGTTTATTTATCCCAAATGCCAATCTTTCAGGCAAGTATTCAAAGCCAATGAGCATATGATGATATGTACAGATCTTAGATCTCCATGCCAGTCTTGAAATTTTTGTCTTATAGCAGTAGACTTCAATATTCTACCTTCAATATTCAGACTTCAATCTTCTGATTTTACCTGGACTTATAACTCAGTACAAGATTGAAATGGTAAATTAGAAACAATATTCCCTTTCCAAAACAGCATCCCAGTATTCTGGCAGCTCATCACCATTAGATCTACCTTATGAGAAATATAAAAGGGAGTCCTTTAAGTTGAAACAAATTGACACTAACAATATGAAAACATAAAAAGGTATAAAACTCACTATAAAGGTAAGAATATAGTCAAATTCAAAATACTCTAATATTTTGATAGTGCTACATAAGCCACTTTTAAACATAGTATAAAATTTAAAAGACAAAAGTATTAAAATATAGCTATAATATTTTAATGGATACACAATATATAAATGATGTAAATTGTGACATCAATTACATAAAGTGTGGAGGGAAGAGAGGTTGAAGTATAGATATTGTGTATATAGTCAAAGTTAAGTTGTTATTATCTTAAAATAGACTGCTAAAACTATAATATGCTTTATATAAGCCTTCTGGCTACCACAAAGAAAAACCTATAGTAGATACAGAAAAGAGAATGGAATCAATTTATACCACTATAAAAAATTGTTAAGTTACAAAGGAAGACAGCAAGAGAGGAAGAAAGAAACAAAGGAACCACACAACAGTCAAAAAACAACAAAATGGCAATAGTAATTTCTTACCTAATAATAAAAATTTTAAGTGTAAATGCATTAAATTCTCTAATCAAAAGACAGAGCAGATGAGTGGATTTAAAAAAAAAAAAAAACAAGATCCAAATATATGCTGCCTACAAGAGACTCTCACTTTAGCTTTAAAGATACACATAGGCTGAAAGTGAATGGATGAAATAATGGTAATCTATGCAATGGTAACCAAAAGACAACAGGGTAGCCATACTTATATCACATAAAATAGACTTTAAGCCAAAAAGACAAACAAATTTTAAGTAAATAAAGAGACAAAGAAGGTGATTATACAATTACAAAAGGATTAGATCATCAACAGAATAAAATAATTGTAAATATATATGCACCCTACATTGGAACACAGAAATATATAAAGCAAATATTAACAGAACTAAAGGGAGAGATAGACAGCAACATAATAATAGTGATAGAGGACTTCAATAGCCCACTTTTAATAATGGGTAGAAAATCTATCAGGAAACAGCAGACTTGAACAACACTATACAACAAATGGACTTAACAGACATATATGTAACAATCCTTATTGTTATGTATACACAACATCAGCAGAATACACATTCTTTACAAGCACACTCAGAATATTATCCAGAATAGATGTGTTAGACAACAAAATAAGTCATAACAAGTTTAAGACTGAAATAATATCAAGTGTTTTCCAATTATAATTATATGAAACAAGAAACCAATAACAGAAGGAAAGTTACATAATCCACAAATATATGGAAATTAAACAATATGCTTCTAAACAACCAATAAGTCAATAAAGAAATCAAAAGTGAAATAAAAAATATCTTGAGAAAAATGAAAATAAAAACACAACATAGTAAAACTTACGGAATGTAGCAAAAGCAGTTCTAAAAGAGAAGTTTCTAGTGATAAATGCCCATAGTAAGAAGAAAGAAAGATTTCCATAAACATCCTAACTTTATACCTCAAGAAACTAGAAAAAGAACGAACTAAGCCCAAAGTTAATGGAAGAAGAAAATGATAAAGATCAGTGCAGAAATAAAAGAAAGAGAAACTATAAAAATAGTTGAACAAAGAAAGGATTTTGAATGTTTACAATACAAATAAATAACAAATGTTTGAAGTAATGCATATGCTAATTATCATGGTTTAATCATTACACATTGTGTACATGTATCAAAATATCACTCTGTATCCCATAAATATGCACAACTATTACATGTCAACTAAAAATAAAATAAAATTCATTATTTGATTCTGTTTTAAAAAGAAAGGATCAATAAAACTAATAGTTGATTTTTTTGAAACAAAATTGGCAAGACTTTAGCTAGACTAGCTGAGAAAAAATGAAAGAAGATTAAAATAATTAAAATTATAAGTAAAGGAGGTGACATTACAACTGATGCTGCAGAAATTTTTAAGGGTCATAAAAGACTATTATGAACAACACTATGCCAAAAAACTAAAAAACTAGAGGCAACGGATAAATTCCTAAAAATTTACAACCTACCAAAACTGAATCAAGAAGAAATAAAAAACCTGAACAGGGCTGGCACAGTGGTTCGCACCTGTAATCTAAGCACTTTGGGAGGCCAAGACAGGAGGATTGTTTGAGCCCAGGAGTTCAAGACTAGCCTGGGCATCATGGCAAAACCCATCTGTACAAAAACTACAAAAATAAGCTGGGCATGATGGCACATGCCTGTAGTTCCAGCTACTCTGGAGTCTGAGGTGGGAGGGCTGCTTGAGTCTCAGAAGTTGAGGATGCAGTGAGCCATGATCACACCACTGGACTCCAGCCTTGGTGACAGAGCAAGACCCTGTCTCAAAAAATAAAATAACATAAAATAAAAATCTGAACAGACCATTTGTAAGTAAGGAGATCGAATCAGTAATCAAAAACCTCCTAAGAAAGAAAAGCTCAAGACCAGATGGCTACATGGGTGGATTTTACCAAACATTTAAAGAAGAATTAATGCCAATCCTTCTCAAACTCTCCCAAAAAACGGAAGAGGAAGAAACACTTCCAAACTCATTTTACAGAGTCAGCATTACTCTGATACCAAAGCCAAATAAAGACACTACAAGTAAAGAAAACTGCAGGCAGGCTGGGCACAGTGGCCCACGTCTGTAATATTAGCACTTCGCGAGGCCAAAGCAAGCAGACCACTTGAGCAGTGGCCTACATCTGTAAAACTAGCATTTTGAAAGGCCAAAGCAAACAGACCACTTGAGCTCAGAAGTTCAAGACCAGCCTGGGCAACATGATGAAACCCCATCTTTACAAAAAATACAAAAATTAGCCAGGCATGGTGGTGAGAGCCTGTAGTCCCAGCTACTTGGGAGGCTAAGGTGAGAGGATTGCTTGAGCCCAGGAGGTCAAGGCTGCAGTGAGCCTCAATCATACCACTGCACTCCAGCCTGGGCAACAGAGCAAGACTCTATCTAAAAAATAATTATAATAAAATAAAAAAATAAAAGAAAAAGAAAAAAAGAAAGAAAATTGCAGGCTAATAACCCTGATGAACATAGATGCAAAAATCCTCAACAAAATGCTAGCAAACCAAATTTAATGGCACATTAAAACAATTATGTATTATGATCAAGCAAGATATATCCCAGAGATGCTAGGATGTTTCAACATACACAAGTAAATAAATATATCACATTAAGAGAATACAGGATAAAAATCATATCATCATTGCAATGAATGCAGAAAAAGCATTTGACAAAATTTGACATGCTTTCCCAATAAAAACTCAACAAATTAGGTATATAGAAGAAACGTAACTCAGCATAATAAAAGCCATATATGACAAGCCCACAGCTAACATCATACTTGATGGTAGAAAACTAAGATTGGGAACAAGACAAGGATGCTCACTGTCCCCACTTCTATTCAATATAGTACTAGAAGTCCTAGCCAAAGCAATTAGGCAAGATTTAAAAAATGAAAAGACATTCTACTCAGAAAGAAATAAGTACATGACATTACCTTATATATAGAAAACCCCAACAACTCTACAAAAATTAAAAACTGTTAGAACTAATAAATGAATTCAATAAAGTTGCAGGGTACAAAATCAACATAAAAAATCAGTTACATTTATAATCACTAACAACAAACTATCTGAAAAAGAAATCAAGAAAACAATATCATTTACAGTAGCATCAAAAAAAATTAAATATTTAGGAATGAATTTAACCAGGTAAGCGAATGATCTGTACCCTGAAGACTACAAGAGGTTGATGAACAAATTCAAAGAAGACATAAATGGAAAGACATCCTGTGTTCATGGATTAGATGAATAAATATTGTTAAAATGTCCACACTACCCTAAGCAATCTACAGATTCAATGCAATCCTTATCAAAATTCCAGCGGTATTTTTCACATAAACAGGAAAAAAAATCCTAAAATTCATGTGGAGCCATGAATAGCCATGGAGACCCCGAACAGTCAACACAATCTAGAGCAAGAACAAAACTGGAGGCATCACACTACCTGATTTCAATATATGTACAAAGCTATTGTAATCAGAACAGCATGGTGTTGGCATAAAAACAGACATATAGGCCAATGGAGCAACACAGACAGCCCAGAAATAAATCCATGCATTTAGAGTCAATTGATCTTCAACAACGGTGCCAAGAACACAAAAGAGGAAAGGATAATCTCTTCAATAAATAATATTGGGAAAACTGGATATTCACATGCAGAATAAAATTGGCTCTTATCTTACACCATATATAAAAATTGACTCAAAATGGATAAGATTTAAAAAGTCAGCTCTGAAACTCTTAAACTACTAAAAGATAACATAGGGAAACATCTTCTTGACATTAGTCTTGGAAACCATTTTTTTACACATGACTCCAAAAGTACAGGCAAGAAAAGCAAAAACTAATACAAATGGCATTACATCAAACTAAAAAGCTTCTGTACAATAAAGGAAACAATCAACAGCGTGAAGAGATAACCTGTTAAATGGGAGAATATATTTGCAAACCATAAATCTCATAAGGGGTTAATATCCAAAATATATAAGGAACTCAAACAACTCAATAGCAAGAAAACAAATAACCTGATTTTAAAATGGGCAAAAAACCTAAATAGACATTTGTCAAAAAAAAAAAAAAAAGGACATACAAATGGCTAACAGGTTCACTAAAAACATCACTAATCATCAGGGAAATGCAAGTCAAAATCACAATGACATATTACCTCATACTTTTAGAATGGCTATTATCAAAAAGATGAAAGATAACCGGTGTTGGTGTGGCTGTGGAGAAAAGGTAATTCTTGTACACTGTTTAGGAATGTAAACTGGTACCACCTTTGTGGAAAGTAGTATGGATGTTGCTCAAAAAGCTAAAAATAATACTACCATATAATCCAGCAATCTCACTACTGCATATACGTCCAAAGGAAATGAAATTAGTATGTTGAAGAGATATCTGCCTTCCCATATTCATAGCAGCATTATTCACAGTAGCCAAGATATAGAATCAACGTAAGTGTCCATCAACAAATGAATGTAACAAGAAAATGTGATACACACACACACACACACACACACACACACAAATAGAATAATATTCAGCCTTTTTTTTTTGAGACAGAGTCTTGCTCTGTTACCCAGGCTGGAGCATAATGCTGCCATCTCAGCTCACTGCAACCTCCACCTCCCCAGCTCAAGCCACTCTCGTGCCTCAGCCACCCAAGTGGCTGGCATTACAGGCATGCGCCATCACACCCAGCTAATTTTTGTATTTTTAGTAGAGATGGGGTTTCACCTGTTGGCCAGGGTGGTCTCAAACGCCTGACCTCAAGTGATCCACCTGCCTCAGCCTCCCAAAGTGCTGGGATTACAAGCGTGAATCACTGTGTCGAGCCTATTCAGCCTTTAAAAAAGAAGAAAATCTTGTCATTTGCAACAACATGGATGAACCTGAAGGAAATTATTTTAAGTGAAATAAACCAGCCACAGAAAGACAAATACTGCATAATCTCCCTTATATAGGGAATCTTAAAAAGTCGAATTCATAGAAACAGAGCAGAATGGTAGTTGCCAGGGGTTAGGGAGTGGGGAACATGTAGAAATGTTGATCGAAGGTATAAAGTTTAAGATGTGCAGGATGAATAAATTCTAGAGACCTAATGTACAGTATGGTGAATATAGTTAATAATACTGTGTTATATACATGAAATTTGCTGAGTAGATCTTAAATGTTCTCACCATCCCCTCTCCCCAAAATTGAAAGATAACTATGTGAGATGGTAGATACATATTTTTTTCTTTTTTTTTTTTTTTTGAGACGGAGTCTTGCTCTGTTGCCCAGGCTGGAGTGCAGTGGCGCGATCTCTGCTCACCGCAAGCTCTGCCTCCCAGGTTCACGCCATTCTCCTGCCTCAGCCTCCTGAGTAGGTGGGACTACAGGCACACACCACCACGCATGCCTAATTTTTTTTTGTATTTTTAGTAGAGATGGGGTTTCATCGTGTTAGCCAGGATGGTCTCGATCTCCTGACCTCGTGATCTGCCCGCCTCGGCCTCCCAAAGTGCTGGGATTACAGGCATGAGCCACCGCACCCGGCCAATGGTAGATATTTTTATTAGGTTGATTGTACTCATCATTTCACAATGTATATGAATATCAAAACATCGTGTTGTACATTGTAAATATATACAATTTTTATGTAAATTATACCTCAATAAAACCTAGGTTGGGGGAGGATAAATGATCAAAAGCCATTAAGAAAGGATGCTTGTGGCTTCCATGCTGGAAGGAGTTGGGCTTTATGTGTGTGTGTGTGTGTGTGTGTGCGTGTGTGTGTGTGCGTGTGTGCAGGAGGTAACAGCCTGGCTATTCAACTTTCCCCAGAGGAGATCCCTTTTGCCCTTCTTTACCTGGTTCTCATGTAATCAACAGTATAGATATCTGTAATTAAGACATTTATGAGAGGATTTATTGGCAAACAGAATGAAATCCAGCACCTGTGCAATCTTTAGACATCCAATATTTGAGAAACAAACTAATGGATATAACTGCTACCTCATCATCTAGAATGTTCCAGTACTATCCTTGTATTATGTAAGCTTAAGCAGTAAAGTGCCTGGATGTCATGTCCTCTGCTTGTTTGAAGTGTTATTTATGAGAACTGCTTTGTTAAACAGCAAAAAAAAAAAAAAAAAAGGAAAGAAAGAAAGAAAAAGAGAAACTTACTTTTCACCATATATTCTTCTATACTTTTAAAATTTTGTACCAGAATTATGGCTTATTTGTTAAAAATAAGTATTTTTTTACACTGAATTTATCATCCTGCTCATGAACCCACCTATCCCACCTTAGAAATTTTTCTTTTGGTAAAAGACATCACCATTCACCTAGTCACTCATACTAGACATGTCAATATTTTCTTCAACTTTTAGGTCAGCCTCAATATTTACATCTCACAAAGCACCAAATCAAGTCAATTTTTATAAGACTAATTTGCATATCTAGTCCCTCTCTCTATCCTTATTGTCACTACTTCATTTCAAGCCTTCCAAATGTCTAGTGGGACTAGTGAAATGGCCTTTTGTCTGGTTTTTCCTCCATCAACTCCTCCTAGTTCCTATCCACTTTCCAAATTGCCACTAGTTATAATCTGAAAACAATTTTAATGCATCACGACTTCTTATAAGGCCTCCACATGGATGCTCAATAGCCTATTCATTTGAGTTGATGGACTGAAAAAAAAATTGCAAAAAGAAAAATTTTATGAAACAAACTAAAAATCAGGCCAGGTGCAGCGGCTCACACCTGTAATCCTAGCACTTTGGGAGGCCGAGGCAGGCAGATCACTTGAGGTCAAGAGTTCGAGACTAGCCTGACCAACATGGAGAAACCCCATCTCTACTAAAAATACAAAATTGACCAGGTGTGGTGGTGCATGCCTGTAATCCCACCTACTCAGGAGGCTGAGACAGGAGAATCACTTGAACCCAGGAAGCAGAGGTCGCAGTGAGCTGAGATCACGCGATTGCACTCCAGCCTGGAAAACAAGAGCAAAACTCCATCTCAAAGAAAAAAAAAATCAAAAAATGCTAGGATTTCTTTTCAGATTTTCTATTAACTTGGCAAGCCTGGAAAAAATTTTTTTTTGAATCTCAATTTTGTCAATATAAAAATAAATATAACACACTAACTGACAAGAGAATTTGCTAATGATTGCAGAGCATATGGAAGCTTTAAATTAAGCTCCAAAACATTTATTAAGTCATGGGTTTCAGTTGCCTGTTTAATTACCATTTACAATGAACTATTCTCCATTTATTTTAAGAAACTGTCAAATAGATGTTTGAATTATACTATAATTTGGGCAACTATAATTTAGTGATTGCTACATTTGAATTTTAAGTATATTTGAATATGTATTAAGTCAGAAATCTCACCCAAAAAACACTTATACTTTAATAGGCTGAGCTTTATTTAAATTTTAGTAAGTCAAAGAAGAGGGGCAGAAATGTATGTGACATTAGATTTTATGCTTGGTTAGTATTTAGGAAAACAGCAACCTAGAAACAAAGTCAACAATAAATCTGAAAGGAAACAATTTCAGAATAAAGGCCATAACACTTTATACACTAGGGGAGACATGTATAGCAGCAAAATCAGCAAACCTTTTTTATCCAAAGAGAATGGAAAAACAGAAATATTTACAATGAAAGTGAAAATAAAAGTATGCATGCTCTTTAAAATTGCTATAATGGTTCTTTATCCTCCCTACTACAAAGGGCTCCATCAGTAGACAAAATTTTGTTACCCTCCCCTCTTGTGGAAAAGACATCACAGACTCAAGAGTCTAAAATAAACCTTTCTTGGCCGGGCACAGTGGCTCATGCCTGTAATCCCAGCACTTTGGGAAACCGAGGCGGGTGGATCACTTGAAGTCAGGAGTTTGAGACCAGCCTGACCAACATGGTGAATCCCCATCTCTACTAAAAATATGAAAATTAGCCGGGTGTGGTAGCGCGTGCCTGCAGTCCCAGCTACTACTCAGGAGGCTGAGGCGAGAGAATCGCTTGAACCCGGGAGGTGGAGGTTGCAGTGAGCTGAGATCATGCCACTGCACTCCAGCCTGGGCAACAGAGTGAGACTCCATCTCAAAAATAAATAAATGAATGAATAAACAAATAAATAAATAAATAAAAATAAATCTTTCTCATTTATTAAGGATGGCATTGCATGAAGAAAATGGAGAAGGAACTTACTAACCAATAGTTGGAGAGCTACCATATCCATTAAAGCCTCAAAATTACAGGTTTCCTTTTATCCATAAGTAGAAGTTAAGACTCCTTCAGAAAATTGCCTTTTATTTGGCTCTTCTGGCAGAAGCAGGTCTCCTTACACTAATACAGTGGAGGAGGGGCTTTGTCTTACTAAGTGGAGGGAAAATGCTGTGATATTAGGAGGAAGAAAGGATAGTCACAAGTTAGCAAATGTCAAAACCTCATGTTAAGGGATGCGGAGAGCATAGTCTTGAAAAGGGCCACAGTGTTTGTCCAGTAAAACATTAAAGGTCTATTATTTGTTGAGACCAGCTTTATTCCTCTAACTGGTAGGCTACGTCATGCTTAGCAGTTCTTCCATTTTGAGGAGGGTAGGGTTGGTTTCTTCACCCTCCCTTTCCTCTGACACCCACCGCCACCTGAATGGCTACTCAAATTACACATGAAATACCTGTGTATACATGCTTTACCCATCTAGTAATGTTTTTCATCAAAGCAAAAGACACTTGAAAGAGAGGAACATGAGAAGTCAGCTCCTCAGAACTTTCCCAGTCCAGAGCAGAAGATGGAAGTTTACTGGAATCTGTGCAGTTCTCCCACATTCCCTCTGTACTCAATCTGTGCGATGCCAATGGAAATGCCCTTTCCCCTCTAGGCTGAAGCTGTTACAAGGAAGTAAAAACCTGGAGACTCCATTCTCACTCAAATTTAGCTTGAAAAATATATTCTTTGATCCAATAATAAATTTGTTGCAATAACTTTCAAAGAGCCTGTGAATATTTGGTCCTATTTGCAAACTTAATTAAAAATATTGCAATGTTATAAACTAATTAATTAAAGATCCCTTTTACTATAAAAAAGTTTTTAAAATGATAATTTCCCTTTTAACTACTTTTCTCAGGTAAAACCTCTGTAAGCACTAAATAATACTAATGTATCTAACAAATTAAACTTTTAATAAGCTGAATCTAAACTTCTCTTATTTTTATATTAAGCATAAATTTAGTAAGATATCAACTTAAGATCATAAGTCTCAACTACTTAATTGGATACTTCAAATTAGAGCTTTAAGGCTGACTGTTTTTGACCAAGTTCTCTTATGTATGACAAGTAACAATGGTAATGGCAAATACTTACATAGTGCCTGTCATGTGACAAACACTGTTATATTGAATTCAACACAATTTTTACATTGTATTGAATTCAACACTGTACAGAACATATATTGTGTTGAATTTAATTTTTTGTGTATGAATTACTTGAATGGGTTTTTGTGTGTGAATGTCTATTTCCAGATATAGTCTATATCCATGTGCCAGATACAGTACGAAAGGCTATAAAATAACAAATACATGAACAGTTTTGACTACTTGAACTCACCTATATTTAATGTTACATCTTTCCACAGCTAGGGGAAGCATACTAGTTAATGAAGACAGTTTTCATTTCATTTGTTAGTTATACTCTAAGAGATTTTTGCAAGGAAGTAAGAGATGGAGGCATCCAAAGCAATTTCTCTCATGACCAACAGAGAAAACTGTGACATCATTGACATCATCCCAAGCAATTCTGAGTTACCTTCTCAGCATGCTTGAAAGTACCAATAACCAGAGATTTAAACCAAGACACTAATGAGAGTATTGATGATGACACTGATGGAATTCACTAAGTTGTGTGTTGCAACTTGCTACACCATAGGCTTCAGAACTTGAAAAGAATAAAGAGATTGCCTTTAGGAGTCTGAGGCCCATATCCTTGGACTCAATTTATATAAGCACTCCCTGATTATTTTGCATACACTCAGAAATTTCATGGCTCCCATTGAGATTCTTCACTCTGAAGACTTGTAAATGTATCTCTCCTTATAACTTAAAGACTGTAGAAATCCTCCTAGCAAAGGACCAAACACTCAAATATTAAAGGAATCACCAGTACCCACGTTCTTTATGCTGTAACTAAACCTAAAAATTATACTATTTAAAAACAAGTAGGTCATTGAGGCCAAGAAACATGAAAATACTAACATCACTAATGTTAGTATTTCAACATCACTAATAATCAGGGAAATGCAAATCAAAACCATAATCTGATACACCACCTTACTCATGCAAGAATGGCCATAATCAAAGAAATCAAAAAAGAGTAGACGTTGGCATGGATGCAATGAACAGGAAACACTTCCACACTTCTAATGGAAATGTAAACTAGTACAACCAATATGGAAAACGGTGTAGAGATTCCTTAAAGAACTAAAAGTAGAACTACCATTTGATCCAGCAATCCCACTACTGGGCATCTACCCAGAGGAAAAGAAGTCATTATATGAAAAAGATACTTGCACACACATGTTTATAGCAGCACAATTTGCAATTGCAAAAACATGGAACTAACCCAAATGCCCATCAATCAATGAGTGGATAAAGAAACTGATTTTATATATATATATATATATATATATGTATATATATATATATATATATACACATATATATATATATACATATATATATATAACAAACTGATATATAACAAACTGATATATATATTTTATATATAATTTTATATATATTATATATATATTTTATATATATAATATATATATTTTATATATATAATATATATATTTTTTATATATATATATTTTTTATATATATATATATATAGAACAATGGAATACTACTCAGCCATAAAAAGAACATAATTAGTGGCATTTGCAGCAACCTGGATGAGAACGGAGACTATTATTCTAAATGAAGTAACTAACGAATGGAAAACCAAACATTGTATGTTCTCACTCAGAAGTGGGAGCTAAGCTATGAGGATTCAGAGGCATAAGAATGACAAAGTGGACTTTGGGGACTCAGGGGGAAAGGGTGGGAAGGGGGTGAGGGATAAAAGACTACAAATAGGGTGCAGTGTATACTGCTCAGGTGATGGGTGCACCAAAAGCTCACAACTCACACTAAAGAACTTACTCATGTAACCAAATACTACCTGTTCCCCCAGGAACCTATGGAAATAAAAAATTAAAAAATAACAACAGGTCATTGAAAAAATGAGTGACCAAATAAACCACAACCATTCCCATATGTTACTCTCCTAGACCCGTAAGAACGATGTGCACTCTGGTTTCCCCATTGCCATAGGAGCTGTTGGGGAAGTATAACCAAAAACAAAATCTATTCCCAACCTAGAAATCCTCTCTGCAAAGATAGAAAAAAAGATTTAATGTTGAATAAACATTAAACCAGAATGTGATGCATATCACAGGCGATCTGCTAAGAGATTACAAGGCAGGTAGGTACAACCCATTACATACATCATTTGAAGATAAACAATAACTAGTCTTCAAGTAAGAGGACTTGACAGCACCCTTTGTTCCACATGGTTCATCCTAACTTTACCTGGTAATTAGGGTGACCATCTGTGTTAGCTAATTGACTTTATCCGGGGCAGAAGCAAGCTTCTCCTATTTGATGAAAGGAGGTACTTTTGCAACTTGGAGCAAGAAGCCCCTGAAGTTAGGCTCCTACCCTTTCACAGAAACTGGAAGAGAGGGGTGCTATCTTCTTTGTTGTTTATATTTCAAAGAGGTGGTGTCCAGGTTCTTGAGAAAGATACTTGGGTCATAAAGTAAACAAAAGTTCTATCTAGCTTTCAAAAGGCTTTATATACATTTCAAGAAGAGGAGAAAGTACTTACAAGTTTTCTAAAGTAAATGCTCTAAGAAAGGGGAAACAGAGGAATCTCTTTCCTTATTTTCAAGAGAGAAGCCTCTTTTTAAAATAAACCTTAAAGCAGTTTTAGATTCATGTAAAGTTGAATGGAAGGTACAGAGGTTTCTCATATACCCTCTGCCACCACATATATACCACCTGCCCCACTATAAATATCCCACATCAGAGTGGAACATTTGTTACAATAGATGAATCTATAATACACTGACACATTATCATCCAAAGTCCATAGTTTACATTAGGGGTCACTCTTGGGGTTGTACAGTCTATTGGTTTTGACAAACATATAACAACATATATCTATCATTATAGTATCATGCAGAGTAGTTTCACTGCTTTAAAAATCCTCTGTGTTTTGCCTATTCGTCTCTCCCTCCCCACTAGCCCCTAGCAACTACTGATCCTTTTACTATCATTTTCACAGTTTTGCCTTTTCCAGAATGACATACAGTGAAAATCATACACTTTGCAGCCTTTTCAGAGTAGCTTCACTTGATTCCTCCCTGTCTTTCATTTAAGATTCCTCCATGTCTTTCCACAGCTTTATAGCTCATTTCTTTTTAGCACTGAATAACATTCAATTGTTTGGAAAGCCTCTTATTTTTAATTTTGATTTGTCCTTATGGAACAATTCTTGCTAGTGTAGGACTGCCAGATATAATGCAGAACTAGTCCTAGGCAACAAATATTTGTAGAATTCATCTTATTGAAATAACTTCCAACTCCTCCCAGAACTTCATCAAATGCCTCCCACGTGGAAAGTGTTGTCCCCTTTAAGAAACACTATTGGGTCCCTCTTCTCCCATCACCGGTGAAGTGATCTAATACCATCCTATGCCATCCAACACTAATAATCTTACTATAAATACATCTAATATTAATAGTAATCTAATATATTTGATCTAATACTAATATCTAATTTAATATCCAATATTTAGTTAGTATGTAATGTAATACCAATCTAATACTAATTTAATACATCTAATAATATACTCTTATTACTGACATATCTAATATTAACACTAATACTCTAATCTCATAGTTTATACAGAGTATATCCACAGGCATCCACAGGGTGCCAGGGACTCTTCCATCAGATTGCTTCAATGCAAAATTGCTAAATTCTCTGAATCCTCAGGAAGACACATCCTAGAAATGATGGATTTAAAATATCCAGCATCCCTTCAGAAGAAGTTATCTTCTCCAGTGGAGGTTGTCATTCTTATAAGGTGGCTAAAAACTCCTTCCCAGGAGAAGCCTATTTCACTAAAAGAAACTCTTGCAACAACCAAATCTTAACTTCAGTAACTGGAAATAGAATAAACTGGAGTAACTTTTCCCTCAGAGGAAACCTGCATTGTTAAAAGCCAGAGGGTAGAGAGTTGTTTGTATTAGAAGTAAATAATCCTTTTCTAGCAGGAAGCATGTGTAGAAACTGAAATTTAAATAAATATAACTGTAAGCAATTCTTGCACATTGTTGATATTTGTTTTACACTTTAAAGCATTTATTCAGTCCAAAAAATCCTTGGGTGCTGTGCTTCATACAGGCATATGACATATTTATTGAAGTAGACACTTTATTCGGAGGTTTCAGGGTCTTAATCATATTGATCTCTTTAGAAAGATACCCTCCAAAAAATTTTTTAAAGGTTTAACTAAAAACCTGAAGATTTTATAGGAAGAAGGTGTTTTAAAAATTGTGTTGAACTCAATTTTTTGTGTATGAATTACTTGATTGGGTTTTTTGTGTATGAATGTCTATTTCCAGAAATATACAATAATATACTGATGTGTGTTTTATGAAGCTAAAATTATATGTATTATGTATTTTAAAAGTAATTTTTTTTTTTTTGCTGGCTTAGTCTTAAGCCTAAAAGAGGAGTTAATTCTAGACTGATAAGAAAAATGGCTAAGGAAATGCTAAAAGCTTGACTGCATCCAACCCTAAAGGTTAAAAACAAAGGCAGTAGCAGAAAATCATGCCTAATACCAAAAGCTACATTCTAGAAGGATGGAGATCAAAGCAACCACTCTCCCTCTTTCTTTAAAAATTAAAATTAAGGCTGGGCCCAGTGGCTTACACCTGTAATCCCAGCACTTTGGGAGGCTGAGGCAGGCAGATCGCTTGAGCCCAGGAGTTCAAAATCAACCTGGGCAACATGGTGAAACCCTGTCACTACCAAAAAAAGATTTAAAAATTATGGATGGACCGGGAGGCCATTATCCTAAGCAATGTAACACAGAAACAGAAAACCAAGTATCACATGTTCTCACTTATAAGTGGGAGCTAAATCTTGAGTACACGTAGACATAAAAATGGCAACAGTAGATACCGCAGATTCCAAAACGAGGGAAATTGGGAGGGTGGAAGGGTTGAAAAACTTCCTATTGGGTACCATGTTCACTATCTGTGTGATGGGATCAATAGAAGCCCAAACCTCAGCATCACACAATATACCCTTGTAACAAACCTGCATACGTACACCTGAATCTAAAATAAAAACAGAAAATTTTGAAAGATTTTAAAAATAAAAAATAAATTTAAAAATTAAAAAATTAAAGATAATGCAGACAACTACTTATTTGTGACTATGACACAGTGATTGACACATAGAAAGTGGGCAATAAACTTCAGTTATGATTATCATGATCACTATTACTCTTGCAATTATACAATCCATAAATATTTGTAAGGCTAAAATCACTCCAAAATGTCTAAGTCACTTTGGAAATGATACCCAGGTAAGATGTCTTAGCCTAATTCTTAAAATAAAGCAGCTTAATTAGAACCTAGCCAAAATATCTGAAAAGAAGAAAAAATTAAAACTCTCCCAATATCTAATGTTGTTCTTCCTGAATTCAAACCTTGAATTAAATGCCTTGCAGCCAAAGTATTTAAATAATGATTGAATATATATGAGACAATTATTTAAGTCACAAATCAGCAAGAGCAACTAATTACAATAACCAGAAATAACTCTTGGGTAAACACCTATAACTGCTACATCAACAGACCCACCTTCCCCACAGAGGGACTTGCTAACAATGAACAGCTTCCCAAATGAGCTTTGGAATGATGTGTTTCCAAGGTGTAAAGGCAAGAACAAGCTGCAAACGAGATGTAGTAGGTTAGGTTTTGTTTCCTGTATTTGGACTCTGCTCACATTCTTGGCTATTGATCAATTTCTGGGCAGGGGGGTGGGGAAGTATGTTGGATAAATCTTAACAGCCTAGGTTTGCTTGAGAGACAAAGTAAAATAAGCATGGAGTTCAATGACCCCAGGGAGGTTTCAGGAGTGTTCATTTTAAAATGTTAAATCTCTAGGCAGAAAGAGAAGAGGGCACAAGCCCAATTGTACCACTCGAATAACTGTTATTAATTTTTATCAAAAGTGTCCTTTCTTTGTTGCTGTTCTGGGGCATTAATACTACTACAGAAGTAGTTGCGGAGTTGTTTCCAAGAAGAATCAACTCATCCTTTTGCAACACTTAATTCCATGCTAAAACTCACTTAGAAATTATAGAAAGAAAGAAATAACAGCTTTGCAAGATGGAGGGATATTTAAGAATCAAACCACTGTAGCTTCTTTGACAAATCACCTCCTTCACAGGCTCTGTTAATAAAGAAGACAGAAGCTTTCTTACAAATCTGTTTTTTTTTTTAAAAAAAAATCTTATGAATACCGTATCTTCTCTAATGAACAAAGAGAAAGTGTTTTAATTCCACCATGAAAGTATTTCCAGTTCGCCATGAAAATAAAAAATAGCAAAGGAGACAGAGGAATAATTTTTCCCGAGAGGAGGAAAAAATAATTACAGTAAAACGATAAAGATAACAATGATAGTAATATCAATTGAATAACTACAACATGCAAGGCATTATACCCATTTATTTTAATCCCTATCAAAGCTTTATACTGTAAACATTATTTGTCTCCACTTTTCTGATGGAAATGTCAACTCATATATGGTAACTGTTTTAGTTAGGGTAAGTAATACTACCTTTCTGATAAAGCCCAAAATTCCTGTAGCTTAACACAATAAAAATTTATATTTCATAGCATAGTCCAATGTAGGAATATTGGTTAAGCAATCTTCAACAAGGTCATGCAAGGATTCAGGCTCTTTCCCTCTTATAATATTGACATATCCTAGGGCCTTAGAGTCTATAAATCACATCACATCCACTCGTGTTCCTTTGGCCAAAACTCAGCTATATAGTCACATCTAATTAACAAGGGAGTCTAGGCAACAAAAGCACCCTGCCCAAAAGAGAATAAAAGGGAAGGAGCTCAAATTTGGCATCAAACAACTTGTCCATGGTTACAGAATTAGTGGGTTTCAGAGGTGTGACTTGAACAGTACAAAATAACCACAACAATGAAAAAGAACAGCAAGACTTTCCCCTCATGAAACTTATAGTCTATAAAGACAAGCATTATTTACACACAAAAGTAAGATTGCAACCATAAGGAGTACAATAAAATAGAAGGACATGGGCTATGAAAGCTTTTGAAGTGTTGAGGAAGGGATGGAGAAACACTGGAAACTAAATCTGAACGATGAATGGGAGAAAGTTCTAGGCAGAGAAAGCAGCATGGACCAAGGTCCACTAATAGGAAGGGGCCTGAAGAATATGAGAACAACTTAAGCCCATGTGGCTGTGTGGCTGAAAGGGAAAGAGAACAAGAAAGAGAGTGGGAATTGACTGGGCCTTGTAGGCCACGTCGATTAATACTGTCTTTATCTTCAGAATAAAATGAAAGATTTGAGTTTTTGGGTTGTTTTTTGTTTTTTTGGAGACAGCCTCACTCTGTCACCCAGGCTGGAGTGCAGTGGCACAATCTCGGCTCACTGCAACCTCTGCTTTCTGGGTTCAAGTGATTCTCCTGCCTCAGCCTCCCCAGTAGCTGGGATTACAGGCACACATCACCACTCCCGGCTAATTTTTGTATTTTTAGTAGAGACAGGGTTTCACCATTATGGCCAGGCTGGTCTTGAAGTCCTGACCTCAAGTGATCTGCCCGCCTCGGCCTGCCAAAGTGCTGGGATTACAGGTGTGAGCCACTGCGCCCGGCCGGATTTGAGTTTTTTAAGCAGAAAGTTTGCTTGTTTAAGACATCAACCTACAAGCATTATTTTAAAAAAATGGATTGATGACGGTACTCAAAGGCTGCACAGAGACCACTAAGGAGGCTATTGTTTGAACCAATGCTGGTGGTGGGAAAAAATGGAAAGCAAAGAAAGGATTTGAGGAACATTTAGGAATGAAATGAACAAGTCTTGTGACCAGTTTGATATGGATTCTGTCTAGAGGATGACAGAGATTTGTAAATACTTAATAACCCCAACATTATAAAGTAGCTTCACTCAGAGAACTTATTAAGGTATCATTTATATGATACCTTACTTTCAATTGCAAAAACAGCAATTACTTTTGCACCAACCTAATAAAATAGAAATAACAATATGCTACTTTAGAATCAGAACCTATCATAACTTCTTAAAATTAAAAATAAATATGTTAACATAACTCTGTGTCTTGCAACTTCCTCTTTGCTTTTATATTCCTTTTAAATATTAGGTTAGGTTCCCCTTCTCTCAGTCCACCACCTCTTTTTTCATAAGAATTTAACTTATTTTAAATTTAATGTAGAAAGTGTATGTGGGATCTAAACACATGTATTGACACTACTTGAGAAAAGAAACAATATTCTTTCACTATTTGGGTAATGGGAACCCTAGAAGCCCCATCCTCACCAGTACACAATATACCTATAAAACAAACATGCACATGTACCCCGTGAATCTAAAATAAATAAAATTATTTAAAATATAAATTTAATTTAATTTAAAAGTTTTATACAATCTTAGAAAAAAAAAAAAGAAAAAAAGAACCAACATTCTTTGGTTACATCTGGATGTTCCAGTCAGTTAAAATGCGACAACTGTGTGAAAGGAAAATAGGATAGGTGGAAAATTTCTCTAATTTTGCTGCAATTGCTGAAATTAAATTTATTATCTGACATATTCTTCTACATGAACACTATAAATCACCTGAAGAACAGTGTTTTTGTCTTGTTTTGGTAGTGGACCACACATAAGCCATTCAGGTCACGGCCATGTGACTCCGAAGTAATTAAAATTTGATTGTATTTTTATTTTAACATCTGAATTGCCTACTGATTCTTATTATTTTCCCCTCTATGAAAGTAATACATGTTTACCAAAGAAAATCAGAAACTATAAAAAATTCTAAGAAGAAATATTATTATGGTTCTTCTAACTTACCTCTAATTATTGCCCTGAAGAATAATGTTAGGATGGGCCGGGCGCGGTGGCTCATGCCTGTAACCCCAGCACTTTGGGAGGCCGAGGCGGATGGATCACGAGGTCAGGAGATCGGGACTCATCCTGGCTAACACGGTGAAACCCTGTCTCTACTAAAAAATTAGCCGGGCGCGGTGGCGGGCGCCTGTAGTCCCAGCTACTCCGGAGGCTGAGGCAGGAGAATGGCGTGAACCCGGGAGGGACAGCGCCACTGCAGTCTGGCCTGGGTGAAACAGCGAGACTCCATCTCAAAAAAAAAAAAAAAAAAAAAAAAAAGGATAATGTTAGGATGAATATCTGAGAAGATAAATCTTTGTGTTACTTCATTAACTTTTTACATTCTAGATAATAGAATTATTACATGAGAATCTTTTTACTTATTCTTGAATTGCCATTCAGAAGAGTTATGCCAATGTATAGACCTATCAGCAGCATAAAAGAAAGGCCCACTCTTGGAAGCATTGGGCATATTCATAATCTTTGCTCAGTACCTGCCAACATGAAACAGGAAGAGGGGTATATTTCATTGCTGTTTAGATTTGAATTTCTTTGACTACTAGTGAAATTCAACAGTTTTCTCTCTATTTTTTCTCCCCTCATGCCACACTATGGAGATTTTAAATGGAGGCCATATTATTAATACTAGTTCACGTCTCCATTTGCTATCGTAGGACCACAGTCTTTTTTTTTTTTTTTTTTTTTTTTTTTTGGAGATGGAGTCTCGCTCTGTCACCCAGGCTGGAGTACATTGCCACAGTCTCAGCTCACTGCAACCTCCGCCTCCTGGGCTCAAGCGATTCTCCCACCTCAGCCTCCTTAGTAGCTGGGACTACAGGTGCAAGCCACCACACGTGGCTAATTTTTTGTATGTTTGGTAGAGACAGGGCTTCACCATGTTTCTCAGGCTGCTCTCAAACTCCTGAGCTCAAGTGATCCACCCACCTCAGCATCCTAAAGTACTGGGATTACTGGCGTGAGTCACCGTGCCCAGCCAGACCACAGTCCTTTTAATTGTGCCCATATATATCTCACATGAGAAGAGACACAAGCCCTGCTGACTACCATTTGGCATCTGCCAATTTCTTCTTTCTCCTGACCTGGCTTCCTTCAAAGATATCTGCAGTCTCCACTGCCTGAAAAACTGCATGTAGGGACTTTGCCATTAACTCAGGTGTCCAGAAAAAGGAATAGCAATATTATTTGGGCTCCACCAATATTGTTGGGCTCCACTCTCAATCCAGGGAATCACCTTCCTCCGTAAGTTACTGCTGCCACCTCCACTGGGTACCACTCAGTCTATTTATATGAGAGGTAGGCTTGCTATTGCTGCCACTTCTGCATGGAACCACTACCTTTGCTGGTCACACTGATACCGATGCCCTGAGGCCAGAGATACAAAACTTCAAGGTATTTCATAGTTAAGGGGCAGAATCCTCTGTCCATTTCTATTGAATAATATATAAAAGTAGCGGTGCTGAGCCCCTTTTAAGAAAACAGCCTCTCAGTCATCATCTACATTGTTCTACCTCCTCCCAGCTGCATGCATTATGTTATGAATCAGACAGAAAGCTTTGGGGAGAAAAACAGAGACCTACTCATCTAAGCAGTAATTGCAATGCTCAGAATTGCCTCTTCCGCCTCCAATGACTCTTTTTGTTTTGTATTGATGCTTGCCTGTTCTCTTCCCTCAAGACAAGTTCTCACTCCTTCCTTCCCTGAGTCTCCTCACCTTCACATAAATGGATATTGGTTGACTCACTTCTTCAACCTGCCAGGTATTTCTAAATCCCAATGGAAATCATTTAGGTATAAGCTAGACACTCCTCCCCACCATGTCATGTATTTATATAGTTTATAAATGTATTGGTCATTGAAATTTCTTTTTAAAATTATTTATTATTGATACATCATAACTGTACATATTTTTGTGGGTCATATAATAATTTCTTATATTCATACAATCAGGGTAATTGGGATATCTTTCACTTTAAAAATGTATCTTTTCTTTATGCCTGAGCCATTTGAATTATTCTCTTCTAGCTATTTTGACATGTACAATCAATTAACGTTAACTACAGTCACTCTACTGATCTGTCCACCACCAAGTCTTATTTTTTCTAAGTGGATATTTGTACCCATTAACAACCTCTCTTCACCCACTCCTTTCCCAATCTTTCCTGGCTTCTGGCAACCACCAATCTACTCTCTCTCTCTTCGTGAGATCCATTTTTTTACCTCCTACATATGAGTGAGGACAGGCAATATTTGTCTTTCTGTGCTTGGCTTATTTCACTTAACATAATGACCTCCAGTTACTTCTATGTTGCTGCAAATGACTGAGTTTATTCTTTTTATGGCTGACTAATATTCCACTGTGTGTATATACCACATTTTCTTTATCTATTTATCCACTAAGGGATACTCAGATTCCATATTTTGCCTATTTTGAGTTTTTTTGCAATAAACATATAAGTACAGATACCTCTTTAATATATTGATTTCCTTTATATTGGGTATATACCCAGGAGTGGAATTGATGAATCATATAGTAATTCTATTTTCAGTTTTTTGAAAAACCTACATATCATTCTCCATAGTAGCTATACTAATTTATATTCCCACCAACAGTGTACAAGGCGTCCCCTTTATCTACATCCTCAACAGCATCTTCTATTCCCTGTCTTTTTTTGATGAAAAGCTACTCTAACTGGAGTGAGATGACATCTCATTGTAGTTTTGTTTTGCATTTCCCTGATGATTAGTGATGTTGAGCATTTTTTATATACATTTGACCATTTGTATGTCTTCTTTGGAGAAATGCCTATCCAGATCCTTTGCCTATTTTTAATTGGATTATCTGGGCTTTTTGCTATTGAATTGTTTGAGCTCCTTATGTATCCTGGTTATTAATCCCTTGTCAGATGGATATTTGCAAATATTGCTCCTATTCTGTGTCTTTTTACTTTGTTGATGGTTTCCTTAGCTGTTCAGAAGCATTTTAGCTTGATGTAATCCCATTTATCTCTTTTTGCTTTTGTTGTCTGTGCTTTTGAGGTCTTACACAAAAAATCTTTGTCCAAATTAATGTCCTGGAGCATTGTCTCAACATTTTCTTCTATTAGTGTCATTGTTTCACGTCTTGGATTTAAGTCTTTAATGCATTTTTATTTGATTTTTATATATTCTGTTCCATTGATCTATGGGTCTGTTTTTATGTCAGTACCATGCTGATTTAGTTACTATAGCTTTGTAGTATATTTTGAAGTCAAGTAGTGTGACACTTCCAGCTTTGGTCTCCTTGCTCAGGATTGCTTTGACCTTTTGGGGGCCTTTTGTGGTTTCACATAAATTTTAGGATTGTCTATTTTATTCTGTGGAGAATGTCACTGCTATTTGATAGGGATTGCATTAAGTCTATAAACTGCTTTGGGTAGTATGATCTTTTAAAACTATTCATTCTTCCAATTCATGAGCATGGAATATCCTTTTTGTGTGCCCTCTTCAATTTTTGTCATCAGTGTTTTATGGTTTTTCTGGTAGAGATCTTTCAAATTTGGGGTCAAATTGATTTCTGGGTATTTTATATTATTTATAGCTATTGTAAATGAAATCACTTTCTTGATTTATTTTTCAGATTGTTTGCTGTTGGCATATAGAAATGCTACTGATTTTGTATGTTGGCTATCCTGCAACTTTACTAAATTTGTTTATTAATTCTAACAGCTTTGAGGTGGAATCTTTAGCTTTTTCTAAATGTAAGATCATGTTGTCTACATATAAGGCTAATTTTACTTCTTTTCCAATTTGCAAGAAGTAGAAAATCATATAAAATTACACTTGTGGTGAGGTTGGGGAAGTGAAAGTGAGAAGGAGATCCCTGTATTTGGAAGTCCTATATTATTTGGATACACACACACACACATACATATATATATATATACACACATATCAGTAAGGTATTATTACATAAGTGCAAGGAAAACTGCAGGTTGATTTACTGGATTGATTCATAGAATTCATTGGAGTGGTTCATACTAAGTTATGAATCACTTCCCTATCCTTACTCTCCCTGTACCCCTTACATCAGCTCCTTCACCCAACTCCAGGATACCAGAGCTGATGTAAGGGGTGCAGGGAGAGTAATGATAGGGAAATCCAAGCCTAAACAGAAAATAAAAGAAAGAAAAAAATATACTGGACCTTTAAGAAAATCTATAAAATGATACTATTTATGTATTTACCTACAATATATTGTGCAAGTAACTATTTTTAAAGCATATAAAGCTTTTTAATGGATATCATATTTATAAAGAAATAAATTCCTGAAAATTGAGGTAAATCTCATATAATAGTTAGCTATAAAAACACATTACAAAAGTATAGACCATAGTCAAGGGGAAATGTATTATACTCTGATATCAAGGTTATTAAGTGGTCAAGGTTCAAATATAATTGGTAATACTTTATCTAGCGAACACTCTGTTTATGTCAAAGATCAGTACAAACTACCCAAAAAATGTTAATAGAAGTTTTAAAGAGTAGTACTATGGAAGAAGTTTCCTAAAATAGGTCAAATCTCTGAAATTAAAATATTTAACAAATGAATATGCAAAGCAAAAACAGAATGGCATTTATGGTACTAAATCATGTATAGCTTGGTCATAATGATAAAACTGAAATGATTAAAAAAAATTTTTTTTTTTTTTTGAGATAGTGTCTCACTCTGTCACCCAGGCTGGAGGGTAGTGGTGCAATCACGGCTCACTGCAATCTTGACCGCCCAGGCTCAGGCGATTCTCCCATCTCAGCTTCCTGAGTAGCTGGGACTACAGACATGGATCACCACACCTGGCTAATTTTGTTTTGTTTTGTTTTGTTTTTGTTTTTTTTTCGGAGAGATGGGGTCTTACCATGTTGCCAGGCTGGTTTCAAACTCCTAGACTCCAGCGATGCGACCGCCTGGGCCTCCCAAAGTGCTGGGATTACAGGTATGAGCCACTGCACCCAGGCAAGAATTTTAATAATAACCTTTAGGTTAAAGTAAGCCTCAGGTTAATCTCAAGGAAATCAAATTTCCTGGGAAATCAAAAAAAAATCTATTTAGATTTTTCTGTCTAACTGGTACTTTCCATGAAGATAGTACTTGCCAAATAAAATATGGTAGCAATAAAACTGTGGATAAAACTTAAGCTATAGAATGGCGTACCTTTAGAATGCGCCAGGTTACTAAAAACAATTTATAAAGAAAATGGTACTGAGAACGTCAGCAGGGCCTTTAAAAAGTGCAAAACATGTTCTCAGAGATGAACTGTAAGACAGAAAGGCAAGAAAATATTGAGAAGTAAAGCTAAGCTATAAATCAAGGGGATGAGGTTTAAAAGAATCCACAGTATAATCAGAAATACATCATCTCTTAAATTAAAAAATAATAATAACAGTAATAAGCTGGGTGCAGGGGCTCATGTCTGTAATTCCAGCACTTTAGGAGGGCCAAGGCAGGCCGATCTCTTGAGGCCGGGAGTTTGAGATCAGGCTGGACACATGGTGAAACCCCATCTCTACTAAAAATACAAAAATTAGCCAGGCATGGTGGCGCACACCTGTAATCCCAGCTACTACTCAGGAGACTGAGGCATAAGAATCGTTTTAACTGAGAGGCGGAGGTTGCAGTGAGCTGAGATTGTGCCACTGCACTCCAGCCTGGGCAACAGAACGAGACACACTCTCATTAAAAAATAAATAAATAAATAAGTAATAATAGTATAAGCTTCAGTTTCCAAAATTTGCATTCAGCTCTCCCATGTTGACCCTTCTTTTTTAACTGTCCCTACCACCTACCTCCAGGACTGTATTTATTTAGCAGTAGAGGGAATGAAATATAATAAGAGTAGAAGAAATATTTTTCCACTGCCGTGGGACAACTGTCTACTCCTTTCTGATGTAAAATTATCAAAACTAGAATAATTAGCACTGCCTCAGAGACTAGCCACCATATTTATTAGATGGTCAAAATCATTTCCTCATGCCTGATTATGTCCTATATTTGCATATTGTCACCTTAGAAATACAAAGAATAAGATTCTTTTAAATGGACATTCTGGGCCGGTGCAGTGGTTCACACCTGTAATCCCAGAACTTTCGGAGGCCAAGGCGGGTGGATCACTTGAGGTTAGGAGTTCAAGACCAGCCTGGACCAACATGGTGAAACCCCATCTCTAATAAAAATACAAAATTAGCCAGGTGTGGCACATGCCTGTAATCCCAGCTACTCAGGAGGCTGAGGCAGGAGAATCACATGAACCCAGGAGGTGGAGGTTGCAGTGAGCTGAGATCATGCCACTGCACTCCAGCCTGGGCAACAGAGTCAGACTCTGTCTCAAAAATAAATAAACAAACAAACAAACATTCTGACTTGTACATTAGTAGAAAGAGAAAAGAATACCACCCCTTTTAGAGCAGCCAGTATTACCTAAAGTCAGATTTTTGATTGCATATTAAGCTTGCCCAAGTCAAGTGGTGCTCAGAGGTTAATGAACCCACTCTGGAAATAAATGGGTAGTGGGTATCCTCTTTACTTTTCTCTGGGGCCAGTGGAAAACGCATAGGGAGGAGTGTTCAAATGTTATTATACTTTTTTCAGGTGAGTTTCCAGCAGGCAATGTCTACTACTTAGCAATTTCCTTTTGTAGGATTCATGTTTTGGTACCAGCAATTCTCCTGCAGTACAACAGGCCTATATCCCTAAAATTGAGCAAGCAGGCTACGTGCAGTGGCTGATGTCTGTAATCCTAACACTTTGGGAAGCCAAGGTGGGAGGACTGCTTGAGGCCAGGAGTTCAAGACCAGCCTGTGAACATAGTAAGACCCTGTCTCTACCAAACAAAAAAAATTAATGTTTTTAATTAGCAGGCTGTGGTGGTGCACACCTGCAGTCCCAGCTACTTCAGAGCCAGAGGCAGGAAGATCACTTGAGCCCAGGAGTTTGACGCTGCAGTAAGCTCTGGCTGCTCCACCCCACTACAGCCTCGGTGACAGCAAGACCCTCTCAAAATAAAATAATAATAAAATAAATAAAGCATGCAAAACTTATGGTGCCTATTCAAAACACGGCTTCATTTTTTCCACAGCCTTTCAGTGAGACTAGGTATTTCTCTGACCTTGAAAATGTTTAGAGCAACTTCTACAACTTTGATCGTCATTTTTAGGCAATAAAAAGTTTTCCATCACTTAGCCAAAAACATAAACTCAGTTTAGTAACTGATATGTCCAATCCACTGAAACAGTCAAAAACTGTTCAAGGTTAATCTTCAAGTCTCCCTGAGTTTGGACTGTCTAAGAAACAAAAAGGGACATTCTTGGCTTCTGCCTATCTTCAGATAGACTGTTAGTCAAGTTTATGGTCTTTGGAGGCAGGTGGTTTGAAGAAGGAATGAGGAGAAAAAGGATCTTACTTGGCTGATGCCACTGTTTTCTCACTGAGCAGCTTCAGTCAGTTCTTTTGGAGGCTGATCACAGGGACTCTCCCCAGTATTCCTTTCCCTAGAGTGAAACAGTTTTTCTGGGTGGTCACTTGCAGCTTTCCTCTTATCCCCTGGCATATATCTCCACTTTCCTTTCTCTTGGTTCTCACCTCTCTCAAGGCAGCACCCTTGGACAAGATAAATGCAGTCCCAAGGCTGGAAGAAACAAACACATACACACACACACACACACACACACACACACACACCCCTGCTGGAAGAAACACACACACACACACACACACACACACACACACACACACACCCCTGCCTTTGGGGAGGAGGATGTAAGACCTCCTAGGACAAAACAGCCCTCTCAGAATCCTCCTCCAATCTCCAAACTTCTAACTCATTTACAACCTTATGTGGAAGAGCAATTTAGGCATCATACAATGAGTTTTAATTCAACTCTTTAATAACTCAAGTATCTCACATTTCCTGTTGGAATGCAGCACCTACCATCTTGGAAACTTAGAACTGAAACTAAAATAATTTAAACAGCTTATGATCCTTGCTTAAGTAAGCAAGTTTCTCAATTAAATATTATTACCTGCTGGTTATGCTTTGATGTCCACATATAAGGCATGTCAGGTTTTCTTTGTTTATTGTTTTTTTAAGACAGAGTCTCGCTCTGTCGCCCAGGCTGGAGTGCAGTGGTGCGATCTCGGTTCACTGCAACCTCTGCCTCCTGGGTTCAAGCGGTTCTCCTGCCCCAGCCTCCAAAGTAGCTGGGGTTACAGGCACCTGCCACCATGCTGGGTTAATTTTTGTATTTTTAATAGAGACGGAGTTTCACCATGTTGGCCAGGCTGGTCTTGAACACCTGACCTCAGGTGATCCACCCACCTCAGCTTCCCAAAGTGCTGGGATTACAAGCCTGAGCTATCACACCTGGCCAGTCAATATGTTTTGAAAGTTGGTTTGGTTTTTTTATTGTTTTGTAATGAAATTTAACCTTCAGATTAAACTGTTCTACATTTTAAATTATTTTGTGTTCATAAAGTTACAGTAACTGTTAAGCAATTAATTTAATCTCCCTTGATTAAAGAAATTGTTGCTTATAGGTGTTGCCATAGGTGCCATTCTTCACTCTGTTTAGTAGCTAGCGTCAACAGGGCTTTTGACATTATGGCAAACTATTTGGTAACCCATTTATTTGGAAATAATATAGAATATGGGATAAATTATAAAATATAGCAAGGCATTTTGGGTCAGTAGATTTTACAATTTATTTTTGTTTTCAGTTGGTAAAGGGGGAAGGAATATAATATGGAAAATTCTTGAGTGTCTGAGTAGTGGAATTGCAGACCCATCATGGGTGGGTGTTAATGTCAGAGTTTCCGGACATTTGAGGCAGAGGAGGTGGTTAGCAAGCCAGGGAGGGCCACCTCCTGAGGATGGATGGCCCCAGTGCTGGCACTCATCTCCATGAGCCCCATCCACTCTTGTAACCCTTTCCCTGGGTACCATGAGAGCACCATCTCACTCCCCCGAGTACCACAAAGTGGCTAGAAATCTGGAGAATTTGCAACCTCTATCTCTTGAATTCTTTGGAAATACTGGCTGCCTCGCAGTACTCACCATTCCTTCGCTGATTGTGAACATTTGAAAAAACAAGCAAACAGAATTAAACAAAGGCAAGGATCATTCATCTTAAACTTTCTAATACTCACTAAATTTATCTTGATTACCTTTAGGCTTCAGCCCACAGGAAAATGTTTTTCTTCCATGATTTTTGGATGTGAATCAGTGATTCTCAAAGTTTGCTACACATTAGAATCACTTGGGAGCTTTTAAAAATCCCAATGCTCAGGGCTCCTTGGGCCAATTAAAGCAGAAGCCCTAAGAATGAAACCCAGGCATCAGTATTTTTTAAAACTCCCCAGACAATTCCAATATAGAGCCAAATTTGAGAATTAGGGCTGCAGTGTAAATGACTCTGGGCCATGGTGGAAATAAAGGAAGGATACATAGCGAAGTTCTTCCTTAGCTTTCACAGATGACAATCAGCTAACATTACAAGTATATGCTGCTTTCAAAAATTCAACAAAGGAAAAACAAAATTTATAAAATAATGATTTAAGGCTGAGCGCAGTAGCTCACGTCTGTAATCCCAGCACTTTGGAAGGCTGAGGCCAGCAGATCCCTTAAGGCCACAAGTTTGACACCTGCCTGGCCAACATGGCAAAACCCCATCTCTACTAAAAATACAAAATTAGCCAGGCATGGTGGCACACTCCTGTAATCCCAGCTACTCAGGAAGCTGAGGCAGGAGAATCACTTGAGCCTGGGAGGCAGAGGTTACAGTGAGCCGAGATGGTGCCACTGCACTCCAGCCTGGGTAACAGAGCGAGACCCTGTCTTAAAAAAAAAAAAAACAAAAACGGGCGGCCAGGCACAGTTGCCCACGCCTGTAATCACAGCACTTTGGGAGGCTGAGGGGGTGCAGATCATGAGGTCCGAGTTCGAGATCAGCCTGGCCAATATGGTGAAACTCCCATCTCTACTAAAAATACAAAAATTAGCCAGGCGTGGTGGCACACACCTGTTGTC
This sequence comes from Homo sapiens, assembly GCF_000001405.40. Taxonomy (NCBI): domain Eukaryota; kingdom Metazoa; phylum Chordata; class Mammalia; order Primates; family Hominidae; genus Homo; species Homo sapiens. Next base: position 63,535,115 of record NC_000012.12, read on the forward strand.
CCAGCTACTCAGGAGGCTGAGGCAGAAGAATCACTTGAACCCAGGAGGCGGAGGTTGCAGTGAGCCAAGATCACACCACCGCACTCCAGCCTGGGAGACACAGTAAGACTCCGTCTAAAAAAAAAAAAGAGATAAAACAAAATTTACATTAAAATATCTTCTTTTGGCTGGGCGCAGTGGCTCACACCTGTAATCCTAGTACTTTGGGAGGCCAAGGTGGGTGGACTGCTTGAGCCCAGGAGTTCGAGACCACCCTGGGCAACATGGCAAAATCCTGTTTCTACCAAAAAAATGCAAAAATTAGCCAGGTGTGGTGGCATGTGCCTATAGTCCCAACTACTTGGGAGGCTGAGGTGGGAGGATCACATGAGCCCTGGAGGTGAAGGCTGCACTGAGCAGTGATCATGCCACTACACTCTAGCCTGGGTAACAGAGCAAGAACCTGCCTCAAAAAAATAAAAATAAAATAAAGTATCTTATTTTTACGAAAGGGTTGACCAAAGATTCCTTGAAGGAGTAAGTACTCCCAATGCAAATTTTCATTAGATGTACAAAAGCAGCATATGTTTTAGGAAAGTGTGTATTAATATAGTCTACTATGGTCTCAACAAAATATGTCTCAAATCTGAATTTGTAATCATCCCCAAATCAGATCCCCCGCTTCTGTCTTCAATAAATCTGTCAATAATGAAACACCCATTGTTCCCTGGTCTTGAACGCAGATGTGTTGACTTTATTTTTTAATTTTATTTATAATTCTTATTTAATAAAGTCCTATAACTATCTCTTTAAAATGATTCTTGTTTTCTATTTTTGGTAATACTTCCAGAAGGTCCACTTTCTTAAGAATAGGCCCAGTTCTATTCCAAGATTATTACTACAGCCTCCTAATGTGTCTCCCTGCTGTCTATATGAATTTTTTTAAAAATACGACTCCTCTCATGCTCTACTTTTCTCAACAAGTTTCAAAATCTCCCATTACATTTTTTGTTTTTGAGACCAGATCTCACTCTGTCACCCAGGCTGGAGTGCCATGGTGCAATCATAGCACACTACAGCCTCGACCTCCAGGGCTCAAACGTTCCTCTGCTTCAGCCTTCTATGTAGCTGGGACTATAGAGGTGCCCAACACCATGGCTGACTAAGTATTTTTTGTAGAGACAGGGTCTCATATGTTTTCTAGGCTAGTCTTGAACTCCTGCCCTCAAGCAATTCTCTTTGTCTCTGCTTCCCAAACATTGGGATTACAGGTGTGAGCCACTGGGCCCGGCCTCCAATTACATTTAGAATAAAGCTTATACTCTTTAGCTTGGCCTACTAACCCTTCTGCAATTTTACCCTATAGTCCTACCTTTCACTTCTCACTTGCCATGGATGCTAGATTTACTCTAGCCACATCTATTTTTGTAAATCCTTTCTCTGAAGAATATCCTCCTTGCTGCATTCTTTCTATCCATATTTTACTCTCTTTTAGGCCCCAAATCAAATCCACTGTCCTCCAAGATGTCTGCTGGCTGGGCCACCTCTGTCTTTGAAGGTCTCTCTATCTCTTTCAACCTCTATTAATATTGCTCTCTTTTTCTCTCTTTCTCTCTCATTATAAGCTGAATATTTATATCCTCCCAAAATTTGTGTGTTAAAATCCTACTGCTCAAGGCACTGGTATTAGGAGGTGATACCTTCAGGAGGTAATTAGGTCATAAGGGAAGAGCCCTCATGAATGGAATTAGTGCCCTTAGAAAATAGGCACAAGGTAACTCATTCTTCCTTCCCACCATGTGAGGGTACAGAGAGAAGGCACTGTCTATGAAAACAATTCTAAATCTGAGAGAAAAAAAAACACACAAGTAATTCTCCTCAGCATTATCTGTAACAGAAAAATTTAAATTTCTATAGAATAATATTACTGATGGTATAGCCACCTTTCCAATACTATGTATTCACTAAAAATATTGTTTAAAAAAGACTAAGCCATACAATGGAATACTACTAAGCCAAAAAAATGAAGTACTGATTTATACTACAGAGTGGTGAACCTTGAAAACACTGTGCTAACTAAAAGAAGCCAGACATAAAAGGCTACATATCATATGATTCCACTTAACATGAAATGTCCAGAATAGACAAATCTATATAGAGAGAAAATAGATTGGTGGTTTCCAGGAGTTGGAGAAAGAGGGAAATGGGTAGTTACTGCCAGCAGGTATGAAGTTTATTTGGGGGGCTGAAACTTCTGGAATTAGTGTTAATGGTTATACAACCTCAATATACTGAAAAACACTGAATTATATTCCTTTAAAGGGTGAATTTTATAGTATGTGAATGATATCTGAATACATTTTTTTAACTATGCCAATATGGAAGATGTATATGACATAACATGGAGGAGAAAAGTAAGGAACAAAATTATATAAAGAGTAGCAAAAATTTCTCAAGTATAAAAGAAGTTTTTTAAAAGAACAGAATGTACTGATACACTAATAGGAAAAACACTGATAGGAAAAAAACAGAAACACTGAAGGAAAAAAAAGTATTTTTTTCAGGCAGTTTATACAAAGTTAGGTGAAATATCTTTATTAACGCACAACCATATTAATGCAAAGCTGTGTTTTGGTAGGAGTTCTGGGAACCACCCCGTAAGAGTCCCCGTGACTTAGTCCCCCGGAACAAATGCCAGTTTATACTTAGAATTTATTTCCCTGGGCATCACACACAAACACTCAGTTGATAAGCTGGCTGAAAACAACTTAATAATGTAGCTATTTTAACTTAGGCATCTATTCTATGAATTATAAGAACAAGATTGGCTTTCACTGTGTATTGTTAAAGAACTGGTGATGACTTGTGCCTGGGCAGACTAGTCCCCAAGTTGCTGGCTAGTCTGAATAAGAGTCAGGAAGGACAGTCCCTGACTGGCCCCATACCAGGGAATGCCTGGTGGCCACACTGCTGCTGACCCTGAGACAACACAGTGCACATCATGTCCACACCTCTACTGTCAGTCAATGCTTCTCCATCTCTGATGAAAGTGACTCCACCAAACCAACTAGGAAGTCCCAATTTCCTTCAGAGACCCACAGGCTGCCAAGAGGACCCAACCCTCCTCTTCCACACCAGCATGAGCTAAATTCTCCCTGGAGTAAAAAAAAACTGTAGCCTCCATCTCTCCTCCTTATTTATTTTTTGTGCAAAAAATGTTCATGGCGTCTTTATAAAAACTAAAACTGGAAACAACCCAAGTGTCCATGAACAGAACATCCATGCTCCATTCGTCCTGGAGAATAAACTGTGGTACATCTCTTCTCTTTAGCTAGCACTTCCATCTCCATTCTCCACTGGACCTCAAAAAAGGAAAGCTGAGGCACTAATGACTCCTAACCTTATTTGTACCTTGTGGGTTGGTATTTCTGAGGAAAGGCATACTCATGTAAGGAGAGAAAAAGAATCTGCTGCTAACTTCCATCTCTGTTACTAGAAAATGAATTCTTCATCAGAGTAATATGCATAAACTTGCCTAAGCCATACAAGTATTGATAAAACCTAAAACTAAGAGCCACATGTTTGGAGCTTGCTGTTTTATTTTAATCGATAAAGCTTCTTCATTTTAAAAGATGATTTCCATTAAGAGAGTCTCTCAGAAGCTTCCTGGATTTGTTATGAGTTGTAAGGGCCAATGAGAAAAACATTCGAGTCAGTATTTCCAGGAATCACAAAACTGTTCACACAGTGATGTAAGGAATTTGACAAGTGAATGTACAGCATGTGCCGTGTTATTTTTATTTTTAGAGCATGTTGCGGAGTTGTTAAACCCTCAAATATGCATCAGACATATTCCCAAGCACTCATTTGCTGGGAATAAATTCATAGATTTAACTCATCTGTGCTGTTTTAAGGATCCAGGATATATTCTAAAGAACAAGAGAATGAATATTAAATACAAAATAGAAATTTCCCTAGGAATTATTTTTTTCATGTACTATTCCTCATGTATATTTCATCCACAATTTGCTAAGTAAACTGCTCATTGTTCAAGCCAGTAAAGATAATAGTCTTCATCAGAGGTCTCCTCTAGAGTCAGACACACCTAGATTCAAATCCCAAGTCCATCTATTTCTATATGTGTTCTTGGATAATGTTCTCCACTTTCCTGGTCCATAAAATAGGAAGTTACTTTTTTCTCTAGGGGATACGCATGTACACATTATGTGTGTGTGTGTGTGTGTGTGTGTGTGTGTGTGTGTGTGTAATTTCTTTGGGTGTTGTATTAGTCAGAATTCTCCAGAGAAACAGAACCAACAGGGTGGATGGATGAAAGAATAAATAGATGGATGGACAGATGAATGGATGGATGGATGGACGGATGGACAGACAGACAGATAGATAATCGGTAATTTGCTCATGCAATTTTGGGTCTAAGACCCAAGGTCTGCAGTCAGGAAGCTGGAGACCCAGCAAAGCCAATGTATAGTTCCAGCCTGAGTCCCAAGTCCTGAGCACCAGGAGAGCCAGGTTCTCTCCAGGAGAGCCAAGGTTCAGTGTGAAAGCAGCAGGCTTGAGACCCAAGAAGAGCCAATGTTTCAGTCTGAGTCTAAAGGCCAGAAAAGACCAATGTCCTAGCTCAAAGCAGTCAGGGAGGAGTAGTTCCCTCATATTTGAGGAAGAGTCAGCCTTTTTGTGCTACTCAAGCCTTAACTGATTGGATGAGGCCTATCCACATTAAGAAGAGCAATCTGCTTTGCTCAGTCTACCAAGCTAAATGTTAATTTCATCCAAAAACACAGACACCCAAAATGTTTCACCAAACGTCTGGATACCCCATGGCTCAGTCAAGTTGACAACAAACCTACTTTCAAATATTAGCTATAATCTATCTCTATCAAAAAATTATCTAAGAAGTATAAATGCCCAAAAGGTTTGTGTCAGTTTGCAAGACAATAGTGTACTACTCTATGTATTTATTTATTTATTTTTGAGAAGGAGTCTCACTCTGTTGCTCAGGCTGGAGTACAGTGGCACGACCTTGGCTCACTGCAACCTCTGCCTCTCAGGTTCAAGCGATTCTCCTGCTCTCGAACTCCTGACCTCAAATGATCTGCCCACCTCGGCCTCCCAAAGTGCTGAGGTTACAGGCATGAGCCACCGCAACCAGCCATACTTATTTTCAAACACAGCATCTTTTCCCAGCCTTCTTTACCCATATGCAGTTTCAGTAGTATGTAACATATCCTCTATTTATTCAGCATTATTTCATTGTTCTGGATGAGAAGAGAATTAGGAAACTTCTGGAAAGTTAGCTGCTCTATTAATTGTTTACAGATTCCATAATGATAACTTATGGCACTTATGGGCACTGGCGCTCAGATAATTAGACATTTTAACAACATTTTACTTTCCATGACTCCAGAAGATTTTGCATTAGTCTAGACTCTTCTGGGAAAGGTATTATCGTAGAAATAATAGCCAATGCAACTTCAACAGCTTTTTTAAAAAACTAAGAGTGAAATATTCATCTCTGTTGTCACCAAATCCAAGAAAGTCACAGATCAGATATACTATCCAGCAGCCTGCTTCAATTTCTCTTTATAATACTGAATATATTTCTTTCTTGAACAGAAATCAAAGTGGTAATATACCTTTCACTCTAGTGTAGTTGTGGATTCAAAGGAAACCCAATTTATAGACTACAGACTGACTTTACATTTTAAAAGGCAGTAAAGGAATAATCTGTAATTTCCACTGCATTCAGAAGAAATGGAAATCAGAAATTCAAAACATTTAAACATCAAACTAATGATTGTCTTAGAAAAATCACTCCAAGAAAATCTGACTTTCTTGCTTTTCTTCTGGCAGATCATATCGTGATGTTATTTACGGGAATATTCTTCATAATTCATGAAAGATAATTTTTCTATACATTTAACACTTCTGCTGCTTTTACTTTCCTGCTGTTGAAGGATCAATAATAAAGTCTGCGTAGGCCCACTGGAGACATGAATAATAACCCAAAATCCTCTTAAAAATCTAGACACAGTCACAGCATCATCACTTTCTATTGAATAGGAATTTATTCTTATGAAGGCTTCTGACAAGCATTTTCACCCTTTGTACCTAAGATTTCATTTGATCCATATGATTTAAGCAGATAAAATAGATGAGTAAAATGCCTACATTTTCTCTAAAGACAGGGTCAACTGCTCAGAATTGCTTTTTTCCTCTTACAATTCTATCATACTCACTTTAGTGTCACCATGGAAAAGTCAATTCGAAAAATATGTTATTATATCTTTCAGTACAGTTCTCTGTGTTTCAGAAAAGAATGGTGTACACACCATGGCACAAGTGAGAGGATGAGTTTCTTGCTATAGCTCCCCTCCTGTCCTCACATATATCTTCACAGGAATGGGGTGGGTGGGGAGGGAGGTTAAATTTTAAAATTCTAAGGTTCTCAATAGTTTTCTTTGAAACAGGTAATTTGGCCAGGTGCAGTGGCTCATGCCTGTAATCCCAGAACTTTGGGAGGCTGAGGTGGGTGGATCACCTGAGGTCAGGAGCTCCAGACCAACCTGGCCAATATGGTGAAACCCCGTCTCTACTAAAAATACAAAAATTAGCTGGATGTTGTGGCAGGCGCTACTTAGGAGGCTTGAGGCGGGAGAATCACTTGAACCCAGGTGGCAGAGGTTGCAGTGAGCTGAGATCACACCATTGCACTCCAGCCTGGGCGATAAGAGCAAAACTCCGTCTCAAAAAAATAGAAATAAATACAAACATACATACATAAATCAGGTAATTTTCTTCAAATCTGCTTAGAAATTAAGAAGAAAAGTCAGAAAATTGCATCTCAAAGATTGCTTTATTCCTTCATCTGCCTCTATTAACCAAGGAAAATTTGAAAGATAGGGAGAGGGAGAGAAAGTGATACAGGAGCTAGAAAGAAATTATTAAGGCAGATAGTGAGGGAAAGAGAGTCCTTGGCAAGGTTTCTCTTTTAATGCAAAAGCAACCCCCAAATCATTTCTTTTCTGACAAAGAGCAGCCTGAAAAATCAAGCTGCAAGCATAGAAAAGCAAGCTAGAAGCTCGCACGGGTGAATGCTGGCAGCTGTGCCAACAGGAAAAGGCTACAATGGAAGCCAGGCATGTTCAACATGGAGGCTCCATCTTCCCTTTTGTCAACCACGTGTACAGTAAAGAGGCAGGCAACATGGCATTAGCCAGGTAGGGAACCCATTTGTATAATAAAAGATTAGGGTGGGGCGGCCAGTTTCTTCGTGTGCTATGCAAACAGCACACCTGGTCCTACCAATATCTCAGGCCCTATGTAAAGCAGACACCGCATCCTCAAGCTCGTCTATAAAACCCCGTGCATTTCACCACAAAACTGGAAGACCCACTCGGAAACCCATCTCTCTCTGCAGGAGACAGAGCTTTTCTCTTTTCTCTTTCACCTATTAAGCCTCTACTCTTAAACTCACTCCTTGTGTTTGTCGGCATCCTCGATTTCCTTGGCATTAGACAATGAACCTCAAGTTTTATCCCACACAAACGATGCCATTTCAAAAGGACAAAGGTTCTTTTCTTCAGGGTCATGGCACAAAAGATAGAGCCCCACTACCACCCCTCCTCACTTACACCCTAAGAGTCTCTCCCAGGTGCTCACAGGCAGAGAACAGGTAGGAGCAGTGCCCACTCAGACCCCAAAGTGGAGGGGTCACAGAAGCTGCCCCACTTGGGGCAGTTCGCTGACTGCTTTCATCCCCGCTGTGGCTGCAGCTGGACTCCATTCCAGCCCCAAGGGAATGTTTTGCTTCAGAGACTTGTCATCTGCATTCCCTTGCCTGAAATACTCTTTCCTCAGATTCCTCAGCCTCCAAGTCTTTGCTTAAATATCACAATCTTGTTGATTTAGGCCTCCTCTGAGCCCCCTATTTCAAAATGTCAGTCCCTTACCGTATTTCCTCCTTGTCTCTCTTTCCTACTTTATTTTTCACCATAGCACTTACCGTCATCTGCCCCGGATGTCTTCCAGCCCCAGCCCCATATTCACTTGCCACCGTCTCAGCCCTGCCACGTGTACCAGGAGGCCGACCGGATGCTCTCCATCAACAAGCTCTGCTGTCCTTCCGCTTCCTGTCGGGTTTGACCAATAAAAGGTAGCAGAACGAGATCCAAGGAGGGAAGAGAAAGAGGTTGGGAATTTATTCTCCCAGCTCCACTCCTGCCAAGTCCCAGTGTGTTAGCTGCCTCCCTTTTTTTTTTTTTTTTTTTTTTTTTTTTTTTTTTTTTTGAGATGGAGCCTTGCTCTGTCGCCCAGGCTGGAGGCAGTGGCGTGATCTCGGCTCACTGCAACCTCTGCCTTCCGGGTTCAAGTGATTCTCCTACCTCAGCCTCCTGAGTAGCTGGGACTACAGGCGCGTGCCACCATGCCCAGCTAATTATTTTTGTGCCTTTTTTTTTTTTTTTTTTTTTTCTAGCAGAGACAGGGTTTCACTATGTTGGCCAGGCTGGTCTTGAACTCCTGACCTCAGGTGGTCCATCTGCCTTGGACTCCCAAAGTTCTAGGATTACAGGTGTAAGCCACCATGGCCAGCTGGTTGCCTCCCTTTTGTGAGGACCACACTCCCTATCAAGCAGCTCTCTCCCTTCAGCTCCCTTCTCTGAGTAACTTCTCCCTCTCCTTACTTGCAGGTGTGAAGAGCTTCTCCCTGTTACTAGCTCCAGGGCATAGCATATCCCTTGTGCTTTAAGCACTGTTTTATTAATTACTAACCTTTATTAAGCTCTTTATTAACTACATTAAGTTAATTAGACTCTTCTCACCATTTTGACAATGACCTTTACTTTCCAAACATCATGTGGCATCTTACGTATTTTACTTAATTACTTGTTTTTCTCCCTCTGCTAAAACATAGGCTTCATGAAGTCAAGATTTGTCCCTTTTGCATACTACTGTATTCCCAGCACCTACGAGAGAACAGGGAACATAGTAGGAGATGAGAAAGAAGCACTGGATAAATAACTGAATCATGAGTGAACATATGACTTAGGAAGGGACATAGAAAGTCTAACTCCCCATCTTCTCTGTATGCTGGATCTCTGCCTTTTCAGATGGTGTCTTCTGTTTCTTTCCTTCCTCTGTTTTGTTACTTTTAACTTTTGATTTTTGTAGGTACATAGGTGTACATATTTATGGGGTACATGAGATATTTTGACACAGGCATGCAATGTGTAATAATCACATCAGGGAAATGGAGTACCCATCCCCTGAAGCATTTATCCTTTGTGTTACAATCCAGTTTTACTCTTTTATTTTTAAATGTACAATAAATTATTATTGACTATAGTCACCCTGTTGTGCTATCGAATGCTAGATCTTCTTCATTCTAATAATATTTTGTACCCTTTTTCAAAATTTTGGTTAGTGTGGATAACAAATATTTCTCTGGGCATTATTTCAGCTCCCAATTTATACTTAACATTTTTACATAACATCATCTGGCAACATTTTAGAGAATTCACATATATAAACCCATGTAATTATAATCTGGCATCACTTCCTACTTCAAAATGTTCATAAATAGCATTGCTGAGGCAGAGGTAGAATCATTTTAAAACAAAACAAAAAAAAGAGCAGTCCAAAAGCAAGTGAAAGATCACCACCAAACCTAACTTCACGGACAACAGCAAGCAAACCTGAATTGTAGGTTCCAGTACTCTATTTAGAAATATTAGCTAGAATATAAACCTCACGAGAGAAGGCTTTGTCTGTTTTGTCTGCTGATGTAGTCCAAGCACTAAGAGCAATATCCAGTATATATTTGGTACTCAATAAGTGTTGAATTCATGAATGAATGAACTAATGTCACCCTGAAATAAGGTACTATTTTGAAGTGACAATAGATTAGATAATTGTTTCCAACTCCTTGCTCCCTGTTTGATTTTGGGGTTTTCTTTTCCTTTGGTTTGGTTTTTGTTTGAGACAGAGTCTCAGTCTGTCATCTAGGCTGAAGTGCAGTGGCACAATCTCGGCTCACTGCAACCTCTGCCTCCCAGGCTCAAGCCATTCTCGTGCCTCAGCCTCCCGAGTAGCGAGATTATAGGTGTGTACCACCACACCCAGCTAATTTTTGTATTTTTAGTAGAGATGGGGTTTCACCATGTTGACCAGGCTGGTTTTGAACTCCTGACCTCAAGTGATCCACCTGCCTCGGCCTCCCAATGTGCTGGGATTACAGGTGTGAGCCACCACGCCCAGCCCCCCTTTGTAATAGAATATCCCACCCCCACCCTTTGTCGTGTAAGGTGGTCATTATGAAAGGAGTATTTCTCCTCACCTCCTTGATTTTGGGGGTTGGCCAACAGGATATGAGCAGAAGTAGCAATGTGCTGATTCTGCACAAAAGCTTTAAGCACAATTGCTTGATTCATCACAGCTTGCTGTTCCCATCTTCTGCCATGATAGAACAGCATGTGCAGTGAGAGGTGGCTCTTTCGACCAAGTCCCAAACTAAGAAGAGAAGACACATAGAGCCAGCCCTCAGTCATCTGCAGCCTGAAGCCACATGTATTGTGAAAATAAATACATTTAGCTTGTTTTTCTGCAGCGTTACCACAGCAAAAACTGACTCAATTACTGGTACCTAGAAGTGAGGTGTTGATGGAACAAAAACCATGTAGGTAGGGGAGGGGGCAAGGAAAGTGTTACAGGAAACAGAAAAATGGCAACTCATTATGTCATGACAAAACATTTGGTAAAATGATCACATATATCATTTTCTTGCCTGAGGTAACCTTTTGTGGTAAGGCTGTCAGGCTATTGCTGCCATTTTTATACGAGTGTGCCCTTTGTGACATCATTTTTAGGGCAACTTGATTTTCTGTCTCTGGAAGTACTATTTCATGAGTATATGCAAAATAGTGATACTATAGTATGTGATTTAGGAACTAGTCTCTCATTTGCATTGGAAGTAGAGATATGATAATCTTCCATCCCATGAAGGCATTTTTAATCCTCACAAAATTCATTGTTGTACCGTATCCTAGAACCAATTCAGTGTAACAGTTAGTTCCATGGATTTGAAGGTACTGAATATATAACTGTCTCTTTAAATTCTCTTTCAGGGTATGTAGTGAATTTTGAGACATTTACTTTTGATTTCTGCCACATGGTAATGTTTCAGAATATCACACTGAGGAACTTGTTAGAACAGTAATATTAGTAAATATAAGATCATAATGGCCTCATATGCCAGCTTTGTCATGCAGTCTCTTATGGAATTTTCAACATTTTGTCTGCTTCCTTGATTTTCTATCTTCAGCATAAGCTTATTTGAAGATAGAGAAGCTGGCAAGTCACAATTATTTTCCTCTGCATGTGATGGGATTTTCTTAATCTAATTTTGTCATGAAATATGATACTGTATGAAGGATTTGTTTCAGTCATTTTCTACAAGAAGTTTGTATTTCTGACCCATAACTTTGCTCTCTATGCTTTCTCAATCATCATCCTTGGTGATTTTGTGAGATTTTAGACACCTTGGATTTATATTTCCTAAATCTTTTCAGAACTGCTTCAGGTCTTCAAATAGTCACATCTTGGCCTGGAATAAAGATATAGATGTAGATACAGAGACAGGTACAAGTATAGACAGGTACAGGTATATAGATGTGTAAATATCTATATACACATCTATTTTTATTTATATAATTTCTATTTATTTCTTTTTTCCTCTTTTAGCCCCATCCCCACCCCCCTTAACCTATCTCCTCATCCCCTACTCTCCTTTTATTCTCAAACTTTGTAAAGTTTACACAGGCTATTTTTGGGTTTTTTTCACCACTCCTCAATCTCACAACCTAGCTCTTATCCACATATCTGTCATGGAAATGGAAACTTATGAGATCCTAATCACAAATCCAATGATCTTTGTTGTATGGAAGGGAGGCATGAAACATTTGATGATTTTGGCCACAGACACTGATACAGAGAATGAGGAATCTGGGGCAAACAAGCTTAAGGGACACGGGGTGGAGGAATGGAAACTCAATGTCAGGCTTAATGACAAAAGGTGAATCCAAGTCAAATCCTACGGTAATAAAAGCAAGAAATAAATGAAGATAAAGTCTAAGTCGAATATTGTTTCAGCTAGCTATTGCTGCATAATATCCAAAAATTTAGTGGCCTAAAATAATAATTTTATTACTTATGACTCTGTGGGTTAGAAATTCCAGCAGGGATCAGTTGAGGTGGTTCTTCTCCACTCCACATGGTGCTGTCTGAGACCCTCAACTAGGGCTGGAGGGTCCAAGATGGTCTTGCTCATCCATCTGGGGCTTTGGTGCTGGCTGTCAACCTGGATCCATTGTTTCCACTCTGCATGGTCTCTCTCTTTACAAAGTCTCTTATTCTCTACAGAGAGCTATCAGGACTGGATGCAGACTGGAGTTTAAGTCTAATGGGTAACTAGATGAGGCTTTAGCAGGTAGAGAGAAGGAAAGGAGGTTGGGTATCTTTTGCCTATCGGAGAGACGTGAGTTGTTGTGGCCAGAGGACACATTGTAGAAAATTGTCTGTAAAGACGGCCACCAACATGCATGTTGCCTTTCCCATCAAGAGGTAGAACCTATCTTTCTTCCCTTTGAATCTGGGCTCACTTGTGACTTGTTTTGGCCAAGAAAATGTAGCAGCAATACTCAGTGCCAGTTTGGGTCTGTCCTTTTAGAGACCTGGCAGCTTCCATTTTCATTGTGTTAGGATCCAGCCAGCATGGAAGCAAGAGTCGTGCTGTTAAATAATGGATTTCCAGGAGACAGAGAGAAAGAGATCCAGCCAGTCCTCAGCCATTCCAGTCACACTTAGCCTAGGTGCCATGTGAGTGAAGCCGTCTTGAATGTCGCAGCCCCAGCTGAGCTCTCAGCTGAATGCAACAGCATGTGTGACCCCAGCTGATACCACATGGAAGGGAGATGAGATATACCCAGTGAACCCCACCTAATTCCTAACCCACAGAATTATGAACAATAAAATTGTTGTTTTAAGCAGCTGTTTTTCGATACTTTGTGACAAAGAATCAAAGTTAGATCAGTCTCTTCTTGGACTCCAGTATCCTTCCTTATAGAATGCAATTTTAACAAGAATCCTGCCAAGTCCATTTAGCCAGAATTCCCCATCCTCAGTATCTGATCACCTTCGATACCTGATCATTTTCCGCCCCCTCCACCGGCACCCAGGTGATGTCTGATCAGCACTGCCTGCCTTTAGCAAGAATCCTGTTAGGTCAGTTCAGCCAGAATCTTCCCTTACCCCTGATGTTTCCAGTTAGTAATTTTCCACCCACTGAGCCCACCCTGCTTCTTCTAGATAGAAATGTCCACCTTTTTGTTGTTTGAGGTTGAGCACAATCTCTCTCCCCTACTGCAGGACCCCACTGTGCCATCCCTTCACCTACCAAGATGTTCTGAAAAATGTCTGCCTTACTGTGCTTCACCGAGTGTCACGAATAATTTTTTTCTTTGACATTTGTTAGGCAACAACAGATAACTTAAACAGATGTTCTCACTCTAGCCAAATGAACTGGAACTCCTGACAGGGCATCAGTTTGGTGAGAAAATAGAGTGCTAAGCAGAGAAAATGATGCAGAAGTTTACTCACATGGGTTTGGAGGGAATTCAAGGAAGGCTGGTAGCAGTCTTAATTTCTTCCACACTGAGGAATTAACTCTCAGCTAGGATGAAGGAAGAAAGATGTCTTTCTAGCGGTTTGAGTCTTTGGTGTGCCCCTGCTTGTGTGCTGTGCTAACTGTGCTGGGATAGTCACTTGTTACACAGTTCTTAGTAAGCAGCAGACAGATTACCATGAAGCTAATGAAGCTAATGTTCAGGTCCCCTCATTTCCACAGCCCCTTTCAAAACTTTGGAAGAGGTTTTAGCAATGTGTTCACCTAAACAGATACATCCTAAAATTCTGCAAAATGTCATGTTGAGTGGCATGGAAGTTACAAGAATTTTGCAGATCCAGTTAAGGGGAAATTAAATTCATCATATATTTAGTTTCTGTTCTAGAGAATATTTGTGTTTGGCAGTCACGGTCTTGTAGAAGCAACCTATTTTTAGTCCTTCAGTGTTGGACTGACCTCCAGGAACACTCCAACCACTCATCATGAAAACTTACCAGGCATTGTAACATGAAGTTGCAGGCCAGAAATAATATCTTGATAGAGGCTTTCCCAAATTTGACAATAATCCTAAAAATGTGTATGACACTACTGATGAGCTGTAAAGCAGAGATAAACGTTTCTAAATGATTAATAAAAAACAAACTTCAATCAGCTATGCTGAATACTAAAATCTTTCTGTTATCTCAATATTTAACTTTTTATATGAAAATACAATCAAAGAACATATAGCCAAAGAAGAAGGAAAAATTATAGAGGTATATTAGGCTCTTAGTTTTCTTAAGATAGCTTGCTACATTCTGTATTTTATTTTTTTTGTGTGTGTAGCTTGTTCTTTCATCACTTTAAATATATTTCCACACAAAATTTTGTTTTCTTTCTCTTAAGGAGTACTACAAAATTATTTAAACTTTAGGTCCATAAAACTTGAATTGATCCCAGTGACATATATTCATTTATTTCATCCCAACTAGCAAGATGCTTTTATTAATGTCTTCATTTTAAAACTGAGAAAACTAAGGGAGGGAGATATTAAGATCACAGAGACAGCCAGTGGTGTAACCTGGATTTAAAGCCAGCAGGTTGGCTTTTGAGCCTGTGTCTTACTCATTCTCCACCCTGCTGCCCTTGAGAATAAATGAAGTCCAGCGCTTTTCCTTAAGGAATGTGCAGTACAATAGCGGACCCTAAAAATTACAGTATATCAAGATATGTGCCAAATTAGTTATACAAGGTACAGAATTAGAAAGGAGAAATTAAATTTCTAGGATAGCAGGGGAGATTTCACAAAGAGATACCTACTTGGTTACATTAAAGTTTAAATTTGAAATTATACTTAAACTCATGTACCTAAAATCACTGGCTCTGGTCACCAGGCAATGATTTCTAGTATTGAACTACTGTATATATTACCTCATCCCAGATTAAGTTGATTGAACAATAGTTTTCAAAAGCACCACAGAGATTCAAAGAATAAACTAAGGCTTTTGACAATGCTTTAACCCTCCCACCATTCCCACAAACATAACAGGAATGATGATAGAAATGAAGAGACCACAATTCAGAGGTCCATGTGCTTATCCAGGATGATACAAATCTGATGCAAAATTAATATAGGACTAGGTTTTGTTAATCCCAATGTAGTTTTCCATTCAGTGTTCTATATGTCCTAACCAAAACTTGGTTTTATAGATAAAAATGATGTTGTAACAGTCTCTCTGGTGGTTTTAGAAGTAGAAACCACGGGCAGGGCATAGTGGCTCACGCCTATAATCCTAGCACTTTGGGAGGCCAAGACTGACTGATCACTTGAGCCCAGGAGTTCAAGACCAGCCCAGGAAACATGACAAAACCCTGTCTCTACAAAAAATAGAAAAATTAGCCGGGCTTTGTGGCACGTGCCTGTAGTTCCACCTATTCAGGAGGCTGAGGTGAGAGGATCACCAGAGCCCAGGAGGTCAAGGCTGCAGTGAGCCGTGATCACACCACTGCACTCCAGCCAGGGTGACAGAGCAAGACTCTGTCTCAAAAAAAAAAAAAAAAAAAAAAAAAAAGAAGAAGAAGAAGAAATAGAAACCTTGCTTTATAGACTAAGGAATTCACCTTAGAATCTCATGCTACAGAAAACAAATCTAGACGTTTTGCTTTAAAATGGACAGAAAATAAACTCCATTTTTCTATAAAAAAAAGTGACAAGTGAAATAGAGTTAATTTGATAAGTAACAATATGATGGGAGAATAAATATAAATAGGATTCATTAGAAACAAATTAAAATTTAATCAACTTTAATGGGCTCCTGTATAGTCCAAGCAGCTTAAGGCACTAGATTATTTCCTATGAAAAGATCTGAGAATAGGCAGTTCAACAAGTTGAAAATTTAATTTTTGAAATAACATTAAGCAAGGACCAAATATCCATGTTAATCAGTAGCATTTAGTTATAACTGGCTCAGTGATCAGACAATAAATTGCTTTGTAATACTAATTTGTTCGTGAGAAGATGACATTAAATTTAAAGTAATTGATGGAAACAAACTGCTAAAAGAAAAATTATGAAAGACTCACAAAAAACAAAGGAGAGAGAGTTCTTCCCCAAAAGAACATTATGGTTTTCTCTCCTGGGGGTTGCCCTTACCTCATGTGTTAGTTTGTTCTCACACTGCTAATAAACATATACCCAAGACTGGGTAATTTATAAAGGAAAGACGTTTAATTGACTCACAGTCTTACCTGCCTGGGAGGCCGCACAATCATGGCAGAAGGCAAAGGAGGAGCAAAAGCACGACTCACGTGACGGCAGGCAAAAGGGCGTGTGCGGCGGAACTCCTGTTTATAAAACCACCAGATCTCGCGAGACTTACTCACTACCATGAGAACAGTATAGGGGAAACCACCCCCGTGATTCAATTATATCCACCTGGCCCCAACCTTGACACGTGGGGATTATTACAATTCAAGGTGAGATTCAGGTGTGGACACAGCCAAACCGTATCATCTCAACTCCACCCAGCCAATCTTACTCATTCTTCAAGTTCCAGTTCCAAAGCTAAGACTAATAATCATTCCCTGATGTCATTCTTCTTTTCTGTGCTCCTTCAGTACTGTTGTCTTTTGTTCTCTTTAATTTTGTTTGCATTTATCACCCTCACAATACTATGTGCCTTTAGTATATAACCGTATGATACAGAGCGGAAAGGAATCCTCAATATCCTTTGGTTTAATGTTTTAGTAGCAGGGTCTAGCTGAGTCCAGGCTGTAAAACAGGATTAGGGTAGAATTAAGGTAGGATTATTTGGCTGGTGGTGCTAGGAACAGAGTGAATTTTTAAAAATTGAACAATTTCAAAATTTTTATTTCTCAGTGATTAGCTTTAAATTTACATTCCTATGCACATGGAGTTATGTCAGGAAACTCTTGTTTGTACCACCTCTTTCTGGCAGCCTTCAGGAAATGAAGTAGCATCAGGGGCAGCATGTTAATCATTGATGCTGAGTGTGGCCTGGGATGAATTTGATTACAGGATTGCTGTGTACCATGTGACATGAGGGGCTCATAACAGGCTTAAAGATGATAAAAATATTTTTTGTTCTCTTAAATATCATAGAAATAACTGGAAACATTAATAGAAATACAGTTGGCTCTCTGTATCCATAGGTTCCACTTCAGTAGATTCAACCAACCATGGATCAAAAATATTTAGGGGGGAAAAACTTCACAAAGTTCCAAAAGGCAAAATTTGAATTTGCCACACACTGAGCACTATGTTGAATCCACATGAATGAGGAGATGGGTCGGCATTATATAAGTAATCTAGAGATTATTTAAAGTATACAGGAGGATGTGTGTGGGTTATTTGCAAATACTACACCACTTTATATAAGAGGCTTGAGCATTTGTGGATTTTGGTATCTGCAGGGGGTCCTGGAACCAGTCTCCCATGAATATAGAGGGACAGCTGTAATTTCTTTATAAATTGATATTGACTACATAAAGAACCTCATTGACTACATATAGAACCTCATTACTCTTTTTTTTTTTTTGAGATGGAGTCTCGCTCTGTCGCCCAGGCTGGAGTGCAGTGGCACGATCTCGGCTCACTGCAACCTCCGCCTCCCAGGTTCACGCCATTCTCCTGCCTCAGCCTCCCAAGCAACTGGGACCACAGGCACCCACCACCACACCTGGCTAATTTTTTGTGTTGGTAGTAGAGATGGGGTTTCACCATGCTAGCCAGGATGGTCTCGATCTCCTTACCTCATGATCTGCCTGCCTCGGCCTCCAAAAGTGCTGGGATTACAGGTGTGAGCCACCATGCACGGCCTACTCATTTTTTTTTTTTAAGAAATCAATTCTTTTTTAATCATTCTATGTTTCCATGGGTTTCTAGGAAAGGATCTCGTTTTTGCTTTGGGTGGGAGGGTCAGGGAGCAAGATTAAAGTTCTGGGGTGAGGTAATAGCCAGACAGAGGAGGGAAACGAGATGGCAATCAACTGCCAGTAGCTGAAAGAGCTGTTTTTGAGCCTTTGTTGGGGGATAGATGCTGAAAGAACTAGTTTTGTGAATGACTTCATCAGTATCTGAGAGTAAGGAGAGCAAGTTTGGTGTTGGGTTAACAAATGTCGAGCAGAACTGGCTGGAGATCATGCCTGATCCTCACTGTACCATGGGCTCAGTGCAGTTTGGGATACTCTGAGGACTCAAGATCAACAATGAATGGCCTTGAAGCCATCATTCTCTGGAAGGGCATTGGCAAAAGAAGTGGTACTAAGGTACCTTGGCAATAAGAAATTGTGGGAAACCAGATCAGACTTGAAGAGAACATTTGAGATGCCTCCCCACTCCACTACCCAGGGATATCGGAAGTAATAGGCTGCAGGGACTGCAGGGTGAGAAATCTGGGTGGAGCAAGGGCTGATAAGAGCCATCAGAATTATGTGGCCTTGTTTGTGCTCTCAGGCCAGCAAGAGCATTTGAGTTATGTTCTCATTTAACAGGTAAGGAAACAGTGATCAAGACCCCAAATGACCTGCTCAGGATTTCACAGAAAGCTAATGACAGAGCTAGGACCAACTCCTCTCCTGATCTCCTGGCTGGAAGAATGTAGTATTAATATGGGGTTGCTGGATCAAATTGAATAATTATTTCCTCTAGTATTGCATATCATATAAATCAATAAGAATAAAGGCCAACAAATGTTTTGTTTTTCTAGCCTGAACAAGAAGAAGCTATTGTTAAATTTGTTAAATTTGCTTGTTAAATTAACATAAAGCTTTATGTTTAAGAGTCAGAAAATTTTAATTAGGATGCCTGACTTTAATTGTGATGCTGATATTTAAATAAATCAACTGGCCAGGTGCAGCAGCTCACACCTGTAATCCCAGCACTTTGGGAGGTCGAGGTGAGTGGATCATTTGAGGTCAGGAGTTCAAGATTAGCTTGGCCAACATGGTGAAATCCCATCTCTACTAATACAAAAATTAGCCTAGCGTGGTGGCATGCACCTGTAGTCCCAGCTACTCAGGAGGCTGAGGCAGGAGAATTGCTTGAACCAGGGAGGTGGAGGTTGCAGTGTGCCGAGATGGCAGCACTGTACTCCAGCCTGGGTGACAGAGCGAGACTCTGTCTCAAAAAGAAAAAGATTAATTAAATTAAATTAATCAACTAGTATTTATCACTCTAATGCCTCACCAACACAATATCATCAAGAAAAAAATAATTTCATTACCTTAATTTTTCTAATGATACCTTTTATCATTTTAAAATAATTTCTAATAAAACTTTTTTAGGAGAATTTTGTTTTACAACTATTGATTTTAATAGTGATAATTTACTGAGTGCTTATTATCCAGGCTCATTGCTAAGTGCTTCAAATGCATTACCGAATTTAATCTTTGCACAACCGCATGAGGTAGGTAATGTTACTTTTTTAAATTCATAGGTAAGAATAAATATTAGAGACTTTAAGTACATGCCTAAGGTCAGTCTCAAATAAGTGACATTGCTCAGTAGACTGGGATCCAGAGCCTAGGCTCTTTACCACTATACACTATAGCTTTACAGACTGCCCTTGGTTTGTTGTTGTTTTGTTTTTTGTTTTGTTTTTTGAGACAGAGTATTGCTTTATCACCCAGGCTGGAGTGAGGGTTGCAATCATGGCTCACTGCAGCCTCAATGTCCCAGGCTCAAGCGATCCTCCCTCCTCAGCCTCCCAAGTAGCTGAGACTACAGGTTCGTGCCACTGTGTCCAGCCAATTTTCAAAAGCTTTTTGTAGAGACAGAGTCTCACTTTGTTGCCCAGGCTGCTCTCGAGCTCTTGGGCTCAAGCAGTCTTCCCACCTCATCCTTCCAAAGTGCTGAGATTACAGCCATGAGCATCGCACCAGGAGTGCCCTTATTTTAAACAGAAAAATATTAAACATTTTTTAAAATGTCAAAGTCATGGTTAAGAATATTTGTTGCTGTTCCAGGCTGTAATTCGATGACTGGGGAGACTGACTGTGTAAATCTCTATGCAAGCACATCATATCGCTTAGAGTCTTGTGCCTTTGTGTTCTTCCATCTGAATTTATAATTTTTCCTTATCCTTTATCACTGTCAACCTGTCAGTTACTCCTTTCACTTTCCACTGTGCCTCCATCTAATATCTTTCCTCAAATTGCCTTCCAGTTTCCCATCCCTTATTTTTTAAGAGTTGGGAAATCAGTTGAAAAACTGGATTAGTTACACATAAGAGAAGAATAAATAGTCTCTGAAAAAGCACCAGTGCACTTTCTTATAAGTTCAATACAGTGACTTTAGTGCTTGGATTGAACAGCATCATTTTCAGCTGCTTGAAAACTTTTATTGACAAATTCCTACCATTGGATTGCACTTCAGAAGATTAGGTGAATTTTACCTAAGAAAAGTACTGTCATATGGACAGAATGCCCTGTACACAGAAGATGAGCCTGGCTGCTAAACACTATGAGAATTCTAGGTTAGAAAGCTGAACTATACAAATACACACTATAGTGTAACTTTAGATTATTTAAATACCTAAAAATAAGGAGAGGTTAAATAAATTATGGCACATCCTCAAAATGGATATCCACATACCCATTTTTGGATATCTATAGCATAAAACAATTTACAAAGCATTAGTTATAACATGAGAAACTATTTTTTTACCAAATGAAGTTTAAAAACAGGATTTTGGCCAGGCGCAGTGGCTCATGCCTGTAATCCCAACACTTTAGGAGGCAGGGGCAGGCGAATCGCCTGAGGTTGGGAGTTGAAGACCAGCCTGACCAACATGGAGAAACTCCGTCTCTACTAAATACTATATACATGTATATATATATACGTATATATATACACGTATATATATACACGTATACACATATATACATATATATACGTATACACATATATATACATGTATATATACATATGTATGTACATATATATACATGTGCATGTACACATATATACATATATACACGTATATACACATGTATACACGTGTATACACGTATATAGATATGCATACATGTATACATATGTATATACATATATACACGTGTATACATATGTATATACATATATACACGTGTATACATATGTATATACATATATACACGTGTATACATATGTATATACATATATACACGTGTATATATGTATACATGTATATACATACATATATACACGTGTATACATATGTATACATGTATATACATACATATATACACGTATATACATATGTAGATACATGTATCTACATATGTATGTACATATATACATGTATCTACATATGTATATACATGTATACATGTATATATACATATACACATATATACATGTGTATATATAAATGCATATATACATGTGTGTGTATATATATGTGTATATATATATATAAAATTAGCTGGGCGTGGTGGCGCATGCCTGTAATCCCAGCTACTGAGGAGGCTGAGGCAGGAGAACCCCTTGAACCCGGAAGGCAGAGGTTGTGGCGAGCCGAGATCACGCCATTGCACTCCAGCCTGGGCAACAACGGTGAAACTCTGTCTCAAAAAATAAATAAACAAACAAACAAACATAGGATTTAAAATAGCGTATGACAATAACAGCTAACCTTCTCTGAACACCTGCTACATGTAGAGCATTTTTGTTGTAAGTCCAACAAACATATGCATACTCAATTGCTTATGGTTTGCACTTATAAACTTCTAAGATGGCTTGTTCACCCTGACACCATGGGAGTCAAAGGCAGGTCCACTAGGTCTAAGACCAAAGAGGTGAGGAAAGCTGTCACAGGGAAAAAAATGGAATGAACAGGAGTAAGTTGTTCCCATAAATCTTCTGTCCTTGAATTAATTTTATTCCCTATCCTATCCCATGCCATTCTCTAATGCCAACTGAGTCCGGGTGCAGTGTGGCTCACGCCTGTAATCCCAGCATTTTGGGAGGCCAAGGTGGGCGGATCACCTGAGGTCAGGAGTTCAAGACCAGCCTGGCCAATGTGGTGAAACCCCATCTCTACTGAAAATACAAAATTAGCTGAACGTGGTGGTGGGCACCTGTAATCCCAGCTACTCAGGAGGCTCAGGCAGGAGAATCGCTTGAACCCAGGAGACAGAGGTTGCAGTGAGCCGAGATTGCGACATTGCACTCCAGCCTGGGTGACAAGAGCGAGACTCTCTCTCAAAAAAAAAAGTCTAATGCCAACCAATACTACTAGGAAAAAGGCTGATTGGACAGTTATGCTAGATGGACCAGGCTGATAATACCTGAACCCACTTGATCAACCTTAACAACACAAAAAGAGAAACAGCTGGCCATTATATGCCTCCTGACCTGTTGCAATCAGAAGTACCGCCTCTGAAGTGCTCTTGTCAAAAATCAAATCTGAATCTGATCTCCACTTTTGTGAGTTTGAAACTGTCTGAAAAAAAAAAAACTTAAGGATATTGGTCAGTTGATAGTAACTATGAGAGGACTCAAAGCAAACCTGCCAGCAACAATACCTGACCTTTGCAGAACTGACAGCAGGAAACAGCTGCCCCCACCATGGGGTGCCTGACATACAGTAAGTGTTTAATGAATATCTTTTGAATACATGGTAGGTACCTAACTAATGGAAGAAGCAGTATTCAAACTTAGATACATCTCATTGCACAGCTCACACTATTTCCATCATAGTATATTGCCTTCTGTGTAAGACTATACAGAATCATTTTTAAATGGCTAAGAAAGAGCACTGCCCGTGTAAACACGGCTAGTAAGCCCAGCAACCTATGATTTCTCCCTTTATATGAGAACAATTTCAATTTCAAAATGTATGCATTGTGAAGGATGAGAAAAGACAGAAAACAGGATCTTCAAGGGCTTTACAGTTACTTAACACAGATAGTACATGAAAATAACATATATATGAAAACATCGTATGTGTATGGAACATTTTATTAGTACAGCTCATCCATTTTTTGTTGAGTTCTACTGACTTTTTAAAATTTATTTTACTTGAAGTTCTGGGATACATGTGCAGAACATGCACGTTTGTTACATAGGTATACATGTGCCATGGTGGTTTGCTGCACCTATCGACCCGTCATTTAGGGTTTAAGTCCTGCATGCATTAGGTATTTGTCCTAATGCTCTCCCTCCCCTTGCCCCCCACCCCCACCCCCCACCAACAGGCCCTGGTGCGTGATGTTCCCCTCTCTGTGTCCACGTGTTCTCATTGTTCAACTCCCACTTATGAGTGAGAACATACGGTGTTTGGTTTTCTGTTCTTGTGTTAGTTTGCTGAGAACGATGGCTTCCAGCTTCATCCACGTCCCTGCAAAGGACATGAACGCATCCTTTTTTATGGCTGCATAGTATTCCATGGTGTGTGTGTGACACATTTTCTTTATCCAGTCTATCATTGATGGGTATTTGGGTTAGTTACAAGTCTTTGCTACTGTAACATCATCTGAAATGTGTTACTTTAATTTTATGAATGTTAGGTGTTATGTCTCTTTTCCTTTTTTGCCCCACACATCACTTAAACAGATTATTTGAAAATGCTAAAATAAGTAAAATGTGTGGCATGCTTTCTTAGATGCTTTGTCTCCTGTACCAAAATAATTTACAAATACAAAAGTTGGAAATAATTTTATTAGTTTTTTAATGCATAAATCCAAACATATATTTGTACTGAATATTTTATTAGCTAATACAGTACCATTTTAAAAGTTCTACCAACTTATTTAAAATATTTCCTGTAAAAACATCATCCAAAATATACTTTGTTAATTTTTATGAATGTTAGGTGTTATGTCTCTTTTCTTTGACGCTCTCCTTTTTTATCCTGTGCTTACACCAAAAACAAATTATTTGAAAATGCTAAAATAAAATGTGGCATGTTTTCTTAGCTGTTTTGTATTCTGTTATAAGATATTTTACAACTATGAAAGTTGAAAAATAACTTTATTGGTTTTGCTGCATATAGCTGCCTGTCTACTATAAGAGAACTAATCCATAAAATTAAGGCATTTTGTTATTTCAAGTGTAGAGGGGCAAGAACATAAGGGAATTATAAAAACCCCAAGATGACTCATTTAAAGTAGATGCACATTAAAATACTATAGATCTGGCATATTTCATATTTATAAAGCAGACAAAAAGAATGTTTATCTTTGCATTTGGCAAGAGTATCTTCAAGATAACTACCACTTTTCAAAGCACTATTGTTGGGTAGGTTTTATTAGGGGAGAGGACTTAGAAAACATGACTTTCCTCACCCAAAACCAAAAATAAATGAGGGCTTAAAAATATATTATTTAAGAAGATAGTGGCCAGAAATAAAGACCATGACCAACAAGCTTTGGGGCCATCAAGATGAAAAGACCTTTCCTTTATTCAAGATCTAGGATCTGAAAATCTCACTTCATAAATTTAACTGGATTTTCTTTTCTGATTATGTTTAACCCCAAAACTTGGTTGTATACCATAGCAGTTTCTGTTTTACCTGGATGTTAAAAGAAAAGCCACTGGAATCTAAAGAGAGATGAATAACCTCTTGAGCTTAGATGGAGAACTAACCAGTGGCAAATATGTATCTAGTGGGGTAAACACATCTCAAGAGATTCAAAACATTACAAAACAAAGTGTTTTTAAAAACACTTCAACTTGAAATTATTAAAAAAAAGTATTAAAAGGTATTAGAGATCTTTCTTAAGGGCTGGTAAAATAAAAACACCTTAAAAGACACACTGTTACAATTTCCTCACAGAGGTAAAGAGGCTGTGACCAGTATCAGCATTTTAAGGATGTCATTTCAGAGCTTGCATTCTTCTGCCTTAAGTGGTTCAAAGAGTTTGAGGAGGTACCCTCTGGTACTAGAGAAAATCTGAAGCAATTCACCTAGTTGGATGAAAAAGGACTTACATACCCCTGATTTATTAAAATTCATTGTTCTTTTATATACATTTCTCTTTAAAATTCTGAAATGAACATTTGTTTATGCAGTATGACATGAATGATTTAATAACTTATATGACAAGCTTAATAAGGCTGACATTCAATGAACAGAAAAGTAATTTACCTTTTAGTAATCAGAAAAATTTCCAATCCATTTTTATCTTATTTTTAAGTGTCTGTTATTAAAGCTTGTGATTTTTATTAATGTGAATAAGCCAAAGGGTGATTGTTTTTGACACACGGCATTGTGCCATAGTAAAATGGGTAGTATCCTTCTCAGTTAACCTTTAATACTCTGTACACACTATTCTGAAATACTGTGGTGAAGTAAGGCCTGGCGTCTTCGAGCAGGACGCTACATAAGGGAGGGTTAGCTGCATTGGAAGGGTCTTCCACATCCCAGATTTCAAGCATACTGCAACCAGGCCTGAAAAAAGACAGACATATATATCCATATTAGAAATGTATTGCTGTCTAGAGACAATAGATACATAACATCTAGATTTTCAGAGACAAATTTATTTCATAAGTTAAATATTTTAAAGCGTCATTTCAAAAAACAATTTCAATGTTTAGAAATTTAAAAAATAGAATGAAATTAAGCATGTTGCATTTTCACATCTCATTTAACCAAGGGAAAGACATATCCTAATAATAAAGCTTCAATATACATTCATAAATATATATGTAAAAGCACACTTTCAAGATGAAACAAACATAAATATACTTTCCAAGTGCCATCACCATCTAAACATAAGGCCCATTTGTAGTAAAATAAGACAAATTAAAACCTAATCGAATTCCTGATGAATTTCACATTTTTTAGCGTAAACTGCCTTGGATTAGCATGAAATGATCCAAGGCAGGGACAGGAGACTCTTACAGCAATTTGTTTTCTTCAATGCTTTCCCATTTTGGGTGGCTCTATGACTGGGCTAAATGAGACACTATTCCTCCCTAGAGAGTAATCCTGCATGGCAGTCATTAAAGGGAAGGAGTCAGACAAAATTGATTTCTAATTTTTTAATATCTATATTGAAGTATAAGTTATATAAACAATAAAACTTCACCTATTTTATGTGTAAAGTTTGCCAGGTATGGGCAAATGTGTATAGATGTGTAAGAACTACCACAATCGTAATACAGAAAATTTCCATCACCCCCACAAGTTCCCTGTGCCCTTTTGCAATCTACCATCTTCCCCAAACATGGCCTCAGGCAACTACTGTGCTTTCTGCACTATAGTTTTGCTTTTTCTAGAATTTCATATAAATATATTATGTAGTCTTTTCATTTTTGGCTTCTTTACCATAGCATGTTTTTGATACTCATATCTGAGCTGTAGTTCCTACAACTTCTGTTGTGGTTCAGTAGTTCCTTCCTTTTTGTTGCTAAATAATATTTCATTGTATATAGAGAACACAATTTGTTTATCCATTTGCAAGTTAATGAACATTTGAGATGTTTTGAGTTTTTGGTGACCATGAACAATGCCACTATAAACATTCATGGACAAGGCTTTTTGTGGACATATGTTATCATTTCTCTTAGGGAAACACCTAGGAGTGGAATTGCTGGGTTGCATGGTTATGTATGATTAAGTGTGGATTTATCTTTATAAGCAAGTTCAAAACTCTTTTCCAGAGTAGATGCGCCATTTTCCATTTCCACCAACAATGCATGAGAGTTTAAGTTGTATCAGTTTTTGTAATTTTAATCATTATAGTATGGTTATGGATGATTCAAAATATCTTCTTTGGTGAAATTTCTATTCAAATATTGTGCCAAATTTTGTGTTGTTTCTTATTGAGGTGTGAGAGTTCTTTGTATATTATGGGTAAAAGTCTGCCAGATTTTTTTAGCAGATGTATTAAGGCGTAATTGCTCAATAATTACTCAATAAGCTGCACATATTTAGTATCCACTTGGATACATATTAACATAGGTATACACTTGTAAAACAGCAGCCACAATAAAAATCATGAACATATCCATCTCTCCCAAAAGTTTACTTCTGCCCTTTTGTAATCCTAATTATTGCATGCTTTCTTTTTTGTCTGGCTTCTTGTCCTCAGTAGAATTATTTTGAGATCCATCCATATTGCTGTATCAATAGTTTATTCATTTTTATTAGTGAGTAATATTTACATTGTTTGGATATTCTAATAGTGTGTTTATACATTCATCTGCTGATAAATAAGTGGATTGTTTCCAGTTTGGGGCTAATACAGAAAATAAAGTGCTATGAACATTTGTGTACAATTACTGGGATGGATATATGCTTTCTTTTATTTTAATAAATACAGTAGTTGTATGTTTAACGTTTTACAAAATTGCTAAACTGTCTTGCAGAGTGGTTGTACCATATTACTTCTGCACCACTGGTGTATGAGAGTTCTAAATCCTCCATAGTGTCAGCAACACTTGGCAGTTTTTTTTTCAATTATAGCTATTTTATTAAGTATTTAGTTACGTCTCACTGTAATTTTCATTTGCATTTCACAAATCACTAGTAACATCAAGCATCTTTTTGTGTGATTATTTGCCATCTGTCCTTTTGTCCTTTTTTTTTTTTTTTCTGAGACAAGGTCTTGCTCTGTCGCCGAGTGGAGTGCAACGGCACAATCTTGGCTCACTGCAACCTCCGTCTCCTAGGTTCAAGTAATTATCCTGCTTCAGCCTCCCGAGTAGCTGGGATTATATGCGCCCACCATCACACCTGGCTAACTTTTTGTATTTTTAGTAGAGATGGGGTTTCGCCATGTTGGCCAGGCTGATCTCGAACTCCTGACCTCAGGTGATCCACCCGCCTCAGCCTCCTCAAATCCTGGGATTACAGGCGTGAGCCAACCACTGCGCCTATTTTGTCCATTTTTAATTGGGTTGTTTTCTTATTATTGGGTTTTGAGAGTTTTTTATACATCTAGAGAAAGTCCTTTATCAGACATAGGCTTTGAAAATATTTTCTCCCAGACTGTGGTTTATCTTTTAATTCTTCCTAACACTGTTTATAAAAAAGCAGAGGTTTACAGTTTTAATGAAGTCCTATTTATCAATGTGTTCTCTTGTGGATCATGATTATGTTACTGTATCTGAGAAATCTTAGCCTAATCCAAGGTTACAATAATTTTCTTCCATATTTTCTTCCAGAAATTTTATATTCTTGGATTCTTAGTAGCAAGTTACCTTCTACTCCTAGTTTGCTGAGGGTTTTTAATCAGTTATGGATACTGAATTGTGTCAAATACTTTTTCCTGAATGTACGAGACTATGATGCGCGATGATGCGGTCTTTCTTTTTCAGTTTGTTACTATGGTGACTTCACTTGATTGGTTTTCAAATAGTGAGACAACTTTGCATTCCTGGGATAAACTCCACTTGTACATTATGTATTGTCTTTCTTTAATATATTGCTAGATTCATTTGTTGCAATTTTACTTAAAAATTTCACATATGTGTTCATGATAAATTTTGATTGGTTGTTTCCTTTTATTGTAATGTTTCTCTCATGTTGGTATCAGGATAATGCTGACCTCACAGAACCAGTTGGGAAGTAATCCCTCCTTTTGAATTTTCTGGAATAGTTTGTAGAATTGGAATTATTTCCAGTGAAGATATCTGTCTTGAAGTTTTCTTTGTGACCATTCTTTTTACTACAAATATAATTTTATTAATAGATACAAGGTCATTCATAATAAGGTAATAGATATAAGATTTTCTATTTCTTAAGTGAGCTTTGATTTTGCATCTTTCAAGGAACTTGTCCATTTTATCTATTTTGTCCTACTTAGTGGAATAAAGTTGTTCCCAAAACTCCCTCATTATGCTTTTCATTTCTTCAGATCCTGTAGTGATAAAATCTTTCTTATTCCTGATACTAGTAATTTCTGTCTTCAATCTTTTAGTTCGGGTAGGAATTTATCAATTTTATTAATCTTCTCAAGAATCAGTGTTTGGTTTTACTGACTTTTCCCTGTTTTAGGAGGAAATACACACTGATTTTGATTCTAATCTTTATGCTTTCTTTTCTTCTCCTTACTTTGGAGTTTACTTATTCTTTTTTTCTAGTTCCTTAAGGTGAAGCTGAGTGACTGATATGAGGCCTTTCTTCTTTTTCTATTATGGGCATTCAACATAAAAACAAATCTCCCTACTGCTGTATCTGCATCCCACAAATAGCGGGATGGTGTTCTCATCTTCCCTTAGGTCAACATACGTTGAAACTAACCCTCCTTTTGTTTCTTCTTGACCATGGATTATCTGGAAGTGTATTACTTAGTTTCTAAACATTTGAGGGAATTTCCATATAGAATTCTGTTACTGATTTCTAATTTAATTTCATTGTAGTCAGAGATTGTATTTTACATGATCTAAAGTATTTTAAATGTGTCAATACTTGCTTTGTGGCCTAGAAAATGGTCTTTTTTGATAAATAGTCTGCGTGTGCTTGAATGTCTATTTTGCTGTTCTAGGGTGGTATGTACTATAAATGTCAATTAGGTCATATTGGTTGATGGCATCATTCAAGTCTTCCATATTCTTGCCAAATTTCTTTTTATTTGTTCTACAAATTATTTAGAGAAGGCCATTAAAATTTCTAACTATACTGTAGATTTGTCTATTTTTCCTAAAGTTCTATCAGTTGTATTTCATATTTTTGAAGCTCTGTTATCTAAGTGCATAAATGTTCAGGGTTGCTACATCCTCTTGAAATATAGATCCCTTCTTCATTTAAAAATCCTTGTTTAACCTTGATAATATTCTTAGCATTCAAATATACTTTGATGTTATTACAGTCACACCAGCTTTCACTGACAAGTAGTAGCATCACATGTCCTTTTCCTATCTGTTAACTTTTAACCTCTTCGTTTCTTTATATTTAAGTAAATTTCTTGAAAGTAGCCTATAGTAGGGTCTTGCTTTGCTGTGCAATCTGACAGTTCTTGCTTTTCATTTGTGGTGTTTAGAGCTATATTCGTTTCCTATTGCTGCTATAACAAATTACCACAAACAGTTGCTTAAAGCAACATATATTTATTCTCTTTCAAAGTTTGGAGCTCGTAAGTCTAAAATCACAGTATTGGCAGGACTCCAATCCTTCAGGAGGCTCTAGAAGAAAATCCACTTCCTTGCTTTTTCCAGCCCTAGAAGCTGGCCTCCTTCCTTGGCTTGTGGCCTTATATCACTCCAACTTCTGCTTCTACCATCACATCGCCTTTTTGATCTCTTACTCGTTTGCCTCCTCCTTATAAAGACTTTGTGATTACATTTGTCCTACCTGGATAATAAGGATAATCTCCACATCTCATGAGCATTAATTTAATCACATTTGCAAATTTCCTTTTTCCATGTGAGTAACGTAATTCACAATTTCTGGGAATTAGGACATGGCCATCGTGGGGGGCTCATTATTCAGCCTACCACAAGTCCATTTACACTTAATGTGATAATTGATATGGTTAGATTTAAGTCTGTCATCTCAGTGTTTTCTTTGTTCCATCTGATCTTCATCTCCCTTTTCCACTTCTTCTGCCTTATTTTGGATTGAGTGATTTTTATAATTCCATGTTAATCTTGTTTGTTGCCTTTTGGGTTCTGTCAATTTTTGCTTCATATATTTTGAAATTCTCTTTTAAGTTCATATGCACTCAAATTATTGTATCTTTCTCCTGTACTGAACTATTTTGCATTATAAAACATAGTCATTTCTAGTAATATTCTTTGTCTTAACATCTATCTTCTCTGATATTCATACATTTTTCACTTCAGCTTTTCTAATGTTTACTCACATGATATCTTTTCCATTCTTTTTCCTTCAGCCAATATACATATCTGTATTTAAAATGCACCTCTTGCAGGCAGTCCATAGATAGGTTTTGCTCTTGTATTCAGTTTGCCAATCTCCACCTTTTGTTTGGAAGAATTTAGTCCTCTTTCACTTTGAAATTACTGATATGGTTTGATATAGGCTTGCTATAGTGCTCTTTTGTTTTTTTAAAAAAACTTTTTATTTCAAGACATTTGGAGATCCACATTAAGTGAGAGATAATACAAGTAGCTCTTGTACAGTCTTTAGACAGTGTCCTCCACCATGGTAACATTTTGAACATTTGTATAATATCACAGCCAGATAATTCACATTGACAGAATGGTGAAAGAGAGCATTTCCATCACCACAGAGATCCCTTGTATAGCCACACATACTATACTCCCCCCACATTCCCACCCCACCCTAACCCCTCGCAACCACAAATCATCCATATCTATAATTTTGTCATTTGAAGACAGTTATACAAATGGAATCATACAGTATGTAACCTTTGGGGATTGTCTTTTCTTCATTCAAACAATTCTCTGGAGATTCATCCAGGATCTTGAGTGTATCAATAGTTTGACCCTATTGCTGAGCAGTATTCCATGGTATGAATAGATCACTATTATTTAATCATTCACCTTGCGAAAAACATCTGGGTTGTTTCAGGTTTAGGCTATTACAAATAAAGCTGCTATAGACATTTTTCTACAGAATTTTGTATGAACACAACTTTCCACCTTTCTGGGAAAAAATGCCCAATACAATTGCTGGGTCTTAGGTTAGTTATATGTTTAGGGTTTTTCCCCTTTTACTTTTACTTGACAAGTAATACTTGTACATATTTATGGAGTATAGAGTGATATTTCAATGCATAATTACAATGTGTAATGATCAAATCAGGGTAATTAGGCTATCCATCACCACAAACGTTTACCATCTGTTTGTGCTGGGAACATTCAAAATCCTCTGTTCTGGCTTTCTTGACATATAACGATAAATTACTGTTAACTAATATTCACTCTACAGTGCCAGAGAGCACTATAATTTATTCCTTCTATTTATCTGTAGTTTTGTATCTCTTAACCAACCTCTCCTTATCTTCTTCTCCTCCCTACCCTTCCCACTCAGCCTCTAATTACCACAATTCTACTCTACTTCTATGAGCTACTTCTTTGAGCTTCCACATGAGTGACAACATGGACTATTCATCTTTCTGTGGCTGACTTATTTCACTTAATGTATCCAGGCTTATCCATATCTAGGCTTGCCATTATGCTCTTTTTTTCCCCACTGTTTTATTTATTTTTTGAGTGGTTTTGATAGGGATGACAACAAGCATCTTTAACATATCATGATTTACTTACCATTTAAATTGGGTTATTTCTAGTAAATCGTACATTTCCACAGTTTACTCAATTTTTGTGCTACATGTATATTTAATTTCTGTCATAAACTAAAAAATATAATGGTATCACCTTTGCCTTAAATAATGTCTTTTAAAGATTTTCAGAGAAGAAAAACGTATAGTGATTAATATCTGCATATTTACCATTTCCAGCACATTTGAGTATTTCTTGTATATCTGAGTTACCATCTGGCATCATTTCTCAGCAGCTGATAGAACTTCTTGTCCATCTTGAAGTATAAACCTGTTACCAACAAATTATCTTAGATTTTGTTGATCTGGAAAATGTATTTTTGGCCTCCATTTTAAAAAGATAGTTTCATTAAATAGAGAATTGTTGATTTTTCTTCTTCAGCACTTTGAATAATCATTCCAGTGTCTGATAATTTCCACTATTTATGTTGGGAAGTCAGATGTTTATATAGCACATCATTTTTTTCTCTTATTTTCAAGATTTTCTCTTAATCTTTGATTTTACCGTTGTGACTATAATGTTCCTTGCTTTGGTTTTCTTTGGGCTTCACTCAGTTGGATTTGTTGAGCTTAGCGGATCTCTAAGTTAGTAGCTTTTATCAAACTTGAGAAATTTTTGGCCAACATTTCTTCAATATTTTTTCGGTAATGTTCTTTTTTTCATTACATCTAATACTAAAATTATGCATGTGTTGAACTACTTAATGTTACATAGGTCTGTGACTTTGGTTATTTTTCAATCTTTTTGGCTCCTGTTCTTTTGATTAACTATTCTCTCTTGATCTATCTTCAAATTCACTGCATTTTCTGTTCAAATGTTCTGTTTTCATCTCAAAATTGTTGTTGAGTACATTTAAATGATTTTCATTTCATTTATTATACTTTTCAGCTCTAGAATTTCCGTGGGGGCTGGAGTGTTTCTATTTCTCTGCTGAGATTCCATAGCTCTTCACTCATGGATACCATGTTTTCTTTTAATTCATTGAATACATTTTTCTTAAGCCTTTGAATGTATTTGTAATAGTGGCTTTGCAGTCTTTGGCTGCTAAATCCAACATCTGGACCTACTTGAATCGGTTTCTATTAACTTATTTTTTTCAGAGTATTGGTCATACTTTCTCATTTTAGTTTGCATCTCTGAAACTTTTTGCACATTGTAAATGATATACTGAAGTGACTGTAGAACCTGTTTTGTTCTTCTGATTGCCAATGTGTCATTCTAGGAGACAATTAATGTGCCTGAATTTCCTGTCATGTGCAGCAGCTAATATCTGTGCTTAGGAGCCTAAACAAAGGCCTCATAAGATCAATTACACACCTTAGAATTTTATGATTTTTAGAGATTCGAAATTCAGAAATTAAAAAATTTTAATTAGGAATGTTTTCCTTATGTCATTTTGGGTTTTGTCACTTTTCTTTTAAGTCTTACAAATCCAATATAATTCAGCTATAATACAGAATGCCAATATCTCACTTTGTTGTAAATTCAAATCCATATTTCAGATATCTAATAAAAATTTTCATAAATATTTCAAAAATTATGAAAAAAGCTAAGTGGAAGATGTTAAATTGAAAAATCAGGATATTAAATATACTATAATGTTTGGAATTAAATTCTACTTCATTGATAGTATAGTTTTATGTCTCTAGATGAAATAATTTAAACTAAGGTACCAGGATAATATTTTAATAAATTTAAAATAAAAATTCTTAAAGAATCAGGACTACTATAATAAAGTGAAACATTTGTTGCTCAAAAATATACCATATCAGATAGCATAGGGTTAATACTCACTTAGTTCTCACAACACACCATGCCTCTTCTAAAACATAATAATTCACATGTAACTCCAACAATTTATCTCTTACTTCTTTGGCAGATTTTCGACTATATGTAGAATAAACTATTTTTGTCCGAGCCCTTTAAATTTAAACAATAATTTAAAAGATTTTAAAATAAATGATAATAGAATAGACTAAAAAAATCTTACTAGCAAATTGAAATCTCAATACTCACTGGATGGAACACCGATATACATGACTCAAAACAGCATCAATTATTTTGGGGATGGCAGTTTCCACATTCCTACTTATATTTTGAATGTAATAAAACTTACAGCAATTTAATTTTGCATATACTGCTCATTACTGTATAAGATAGTCTAAAGTTGTACTGGGTAGCAGAGAGCAGCTTAGGATATACAATTTTCTTCTCATAATTCACAGTTTTCAGAGAATATATTCTGACAGAGACTGAATGTAGTGAAAAACACATCTTTCAATGCTTAATTTCATCTAAAGAAGCTCTGACAAATACATGAATTGAAATTTAGTGTATCAAGTAGAACACTTAGACAATGGGCATCCAGGGTGTCAGAAGAGGTAGGAAAAGCACCTTCGCAGAATCTTGAGAAATGGGGATGGTCACCAAAATATGGTACAATAGGTGATTTGACTGTAGTGGGAGTTCTTACAAAATCCTAACAAACTATCACTTATGCATTGGATGTTGCTTAGAATTTCAAGCATATGGGATGCTCAGTCACCACAGTGGTTTCCACGCCAGTTCACCGCAGTAGAACAGAGAGAGCATCAGGTACATTTCTAAGGTGTCTGACTCCAAGCCCTGGCTCCTAGACAGCAGACCTAAAACTTTTAAATAATTTAAACATTTGCCTCTAACAATAGGCCAAAAATCCACTTTTAAAAACGATTACCCTGACAACTACTAGAATAACCAAAATAATTTTTTAAACCAGCCATTTAAGGAAAGCAAAACTTTTAGACATCAATGGAAACTAGAGTTCTCATAATCGACTAGTAAAAATACTCTAAATTTTCATGAAAGCACGTAATATATAATAGCAACTTTCATGTACTTTTTCTACCTGTCACAAAAAGCTAGTCATTGGCCACCAGTAAGATCTAGAAATCATTTCTTAAATCAGAGTGGGGCTTGTGGTGTAGAGCAGGGGTTGGCAAACCATGGCTGTGAGTAAAATCCATCCTACCTACTCTTCCAACTACCTAGTAGTTTTACTGGAATACATACACACATCATAAATATGTGACACAGTTGTCACTTTGGGAAAAACTGGCTTTTGCATTTTTCAGTTTTTCAGAGGTCTGCTTGCTCCAGAGGCAACAGGTACGTATTGTCATTTCTGGATGGTTATTGTCATTTTTTTTTAACTTCCAGTATGAAAATGAGGATGAGTTTGTGTGTGTGTGTGTGTGTGTGTGTGTGTGTGTGTGTGTAAAATTTTCCCAATTCCTAAGAATTGGGAGTTGCCAAGTGAGTCTTGAAGAAATACTCATCAGCTGCCAACCTCAAGTCTGCATCTTCGTAATGTGGATGATTCACAATGGGATGAAGTGTAGACAGCTTGATGCTTGCCATTGTAGGCATGGCACCTGCAAAGACAGCATCTGAAAAAAAAAAAAGGATATATTCTTCAATTAAATGTTTTAAAGAAAATCAGAAGTTAAACTTACCTCTAATATGTGAACCCAAATTAAGAAGGATGATGCCTATTTACATGACCATGGACCTCATTCTTTTATTGACTCAATAGTTATTCATTATCTACTACAATAATAGCTGACTTTTGTTAAATACTATCTTGGGGCTAGAAATTGTGCTCCATATTTTAACAAGAAATAACCTAATCTTCACAGTTCTAAGGGGTAGGTCCTCTGTTCTTACTTTGTAGAATCTACAAACTGAGCATGTGAGGGGTCTGGGTTGTGCACTCAGAATCTAATGCCTGATGGTCTGAGGTGGAACAATGTCATCCAGAAACCACCCCCTACCCCCAATTCTGTGGAAAAAATGGTCTTCCACGAAACTAGTCCCTGGTGCCAAAAAGGTTGCAGACTGCTGTTGTAGATGATGAAGAGACACAGCCAAGTTAAGTGACTTGCCCAAGACTGTACAGCTAGGAAGTTCCAGAGCCTGCCCTCTTAGCTGCTTCACTCAAGCTTCCTGCTATGCTAGAGTACCATGCTAACAGCAGGACTACAGACACACATGAAACAAAAAGAATGTAAAATGTCACATCTGTTCCAATAATGTGAAATGCCAGGAGCTGAGAGACTGCTATGAAGGGCAAGTCTCATGGGACATTTTTTCCAATGACTTTTGTGGCTGGTGAACTGTGGTCCTGCGGATGTGCCATAAAAAAGGAAAGCATTGTTTTCTTCCCGCAGATCATCTTTAAGTTCTCAGAGTTACCATTTGACTTGACACCATTTATACATGCCATGAAATCATTTCATTACTTGCTGCTAGTACTTTTTGGAGTAATAACATGTATAAATTTGGTCATAACTAGAGATACATCAAAATCTATCTGGCTTCCATTTCATCTCTTGAAATACCAGAAGACCAAATGCTTACTTCCTGGTACTTTTGTATAAAAAACAATTACAAAATTGTGAAGGTTACTATCATTTTTCATCAGCACCATAAAATCAGTAACAAAGATAAGACATTATTCAGATCTACTATAAAAAACTACATTGGAGAGGAGGTGGAGCATGATGACCAAGTAGAAGCCTCCACTGTTCATCCTCCCCTCAGGAACACCAAATGTGATAATGATCTACACAAAAAGCACTTTCATAAGAACCAAAAATCAGCTTAGGTACCAGCTTGGCCGCAGTGGGGAGCAGCACCAAGCAGGCTCTTGTGGTCCCCGATTCCAGGCCTTGGCTCTTGGGTGGCATTTCTGGACCTGCCCTGGGCTGGAAGAGAGCCCACTGCCCTGAAGGGTGAGTTCCAGGCCTGGCAGCACTCACCACAAGCTGACTGAAAGGTCCTTGGGCCTTAAGTGAATGTCGGCGGTAGCCAGGCACTACCTCCCATGGGCCTGTGGTAGTGGTGGAAATGAGGAGAGACCCCTCTGCCTGGGGAAAGGGGAAGGAAGGGTGGGAAGGACTTTGTCTGGTGGTTTCAGCACCAGCTCAGCTGCAGTAGGATAGAGCATCAGGTAGATTTCTAAGGTGTCTGACTCCAGGCCCTGGCTCCTGGACAGCAGCATCTCTGGATCTGACTATGACCTGGGGGATCTTGCCACCCTGAAGGGAAGGTCACCAGCCTGGTTTGCTTTGCCACCTGCTGACTGTTGAGCCCTACACCTTGAGCAAACATAGGTGGTGGCCAGGCAGTAGTTACAATGAGCTTTGGGTAAGACCCAGTGCTGTGCTAGCTTCAGGTCTGACCCAACACATTCCCAGTAGTGGTGGCCACAGAGATGCTTATATCACACCCCACCCCCAGCTCCAGGCAGCTTAGCACAGAGAAAGAGAGAGAGAGAGACTCCATATGGGAGAGAGTAAGGGAAGAGAACAAGAGCTTCTGCCTGCTAATCCTGAGAATTCTGGATTTTATCCAAGACCACCAAGGTAGTACCTCTAAGAGTCTGCAATAGCTTCAGCATTACTGGGCATGGGGTGCCTCCTAGTGCAGATACAGCTGCAGCGACCAGAAACTTAGATCACAACACCAAAGTCCCTTTGAATACCTGGAAAGCCTTTCCAACAAGGATGGGTACAAACAAGCCCAGACTGCAAAAACTATAATAAATACCTAACTCTTCAATGCCCAGACACCGACAAACATCCACAAGCATCAAAACCATGCAGGAAAACATGACCTCACCAAACAAACTAAATAAGGCACTAGGGGGCCAATCCTGGACAGACAGAGATATGTGGCCTTTCAGACAGAGAATTCAAAATAGCCGTGCTGAGGAAAGTCAACGAAATTCAAGATAACACAGAGAAGGAATTAGTATCTTATCAGATAAAGTTAACAAATAAATTGAAATAATTAAAAAGAAGCAGAAATTCTGGAGCTGAAAAATGCAACTGACATACTGAAGAATGTATCAGTCTTTTAATAGCAGAATTGATCAAGCAGAAGAAAGAATTAGTGAGCTTAAAGACAGGTTGCTTGAAAATACACAGAGGAGGTGAAAAAAGAATAAAGAAGAATGAAGCATACTTTCGAGATCTAGAAGTAGCCTTTAAAGGGAAAAATCTAAGAGTTATTGGCCTTAAAGAGGAGGTAGAGAGAGACAGCAGTAGGAAGTTTATTCAAAAGTGTAACAGAGAACTTCTCAAAGCTAGAGAAAATATCAATATTCAAGCACAAGGTTATAGAACACCAAGCAGATTTAACCCAAAGACTAACTCAAGTCATTTAATATCAAACTCCCAAAGGTCAAGGATAAAGAAAGGATCCTAAAAGCAGCAAGAGAAAAGAAACAAATAACATACAATGGAGATCTAATAGATCTGGCAGCAGACTTTTCAGTGGAAACCTTACAGGCCAGGAGAGCATGCCATGACATATTTAAAGTGAAGGAAAAAACCTTTTACCTGAGAGTAGTGTATCCAGAGAAAATGTCCTTCAAACCTAAAGGAGAAGACTTCCCAGTGAAACAAAAGCTGTGAAATTTCATTCACACCAGACCTACCTATAAGAAATGCTAAAGGGAGATCTTCAATCTGAAAGAAAAGGACATTAATGAGGAAGAAATAATCGGAAGGTACAAAACTCACTGGTAATAGTAAGTACACAGAGAAACACAATATTATAGCAGTGTCATTATGGTATATAAACTACTTATATGATAAGTAGAAAGACGAAAAGATGAACCAATAAAAAATAAATACAACAACTTTTCAAGAGACAGTACAATAAGATATAAATAGAAACAAGAAAAAGGTAAAAAGTGGGGAGATGAAGTTAAAGTTTAGAATTTTTATTAGCTTTCTTTTGGCTTATTTGTTTATGCAATCAGTGTTGTCATCAGTTTAAAATATTGCAAATAATAAGATATTATTTGCAAGCCTCATGGTAACCTCAAGTTTAAAAACATAAAATGGATGTACAAAAAATAAAAAGCAATAAACTAAAACACACCACCAGAGAAAATCACCTTCAATGAAAGAAAAAGAGGAAGGAAGAGAAGACCACAAAACAATGAGAAAACAAATAACGAAATGGCAGGGGCAAGTCCTTAACAATAATAACACTGAAGGTAAATGGGCTGAACT
Source organism: Homo sapiens (assembly GCF_000001405.40). NCBI lineage: Eukaryota > Metazoa > Chordata > Mammalia > Primates > Hominidae > Homo > Homo sapiens. The sequence continues at coordinate 63,574,494 of NC_000012.12, forward strand.
CTCCAATCAAAAGACAAAGAGTAGCTGAATAATAAAACAAAACACTAAGAATCTGTTACCTACAAGAAACACACTTTACTTATAAAGGCAAATATAGACTGAAAACAAAGGGATGGAAAATTATATTCCATGCCGATGGAAACCATAAAAGAGCAGGAATAGCCATACTTACATCAGACACAATAGCTTACAAGACAAAAACTATAAAAAGAGACAAAGAAAGTCATTATATAATGATAAAGGGGTTCATTCAGCAAGAGTATATAACAATTGTAAATATATATACACCCAATACTGGAGCACCCGGATATATAAAGCAAATATTATCAGAGCAAAAGAGAGAGACAGATCCCTATACAATAATAGCCTGAGACTTCAACACCACACTTTCAGCAGTGGACAGGTCATCTAGACAGAAAATCAACAAAGAAACACTGAACTTAATCTGCACTATAGATCAAAAGGACCTAATAGATACTTACAGAACATTTCATCCAACATCTAAGGAATACACATCCTTCTCCTCAGCACATGGATCATTCCTCAAGGATAGACCACAAAACAAGGATAGGCCACAAAACAAGCCTTAAAACATTTTTTAAAAATTGAGACAATATAATGTATCTTCTCTGACCACAATGGAAAAAAAAACTAGAAATCAGTAGCAAAAGGAATTTTGGAAACTCTACAAACATACAAATTAAAGAATATGCTCCTGAATGACTGGTAGGTTAATAAAGAAATCAAGAAGGAAATTGAAAATGTTCTTGAAACAAACGATAATGAAAACACAACACATCAAAACCTATGGGATACAGCAAAAGCAGTATTAAGAGGGAAGTCTATAGCTGTAAGTGCCCACATCAAAAAAGAAGAAAAACCTCAAATTAACAACTCAATGATGCTTCTTAAAAAACTAGAAAAGGGCAAACAAAACCCAAAGTTAGTAAGAGAAATAAAATAATAAAGATCAGAGCAGAAATAAATGAAATTGCAATGAAGAAAACAGTATAAAAGATCAACTGGTTTTCTGAAAAGATAAAATTAACAAACCTTTAGCCGGACTAAGAAAAAAAGACAGAAGGCCCAAATAAATAAAATCAGAGGTAATAAAAGGAGACATTATAACCAATATTGCAGAAATTAAAGGATCATCAGAGACTACCATGAGCAACTGTATGCCAATAAATCGGAAAACATAGAAATGGATAAATCCCTAGATACATAAAACCTACCAAGATTGAACTATATAGAAATCCAAAACCTGAACAGACCAATCACAGGTAATGAGATCAAATCTCTAATCAAAAGTCTCTCAGCAAAGAAAAGCCCAGGACCTGATGGCTTCACTGCTGAATTTTATCAAACATTTAAAGAAGAACTAATATCAATCCTACTCTAACGATTCCAGGAAATAGAGGAAGAGGGAATACTTCCAAACCCATTGTATGAGACCAATATCACTTTAATACCAAAACCATACAAAGAACCATCAAAAAAAGAAAACTACGGGCCAAAATCTCTGATTAATGTTAATGCAAAAATCCTCAACAAAATACTAGCAAACTGAATTCAATAACACATTAAAAAGATTATTCATCATGACCAAATAGGATTTATCTCAGGGATGCAAAGATAGTTCAACGTAGCAAATCAATGTGATACGTCATATCAACACAATGAAGGGGAAAAATCATATGATCATCTCATCTCCATAGATGCGGGAAAATCATTTGGTAAAATTCAACATACCTTCATGATAAAAACCTTCAAATAAACTGGGTATAGAAGGAACATTAATCAACATAAAGAAGCTATATACAGCAAATGCACAAGCAGTATCATACTGAGTGAGAAAACACTGAAAGCCTTTCTTCTAAGACCTGGGACATGACAAGGATGCTCACTTTTTACCACATTATTCAACATAGTACTGGAAATCCTAAATAGAGCAATCAGACAAGAGAAAGAAAGAAAGGGCATCCAAATTTGAAAGGAAGAGGCCAAATTATCATTGTTTGCAGATGATATGATCTTATATTTAGAAAAACCTAAAGTCTCCACCAAAAAAAAAACTATTAGAACTGATAAATTCAGTAATGTTGTAGGATACAAAATCATACAAAAATCATTAACGTTTCTATATGCCAACAGAGAACAACCTGAGAAAGAAAATTTAAAAAGTAATTCCATTTACAGTAGCCACACATAAAATTAAATACCTAGAAATTAACCAAAGAAATGAAAGATCTCTAGAATGAAAGCTATACAAAACTGGAGAAAGAAATTGAAGAAGATACAAAAAATGGAAAGCTATTCCATGTTCAAGCATTGGAAGAATCAATACTGTTAAAATGTCCATACTATTCAAAGCAATCTACAGATTCAATGCAATCCCCATCAAACTACTAATGATATTCCTCACAGAGATAGAAAAAACTATCCTTATTTATTCGAAAACACAAAAGACCTAGAATAGCCAAAGCTACCCTGAGCAAGAAGAACAAAACTGAAGGAATCACAATACCTGACTTCAAATTATATTACAGAAGTATAGTAACCAAAACATCATGGTACTGCCATAAAAACAGACACACAGACCAGTGGAACAGAATGGAGAACCCAGAAAGAAATCCATACATCTACAGTAAACTCATTTTTTACAGCAGTCCCAAAAACATACACTGGGGAAAGGGCAATCTCTTCAATAAATGGTGTTGGGAAAACTGAATATCCATATGCAGAAGAATGAATCTACACCCCTATCTCTTGCCATATACAAAACTCAAATCCAAATGGATTAAAGCCTTAAATCTAAGACCTCAAACTCTGAAATTACTACAAGAAAACTTTGGGGAAACTCTCCAGGACTTTGGTTTGGAAAAAGATTTCTTGAGTAAATACCTGGGAAGCACAGGCAACCAAAGCAAAAATGAACAAATGGGTTCACATCAAGTGTAAAAGCTTCTGCACAGCAAAGGAAACAATCAGCAAAGTGAAGAGACAACCCAAAGAATAAGCAAAAATATTTGCAAACTACCAATCTGACAAGGAATTAATAACCAGAATATATAAGGAGCTCAAACAACAAATCTAAAAATCTACTTTAAAAATGGTCAAAAGATCTGAATAGACATTTCTCGAAAGAAAACATACAAGTGGCAAACAGGTACATGAAAAGGTGCTCAACATCACTGATCATCAGAGAAATGCAAATCAAAACTACAGTGAAATAGCATCTCACTCCAGTTAAAATGGCTATTATTCAAAAGACAGGCAATAACAAATGGCTGTTATCCAAAAGACAGGAAACGATGTGGAGAAAAGGGAACTCTCATACACTTTTGGTGAAAATGTAAATTAGCACAACCACTATGTAGAAGAGTTTGGAGGTTCCTCAAAAAACTAAAAATAGAGTTACAAAATGATCCAGCAATCCTACTCTTAGATATATACCCCAAAGAAAGGAAATAAATATTTAGAAGAGGTATCTGCACTCCCATGTTTATTGCAGCACTTCTCACAATAGTCTAGATTTGGAAGCAACCTAAGTGTCCATCAACAGGTGAATGGATAAAGAAAATGTGGTATGTAGACACAACGCAGTGCTATTCAGCCATAAAAACGAATGAGAACCTGTCATAAAAAAAGAATGAGATCCTATCCATAACATGGATGGAACTGGAGGTCATTACATTAATTGAAATAAGCCAGGTACAGAAAGACAAACTTTGCAGGTTCTTACTTGTGGGAGCTAAAAATTAAAAGAGTTGAACTCATGGAGATCAAGAATAGAATGATGGTTACCAGAGGCTGGGAAGGATAGTGAGGGGGTGGAGGGGAAGTGAGGATGGTTAATGTGCACAAACAAAATAGAATGGATAAGATGTAGTGTTTGGTAACACAGAAGGGTGACTATAGTCAACAAAATTTTACTGCACATTTAAAAATAACTGAGAGAGTATAACTGGATTGTTTGTAACACGAAGGATCAATGCTTCAGGTGATGGATACTCCATTTACCCTGATGTGATGATTACACATTGTATGCCTGTATCAAAATATCCCATCTACCCCATAAATATATACACCTGCTCTGTACCCACATAAATTAAAAACTTTAAGAACCCTGAGTGTTTACCTTCCAGTATAACTAAGCATTCTAAGTGCAACTTTGAATGAAAATTTCTTTATATGCCTCAAATTTGAAAATATGTAAGCTAGTCAAAGAATGTGTATTTATTATTGGAGACTCAATAATTTATGATGACAAGCTGTTAAGCTAGAGAAGTGGTTCTCAGGCAGGCATGATTTTGCTCCCTAGGGAGCACTATCAACTTCTGGAGACACTTTTCGATGTCATGCTATGGGGAGGAGGGAGGAGATGCTGTTGGCATCTTGTAGATAGAGGCCAAGGATTTCTTGTAATACATAGGACAGCCTCAATGTCAACTGTGCTAAGGTTGGGAAATGCTGAGCAAGAAGAATTGAAAGCCCAGGGCCAGGGTCTTCCAAAAAAAACTAGGCACACCTGTCCAGCAAGAGCTGGACCCACTGAGTTGTCATCTATGGCAGACGGAGAGGAAGAAATACCCTCCCACTCCACTTTCTGTCTCTTTGGCTGTGAAGTAAATGAGCATTAACAAGGAAAAATCAGATATTTTCCTATCACTGTATGGAAGTCTCCATTTAGCCTACTATACAGATTAGAAAAAGGTATTCCCCTGACCTGACAGAGCCCCATTATACATGGCTTGATGAGTGGACCACAAGCTGGATTTAAGCTTTCACTTATCCTCTCAATTGGTCACCTTTGTGCAGTGCACAAACTATACAACCGTATATGGCAGACCTCAATATAAGCACTAGTTCCACTAATACTACAAAACTTCATACAGCTTTTAATATGTGGTAACCATGAGATAACTCATAATAAGGGTAGTTAAAAGGAGAATAAGACAGATTAAAAAGAAGATCAAAGAAGAGGCATCTAAAAGTGAGACAGGGGTTTGTGGCAGTTATCTTAGAAGGATAAGTTGCCAAATGTAGGCTCTCTGTCAGGAACCCAATACAAACACTGGAACAAAGAAAGACACAAGAAAAGATTAAAAGGGCAGCTATTTTTAAAAGCTTGGGAAAAATAGCTATAACTGGGGAGGGGCAAGGGAGAGTAAAGAAAGGGAGTGATTACCTTGAGCTCCTATGTGGAAAAAGTCAGTTGGGGATTACTTTTAAAATTCTAATTAAACTGGCTTGGCAGTTTAACGAGGCACTGTCACCTACACCCTTTGAAAGCTATAGACCAAGTATCTTACTTAAAGCTTATAAAGATTTACCTTAATGAAGGTTAATTAGCAAAAAAGTGGCTATCAAATAAGAAATAAAAGGAAACAAGCTCAGGAGTCATAAGAAAATTTAAATAAATCATAGTGAAGAACTTGTACCAGAGTAAGTTTCTAAATATTAAAAATAATCTTTGATTTACAAATTTAGTTACAGAAAATGTTATAGACTTATTCTCTGGAAAGGTATTTAAAAATATCTATCTGCTTGAGGTAGTTCTGAATAAAAACAGGAAGAAAAGAAGGTAAGCTAAAAAGAAAATTTTGGAGTATTTAAAAGTAGGATGTATACTATCTCTGTGAGATGATTTAGTGAAGAAAATAGAATATCCAAGATTTTCTCTTCTGCCAATGACCTGTTTTACAGAATTAGAGGAGACAGCACTGATTGCAGTGACAGAAGCGGTGCTGGTTAACTCCCCACCATCAAAAGTATCTTCTGCTGTAGCCTGGCACAAGGTGTGAAATTTCATTTTTAAAGACTTACTTCTTTGATTTGTCATTGTTATGGTTAAAATGCTATAATGCTGTCTGAGAGTTAAAGGACATAACTTATGAAAAATCATTAATTTCCTGGTGCTAATTTAAATTCTTTGATAATTATCTGGGAGGGGCTTAAAGGGGGTGCAAAATTGCCTTTTGGAAGGGTTTAATTGATTGACATTGCAATAGTCTGCTCAAAGTCTGTGAGAGTATGAATGCCTATTTGTAAATCTGTCATACACACATACACACATATATCAGAAATGACAATAATTATATATAGTATACACAAATGTGTCTGTATGTTTGTATAAAACTAGCATATAACCAAATACCTACACACCTGATGTGGTACTGTATTTGATCCACTGTAAAAGTTCTTCCTGAGGCAAATTATTAAATTCTCCTATTATGCTCCATTGATTACGGAGGTTTGCATAACCTTGTATTGACATCACTGTTAAAATGCCAAAGATAACCTTCTCAAAACGAACTCTGCGAAAAAGCCAGCCAAAGAGCTGAAACGAAAGAAACCGTTTATTTCTAGTTCTTATATGAAGAGTACCGTAGGGTCAACAATAAATTCTCACCTTGTTACTCAAACCAATGTGAATTACCCTTTGATATCAGCACACATGTATACAGAATTATCATCTCCGATTGTTTCTAAAGCAACGAATATATTGGCATTACAGGGCCCAGGTGAAAATGGAACTTTCTCTCCCCTGGGAAGAATTAAGGAAGATATACCTGATCCTTCTAGTACTAATTTACTACTAAGGATTAAAATAAACAAATCACAACTGTGAAACATCTTAGAACTAAATCCTTGCATCCTTGGCTGCCTTTTGTGGACATGGTTAGTAGACAGGGAAGCCCTATTAGCATGATATATATAGATTCTTCTCAGGAAAACAGGCATTATGATATTTTAAGGCTATACACTCATAATAAAAACGAAGTAAGGTGTTTGTAGAAGTACCTTAGGCCCAATATTCTAGCAATTTATCTAGTTCTTTTGTATGTTAGATAACAGTGATAGAACCCCAGAATTTCTTATAGATTCTTCGAGCCAAACAGGATCATATTAGAGCAATTTCTCTGCATCTACTCTGGTATTGGATGAGTATTTCAGGGTACTTTTGGTGAACCAGGAAACTCTTTTTTTTTTTTTTTTTTTTCTGAGACAGAGTCTCACTCTGTCTCCCAGGCTGTAATGCAGTGGTGTGACCTCAGCTCACTTCGACCTCCACTTCCCGGGTTCAAGCAATATTCCTGCCTCAGCCTCCTGAGTAGCTGGGATTACAGGCACACACCACCATGCCCGGCTAATTTTTGTATTTTAATAGAGATAGGGTTTCACCATGTTGGCCAGGCTGGTCTTGAACTCCTGACCTCAAGTGATCTGCCCACCTCGGCCTTCCAAAGTGCTGGGATTTCAGGTGTGAGCCACTGTGCCTGGCCACCAGGAAACTCTTTTTTTTCTCTTTTTCTTTTTTTGAGACAGAGTCTCACTCTGTCACCTAGGTTAGAGTGCTGTGATGCGATCTTGGCTGACTGTAGCCTCTGCCTCCCAGGTTCAAGCAATTCTCCTGCCTCAGCCTCCCAGGTAGCTGGAATTACAGGCACTCGCCACCATACCCGGCTAATTTTTGTATTTTTAGTAGAGATGGAGTTTCACCATGTTGGCCGGGCTGGTCTCGAACTCCTGGCCTCAAGTGATCTGCCCATCTCGGCCTCCCAAAGTGCTGGGATTACAGGTGTGAGCCACTGTGCCAGGCACTCTTACACAAACCTGAACTCTAAAAGGTTATGTTCATGGACAGGATATTAACAGAGGGGAAATGTTTGCCTAATCACTTGTTATAGAAATATCAATTAAAATCCAGAAATACTTTTCAAAGCCACTTGAAATTGCTTTTCTTGCTTATAGTGAATCATGAAGTAATATTTTAAATCATTTAACTTAGTTAAGTTAAAAACACTTAGTGTGTTTATATTTTGAATTAGTCAGCAAAGCCACAGTAACTACTAAGTATAGCTGCTATAGTTTTTATAGTATTGTTATACAAGAATGAATCCCTTACCTGTCGAGAGCATATCAAGGAAGCCATAACACACATGTGCGGTGTCAAAAACATCTTTAGCCTCATAATTAAAATGGCAAGGGCAGTAAACACTAACAACTGCAATGTGTGAAAAGCCAGCTATAAAACACAAATAAGACAAAATCACATTTTTACTTTTCATATTTTTAAATTAATGAAGTATATTAAAACTATATTATTCATTAAGACAAGGATCTTCTAACTTAGTAATAAGCCTATCAGTATTCATTCAGCAATAATTTATCGAATGTCTACTATGTTCCAGGTACTCTTCTGGGTGCTTCGGATACAGCAGTGAGCAATTTCTGTCCTTGCATTACATTTAACTACATTTAGTAATGAAAGACAGACAATACATAGAAATAGCAAATAAATAAATCCATTACATAGTCTACTGTAAGGCAATAAGTGCAGTTGGCAAGAAAATGGAGCAGGCAGAGGAGCTAGGGAGAGCAGGAGGTGGTGTGAGGAGGTGGAGTACCAACACAGTGGGCCTCACTGTAAAGTGACAAAGTTACTAATGCATCCCTGATCCAAAAATCTGAAATCTACAATGCTCCAAAATCTGAAACTTTTGAGTACCAATATGATGTTCAAAGGTTATGCTAAAACAAATGCTCATTGAAGCATTTTGGATTTTGGGTTTTCAGGTTAGGGATGCTCAACTAGTAACTACACTGTAAATATTCCAAAATTCAATAAAATCTGAAATCTGAAAAGCCTCTAGTCCTAAGCATTTTGGATAAGGGATACTCAACATGTGTCATAAACTATCTCTATTAAGTTCAAATTCAGTTACCCACTCCTGTAAAGTTGACCTTTACCTCAAGACCCACTTAAAGTTCTATCAAATAGGAAATATTTCCAGCCCACACTGATCTTTTCCTTTTTATGCCACAAAATAATTTTACACCATATAAAATGTTGTCTTATTTGTCTCCTTTGTAAAATTACCATACTGAAGGGCAGGAACATGACTTTAGTATCTTGTGTATCCTTCAACACTTCTGAGCTTGTCACTGACTGACCAGCAAATCTACGTGGTGGCAGATGGCCACCAGTCACAGGGCCAAGGGTGCCTGCCCTAATGGACTGTAGCTGATTAGCTCAGCAGGCTAGAAACTGAATGCTTGTTATTGTTAAATGAATGCAATTTAATTTAATTCTGTACTATAGTCATAAATCAGCCTTCTAGCTTTTAAATCCTTATTACTATTCAAAAGTAAGAGCAGATGAAAGAGTGAGAAGGATCAGCAGAAATTTATCACCAATGCTGAACAACTCACTACTGAAGGTGCATCAGCAGCAAGGTTATACCTTTGTCAATTATCCTCAAACTACAATTTAATACACAAGTCTACCAGAGATTAAAATGAAAGCTTTACCTCACTGTGTTCAAGGAGCTGTTTTCTAGAATAAAACAAAAATATTACCTATTTACTGAAGGTCTTTTATACTATGAATACATAAAAATAAGCTTCATTTGCTTGATCTTAGATTTTTAAAATGTGACTATCTCTAAACTACTTACGAAAATACATAAAAATAAAAATATCAGATAATAGTACAAAAATTACAACAATTTAAAAGTCATAATTTATAGTCATCCTATTCAAGATATGTCAAAAATTTGTTCTTTGGTTAAGACAAAATAGATTTTACAGATCCCTAGAGATTGTACCTCTCATTAATAAATGAATAGGATGACCTTCTATTCAACCTATATATACAGTGTATACAATACTTTAGATGACCACTGTTAAACTTTTGAGTTATTTTCATTTTTCACAATTACAAATAACATGGACACTCATGCATAAAACTTTGTAAGCATCTCTGAATATTTCCTTAGCATAAATTTCCAGAAGAAAAATTATTGGGTAAAACATAAATATTTTTAGTTTCAGAAAAGTTGTCCCTTTACAAAATATTTATAGTACACCTACTGTATTCTAGGCACTGTGCAATGAAATGAATACCACAGTCTCTGCTTATCCTCCAATCCTCACTTTCCACAGTTTCAGTTACCTGTGGCTAACTGCAGTCCAAAAACATTAAACGAAAAGTTCCAAGAAATAAACAATTCCTAAGTTTTAAATTGTGCACCATACTGAATAGTGAAATCTCAAGTCACCCTGCTTCATCCTACCTGGGATATGACTCACCCCTTTGTCCAGCATATCCATGCTCTATACGTCACCGGCCTGTTAGTCATGTAGTTACCATCTTAGTTATCAGATGGACTCTGGTGGTATCTCAGTGCTTGTTTTGAAGTAACCCTTTTCTGACTTAATAATGGCCCCAAAGTTCAAGAGCAGTGATGCTGGCAGTTGAGATATGCCAAAGAGAAGCTGTAAAGTGCTTTCTTTAAGAGAAAAGGTGAAAGTTCTCAAAAGAAAAAACATCATATGCTGAGGTTGCTAAGATCTACGGTAAGAACAAATCTACCCATGAAATTGTGAAGAAGAAGAAAAAATTAATGTTAGTTTTGCTGTTGCATCTAAAACTGCAAAAGTTATGGCCACAGTCCATGATGAGTGCTTAGTTAAGATGGAAAAGGCATTAAATCTGTGGGTGGAAGACGTGAACAGAAATGTGTTCCGATGGTGGCAATCACGTGTGTTACTCTCTGCAGTTTCAAGCATCCACTGGGGGTCTTGGGATGCGTCGCCCTGCAGATAAGGGCAACTGCTGTGCAGCATGAACAGTATGGATACAATACTTATCTTCATGGAGTTTATATTAGAGTAAGACAAGAGGTAGGAGACTGCCTATTTTATTGTTCTCTTGAAAAGACTGGGTATTTTACTTTTATGAAAGGCTTTATAGCCTGCAGGGGCATTCTAATATGGATTTTGGGGGTGAAGAGAGAAATAGGTGTGGAAAGTAAGTTCAGGGGTACAGAGACTCATAGGTTTTTTAAAAGAGAAGTCAGGGGAAGGTCTCTTAAGGTAGTAATGGAGTCCAAATTATTCTATGTCCCTTGTAGCTCCTACCCTTTGTATGCAGTAGTTTTTTTTTAAATCGAAGACAGGGGAAGGTCTCTTAAGGTAATAGTAGAGACCAAATTATTCTGTCTCCCTCATAGCTCCTTCCCTGTGTATGCAGTTAACGGAGTGGGGTTTCTCCACTTGTCCCGAAATCTTCTAGGCACAACAGATTCCTGTAGTGAGCTGCATGCAAGGAAGAAGCCTGGTAGGTGAGTAATTATTATAATCACCAAGAACCCTGAAAGTAACTACTGATACTTTATTTAAATCAAGTAGCTAATTAAAAATGTGAATATACAACCAAATCCCAAGACACAGATATCATGAAAAGGAAACATCAAAATAAATAAGCAAAAAGCTTGACCTCTCATGAAACAGCCAATGCAAATGAAAACTCCAATTATTGTTTTCACAGAAGTTTAAGAGGATAATGCATCCATATAATTAAAATAAGCTCCAGTGAAAAGGAGTTTTCAGAAATTCTAAGAAAAATATATTTGCCTAATTTAAAGCCTCAAAAGAAAGTTGAAGAGCAAAATGTACACAGCTGAAGTTGACAGTATTAAAGACTCAGTGATGATATTCTCTGAGAACACAGAAAGAAAAGAAATAGATAATGTGATAAAAGCAATAACAGAAATTCAAAAAAGAGAGGCTAAAGTGAAAGAATAAGAGAACAACAACACACACACATCACCCCTCCAAACCTTATGAATTTCCAGAGAGAAAAACTGTATAGGAATTTTCATCTGTAATGCTCAATGCTAGAACACAAAGAAGCAATGTCAACAAAATGTTGAATGAAACCCATAAATATCTATTAACCAATCTATCAATCAAATATGAGGGCAAAATAAAGCCATTTTTTCAGGTAAGAAAGCACCCAGAAAGCATGCCAATTCTACATGTCAAGGAAAAATAAATCAGTAAAATTTGAAGTCAAGTCCAAAGATTGCTGGTGTCTTTAATGTAAGTGTTTAGAGACTTCTTAAAACATAACAGATAAGACAACAATCTAGAAAGTAAATTTCAGCATAACCTGGAAGGAGAGGGTGTCTAGGCAGGGGCAAGTAGAAATATTCCAACAGCTCAGCGCTGAAGCAAGCAGGTCTCTAGGTACAGAGCCTGAGTACGAATTCTGCCTCCACTACTCACTAGCTGTGTGCCTTTCAGAAAATTACTTACCTTCTTATTGGTTTCCTCATCTGCAAATAATGGGAATAACTGACTCCCTTCTCACAAGGTGACTGTGAGGATTTATTGAGTTAATACTGGTAAGAAGCTTAAAATACTGTCAGACACACAGGAAATAATAACTGTTAGCTACTATCGTTGGTGGTAACAGGTTTTAGATGCTGATGAATTCTTAATATCAAGATGAATACATTTGATAATAATTTAAGAGAAACCACCAGGAAATACAGAAATGGGATATAGCTAACAATTCAGCGAGTATCAAGAAAATAATTTTTGAAAAGCACGATGAATAGAAAACATAAAATCAGATGGCAGAGAGAAGTACAAACACAGCAGTTATCACAGTTAATATGAAAATGGGTTAAATTCACCAATTAGAAAACGGGTATTAGAGGAATTTGAATAGAAAAAATCTAACAATGAGAAATATACCTAAACCAAAATGTCACAAAAATGTTAAAAAAAAGCATAAATACAGGTAAACCAGGAAAATCTATAAAAAAGAAAGCAGATGTGGCAATATTAATTTTATACAAAGAAAAATTTACAGCAAAAAACCACTAAGTAAAGCAAAGAATATCCTTTATAATAAAAGTACAATCCTATAATAATCATGCAATGAACAACAGCACTATCTATATAAAGCAAACACTATTAAAATTACAAGACAATTTTGAAAAATTCATTTTTAATGTTGTATGTGAAGATAGCATTCTAAGAAAACAGATAAAGTAGAAAAATAAGTTGATGTACTAGACCATTTGGAATAGCACTATTAATAACATGATATAACATGTAACTTTGAACTTCCCCTAAATAAGAAATGAACATTTAAAAAATCCTCACAGAGCATTTACTAAAACTGAACATCCATCTCAATAGATAGCAAGTTAATTTTAAAGGCAAAATATACAACAGAAGAAACTAGTTAGACATTTTTAAAAATTATTATTATTATTATTATTATTATTATTATTATTGAGACAGAGCCTCGCACTGTTGCCAGGCTGGAGTGCAGTGGCAATCTTGGCTCACTGCAACCTCCAACTCCTGGGTTCCAGCGATTCTCCTGCCTCAGCCTCCCGAGTAGCTGCGATTACAGGTGTGTGCCACCACACCCAGCTAATTTGTGTATTTTTAGTGGAGACAGGGTTTCACCGTGTTGGCCAGGATGGTCTCGATCTCCTGACCTCGTGATCCGCCCGCCTTGGCCTCCCAAAGTGCTGGGATTATAGGCATGAGCCACCGAACCCGGCCTAAAACTAGTTAGACATTTTAAGACATTCTTCTAAGTGATTTTGGATTAAATGATCAAAACTCAAATCACAGACTACACAGAAATCAACATTAATGGTAATGCTACACACATCATGGGATACAGTGTGCGTTTTCTTCAAAGAAAAAGTTATAACTTTAAATGTATTTACTAGGACACAATAATGATTGATAATAAATGATGTGAACTTTAGACACAGAAAAACAACAAAAGTGCACCAAAAGAAAAACTAAGGACATAAACATATAAACAGAGATTAATAAAATGGAGAACAACCTTCATAAATATAAGGAATAAAACCAAAAGCTGGTTTTATGAAAAATCCAAAAAAGAATGACCTCGTTATGGACTAATGCAGCTGGTGACTTTCGGTTGAAGCCAATGTTCATTTACCACTTTGAAAATCCTGAGGCCTTTTTTCAGAATTATGCTAAATCTACTCTGCCTCTACTCTACAAATGGAACAACAAAGCCTGGATGACAGCACATCTGTCACAGCATGATTTACTGAATATTTTAAAAGTTTCAGTTAAGCCAGATGAATAAGTTCGAGAGATCGACTATAGAATGTTATACTTATAGTCCACAATACTGTATTATACAATTAAAAAATCGTTAAGAGGGTAGATCACATGTTAAGCATTCTTACCAAATTTTAAAAACAAGTGTAGTTATTAATAAGGAGAAAAAATATATAATAATCCCCAAAATATTTTTAAAGCCATTTTTAAAAAATTTAACATTCATTTTTTACTGCTTTATTGAGTTACAATTCACACATTATATACTTTCAACATCTATCTTTAATTTAATTTTTAAAATTATCCTGGTTTATATAAACCAAAAGGAAACTTTCTTTTTTTTTTTTTTTTTTTGTTTTTTGAGACGGAGTCTCACTCTGTCGCCCAGGCTGGAGTGCGGTGGCGCGATCTCAGCTCACTGAAACCTCCGCCTCCCGGGTTCACGCCATTCTCCTGCCTCAGCCTACCGAGTAGCTGGGACTACAGGCGCCCACCACGATGCCCAGCTAATTTTTTGTATTTTTAGTAGAGACGGGGTTTCACCATGTTAGCCAGGATGGCCTCAATCTCCTGACCTCGTGATCCGCCCACCTTGGCCTCCCAAAATGCTGGTATTACAGGCGTGAGCCACCGCGCCTGGCCAAGGAAACTTTCTTAATGAAATAAAGGCTATCTATTATATACTAACAGTAAATGAAACAGTGAGACACTAAAGGCATTCTTCACTTTAGAGTCAGAAACAAAATAAGGGCAAGCCCATCATCACTGCAATTCAAAATTGTTCTGGAAGTTCTAGCACGACAAGAAAGTAAAGAAGTATAAATATTAGAAAGTTATTACTATTTGTAGATTATATGATAACCTGCCTAGAAAATCCAGACATCAATGGAAAAACTATCAGAACCAGAAAGAAAGTTTGGTAATGTGGCTAGATAAAAATGTGTTGCAAAAAAAAAAAAAAAAAAAAAAAAAAAAAAAAAAAGTAAAGCAGCTTTCCTATAAACTAAAAGATCAATATAAGAGACAATCTAAAACAGACTCAAGTACAATGAGAATTGATAAGTGATAAAAGCTGACATTTGGAAAAAAGATTTATGCAACACTGTGTTGGGACAATACCTCATTAGAGGGGGAAAGGTAGACTCCTCTATGTCACTATACCACAAAATTAACGCAAGAGTAATAAATAACCTATATGTAAATAGACACTTATGAAAGAAAATATGAAAAAAAATTTTCATGTTTTTCGTATAGGGAAGTGTTCTAAGCAACATATGAACCCAGAAAAAATATATAACTGTGATTGTAGAGAAATTTTGAAGTTCTACAAAGCAGAGACCATAAATGAACTATAAGTTGACATCTTGGAAGAAACTATGTAATGCACATAAGAGACAAAATGTTACGTCTATGGAAAAAGCAAAAACATAACACATAGCCGGGCACAGTGGCTCATGCCTGCAATCCCAGCACTTTGGCAGGCCCAGGTGGCTGGATCACTTGAGTTCAGGAGTTCGAGACCAGCCTGGCCAACATGGCAAACCCTGTCTCTACTAAAAATATAAAAATTAGCTGAGTGTGATGACGGGTGCCTGTTATCCCAGCTACTCCAGAGGCTGGGGCAGGAGAATTGCTTGAACCCCGGAGGCAGAGGTTGCAGTGAGCCGAGATTGTGCCACTGCATACACAGCAGCGAGACAAAAAAAACAAAACAAAACAAAACAACAACAACAACAACAAAAACCCACAAAACAACTTTTAAAGGTCAAAAAGAAACATAGTAAACAAACACATGAAAAGCTGCAAAACTCCACTGACAAAGAATTGATACAATAAAATGAATTGTTTTTACCTATCAGAAAAAATTAAAAGCTTGATAACGATGTTGGTGGAGTTGCAGAGAAATGGACACTCTCATCATTATAATTTCTCAGTTTTAACAAATTCTAAAATATGCAGGCCTCATAATCAGCAGTCCAAATTCAAATATTTCATACTATAGAAATACTTAGAATAAGTGTACCAAGATACACGAACCAGGATGTTCAATCCTCAAAACATTGGTTTTTTTAAGACAAAAGTTATATATAATCTAAACTTTCATTGATATGGGAAAGGCAGTCACGCATGATGGTCAACAATAAAATCCTAAGACCATTATAAAATATAATGAAGATCAAGGAAGAGGCCCAAGACACACTATTAAATACAAGTAACAAGTTGCAGAATAAGAAGAATACAATTCTATTTTTTTAAAATATTGTGTTTCTATATGTATTTTCTAAAATAAAACATACAAAGCTACTTACAATCAGCACCCAGGGGAGCAGATCTAAGAGAGGGGAGTATTCCCTCTCTTTTTGATACGCTGGTTTTTCAGAATGTATTACTACTAGCCCCTGCTATTATTATTTTTGAGATTTAACCCGGAACCCTCTGCCCATACACAACAGGCCTGTCACTTTCAAATATGTAATCAATACATAGACTTCCATATTCTGAGTAATTATCTTCCATCCATTGACCCCTCCGAGTCTGTCGCTTCCACATTACACCCTCTGCAATATATGAAGACAGTTGCCACATACCCTTCAATCTTCTATTATCCAATTAAATATCCCAAGTCCCTTCATGTACTCCTTATGGGAACAGTGTCCAGGGTTCTCCATTCATTCTTTTTTAGAATGCCAAGACACATTTCCCTGTGCTCCATCTGTCTGGAACAATATAGAATGGTTCTATTATCCCCTTTATTTTGGAAACAATTTCAACAGATGCACCTAAGAGCTTAATTAGCTCTTCTGACAACCATACACAGCTGTTTATTAAAAATACAAGCATGGAGTATGGAGTTCATAGAAATTCTTTCTACTGTCTTCACAATTTTTCTATAAATCTAAAACTATTCTATAAAGTAGAAGTCACAAAATAAAATCAAATATTCTATTTACAAATATAAAATGTAACTTGAAAATTACTATTAGGTACTATGCTCACCACCTGGATACAATATACCCATATAACAAGACTGTACATGTGCCCCCTGCATCGAAAATAAAAGTTGAACACTAAAAAACATGTCATTTGAGATCATATTTCCCTCAGAAGGAAATTTTCTTCACAATTTACTTCTTGAGTTTTGTAGCAATTTACTTATGTGTGACTGATACGATACATTTTGCTGGCATCTGCTTATGCTAGTGACATTACTAAAACCATCCAAAAATGTTATACAATAAATAGTTTTAACAATAAGTTTAGAAGAAAATTCATAAATATTCAGGAACACAAATAATTATACCCCCTCTGAAAGTTAAAAAAGAAAGAAAAAGAAAAGCCTGACCAACACGGTGAAACCCCCTCTCTACAAAAAAATACAAAAATTAGCTGGGCATGGTGATGCACACCTGTAGTCCCAGCTGACTGGCAGAGCTGAGATGAGATGATCGCGTGAGTCCGGGATGTCCAGGCTGCAGTGAGCAGAGATCATGCCACTGCACTCCAGCCTGGCTGACAGAGCAAGACTCTGTGAAAAGAAAAGAAAAGAAAAGAAAAGAAAAGAAAAGAGGGGAAGGGAAGGGAAGGGAGGGGAAGGGAGGGGAGGGGAGGGGAGGGGAGGGGAGGGGAGGGGAGGGAACGGAAGGGAAGGGAAGGCAAGAGAAGACAAGAGAAGACAAGAGAAAAGAGAAAAGAAAAGAGAAGAGAAGAGGAAAGACAAGACAAGACAGAGAGAGAGAGAGAAGGAAGGAAGGCAGGAAAGAAGGAAGGGAGGAAGGGAGGGAGGGAGGAATTCCAAAAATTGCCAGGGTAATTTATAGATTCAATGCCATCCCCATCAAGCTACCAATGACTTTCTTCACAGAATTGGAAAAAACTACTTTCAAGTTCATATGGAACCAAAAAAGAGCCCGCATCACCAAGTCAATCCTAAGCCAAAAGAACAAAGCTGGAGGCATCACGCTACCTGACTTCAAACTATACTACAAGGCTACAGTAACCAAAACAGCATGGTACTGGTACCAAAACAGAGATATAGATCAATGGAACAGAACAGAGCCCTCAGAAATAACGCCGCATATCTACAACTATCTGATCTTTGACAAACCTGAGAAAAAGAAGCAATGGGGAAAGGATTCCCTATTTAATAAATGGTGCTGGGAAAACTGGCTAGCCATATGTAGAAAGCTGAAACTGGATCCCTTCCTTACACCTTATACAAAAATTAATTCAAGATGGATTAAAGACTTAAACGTTAGACCTAAAACCATAAAAACCCTAGAAGAAAACCTAGGCATTACCATTCAGGACATAGGCATGGGCAAGGACTTCATGTCTAAAACACCAAAAGCAATGGCAACAAAAGCCAAAATTGACAAATGGGATCTAATTAAACTACACAGCTTCTGCACAGCAAAAGAAACTACCATCAGAGTCAACAGGCAACCTACAACATGGGAGAAAATTTTCACAACCTACTCATCTGACAAAGGGCTAATATCCAGAATCTACAATGAACTCAAACAAATTTACAAGAAAAAAACAAACAACCCCATCAAAAAGTGGGTGAAGGACATGAACAGACACTTCTCAAAAGAAGACATTTATGCAGCCAAAAAACACATGAAAAAATGCTCATCATCACTGGCCATCAGAGAAATGCAAATCAAAACCACAATGAGATACCATCTCACACCAGTTAGAATGGCGATCATTAAAAAGTCAGGAAACAACAGGTGCCGGAGAGGATGTGGAGAAATAGGAACACTTTTACACTGTTGGTGGGACTGTAAACTAGTTCAACCCTTGTGGAAGTCAGTGTGGCGATTCCTCAAAGATCTAGAACTAGAAATACCATTTGACCCAGCCATCCCATTACTGGGTATATACTCAAAGGACTATAAATCATGCTGCTATAAAGACACTTGCACACGTATGTTTATTGCGGCACTATTCACAATAGCAAAGACTTGGAACCAACCCAAATGTCCAACAATGATAGACTGGATTAAGAAAATGTGGCACATATACACCATGGAATACTATGCAGCCATAAAAAATGATGAGCTCATGTCCTTTGTAGGGACATGGATGAAATTGGAAATCATCATTCTCAGTAAACGATTGCAAGAACAAAAAACCAAACACCGCATATTCTCACTCATAGGTGGGAATTGAACAATGAGAACACATGGACACAGGAAGGGGAACATCACACTCTGGGGACTGTTGTGGGGTAGGGGGAGAGGGGAGGGATAGCTTTAGGAGATATACCTAATGCTAAATGACAAGTTAATGGGTGCAGCACACCAGCATGGCACATGTATACATATGTAACTAACCTGCACATTGTGCACATGTACCCTAAAACTTAAAGTATAATAATAAAAATAAAAAAAAATAAATCTTTAGCTTACTGACTTTAAATTCTAATATTATAATTTATCAATTTAAACTTTGAGTTGGTTCACAAATATATATATCTCCAAAACAAGTCCAAATACATATAAGAAATCTGTAAGAATAATATTTTTAAGGAAACATTTAAGTTTGGCTCATATTTCCTTTCTTAATCACAATGCTAAAGTTTAATGCATATTCATTTGAAAAATTAATGTTACAGTAAGTTATTTAATAATGGAATACTGTATGTTTTAAAAACAATGATGATATAATTACCTTAGATAAATGTTTGTAGCTAAAACATATGAAATATCACGAACAGTCTGTGAATAGAATCAAATCAATGAAACTTTTGTAAGGAATACTGCAATATTTAAAATGCTCTGATTCATTAATATAAACACTCTGCCAAGGAAAGAAGTATTTTTTAATGTTTAAGGGAGTCCTCAGGAACAGGACGGTCATACTATAGATGCCTTCCTTTTCTCCTTCCGAGAAGTGACTTCACATCATTGAAAACTAAATGACCATCAGAAGTATCCTTGGGGTGAAAAATAAGCCACAATAGGACAAATAAAGACTGAGGGGTTTATAAGAAAGCAGAAAGGAAGGAGTGAAACTTGGCTGGCTGCAGGGATGAGAGAGAGAGAGATAGTGTGTGTGTGTGTGTGTGTGTGTGTGTATGAAACTTGGCCGGCTACAGGGATTTGTGTGTGTGTGTGTATGTGTGTATGTGTGTATGAAACCTGGCTAGCTGTAGGGATGTTTGTATGTGTGTGTGTGTGCGTGCACGTGTGTGTGTATGAAACTTGACTGGCTGCAGGGACGTGTGTGTGCGTGTCTGTGTGTGTGTGTGTGTGTATGCACATGCCCCTGCTAGTGCACATGCATAGTTCAGGTTGTGGTGTGTCTGGAAACTAGTAATGTATTTATAAGTCTTGGATCTTAATTTTTTAAAATATAGCAGTTGCGGATCTAGCTATCAGTTTCTCTCACATTGCTGACTCTCCGCTGAATAGTTAATTCATGCATTGGCCCCTCTAAGTGGAGCCTTAGAAGAATAATTTGACATTTTGCCTTGATGGAAAAGAAACAGGCCAGTAGAGAAAATCTTCATTCTAAGCCAGCATGGGCCGAAAGGATGCAGGGCGGTAAACCTGCTCACATTTTACTCATTCCTCCTTGTTTCCTTTATCCTGACTCTTCCCACGTGGTCTGCAGGGAACTGGATCAAGGGTGAAACAACAGAGATGTCGAGGGAGATACCTTTCTCACTCTTAAATTACTCACATCTCTGTGTAAACAAAGGAGTGAGAAGTGTGGCAACTAAAACTACATAGAGAAGATATGCAATTTGACTGTAAATACAGAAAACTCCTTTCAACAAGAACACAACTGGTATGGTGGTAGGGAAACTGCATTATTATTATCTGCTTAAAAGTATACAATAAATACATACTGGCTTAAGACTTGATAGCTTGTAAATAATATAAATAAAGATGGCTCAAGACTGCTTAAAAAAATACCCACTGTCTTTAACCATGCTTTTAGATAAACTCCACCCAGACCAAGAAAACCTACCAGTGGTATTTTAAAGATTATTTTTTTCATTGAGATGTTCTTTTCTTCTGTCATGAAAACAGTGAACATGTAGAAAAGTATTTTTCAATTAGCTATACAGATTTCTTCTACGCAGGCCCACTCAAAATAGATCAAGACTTCACTGTGCTTTATATTTGAAAGATACTAACATTGTTGTCACTGGACTTTTCTTTCATAGCACCTATAAAAATTTTAATTCTTTAGACATTTGTGTGATTATTTGCTTCATGTTTGCACCCCCACCCCCAATAATCCAGGATTGTAAGTTCCAAGACAGGAGCGGCCAGGTTTTATTTGTCCGGGTGTACCTACAATGTTAATGTAGTCCTTGATACACAGTTGGTGACTGGTATGTATCTTTTGAAAGAAAAAATAAGAATACCTTTTATCATGGCTTTTTATAAAAAGATCGATGATGAAAGATCTAAATAAAAAGCAAACTTTTAGAGAGAGAAAGAGTTCATCCTAAAAATAACATGGAATTCTGAGCAATTTGCATTCTTATAGTCCTTATATTGATGCCAAAAACAAATAATAATTTGTTTAAAAATACCTTTTTAAAGATAAAACATGTAATCACCATAACAACTGGAAGCAATAATGTCTTTGTGTATCTCAGCGGAGTCTGAAATATACCAAATTATTCAAAATGGTTACTTACAATTTTTACATTAAATTAGTAAACACCTATGTCAAACTAAGTGCCATGATAACATTCCTTAAAAGTAAAAGGTTAAATTTCTTTGTCATCAGCAGAATATATATTTATTGTCTTCCATGCCTTAATAAAATAATTAAAATTATAAAAATAGTTATAAAAAGTATTCCAAAAATTTAATGAAAAATTTATTATTTTAATAAAACTAGAATTGCTATATCTATTTTTTCTTTTCTGTTTTTTATTTACATAATACTAAGTTTTAAAATGTGTGTCTACCGATCCCTGGGTCCTACGTTGTAACTTTCTGTACTACACAGCTCCATTATTTTCATTAGTGAAACTAGAGCTAACAAGAAAGAACGCTAACCAAAGTTAATGACTAAAACTATGAATAAGTACAGAAATAACATTGGCTAACTAATTCTGATGACCTGTTATTGTAATAAGGAGTAATTTACCATGTAACTAAATTATACATTTCTTAAAAGCAAGAAACCAGTTCATTTTCCTATTTGTCGTGCTATAGCAAACTGCCTCATGGATAACTAGTGGTCAATAATAGTTTTTGAATGAATGGGATGACTGGTTGGATGGATAAGAGAAGAATGTAAAATTTTATTATTTACCACTAATTCAGAATTCATAATGATTACACAAGGAATAATCAATCCAGTAGCAACTTTGTTATGTCCTATGAAGAAAATTGAGCTACAAATAGAGGAAAGAGCCCTGGATTGAGAGTTCTAGAATCCATTAGAATCCACGTCCTGATCTTGGCTTGTGTGTGCTTTAGGCAAATCTTTTAAGCTTTTCTTTATCTGCAAATGAAAGAACTATATGGCATGGTCTCTAAGAGCCCTTCCTGATCTTGTGTTCCATGATTCTACAAAGAGGCCAATTTTTTTTTCTTTTTTTTTGATACAGAGTCTCACTCTGTCACCCAGGCTGGAGTGCATTGGTGCGATCTCAGCTCATTGCAATCTCCACCTCCAGGGTTCAAGCAATTCTCCTGTCTCAGCCTCCTACTCAGGCTGGGACTACAGGCATGCACCAACATGCCTGGTTAATTTTTGTATTTTTAGTAGAGATGGAGTTACCACCATGTTGGCCAGGCTGGTCTCAAACTCCTGACCTCAAGTGATCTACCCGCCTCAGCATCCCTAAGTGCTGGGATTACAGGGATGAACCACCACGCCCAGCCTATATTTTAAAGCTTTATAACATGAAGTTTTTAAAAAGAATAATACCTTGCATTTGTATAATTTAAAATGAATTTTTATATGTTCATTAAAACTCATCAGTAGCATACCTTTCTTGGTAACACCTTGTTAAAAATGTTATAATATTTGGGGTGTTAACTGTAATAAAACTGAATTTCTTAAAAACAGAAACAAGAATTTAGACTTTTTCCTGAATGGTCCCATATTTCCAAGTGGCCTAGATTATCAAAAGTAATTGATTTGTAATAATAGTAATTATTATGGGTCATATAGTATGTTAAATACTCTTCTCAGATTATCTCATTTAACCATCATCAATAACTCTATAAGATAGAGGCTATCTTTTTTTTTTAACAGACAAAAAAAACAAGTGAGGAATGTAGATTAGCAAAAGTTACAGTAAAAAATATAAAATAAGTTGACTGTTTCTGAGCAAAAATTTTGAGTTTCAGATTTTAAAAAACCTAGAGCAAAAAACTCATATTAGTAGAGAAGGAAAAAAGAAACATTCATACCGCTTTTTCCATGAAGTCAAATTCGGGAGCACAGGTATATATTAAAGTATCAAAATCTGTATACCTTAAGATTCTGGCTGCTATAAGATCACTCAGGCGAATCTGGGAGAAAATAAAGTAAAATGAATTAAAATTACACAAGTGATTATAGCCTATAGACAGTAATACTTTATTGATGTAAGAATAACAAAGTTTATAGAGCAGATAAATCCAATATATTTAGACATCCCTCTAAGAAAACAAAAAACTACAGTGAACCAAATATACCATGTGCTGACTTCTCAAGATAACTGAAAATAAAGAGAAATATCATGAAAAATGAAAAGTAGAAAGAAGTTAGAAAAAACAAAGAGAAGATGATAAAGAGTGAGCTAAAATCAATATCTGCTGAGAATAAACCACCATGTAGTTAATTACATTTTATAATAAGACAATTTATCATGAAAAACTATTTTACTTAACCTCTTTCAACATACATTGTAGGTCATAAGCTTTCTGTGCACTGTCATTTTCACAAAGCCTCGCAGACTGATTACAATATTTGGTACTTCTTGATATTTTATAGACATATATTCAAACCATTGAATATGAGACCTGATCCTCATAAGAATTACAATAATTATACATACGACTTTGATCTTTGACTTAGCTATTTGATCTCCAAGGCTAAAAGTAGATACCAACAACCAAACCCAATGCAGAACTTCTATTTTTCTACTGATTATATACAACCTGCTCTTGGTGAGACAATTATTTTTCCACAGCATCCTCAGAAGTCCAGAAAAAGGAAAATATTTGGCAAGTAAACTCTTAATTCAAATTATTTTATAGTGACAGAAATTATTTTATAACAAATTTGATGATTATGAGTGGTTTTCATTCAATTATTTTTCCTAATCTACCAGTACTCAAGGATAATTTAGAGTTGCACTTTATTTTTCTAATTTAGAATAGGCCTGGTGACTAACAGTAATTTAACCAAACCACTATAATTTCAGGTATTCCTCGTAACTGTCACATAAAGGAAGTCACTCAGGACTACCAAGGAAGTGTGTTTGCATTTTTTTTTTTTTAATTTGTAGGGCAGGCATGGTGGTTCACACCTGTAATCACCAGCACTTTGGGAGGCCCAGGCAGGCGGATCACTTGAGGTCAGGAGTTTGAGACCAGGCTGGCCAACATGCTGGAACCCCATCTCTACTAATAATACAAAAATTAGCCAGGTGTGGTGGCACGTGCCTATAACCTCAGCTACTCAGGAAGCTGAGGCACGAGAATCGCTTGAGCCCAGGAGATGGAGGTTGCTGTGACCCGAAATTGGCCACTGCATTCCAGCCTGGGTGACAGCATGAGACTGTGTTTCAAAAAACAAAAAAAAAAAAAAAAAAAGATTTAGATTTGTAAAGATCTGGGGGTCAATGTGAAGTAAGGCAAGAAACATAATCATGAACAAACTTAACAGATAAATAAATAACTTAGAAGGCCTAAATAAAGTTTATCATAAGACATATATAATAAAGTTAAAAACAATAAAAAGGAAAGGAGAATGGGGAAATCTGTCAGACATGCCAGAGAACAGCAGCAACAAATAAACTAATAAACCACCATGCAAAACTAGCAATAAATGGCAAATGCTTACATTTAGAAATTTTATTTAATATAAACATGTTGCATGTTATATTGCATAGAGATAGCATTTGACCTTTTAGAGAAGTAATACTATAATCCCTTGCCAAAGTACATAATTTCAGCATCAAACAGGGCCCTAATTGGATAGCATTAAATGAGGTAAATTTCAAAATTGATTATTATATGATATACTCATGTATGCTTATTTCTAAACAGAAAGTGCTAGAAATAAAAAGTAGATTCATGCATTGTTTTCTATTCCCTAAACCAGTTAGTTAAGCAGGGACTTAGGCCTTGAAAAGGGCTACTCTTTAAAACATTAACAAACAGAAATACTACATGAGAGATAAATGCTCTGCATGTATGTCCTAGAAAATGAAAAGATCAAAATTTTTTAACATTCTCTTTTTATATAACAAGAAAGGCCTTAAAACATCAAATCATACATTGATTTTAGTCCACAGTTATAAATAAATAAAACAATATTGAGATTTTAAGAGTTCTATATTTTCAAAGCTGAGGACAGCCTCCCATATGTTAACATCTGCAATAAATGGATAACTTATGATGTAAACAACTAATTATTTGTATTTTAACTGAAATATAAACAAATAACTACTTAACAAACTATTAGTATTTTTTTACTAAAAGGGCAAGTCAGCATTCATGAATATTTTTTCTTTTTAGTGGGTTGCAAAGATCACTGAACTGCAAGACTTTATTATTGACTCTGCCAATAACTCGTCTAGAGACCTTAGAGAAGGCACTTAACCTCTGTAAAATGAAGAGATAAGAATAGATGGTTTCAAAGTTTTCATTCAGCTACATATTTATAAGAACTTTCATGTTTTAACTAAAAAGTACTTACGTGGTCTGAAACGCCTAAGATTTTAGATGTCAGAAATTTCAAAATGATTGTTCCACACCACCAGGCACTACCTTGAATTAGCTAGAAAATAAAATAGAAGTCCAGTATTTAAAACTACAAATCACCCAGCTAAAGTATTCAATTATGTCTACAAATGACATAGAAAAAATTTAATTATGTG
Source organism: Homo sapiens (assembly GCF_000001405.40). NCBI lineage: Eukaryota > Metazoa > Chordata > Mammalia > Primates > Hominidae > Homo > Homo sapiens. Next base: position 63,600,487 of record NC_000012.12, read on the forward strand.
AGGTATAAATGGTGAAGTTTTTAAAAAAAGTTCCTTTAGAAAATCTTGTTTAAAAGCAAAGAATTAAAACTGATGACACTGGTATAAAATATATAGCAACACTAGAATTCTACATATCCTAAATCTTTTTTTTTTTTTTTTTTTTGTCTTAAGGAGTGAAAGGTTAATAGCCAAGAAAGAAAGAAGGAAAAAGAAAACAGCTCCCCGTACAGAGACAGAGGAAGGGGGGATTTGAACAAAGAAAAAAACCCGTGTGCATCGGAAAAGTGGCTGCTTATACATATCCTAAATCTAAAGGAAGTTTTTTTTTTTTTTTTGAGAGGGAGTCTCTCTCTGTCCCCCAGGCCGGAGTGCAGTGGCGCGATCTCTGCTCACTGCAAGCTCCGCCTCCCGGGTTCACGGCATTCTCCTGCCTCAGCCTCCCGAGTAGCTGGGACCACAGGCACCCACCACCATGCCCGGCTAATTTTTTGTATTTTTAGTAGAGACGGGGTTTCACCGTGTTAGCCAGGATGGTCTTGATCTCCTGACCTCGTGATCCACCCGTCTCGGCCTCCCAAAGTGCTGGGATTACAGGCGTGAGCCACTGCACCCAGCCAATCTAAAGGAAGTTTTAAAAGGTTACTTCCTTTTGATTTCTGTTAAGAAAAGGGAGTGTTTATGTGTTTGTTTCCAAATATTATTTCTCAGCTGAAAATCCATTTTTTAAAACACTACCTTAAAAGTTCTTCTACCACTCCTGTGGAAATATATGAGCCCATCATCAAGAAATAACAGTTTGAAATGTGAAAACTTAAGCTTTCCTTTAAGAAAGAGGAATATGAACTAGAACGGCAATGAGGCTTCTGTGTTGTTGTTGTTGTTTATTTTTTGACTAGCCTTGATTAAAAAGGGAAGAATTGTGTACTTCTGGTTAGCCTGGGGAAAGTTACAGCAACCTAAATTCAAATCTCTGCATATATCAACCAACAAGTAGAGCAATACAACCACATACATGGCAAAAAACTTCAAATTACCTATGAATCGAAAAGGAGGCAACGAATCTATAGAGTTATACCTCAAGTCCCTGACCTAAGCCTTTGCAGAGAATGAGGGGAGACCCATAAAAGGATAAAGAAGAAAAGGAAAGACAGGGGTCAAAATTGGAAATAAAATAACCCAAGAAAGAGAAAAGTCCATCCTATGTGTAAAAAGAGCTCTGGGAGATTGGTAAATGGGAGTACAGAGCAGGGCCTAAGAGTGAGTAGGAACAAAAGCACTGATGTTAGAAAGGCATTATTTCTGGAAAGGAAGGAGGATAAAAAGGGGAGTGCAAGAAGGAAAAAGTATCCAGCAGGAAAAATGAGAACCCAAACCAAAAGACTATCCATCACTACTGCCATCATGCACAAAAAAAGAGAAAAGTTATTCATTGAAAAAAATCACACTATGCTACATTTTCAGAAGAGGTTTGCACTTGGACTAGAAAACACAAAATAATTAATAGATGAAAAAATGCCTTTATAAATATCCAAAGCTTCTTTAAGAAGATAACAAACATGAAAATCAAATATTTCAGCTAATGAAATCCACACCACTGAATGATAAAATCTCACAAAACAGAAGAATATTATGCAGAATTAAAAGTTGAACTAAATATCCTCAAACGAGCATTCAGAAATATTAAAAAAGCAATTTAAACAAGAAATTCAAAAACCAAGAACAGAAATGGGGAAAAAAGCAGAAAGAAATAAAGAGTTTATTAGACATAGAAAGGGAATGGAAGAAAAGGAGAATACTATCAAAAAAAATAAAAACTGAATCACAAGATGATAAAAAGAAAAATTCAAATAATGAAGGAATTGAAGTAAAGGCACTAAAACAATGATGAAGAATGAAAATGATACCAGAGAAAGATGTGGGAAGTATCAGAGAAAGTGGTAGAAATGGAAGAAAGGCACATAATTATAACTGGAGTGCCTGAAAAAGAAAACCACAGCAATGAATCAAAACTAGTGTTTAAATTATAATCCAAGAAAACTGTCCAGAAATAAAAGAAGACCTGAATCGGCATTTGGAAAGGATCCAGGGGGTACTGGAAAAAATTAATCTGGTATGGTAAACTAACTCAAGGCATCTTTCAGTAGAACTATGAAAAATGAAGAAAAATTCCTCAGAACCTCCAGGCACAAAAGTCACATAATTTATAAGGGACAGAAGAATTTGGCTAGCATCAGACTTGTTAAAAGAAACATACAAACCAAAGCAGTGGTGTAGATGTATTTTTAAGAAACTTTAAAAATTGAGAACCAAGAATTTTATATCTAGCCAATCTGTCATTCAAGTATAGACGTTATTTAAAGAAGTTGAAAATATGCAACAATTGAGGAAATAATAGTAACTTTCCTAAATTCAAAAAGTTTAAAATAAAAGAGAATCATATACAGAAACAAAGCAAATATAGTCAAATATACATAAAACTTACAACAAAGGTTTTCACATTATCTCACAAAGCAAAGACAGACTCAATTTATGCTACACAGGGAAGACAAACAAAAACAGATTCAGAAAGGTGAAAAATAGAATGATGGCAGCAGCATGGCAGGCAAATGCCATTTCCATATGGAAACTAAGGAAGACATTTAAAGCAAGGATAAGAAGCAAATTCATGGCCTCAAAAGCTTTATCAATAAAAATGAAAGAGTGAAAATAAATGAATTAAATCCTTGACTTAAAAATCTAAATAAAGAATAACAAAATAAAGCAAAAAAAGTACACGAAAGGAAATACACATGGGAAGAATAGTCTATTATATCTACCCCTCTGTGTATCTATTTTGCTGTTTTATATTTCTTCCCTACATTCTAGGATTCCTTCTTGCATTTCCTTTTTGTTTCCAGAACTTTTTAAATTTTAAGTTCTGGGGTACATGTGCAGGATATGCATGTTTGTTACATAGGTAAACATGTGCCATGGTGGTTTCCTGCACCTATCAACCCATTACCTAGGTATTAAGCCCAGCATTCATTAGCTACTTTTCCTGATGCTCTCCCTTCCCCTACCCTCCCCTGACAAGCCCCAGTGTGTGTTGTTCCCCTCCCTGGGTCCATGTGTTCTCACTGTTCAGCTCCCACTTATAAGTGAGAACATGCAGTGTTTGGTTTTCTGTTCCTACATTAGTTTGCTGAAAATAATGGCTTCCAGCTCCATCCATGTCCCTGTCAAGGACATGTTCTCATTTCTTTTTATGACTGCATAATATTCCATGGTATATATGTATCACATTTTCTTTATCCAGTCTATCATTCATGGACATTTGGGTTGATTCCATGCTATCAAAAAAAGAGCTCATATAGCCAAGACAATCCTAAGCAAAAAGAACAAAGCTGGAGGCCTCAGGCTACCTGACTTCAAACTATATTACAAGGCTGCAATAACCAAAACAGCATGGTACTGGTACAAAAACAGGCACATAGACCAATGGAAGAGAATAGAAAACTCAGAAATAAAACCACGTATCTACAACCATCTGGTCTTTCACAAACCTTACAAAAGAACTTCAATTAACCATTCTTTAAGGTTCTCTGCTAGCCACAAATTATCTTAATTTTCATTGATTAGAGAATGTCTATTTCCCCTTCATTCCTAAAGGAAACATCCACTGGATATGTAATTCATCTTGACAAATGTTCTGCCCCAACCTTCTGGCTTCCTTACTTTCACATGACAAGTCTGCTACAATTCAACTCAATTTTGCCCTGTAGGTGATGTGTCATTTCTCCATACCTGCTTTCAAGATTTTTTTCTTTTCATTTTAAAAGTTAACTTATAATGTATCTTGGCATGGATTTCTCTGGGTTTGTCTTACTTGGGAATCGCTCAGTATCTTCACTCTGCAGGTACAGATTCTGCAGGTGTGTCTTTCACCACATTTGGGGAGTTTTAGCAATTACTTCTTAAAATACTATTCAGCCCCACTCTCTTTTTCCATTCCTTCTGAAATTTTGATGATACAAATATTAGATCTTTTGTTACTACACCATAGGTCCCGAAGGCTCTGTCCTTTTTCCTGTGATTTTCTCTCAATTTAGATTGGGAGATTTCTATTGTTCTGTCTTCAAGAGCACCGATTGCTTCCTCTGTAATATTCACTCTGCTACCAAGTCCATTTATTAAATTTTAATTTCAGTTATTGTATTTTTCAGTTCTATAATCACCAAGTTGTTCTTTCTTAAAAAAAAAATTCTGTGGTGAGCTTTTATAGCCTTTTCATTTGCTTCCAGAGTAATTAAAACTGCTCATTGAAGTGTTTTTATGATGACTGCTTTAAAACCCTTGTCACATAATCCCCACATCCTATTCATCTCAGTGTTGACATCTGTTGACTGTCTTTTCTCATTCAAGTTGTTATTTTCTTCATTCTTGCTATGATGAGTGGTTTTTCTACTGTGTCCAGTACATTTTTTATATTATGTTAGAGACTGTGGATCCTATTTTAAATTTCTATTTCAGCAGACAGTCACTTTGTTTTTAGGTTTATCACGCAAGTCCTGGCCTACTTCTGTTTGCTATAGTTACAATGACAGTTTAGTTTTCAGAGCCTTTGCAGTGCTAGTGCTATTCTGGTCAGCTTGATTCATCTGGTGCCCTGGTGCTCCGTCTCAGCCCCAAATCATGCTACCAGTGTAGGAAGAATGTACTTCCCATGTCCTGTTGCCATGAGGTGGAGGGTGAGAGACACCAGGATTGTGGGCTAGGAGGTCGGTAAGGAGCAGAGGGCTCTTTCCTGGGCTGCCTAGTCCTAGCAGGGCACCTGTTAGTTCCCTGCTGCTGCTACCTGCATGGGCAGGCTTCTTGGAGGGAATAGTAGATACCAGACCCACATCATAGAGAGCATTTCCCTGGAACCTCTTTCTGAGTGTCTTCTGCCACTGGATGGAGTTTCAGGAGATGGCAGGCTGTGGTGTTTTTCTGTGCGTTCTGAGGTACCTAACTAGTCTGCCTTTCTATAGCATTAGGCTGGGATTGGAGCTATAGTTATGAAATCATGATTTCATACACACACACGTGTGCACACACGTGCAGTGAAAGGGCCTAGAAACAAGGACACACTGGTAGTAATGAGTGCACATACCACTCAGGTCTTGGTTTCCAAATACCATTGTCCTCTAAAAGGAACCAGGGCTCCTTGGAAAAATGGCTGATTCCAAGGCTAGCACAAGGAAAATCAAGAAAAGCCTGGAGCATTATAAATTTATAAAGACATATCAAAAAGACATCCAGCTTAGGAACATTCAAAATGGCTAGGCCTGGAACTGATATTTGTGTATAACATCTGGTTTTTCTCATATAGATAGACTATCCCAGCATCATTTAGTGACATGTGACCTTTAAGACAATCTTGCTGAAATTGCTTTGAATCTGAACATCAACTGGGGAGAACTGCATTACATGAACCTTCATACACATAAATGTGTTTTATTTTTCTATTTATATCTTAGAAATTTTAAAATAAATTTCCCCATACAAATACTGTATGTATTTTGTTAGATTCATTCAGATCCTATGCATTTTTCTTCCTAATACATAAGGCATATTTTAAAAAAATATGTTTTCTGTTTGTTGCCAAAGAATAGAAATCCAATTGATTTTTTAATATTAAACTTATATCTAGCCATGGTATTGAATTCTTCTAATTTCTAATAATTTGTCAATTATTTTATTCTTTCTAGGTAAATATGATACTATAATAAATTTTGCTTCTGTTTCTTTCCTTTTCCTATTATTTACTTTTCTTGCATTACTAGGCTAGTTTGGACCTTTAATAAAATGTGAAAAAGCACATTTATCTTTATATTGATTTTAAACAGAACACTCTAAATACCTTATTATCGGTAAGACTAATGACTGCTGAAGAATTTTACTGGGTTGAGAAAACTGTTATTTATACTGTGTTAAATGTTTTCATTATAAATGGGTGTTCAATTTTATCAATTTTATTTTCTGCATCTAATGGGATGATCATAAGATATTTTTCTCTTTTAATCTCTTAGTGCGATAATTTACATTTTTGGATTTTCTAGAAACATCTTTCGATTCCTAGAATAAGCCAGATTTATCACAAGTGGATTATCTTTATCAGATATATGGCTGTTCTTGAGTTACTAATCTTTTACACTTTTGTGTGTAAGGAATGTTTTTAATCTAGGTGAAATTTTGAATCTATGCTCACAAGTAAGAATATCCTTTCTCATACTATCCTTATCTGGCCTTAGTACTGAGCTTTAGATTATCTTGGAGGTTCCATTTCCCTTCTTGTAATGATTCTCATGCTTCATGATGCACACAAAGTTCCCCTTTGTAAATTTTGTAAATTTCAGCATGAGCTCAATTCAACAATTACTTCATCACCAAAAACTGGAGTCTCCCATTAAACAGTGAACTTGCTTCTATTGACATTAAACTCTAAAGTGAATCACTTATATCTAAAAATACCTTGTTCAGGTTGTGTGTAATAAATACTTATTTTTGCCAAAGATACACAGAGCAAAAAACAGAAAATAATACCTAGGGAGGCTTAAAAAACATGTAAGCTGAACATTTGGTTAAATCTCAACTTTTCCTTCCTTAGATTTTTTGTTTCTTTGATATTCTTGATTTTAAAACTTGGTCAATTCATGTTCTTTCCAGTCTATTACTGAAAATGTTGTTGAAAATGAAGACAGTTAATTTTCCTTTGAGTGCAGCCTTGGCAGAATTTTTTTTGATGCTTATGGACACTCTTCTATTTATTGTCATTTTTCAATAGTTTGCAACTGAAATTCTGACCTCCTTTTGAGTTATTAAATTGCTCAATTTTTCTGAAGTGAAAGAATTATATATTACAAGTGTAATGTCGATATGTGAATTTCTACAAAGCCTGCATGTCTAAGGACAGGTGACCTGGGTAAAGAGTCAAATTGGTAGAACCAACAAAGAATAATAAAAAGACAAAAAAAGCATCATGCCATTCATTCAACAACTTAGTGGACAAATCTTTCTATATTTTCACCATAAAGGATGGGAGAATGCCTCCAACAAGGAGAAAATAGCAACTCCTTCCATTTTGTTCTCTTGTATTGTGGGTAGGAACCTACCTCCTCAACTTGTAACATTTCCAGACTTATCCTTTCAATATATAACATGTAAAGATACAGTTCATTTCTTCTGTCACCCAGGGTGGAGTGCAATGGGGTAATCATGGCTCACTGTAACCTTCCAGGGCTCAAGCGATCCTCCCACCTCAGCCTCCTGGGTAGTTGGGATCACAGGCTCATGCCACCATGCCCAACTAGTTTTTCTATTTTTTGTAGAGATGGGGTTTTGCCGTGTTGCCCAGGCTGGTCTCAAACTCCTGGGCTGAAGCTCTCTGTCCACGTTGGCCTCCCAAAGTGCTGTGATTATAGGCGTGAGCCAGTGTGTGTGGCCCAAGGTTTATTTTTTAATAGAAGAACATCACAGACCAGAGAAAAAGAATATTGTCTGTCTCCTGTAAGAGAATTTAGGAGTTGCACTACCTGCCTAATAACTTATTTTACTAGGAAACCATGGAGGTAATATGGGCCATCCATCTGCATATTTGGGAAGAAGCCAAACAAAAATTAGGTAGTGGCTGAGTTCAAATTAGAAGGGGCTGGGAGACTGTAAGGAAAATGTTAAAAGGACAAAAGTAATAGAGTCTAAAGTTGGAAGCAGAAGGAAAGAGAGACAGATGATGGATAGATGCAGAGGAAAGAAAAGGAGAAAGCTGGCAAGAAACTACAAACTTGAGTTATGTTGAAGGGAAGGTTAATTGAAGCTAGAGAGAGAAACTCAAGACAAACAAATTTTAAAAAGCAAGGCTGTATGGATATAGCAGAATGAAACATAAAGGAAGAGTGGCCTGAAAGTTAGTTGTGAAATATGTGAGCTAACTTCTTGAAAATGATTTCTAGTCCTTGCTAAGGACTATTTCCTTACATATCTATCTACCTTAGATAGTAACTATTTTTAAGACAGTAGCTATTTATTAACTATAAATCATTAGCATTTTAAAGCATATTAACTGTGTTCAGTTTATAGAAATAAAAAGTAGAATTTAAATAAACTGCATTAAAAACATTGAATCTTACCCAAAAGTTGAGTTTAGATACTCCCAGTTTTTGAATTTCATTTCTCTTTAGAATTATTGCCTAAAATGCACATAAGGGAAAATGAAACAATTCAATACAATTAACATTTATATTTTGTATAAATGGTACATTTCAAAAATTATATAGCCACCCTGTTCCATCTCAGCTATCACCAGCCATTTTCCTCCTTAACTGTTGATTTTTCAAATTTTGGACAAATTTTGGCAAATTTCCTTGAGGTGAGAGTTAAATGGTTTGTGTGTCAAAAAGTTGCCTCATTATTTCCTCACTTAAATACCCTGACCATTTTCTGCAGGCTAATTCCTCTACAAAGATAAATGGTATGTGAGCAGATGAGAGCAACCATGCAAGTCTGTATGTCAGTTATCCAGCAACGTTAGTGAACTAAACTAACATGAAAATCCTTCCTCTCCAAACTGCCGAATAAAATATTTAAACATGTTTAAAAAATATATACTTATGTGAAAGAGAAAGAACTTCTCCGATGCTAGAAAAAATATTATTTTTAAAAAATACAATATTAATCAGCAGAGAAGCACCACCCCTGGCAGTCTTTATAAAGGCCTGTAGAATAAGGTTCCAACTATAGGCTTGTATTGTAAGGGGAGGGCAGCAGAAGAGGCCTTGGGTCTATGCAAGGTAAGAAGTTGGGATTGACACTAATACATAAAGCTAGGGTCCTCAAAACTATACCTGCAGTGCTATGAACTGAGTATTTGTGTCCACCTCAAATTCACAGACTGAATCTTTAATCCCCAGTGTGATAGTGTTTGGAGGGTGGGCCTCTAGGAAGTAATTGAGTCATGAGGGTGAAACCCTCATGAATGGGATTAGTGTGCCCATATTACAAAAGACTAGAGAGTTGATGTCTCTCTCTACCATGTCAGGACACAGCAAAAAGGCTTCTGTCTGCAAACCACAAAAAGGGCTTTCACCAAGAACCAAATCAGTTGGCACCTTGATTTTTGAACTGCTCAGCCTCCAGAACTGTGAGAAATAAATTCCTGTTGTTTAAGCCATCCTGTCTGTGGTACTTTTGTTACAACAGCCCAAACTGACTAAGACACACAGTGACTAAGAATACTTCACCTACCATCTCTACAAGTTGATAGGTTATTTGTTTATTCCCAAGTTTGGGGTGAAAACAGTGCTCTCATGAGAAACTGAATTCTCGGACTTGCGTATTATTTAGACTTGGATTCCAATTTTGTATCATTTAGTTGGTGTAGAAATTCCCAAAGTGAGCCAGGATTACTAAACTTCCAATAGGAAAATATAAATGTATCAGATGATTCATTGCAACATTGTTTGTAAATGCAAAAGTTAGGCAACAACCTAAATGCCCAGACATAGGAGAGTGACTGAATTACAGTAAATCCACAGTAGAACACTAGGAAACTACCAAGAAGAATGAGGAAAATCTCTATGAACTGATATTCAGGATAGGTTGTTAAATGAAAAAAAAAAAAAGGCAAAAGACTATCTTTAATATAAGAAGAAGAGATATAAAAAATATACATGTAATAGTTATTAGTACTTTAAAAAGCCAACTAAATGGGTCAACCAGAAAACTAATGAGATTTCTTACCTACAGCGAATAGGCAGTAACAGGGTGAAAAGAAAGGTAGAGTGAATGTGCTGGAAGGAATAGTGGGAAGTATTTTCTGAGTATAATTATATATATATATATCTTCCTCATTGAAACATGGTAATGTTTCACCCAAAGTAACTAAAATCAATCAGAATGAAACTTCTGCTTCTGTCCAAGTTTGTATAACAGGAACCACATTTACTTTCTCACCCTAAAAAACTAAAATACCAAGAAAAATAGATTATAGAGCAACTATGAACAATTATATGCCAACAAATTAGATAACTTATAAGAAATAAATTTCTAGAAACATACAACCTACCAAGAGTAAATTATGAAAACATAAAAAAAACTCAACAGATCTATAACTAATAAGGAGATTGAATCAGTAATAAAAATTTTCTCAACAAAGGAAAACCTCGAACCAGATGGCTTCACTGGAGAATTCTATGAAACATTTAAATAAGAATTCACACCAATCCTTCTCAAGCTCTTCCAAAAAATTGAAGAGAACACTTCTATACACATTTTATGAGGCCAGCATTACTCTGATACCAAATCCAGAAAAAGATACTACAAGAAAACTACAGGCCAGTACCTCTGATGAATATAGCAAAAAAAAAAAAAAAAAAAAAAAAAAAAAAAAAACCACACACACACACAAATATTTCTTTTAAAAATGAGCAAAGGACTTGAATAAACATTTCCCCAAAGAATAAATACAAATGTCCAACAGGTATTTAAAATGATGTTCAACATCACTTATCATCAGGGAAATGTAAATCAAAACCACAATGAGATACCACCTCAAAACTTAGGATGGCCATTATAAAACAAAACAAACCAAAACTAAACCAGAAGTAACAAGTCTTGGCAAAAATGTAGAAAAATTGGAATGCTTATGCACTGTTGGTGGGAATATAAAATAGTGCAGCCAAAGGGCACATCAGGTAGTCTACACAGAAGAGTTTGCTTCAGAGAGCAGCAATATTAGCCATAAACTAACCAGTACTTTCATTCCAGCTAACAAATCTTAAAAGCAAGACCTGAAAAGATCAGCCTATGTTCAAGTGGCTTAACTGCATCACAGAAAAAAGCTCAAGAATATCTATAGGAATAAGAAAATAATCCAGCAGCTAACAAGGTAAAAGTCACAAAGCCTGGCATCAAAGTAAACATTGCCAAGCCTGCAAACACTTAAGAAAACACAGCCCCGATATGAGAAGAAGAAACAATTAATTGAAACCGACACAGATGACAGAATTAGCAGGTGGAAGCACTGAGGCAGTTAGTATAACTGTATTACACATGGTGAAGAAGTGGTAACAGAGAAAGAACATGTTAACTAGAGACACAAAAATACTTCAAAGATCCAAAATGAACTTTTAGATATGAAAACTACAATGACTTAAAAGAGAAATACACTGGATGTGATTAACAACAGGTTAGATACTGCAGAAAAACAACCAGTGAACTCTTGAAGACACAGCAATAGTAACTATCCAAAATTAAATTAAGAACAAAAATAAACATAGGCTCCATGAACCACTGAACAATTTCAAGCAGCCCCATATGCATGTAGTGAGAGTCCCTAAATGAAAGTGAAGTGGGGAGGCAGAAAAATATTTGAAGAAATAATGACCAAAATTTTTCCAAATTTGATAAAAATTGTAAACCTAAAGATCTAAGAATTTCAATTAATCCTAAATACAAGAAACATAAAGAAAGCTATAGTAAGGCACATTATATAAACAAACTGCTCAAAATCAGTGGTAAAGAGAAAATCTTATCTCTAGCTAGGAATAGCTAGAGAAGTAACATATTATTTACAGACGAAAGCGTAGGGATGTCAACAGATTTCATAAGAAAAAAATGCAAACAACAAGACAAGTCAAGCAGCATCTTTTAAATTCTTAAATAAAAGGGCTGTTAACCTGCAATTCTACACCCAGGAAACATACCTTTCAAAAATGAAGGCAAAATAAAGACTTCATGACCAGGTGATTTGCACTAAAGGAAATGTTAAAGGAGGTCTTTCAGACAGCAGGAATACAGTAGGTCAATCTGGCTGTACACAAGTAAAATGCACCGAAAATGGTAACTACAGGGTAAATATATAACATTTTAAAAATTTCAAATACTTTTCAAAGGTAATTTACTGTTTAAGTAAAAACAAAAATTTATTGAGATTTCTATATCACATGTTTAAGTAAAATGTATGACAATAACATGAAATAAATTTAAAAATGTACTTTATCAAAATATGTGGGATGTTGATAAAGCAGTACTTTGAGAAAAGTTTATAGCACTAAACACCTGTGTTTAAAAACAAAAAACAAGAAAGGTCTCAAGTCAATGACCTTGCTTTATACCTTTAAAAAAAAAAAAAAGGACTAGGAAAAAAGGAGAGCAAAACCCAAAGTAAGCAAAAGAAATGAGGTAATAAAGAATGAGTAGAAATCAATGAAACAGAAAACAAAAGCAGTAGAGCAAATCAATGAAAACAAAAGCTCGTTCCTTAAGAAAATTAATAAAATTGATATACCTCTAACCAGACTGATCAGAAAAAAAAATAGAACACAAACATCTAATACCAGGAATGAAAGAGGAACTATCACTACAGATACTATAGATACATAAAAGAAATAAAATATTATGCCTTTGTCAATGAATTTGACATCATAAATAAAATTTAAAAATTCCTTGAAAGATACAACCAAAGTTCACTCAAGAGGAAATGGATAACACGAATAGCCTTATACCTTATTAATGAAATGGAACTTGTAGTTAAAAACATTCCTACAAAGAAAGTCCTAGATGGTTTCACTGGTAAATTCTACCAAATATTTAGGGAAGAAATCATAAGGATTTTACACAAATTCTTCAGAAAACTGGAGAAGAGGGAACACTTCATAACTCATTTTATGAGGCCAGCATTGCCATGATACCAAAAAAGACAAAGATGTCACAAGAGAACTATGAACCAATTATTGTCATGAACTTAGGTGCAAAATCGTAAGTACAATTTTAGAAAGCTGTATCCCACAAAAAATAATAAAACAGCATGACCAAAGTGAGGTCTATTCAAGGAATGCAAAGATGCTATAACATTTGAAAATCAACCAATATAATGCAGCACATTAACAAAACAGAAAAGAGAAACTATATGATATCATATCTTCGAAATTCATTTTTGAAAAAACTCAGCAAGCTGAACAGAAGGGAACTTCTTTAAGCTGATAAAGGGCTTCTCTGAAAAATCCTATAGCTAACACAGTTACTTAAGGATGAAAGACTGAACAATTAAACAAAACTTACATTTCAAAATGAGCCATTTAAAATAAGATATTTTAAAATACTAAAATATGTGAAAGAATGACACAAATCAAAATTAGAAAAACTGAGAAATGAGCTGACAGAAATCAAATAATTTGAAATAAAACAAAAATAATTTCAGACATAAAAAACTAGAAGGAATATGAGGAAATGAACATAATAATAATGCCTTAAGAGCTATAAAAGGTGAAGAGAAGAAACTTTTAGAAATAAAAAAAGAAATAAGATAAAAAGTATTCAAGAGAAAGTGATACGTTTATAACGTATCAAAACTTGTATAACTTTTAATAGCAACCCTTTTGGACAGAAGTAAAACAAGTTCTCAAAGCAAAAAATAAAAGAGACAGCTGGGCGTGGTGGCTGACACCTGTAATCCCAGCACTTGGGAGGCAGAGGCAGGCAGATCACCTGAGGTCAGGAGTTTGAGACCAGCCTGGCCAACATGGTGACACCCCGTCTCTACTAAAAATACAAAAATTAGCTGGACGTGGTGGCAGGCGCCTGTAATCCCAGCTACATGGGAGGCTGAGGCAAGAGAATCTCTTGAACCCAGGAGTTGGAGGTTGCAGTGAGCCAAGACTGCACCATTGCACTCCAGCCTGGGCAACAAGAGCGAAACTCCGTCTCAAAAAAAAAAAAAAAAGAAGAAAAGAAAGAAAAAGTAAAAATAAAAGAGACAAGAATTTTACATAGAGCCAACTTCACTTTCAAGTAAAAGGTGACAAAACAAACTGACAAACACATCAGAATTGAAGGAATTCTCTTGTAGAACAAGACTAAAATAACCAAGATAACTGGGAGATAACGACATAAAGACTGGTGATAAATAAATGCATATTTCTTCACATAAAAACATGAAATAAGGTTGATAAGGCAGAAAGTACAGTATGCAATACTCTGTTCTGACAATATAGATACAGAATTAGTAAAAAAAATAAAATGGGTGAAGAGAATGAAAGAAGGATATGCAAAAAATTCTTTATTTCTCATAATCATGTGCGTGGTGCAGTATAGCAATTCTCATGCACACACTTTGGGAGAAGGCAAATGGATATATGATATTCTATCATCCCCTGGCTTCTTGAGACCCACAAGAAACAAAAGCAAATACAGGATAGAAAGAGTTAAGTAAAAACCCTACATTCTTGAATTTGATTTGGAAATACCCATCAGAACTTGTGAGCTAGTTTACCATAAATGCATGCACACACACATATTTTCATGGTAGATTTTTAAAGAAAGAGAGCCTGCAACCTATAATATTTCCTAGCTCTGCCCACTAATAAGGCCTAGAAACAATGACCTACTCAGTATCAATGAGCATCCTTGGGTCCCAGACTGCGGTCTTAAAACACCATTTCCCCAGTAAAGGCAACGAGGGTGCCTTGCAGGAATGGCTTCCTCCAGGTTTTGGGCAGGAGTACACAAGAGAGACCTGGAAAAACTTGTCATACATGACACAAGTATGCTATCAGACCACGAGTGTCATGTCAGAGAACTTAGTAGAAACCTAAAGAGGCTCCCCTGGTCAACAAAGAAACAATCTGAGAATGAGTAAAGATGTTAATTTCAATTAACTTGAAATACATAAAAAATGTTTAAATCCCTATGTTCCTAATGAAACCTAAACACACATATACACAGCCCAAAGAGCCTACATTTGGAAGATGACAGGGAATCAATTCATTATTTTTAAAACTTGCAAATAAAGAGGTAAATCAACATTTACTTTACTTCTCCTAAATGAACTTTAGATGACAGATTAGAATGTGACCACTTTGCAATCCCTAATGAATTAACAGAGCCAGCATAAGGCACTGAAGGCTAGTACCATAAAGAGAGACATTATGTGCCTTTTAATGAAAGAACAATACTAAAGACTTGCAAAAGTGATCAAGCCTGAAGCAATCCAAGTTTCAGATCCAATTTCTAATATATCAAGCTATACCATGAGACAAAGGAACATGCTTAGCTACACCACAGGAACTCAAAAAGCAAAATCTGGACCATGAAATCCTCCACATGTTCTATGACTGTGGTTCTTCAACAAATAAATTTCATGAGGATAAAACCAGGCAGATATGCAGGAAACTTGTAGCTAAAAAGAGAAACTTAAGTGATGAAACTATAAAGGAATGCTGGAAAGTTACTATCATAGCAGTCAAGATAGTCATTATCGTTTTAGGGCAGTACAAGGGAGTGCTTTGGGACAGGTCACATGGAGGCTTCTACACTCATTTAGAGAGTTATAATTTTGATATAATGGTAGTTTAAGAATGTTTGCCACATAATACATAACACAGTCAGCCCTCCACATCCATGGGTTCCAGTTGCTGCAGATTCAACCAACAGCAGATAGAAAATATTTGAAATAATAATAATACAACAGTTTAAAAAGTACAAATGAAAAAACAATACAGTATACAACTATTTGCATAGTATTTATATTGCATTAGACGTTATAAGTAACCTAGAGATGATTTAAAGTATATAGGAAGATGTACATAGATTATATGCAAATAACACACCATTTTATATAAGAAACTTGAACATCTGCAGATTTTAGTATCCACAGGGGTTGGGGGTGTCCTGGAATCAATCCCTGCAGACACGAAGGGGACATTGTACTCATCAGTATTAGCCAGCACTAAGTCAGCACACAAAACATTTGCTTTATGCAGTTTTATCTGTACTATATTTCAAAATAAAAAAGTTTTCATTAAAAGAGGTAGATGAGCACACTATTAGGAGTCCTCTACTCTGTAATGGTGAAATAGTTTGACAAAATGTTGGAAAGAAAGAGCATTTTTTCTGGGAGAGAAAGAGGAGGGATTACTATGAGGGAAGAAGGATACGGAAAGCAAAAATGTTAAAACATAAGGGCAATCCCAAAAGATTAAATCACTGCACCATACATGGAAAAGTGCTATATTTTGGCATTACCGTAGTTGGTATCATTTCTGATCAGTGTGGAGATGGGAGGTACAGGAGAATATTCTAGGTTCTGGCTTATAGATATCAGAAGTATAACTACAATGTAATAGAACTGATTTACTAAACCACCCTTCCAAACACATATCCAAAAGAGTGTCATTCCATGTAGTTCCCGTGAGGAGACTGCACACTTATTCTAATTATCTTGCCATCACTCAAAGTAGTTTGGAACTACACTTTCTAAACTGCCTTCAGAAATAATTTAGTTATAGGTGCAAAATAATCGGTCTTATGACTTTACTGTCACACCATCGTTTGAGCAAGATCTGTATTACCCAGCCCAATCACACAAAATATTCACAAAATTTTGGTCATTTCCAAAAATCAAATCCACTCTTGAAAGGCAAGACATACTAAAGAATGTGCCATAGTCTGTGAAGGAAACTCAGAGGAGTTCCAAAAATGTTCTGGGCAATGGCAGTGTCACTGCAATGAGTACTTAACCTCCTCAAGTGACTTAGGAGAAAAGAAGTCATTTTTATCATAAAATGGGATATGATTAAAGTAAGTCTTATTACTTTATGATCATTTTTAAATATTTACTTGGGCACTGTCTTAAAAAGAAAAACTTCCTACTATAGTATTTTTCAAGGATAAGACAGATAAAAAGCTTTGCTTGGGAAGAATTTTGTCATGTTGAGTGATAATCAGGAAAGGGCCTATTTATTCTCTTATACCTGTTTTAGACAGGAAAACATGCTATTTGGCAGGTTAAAAAAAACCAACTTTATGAACTAAACACTTACCCACGTCATTAACAAAGATGAAGAATAATAAGAAGATAAGTACATTGAATTTCCAAACATCAAAATGAAACTAAGGGTAACTGAAATCTGAAAAAAATGAAAAAAATACATTTTATGGTTATTACATATATTGGCATAATGCATATTTTGTAGGTATATAGCCATTTCTAATGCAAATTTATTTGCATAAAGATGAATGACTCTTGGCCAAATGATAACAGAATTTCAAGTCACTGCTAGATTCTAAGTATTAAAATTCAAGACCATAAACTCTATCTGGCAGAATTTAACTTTTTCTCCATCTGCTACTTGGAACAATGAAAAATAAGTCTATGATTTCTATTGTTTTAACAATGGAGTAATATAATAAGAAAGACTTAGTTATAAATACCAGTTTTACTAATCATATTTTTGTTAGACTTCAGGACTTCTATTATTTATGAAGCTTTACTAACTTTTTATGTTTTTAAGGAAGCTATGTTTGGGACCTAAGCCAAAAACAAAATTGCAAGAATATAAAATTTCAGTTAGAGTGTCATATTCAGGCAAAATGCTAAAAATCTCATGTCTGAGAAAGAAAAGGCAGTTTTAAAAGTAGTAATAATAATAAGTAAAACAAAAATAAAAGTTCTAGAGAATAAAACACATCTACAGTCCAGTTGAAAGTATAATCTGTTATAATATGTCATCTATAATATACATTTCCAGTTTTCCTTCTGGATATCACCAATACCATATGTATTAAATATTACCAAAGAGGAGGTACCGTATAAAACAGAATCACTTCGATTTTATAAACTCTGAGAACCTATCTTAATATTTGACTTATATATATTAAAAATGTTACCATGTTCATATAAATGATCTTCTGAAATTTGCTTGGTTCAATGTATCCCACAACATACATGGGAAATAATGATGCTATCTGAAATAATATAAAAAAGCAAAAGTGAAAAAAAGTATAGAAAACTAACACTTTACTATTCACAGGCAAAGTAAATATAAGAGGAGGGCTACAGTTCTAATAATGGTAAGCAAAGGAATTTGAACCAACCTTCCCACTAAGAACTAGAATGGCTAGGAAAAATATAAATATATAAATAAAAATATTTTTTAAATACGTATAAAAGCCACAGACTATTAACAAAGCAAATGCAGAATTAAAAAGATGGATGGCAATCTATACCGATGAGCATGACATTTTAGGCCACTTTTCTCCCAGAGGTATCTGCCAATTTCAACAGAGGCAGATGCCTTCCAGCTGAGAGGCAGTTGGAAGACCAACAAGCTGAGCAGGCATTTCAGCAGATTCAGCAGAGTGCACCAAGAAGGGTGCTTTAGTTTGGAGTTTCAAAAGGCCATACTATAATAGTGAACCAGAAATCAAGCAGCCCTCAGAAAGACTGAAACCCATCTACGGATCATCTCAATCTGATTGCATAAAGGTGGTTCAAGATTTATCAGTGCTTTTTACTCGCCTCTCCAATTTTTCATGTATGATGTCCAGCACCACATCAAAAATAACCCAACATAGATGGAGATAAGACACTATCACTAACATGATAGAAATAGATCCACAAAAGATTTAGATCAGGGATCAGCACATTTGTTATATAAAAGGCCAGATAATAAATATGTTATGCTTTGTTGGTCACATACAGTCTCTTGTATATTCTTTTTCTATTTTTGTTCTATAACCCTCTAAATATATAAAAATTATTCTTAGCTTGGAGATCACTCAAACACTTCTCTGGCATAATCAGATATATCTTTAAACTATGCTTCAAATGTTCAAGGAAATAACTGATAGGATTGAAAATTCCAGGAGAGCACAGAAGTCATAAAAAAAAAATTGGGCCAGGCATGGTGGCTCACGCCTATAATCCCAGCATTTTGGGAGGCCAAGATAGGAGAACTGCTTGAGCCCAGGAGTTCAAGAGCAGCCTGGGCAAGATGGTGACACCTCATCGCTACAAAAAATTAAAAATTAGCCAGATGTGGTTGCACAATTAACTAATTTTAACCTTAATCTACGAAAAACACAATTAAGAATAAAATCTTAAAGTACTTCCAGAAAATAACATTGAATTATCCCTCTGTAAGCATGAAACACACACATACAAACAAAACTATATACATTAGTAAAGAAAAATGAAAGCCTAGTATATATCCAGAGAATGACTAGAAAAACATTAACAGCAATATCAAACTTCTTTTTTTTTTTTTGAAACTGAGTCTCACTCTGTCACCCAGGCTGGAGTGCAGTAGTGCAATCTCGGCTCACTACAACCTCCACCTCCTGGGTTCAAGCAATTCTCTGCCTCAGCCTCCCAAGATTACAGGAGCCCACCACCATGCTCAGCTAATTTTTTTGTATTTTTAGTAGAGATGGGGTTTCACCATCTTGGCCAGGCTGGTCTTGAACTCCTGACCTCAAGTGATCCACCCGCCTCAGCCTCCCAAAGTTCTGGGAGTACAGGCGTGAGCCATCACACCCGGCCCCAAAGAGCTTCTTAGTTTCATCAGTATCACTGGATTAATAAATTTGCTTGCAATGAAATGATGCTCATTAAAAATCTATTCTACTCTGTTGGCATGTGCAAATAATGAAAACCATAGAATAATGTCTGTGTTATAACCTGAAAGGGGCCAACTTTTATGAAGTTAAACAGACGGAATACTTTAAACATGCAGCACCAATTGAGCTGGGGTTATAATTTCATTCTTTGTAGGCTATTGGCAGCATGAGACTTCTTGGCAGAATTTCTCACTTCCAATATAGAATATTATTATTATCATCAGCATTTGTTATGTAGGAAGGAGCTCTGATGGAAAATCTTAGTATCATGAAATGTCATCAAAATTCTCCATTTACTCTCTGCTTCCCCAGTTCAGTTTCTTGTTACTAGTTATGTAGTTGCTTTAGAAACAGGATATGGGCTCAGCTCACTTAAGCAATGATGAGCTTTATGATTAAAGCTCACAGAAATGGTTCCAGGTAAAATTCTGCTATACAGACAAAACAGCCAACATTCAGCTGAATTAGAAGCAGAACGTCCTGCTGTGAAGAGCAGGATTGGCCCTTGGCATGCTGTGTAGCTTGGCACCCAGAATGATTCCCAGGACAAAAGGAAAATCTATAGGTAGATATATACAGATATTATCTCAAACACCAAAAATAACATTTGTGAATAAAAATAATACAAAAAGTCTTTCACATGCCGAGCCTTAAAATCTGTCAAACTAACCAATACAGTAAAAGAATGTGGAATTATATTATTTCATAAAAATCATACCTTTAAGTAAACTTTATTCCCTATTTTGAAAATCTTTTAGGGCGTAAATGTAACCATATTTAAAAATTTATATGGAAACAACCAAGTACATCTTGCGTTCAACTTAATTAATATACGCAAAGGAATATAAATCATTCTATTACAAAGACACGTGCACCCATGTCTTCATTGCAGCACTATTCACAATAGCAAAGACATGGAATTAACCCAAATGCCCATCAGTGATAGACTGGATAAAGAAAATGTGGTACATATACACCACGGAATACTATGCAGCCATAAAAAGGAACAAGATCAGGTCCTTTGCAGGGACATGAATGGAGCTGGAGGCCATTATCCTCAGCAACAGGAACAGAAAACCAAACACCACATGTTCTCACTTATAAGTGGGAGCTGAACAATGAGAATACATGGACACAGGGAGAGGAACAACACACACTGGGGCCTGTCAAGGGATGGGGTGGGGAAAACATTAGGAAAAACAGCTAATGCATGCTGGGCTTAATACCTAGGTGATGGGTTGATAGATGCAAAAACCACCATGGCATACATTTACCTACATAACAAACCTGTACATCCCGCACATGTACCCCAGAACTTAAAATAAAAATAAAAATTAATTTAAAAAATCATCTTACCTGTGTAAAAAGTATAAACTGAGCAAATTGCCAGGGAAGCATAAAAGCAACATTGGAAAGACAGAGTGCAATGAAGGGCCTTCTATCATTGCTTGAGGTCCTTAATAGAGAGAATTGATACCAGTAAGTTTCACCCTAAAAATGGGCTGTCACTGAAAAGAAAGACTAATTGCAAAATGATAAAATCTACATTATTCCATTACCTTTACTATAATACAACAAAATATAGTTAACTTCTTAAAGTATACTAAAAAGAACTTGAAATACTTCATTCCTTGCATGAAGCAATCAAAATTAGAGTTTTAATATTAACATTGTAATTTACCATTAAATATTTTAAATACAAAAGCTCTTTTTCCTCTACATATGCATGACATTAGAAATTTATTACTCCAGCAAGGAGGTCAGAAAATAGGATGCAGCACTGCCCCTGCACACCTCAACATGCTTCTCCTGTATGTGTAGCAACAACTTTTATATGCCACAACTTTTGTGCTTCAAAAAACTTTGAAGAGAAATATAAGTGCTGACAAAGTAATAAGTTAAAAACTATGGGAAAAATTTAAGGAGAAGGAATCTTAAAAAATTAAAAAATCATTCTAGAATTCAGCTGAAGCATGTGGAAGTTTAAATTGTCCATTCTGCATTACTGAGATGTATTGGGAACCAATACCTTTTACCACAGAGAATTACAGTAACTTTTAGATATGAAAAAAGAAACACAAACATTTTACATAAATAGTAAAACTGCAACTCTTCCTTTTATAAATTCTGTATTGGATTTTGATGAATCTTTGTACAATCGTATATAAATTTTCAAAAACAAAATTCTAAATGTTCATATTGTTTACTAATATTATCATAAAATACTCATTATGTACTTTGTAATCTTATATTTTTCAAACAAAAATTACTTTTGACTAAGACACAGAGTATAGCACATGCCCTCAATGATACAACCCTAAATGTTCTAATTAAGACATTTTATTCCATGAAACCCCTGACTGACCAGACTGATATCACTTCAAAAAATAAAAATAACCCACCTTCCTAGGAATTAAACTGGGAATGAATAGCAAGGGGTGATGAAGAATGGGCAGCTTCCATCACCTAATCTTTGAGAGAAGGCAAAGTGTAGAGCAAAGATATAGAAATCTGAATGAGGAGGAGGTTCCTAAATCCAAATTCAACCGCAGAATATACTTGTCAGGTTGGTAAGAAATCAGAAGTTAGCCTGCTCCATTCTCAAGGTTTGTGCCACCCCAGTACACTACTATTTACCACTCTTCAATTAGCTTTATCTGAGTGCCACAAATATTTGCATGGACGTGTGCAGTGTTCTGTGGTTAAAGAGATAAATATGGCATGGTCCCTGTTTCCAGTGGTACTTTTAAATACATATAATTGGCCGGGCACAGTGGCTCACACCTGTAATCCCAGCACTTTGGGAGGCTGAAGCAGGCAGATCACTTGAGGTCAGGAGTTCGAGACTAGCCTGGCCAACATGGTAAAACCCTGCCTCTACTAAAAATACAAAAATTAGCTGGGGATGGTGGCGTGCACCTGTAATCCCAGCTACTTGGGAGGCTGAGGCAGGAGAATCGCTTGAACCCGGGAAGCAGAGGTTGCAGTGAGCCGATCGTGCCACTGCACTCCAGCCTGGGTGACAGAGCAAGACCTCATCTCTAAATAAATAAATAAAAATTTGTGTATGTGTAGACGATTCATAAATTTACTGTTTTAAAAAATAAGGAAGACAAACAAATGACTTTTATATAAGGCAGAATCTCCCAGGGACTAGTAGGTGAAGAATGGGGTCCTCTGGGAGTTTGGAGGAGATAGTGATCATTATTTCATTCAGTGAGAGTTCTCATTAGTATTCTATCAAACTTATTTCTCTGATAAGGTTATTTATACTATTCTACCACTTATGGGGTTTTTTGTTCATTTCTCAGACCTCTTAAATATCTAAAATGCTTATAAATGTAATCCCTACAAAAAAAGTGTATCCAAAAAAAAAAGTTTGAAATGAAACTGGTTGTCCTGTTAGAAACATTGGTTGTTCAGAAATGCTTCATAAATATGTGAATATATATACTCCTTATCCATCTAACTCCGCATTTCCCAAATTCATTTGCACACAGAACACTTTTTTCATGGCACAGTTATCAAAACCACAGGTTAGAAAACAATGTCAGAGTACTTAAACTGTGAAGAGAAAATGTAATTGTTTCTCAAAAACTTTTGAATCTTGGCAAACTATATACAAACGCATACCTTTTGGTTTATTAAAACATAATGTAGTTATCTAAAACCTGTAGCCTACACTCTTAAATGGAGAGCAATTTTTACATAGCAATTTTGAATTATTTTCTTAACTCTATACTCAATTTACTTTTAAAATAACTAAAAAATGGTCTAAATTTGGTAATTACAACTTCATAGATTGAAGTGTATATATGTAATATATATATTTACATTTTTTTAGAGGGAGTCTTGCTCTCTTGCCCAGGCTGGAGTGCAGTGGCACAATCTCGGCTCACTGCAACCTCCACCTCCTGGGTTCAAGCAATTCTCCTGCCTCAGCCTCCCAAGTAGCTGGGATGACAGATGCACACCACCATGCCCGGCTAATTTTTGTATTTTAGTAGAGATGTGGTTTCACCATGTTGGCCAGGCTGGTCTCGAACTCCTGACCTCAAGTGATCCACCCACCTCAGCTTCCCAAAGTGCTGAATTGAAGTATATTTTAAGAAACTTAAATTATAATTTATTTGCCTTCGTTTTATAAATCGAAGTTACCTGAGAATCAAAGTTAAAATACACATCTGAAGTACAAGGAAAGGATAGGAAAAACTTTCACGGAGAGGTGGTGTCCACATCACACGGGTGGCCTGAAATCAACAAAATGCCCACTTTACATCCTATTTACTACAACAAACATATTAAAAAACCAGGGGTGAGTTTGTTTTAGTAATTTTAATACTAGGCTCACTAGATCCCATTTCTGAGTGTCTGGCATAGCTTCTCAGTTTTTGAAGCTCTCTTAACTCATGAGGCCATTATGTAGACAGCAATTAACTACCATGTCCAGAAACCAGCAACAGATATATCAGACCGAGCAAAAGGAAACCCAAGGGACAAACAAGATTGTACGTATAAGAGTTGTGAAAATTCTGGAACTGACCAACTAGATCCACAGCCCAGCCCTGCAGTATGATCCTGGCATATGATCCTGGCATCCCAGGCTTTGGGATATATGCATGCCAAGACAAATAGCTAAACAAATGTCACCTAGGTCATTTGCAAGCACCAAGAGAGTTTCTACATAACAAGTAGGAATGAATATAAATACACACTTCGAATAGCTAGGATTGCCTCAGAATTTGTAAAATGTACCGTAAAAAAAGGTTAAGTATATATTTTAAAAACAACTAGAAGTATTTGGGAACTACAAATGTGATGCAAGTAATAAAGGTATTAAATTTTCATACGAACTTTAAAATTACTTCTAAGACATATGGGTCAGAGTATTGGAAAAATTTTCCATCAAAAATTCTGAAATTCTAGAAAGAATGTGAACTCTTATTACTTTGCAAGAGTCTTAAAAGTTATTGCTTCTCTTCCAAGATACCAAAATTGTAAATGTTGGAAGAGGAATTATGATACATATAAGAAAGTCAACTTATACCAACAGTTGTCTGGAACACTCAGAGAAAAGCCTTTGTCTTTATGTCAGCACATTGTTGAATGACAATGCATTTGTTTGCTTTAAAATAATATATATAAGGATTTTATGTATAATTTTTATGATTCCTTTATCTAATTGATTTTTAAAAATTAACCCAAGAGCAATGGATAAAAGTACTTCTACCCTGGCTTGGCATGGTGGCTCACGCCTGTAATCCCCAGTATTTTGGGAGGCCAAGGTGGGTGGATCATGAGGTCAGGAGTTCGAGACCAGCCTGGCCAACATGGTGAAACTCCATCTCTACTAAAAATACAAAAATTTAGCTGAGCATGGTGGCACATGCCTGTAATGCCAGCTACTCAGGAGGCTGAGGCAGGAGAATTGCTTGAACCTGGGAGACAGAGGTTGCAGTGAGCTGAGATCACGCCACTGCACTCCAGCCTGGGTGACAAAGCAAGACTCTATCTTGAAAAAAAAAAAAAAGTACTTCTACCCTATGTAACCTGTGACATAACATATTAAATGTATTGCTCCCAAGAGCTAGTAGTCAGAATCTCTCTCTTTTTCAATGCCATATCCTCAGCATCTAGCAGAGCATGGACATGGTATGTACTCAATAATTTGTTGAATGAATCCATCATATTTGAAATAAGCTTCTATGAGCTCTTTTTTAGGTGGACTATGTTTCATTGGGCTGAATTAGTAAGTTAATGTCTATTTTGAATTGAGCATTTTGCATTACTGAACAGACAGCATGATGTAACAGAAAGAAGTGAGGGAGCAGGTGGCAGTGTCTTAACTGTGTCCCTGCTGTCAGGCCTGAGGCCTCTTTCATTGTTGTTAAGGGGAGTGCAATGTATACAAAGTTTCAGTTAGGCAAGATGAATAAGTTCTGGAGATCTGCTATACAACATTGTGTTAATACTATATTGTATACTTAAAAATCTGTTAAGAGGGCAGATCATATGTTACTTATTCTGACCACAATAAAAAGTTGAATATATATGTTATATATATATAATATATAAGTTTTTATAAAATATAACTATAATTTTATAATTTATAAAATATAAATTAATATATATGTGAGGTTTTAGAGGCAGACAGATATAGAATGGGAAATCCAGCTTCATCATGTAGTAAATGTGGAATGTGGATAAGTAACTTAACTTTCTCTAAATTTAAATTTCATAACTTGTATGGTGAGGCTACCACCACCCACAAAAAAAGTTTAGTGGGAATAAATCAGATAATGTGCATGATATGATTCAACTCAACAAGTACAATATTTCCTTTTCTCTACAGAATATATGTATATGTATATATTTACTAAAAATAAGGCAAGAGATTTCATGTTTGAAATTCTAGCTATTTAAACATTTCAATCAACATGCTTAAAATATCAACTTATTACACAAGGGTCTTTAAAATATTGTGAAGTCATAAGTAGTATACAATTAAATATTGTTTTGATGAGTATATTTCCTTGTTCCTCTACAGCCTCTTCTATTTCTTAAAAATTGCTTTCTAGAAAACAAACCTCTCCATGGTTGAAAAAGAAGCACAGTACTGTAATAAGACCTCCCAGTTGAGTCCCACTGTAAAAAAAAAACAAAAAAAACAGAGAATACAATCAAAATTCATGTAAAATACAGTGAGTTTTTCACAAAATTACCTCAGAATTTAAAATCACAGTTTTCTATATTTAAAACATCATAGTACTAAACCATACCCATGTGGTTGAAGTTTAAATCCTGAATGTATAATTCTAAAAAGTGTACGTATAAATTAATCTCAATTGTATAATTTGTTATAGCTAAAATACTTTCTAAATAAAATACATAAGGTGTGAACATAATTTTTTTTTTGAGATGGGATCTTGCTCTGTTGCCCAGGCTGGAGTGCAGTGTCGAAATCTCAGCTTACAGCAACCTCCGCCTCCTGGGTTCCAACGATTCTCCTGCCTCAGGCTCCCAAGTAGCTCGGATTACAGGCGCGTGCTGCCACACCCGGCTAATTTTTTTACTTTTAGCAGAGACAGGGTTTTACCATGTTGGCTAAGCTAGTCTCGAACTCCTGACCTCGTGATCCACCCGCCTTGGCCTCCCAAAGTGCTGAGATTACAGGCGTGAGCCACTGTGCCCAGCCACATAAAATCATTTTTAAGAAACAGACTAGCACTTTAGAGTCTAGATCACATCCTTTGAATACTCTGAATAAAAGCAAATTTTTATCTTTTGAAATTGGATTTAAGGGACTGAGAGATGAAGATGAGATTCTAACAGTTTCATGTAGCATTAACTTAGAACTGTCTAAACTACTGCAAATATTCTTTACTTGAGTCCCAGAGAAGCAATAATGCAGAATACAAAAATCAGATGAAAGATAAAAACCATTTCTTTTGTTGTTGTTATTGTTGTTGTTGTTTTGTTTTGTTTTGAGACAGAGTCTTGCTCTGTCACCCAGGCTGGAGTGCAGTGGCGCGATCTCGGCTCACTGCAACCTCTGCCTCCCTGGTTCAAGCCGATTCTTCTGCCTCAGCCTCCCGAGTAGCTGGGATTACAGGCACATGCCACCACACCTGGCGATTTTTGTATTTTTAGTAGAGACGGTGCTTCACCATGTTGGCCAGGCTGGTCTCAAACTCCTGACTTCAAGTGATCCGGCCACCTCAGCCTCCCAAAGTGCTGGGATTACAGGCGTGAGCCACCGCACCCGGCCAAAAACCATTTCTTAAATTGCCTTTTTGTGATCATGTCTGTGTATGAGAATGCAGATGCTCAATCCCACATCTGTGTAGCGTTTCTATGCTTCCATTTATCTTCCCTCCATACACCACTTCCCTAGCCTAACACATTCTAAGCACCATGAGGACAGGGACAGGTTCTTTATCTGTCTTGTTCATTACTATATCCCCAGCTTCACACTTGGAAGATTAATAAATACTGGTTGAATTAATGAAGAAAGGAAGAAAACAGCAGAGGAAAGCTCATGGGAAATGATTTACCATTTAATAAAGTTTCACTCAGAAAATACAAAGGATGAACTTCAAAGAGGAAGA
The DNA here is from genome assembly GCF_000001405.40 of Homo sapiens. Taxonomy (NCBI): domain Eukaryota; kingdom Metazoa; phylum Chordata; class Mammalia; order Primates; family Hominidae; genus Homo; species Homo sapiens. Next base: position 63,627,990 of record NC_000012.12, read on the forward strand.
AATTGAAAGAAAGAATGTGTGAGTAGCAAGGACCAATTGTCAATGGAGGAACTGGGGAAATGTGGATAAATCAAAGTAAGATGAGTTGGTGAGGGGTGGAGCCAAGATGGCCGAATAGGAACAGCTCCAGTCTACAGCTCCCAGCATGAGCGACACAGAGGACGGGTGATTTCTGCATTTCCAACTGAGGTACTGTGTTTATCTCACTGGGGATTGTCAGAAAGTGGGTGCAGGACAGTGGGTGCAGCGCACCGAGCATGAGCCAAAGCAGGGCAAGGCATTGCCTCACCCAGGAAGCGCAAGGGGTCAGGGAATTCCCTTTCCTAATCAAAGAAAGGGGTGAAAGAAGGCACCTGGAAAATCGGGTCACTCCTACCCTAACAGTGCGCTTTTCCAACAGTCTTAGCAAACGGCACACCAGGAGATTATATCACACACCTGGCTCGGAGGGTCCTATGCCCACGGAGCCTCCCTCATTGCTAGCACAGCAGTCTGAGATCCAACTGCAAGGCGGCAGCGAGGATGGGGGAGGGGCACCCACCATGGCCAAGGCTTGAGTAGGTAAACAAAGCAGCCAGGAAGCTCGAACAGGGTGGAGCCCACCACAGCTCAACGAGGCCTCCCTGCCTCTGTAGACTCCACCTCTGGGGGCAGGACGTTGCCAAACAAAAGGCAGCAGAATCCTCTGCAGACTTAAATGTCCCTGTCTGACAGCTTTGAAGAGACTAGTGGTTCTCCCAGCACGCAGCTGGAGATCTAACAACAGACAGGCTGCCTGCTCAAGTGGGTCCCTGACCTCCGAGTAGCATAACTGGGAGGCACCCCCCAGTAGGGGCAGACTGACACCTCACACAGCCGGGTACTCCTCTGAGACAAAATTTCCAGAGGAATGATCAGGCAGCAACATTTGCTGTTCACCAATATCCACTGCTCTGCAGCATCCACTGCTGATACCCACGCAAACAGGGTCTGGAGTGGACCTCCAGCAAACTCCAACAGACCTGCAGCTGAGGGTCCTGACTGTTAGAAGGAAAACTAACAAACAGAAAGGACACCCACACCAAAACCCCATCTGTACGTCACCATCATCAAAGACCAAAGGTAGATAAAACCACAAAGATGGGGAAAAAACAGAGCAGAAAAACTGGAAACTCTAAAAATCAGAGTGCCTCTCCTCCTCCAAAGGAACGCAGCTCCTCACCAGCAATGGAACAAAGCTGGATGGAGAATGACTTTGACGAGTTGACAGAAGAAGGCTTCAGATGATCGAACTACTCTGAGCTAAAGGAGGAAGTTAGAACCCATGGCAAAGAAGTTAAAAACCTTGAAAAAAAATTAGACGAATGGCTAACTAGAATAACCAATGCAGAGAAGTCCTTAAAGGACCGGATGCAGCTGAAAACCAAGGCACGAGAACTACATGACGAATGCACAAGCCTCAGTAGCCAATTCGATCAACTGGAAGAAAGGGTATCAGTGATGGATGATCAAATGAATGAAATGAAGCGAGAGGAGAAGTTTAGAGTAAAAAGAATAAAAAGAAACAAACAAAGCCTCCAAGAAATATGGGACTATGTGAAAAGACCAAGTCTACGTCTGATTGGTGTACCTGAAAGTGATGGGGAGAATGGAACCAAGTTGGAAAACACTCTGCAGGATATTATCCAGGAGAACTTCCCCAGTCTAGCAAGGCAGGCCAACATTCAAATTCAGGAAATACAGAGAACGCCACAAAGATACTCCTCGAGAAGAGCAACTCCAAGACACATAATTGTCAGGTTCACCAAAATGGAAATGCAGGAAAAACTGTTAAGGGCAGCCAGAGAGAAAGGTCAGGTTACCCACAAAGGGAAGCCCATCAGACTAACAGCTGATCTCTTGGCAGAAACTCTACAAGCCAGAAGAGAGTGGGGGCCAATATTCAACATTCTTAAAGAAAAGAATTTTCAACCCAGAACTTCATATCCAGCCAAACTAAGCTTCATAAGTGAAGGAGAAATAAAATCCTTTACAGACAAGCAAATGCTGAGAGATTTTGTCACCACCAGGCCAGCCCTAAAAGAGCTCCTGAAGGAAGCATGAAATATGGAAAGGAACAACTGGTACCAGCCACTGCTAAAACATGCCAAATTGTAAAGACCATCAAAGCTAGGAAGAAACTGCATCAACTAACGAGCAAAATAACCAGCTAACATCATAATGACAGGATCAAATTTACACATAACAATATTAACCTTAAATGTAAATGGGCTAAATGCTCCAATTAAAAGACACAGACTGGCAAATTGGATCAAGAGTCAAGACCCATCAGTGTGCTGTATTCAGGAAACCCATCTCACATGCAGAGACACACATAGGCTCAAAATAAAGGGACAGAGGAAGATCTACCAAGCAAATGGAAAACAAAAAAAGGCAGGGGTTGCAATCCTAGTCTCTGATAAAACAGACTTTAAACCAACAAAGATCAAAAAAGACAAATAAGGTAATTATATAATGGTAAAGGGATCAATTCAACAAGAAGAGCTAACTGTCCTAAATATATATGCACCCAATACAGGAGCACCTAGATTCATAAAGCAAGTCCTGAGTGACCTACAAAGAGACTTAGACTCCCACACAATAATAATGGGAGACTTTAACACCCCATTGTCAATATTAGACAGATCCCCGAGACAGAAAGTTAACAAGGATATCCAGGAATTGAACTCAGCTCTGCACCAGGCGCACCTAATAGACATCTACAGAACTCTCCATCCCAAATCAACAGAATATACATTCTTCTCAGCACCACACCGCACTTATTCCAAAATTAACCACATAGTTGGAAGTAAAGCACTCCTCAGCAAATGTAAAAGAACAGAAATTATAACAAACTGTCTCTCAGACGGCAGTGCAATCAAACTAGAACTCAGGATTAATAAACTCACTCAAAACTGCTCAACAACATGGAAACTGAATAATCTGCTCCTGAATGACTACCGGGTACATAACAAAATGAAGGCAGGAATAAAGATGTTCTTTGAAACCAACGAGAACAAAGACACAACATATTAGAATCTCTGGGACACATTCAAAGCAGTGTGTAGAGGGAAATTTATAGCACTAAATGCCCACAAGAGAAAGCAGGACAGATCTAAAATTGACACCCTAACATCACAATTAAAAGAACTAGAGAAGCAAGAGCAAACACATTCAAAAGCTAGCAGAAAGCAAGAAATAACTAAGATCAGAGCAGAACTGAAGGAGATAGAGACACAAAAACCCCTTCAAAAAATCAATGAATCCAGGAGCTGGTTTTTGGGAAAGATCAACAAAACTGATACACCGCTAGCAAGACAAAGAAGAAAAGAGAGAAGAATCAAATAGACGCAATAAAAAATGATAAAGGGGATATCACCACCGATCACTCAGAAATACAAACTACCATCAGAGAATACTATAAACACCTCTATGCAAATAAACTAGAAAATCTAGAAGAAATGGATAAATTCCTGGAAATATACACCCTCCCAAGACTAAACCAGGAAGAATTTGAATCTCTGAATAGACCAATAACAGGCTCTGAAATTGAGGCAATAATCAATAGCCTACCAACCAAAAAAAGTCCAGGACCAGACAGAGTCACAGCCCAATTCTACTAGAGGTAAAAGAAGGAGCTGGTACCATTCCTTCTGAAACTATTCCAATCAATAGAAAAAGAGGGAATCCTCCCTAACTCATTTTAGGAGGCCAGCATCATCCTGATACCAAAGTCTGGCAGAGACACAACAAAAAAAGAGAATTTTAGACCAATATCCCTGAAGAACATTAATGCAAAATTCCTCAATAAAATATTGGCAAACCGAATCCAGCAGCACATCAAAAAGCTTATCTACCATGATCAAGTGGGCTTCATCCCTGGGATGCAAGGCTAGTTCAACATACGCAAATCAATAAACATAATCCAGCATATAAACAGAACCAACGTCAAAAACCATATGATTATCTCAATAGATGCAGAAAAGGCCTTTGACAAAATTCAACAACCCCTCATGCTAAAAACTCTCAATAAATTAGGTATTGATGGGACATATCTCAAAATAATAAGAGCTATCTATGACAAACCCACAGCCAATATCATACTGAATAGGCAAAACCTGGAAGCATTCCCTTTGAAAACTGGCACAAGACAGGGATGCCCTCTCTCACCACTCCTATACAACATATTGTTGGATGTTCTGGCCAGGGCAATCAGGCAGGAGAAGGAAATAAAAGGTATTCAATTAGGAAAAGAGGAAGTCAAATTGTCCCTGTTTGCAGATGACATGATTGTACATCTAGAAAACCCCACTGTCTCAACCCAAAATCTCCTTAAGCTGATAGGCAACTTCAGCAAAGTCTCAGGATACAAAATCAATGTGCAAAAATCACAACCATTCCTATACACCACTAATAGACAAACAGAGAGCCAAACCATGAGGCAACTCCCATTCACAATTGCTTCAAAGAGAATAAAGTACCTAGGAATCCAACTTACAAGGGATGTGAAGGACCTCTTCAAGGAGAACTACAAACCACTGCTCAATGAAATAAAATAGGATACAAACAAATGGAAGAAATTCCATGCTCATGGGTAGGAAGAATCAATATCGTGAAAATGGCCATACTGCCCAAGGTAATTTATAGATTCAATGGAATCCCCATCAAGCTACCAATGACTTTCTTCACAGAATTGGAAAAAACTACTTAAAAGTTCATATGGAACCAAAAAAGAGCCCGCATCGCCAAGACAATCCTAAGCAAAAAGAACAAAGCTGGAGACATCACACTACCTGACTTCAAACTATACTACAAGGCTACAGTAACCAAAACAGCATGGTACTGGTACCAAAACTGAGATATAGACCAATGGAACAGAACAGAGCCCTCAGAAATAATGCTGCATATCTACAACCATCTGATCTTTGACAAACTTGACAAAAACAAGCAATGGGGAAACGATTCCCTATTTAATAAATGATGCTCGGAAAACTGGCTAGCCATATGTAGAAAGCTGACACTGGATCCCTTCCTTACACCTTTTACAAAAATTAATTCAAGATTGATTAAAGACTTAAACGTTAGACCTAAAACCATAAAAACCCTAGAAGAAAACCTAGGCATTACCATTCAGGACATAGGCATGGGCAAGGACTTCATGACTAAAGCACCAAAAGCAATGGCAAGAAAAGCCGAAATTGACAAATGGGATCTAATTAAACTACACAGCTTCTGCACGCAAAAGAAACTACCATCAGAGTGAATAGGCAACCTACAGAATGGGAGAAATTTTTGCAATCTACTCATCTGACAAAGGGCTAATATCCAGAATCTACAATGAACTCAAACAAATTTACAAGAAAAAAACAAACAACCCCATCAAAAAGTGGGTGAAGGACATGAACAGACACTTCTCAAAAGAAGACATTTATGCAGCCAATAGACACACGAAAAAATGCTCATCATCACTGGCCATCAGAGAACTGCAAATGAAAACCACAATGAGATACCATCTCACACCAGTTAGAATGGCGATCATTAAAAAGTCAGGAAACAACAGGTGCTGGAGAGGATGTGGAGAAATAGGAACACTTTTACACTGTTGGTGGGACTGTAAACTAGCTCAACCATTGTGGAAGTCAGAGTGGTGATTCCTCAGGGATCTAGAAGTAGAAATACCGTTTGACCCAGCCATCCCATTACTGGGTATATACCCAAAGGATTATAAATCATGCTGCTGTAAAGACACATGCACACGTATGTTTATTGTGGCACTATTCACAATAGCAAAGACTTGGAACCAACCTAATGTCCAACAATGATAGACTGGATTAAGAAAATGTGGCACATATACACCATGGAATACTATGCAGCCATAAAAAATGATGAGTTCACATCCTTTGTAGGGACATGGATGAAGCTGGAAACCATCATTCTCAGCAAACTATCGCAAAGACAAAAAACCAAACACCGCATGTTCTCACTCATAGTTGGGAATTGAACAATGAGAACACATGGACACAGGAAGGGGAACATCACACACCGGGGCCTATTGTAGGGTGCGGGGAAGGGGGAGGGATAGCATTTGGAGATATACCTAATGTTAAATGATGAGTTACTGGGTGCAGCACACCAACATGGCACATGCATACATATGTAACTAACCTGCACGTTGTGCACATGTACCCTAAATTTTAAAGTATAATTAAAAATAATCAAAGTAAGATTTGACAACAGAAATAATAATGATGGCAGCTGTGAGGGGTAACAGGAGTACTAAATGATGGTAATAACATGTAAGATATGAAAGGATGGAGAGAGGTTCCAAGATGGCTGAATAGGAACAGCTCCAGTCTACAGCTCCCAGCACGAGCGACACAGAAGACGGGTGATTTCTGCATTTCCAACTGAAGTACTGGGTTCATCTCACTGGGGCTTGTCCAATAGTGGGTGCAGCCCACGGAGCAGGGTGGGGCATCACCTCACCCGGGAAGCACAAAGGGTTGGGGAATTCCCTTTCCTAGCCAAGGGAAGCCGTGATAGACAGTACCTGGAAAATCCGGACACTCCCACCCTAATACGGCACTTTTCCAACGGTCTTAGCAAACGGCACACCAGGAGATTACATCCCGCACATGGCTCAGAAGGTCCCATGCCCATGGAGCCTCACTCACTGCTAGCACAGCAGTCTGAGATCCAACTGCAAGGCGGCAGTGAGGCTGGTGGAGGGGCGTCCACCATTACTGAGGCTTGAGTAGGTAAACAAAGCAGCCAGGAAGCTCGAACAGGGTGGAGCCCACCGCAGCTCAAGGAGGCCTGCCTGCCTCTGTAGACTCCACCTCTGGGGGCAGGACGTTGCCAAACAAAAGGCAGCAGAATCCTCTGCAGACTTAAATGTCCCTGTCTGACAGCTTTGAAGAGACTAGTGGTTCTCCCAGCACGCAGCTGGAGATCTAACAACAGACAGACTGCCTGCTCAAGTGGGTCCCTGACCTCCGAGTAGCATAACTGGGAGGCACCCCCCAGTAGGGGCAGACTGACACCTCACACAGCCGGGTACTCCTCTGAGACAAAACTTCCAGAGGAATGATCAGGCAGCAACATTTGCTGTTCACCAATATCCACTGCTCTGCAGCATCCACTGCTGATACCAACGCAAACAGGGTCTGGAGTGGACCTCCAGCAAACTCCAACAGACCTGCAGCTGAGGGTCCTGACTGTTAGAAGGAAAACTAACAAACAGAAAGGACACCCACACCAAAATCCCATCTATACGTCACCATCATCAAAGACCAAAGGGAGATAAAACCACAAAGATGGGGAGAAACCAGAGAAAAAAAGCTGAAAATTCTAAAAACCGGAGTGCCTCTTCTCCTCCAAAGGAGCATAGCTCCTTGCCAGCAACAGAGCAAAGCTGGAAGGAGAATGACTTTGACAAGTTGAGAGAAGGTTTCAGACGATCGGTAACAACAAACTTCTCCAAGCTAAAGGAGGGTGTTCGAACCCATCGCAAAGAAGCTAAAAACCTTGAAAAAAGATCAGATGAATGGCTAAGTAGAATAAACAGTGTAGAGAAGACCTTAAATGACCTGATGGAGGTGAAAACCAAGGCATGAGAACTATGTGACGCATGCACAAGCTTCAGTAGCCGATTTGATCAAGTGGAAGAAAGGGTATCAGTGATGGACGATCAAATGAATGAAATGAAGCGAGAGGAGAAGTTTAGAGTAAAAAGAAATAAACAAAGCCTCCAAGAAATATGGCACTATATGAAAAGACCAAATCTACGGCTGATCGGTGTACCTGAAAGTGACAGGGAGAATGGAACCACATTGGAAAACACTCTTGAAGATATTATCCAGGAAAACTTGCCCAACCTAGCAAGGCAGGCCAACATTCAAATTCAGGAAATACAGAGAATGCCACAAAGATACTCCTCAAGAAGAGCAACCCCAAGACACATAATTGTCAGATTCACCAAAGTGGAAATGCAGGAAAAAATGTAAAGGGCAGCCAGAGAGAAAGGTTGGGTTACCCACAAAGGGAAGCCCATGAGACTAACAGCTGATCTCTTGGCAGAAACTCTACAAGCCAGAAGGGGGGGCGGCCAATATTCAACATTCTTAAAGAAAAGAATTTTCAACCCAGAATTTCATATCCAGCCAAACTAAGCTTCATAAGTGAAGGAGAAATAAAATCCTTTACAGACAAACAAATGCTGAGAGATTTTGTCACCACCAGGCCTGCCTTACAAGAGCTCCTGAAGGAAGCACTAAATATGGAAAGGAACAACCGATACCAGCCACTGCAAAAACATGCTAAATTGTAAAGACCATCGATGCTAGGAAGCAACTGCATCAACTAACGAGCAAAATAACCAGCTAACATCATAACAACAGGATCAAATTCACATAAAACAATATTAACTTTAAATGTAAATGGGCTAAATGCTCCAATTAAAAGACACAGACTGGCAAATTGGATCAAGATCAAGACCCATCATTGTGCTGTATTCGGGAAACCCATCTCATGTGCAGAGACACACATAGGCTCAAAAAAAAGGGATGGAGGAAGATCTACCAAGCAAACAGAAAACAAAACAAAACAAAACAAAAGGGGTTGCAATCCTAGTCTCTGATAAAACAGACTTTAAACCAACAAAGATAAAAAGAGACAAAGAAGGCCATTACATAATGGTAAAGGGATCAATTCAACAAGAAGAGCTAACTATCCTAAATATATATGCACCCAATACAGGAGCAGCCAGATTCATAAAGCAAGCCCTTAGAGACCTGCAAAGAGACTTAGACTCCCACACAATAATAATGGGAGACTTTAACACCACGCTGTCAACATTGGACAGATCAACGAGACAGAAAGTTAACAAGGATATCCAGGAATTGAACTCAACTCTGCACCAGGCGGACCTAATAGACATCTACAGAACTCTCCACCCAATATCAACAAAATATACATTCTTCTCAGCACCACATCGTACTTATTTCAAAATTGACCACATAGTTGAAAGTAAAGCACTCCTCAGCAAATGTAAAAGAACAGAAATTATAACAAACTGTCTCTCAGATCATAGGGCAATCAAACTAGAACTCAGGATTAAGAAACTCACTCAAAACCACACAACTACATGGAAATTGAATAACCTGCTCCTGAATGACTACTGGGTACATAACGAAATGAAAGCAGAAATAAAGATGTTCTTTGAAACCAATGAGAACAAAGATACAACATACCAGAATCTCTGGGACACATTTAAAGCAGTGTATAGAGGAAAATTTATAGCACTAAATGCCCACAAGAGAAAGCAGGAGAGATCTAAAATAGACACCCTAACATCACAATTAAAAGAAGGAGATAGAGACACAAAAAACTCTTTAAAAAATCAATGAATCCAGGAGCTGGTTTTTGGGAAAGATCAACAAAATTGATAGACCGCTAGCAAGACTAATAAAGAAGAAAAGAGAGAAGAATCAAATAGACACAATAAAAAATGATAAAGGGGATATCACCACCGATTACTCAGAAATACAAACTACCATCAGAGAATTCTATAAACACCTCTACTATAAACTAGAAAATCTAGAAGAAATGGATAAATTCCTGGAAATATACACCCTCCAAGACTAAACCAGGAAGAAGTTGAATCCCTGAATAGACCAATAACAGGCTCTGAAATTGAGGCAATAACTAATAGCCTACCAACCAAAAAAAGTCCAGGACCAGACAGATTCACAGCCCAATCCTACCAGAGGTACAAAGAGGAACTGGTACCATTCCTTCTGAAACTATTCCAATCAAAAGAAAAAGAGGGACTCCTCCCTAACTCATTTTAGGAGGCCAGCATCATCCTGATACCAAGGCCTGGCAGAGACACAACAAAAAAAGAGAATTTTAGACCAATATCCCTGATGAACATTGATACAAAAATCCTCAATAAAATATTGGCAAACCGAATCCAGCAGCACATCAAAAAGCTTATCCACCATGATCAAGTGGCCTTCATCCCTGGGATGCAAGGCTGGTTCAACATACGCAAATCAATAAATGTAATCCATCATATAAACAGAACCAAAGACAAAAACCACATGATTATCTCAATAGATGCAGAAAAGGCCTTCGACAAAATTCCATAGTCCTTCATGCTAAAAACTCTCAATAAACTAGGTATTGATGGGATGTATCTCAAAATAATAAGAGCTATCTATGACAAACCCACAGCCAATATCATACTGAATGGGCAAAAACCGGAAGCATTCCCTTTGAAAACCAGCACAAGACAGGGTTGCCCTCTCTCACCACTCCTTTTCAACATAGTGTTGGAAGTTCTGGCCAGGGCAATCAGGCAAGAGAAAGAAATAAAGTGTATTCAATCAGGAAAGAGGAAGTCAAATTGTCCCTGTTTGCAGATGACATGATTGTATATCTAGAAAACCCCATTGTCTCAACCCAAAATCTCCTTAAGCTGATAGGCAACTTCAGCAAAGTCTCAGGATACAAAATCAATGTGCAAAAATCACAACCATTCCTATACACCACTAATAGACAAACAGAGAGCCAAATCATGAGTGAACTCCCATTCACAATTGTTTCAAAGAGAATACCTAGGAATCCAACTCACAAGGGATGCGAAGGACCTCTTCAAGGAGAACCACAAACCACTGCTCAACGAAATCAAAGAGGACACAAACAAATGGAAAAGCATACCATGCTCCTGGATAGGAAGGATCAATATCGTGAAAATTGCCATACTGCCCAAGGTAATTTATAGATTCAATGCCATCCCCATCAAGCTACCAATGACTTTCTTCACAGAATTGGAAAAAACTACTTAAAAGTTCATATGGAACCAAAAAAGAGCCCGCATTGCCAAGACAATCCTAAGCAAAAAGTACAAAGCTGGAGACATCACGCTACCTGACTTCAAACTATACTACAAGGCTACAGTAACCAAAACAGCATGGTACTGGTACCAAAACTGAGATATAGATCAATGGAACAGAACAGAGCCCTCAGAAATAATGCTGCATATCTACAACCATCTGATCTTTGACAAACTTGACAAAAACAAGCAATGCGGAAAGGATTCCCTATTTAATAAATGGTGCTGGGAAAACTGGCTAGCCATATGTAGGAAGCTGAAACTGAATCCCTTTCTTACACCTTTTACGAAAATTAATTCAAGATGGATTAAAAACTTAAATGTTAGACCTAAAACCATAAAAACCCTAGAAGAAAACCTAGGCCATTCAGGACATAGGCATGGGCAAGGACTTCATGACTAAAACACCAAAAGAAATGGCAACAAAAGCCAAAATTGACAAATGGGATCTAATTAAACTACACAGTTTCTGCACAGCAAAAGAAACTACCATCAGAGTGAATAGGCAACCTACAGAATGGGAGAAAATTTTTCCAATCTACCCATCTGACAAAGGGCTAATATCCAGAATCTGCAAAGAACTTAAACAAATTTATAAGAAAAAAATCAAACAACCCCATCAAAAAGTGGATGAAGGATATGAACAGACACTTCTCAAAAGAAGACATTTATGCAGCCAACAGACATATGAAAAAATGCTCATCATCACTGGCCATCAGAGAACTGCAAATCAAAACCACAATGAGATACCATCTCACACCAGTTAGAATGGCAATCATTAAAAAGTCAGGAAACAACAGGTGCCGGAGAGGATGTGGAGAAATAGGAACACTTTTACACTGTTGGTGGGACTGTAAACTAGTTCAACCACTGTGGAAGACAGTGTGGCAATTCCTCAAAGATCTAGAACTAGAAATACCATTTGACCCAGCCATCCCATTACTGGGTATATACCCAAAGGATTATAAATCATGCTGCTATAAAGACACATGCACACATATGTTTATTGTGGCACTATTCACAATAGCAAAGACTTGGAACCAACCCAAATGTCCAACAATGATAGACTCGATTAAGAAAATGTGGCACATATACACCATGGAATACTATGCAGCCATAAAAAATGATGAGTTCACATCCTTGGTAGGGACATGGATGAAGCTGGAAACCATCATTCTGAGCAAACTGTCCCAAGGACAGAAAACCAAACACCACATGTTCTCACTCATAGGTGGGAATTGAACAATGAGAACACTTGGACGCAGTTTGGGGAACATCACACACCGGGGCCTGTCATGAGGTTGGGGGAAGAAGGAGGGATAGCATTAGGAGATATACCTAATGTAAATGACGAGTTATTGGGTGCAGCACACCAATATGGCACAAGTATACATATGTAACAAACCTGCACGTTGTGCACATGTACCCTAGAACTTAAAGTATAATAATAATAAAAAAAGATACGAGAGGATATTTTGAAGAAAAGCATTCCAAGATTCCTTGTTTGATTGGAAGAAGGGGAAAGATATCAATGTATTTTATACTTGAACAAATCATATCTGTATGTTAAAATTTTATGGTTAGCCACCAAAAGAATAGAAGCGGAATATCTACCTTCCCAGTTAGTGTCAGTGGGGAGGGTAGCCATGGTAACAAATACAAAAGTTTTCCCCAAATTTCTATTTCTTTTGTTCCTCAAATGCCAGTTTCCAATATCCTCACAGTTTTGATGACACCTCTACAGTCACTATTGGTTGACTCTGTATATCCTTCTTAAAGACTAGATAGAGCCTAATATTGTATTTTATATTCCAGGACTATATAACCAATTTAGAGAGACTAGCACCTCTTCGGTAGCCCTCCTAATGAAATATACTGATTTTTTAAATTTTAGTCATTGTTGTGTAACATTTTCCATATGAAAAAACAAAAAAGATAAGAAATACAAACCATTTTCAAAAATAGAACTTATTTATTCATTTATTTATTGATTTATTTTTAGTTTTGAGACTGAGTCTCGCTTTGTCGCCCAGGCTGGAGTGCAGTGGCGCAATGTCGGCTCACTGCAAGCTCTGCCTCCCAGGTTCACGCCATTCTCCTGCCTCAGCCTCCCGAGTAGCTGGGACTACAGGCGCCCGCCACCACGCCCGGCTAATTTTTTGTTGTTGTTGTTGTATTTTTAGTAGAGACAGGGCTTCACCTTGTTAGCCAGGTTGGTCTCGATCTCCTGACCTCATGATCTGCCCGCCTCGGCCTCCCAAAGTGCTGAGATTACAGGAGTGAGCCACTGCTCCCAGCCCAAAAACAGAACTTTTTTAAAAAAATAGAACATTTTTAAAGCTGCCCAAACAATCTCAAAGGAATCCTTTTCCCTCAAAATACTTTAATGAGCTTATATTTTTTCTATATGGCACATAGAAAAGTGCATAACATTTCTAGCTCATAGATCTATTGTAAAAGGAACGTCCATGTAGTCGCCATATAATTAACTGAAATAGAGAAATTATTATACTGAGTCTCCACTTGCCAGCCTCCAAGATAAGAATCAGCTACTGACCTGATTTTTGAGATTATCAACATAACCATTTCTATATACATATCAAACTATGATTTACTTTAATCTGTTTTTAAACAATACAAATGGAAGTATGGAGTATTTTTTTTAATTTTGTACCTGGATTCATTCATTCAAAATTATATTTGTAAGATTCAACCATGTTGTGTGTAGCTGTATAGTTCATTCATTCTCATTATTGTATACTGGTCCACCATGTTAATAAACCAAAATGTATTCATTTCTCTGTTAATGGATATTTGGGTTGTTTCCAGTTTGAAGCTATTGCAGATAATGCTACTATATTATTGTATGTACTTCCCAGTACACACATGCAAGACTTTTTTGGGAATATATACTTTAAATTAGAATTACTGAGTTACAAGGTATCTATATCTTGAATGTTATCAGATAATGTACACTGTTTACCAAAATAGTTGTACCAATTTATATGTCCACCTGTGGTGGATGAAAGCTCCTTTATCAATCTATTAGATGTGAGTTGGTATTTCACTGTGGTTTGAATTTGTATTTTCTTTATGACTAATGATGGTGGACAACTTTACATATGTTTATTGACCATTTGGTGTTCTTCTGGGAAATATCAGTTCATAAACAATTTGTCCATTTTTCTATCAGGTTGTCTTTCTTCTTTATCTTCCCACTCTAATATAAACTTCACAAGGACAGAGATCTCTGTCCTGTATTCCAAGCACCTAGAACAGTGCTCCTGGTCACAACAGTCTTTCAATAAATATTTATCAAATTAATGAATGAAATTTCTGGATAGTAGGTGGGGTATATACTTTGTAAATATCTTCACTCACTTTGTGGTTTATTTTTTATCCTACAATTCTTTTGAGGAACTGAAGTTCTTTTCATCAAATTTATTAGTTTTTCTTCATGACTGGATTTTTTTATCTTGTTTATGAAATCACTTCTTATTCCAAGTGACTTTTTCTATATTATACGCTGAACATTTTATAAATTTGTCTTTCATATTTGAGTGTTTAATCCAACTTGGATGTATTACTTATATAGTTCCAGTATCTCCTTGCTCCATATGATCTCCCAATTATTCCAGCACTATTTATTAAAATGCCTGTCCTTACTCACCAATCTGCGATACCCACTCTTCCATATATCAAATGCCTTTAAATGTACATTTCTGCTTCTGGGCTCTACTCTATTGCAGTTATCTATTTGTCTATTGCTGTGCCAATATCATAGTGTCTTTTTACATTAGCTTCATAATACAGCAACAATTGATAGTGCAAATCCTCCTTTTTCAAGAATACCTTGACTGTATTTGGCCCTTTGCATTTTTGAATAACTTTTAAATCAGCTCATCAAAGTCAACAAAAAATATGTTGGAATTTTGACTGGTAGAGCATTGAATCTATAAAGCTTTTTAATATCAAGTCTTCAATCAATGAACGTGGAATATCTCTCCACTTAGATTTTCCTAGACATATCTCAGGAATGTTTTAATCATTTTCCCATAGCTGTCATATGTATCTTTTGTTGGATTTATTCTGAGGAATATCATGCTTTTAATGCTATTCCAAATAGCATCCTTTCAAAATTTCATTTTCTATTTGATGCTAAAGTATAAAATTTATAATTTTGAGTTTAAATATTAATGCTTACATCTAGTAACATTGTAAATTTTCTTATTATTGCAAATACTGTATCCATAAACTTTTAAAATTTTTCTAGATACATGATGTAATCTACTTTTAAGAACACTTATTTCTTTTTTTTCAAGTTTTCCAATCCTTATACTTATTACTACTTTTCTTTTTATGTACCGTGCTGGATAGTATTCCTGGCACAACACTGACTATGTCACTAGTTTTCATTGATTCTATGCTAGTCTTTTTTATGCTGAGAACTTCCTAAAACAAAGAGTGTGTATATTTACTAATCTCTATATTGACATAAGCCCCATGAAAACTCAATAAATATTTGTTGAAAGACTAAAGCTATCAATTAATTTTAATTTTAATTTTAAATGTTTTGCATGACAAGAATAACATTGTAAAGAAACCTGATGATTCAGCTAGGAATGCGCTCCACTGAAAGAAACAGAAAACCTAACAAAAGTGGCTTACACAATATGGATGTTGTTTATTGTATCATTCAACAAGAAAATGAAAGATAAGCATCTGTTGGCATTGGTTCAGCAGCAGAAGGATGGTAGGCCAGATATATCTGCTATTTTTATGACCTTTCCCTTATGGTCACAAGATGACTGCTACAGCTCTGGGCATGACATCCTAGTGTAATAAAAGCAGGAAGAAACAGAGAAGGGGCAGCTAAGTCTGTCCTTTTGTGAGAAAGGCAGATACTTTACTGGATGTAACCAAAACTGACTCAACTTAGTTTTCATTGGCAAAAACTAGCTGATATGGCTATCTCAGGGAGCAATTAAGTGTGGGGGCAAAACACACGACCGTTGAAATTAATTTCAACTTATCACCTGAGACTGGTCTCGCTGCTGCTTCATCGTGGTACTCTTATCAAGATAGACATGCTAGCAGATGTAAGTGCCTGCCACATGTGATTCACAATTTTTCCTACTGCTTTCTTAATTTCATCCTTAGAGAATACAATTAGAAATAAGCTGCTACTACTGCTAACCAAAGATCTCCTCCAATGTTTTATTAATTTTACACATGAACTAGGAGATATTCCATTAAAGCCTTTGTTAGGAAATCTGTTTAAACAACAGAATAAAAGGGATGACTTTGAGATAGAATTTTAGTGACATCTCCAGTTTCTGGTTACATGATATTGGTTAAGCTTCTGAAAAATCAAGTAAATCCACAAACTTTCCTGATATGAATCTAATCTCATTAATTTTCCTTTTCATTTAATCAACAAATATCAGCCAGTCTGTAAAAGCCCACTGAAAGGTCTCTTAATTCAGTAGTAGTCTTACCTCAGGTATGCTCCATACATGAAGAACAATCCCATCATTAGTCCATTTAAAATAAAGATTACACCAACATAAAAGCAAGCAGGATCTCCCAATCCTTTGAAAAGATACAGATAATCAGTGTTTAATGAATATATGACTCTAAGGCAATTGGGCATAATTATCTCAGTGCTTTGCAATCAAGAGCTCATGAATTTGCTGAAAGCATTTGCTTTCCAGATTGCTGCTGTGTTTAATTATTTACCCTTATAAGAGTTTGTGTGTGTGTGTGCTTGCAGACACATATATATGTATGTGTGTATATATATGTGTGTGTATATATACACATACACGTATGTAAGCTCACCCTTAATGAGTGATTATATAGTTACACTTATACTTTATACTTTTTATAATTGCATTTATACTTTCCTCCAATGAATTACTATTATACTGTAATGATTTGTTGGGGATTCACATTTATTTAGGTGATGCTGCTAGTGTTCAGTGTCTGGAACTGTCTGTAGAACCACTTAATGAATACAAAAGAAAATCCATTACATTATTTTTATCTTTTGCTAGGTTCTAGGAAGAGTTAAGATATGGTTTTGACTTTAGGGTACAGCTTTAGTCTATATGAAATGATCCAGTCATTTGATCCATTATTATGTATAGCTAGAATCTTAGTATATTCCATATAGAAGATCATGTGTGTGTGTGTGTGTGGCAATATGTACTTAACAATCATCCCACACTTTTCTCAGAACAAGTTTATGATATTAGCTGGTATAAACATACTTTTCTTATGGTTGAGAAAACAGAACATAAGATATTCAACTTGTCAAAGGTTATTTCACTTTAACTGGCTGGAGCCAAGGTCTGAAGGCTGGCCTTCTGATTCCCCCTGCCTCTCTGATCGCTCGTTTCAGTCAGTTCTAGTAACTTCTCTTGTTTTATGTACCACTCTTTAATATTGGACCACCTTAGGCTCTGTCATATCCCCCCTTCATTTCTCCATCTGCATATTCTCCATAAGGAAATTCTTCCACATCCACAGCTCCAATGATCTATATACAGATGACTCCAACTCTACATTTAATCCAGAACTTTCTCCTTATTCTTATAGCCAGATAGCCACTTGATGTCCCCACTCTGAGGTCTCTCAAGTACCTCAAATTCATGCATACACAATGAAACATAACAATACAAACCTGCTGCTGTTCAAATGTTTCCTATCACTCAAAGGAGCTCAGTTACTTAAGCTAGAAACCAAACTATGTTTCACATGATTCTTCACTCACCTTCTCCTCTCTTACCAAACAATTACCAAGTCTTGTCCATTCTGCTTCCAAATTCTCTCTCATACCCAGGCATTTCCACATTATCTTTCCTGCAATCACTTGTTGAGAATATAATTGTCTCCTACCTGGCCTCCCTTAACCTACTTTTGTTCCTTTACTAATATTTTTTCCATACCATTGACTAAATAATGTTTTAAAATGGAACTCTGTTAAAATTCTTCAATGGATAAAGTATAAAATCCTTCACCAGTGCACCCCTTTCATGATCTGATCCTTGCTTATATTCCCAGCACCATTTCACATCATTTTTCTTCTCCATCGCTTCTAGGATTTCTAGCCTTCTTTCAGTTCTCTCTTGTTTCAGGGTATTTGAATATATTATTCCCTATTCTTAAAATACTTATCCTCTCTTACTCCTAGTGTCAGTAACCTTATTTTCTTATTTGTAATATCCATCACAGTTGTAACTGCTAACAGCCCCCTTACAGCATAAGCTCTATGAGGGTAAGGCCCCACGTCTAGCTGGTTCATCTCTGTGTCCCAAGTGCCAAACACTAACTTATCACTTATTGGGAATGTAACTAATACCATACTTAGGTGATCATTTTCACCACTCAGACAGGGTCACACCTTCCAGCTGATTGAATCATTGCAAAGTCTTTCATTTTATGAGGCATTTTCTCCAATCCTTTACATTGTACACAAAAAAGTATAATTGCCCCTCAAACATCCTCATCAATTCTATTTTTACTGAGGGAATCAGTAAAAAATGTAAGGAAAATAGATTTAGTTTATATCCCAAGAGTTGAATGTTGTTACAAACAAGTCTAAAAATTTATTCATAAAATATAGTAAGTCATGTTGTTAAGAATTTGAAGAAATAAAGAAAAAACTACAGTGTTAGTGTTATGAAAACAGATACAAGTGGCTCTGAATGAGAGTCTCAAGGGACGGCACCATACTTGAATTGTAAAAGTGCTGAAATGCAAACATCTTAAATGGAAGTGACCACTATGTATCCTGGAAAGCTGTTAGATGATTCCAAAAGTGGTTCTTTGACAAAGAAACCAATGTAGAAGATAAATAGGAAGAGTTTTATTAATAGTACTCATGGACTATGAGCATATATAAAAAAGTAATATTTCTAAATCAATCTATTATGGCATATCCAATTTTTAAATATGTATGCATAATTAAATTTATACATTAGCTATTACAAATAGATATTTGACTATTTAATGTATCCTCAAAATTTATATATTGCAGCTACCCCAAAAAACATCTTTCTGTATCTTCTCATTCTGAAATAGAAGACTAACTTATAGTCAAGATTGCCTTACAATGGGATATGTTAATACTCAAATTCCAAAATTTATACTCAAATTTTTAAGTACACAGCCTTCTCAGAAAACTATTTTAAAATGTAAAATACTCATTGATGTGAGTCAGTTCTAATGTTTTTTAAATCAACAACAGAATTTTACAATAATTCTTAAAAGTGAATCATAATATTATTAAATGTTTATGAATGTTTACAAATGACAGCATTTTTGGAAGAAACATGCCTTCACAGCTTTGAACTTCATTAAGAGGTTCTATTCTGGTGACATTCCAGCAGGTCTTAGTTTCTAGTCCAAATAAATTCATTATTCCCATGAATGTGCAATACCAGGAGGCTATGATTACCTTAAAAAAGATAAAAACAAAGAGATAATTGAGGTAAATACATTCTCTTCATAATAATAATAATAATAATATATACCATGGAATACTATGCAGCCATAAAAAAGGATGAGTTCATGTCCTTTATAGTGACATGGATGAAGCTGGAAACCATCATTCTTGGCAAACTATCGCAAGGACATAAAAACAAACACTGCGTGTTTTGATATTAAAAAGCTTTATAGATTCAATGCTCTACCAGTCAAAATTCCAACACATTTTTTGTTGACTTTGATGAGCTGATTTAAAAGTTATTCAGAAATGCAAAGGGCCAAATACAGTCAAGGTATTCTTGAAAAAGGAGGATTTGCACTATCAATTGTTGCTGTATTATGAAGCTAATGTAAAAAGACACTATGATATTGGCACAGCAATAGACAAATAGATAACTGCAATAGAGTAGAGCCCAGAAGCAGAAATGTACATTTAGAAATGTACCATAACTTATATGGTTATGAGTTCCGTGGGCTCTCTTTGTGCCTCATTTTCTGAGATTTGGAGTTAAAGAGGCTGGCAATCCAGAAATGCCAATGGGCACTGCTATAGTTTGAATGTGTCCCATCCAAAATTCAGGTATTGAAACTTAATGGCCAATGTGATAGTATTAAGAGATGGGACCTGCAAGAGGTGATTAGACCATGAAGACTCCCCCCTCATGAGTGAGATTAAAGCTATCTTACTCTCCTACTGTCTGCCGTGTGAGGACACAGTGTTCCTCTCCTTCAGAAGATGCAACATCAAGGCACCATCTTGGAAGCAGAGAGCAGCCTTCACCAGACACCAAATCTGCTGGCGCCTTGATCTTGGACTTCCTTGGACTCCAGAATTCTTAGACTCCAGAATTGTGAGATATAAATTTCTATTCTTTATAAATTACCTAGTCTCAGATACTTTGTTCAAACAGCACAAAACAGACTAAGACAAATATACAAAAAGTACCCAAAAAGTCAAAAGTAAAAAAAATGTGGCTCTACCCATACCGTATAAACAAAGGCCAAGTGGGGAAGCTAGACTTCCACCTTCCCTGGGCTTTTTTTTTTTTGAGACAGAGTCTCGCTCTTTTCACTCAGGCTGGAGTGCAGTGGCATGATCTCGGCTCACTGCAACCTCTTCCTCCTGGGTTCAAGCCAAGTCTCCTGCCTCAGCCTCCCAAGTAGCTGGGATTACAAGTGCCCACCACCATGCCTGGCTAATTTTTATATATTTAGTAGAGACAGCGTTTCACCATGTTGGCCAGGCTGGTCTCAAACTCCTGACCTCAGATGATCCTGAAAGCAACAAGATGGTGCCTTCCCCCTTTTCCCCTTCCTTTGCTTGAGTGATACCAGAGGTATCTAGTTAAAATAGCAGGTTTAAATAAAATCCGGTCTCATAACATAATACTCAAAATATCTAGGTTTCAAGTGAAAATCACTCATCAAGATCCAGAAAGATCTCAAACTGAATGAGAAATAAATGGATTCCAATACAGAGATGAAAGAAATATTAGCATTATCAAGGATTTTAAAGCAACAATCATAAATATACTCTAATGAGCATGCTTAAAACAAATGGAAAATTTGAAAAGTTTACCAGAGAAATAGATAGTCTCAGCAAAAAAAACAGAAATCAATACTAAGAACATCTCTCAAAACCACATAATTACACGGAATTTAAACAACCTGCTCCTGAATGACTTTCTGAGTCAACAAAGAAATTAAGGTAGAAATCAAGAAATTCTTTGAAACTAATGAAAATAAAGATACAACATACCAGGATTGCTGGAACACAGCTAAAGCAGTGTTAAGAGGAAAATTTACAGAGCTAAATGCCCGCTTCAAAGTTAGAAAGATCTCAAATTAACAACCTAACATCACACCTAGAGGAACCAGAAAAATAAGAGCAAACCAACCCGAAATCTAGCAGAAGACAAGAAATAACCAAATCAGAGATGAACTGAATGAAATTGAGACACAAAACACCATACAAAAGATCAACAAAACCACAAGTTGGTTCTTTGAAAGAACAAATAAATTTAATAGACCACTAGCTAGACTAATAAAGAAAAAGAGAGAGAAGACCCAAATAAACACAATCAGAAATGACAAAGGATATATTACCATTGACCCTGTAGAAAAGCAAAAAACTCTGAGAGACTATTACAAACAACTCTATGGACACAAACTGGAAAACCTAGAAGAAATGGCTAAATTCCTGGAAATATATAACCTCCAAAGATTTAACCAAGAAGAAATGAAAACCCTGAATAGACCAATAACAAGTTCCAAGACTGACTCACCAATAAAAAGCCTACCAGCCAGAAAAAGCCCTGGAACAGATGACTTCACAGCCAAATTCTACCAGACATAAAAGGAGAGCGGATACCAATCATACTGAAACTATTCCAAAAACTTGAGGGATTCCTCCCTTACTCATTCTATAAGGCTAACATCATTCTGATGCCAAAATGTGGCAAAGCCACAATGTAAAAAAGAAAACTTCAGGCCAATATCTCTGATGAACATAGATGCAAAATCCTCAACAAAATACTAGCATACTGAATCCATCAGCACATCAAAAAGCTAATCCACCACAATCAAGTAGGCTTTATTCCTAGGATGCAAGGGTGGTTCAACACAGGCAAATCAATAAATATGATTGATCACATAAAAGAACTAAAAAAAACCCCACATGATTATCTAAATAGATGCAGAAAAGACTTTTGATAAAATTCAACATCCTTTCATTTTAAAAGCCTTCAACAAAGTAGGCATTGAAGGAACATACCTCAAAATTGTAAGAGCCATCTATGAAAAACCCATAGCCAACACCATACTGAACAGGCAAAAGCTAGAAGCATTTGCCTTGAGAACTGGAACAACAAAAGCGTGTTTACTCTCCCCACTCCTATTCAACATAGTACTGGAGGTCCCAGCCAGAGCAATCAGGCAAAAGAAAGAAAGAAAATAAATCCATATAGGAAGACGGGAATTCACACTATCTTTTTTGTAAACAATATAATTTTATACCTAGAAAGCCCCATAGTCTCTTACTAAAAGCTCCTAGATATGTCTTTTTAAAACTTCAGCAAACTTTCCGGATGTAAAATCAATGTACCAAAGTCAGTAGTATGTCTATGCACCAACAATGTCCAAGCTGGGAGCCAAATCAAGAATGCAATCTCATTCACAATAGCCACAAAAAAAGTAATAAAAAAACTTATAAAAGAATACCTAGGAATACAGCTAATTAGAGCGGAGAAAAATCTCTACAATGAGAATTACAAAACACTGCTGAAAGAAATCAGGGGCAATAAAAACAAATGGAAAAACATTCTATGCTCATGAATAGGAAGATTCAATATTGTTAAAATCACCATATTACCAAAAGCAATTTACAGATTCAATGCTATTCCTACCAAACTACCAATGACATTTTTCACATAATTAGAAAAACTATTCTAAAACTTATATGGATACTCCTTCAACATAAATAAGGTTAAAATAAATAAATAAGTAAATAAAATAAAACACATATGAAACCAAAAAATAGTTCAAATAGCCAAAGCAATCCTAAGCAAAAAGGACAAAGCCAGAGACATCATAGTACCCAACTTCAAACTATATTTCAAGGCTACAATAACCAAAACAGCATGGTGCTAGCACAAAAACACACACATAGACCAATGGAACAGAATAGAGAGCCCAGAAATAAAGTCACACACCTAGAACCATCTGATTTTCAACAAACCTGACAACACAAGTCAATAGGAAAAAGGACTTCTTATTCAATAAATGATGCTGGGATAACTGGCTAGCCATAAGCAGAAGACTGAAACTTCACCTTTCTTTTCCCCATACACAAAAATCAACTCAAGATGAATTAAAGACTGAAACGTAAAACCTAAAACAATGAAAACCCTAGAAGAAAACAGAAAATATCATTCTGGACATAGACCCTGGCAAAAATTTCATGATGAAGATGCCAAAAGCAATTGCAACAAAACAAAGATTGACAAATGCAAACTAATTAAATTAAAGAGCTTCTGCATAGCAAAAGAAACTACCAAGGGAGTAAACAGACAACCTACAGAAAGGGAGAAAATATTTGCAAACTATTCATCTGACAAAGGTCTAATATCCAGAATCCATAAGGAACAAATCGAAAGTAAAAAAAAACCCAAATAAAAAATGGGTACTCCGTGCCACTCCCAGTCACAGCCTCCCGTGCCTTGCTCAGCTCCAACATGGCAAAAATCTCCGGCCCTACAGAGACTGCGCGGTGCATTGAGTCCCTGATAGCTGTTTTCCAGAAGTATGCTGGAAAGGATGGTTACAACTGCAATCTCTCCAAGACGGAGTTCCCAAGCTTCATGAATAAAGAGCTGGCTGCCTTTACAAAGAACCAGAAGGACCCCGGTGTCCTTGACCGCATGAAGAAACTGGCTGTCAGCAGCGATGGGTAGTTAGATTTCCCAAAATTTCTTAATCTGATTGGTGGCCTAGCTGCGGCTTGCCATGACTCCTTCCTCAAGGCTGTCCCTTCCCAGAAGTGGAACTGAGGACCCCTTGGGCCTGGCCTTCAAACCCACCCACTTTCCATCCAGCCTTTCTGTCATCATCTCCTCCTCACAGCCCACATGTCCCCTGAGCCCAGCATACCTACCACATCATGCAGGCCCCACCTGTGGATAGTAATAATACAATGTCACTTTTTTAAAACATGAAAAAAAAAGTAGGTGAAGGACATAAACACAAATTTCTCAAAATCAGATATTTATGTGGCCATCAATCATATGAAAAAGTGTTCAACATCACTGATCATTAGAGAAATGCAAATCAAAACCACACTAACCCAATCGGAATGGCTATTATTAAAAAGTCAAAAAATGACAGATGCTGGTGAGGTTGTGGAGAAAAGGGGATGCTTATACACTGCTGGTGGGAATGTAAACTAGTTCAAACACTGTGGAAAGCAGTTTGGAAATTTCTCAAAGAACTTAAAACTGAACTACCATTTGACCCAGCAACCCCATTACTAGGTATATACCCAAAGGAATATAAATTAGCCTACCATAAAGACACATGCACATGTATGTTCACTGCAGCACTACTCACAATAGCAAAGACATGGAATCAACCTAAATGCCATCAATAGTGGAACGGATAAAGAAAATGTGGTGGTACATATACCCCATGAATATTATGCAGCCATTATAAAGAACAAGATAATGTCCTTTGCAGCAACATGAAAGGAGTTAGAGGCCAGTATGCTAAGTGAATTAATGCAGGAACGGAAAACTAAATACTCTGTGTTCTCACTTATAAGCGAAGCTAAACACTGAGTACACATGGACACAAAGAAGGGAACAACAGACACTGGGGCCTACTTGAGGGTGAAGGGTATGAGGAGGGTGAGGACTGAATAACTGCCTATTGAGTACTATGCTTATTACCTGGCTGCCAAAATACTCCACACACCAAACCCCCACTGCATGCAATTTACCTATTCAGCAAACCCACACATGTATCCCATGAACGTAAAATAGAAGTTGGAAGAAGAAAAAGTGTCAGCAGAAAAATAGAACACATAAAGAAAAGTCAAAATTTTCAGAACTCAAAAATAAAATAATCAAAATAAAAAACCTTAAATAATGGATGGCGCAAGAGGAGAATGGCAGAGATAGAAGAAAATAACCAGTAAACTGGAAGACAGAACAATAGAAATTACTCAATCTGAGCAAAAGAGAAAAAACAGATGCTAACAGAATAAACAAACAAAACAGCCCTAGGGACCTGTGGAACTTTAACAAAGGATCCTACATTCATGTCATTGGAGTCTTGGAAGGAGACAGGAAAGAGGCAGGGCTGAAAAAGAATTCAAGGAAATAATTACTGAGGCTGGTCCCGGTGGTTCATGCCTGTAATCCCAGCAGTTTGGGTGGCCAGGCAGGCAGATTGCTTGAGCCCAGGAGTTTGAGACCAGCCTGAGCAACATAGTGAAACCCCATGTCTACAAAAAATTCAAAAAAATTAGCCAGGTATGGTGGTTGCCCATCTCAGGAGGCTGAGGTGGGCAGATCCCTTGATTCCAGGAGTCAGAGGTTGCAGTGAGCTGAGATTTCACCACTGCACTCCAGCCTGGGCGACAGAGTGAGATCCTGTCTCAAAATAAATAAATACATACATAAATAAATAAAAAAGAAAGAAAAAGAAATAATGACTGGACTTCCCATATATGGCAAAAGTTATAAACCTAAATATTCAAGAAGCTGAGCAAATCTCAAACAGAAAAAATCTAAACAAATCCACACTAAAACACAACATACTTTAGAAAACGTTTGAACTTTGAACATTATACTTTGATACACTTTTGAAGATGAAATTTAAAAAAATACTGAAACCAACAAGAGAGAAACAAACCCTTACCTAAAGGAGAAAAAGAATTCAACTAACAGTGGATTTCTCATTAGAAACTATGGAGGGCCAGAACAAAATGGCACAACACTTGCCGAATGCTGAAAGAAAGGAACTATCGACCCAGAATCCTATGTCCAGCAAAAATATCCTTCAGTAATGAAAAGAAACTGCATTCTCTGAGTTAAGAAAAACTAAAAAAAAATAAAAATAAATAAACAAATTTAAAAAAATGCAGCCAGCAGAACTTTTAGAACAGACATCTATTCTAAAAGTGTAGCTAAAGAAAATCCCCTAAACTGAAATGAAATGATAAAAGAAGGAATGTTGGAACATCAAAGAGGAAGAAATAAAAAAACATGGATAAAATAAAACAGGCTTTCACTTTCTTCCTGAGTTTATAAAATATGTGTAAAACGAGTTTAAAATAAGTTTGATGATTAAAACATACAGTAAAATGACAGCAGCAACAGATTGTAATAAATTGTGTTAATACAATCACTAGAACCACTAAAAAAAGCTTTGTAAAGTGATATATTGAAAAAATAGATAAATCAAAATATAACTCTAAACAATGTTCAAATAAAATGTTCTGCCACAAGAAGGTTAAAATAAAAGCAAACAGAAATTGAAAACCAAGAATAGAAACCACAAAATAAAATCGCAGACTTAAACTCTAACATATTAATAACTATATTAAATGTAAGTGGCCAATTGGTAAACATAACAATTAAGAGATATATTGACAAATGGGATTTAAAAATATTATCCAACCGTTTACAAGGAACTCGCTTCAAATATAATAATAAAGTCAGGCTGAAAGTGAAAGGATGGAAAATGATGAATTTATCATACACACAGTAATGAAAAGAAAGCAGAAGTGACGATGCCATTATCAGAAAAAAGCACACTTCAGAGCAAGCAAAATTATCAGAGAAGGAAGAAAAAGTCATCGTTAAATTATTTTTTAAAAAATTCAACAAGAAGACCCTGCAATCCTAAATGCATATGTGCCAAACATAGAGCTACAAAATATGTGAAGAAAAACAGATAGATGTCAACGGAGAAATGAACAAATACATAATTTTACTAGGAGACTTCAGAATCCCTCTGTCAAAAAACTAGAATTAGTATTTTCAACTAATTCTTTTAGTTGATAGAAGAAATAGACAGAAATTCCCCCAAAATTGAGACAAACTCAACAACACTATGCAAAAGACCCTGCTTAAGAGAATGAAAAGGCAAGCTACAGACTGGGAAAATATGTTTGCAAGCCATATATATGAAAAATAATTAGCATCTATAATATATAAGGAACATCCTAAGATCCAAAATTCATAAAACAAACAATTCAAATAGAAATGGAGCAAAATACATAAAGACACGTTGCACATACAGATGGCAAATAAGCACAAAAAGATGTACACTGTCATTAGCCAATAGGGAAATGCAAATTAAAGCCATAATGATATATCACTACATATGTGTAAGAATGAGTAAAATAAAAAATAGTGACAATACCAAATGCAGGTGAGGATACAGATAAACCAAATTTTGGTTGTGCTTACGTTGTATCCATTGACTACTGAGTATGTAGCACAAGGAAATTTGCATAGTTTCATTCATTCAACAAATATGATATTGAATCAACTCCATATTCCAGGAAGTAGGCACCTGGGATACAGCTAGGAAATACATAATGGGCATGGGAAAACAGTAGAAAACAAGGTCATTTGCTGAGAGTGAAAGGGGGACAGGAGGTTTGGGATAACTGGAGAGAGAAGATATGAAACAGGCATCAAGGGGTTAGCAAAAGTAAGGCTCAAGGACCATATCAGGATCTGTGGCCTATTTTTGTACCAGTAATGTGAAAAGGATATTGTTTACCTTTCCCCCAGCAGTTTAAGATAAGAGAGTGTAAGACTTATAGGGGAGATAAGGAAGGGTCGGGGGGTGGGTTTCACGCCTTTCTCTAAGTGGCTCCTGTTCTCCCAGGCTTTACCATGGAGGATGCTTTCTGAGCACTCTTGCTAATCTTTTGTCAGCACCTTATGAGGTCTGTGTTAAAATGTCTGTAAGCAATTGCAAATACCCTTGCTAACCCATACTAGGCATTTACCGACTGACTGGTGAACAATTTGAGTTTAATTCTTTACCATTGTGTCTAGTGGCATGACCCATGTAATTAAATGCTTGTTTCTGTTCTCCTTGCACATGCTTTATCTTTTTAATTTATTTTGGGTTATTTGATTGCCCTGTGACCTCAGCTTCCTGACCGCTTCAGGAAAAGTTGTAAATTTGAAGACTGTCTGGCTTTTGTTGTTGTTGCTGCTGACATTGCTGGAAGGCCACAAGCAATGTTCTTTTTGGCTTTCTACATCCAAGGGAAAGCTGACCCAACATGATTAAATCCAACTCTCCATTTTCTCCGTGTTTATACTTGGGAATCTGATTATAGCTGGAGGAACACAATTCTGTTGGCTGGTTTTGTTCTCAATTCAAGACCGTCAACCTCAAATGAAGCCCTTGGTGCTGCCCAAGAAACTCACATTATATCCCTAGTCTATTCATTCTGTTAGATAAGAGGTCAGAAAACTTCTCCTATAAAGAGCCAGGCGATAAGTATTTTAGGCTTTGTGAGATAGTCTCTGTCTCATACTCTTTAATGCGTTTACATTTACCCCTAGGTTTGCATATGCATGTTTGGTTTGTTTATCTATTCATTCATGCATTTGTTTGATATTTATCCTTTTTGATGTTCTCTGAGTTTCTTGGATCTGTGGTTTGGTATCTGTCACTAATTTTGGAAAATTCTCAGTCATTTATTTTTCAAATGTTTATTCTTCCTCATCCTTTCCTCTCCCACTGGGATTCTAATTATGCATATATTAGAATATTTGATATGGTGTCACAGCTCTTAGATGTTCTATCATTTCCTTCCTCCACTTTTTTTTCTCTTTGCATTCCTACTGACCTATCTTCAAACTCATTGATTATTTCTTCTGCTGTGCTGTCTGCTGATGAGCTCATGTAAGGCATTTTTTACTTCTTTTTTTTATATCTAGCATTTCCCTTTGATTCTTATAGTGTCCAACTCTGCTAAAATTATCTATCTGATCTTGCATATCATCTGTCTTTTCCATTTGGGTCTTTAAAATATTAATCATAGTTACTTAAATCTCCTGTCCAGTTGTTCCAATATCTGTATCTTCTTTGGGTCTGCCTGATGACTGCTCTGTCTCTTCGGACTGTGCTTTTTCTTACCTTTAGGTATGCCTCATAATTTTTGCTGAAAGTTAGACATGTTGTATAAGACAGTAGACATAGAGGTCAGTATTTTTATGCTTGAAATTAAGAACATCTTTCTTACCGTTAGGTCTTTATTGTAGGGATTTGTGTTAATCTAGTTAGGGTGGGCTGGATTTGAAGTTTGTAATTGCTATAGTTACCAAAGCTGGAGTTTGTTGCCGCTATGGACACTAGTGATTTCAAATTCCTCTAGTGGTACCTTGTTTTGA
Organism: Homo sapiens; assembly: GCF_000001405.40. Lineage (NCBI taxonomy): Eukaryota > Metazoa > Chordata > Mammalia > Primates > Hominidae > Homo > Homo sapiens. Next base: position 63,657,315 of record NC_000012.12, read on the forward strand.
ACTTGGTTTTGGGTTTTCCTTTGTGCTGCTCCCTAGAAAGAAAATGCCTTGCAAAACTCACTCAGTCACATTCCACTGTGATTTTTACCAAAGGCTTGTTAATGTAATGGGGGAAGAGTGACAGGTTTTCTGATATTCCAATTAAGCCTCAGTCTTAGACAGGTACTGTGAATTTGGGATTTGGGGGCTGCACCCTTCATAAGTGTTCCTTCCTCAAGGAATATGACTGTTTTTTAACATTTAGGTTTTTTTTTTCCTGCCTGTTCTCTTTCACCAGCTTCACTGGATACCCACCAGTGTCCTCAGACAATGGGTTTGATACCGTTCTCCCTGCAGATCATGGCTTTCTTTTCCTTAGGAGAGATTTCACAACATGGGTGTGAGCAGAGTCTGAGCAATGATTGCTTTTCCTGTCCCCTAGCCAGCACCATAGGGAAAACTTTCTCTAAATACTTCCCCAATCTTCCCTGACAGAGCCTGCTCACCTTCACATTTCATACCAGCTCACACTAAGCCTGTAGCAGTTCATTAAAAAATTTCTGGTTTAACCTTTGTACCAGCTTATATGGCATTCAAAAGCATCTATCTCAGTCAAGCAGTTCCTATTGCAGAATGCTCAGTTCTTTGTGCTTTCTGCAGGCACCTGTCCTTCTTGAAATTTTGAGTTGGTTGTCCTCTGACTTCAGTTTTCTGAAGGGTTCAAGAAAAGGTGTTATATTGCAGTTTGTCCGGCTATTTTCCTTGTTGTAGGAATGAGAGTGCCATCATTCCAGCTCTCTTCGTCACCAAATTGACACCTGAAGCCTCCAGAAGCTAAATATATAAAGAATTAAGAGTTCTTTATATATTAGGTGTATTAGCCCTTTATCTGTGAGATATATTACAAATATTTTCTCCTGGCCAGGCATGGTGGCTCACGCCTGTAATCCCAGCACTTTGGGAGGCCGAGGCAGGAGGATCACTGGAGGCCAGGAGTTTGAGACCAGCCTGGCTAACATGGTGAAACCCCGTTTCTACTAAAAATATAAAAATTAGCCAGGCGTGGTGGCGCACATCTGTAATCCCAGCTATTCGGAGGCTGAGGATGGAGAATCGCTTGAACCCAGGAGGCAGAGGCTACAGGGAGCCGAGATCACGCCACTGCACTTCAACCTGGGCAATGAAGTGAGACTCTGTCTCAAAACAAACAAAAAGAAACCAAACAAATATCTTCTCCCAGTTTGTCAACTGTCTTTTGATTTTATTTCTTTTCTTTTTTAAACTCTGCCCAGTTTTGCCTTTTCCATAGAAACCCCAATAAAAGCGATGGCCTAGGCTTTACCCTCAATACTGCTTCCACCTGACCAAACTATCTCTCTCCTGTGGCTCTGTGTGATGTGACTTGTCCTCTTCTCCAAGGAAGTATTACTCATAAATTCTTCTTTCAGCGGCACTGATCTATCTGTGTCATCACTCAGTCAACCGCATAAATTAAGACCTAGGCACAGATCAACTCTGTTTCTATTTCTATAAAATTCTAGAAAATGCAAACTAAACCATAATGACAAAAAGAATATTAGTGGTTTCCTAGGGATGGGATGTGGGTGAAGAGAAATGAAGGAAGGAGGGATTACCAAGGAGCACAGGGAAACTTCAGGATGAGGGATATGCTCATTGTCTTGACTGGTGATGGTTTTGCAGGTGGGCCAAAACTAATCAAACTTTACACTTCATCTATATGACCAGCTATCATATGTCAATTATACCTCAATAAAGCTGTTTAAAAACATTTAGGGTATATCTACTGGAAAGTAAAACTGCTTTTAATTACAGACTGTATCATCATGTGCATAGAAAAATCCAAAGGATTCTACAAAAAAGCTACTAGAACCACTGACTTCATCGAGGTCAAAGTTAATATTCAAAATCAACTATATTTCTACACCAAAGCAACAAAAAATGGAAAAATAAAAATTTTAAAATAATACCATTTATAATAAAAGAGTACTGGGGAAGACTGTACATTGAAAAAATACAAAACATTGCTGAGACAAACTAAAAATAATCAACAAAATGGAGATCTATACCATGATCGTGGATTGGAAAATTCAATATTGTTAAGATGTCAATTCTTCCCAGATACATGTACAAATCCAACATATTCCCAACCAAAATCACAGCAGGTTTTTTTTTTTGAGAAATTAATAAGCTGACCCTAACATTAGATAGAAATGCAATTTTAAAAAGGAAAAAGGTAGAGAACTATCTACTTTCAAGATTTATTCTAAAGTGACAGTAATCAAGACAGTGTGGTATTGGCATAATTATAGATCAAGAGAATAATAGAGTCCAGAAACAGATTCACATATAATGTGGTCAATCAATTTTCAACGATTGTACCGAGACAATTAATTCAATGGGGGAAAAGACAGTTACCACAATGGAGCATTTTTTGGCATTCCAAAAATGTTTTGTAACTCAATTGTGGTGATGGATATATAGCTTCATACATTTGTCAAAACTCAGAGAATGGTACACTCAAAATTGGCACATTTTATTACATGTAAGTCATACCTCAAAAAAGCTGATTTGGTGACAAAGATTTATATATGTTGTTGACAGAAGAACAAATCCAAATGCTTATTAAACATGGAAATATATTTATCCCCATAAATAAGGGAAGTACAAATTAAAACAAAAAAGCATATCACAGCCATCGTAAGAGTAAAAATCACAGGGTCTGACAATTCAAAATCTAATAAGGATATGAGAAAATTCTAGACAGCAGTGTGAACTGCTACATTTGCTTCAGACAGCAATTTAGCAATATCTGGTAAAGCTGAAAAAGCTCACACTCTATAACAACAATTCCACTTCTAGGTATATATCCTAGACAAAATATTGCACATATACAGAAGGAAACCATACAAAAGTGTACCTTTTAGATTACATTGCTTGTAATCAAAAAATTGGAAATAATATATTAAGATGGGGAAATACATAAACTTTACAATTCATAAAACGGTTAAAATTAAAGAAATATATATATACAGAAAGTTCAAAAATACAATTTTGAAGAAAAAATCCTAGAGTGACACATTCAGTATGAGATCATTTATGTGGACTTAAAGCATATAATAAAACAATCTCTGAAAACAGAGATTGGATGGATACACACATCAAATTTTAATAAAGGTATAAGTTGGACTAGAAGCAGAACAAAGGTGATTTTAACTGTATTTATAATATTTTAATTATTTTAAAATAGCTGATGCAAAAATGACAAAGATTAGCATTTATTTATTTTAGATGGTTGATCACACATATTTGAATATTATTTTCTAAGTCTGTAGTTTTAAGCATTTCAAAATCTAAAGAATAATAATTTTTAAAAGCTATAAAAATATGAATAAAGGACTAGAAAGCAGTAAGTTTTCATTAATATGCTGGATTCTGAGACAATTTTAAACTCAACAGTAGTATTTACCATGGTGTCAAATTTAGCATTTATCTTGAGTTCACAAACTGAGTTCACTAATTTTGTCTCCGTTTTTCAAATTTCTAGCATTTATAGACTACTATAACAACCATACTCTTTTAGGCTAAGTGTTGGAAAATAGTAATAGATTTCTGGCTGTGTGACTAAATAAATCTTACTTTACTAACTTAACTCCAAGATCACTATTCAAGCTCATCACTCTTACTGTCCCTTCACGTGGTCATCATGCTCACCCACGAGGTGTCCAAAGCCAAAAGCCCATCCCTATTTAGAACTTTTTGGCTCCCATGACTCTCTTTTCCATTTGGCTTGTCTATTACCCTGGCCATTATTTACACACTAAGGTTCATTCTTCGAGTTCATGAGAGAACAGTTTCTGGGGTCTTTAAATTTTAAGAGAGGAACTTATGATATTCTACTCAACTATAAGGATACACACAATTAATAAACCTGAAACGTCCCCTCCCTTTCTTAACAAGATTGTGCTTACTATTTTTATCTGACAAAGAGGATCACTCTACAAATATTATTTGTCTCAAATTATGACTCACCTCTGGATAAAGATGGAAGCGTTTTATTGCATTAATTATAAGAGGATATTCAGTAAGCCTGTCATTCATAATCATCCACAGTCCTTCCAAAAACGAAGGTGCTTCAATAATGGTCTTGAAGTATGAATAATAAAGTCCCTTTTTTTAAAAAAAGACATATATTGTCAATGTAATTAAAACTTTAAAATATTTATTTTTATCACTTCTTTAGAACTTTTTTTCTGAAAAAAAAAAAAGGTTAATAATAAGACTTCCTAATCACTTCTCGCTATTTTGCATTCTTGGTTTTTAAAGAACACGTATTTTCAGGTGATCACTGTAATATTCTTTCAAATTTTCTATAGGCTTTCAAACTAAAGAGATGGAGGGATGGTCAAACAATTTAAAGAGTTTCTCTAATAATGTCTTAAAATGTGTAGACAGTATATGTTTGATTTTCCCAAATCTGGTTTTATCCCCCACATTTGAGATGCTTGAAGGTTGACATCTGATTAATTCTATCATAAACAGGGATGCTTTCATGCCTCTGTACAACTTTGCATATAGAAAATTACTTTTTTTCCCATGCTCTTAGGAAATAAAATATAATGACCATAAGCATCATGAGCAAGGAATCCAGTGCTTCTAGCTTAATTCATAGCTCCATCTAATCCTCTGTGCAAAGTGAAAGCTCAGTGTCAATTGACTATTGTTGCTCACAAACGCTATGTACTAAAAAGCAGATTATTTTAGTGTCTTACACTTCAGCATATAAAATAAAGGCTTCATTAGGATAGTAAAAGTGCTGTTGAGTTAAAATTCATGGATTAACAACAGCATATTGTGTCTAGTTTCCCCAACTAGAAGAAATTCCCCAACACAATTTCTTGCTTTCACTCCTAAAATCTAAAAGCAAAAAAGGGCCACATTGTTTAAAATGCATTCTCCCTAAAAAATGCTATATGCTATAATCATATCTGCCTCATCCAACACGAGTAAGTACTAAATTACAGGTCTGTTTTAGCTGATGTCTGAAAGGCCATTACCTCATAGTTGATTGGCAAAATATGAATTCATAAAGAATTTTCCTTTCTGCTTAGGAGGATAACAAAGCAATACAACAATTAAAAGATATCTAATATGCAAAAGACTATATTTAGGGAAATATTAAATATATAAAAAGTTACTAATAACAGCTATTATTTTGTGTTAAGTATTCTGCTATGTGTTGCCATTCATTATCTCCCTTCATTTTCCCTAAACCCCTCTAAGGTTGGCATTATTTCTATTGAGCAGACGAGATTACTGAGAATCTGAGAGGTGACCTGACTAGCCATCATTCAATAAAGCGCAGAACTGCTATTAGAATCCAGCGATCTGTCACCAAAGTCCAGACTCTGCCACAGTTACACTCTTTATTTAATAATATTTTATATTCTGTCTTTGGAAATATCTTTAAAAAGTTCAAATGTCATACATATGTTAATGTATCCAATGCTTTGAAACTTTATAGGGGCAATATAGGGATGAAAATTAAAAAGCAGTGACTGAGGGGCCTGGCATAGGCAAAATCACAGAGACAGAAAATAGAGCTGGGTGTGATTAGTGTTTAGTGGGTAGAGTTTCTGTTTGGGATAGCAAAAAGTTCTGGATGTGGACAGTGGTAATAGTTGCAAGACAATACGAATGTACTTAATGTCACTGAATCGTACACTTAAATGATAAACATTGAAATTTTTTATTACAAATTTAAATCTAAATTTTACCATAATTTAAACAAAAAGCAATGGCTAGACTGAGGAGAGCCAGTTTCAATGCTTCACTAGGCCCCCGACCAGCTGTGAGCAGATCTGGAAGATGGACGGTTGTGGTGTCTTCTAAATGTAAAATTGCGCAATTTTGGCATTTGCTATCCCGCTTACTCCTCACAATAATTATGTGAGATATGTACAGCACAAAACTCCATTTTAAAGATTAAGTATTGAAAAACAGAAAATTATTTTAAAATTATATAAAAAGTTATCTCTTAAAAGAGATTATCTTGAAATCAAAAGAAAGCCAAATAATAATCGTCATCATTAAAAGGCCCAGGTAAAACATGGAATCTAACTGTAGCCAAAGAGAAGGCAATTTCTGATAACATCTCATTTCATTCCCTTTTATCACTTCTTCAGTGCTTTCTTTGTCCTCTTTCCTCAGCTATTATAATTCATCTTTATTATCTTAAAAAGAAGTCTGCATTAGGAAAGGGTGAGAGATAATGAAGTAACAGAAAAATAATCTCAAACACTTTACTATTTAAATAATAAACCTGGGTTATAGCTTATGAAACAGTGCAGTTGACCAGAAGTTCATTTCAATTCCTAATACATTTCTACCTCATAGTCTCGCTATTCTTAAACCACAAATTAATTCATTAGAAGAAGAAACCTAACCATTTCAGTGCGAAAAGTCATCTCCCGTTCCAAAGATGAGAGGTGAGAGAAATGACGATCATTTTCAAAAAGTGTTACTAAATGTAACCTAGAAAAAAATGAAGTATCATATTACAATAAGAACGAGTTTCAAAACTAACAGTAAAATAAGCAATAAGAAAGCCATAAAAAAGAAAACAATAAATTGTTATATTAATTTTATAATTTGCTTACTAACTTGTATGTTTTTCAGCATTTATAATCCAGTATGGCACACACCTGAAATTCCTTAACTCAGTGGTTTTTAAGCTTAACTGTGGCCAGGTACGTTGCCTCATGCCTGTAATCCCAGCACTTTGGGAGCCCGAGGCAGGCAGATCACTTGAGGTGAGGAGTTCGAGACCAGCCTTGCCAACATGATGAAACCCCGTCTGTACTAAAAACACAAAAATTAGCCAGCCATGGTAGTGCATGTCTGTAATCCTGGCTGCTAGGGAGGCTGAGGCAGGAGAATTGCTTGAACCCAGGAGGTGGAGGTTGCAGTAAGCAGAGATCATGCCACTGCACTCCAGCCTGGGCGACAGAGTGAGACTCTGTCTTAAAAAAAACAAACAAAAAAAAACAAAACCTCAATTGTATATCTAAAATTCTTGTGGCTTTTTTCACCCTTCCTTCCATCCCAGGCCTCCAAATCAGAACAGAGGCAGGTTAGTGTTTGTTTTTTAAGTTTCAAGTGATTCTAATGTACTGGCCTTGGGAAATACCTCCATAACTGTTGAAAAGGGTTCAGAATATAATTTTAAGTGAAATTACTTTAGATCAAAGCAGACTTACAATAAGTATAATATCACATAAAGGATAAACTTTCAAGTGCCAAAGAATACAGGTGTGTACTTGAAGACCTTTTAGTAGTGAAACTCAACAGCTGTCGGCAGTGAAGAAAGGAGCATATGTGATAAACAAAATTAGCTATGGTCAACAATTATGCTATAGCTAAGTTATGTAGTCAGACTTTCCAGTGAAGTTGAAAATAAAGCAAAGTTCCATATATTAACCCTGTTTTCCACTAACCCTTCTTTACATGTAGGCCATATGCCAGGGTACCAAAAACTGCAGGAATATTCTCTACCATTGCAGCCTCAGTTCTAACATCAAAATCTCCCTGCAGACTAAACGTCTACAGCAGCACTGTGTCAATAGAACACAGGGGCAGATCTCATACATCCCAAGGGTAGAAATCACTGAGCACAGGTAAAAATAAAATATTCCAGAAGGAAATATTATTTTACAAATTTTTATAAACACTTTTGTAAAATAATGTACACAGGCTTGCACACTGAAAGACTCAGAGCCATTTAACTCTGTACACCCACTGCAGAATCTTTATCTTCTTTTTTACCTGATTTCCAATTGGCAGGTGTTACTAAAACTTTATCACCAAAGTTATTTCACTGGCTGAGTGTTGTGGTTCATGCCTGTAATCCCAACACTTTGGGAGGCCGAGGCAGGTGGATCATTTGAGGCCAGGAGCTTGACACCAGTCTGGCCAACATGGTGAAACCTCGTCTCCACCAAAAATACAACAAATTGGCTGGGTGTGATGGTGCACACCTGTAATCCCAGCTACTTGGAAGGCTGAGGCATGAGGATCACTGGTGCCTGGGAGGCAGAGGTTGCAGTGAGTCAAGATCACGCCACTGCACTCTAGCCTGGGAGACAGAGCAAGACTCTGTCTCAAAAAAAAAAAAAAAGTTATTTCACTAGCAACATATAATTACCATAAAATAAAGGAAGGTTTTAAATGAACTACACATACAAAATACACTAGAAAAGCTAGATATTTAAAGAAACGTGTGGTGAATTATTTGGTAAAGCAAAAATATTTTAATTCATAAGTGACTATTCCCCTAATGCATCTATTTTGTAAATGCTGTTTCACATATGAGGTTTGTAAAAAAGCAAAATACATGTATAAATTGGTGCACATAAAGATGTTCTACAAATATAGCCAGAAGTTATTGTTTTACTGTATGCAAAGAGTGATGGCAATTTTTAATTCAAATGTTTTTAAATATTTCAAACTGAAACTAAATCTTACCAATGTAAAATTGCCACAAAGACAGCTGGAATAAAGAAAAAAAGGAAAGTCATTAATAGCTGCTTTATTATAAAATACCATTAAAACAAGTATTTCAAATGTATTATTTTACATGTCTAGAAAGATAGCACACAAAGCAAGACGGCCAGCTAATCCTGTCTCTAAGAGCATAGGAAAAAATCCAGGACACAAAGCAAATTCTGAACAGAGCTTACCTCTCTGCAGCAGGGCTTGACAAGCAAAGGGAGAAACTTGAGAGGGTTTTTTTACTTCAGGTAATTGGTAAGAGTGATGGAATTATGGATGATTGTGACCTTTTTTGATTTTTTTCAGTATTATTTTCTATTCCTTTATATGAAATTTTTAAAAGAAGTAAGTATATACAGTATGCTTCAGGTAGTTCTAACCAAGACGAACCACTCTAGATCAGTTTCTCTAGCATTCATCAGAAGATGATTAAATGCAGGCAATCACTTCCTCAGCAGCACATCTAAAAGCCCCAATGTGCAGCTCAACCCTTGATGAATTGCAAGCTCTTTCCAAGAGCCCAGACCTAGGAGCTACTAGATGGCCTAGGAGACTAGTCTGGAGTCACCTGTGCCAACGCCCCATGTATACATAAGACTTCACCTGGGAGCTAGGAGACACTGCTCTGGGTATGGAGCTTTTACAGGAGCTGCAAACGCAGCCTGTGCCCGTTTGGTTGGGGAACTGCTTGTTTTCAATTCCTCTGGAGAGAGAAGAGTGGGTAATAGAACAAGTTAAAACACCACAAACTTTGCTTTTCTTATAGAGGTTCAGCATCTTTTCTTGAATTAATGTCCTTTAGATTGTTGTAAACCTTTGGTTAATTTCCAAAGTTTTGAAGAAAATGATTTTGATAATTTTCCAAGTATTTTCATTGTCGTCATGGAGGAGTGCATTTCCTTGGCTATTCCAGAAGTCCCACCTCCCTTCTGAGATTTTATAATGGTATTTCTTATGGTTATCCTAAATATACTTGGCAAGTCATCTTATAAACCACCAATAATAGCCTCTTAAAAACTCAAAAATTACTTCACTTGGCTAACAACATAAATGCAAATTAATTCAATAATTATTGAAGAAATTAAATTTTTAAAAATTAAAAAATTGCAGTGTTGAAATTCTCAACCATGCTTATCCAGATCTTTTCCTATATTACTAACTGTCCTGGGCTTATCTTAAATACTTCTCGGAAGATTTACTTGTTTTATACCAGGATAGGCAAAGTATGGCCCATGGTGCATTTTTGGACTGTATGCAAGCACGGTTGCTATAATTTTTAAAAGGTTGAAAACTTTAAATGGTTGTAAAGATGCTCATTAACTGTTTATTAGGCTTCATTAATTTTAAAATATACAGAGACTATCCTGTTCAACTATATTTGTATCCTATTTCTAATTCTCCCAACAATTATATACACTGGCAAAAACTCTTCAGATGATATATAAGGAAAAGGTCAAATATACTACCAAATTCATCCAGCTTTCCAAAGATGCTCAAAATCTTTCTGTGTCTCTCACTCCCTCCCTTAACCCACATACCACATCTGAAAAAAAATGATATGGTGTAACGATGCCAGTATTCTAAATGCTTGAAGGGCTTATCACATGCCCTTTCCAAGCTGTGACAGAAGAATGTCCCCTGGACCACGGCATCCTATCAATCTCACCTCTGAAGGTGACCCAGCCTCATACTTCACTGAAACAAAGACCATTAGACACCAACACTCCCAACTTCTTTTATTTCCACTTTAACATTTCTCCATATAGTAATCCTCACTTTTCTACTCCCTGCCATCTCAGAAAAGGAATTCTCTCTCCTCTTTTCCACAGTTAGCTTCTCAAATTTGTACCTTTAATTCTACCCCTCCCAAATATTGCAAGACTTGCTCCACTAATTATTTCCTCTCTTGGAATCTTAATCTCATCATCTTCTCTTGATCCTTCCCCTCAGCCTTTAAAACTCCTAGACCTTAAAACACTCTCTGCGATCTGACAGCCCTTCAAACCAATATACTCCCTATCTCTCTCTCTCCCCTGGTTCAATGACAAGATCTTTGGCCAACTTCTTTCTACTCGGACCTTGCTATTATTTCCTACTAGGCACCCACAAACCCTTGCTTGTTAAACTGATCTCCTTCAAGACTCAAGAAAAGCGCCATGCGGCTCCCTCCTAGGGCTCTCCTGCCCTCTCCTCACCGATGCCGAGAGTGGTTCTGCTGGAGAACCGCCGCGCCTGCAGTTCCTGCACCTTTTCCCGGAGCTGCGCCAGGGAATTACGGACGAACTGGAAGGGGCCGAGAAGAAAGGTCTTGGCCACCACCTCTAGCTCCAAGCCTTTTCGCTCTTTCAGACTTTGGATCCTCCCCGGGGAGGACCTCCAGGAGCCCCTTGGCAGTTTCCCGCCGCCTAGGGCCGACTTTTCCATCTCCTCCTCTACCTCCGGCTCCCGGGCGAGGGAGGCCCCGCGCCGCCCCTTAGACTGGCTGCGGCCGGAAGATTGCAGCCGCTTTGAGCTTACTCCTTGTTTTCTCATAATCAAGGAGTATGGTGGAGCTGGGTCAATTTCAGGCACAGCCCAGCCGAGTCAGGCGAGGTCCAGAGAGACCTGACTCGCCTGGCAGCCTCAACGGACTTGTCCCCGCAGCCGTTGCGGACCTCCCGGTCGTCATGGCGACTGTGAAATGTGGGGTGGGGCGCATGCGTTGGAAGCCATTCGCGCGGGCAGTCCCTGAGTGTCCCCTCACGTGCTCCCCAGCGCGAGCAGCACCCCCGCCTCTGCGCTTCCCAGAGCGTGCAGCTTCCGGTGAGGGCAGCCCCACGCACAGCCCCCCACACCCTCCCCAGCGCCTGCAGCCTCCGGTGCGCGCAGGCCCCAAGCCCACATGCGCAGTCCTCACCTTGCGCGCAGCCCCATGTACAGCCCCGGACGGGCTCCCAGCCCCACTGGCGCAGAACCCATCACCGCTTGCCCTTCACGCGCTTCATTGGGAGTGCAGCCCCCACCCCGAGCGCGCAGCTCCACGCAGCCTCTCCACACTCTCCCCAGCGCCTGCAGCACCCCCAGTGCGCACAGCTCTGCCAGTCGCTTCCCCGGGCGCCGCCCCTGCACCACTTCGGCCCATAACCTTGCGGCGACTGTCTGAAGAACTTCCCGTGGTTTCATTCTTTTCTTCGGGTTTAGTCTTAGCTGTGACATTTTAACCAAAAGATTACACGTTAATTAACGAGGTATTAAAGGGAAAGATCTCAGCTGAAAGAAATGACTGTAGGAAGTGTGTCAGGGAAGCCAACGGAACCGCCGGCCCGCCGGCGGTGCGCCCGGCATTAGGAACGTCTCTACTCCCCTACGATCGCTGAGGTATCGGACAGTCAGTGCCCGTTGCCAACGCAGAGGGAACGGGCCGAGACTGCGGGCAACAAGTGGCAGAGCCGGCGTGAGTCCGGTGGGTCTGATCCCAGAGCCTCAGGTTGACGCCACTTCCTTGGCACGGGACAGCGTTTACTGAATCTTAGAGCAAAATGCTTTTCCAATAAGGTTCCTCAGAAGTCATCAGCCCTAGGAGCGGTGTGCTCAAGCGCTTTCAGCACCAGCCAGGACCAACTAAGAGGGGAGCGCTTAGCTCCCAGTCACCGCACAGCCCTACAAGAGGCCAAAGCGGCTGGCACAGATGCACTGGGGCCACTGACATTTTCCATGTCCTCTGTCACGGGCCACATGCTGGAGCCCACACCGCTTCACTTCCCATCTGTTTGATGATGGATCACATTGAACTCCCATACCCTAACTGACCAATCTAAAGCCTGGCTCATTGTGGCCAGGTTAATTTTTCCTGATGCAACACAGCACAAAAATGTTCGTGGCCCACAAATCAAGTCCTAGGCTTGCTCACCAATGCCTTCAATATTTGCCCAATATACCTTTTCAACTTTAATTTCCCACTTCCTCGGGCACAAAATCTTCCATCTCAGTCATTTCAGGTAAAGTCCACAACCTGAGACATCATAACTGCTGAATTCCTTTATTCATGTGGAAAAGCCATCCCTTGGCTTTTGCATCCTTTTCTCCCTGCCCATCTGAATGCTGTCACCTTCCAAGCCCCAGCCCATTTCTCCAGCCCATATTAATTATGCTTTTTCTGAAGGTCTAGAGCACTTAACTGACAGTACTATTTATCTTCTCACTCAGTTAAATTCAGTAAGTGCTACTACTGCTCATTTTTTGTTTTGGGAGATTTTTTTCAAGCAGCATTTCTGCATTCCTGGCATTGTGTTTGGTGCTCAAAATGTTTTCTCACTTAATCATGCAATGACTGTATGCAAATTTTAAAATCAAGCATCAGGATGTAGTTATTTGCCCAAGTTTTAACAGCTAATAAATTCTATCTATCCAATACTGCATTTAAAATACAAAGTATTTACGGTGGTTAAGAAGAATATATTCTTGAATGGCTAGGCAAACTCAAAGCACCTTATTTTAAAATATGACTGTTTTAATGTGTTTTGGAACAATAAGTGAAGTGGAGTGATTGTTTTTCTTTTTGGTCAGTTTGGTTTTTCTGGAGTTTCCAATTGCCTTTTGCATCACTTGGTGTCCTGATGGGATACAAAATGCTCTTACCCATGGTCTAGCCCTTGAAAGTACAAATCTGGTCATTTTTATCATTTAAAAAATTAATCTTTTTATAAGAATGTTCATTGTGCTATTATTTATATCGTTAAAAAATAGAAGTGGCCTCAGTATCAAACACTAAGTTATGAAACATTCATATAGTGAAGCATTACAGCCACTAAAGTCATTTTGCATGGATATTTAATGATATAGGAAAATAGTCATGATATAATGTTAAAGGAAAAAAGAAGCAGGATATATTTTATGATTCATATGTTTAGTAAACACATAAAATTAACTGTGTGCCATGTGCTGCTCTAAATCTTTTACACAGGGGACTCATATAGGAAGATTACCAATGTATGACCTTGAGCTAGTAATTTAGCCACTCTAGGATTAATTTCCTCATCTGAAAAATGAAGACAGTTATATTTGTCTTACTGATGGTATGATTGAATGAATTAATGCTTGTAAAGCATCAAAAACACAGCACATGCTTAAACAAATGTTCCTTTATTATGTTCTAGACCGGCCATCCTATAGTGCAGTAGTGAGGATTTTTAGGTTGGTGCAAAAGTTGTTGCTATTTTTGCCAACACTTCCAATTAATATTTTGCTCACTTGGTTTCTTTGTCATCAAGTGATATGTTAGTAATTATTAAACAGTAATACATGTTTTAGGTTCATTAGTTAACTGAGAGATAGTTGCCTAAATCATTATGTATCTACTCCTACTAAGGAGAGGAGTAGATTTGTGTATAAGAGGGAAATCATGACACTTAGTTTTATGTGCAGTTGAATAGAATCATGGATGTTTTCATGTTTTTACAGCTTCTGTAACAGTGGTCACTTATTTTGACCTCATTATTTTGAATGGTTATTTGAGTCACATTTTAGCTGTATACTAACTAATCACTATAATGACTAATAACTTAAAGCAGTTACGTTGATAATTTAATCTATGATTAATTGACAATTAAAATAGCACATTATAATTAGATAAGATGCAATATATTCTTGCATTATCTTATCATCTTTGAAACAGAGATGTCTCATGATTTAGCTTTTTTATATATATGTTTTTATTATACTTTAAGTTCTAGGGTACACGTGCACAACGTGCAGGTTTGTTACATATGTATACATGTGCCATGTTGGTGTGCTGCACCCATTAACTCATCATTTACATTAGGTATATCTCCCAATGCTATCCCTCCCCACTCCCTCCACCCCACGACAGGCCCCAGTGTGTAATGTTCCCCTTCCTGTGTCCAAGTGTTCTCATTGTTCAATTCCCACCTGTGAGTGAGAACATGCGGTGTTTGATTTTTTGTCCTTGCGATAGTTTGCTGAGAATGCTGGTTTCCAGCTTCATCCATGTCCCTACAAAGGACATGAACTCATCATTTTTTATGGCTGCAGAGTATTCCATGGTGGATATGTGCCACATTTTCTTAATCCAGTCTATCATTGTTGGACATTGGGTTGGTTCCAAGTCTTTGCTATCGTGAATAGTGCCGCAATAAACATACGTGTGCATGTGTCTTTACAGCAGCATGATTTATAATCCTTTGGGTATATACCCAGTAATGGGATGGCTGGGTCAAATGGTATTTCTACTTCTAGATCCCTGAGGAATCGCCACACTGTCTTCCACAATGGTTGAACTAGTTTACAGTCCCACCAACAGTGTAAAAGTGTTCCTATTTCTCCACATCCTCTCCAGCACCTTTTGTTCCCTGACTTTTTAATGATTGCCATTCTAACTGGTGTGAGATGGTATCTCATTGTGGTTTTGATTTGCATTTCTCTAATGGCCAGGGATGATGAGCATTTTTTCATGTGTCTGTTGGCTGCATATGATTTAGCTTTTTTTTTTTCCTCAAGATAGGGTCTCACTGTCACACAGGCTAAAGTGTGATGGTGCTCACTGAAACCTTGAACTCCTGGGCTCAAGGGATCCTCCTGCCTCAGCCTCCTGAGTAGCAAGGACTACAGGTGCAGGCCACCACACACAGCTAATTTGTTTATTTCTGTAGAGATGGGGTATCACTATGTTGCCCAGGCTGGTCTAAAACTCCTAGACTCAAGCACTCCTGCCGCCTCTGCCTCCCAAAGTATTGGGATTACAGGTATGAGCCACTGCACCTGGCTGCAAATTATCTGTCTTACATAGAGATCTCTAATCCGGTTATGGATATCTAAAACTTGCCTCAGTTTTTTCCTTTGTCTTTTAGTAAAACAATTGGGAATTTTAAAAAATGCAATTAAACTATGTAACCAGCAGATGGCAATAATGATCTGTAAATCAAAATTTCAAAAGTTACTTATTAAATTCATTCTTTAAAAAAAATCACTGTTCTTATAATAAATCCATTTACTAAATATGAAATGTAGGAAAATTCCAAATGTAACCCCACATAAAAATTACACTGCATATTTCATATGTCAAAATAATTAAGATATTCATCATGGCCAAGATTTAGTTTTCCAAATAATAATGACTTTGTTTTAATTGATTCAAATAATTTATTAGATTTAAAGTTTTAACTTTGCACAAATACATAGATATAATTTAAGTGGATAGTTAAGTTCCATCTCTAGCCTCCAGGCTAGATAAAGGTAGTTTAGCGAAGGCCATTTTGAAAACATTACAAACTTTTCCAGTTATAATTTGGTAATTTAAAATATGAATTTCACTTTAATTGAAACTTTCTGCATAAAAGATTGGTTTTTATTTGTGCTGTCTCATAATTTCTTATGCATTAAGATACTTTTCGCCCTTTGTACAGTGCAAGGAGTTGGAATTGGCACCAAAGTATTAGTCTCTACTTTATCAGCATTAGTTATTCCCAAAGATGGTGGCAAAATTCTTAGGATCTCATAGTTATTTTATTTAGTAATTGTATTTATTTTCATTATACCTTTCTAAGATTTTTTCTACAAACTCAAACATGAAGTACATCCTTTGTTTAATTTTGTAGCTCCATTTTTGCCTTTGAAAAATAGGATAGCCATAGGTATGTTCTTCTTGGAGCTTACTTATTTTCTAGGTAATTTCAAATTGGTCTGTTTATAAATGTTAAAAGATCCTTTCAAATTCTTCTTCAGCAAGTTGCCTCCACTAAAAAAGTGTCTTTGGACATGTTTATTTTATAAAACAACTGCTTCAGTCTAAAACCTTTCTTGGATTTACATATCTTGGATTGACTCATTTTTAAATAGTTATTTGCTGCTGTCAAATTACTTTACAGAGCCTCTTTAAATTCATATTGGATGCAGGTCTTCGTCAAGGAGAAAGTGGAAAGACACCAACTTGCCGTGAAGCATACAGCAAGTTTAGATGTAAATGCATCTGTAAGTGATACTTTGCACAATGCTGTCTTTTGGACTATGGGAGAAAGGCATCTGTAATAACAAGTTGGAATTTCCAAGAGTTCCAATCTATTTTCTGTGTCCATGAGGGGGCTATCCACTCCCCACTCCTAGCCTCCCCCAAAAAACCCCAAAACCAAAAAACTAGAGCTCTGTAAGCCACCCATGCCCTGGTCATGTAGTGCTCCAGGCCTATGTCAGATACGACATACCTTATAAACAACTCCAGGCCTTTATCAGATAAGACAAGCCTTATAAAGTCATGTCTTATTCAAAGGAAGGGAGGTGATCCATAAATTAATTGGGAGATTCTTTCAGCTCCAAGTAGAGAGACTGCACAATTGCATAGTATATGCATATTCATTTGAACCAGATTGGTACTCAGTTATCACTGTTAAATGACTTAACCAACATATACACAACTATACTTATATACATGTACCACATCCCCAAATCTACAAAATCCATTTTTCCCTGGATTTGATGGTAATATACTATGTACAAACTCCATCATATTGAGATTATTTTTATTTACCACCAAAGTAACTAATATAAGAATTACTACATTCAATATTAATAAGCAAAAGCCTCTACTATATTGGTCCATTTTCCCCATTTAGTAAAAAAAAAAGTGCAGCTTGCTGCCAGTGCTCATTTAATTTTACATAAACACTTTATTTGAGGCTGAAGCAAATCTGACTGATTTTCAACATGAAAATAAAATATAAAAACTGTTCTTGGAGTTATTTATAAACAGAATTTGTCTCTAATCCTAATGTAACAGAAATGTAGATGATGATGTTACAGTAGGATTAGAGATGAGTATTTTTGGGGCAAACAGGAAATGATTTAAAGAATGAGTTTCAGAATATTTATGGGCAGATTAAATGCAAAACATAGTAAAAGTGCCAATGATACATAATGAATCTGTGTGCTGTATTTTACATAATATAATATTTTAGGTTGATTTAAGATTGAACTTTGATTATAATATAGAGTTGAAGATATATCACTAGACTAGGCCCAGTATGCTTTGGTCAATTGACTTTGTTTCTCTAGTTCTGATTTCCTCAACTATAAAATACTTTGGATGACATGGCCTAAATAAGGTCTTTTAAACTTATTTGATTCTAGTTGGTATTTGTACAAATATTTAGGTAGATGCACCTGCTAAGTCATACAGTGGCCTGTACTAAGATCTCTTTTTACCACTTTTTTCCTTCCCTCCTCCTCTGCCTCCAGCTATGTGTTCAGACTCCACCCTGAGGGTCTTACTCTGCAATCTATCCCCCAGTTTGTCCTCTAGTACCTACACTTGTCATTGCCCACCCAGAGGGCTGAGTTCATCTCTCTCTCATCTCTTTGGCCCAGCCCCAACCTGGTCTCCCCCTTATCCCTGAACTTTATTCCTCTGATTCCTTCTCACCTGCACTGCCCAGTCTCTAAGTAGGGTGGGCCTCCTTGTTCCTATTTTCTAATTACTTCTATCTACTAGTAGCCTAAATGGCAACTAGAGAATAAGGAGGAGAGTGAGACAGCCCTAAATAAATAATAAGTGTTTATATCAAGACCACCAGACTTGTTGGGGGCAGCAGAGCTCTGCTTTCGCATAGGTATGGACCCATCCCCTAAAGATAAATATGGAACTTTAAAATGCTCTCATCTTTGGTACCATCCATTGAAACCCTTTTTGAGATACTTATTAGTGACAATTTATAATCCATTAGTAGAAAAACCATAGAGTTTTGCAGCTTTTCTATTTCTTAATTAAGGCTGTATACCTGGGTTCAAAAAAAGCGAGGTAGACTTTTTTTAAAAAATTAAAACTTGGAAATATTTAAAGGGCTAGTGCAGTGTCTTAGTTATAAGTGTTAACAGAATTTAAATCTTCACCATTCCTAAAAGAAACCCCATACCCACTTGCAGTCATTTCCATCCCTCCCTCCTTCCAGCCTCTGGCATGCACTAATCTATTTTCCATCTCTATGGATATTTCTATGCTGGACATTTCACATGCATGGGATCATATAACATGTAATCCTTTTTGACCAGCTTCTTTCTCTTAGCATCCTGTTTTCAAGGTTCATCCATGCTGTAACATTTATCGTACTTCATTTTTTATAGCTGAATAATCTTCCATTATGTGGATATACCACATTTTATTTATCCATTTGTCAGCTGATGGGCATTTGGGTTGTCTCCACTTTTTGCCTATCATGAATGATGCTGCTATGAACATTCGTGTACAGGTTTTTGTGTGGACATATCTCTTCATTTTTCCTGGGTGTACACCTAGGAGTGGAATTGCTGGGTCATATAGTAAGTAACCTTTTTTTATCCTTTTCACGAATGGCCAGACTACACCATTTTATATTCTTACCGACAATATATAAGGGTTCCAATTTCTCCACATCCTTGCCAACTTGTTATTGTAATTATAATTATAGCCATCGCAGTGGTTGTTAAGCGGTATCTCATTGTTGTTGTTGTTTTACTAAGAGGCTATTTTTAGAGCAGTTTTAGGTTTACAGAACAATCGAGTAGAAAATCTAGAAGTCCCGTATATCCCCTCTCCCCCATCCTGGCAGTCTCCCCTATTATTAAACTATTGCATTATTGTAGTGCATTAGTTACAACTGATGAACCAATATTGGTGCATTATTGACTAAAAAGTCCATAGTTTACATTATAGCTTACTCTGAGTTGCACAGTAGTATGAGTTTTGACAAATGCATGATTTCATGTATCTACTACTACAGTAGCATCACAGAGTTATTTCACTGGCCTAAGTATCACCTGTGTGCCATCCCTTCATTTCTCCCTCTTTCCCCCCAAACCATGGAAACCACCAATCTTTTTACCATCTCTGTAATTTTGCCTTTTCCAGAATGTCATATAATTAGAACGGCCCAGTGTATAGCTCATTTTTCACTAGCAATATGTATTTGAGATTCCTCCAAGTCTTTTCACAGCTTGATAGTGCATTTCTTTTTATTGCTGAAAAATATTCCATTGTATGGATAATGGATGTACCACAGACTGTTCATCCATTACCTTTTGAAGGACATCTTAGTTCTAAGTTTTGGCAATTATGAATAAAGCTGCTGTCAACAGTCATGTGCAGATTTTTAAGTGGACATAAAATTTTAACTCACTTGGGTACATACCCAGGAACATACTTGCTAGATCATATGATAAGACTATGTTAGTTTTGAAAGGAATTGACAAACTATCTTTTTAAATGGCTGTACCACTTTGCATTCCACCAGCAATGAATGAGAGTTCCTGTTGCTCCACATCCTCGCCAGCATTAGCATTGCTAGTGTTTTGAATTTTAGCTCTTCTAATAGGTATGTAGTTGTAGCTCATGTTTTAATTTGCAACTCCCTAATCACATGTGATGTTGAGCATCTTCTCATATGCTTATTTGCCATCTGTATATCTTTAAGTATCTGTTCAGAGAGATCCTTTGCCCATAATTTGTCTTTTCCTTACTGTTGAGTTTTAAGAGCTCTTTGTATATTTGAAATACGAATCCTTTATCAGATGTGTTTTTGCAAATATTTACTCCCAGAGTGTGGCTAGTCATTTTATTCTCTTAACAATGTTTTTCACAGAAGTTTTTAATTTTCATGCAGTCCATCATGTTAATTTTTTTGTCAATGGGTTGTACTTTTGGTGTTGTACCTAAAAAACCAAAACTACCTAGATTTTCTCCTGTTACTTTCTAGAAGTTTTATAGTTTTGCATTTTGTGTTTAAGTCTATGATCCATTTAAGTTAATTTTTGCAAAAGATTTAAGGTCTGTGTTTAGACTTATTATTTTGCATGTGGATATTCAGTTGTTCTAGTACCATTTGTTGAAAAGATTATTATTTCTCCACTGAATTGCCTTTGTTCCATTGTCAAAGGTCATTTAACTATATTTATGTGGGCCTAGTTCTGGGCTCTCTGTTCCATTTATGTAATTGTCTATTCTCTTGCCAATAGTACACTGTCTTTATTACTATAGTTCTGTAGTAAGTTTTGAAGTTGGGTAGTGTAAGTCCTCTGTTTTTCTTCTTTAATACTGTGTTGGCTATTTTGGGTCTTTTGCCTTTAAATAAACTTTAGAATCAGTTTGTTCTTAGCCACAAGTAACTGGCTGGAATTTTGGTTGTGTTTGCATTGAATATATAGATCAAGTTGGGAAGAACAGACATCCTCACAATATTGAGTCTACCTATCCATGAACATGGACTATCTCTCCATTTATTTAGATCTTCTTTGATTTATTTCATCAAAGTTTTGTAGTTTACCTTATATAGCTTTTGTGAATATTTTGTTTATACCTATTTGTTCTTTTTTCTTTTTTTAGTGATGATATAACTGTTTATTTCAAATTCCAATTGTTCATTTCTGGTATATAGGAAAGCAATGGTCTTTTAAAGTATTAATCTTGTATCCTCTAACCTTGCTATAATTCAACCTTGCCATAATCACTTATTAGATGTATGAGTTTGTTGAAAGCACATTATTTTCTATTTTTTTAAAAATATCAATAAAAACAGGAAGGAAAAGATCCATTAAAACTCCAAACAAACCGAACAAATAAACCCACTTGTATTGCACATGAGTAACATAACTATCCAGGAGGACAAAAAATGAATTAATCAAAGTAACTGCTGAACATATCATTTGGCTATATACCGTTAGTTGAGTAGCACGGAAACAATGCAAACAAACCCTGACCTCTTTTTAGAAGGTTTGTGTGTTGTAGTTGTACAGGTGAAGCAATCTGAAATTAGTTTTAAGTGTATGGTAGAGTTGAGTAAATAAATACGTTGAGGTAATTGTTGAGCCTTCTTCCATGTATTCCATACAGATATCGAATGGGGCAAAGCAAGAAAAGAGGACTCTGTGGGAGTGCATTGGAATTAGAGGTATCAGTATGAATTCATGATTTCTAATACAATAGGAATCCTTTTGCCATGAAAGACAAAGACAGGCTGAAGAGCTATACTATATTTAAGGAGACTAAAGTAGCATGACGACTAAATGCAATATGTGATCTTGAAGTGGATCTGTACTGAAGAAAAGATATGCTACAAATGACATTACTGTGTAATTTGACAAATCTGGAATACAGACGATATGTCAAAGTACTGCATCATTGTTAAATCTCCTGAAGTTGCTAACCCTACTGTGATTATGTAGTGGAATCTTGTTTTTAGGAAATACACTTTCAATTACTTAGAGATAATGGGGCATGACATGCTACTTACTCTCAAGGGGTTCAGAAAAATAATTTGTATATATTACATATCTATGCGTGTGCATGTGTGTTTATGCACACACTACTCACTGTAAATGCACATGATAAAGTAAATAGGGCAAAAGGTTAACAATTGTGGATCTGCATAAAGGGTGTACAGAGTTTCTTTATGGTCTTCTTGCAACTCTTCCTTAAGCATGAAATCCTTCCAAATCAAAGATTTCTAAAAGGTTGGTGTTAGGCATGCACAAAACATTAAGGGTAATAGAGTAGACTTTTGAAAGCAGGGGGTAATGATAACATCAAATATTTTGAAGGACTGTCATGTGGAAGGAGGATTAAGACTTACAGTTTGGCTAATCTTATTTGGTGTCATTCTGCTTTGTGTAATATCATTACAGCATATCCAAGTGCTCATGGCTGAAATGAGATACAGGAGTTTTTAAGTTTTATGGAGTCTTCAGTATAATTCAGTACAGAGAGGTGCAAAATCATGTGATTCTGAGGGTTCGTTGGGTAGCATACATGAATGAAGGGGACTGGGTGCAGAAAGTGGAAAACAGTGGGAACTTGAGAGCAATGTCTTTTCCAAAGGCTTTCAAATGCAACTAAAGACAAACCCAAAATACTGTGCAGTAATCCTGGGCTGTGTCCAGCCTGTGAGTGGCCAGCTGGGACCCACAATCTTATCTAATCTTTTTTGTCAGGTGAGGAAACAGGTACCAAACATCATAAAACAGTGTAAGTGAATGAAAGGTGTAAATGGGTGCACATGTATTTTTAAAAAAACACCATTTTTAATGAAAGAAACTAATATCCACACATTTGTACTTATGTACAATTGGGTTAATATATAATTTTAAGCTGTTTACAAATAATATGTAATGCTTCAAATATTACATAAGGTTGATAATATATTTCTAGCAGAAATAAATATATTGCACTTAAAAAGAACTGCATTAGATGTTACTTCATAGTATTAGGCTTATAACTTTTTTTCATAAAACATTTCCCATGCCCTTCCCCCCACCCCCAGCACACATATTTCATTACAGTGACTGTTCTCATGCAATTCATTAAGCAAATGAACACAGCAAACAACAGAACTGTGATAGTGTCTACTAAAGAGGCTATATCCAGTTTTATCCTTTAGGAAATAAAACAATTTCTTTAATGTTTCTGAAAATAAAGGAGGAAAAAATCCAACTAAACACAATATTTTAATGAACCAGAAGTAAAATACAACTTGTATTTTTTGTCCATATGTATTATTTCACAAAAAATGATTTTGTTTTCTTATTATCTAGATATTTCGTTTATCCAGGAGAGGGTAATGAAGTTATTTGAGGGAGGGACGGAGAAAGAAGGGCTAGAAAATACTTATGGAATATTTACCTATCAAATATTTATAAATAAACCTTTCCATGTGTAAGCATTCTGAAGAAAGGTAAGTCTTGGAATATTATAATTGGCATAGAATATAAGTAGCAAAGAAAGGATTTGATGGTTTTTTAAAGTTTAAGGAGTTTGTAACCTTCCCTTTGCGTGTTTACAAAAAAATCCGTACATTCTAAAATAACATAAAAACTTGTATAAAACCCATCATCCAGCCAGGCACAGCTCTTTAAAGGAGAAAGCTGAAAATCTTATCATCTGTCCAGTGATTTGTCTAGATTTAGGGTAGAGTATTGCTTTGTTTGTAATAATTATCAATTTCCTACATGTTTAATAGTGACAACAGTTTTTCTTACTTAGTCACTGGAAGATTAAGTTGTTTTTCTTGCAATTTGTTACTGTGCACATTACATAACTGGATTTTTTTGAACTTTTTAGTTACTGAGTCATGGCTAAGCTTGACTGAGTATTTAATGGGGTGTAAAGTCATTTCATCCTCTTTATTCAAAAGTGATTTTTCTCAGTATAAATCAGCTTATACATAAGCAGGACAGCCTGAAAAGCTACTGTGAAATACAGAAATAGGATAAATATCCTAACACCTCTTTGAAAAAGGCAGCATGGGATGAAGATACTTTACTTCTAAGAATATTTATTCCTTGGCCTTTTAGAGGGTTTTCTTTTTTGGTGGGGAGGGAGCAGTTGGAGAGGAAAGTGTGTTGTCGTGGCTGGAGAAGCAAAATGACAGAGATATGGATAAGGGGGGAGACCTTCGAATGCCCCAGAAGTCAATGTAACTCCTATAATATAGCCCTACACAGGGCCTTTGCTAGGTGACGACTCATCAGGAAGCTTCTTAATATCTGTTACTCTGTGCCCACCTACTAGGAATGATGATAGGCCTTCTGGACAAGTTACCATTGTTATTAACTCAAAAGATCCAGCAATACAATATAAAAGCTCATTAATCTACACCTTGTTAACTAATAATCTGTGATGTGTTAGACAAGCTGGATATGTTTACCTATATATTGCTAAGGGTAGACAGAGGAGAGGAGAAGACTAAGTTAGCAAAAAAAAAAAAATTGAGGCCGGGTGCGGTGGCTCACGCCTGTAATCCCAGCACTTTGGGAGGCCGAGGTGGGTGGATAAGAAGGTTAAGAGATCGAGACCATCTTGGCCAACATGGTAAAATCCCGTCTCTACTGGAAATACAAAAATTAGCTGGGCATGGTAGCACGCACCTGTAATCCTAGCTACTCAGGGGGCTGAGGCAGGAGAATTGCTTGAACCCAGGAGACGGAGGTTACAGTGAGCCGAGATCATGCCACTGCACTCTAGCCTAGCAACAGAGTGAGACTCCGTCTCAAACAAAACAAAACAAAAAAAAGACCTTGAATCTACTCAGAATTATTGATATTTTAAAAACAAACCACAACTGCAAAACCTATTAAGTTCTGAATTAATTCCTCAGGATTAGATAAAGCAGGTCTGGCAGGACCTCTTTTTAGCAGCACTTCCCATTAGCCATGCTTTTTGACACTATAATATACTCGGGGGGCGGGGTGAGGCGTGGGAGGAACCCTGAATATATTCTAAATATATTACAATTCATGGCCTTTATTATTCAATTGGCTTTCCCATTAAATAGGTAGTTCTTGAAATTACTTTTGCCAGAATGGGCATTGGAATTTTAAATACTAAACTCCCAAGGGTTTAATAAGAATCAATGACCAGGATACCTCAGAAAGGCCCAGGGAGGGGAAATTTCTACCCCTTGGTTTCCATGGCTCAAGTGACTCTGATGAGGTTAAGCTCTATTTCACTTGTGCTTCTTTTCTCTGGTTCGAATAATACTTAAAAATATATATCCAATTTAGAATTTTAGGTCTGACTAGTCTTTGTTTTCTCTAAGCACTCTTATTTATAGTCTTATATTGCTTAATTACAAAATAAAATTATGAAGTCAGGAAATACTAGGTAAAACCATATTCAACAAAAACACACAAATCTCTTTGAGACACACAGATTGGTAGAAATGTCAAAACAGTATGTATTAAAACAATCTTTTCATCTTCTTTGAAAATAAAATTCAGATACAGATTCACCTTAGTAGACCAGTAATTTATCAGGGTATTGAGTAGCATTATGTAAAACAGCATCTTTTGTTATTCCTGCTTTAAGCAGCAGTACTCTATATTCAAAGGAGCACTGGCAACAGGCCAGCTATTAAACAGTAAACCCCTATCCTAGCTCTATGGATAGTTTAAACATTACTCATAACTGCTTTTTTAAAGAAATGCACACCTGTACTTTGTTTGAAAACAAACTACATGTGGGTACTACAGCATAACATGCAACAAGTTAAAAATTGGCCCACAGTGTTTGCTGTAGGATCGTGAGATGCTTTGTTAACGCAGCCCATGCTTTTCTGTAAGTAAACTTTGGAGTACAGTGGAGAATAACAAGTGCAAAATCCAACAACAGCATCACCTAGACAGGCTGTGCCATGATGCCTTGTTTCACAGGCTGGAAGTGCCCAGAAAGGCATGTGATATGAAAAAGGCTAACATTAAAACCACCAAATAAAATCCCACGGGAGTCTGATGTGATAAGTATATTGCATTTCCCCCCAAATACACTTCTACTGTCAGTAGAAATATTTCCCATCCCTTTTAACAGATTCAATACTTTTGTAGCAAGAAGAGTAGAATGAATATTACATACAAAAATTAAATTAGAGTTTTGGAGAAATTTGCTAAGACGACAGGTTACATCCTGTAGTTGAAGTGCATTAAATCTAAAGTTGAAAAACTATTAATTTCATTAAATCTATGTTATTAGGGAAATAAATTGTTGCAAAATGCCAAATGTGTTACCCTGACTGTAAATGCTTTTATATATATATATATGCTGTTCAAAAACAATATACAGGTCATATATAACTAAAATATTTGTTACTATTATAAACATTAAAGGAAGGCTTAAGAAGATAGCAAAAGTTGAAAATAAAGTGGAAGAATGCTTTAGATTGCTTATAAGAATTGCCAACATTTCAGTTATGGAGCCATCACGTTATCAAGCAATTTAAGATTACAGACCTAGCAAAATGGTAAAGGAGTCACTAAATGTAACACAGTAAGGAAAAAGGCCAAATTAGATGTATGGACACATTTCCACTCAGGAACATAAGTTAAATCATGGCTATCCTGGCATTTAGAATGGTCATTCTCAAATCCTTGTCAATCAGCGGCAGCAACCACAAGGCAGATTTACTGAAAATGAGAATTTGTCCAGATGCATTTTAACATCCACAAGGTCTTCCAAAACTGAAGTGAAAATGAAGGGATCTCTGGCACCAACAGCAGAGAAATCCTTCTGGAATAGAACAACCATCCTTCTGTTGCAGCTGTAAGTGAAAGCAAGCCTCACAGAACATCATGCCTAGGCTTTGGAGTGTTCCTCAGTGAATTAGTCAGTAGTGTGTTTAGAATGCAGCCCAGAAAAATCAAACTTCAGTTTCACCATGTAATATAGAGAGGCTCTTGCTTCAAAACTGTATATGGAGGATTTTTCCTCCATAACTCTAGCCCCAACCCTAACTCTGGCAAGTATTTGCAATAAAGAGAACTGGGAAGAAAGAAGACTGTGAAAACTGAGCTTGTTGGTTACTGGCCCTTCAATATTACAAATAGAACTTTGTGAGGTCATTACCATGTATTCATCCACAAAACAGGATGCATTAGCATTATCTCAGCTCCTTCCCCAGCAGAATAACACAAAAGAAAACTAAACATGCTTATGCTACAGCACTACAAATATTTCTCTACTGGCTCCCATTTTCTACAGGGATAAATTGACTTCAGTTAGTCATTATGATCAGTATGCTATATAGTATGGCCTCTTTGAAGATTCTTTTATCTTTTACTGCATCAACACAGCGTTTTAACCATGAGGAATAATGCACTTTAAGATTCATCAGCCTTGTATTAGTAAACTTTCAGGCTGGCTGAGAACTTTACATGGATTCTCTCCTGAACCCAGGAGCTGTCCCTCAGATGAATCCTGGTCCGTGGTGCATTCCCTCAGTGGTAGGTTTTATTGTGAGTCCGGCTCTCCTCTTTGATAGGTCCTGTGTCTCCTGGAAAGCCCCTACTCCAATACCCCACATCCCACCCACCCAGCCCTGTCCTATATTTCCATACCCACTTGCACATTCTGGATCTGGATTCTCCCTATTTTAGAAGAGTCATACAAATGGCATCATCACAGCAGAGGAATGGCGTAGTCCTTGAATGGCAGCATAGGGCCCCTGCTGAAAATAGTGATGGTATCGCGGCATGTGGAATGAAGGGAATGTGGGGCCACTCCCTTGCATGGAGCTGGCAATGGCCGATGGGGTCAAAGGCATTCCCAGTCGGCTATATGGCGGCAGAGAACCCTGGATGGGGTGAGGAATGGGTGTTGCTATGGATGCTGTGCTGGTGCCAAGAGCAGTCAGGGACTGTGGGTGCTGAAACCCAGGAAAACTGGAAGAAGATGATACCCAGGAGCTGAGAGACAAATTATCAGATGTTGTAAAGGCTGACCCTGTAAGGAAAAACACTCATTAGACTGGAAACACTGTGTCAATGTACAGATCAAGAATTAAATTATCTGTAAAGATCAATTTGTGTTTAAGAATATTTAATACATCTGTAATTTAGAAAGACAAACACACATGAGATCTGTCACGAGGCAAATCTACTTTTCTAGGTAAGAAAATGATATTTACACCTTGCATGGAATAGAGAATTTACTAAATGGAAAAAGACAACTCATTGGATAGCCTGCACACTCCCACAGACTGACCAAAACATTAATACCCTGCCTGCAGGTAATGACCTGATTCTCTTAAAAAAAGCTGCAAATACCTGATATCTGTTCTGACCTCTGTAGTGTCATAAGGAAGGCTGAATGTATTAAATCTCTACCAAGCTGTCTGGTTTCCAAAACTGTTGTGAGAACCTAAGAAAGTAAGTTTTCCTACCACAGCATCCAGAAATTTAGAATATAGTTGACACTGAATTTTCTGACTGTATACAGTTGTCCCTTGAACAACAGGGGTTAGAACTGCACAGATCCACTTACATGCAGATATTTTTCACTACAATTTACACTGAGTGTGCCTGACCCCTCTTGCCTCACTTTCACCTCCTCCACCTCTTCAGTCTCTACAACCTCCGAGACAGCAAGACCAACCCCTCCTCTTCCTCCTCTGCCAACTCAGTGTGAAGATGAGGATGAAGACCTTTATGATGATCCACTTCCACTTAAGGAATAGTAAATATATCTCCTTTCTATGATTTTCTTAATAACTTTTTCTCTAGCTTGATTTATTAGAATACAGAATGTAATACATGTAACATACAGAATATGTGTGAATTGACTGTTTATGTTACAGGTAAGGCTTCTGATCAACAGCAGGCTATTAGCAGTTAAGTTTTAGGAAGTGAAAAGTTATATGCATGTTTTGGACCACGCAGGAGTTGGTTCCCCAACCACTGTGTTGTTCAAGAGTCAACTGTAATACTAGTGGTTCACTTGGACTGAGTAATAAGAAATCCCTCTCCCTCTCCCTCTCCCCCTCCCCCTCCCCCTCCCTCTCCCTCTCCCTTTCCCTCTCCCCACGGTCTCCCTCTCCCTCTCTTTCCACGGTCTCCCTCTGATGCCGAGCGGAAGCTGGACTGTGCTGCCGCCATCTCGGCTCACTGCAACCTCCCTGCCTGATTCTCCTGCCTCAGCCTGCGGAGTGCCTGCGATTGCAGGCGCGCGCCGCCACGCCTGACTGGTTTTCGTATTTTTTTGGTGGAGACGGGGTTTCGCTGAGTCGGCCAGCCTGGTCTCCAGCTCCTGACCATGAGTGATCCGCCAGCCTCAGCCTCCTGAGGTGCCGGGATTGCAGACGGAGTCTCGTTCACTCAGTGCTCAGTGGTGCCCAGGCTGGAGTGCAGTGGCGTGATCTTGGCTCGCTACAACCTCCACCTCCCAGCCGCCTGCCTTGGCCTCCCAAAGTGCCGAGACTGCAGCCTCTGCCCGGCCGCCACCCCATCTGGGAAGTGAGGAGCGTCTCTGCCTGGCCGCCCATCATCTGGGATGTGAGGAGCCCCTCTGCCTGGCTGCCCACTCTGGAAAGTGAGGAGCGTCTCTGCCCGGCCGCCATCCCATCTAGGAAGTGAGGAGCGTCTCTGCCTGCCCGCCCATCCTCTGAGATGTGGGGAGCGCCTCTGCCCCAATGCCCTGTCTGGGATGTGAGGAGCACCTCTGCCCGGCCGCGACCCCGTCTGGGAGGTGAGGAGCGTCTCTGCCCGGCCGCCCCATCTGAGAAGTGAGGAGACCCTACGCCCGGCAGCCGCCCCATCTGAGAAGTGAGGAGCCCCTCCGCCCGGCAGCCGCCCCGTCCGGCCAGCCGCCCCGTCCGGGAGGGAGGTGGGGGGGTCAGCCCCCCGCCCGGCCAGCCGCCCCATCCGGGAGGTGAGGGGCGCTTCTGCCCAGCCGCCCCTACTGGGAAGTGAGGAGCCCCTCTGCCCGGCCACCACCCCGTCTGGGAGGTGTACCCAATGGCTCATTGAGAACGGGCCATGATGACAATGGTGGTTTTGTGGAATAGAGGAGGGGGAAAGGTGGGGAAAAGATTGAGAAATCGGATGGTTGCTGTGTCTGTGTAGAAAGAAGTAGACATGGGAGACTTTTCACTTTGTTCTGTACTAAGAAAAATTCTGCCTTGGGATCCTGTTGATCTATGACCTTACCCCCAACCCTGTGCTCTCTGAAACATGTGCTGTGTCCACTGAGGGTTAAATGGATTAAGGGTGGTGCAAGATGTGCTTTATTAAATAGATGCTTGAAGGCAGCACGCTCGTTAAGAGTCATCACCACTCCCTAATCTCAAGTACCCAGGGTCACAAACACTGCGGAGGGCCGCAGGGTCCTCTGCCTAGGAAAACCAGAGACCTTTGTTCACTTGTTTATCTGCTGACCTTCCCTTCACTATTGTCCTATGACCCTGCCAAATCCCCCTCTGTGAGAAACACCCAAGAATGATCAATAAAAAAATAAATAAATAAAAGAACTACTCATGTAACCAAATACCACCTGTACCCCCAATAATTTATGGAAAAATAATAATTAAAAAGTAAAAAAATTAAAAAAAAAAGAAATGTCCTATGTTTTCACAGATTATATAATTTCATATTAAGGACATAAAACAATGCAGAGGACTCTCTCCCCATACGAACTTTACTGTTCCCAGAATGGAGCCCCTCTGGGCTCTTTTCTCTGGACTCTCTTCCCAGATGCAGAGTGCTGCTCTCTAAGCCTTGGGAACAGAGAAACTTTGTTCAGTTCCTGCTGTCAACATTGGGGCCACTTCCTCTGCGTAATATCCTTCATTAGGACAATCCTCTTTTAAAAGTGTTTTCTATTTTGGTCTTTGATTCTAACAAATTATACCTGACATAGATGGAACAGATATATTCCCTGACTTTCAGATTATCAAACTGAGGTTCAGAAGGACTTGGTGACTGCCCCCAAAGTTCAACAGCTCTTATGTACTAAATCATGGACAAGTAACTCCTGATCCCTGCCTCAAAGGCTCAGTATTCTTTCACTTAAAAAAAAAACAAACCATAGGAAACCTGCAGGCAGCAGCATCGCCTATGATTCAAAGGCAAAATAATGAAATCTGTGAGGATCAATGTCGGGGCTCTCCCTTCCCAGGGAGGCTCCTGAAATCCTTTCCCGGCATCATGTACTCTGAGGACTGGCCATCTCATCAACGACCTGCCCCCATTCTCCTTTAGGTGCTCTGCCTCCCAGCAATTCCATGGCCTTGGAAGCTACCTTACCTCGATTTGGGGTTGTCTGACTCTCATCCCCCAAGACATCTTCTTCTCCTCCATAGGTACGGATGGGTGAAGGTGCATTGGAATGCTTTTGAATCAGGCTCTCCACACTTTCCCTAGGTTAGAGTGACATATCACAGGTTAACTAAAATGTAAAGGACTCAGAGATAGAGAGAGGTCTTAGAGGTAACTCACTAATCAGTAAAACCATTTTCTCAGCCAAAAAGCAACCACTGCACAGAAAGATGAAATTCAAAACATGTACATTTATTCTGTTGTACAGTGACTCCTCAGAGACATGACCTCAGGTGTATGACTGCAAGCAAACATCACTGACTAGGACAAGGACAATCCCCTGAAATACTTTAAAATGAAGGACAAAGGGGTGAACAGGAGCTATGAAACCTGACCACAGGAATATGGAATTCCATGATGTGAAAAATAATGAGTGAATGAATTTACTGCAAGGAGCTGCAATGACTCTTCTTACTGACTTCATCAGCTAACAAATACAAAACCAATACTCAGTTGATACAAATTGCACTGATCCAACAACCGATGAAATGTTGGCAAAAAGTTCAAATTATCTTTAGTCAGCGAAAGACTCTAATATTTACCAAGAAATCAAACAAATTCATAGATTATAGTACAATATAGATAGTTTGGATAATGAACACTAAGATCCTTGTTGCTGTAAGACTGAAAATTACAAAAAACCCATGAAGAAAACACAAATGACCAATAAGGAGTTTTAGCCTCTAGGTAAATTGGTATATTGTCTTGTAGATGGTCTTCCTCCTGTAACATAGTCTATCAACCAAACAGTGAGGTTAACTTTAAAAAATAAAAAAAATATTTTGGCATTGGACAATTTGACCTTCTGCTTTAAAAAAAAAAAAAAAAAGCCAGTACAATTTTAGCCAATTTGTTTGCCAAAAGTGCATACTGATAACAGATTAGTCTGCATGGTACACATTTCTGGAACAGCTGTGGCCCAAAGACCAATGCCAAATTGACCAGCAAAGGACAAAAGAAGACTTATAAAATATGTGTTAAATGAGGAAGGACAAACAAAACACCACATTTCATATTGAGGGAATAAGCAAAGCAAATAAAATGTCATAATAACTTTTTAAAATGTCAATACTTGTCAACATTTCACGTAAATATGCAAACTTTACCTGTGAAAAATTACTACCTAATTCATAGTAAATTTGGTGTTGTAGAAAGCTTATATACCCACATAGATGAACGCATTTTATAATATATAGTATGACTATGACTATGAGGACTTAAGGATATGCGTAAAAGGAAAATTAACTCCGCAACTATTTAAGTTACATCTCTATTCTCAAATTGTTTTAGAGTAAGAATAAAGTACCACCTCTTATAGTCAAAATAATTAGGATCCAGATCCACTGCAAAAAGGTGTCAAAAAGAATGATGTCATTCCGTATGTATAGATATGGAATAATTTTCAAGATATAGTAAGTGAAAAAAGTAAAATACAGAATGATATGTAAAGTATGCTACCATTTGTGAAGTTAGAACACAGGATATGTATGTTCATATATGCCTGCATATGCACAGGATTTCTAGAATGTTCCAGTTTCCAGAACAAGAAACTGCCTAGAAGAGGTTGCCTCTGCAGGGTGAAATCAGGGACTTGAAGGATTGGAGTAGTGATTCTCACATTTGTGTGTATGTTTGAGTCAACTAGGGATCTTGAAACAAACAAACAAAAAAAACTATATTGAGATATGATTAAAATACAAAAAGTGGCACATATTTAAAGTGTATGGGGCCGGAGCCGGGCCAGTGGCTCACGCCTGTAATCCCAGCACTTAGGGAGGCCCAGGCGGGTGGATCACCCAAGGTCAGGAGTTCAAGACCAGCCTGGCCAACATGGCAAAACCCTGTCTCTATTAAAAATACAAAAATCAGCCGGGCATGTTGGTAGGCACCTATAAACCCAGCTACTCAGGAAGCTGAGGCAGGAGAATTGCTTGAACCTGAAGGCAGAGGTTGCAGTGAGCCAAGATCGTGCCACTTCACTCCAGCCTAGACAAAAGGGTGAAACTCCATCTTAAAAAAATAAAAATAAAGTGTATAGTTTGATCAGTTTGGGCATATGTACGCACCAGTAACACCATTGCCACAAGCACAATAACAAAAATACCTAACACCTACAAAAGCTAGCTTCCTCAAGCTCCTATGCTCCATGGTCCCCATCGCAACAAACCTTTCCAAGGAAACCACTAATATAATTTCTGTTCTTGCAGATTAGTCCGCATTTTCTAAACTTTTACAAAGATGAAATCTTACCTAATATATTCTTTTTTATCTGGCTTCTTTCACTCAGCGTATTTTAAGATTTATCATGTTGGGGCATACATTAATATTTCTTGCTCTGAGTATCATTATATTGCATGGATGTATTATGGTTTATTCACTTATTGATGGATATTTGACTTGTTTCCAGTTTTTGAATGTTAAAATGAAGCTGCTACACATATTCATGCATACTTTTTAACAAATGGACATATACTTTTATTTATCTTGGAAAGACATCTAAGGATGAAATGACTAAATTGCATATATGTGCAATTTTTAAAGAAACTGCCAAACTATTTGTCAAAGTAGTCATACAATTTAGCATTCCCACCATCAGTGTATGAGAATTCCAGGTCCTCTGTACTCTCACTGACGCCTGATATGGTCAACGTTTAATTTTAGCTATTGTAATATGCATGTGCTGGTATTCCATCATACTTTTAATTGTGTTCCCCTAATGACTACAATGTTGAACATCTTTTTCTGTGCTTATTTGCTTCCATATTTCTAGCTGTTAATATCTGTTTATTTAAAAAATTAGGTTATTTGTTTTCTGAGTTTTGAGATTTCTTTTTATATTCTGGGCACTGGTGTTTATAGAATATATGATTTGCAAATATTTTCTTCTAGGCTGTGGCTTGTGTTTTCTCTCTCCTAAACAGTTTCTTTTTAAAAGCAGAGTTTTTAATTTTGATGAAGTGCAATTTATCCATTTGTAATTCTATGGATCATGCTTTTGGTGCCATATTTTAAGATCTTTGCCTAGCCCAAGACCACAAAAGTTTTCTCCTAGTCTTTTTCTGAAAGTGTTATAGTGTGAGGTTTTATGTTTGTGTCTATGATTCATCTTGAGTTAATTTTATATATGAATGAGTTATGAATTGTTTATTTTTGTGCTTATGAATATCCCATTATTCCAACATTACTTGTTGAGAAGACTGTCCCTTCTCCATCACATACATGTGGGTCTACTCTTGGACTCTTTATTCTATTGATGTGTTTGTGGAACTTGACACCAAAACTATACTGTCTTGATTACTGTAGCTGAATAAAATTATTAGAACTTTTGACATTAGGTAGTATTAGTACTCTATCTTTTTTTCAAAGTTGTTTTGGCTATTCTAGTTCTTTGCATTTCCATATGAAATTTAATATTACTTTGTCAATCTCTACAAAAAAAGACTCCTGTGATTTTGGTCAGGATTATTTTAGATCTACATATCAATTTGTGCATAACTGACATCTTAATATTGCATCCTTCAAATCATGAACCAGTATATCCTTCCGTTTCATTAGGTCTTCTTTAATTTCTCTCAGCAATGTTTTTGTAGTTTTAAGTATATATGTCTTGCATATCCTTTCCAGATTTATCCCTACTTTGTATTATAGTAAATATTGCTTTTTAACTTCAATTTCTGATATTCATTTATAATAGATAGAAATACAATTTATTTTGTATATTGATCTTGTATTCTGTGAACTTGCCAAACACATTTGTTCTAGTGGGTTTTGGAGATTTGGGTTTTCTGTATAGATAATCACGATGCCTGTACACAAAGATAGTTTTACTTCTGTCTTTTCAATCACAATGACTTTGATTTTTCCTGACTTATTGCAATGGCTAAAACTACCTGTACAATGTTGAATTAGCAGTGGTAAGAATGCGCCGGGCACAGTGGCTCACACCTGTAATCCCAGCACTTTGAGAGGCTAAGGTGGGCGGATCACCTGAGGTCAGGAGTTCAAGACCAGCCTGACCAACATGGAGAAACCCCGTCTCTACTAAAAATACAAAATCAGCTGGGCATGGTGGCCCATGCCTGTAATCCCCACTACTCGGGAGGCTGAGGCAGGAGAATCGCTTGAACCCGGGAGTCGGAGGTTGCAGGGAGCCAGGATCGAGCCATTGCACTCCAGCCTGGGCAACAAGAGCGAAATTCCATCTCAAAAAAAAAAAAAAAAAAAAAAAGAACAGACATCAATAACTTCTTCTTTATCTTACAGAAAGCATTCAATTTTTCACCATTAGGTATAATATTCATTCTAGGTTTTTTGTACATACAATTTACCAGACTAAAGGTTCTCTTCTATTCCTAGTTTGCTGAGAGTTTTCAAGAATAGAGGTTGAATTTTGCTAAATGCTTTTTCTGTGTCTGTTGAGACAATCATATAGTTTTGTTTTTAGTTTGTCAGTACAATCATTACATCCATTGAATTTCAAATGTGAAATCGACCTTGCAGTCCTGAACTAGGCCCTAGTTATTTATGACATATTATCGTTTTTTTAATTCAATTTCCTAAAATTCTGTTTAGAATTTTTCCATGTATATTCATGAAGAATATTGGTCTTTCTCTAGTTTTAGTATCAAGATAAGGCTAGTCTCATAGAATTAGTTAAAACTCTTCCCTCCTCTTCAATTTTCTAGAAGATTTCAGGTAGAATTGTCATTATTTCTTCCTTAAATGTTTGGTATCATTCACCAGTGAAACCATCTGGACCTAGAGTTTTCTTTGTAAAAGTTTTTTAACTACAAATTCAAAACTATCAGAGTATCTGTTTTCTCTTGAATGAGCTTTGGTAGATTCTGTCTACGAGAAATTTGTCCATTTTGTTTAAATTGTTAAATTTTAATTGTAAGTGTTCATAATATTCCTTTATTATCTTTCCTTTCAATACCTGTAGAACCTGTAGTGATATTATTCCTTTCATTCTTGATTACGGTAATTTATATTTTCTTCCCTTATTTTCTTGCTCAGTTTGGCCAGCAGATGGTCAATTTTATTAATCTCTACTTTTTGTTTCATCGATTTTTCTCTACTTCTTCCCTGTTTTCTATTCCATCAATTTCTACTCTGATATTTATTATTTTCTTTCTTCTACTTGCTTTGGGTCTCATTCACTCTTGTCCTAGTTTCTTGAGATTGAAGATGAGGTTATTGATTTGGGACCTTTCATTTCTAAAGCAGAGATGTAGCACTATAAATTTTCTGGAAGTAATGTTTTAGCAGAATCCTGCAAGTTTTTATATGCTGTATTTTCATTTTTATTCAGTTCAAAATATTTTCTAATTTCCCTCTTGATGTCTTCCTTCCCCCAAGGGTTGTTTAGACATGTGTTATTTGACTTTCAAATATTTGGGGACTTTAGAGATATCTTCTTGTTATTTTCTCTAATATAATTCCATTACGGTCAGAGAGCACACTTTGTATGACTTGAATGCCCTTAAATTTATTGAGACTTCTTTTGCGTAGAGTGTAAGATCTTTATAAATGTTCTGTGTATACTTGCAAAGAAGGCATATTCTGCTAATTTTAGATAATATTTTCTTTTTTTTTTTTTTTTTGAGACAGAGTCTCACTCTGTCGCCCAGGCTGGAGTGCAGTGGCGCGATCTCGGCTCATGGCAAGCTCTGCCTCCCGGGTTCAAGTGATTCTCGTGCCTCAGCCTCCCAAGTAGCTGGGACTACAGGCGCCCACCACCACGCCTGGCTAATTTTTTTGTATTTTTAGTAGAGACCGGGTTTCACCATTTTAGCCAGGATGGTCTCGATCTCCTGACCTCATGATCCACCTGCCTCAGCCTCCCAAAGTGCTGGGATTACAGGTGTGAGCCACCGTACCCGGCCTAATTTTAGATAATATTTTCTAAACATCAATTGGGTCAAGTTAGTTGATACTGTTGTTCAAATTTTCTGGGTCTTTACTCATTTTCTGTCTACTTGCTCTATCAATTACTAAGAAAGGGATATTAAAATTTCCAACCATGATTGTATATTTGTCTGTTTTTTTTATACTTCTGTCAGACATAAAGATGTAGGACTGTATATTACCCTTGAAGAATGGAGCCCTTTAATAGTATGAAATTATCTACTTTATCCCTAGTAAAATTCTTTTCTCTGAAATCTACTTTGATATTAATACAACTCTTAAGTTTTTCAAAATTATTGTTAACATGCTACTTTTTTTCACTGCTTTACTTTCAACTTATGTCTTTACATAGAAAGCATATTTCTTGTAGGCAACATATAATCAGGTCTTACTTTTTAATTCAAACTGACAATCTCTGCTTTTTGAGATATGTAGTGCATTTATATTTAAGGTGATTATTGATATAGTTAAGTTGAAGTCTGGCTATTTG
This sequence comes from Homo sapiens, assembly GCF_000001405.40. Lineage (NCBI taxonomy): Eukaryota > Metazoa > Chordata > Mammalia > Primates > Hominidae > Homo > Homo sapiens. The sequence continues at coordinate 63,694,849 of NC_000012.12, forward strand.
CTTTCTGTTTGTCCCATCTGTTCTTTTTTATCTCTTTCCTCTTTTTTGCTTTCTTTTGGGTTTTCTTTAAATGATTTCATTTCATGTTCTTTGTTGGTTTATTAGATATAACTTTCTTTTGTTATTTTAGTAAATGACTTAGGATTTATAGTAAATATCTTTAAGTTGTCACAATCTACCTTCAAGTGACACTAAATCTTTCAAGTTAGTATAAGACCCTCAAAATAATATATTTTCATTTCTCCCTTCCAGCCATTGTGCCATTCTGGTCAAACATTTTATTTTTTATATAAACTCCATTCTAATTGTTATTATATTTGTTTAAAAGGTTAACTATCTTCTTAAAATATTTAAATAATAAAAAATTAATCTACTTATCCATGTAGTTCTTATTCCTGTGCTCTTCATGCCTTTGTTTACATCCAGATTCACATCTGGTATAATTTTCTTTCTGGTTGAGGGACTTCCTTTAAAATATCTGTACTGCAGTTTACTGGTGGTGAATTCTTCGCCTTTTGTATGTCTGGAAAAGTCTTTATTTTGCTTTTGTTTTTTTGAAAGATATTTTTGCTGGGTAAAGAATTCTAGTTAACAGACTTGATTTCTTTTTCAGTACAGATGATCCCCAACTTGCAATGGTTCAACTTACAAATTTTCAGCTTTACAATGGTGCAAAAGCAGTAGGCATTCAATACAGTCCTCAGCTTACGATGGTGTTATATCTGGACTTAGACACTTTTGACTTATGAAATTTTCAATTTATGATGGGTTTATCCAACCATAACCCCATTGTTAGTCAAACAGCACCTATACTTTAAAGATGTTGCTTCACTGTCTCCTAATTTACTTTGTTTCTAATGAGAAATCTGTACTCATCCTTATCTTTGTTCCTCTTATGTAATACGTCTATCATTCTCTGGCTGTTTTAATATTTTCTTTATATCACTAGTTTTGTGCAATTTGACTGTAACATAATTTGGTATTATTTCTTCATGCTTTTTGAGCTTGGGTTTGTTGGGCTTCTTTGGATTGTGTTTACAATTGTCATTAAATTTGAAAAATTTTTAGATATTATTTCTTTGGGTATATTTTTTGTCCCACCTTCCAACCACCTTTAGGGCCTCCAATTACACAGATATTAGGCCACTTGAAATTTTCCCACAACTGACACTCTTTCAATTTTTAAAAATTTATCTTTGCTCCTTGTGTTTCATTTTGGGTAGTTTCTATCACTATGTCTTCAAGTTCACTAATCTTTTCATCTGCAGTGTCTATCTGCCACTAATCCCATCCAGTATATTTTTCATTTTATACACTGCAGTTTTCATCTTTAGAATTGTGACTTTGATTTTTGGTAAATCTTCTACATCTCTCCTTAATTTCTGGAATGTATGGAATACAATCATAGTAAGTGTCTGAATGTCCTTGTTATTAATTAGAATATCTATGTGAGTTCTGACTTAGTTTCAACTGATTATCTCTTCACTACGGGTCATATTTTTCTGCATCTTTGCATTCCTGGTAATCTTTAATTAGATACTAGGCATTGTGAATTTTGTCAGGTGCTGAATATTTTTGTATTCTATTTATAAGGACATAAATATAAGACATGTCTTGAGGTTTCTTTTGGGATATAGTTAAGTTACCTGGAAATAATTTGATCCTTTGGGAGTTTGCTTTCAAGATATTTTAAGTAGGACTGGAACACTATTTAGTTGAGGGCTAATTCTTCCTCACTACTGAAGCAAAACCCTTCTGAATAGTCTACCAAATGCCTTCTAAATCACAAGGTTTTCCAGTCCAGCTGATTACGTCAGGCATTATCCCTGGGTGACCACGAGGTACTGTTTGTTTCCCCCTAATCTTTTCAGGTACTCTTCCCTGCAGCCTCTGGTAGTTTCATCGTATGGATTCCCTTAGCAAATCTCAGCTGAACACTCAAAAGGGATCCTCTATAAATCTTTGGAGTTCTTTAGGGATCCTCTGTAGATCTTTGAGTGCTTTTTCCATGCAGCTTTCACCTTTTCTATTGCCTGTCCTGTGAATTCTCACTGTTTTGGTCTCTGCAAACTCAGCTCTGACCTCTCAACTCAGGGAGTCTGGTGGGCTCTGCCTGTATTCTCCCCCACTGCCATGGTCTATACCCCCTCAGGAAATAAGCTGCATCATCACAGGGCTCTCCTCATTTGTTTCCCATCCCTCAGAGATTATTGTCTTTTGTTGCCTGATATCCAGTGTCATAAAAAACATTGTTTTGCATATTTTGTATGTTTCTTAGTTGTTTCAGGAAATAGGGTATATTTGGCCCTTGTGGCTTTACCTTTACTAAAAGCAATGTCTCTCCAGGTGAACTTCTAAAAATTCCAAAGCCAACACCACAGTCCCATACCAATTAAATCACAATCTTTGGGAGTGGGAGACAGGCTTCAGTAATTGTTAACATTCCCCCCTGGTGATTCCAATGAGCAGGCAAGTTTAGAAATGGAAGATAGGTGTGAGGATGGATACTTTTCACCATATACTCCTGTATAACTTTTGAATTTTGGATGTGTGTATTATTTATTTAAAATTAATTTCACATTACAAAATGAGACTATGATAAACCACCAATGAACAAAAACAAAAGAACTGCTGGTCTAACATTGGTACTTTGGGAACCCATTGTAGTGAGTTGGTTAAAAAATATAATTATGCGGATTTTTTTATCAATGTAATTTATGTATGGTAAGCAGTGCAATATATTGGAAATATCATGGGCTTTAATGTCATTTATCAAATGCATGAATGAATAGATGAGTAGGTGATCATCTACAACCATTTTCACATTCTGACTTTGTTACTTTCTTAACCTCTCTTTATCTATACACTGGGGAGCCTAACATCTGCCTCACAGGGCCACTCATTCATTGAAAAAAAAGTATTGAGTCACTACTATGAACAAGAAATTGCAGAGATAGCAAAACAAAACAAAACAAAACAAAACAAAACAAAACAAAAAAAAATTCCCTGTCTAATGAGTGATGAGGGTAAAGGGAAGACTGGGAGTTGGGGTGAAAAGTGGGGGAGAGAAGAAGAAAAACATGTAGTATGTTAGATGTTGATAATAGTGCTATGGAAAATAAAAATAAAACAGAGAATAACAATAAGAAGTATTACTATAAGGATTAAATGAGAAAATGCATTTGAATTACCTAAAATAGTGTCTGGCACATAGAAGATGGTAAATATAAGTGCCTTTAAAAGTATATCTAAAACAGGCAAAAATATTTTATCCTCTTAGATTATATTTTTTCCAATTTATTCTGCCTGTCTGTATAATCCTAATTCAGAATAATGTGGTCCAAACAGGATTTTTCTCAGTGACTGAATGCTAAAGTTGGTGGAGAAATTGACTAGAATATTACTTGCAGTTCTATTATAAAACTATATCTGACATCAAAGAGAAATGTTAAGCTTTAGTGAGTCCATTATCACTTGTTTAAAAGTGTAACCTATTTTTAAATATCCCTTGAACAGACTTATTGAATCCCATGAGTTAGGCTTGTTGAAATGAAAACATTTTATCATTCACTGAGAGGTACTGGTGAATATATTCAAAGCAAAAGTTAATGAGGAGAATAATCTGGCATAACACGGACCCTAAGTATTTTACCAGCTGCCATATATTTTAATCTTTATATACAAACACCTGATAATGTTGAACCCCAGCAGCCTAAACAGCTGATGTTATTTACTCAAAGGCTTAATTTACTACAATATTAGAGAGTGACTGTCTTTTGAGGTCATTAAGAAGAAAGTCAAGTGAGCTGAGCAACCTCTAATAAAACGACAACTATAACATACATTCAAGCTGATGTCCTTTAAGTCTGACGCATAAGTCATATTAACAAAATTTTATATGAACGTAGGAAAGAATTAGGTGGTTATTTTCACATGCAAAAGAACTTGTTTCAATATCTTGGAAGATATTTTTTGTACATTTATAAACGATTTGCTGTCCATGGGCCCAAATTCTGGATGGTGTTTTTCTAAGGTGTATTCCTTTTCCCACAAATTGCACATAACTGCTAAATTCATGCACTTAATTTGTTTTTTAAAAAAGAGTGTAATAGTTACGTCTCTAAAAAGCACACTTAATAAGATTTAAATATCTTTCACATAACACACACAAGACAAATAATTTCCCAAGTAACACAGTGAAACATTTTGCTTTTCTGAAAGAACATTATATTCATTTTGCCCTTGCTAGATCACTGGTATCATTACTTATGCTAGTCTCTAGGAGGGGAAAAGAGGGATTTTATTGAAGTGATTTACTTGTGTCAGGCCTGGAAGTGAACTGAAAGCAATGGCAGTTCTTATATAAAGGATGGCATAATTGAATTATTGCCTTTTAAGTGATTGAAAACAGTGGTGCATATCAGGGCCATCTCTTCGAAGATGTTACAAAGAGTAGTCAGGCCATGATGTTTACTTTATGTCTAATCCCTGTTTCCAGCAGAACGAGAAGTGCAAAGAATCTGTTTAGCCTGGAAGCCCACTGTGAGAATTTCTAAAATACTGTACCCTGAAAAATGAGAATGGCTCACCGAACAGGTCAAGTGATTTAGGTATCACAAGCTATGACACTATCTTGTAATGCTAATTCTGTCACATCCCAATGCAACAGACTGTAGTTTTAGTAGACTTAACTTTGGATTTAATAAGGTAGATAAAGTGGGTACTGTTATTGAAGGTCAGTCTTTCTAACATCTAATGCTAAATATTTTTTCTAGGCAAAAAAAAAAAAAAGGGCCATCATTACCTTCTTTGATCTTTAAAACATCTCCTCTGACTACTTTGTAACCATCAATTTCAGAAATGGTACACACGTCAGAGACACAATCATGGCCAGAAAATGGGCAAAACAGAGGATCACTACAATGATTATCCTGCTCTGCCAAAACATTCAGAACCATTTGAAGTCATTTGGACTATTTATTCAACCTCTAGACAAGCAAAACCTGCACTCTATCAGTACTGAAACTGGTTGCCCTTCCTCTATCTTTGAAACTAAAGTGCAAATTTCTCAATGCTCAAAAAGCAAAACTTTCCCTTCCCCTCACATTCTCCTTTGCAACACCATTGTTCCTAATACAATCCTCCTTTACTGCAATTACTAGATTGACGGCAATTATATGTTTTCAGGTCTGTCTCCACTACTACGCTGCTGGCCCTTGATTGAAAATAATACTACTACTTTCTTGATCTAGGCAGGGGTTCTCAGACTTTAGTGTTCACCAGAAGCACCTGGAGGGCTCATCAAAGGACAGATTGTCAAGCACCATCCTAGAGTTTCTGTCTCAGTAGGTCTGGGGTGTGGACTGAGAAGGTGCTGCTCAATATGTTCCAGGTGCTGCTGATGCTGCTGAGAACCACTGCCCTAGTGAAGTGGTTAGGGGCATGTTTGCTGGAGCAAGTCTGCATATCTTGAACCCTGCCCAGCTACTTGCCAGCTGTGTGCTCATGGGCAAATTACTTCACTTTTTCATGCCTCCCTTTTCTCATCTGTAAAATAAGGATATCAATATGATAAAGCTCTTAGAGTTATTAAGTGAATTAATACACAGAGAGCTTAATTGGTACCTGACACATAAGTGCTCAATAAATGTTTATAGATAACAAAATTAAATTATATTTATTGTTATTATTGAGCATTGAGATTATGTGTTCCAGAAGGTGCTTACATGATGATAATCATTTTAGATGAACCTGAGACTACCAGTCTCTATAACTTGCCATGCTTTGTTTAAACCTTCCTTCCTTATACATGCCAGAGACGAAATTAATATTAAATGTTATTTCAATTTACATTCTCATTTTCTCTCCTAAATATAGACCTGGCAAAACTGTGTTCAAAGAGAAAATGTCAAATCCATTAAAATCAAATATAATTTATAAAAAACAAAATACATAATGTTGTTTTTGCTCATTAATTTGTTCATTTTTACATCACATCTTACTGAGTCTTTGTCAATAACTCCTTGTCACAACATTTTTCTAAAGATTGATACAGATATATTATAAATTACTGGAAGACAATGTATCAATATTCGTAACTTCCACAAAATACTTAATAAATGAAAACTTTAGATAATACAATTTAGGAGGTATTATAAATCATTAATTTTAATTTGAGAACTGAAATAAACAATCCATTTTGGAAAAACAAAATGACTCTAACTTAATCTTTTAAAAAGCTTTTAGCCTTTAGTTTATTTTTAATTATTTGACTTAATCTTGTGGATTTTTCTTTTCAGTAATATACATTTCTGGTTTTGTATTATCATTAGAAACTCAAATAAGTAAACTGTACCACTGAAAAAACCCAAAAACTATTATGCTTAGTTTTCTAAGTTGTATGGCTGTGACAACCATATAAAAAATTCTGACAAAGTACAGATTACTCAGCTTAGAAATAAACATCAGTAAACTGTGAGGCAGGCAACAAATATTCTTCATACACAGATAGAAAGAAAGACACAGCAAGAAAAGAAGGATAATTTACAACCGTAAGTTAATTGTGAATAACTCTACTCCATCAGACTCACTGGTCCGGCACTTCCAGTTCATACGGTTTTATAAAATAAATGCTTCCTCTAAAAAGCTGTGGATAAATGAGTAGCATTTTAAGTGCAGAAACACATCTTGCTAACTAAAAAATTTTGTGGTGACCCCTTCTATAATTTGAAAAAAAAATCAGTTCTGTTAAACGCCATTCCTTCTTTCTTGCTGTTGTTGTCAATAGATTTTGATTTTATTAAATTAACATACTTTATTTAAAAGCAGACTTTTTTTTTGAGATGGAGTTTTGTTCTTGTTGCCCAGGCTGGAGTGCAATGGCACGATCTTGGCTCACCGCAACCACTACCTCCCTGGTTCAAGTGATTGTCCTGCCTCAGCCTCCCGAGTAGCTGGGATTACAGGCATGCACCACCACGCCTGGTTAATTTTGTATTTTTAGTAGAGATGGGGTTTCTCCATGTTGGTCAGGCTGGTCTCAAAATCCTGAGCTCAGGTGATCCGCCCACCTTGGCCTCCCAAAGTGCTGGGAGTATGGGTGTGAGCCATTGCGCCCGGCCCAAAAGCAGACTTTAATCTGTCTACCAAGCAAATCTGCTTCCATTTTATGCATGCAGACTTTTATACTAAGTCTATCTTTGCTAAAGATTTAAAGAAAATTATTTCTTTCCCAAGAAGCTGTGCATTCAGATTCTTTATCTATATCTGGGCTTTGGTATCTTCTATGAAGTAAGGAACTTCTATAAAATAAAGACGTGGTGGAATGGATTAGACAATCTTGAAGATTTACTATGGTTTTAATGATTTATAGATCTGTAAACATATAAACGAAAGTAAAAATTTTAAAACAACTGTTTTGAAAAATCCCAGTACTAGTTGCAAAAAACCCTGAGTTCTAGCCCCAGGTCTTCTACTATTCGTGTGGCACTGGGCAAGTCACTTGAGCTCCTGGGGCCCTAACTGCTGTGTGATTATAATGACAAAGATAAACTAGGTAACTCCTAAATTTCACTCTAACTTCAAAATACATACTTCCTAGAAAACCAATTAATTATATTCTGGAAGTTTAAAATCAAAATACCACTTTAGTATATAATATAATTTTAAAATATGTTTTTACTTTTTTATATGTGAGAAAGAATAAAGCACATACTAATAATTAGTTATTTCCATTTTTACAGAATTATAATATTATAATATGTTGCTCTATATTCCAGAAATAAAATTCAATTTACACTCCTTGATTTCTGTCTCTTTGTTCTGACATCTGCTATAGTCTGAACATTTATGTCCCCTAAAGATTCACGTGTTGAAACCTAATCACCAATGTGACAATATTGAGAGGTCAGGCCTTTGGGAGATGACTAGGATGAGAGGGTGGAGCCCTCATGAATGACACTAGTGCCCTTATGAAAGAGCCTGAGGAAGCTTACTTGCCCTTTCCACCAAGAAGGCACCGTTTATGAAGCAGAGTGCATGTCCTCACCAGATGCTAAACCTGCCAGTACCTTGCTTTTGGACCTTTCCAGCCTCCAGAGTTGTAAGAAATAAATGTTGTTTATAAGCTACCTTGTTTATGGTCTTTTGTTATAACAGCCCAGATGAACTAAGATACATCTAAGCACCACTGTATTCCTGGATCCTATCCCTCCAAGCAGAGGTGATGCAGCTGTCCTCCTCTATCTCAGAAGCCTAGTCTGCTCTGTGACTCCTCTTACAGAATGTGGGTCTCAAGGGGAACACTGTGGGTCAGTGGGAGCAGGGGGCAGAAAACTTTTTTCTGTAAAGGGCCAGATAGTAAATACGTTAAGTTTTACAGGTCATATGGTCTCTGTCACATATACTCAACACTGTCATTGTAACACAAAAACAGCCACATACAATACTTAAACAACAACAAAAAAACAGACCGTGTTCCAATAAAACTGTATTGGTAAGCAATAAAATTTACTTTCATATTATTTTCACATGTCAGGAAATATTACTTTAAAATTTTTTCCAACCATTTAAAGAGGTAAAAAACCATTCTTAGCTTTAGGCTGTACCCAGCAGGTGACAGGCTGCAGTTTGCCAACCCCTGCTTTAGGCTATTTACCTGATTAGATGTGTGCCCCACTGACCCTGCACTGCTCCTAAGGAAACATGCTTTGAAAACTCTACAACCCAGCCCAGAGCTGTGTTAGAACCAAAAATGGTTTCTTTCCAGCACCATAAATTATTATGAAAGACCCAGGAATTATTCACAACCATGAACTTCTTTAGCAACTCTGCCAAAATGTTTACTTCTTCATTATGTTGATGCAGATAAAACTTCCACAAATTCCCAGAATATTAGATTTGCAACTTGCTTTCCTAAAGTCTCCTTCCTCACCTAAACTAATAGAGTACACCTGAGCTCTGAGCAAAAAGGGCCAAATCCCACCGGGCTTACGTCCAAACTTCATGTGTTTGAAAGTTTTATTCAGTGCAAGTGGTTTTAAAGTCACTTTTATACAGACTCTTAGTATGAATTTTGGACAATAGGGTGAAATAAGCCTTTATATTTAATTCCCTGACCTACTAATATGAACAAGAAAACGAGAAACTCAAGAAATGAGGGAGGGTGCCAACTATATATTAAAATATTTCAGCCACAGACAGGTAAGGAGTAAGGGCAGCACCAGCCGGCATGCCATCCATCAGCACATCAGGAAGAAAGATACCCGGGGTGGAAATAAACAAGGCTTCTGTTGGAACTTCATCAAAACCCCAACTTGGAGCAAATGGGGTTAAAGATGAAAGCAGATCTTTGAGCAGTTCTTTGGGGAACAGGTTGCCACGCAGCTGGAGTCTAGGAGGAAGGAATCCCACGGCAGCCCTCCCAGCCAGCACATGGTGTATTTGGCACACTGAACAGTGTGGGCCATCACGATGGCCAGCTCTGGAGGAGGGCATGAGGCTGCTGTGCTAGGTGAGGGAACCACCACTGCCCCAGCTGGTTTCTAGCTGCTGAGACAGAGAGGGTAGCCACATCAATGCCAGGTCAACACTCCTTTTTCAGAAACTACTTCCTTATCTATCTGCGACAACTCTCTAACTTAAACAGAATTTCCACATTGGTAAAATGACAATAAATGTATTGTCCCTTCTTCAGTCTATACCTGGAAGATCTAACAAACAGCTTCAGGCTTTTACTCAGGATCGATTTCAGCTCCTAATATTAAAGAGACATTCTATTCTACAGATGAGCTAAAGAAAAATAACTGGACATTACAAAATATTCAACAGTTCAAAAGAAAATTCATTAACAGAGCAGAACAAATGACTTCTTCTGAAGCAGACTTATTGCAAGAAACAGAAGGACACATTTTAAAATCTCTAATTTGTGCTTTTAAAATTTTAGTAAGATTTAAGAAGACCCTGTATTAATAAAACAGGGACTAGTAGCCATGAAAAGGAAACAATCTGAGCATGTAAAATTACACTTACAAATAACACAACAGAAATTCTCACATTTTAAAGGAACTCAGTAAAGACAGAAGACAGAATATTAGATGCTGCAGAAAACAGAATCAGCAAATTAGAAGATATAAGAAGTTCTCCCAAAATTCAGAGTTAAAATCTAAAGAGAGAAGATAAATGGGGAATAGATTAAGGAGATGCAACATATGTTTACATTAACTTTAAGAAGATAATTTCTAAAAGACAATAAGAAAGACCAATGAATAAAATTCTAAGTCCAAGATTATTTAAGCAAAAATTATTCATTGAGGGAGAAGTACAAAAAAACCTCTATTTCCTATTGTATAGGACAACAAAATATACACTTTCAGTCTTGGCAAAAAAAAAAAAAACAACAAATATCAAAAGAAAAAGAAAAGAAGAAAATTTTCCTGAGCTCAATTAAGACTTAAATTTTCAATTGAAAAGGCTCAGTTATATTTAAATACTAATAAAAACACTACAACTGAACAGATGATACAATTTCTGAATTTCAAAGATTGAGAAAACTTTCTAGAAACATTTTGTCCAGACAGAGAAGAAACAAGTAAGTTTCCAACAAAGAAAGACAATGGGTTTGGCATTAGCTTTTATTCCACAATACTTCAAAACTAGATGACAATACTTAAAAGGAAGGTTGAAAGAGTTCTAAGCAAAAGGACTGTGACTCTAGTCAGGTTCATACATAACGGCAATGGAGCCTCTCAGTTATGCAAGAACTCATAAAGAAGATGACCCACTTATATCCTTCCTCAACCAATTACTGAATGTTTACCAATAACTGACAATAAAGTCAGAACACAATTCCAATAATTGAAGAGAGTACAGAAGAAATGAGCAGTAAACAGTGAATATGCCTACAATTAAATTAAAAATAATTGTGGCTAATCTATCACAATCCTGATGTTCATTAAGAAAATAATTTAAGAAAGATGATAAGAAAGACCAAGGGCTAAAAATCTGATTTTAAGTCCCAGATTATTGAAACAAAAATTACTGGCTGAGGGAGGAGTAGTATCCTATTTTATAGGATAACAAAATATATACTTTAATTCTTGGCAAAAAATTGAGAAATATCAATTTTACAATAATGTCCTATTGGAATTTAAAGGCAATAATTATTAAAAAGAAATATAATGAAGAGTAGAGAAAAGATTTTGGTTTCAGATGAACTAAACTGGGTTTAAGGTTCAGCTATCACAAATCATGGGAATTTGGATAAATTATTAGTCTCTCAAAGCTTTCGTGATCTCATCTACAAAATAAGAATAAGTTTCTTTGTTATATGATTATTTTGAAATAAAATATATATATATAGCCCATTGTCTGACACATGGCACATGTGGAGTGTTGGCCATTATTGTTAATAATAAAGGGAAAAAAACTTGATAAACATAACAAAAGACAGAAAAAGATTAAAAACTAAAGCCAATAGCTATATTAAACAGAAAGCAGAAATGGTTCAAAGAAGCACCACCAAACATGTCAGTTATCATAATGCTTGAAGCTGGGTTAAGTTTTTCTATTGAAAAATAAAGACCCTTAGATAAGACTTTAAAAATACAGCTACTCTGTATGCTGTTTTTATAAAGACACATCATTCACTCACTCAACAAATATTTGGGTGCTCACTGTGTGCCAGACACTATTCTGGGATCTGAGGATATGGTCAGGAAACAAAACGCAAAGGCTTTGACCATTGTGCAGGGCAGCACAATCCAGTAGGAAGGTTAAAGACCCTCAGGCTGGGACAGCCCTCGCCGTGTTCAAGAAATGTAATCAGGTCTGTGTGGTGAAGGCAGCAAGCAGAGGAGAGTAGAGTTCAGAGAAGCAACTGGGTCAGGTGGGGTAGATTCTACAGAACCTTTGAGGCCTTATCTGGACTTTGGATTGTACCCTAAATTAGAAGGTGAGGAATTGGAGGGCTCTGAGTATGAGCAATGGGATCAAACTTCCTTTCTTTGGAAAGATTATTCTGATTGCTGTATTGAATAAAAATAAGGCCAATATTGAATGAAGGCAGAGAGATCAGTTAGAAAATTAATGTAATAATCTAGGAAAGAAAGGACAGTGGCCTAGATAAGAGTGGTAGCAGTGAAGACCGTAAATAGTTGGACTCCTCTGGACTAGGATTAGTTGACAAGATGAGTTAATTGTTTGGATGTGTAAAATATGAGAAAAAGAAGAGTCAAAGATGACTACAAGTTTTTCAGCCAGAACACTGGGAAGGATGCAGTTATGAGCAGCTATGATGGGAACAGTAAGGGAAGAGTAGGTGTGGAGGAGTGTGGTTAGGCAGCCAGGTATAGGGTGTGTGAAATCTGAGGTGCTCTTAGGGGGACAGGGAAAATTAAAAGCAATAGCCAGTCAGATATTTGAATCTGGAGAGGCCAGAACCAGAAATGTAGGTTCAATAGTCATCAGCATATAATGGTACTTAAAGGCATAAAACCGAGACAGAGCACCCAGAGACCAGATGTAGACTGAGAAGAGAAGTGCAAGGACTAAGGTCTGGAACACATGGTGTTTACAGATGAATGAGATGAGGAGGAGCCAATGAGGGACATACAGAAAGCATGGTAAATGAAGTGGAATAAAAAACAGAAGACTGAGTGGTCTGGGAAGCCTCTTTCCAGAAAGGAAAGAGGAGAGAACGAATGACTGTGCCAAGGGCTGCTGACAGGCCAAGGAAGATGAGGTCTGAGAACTGACCACTGGGTTTAGCAATGAGGAGATCACTGGTGACTTTGATAAGGGTGGACTAGAGGGTAGTGGGGATGAATGTCTCAGAGGCAGAGGAGAAGACAGAAAGGGAGGAAAGAAATGGGAAAAGAGAACATATAAAACTTTTTCTGAGGAACTTTAAGAAGGAGCAGAGAACTGGGAAAGTCAGTAATTCAGAAGACAAATGGGGTCAAGAAAGGGTTGTTTTCTTCTTAATGAAAATGACAGGATATTGATGAGAGAGAGAATATTGCTGTAGTCCTATGGATTTTTAAAAATTAAAGGGTAAACAAAAGAAAGCAAAAATTTAAAAAGGGTAGCCATATAAGATTAAAGTAGAACTTGAGACAAAAACAGTTACGTGGGACAGACATTAACATATATTTGACCAATAAACAATGGAACAGACTAAGAAAGTTGTTAAAGTGGTATTCCCCAAAAGAATACTGCACCCAGGTGAATTTATGGACAAGATTTATAAAATCTTCAGGTAAATCATCATTTCTTTGCTTTTCAAACTGATTCTGACAATAAAAGGAAGGAAAAGATTTCAATTAATTTGAACAAATTAGCAGAAACCAATACCAACAACTGACAAGAGAAGGTACAAAATCAACTAATTGTTTCAAGATTGATACAAAAGGTCTTAAATAAAATGTAAGTAGTTTAAATCCAGTAATTTAAGAAAAACAAATAAAATCCAGGCAGGAGGGCTGGGCGCGGTGGCTCAAGCCTGTAATCCCAGCACTTTGGGAGGCCGAAGCTGGCGGATCACCTGAGGTCGGGAGTTCAAGACCAGACTGACCAACATGGAGAAACTCTGTCTCTACTAAAAATACCTGGGAGGTGGAGGTTGCAGTGAGCTGAGATCACGCCACTGCACTCCAGACTGGGCCATAAGAGCAAAACTCTGTCTCAAAAAAAAAAAAAAAAAAAAAAAAAATTCCAGGCAGGAATATAAGGATGGTTCAACAGAGACAATATGACTATATTATAATGTCATTTAAAATTTTAAAATTTTAAAAAAAGGAAATAATCTCAATAGATGTTAAAAGAGCATTTACTATAAATTCAATTAATGTTAAGATAAAAATTATTAATTTAGGTATGAAAGTTATTGCTTTGGTATAATAAAGAATATTCTTCTGAAACCAACAGCCACCAAAAACCATATGCAATGAATCAAGAACAAGAGAAAAATACCAACTATTATTATCCTTCAATGGTGTCCCAGAAATTTCAATCAGTGTAATAAAACAAGAAAAAGATATTTTTAAAAGTATAACTACTAGAAAGGAAGAGATAAAATCATCATTTTTGCAAATGATATAGCAATTTAACTAGAAAACACAAGAGACTGAAATGAAAATTTATTAAAACTGATTTTTTAAGTTCAGTAAAATGGCACAATGCCAAAGACACATAGGAATCAACAGCTTTTTGCAGACTAAATTAGGCAGATTTCTAATTTAAAATTCTCTTTACAAAAGTAAGCACCTCCAAAAATCTCCCTAGTGTTTTCCAATAAAAATGTAATGTGAGTCACATATGTAATTTTAGATAAGCCCAGTTGCCACATTAAAAAAAATGAAAATATATACTTTATGTAACATAATAACCCAAATTATTATTTCAATATATCTAATTGATATTTTTTAAATGATTTTTTTCATACTGAGTCTTCAAATTCTAGTGGTTTTTGGTAGTTAGTTAACCTGCTTGTGTGTTTGCACACTTAACAGTATTATTTCACATCTTCACTAACCACCTGTGGCCAGCAGCTATTGTATCAGACAGAGCAGCTCTCATAGGCCTAGATGTGTGCCTAAGAACATCTGTGCAGAACGTACAAACACGAAAACAGCAAAGTGCTACATAACACAGGAGATTTCAGAAAGAGGACAAACATATTACATATTCATAGATGAGAATAGGAATATGTGTCTTTGAATACTGATATCACTGTAAAGATATCAATTTTCCCTCCCAGGTTATTATATAAATTCAACACAAGCCTAAGCTAAATTCCTGTAACATTTATGTAGAAGACCTGACAAAAAGATTTCAAAGACTGGAAGCATAAAGATAAAAGAATATCAAGAAACTTTTAAAATGACAAGTAAAAATGATTGGGATTTGCCATATCAGATATTTAAATATCAAGTATTTACAATTTATGAAAATTACAACAATATGATACTGGCAGCTCAACAAAGAGACTGTAAGAACTAGTATGCATAAGAATTTGGTACAGCATGTGACAAAGGGAGAATGAAAAATAAGTGGGAAATGAATACGTTAGTAAATACATATTAATAGTATTCAGGCCACTTGTAAAAAATATAAAGTTGTATGTCTATTTTATAATGTTTACCAAAATAAATACTACACAAGTCAAAGGTTTAAATGAAAAACTAAAAAGCAGTAAGATGATTAAAAAACCTATAGTAAATGTTTGTATTATTTTGGAGTGAGAAAAGTTTTCTAGGATAGAAATCAAAGAACGAGAGCAACA